>NC_000010.11:72870368-74120368 GCF_000001405.40 Homo sapiens
CCCGGGTTCACGCCATTCTCCTGCCTCAGCCTCCCGAGTGGCTGGGACTACAGGCGCCTGCCACCACGCCCGGCTAATTTTTTGTGTTTTTTTTTAGTAGAGACGGGATTTCACCATGTTAGCCAGGATGGTCGCGATCTCCTGACCTCGTGATCCACCTGCCTTGGCCTCCCAAAGTGCTGGGATTACAGGCGTGAGCCACCGCGCCCAGCTTTACCTATATTTTCTTATTTAATCTTTGGAACAACTCTTTAATGAAGTTAATGGTGATTTGCAGATCATCGCTCTGAATTGAGCTGCTTTAAATCCAGAGTCCATATTCTGCCCCTAGTATACCACTGGAGTTAAAACTGAGAATAGATTAAATCGTGTATGCAACAGTGAAAGAATATAGGTAGGTGTGCATTTCCCTCTTTCAGAGAAGATAATCTTGTGACTGGATGAAGACCTCTTGAAACTGAGTTATTCATGCCCATATTTCCACCCACTTCTAGGTTGAAACATAAAATACAAATGCCCTGAATAGTAGTTGTATGTATATATATTTTTTTCAAGGGGGTTTCATTCTGTTACCCAGGCTGGAGTGCAGTGGTGTGATCTTGGCTCACTGCATCCTCCAGTTCCTGGGCTCAAGCGATTCACCCACCCCAGCCTCCCGATAGCTGGGACTACAGGGATGTGCCACCATGCCCTGCTGATTTTTGTATTTTTTGTAGAGATGGGATTTCGCCATGTCGCCCAGGCTGGTCTTGAACTCCTGGGCTCAAGCAAGCTTCCCGCCTTGGCCTACCAAAATGCTGGGATTACAGATGTGAGCCACTGCACCTGGCCTAAGATATTTTATTCAGTGAAAACTGCAGATACTATTTAGGAAGACAAGCTATATTTACTAGAATTGAGACTTGTGTCTTGATGATGAGCCCTGTTTCTTTAGTGAACATAGAACAGTTTAAGCCTTTTTAGATTGGTTTTATGTCAAAATGCCTTATGATTATGTGTGCCCAATAGGTACGAATTGAGATTAGCAGAAAAGCTGAGAAGAGGACCACTTTGGTGCTATGGGGTGGCCTTGCCTACATGGCCACACAGTTTGGCATTTTGGCCCGGCTTACCTGGTGGGAATATTCCTGGGACATCATGGAGCCAGTAACATACTTCATCACTTATGGAAGTGCCATGGCAATGTATGCATATTTTGTAATGACACGCCAGGTAAGAATTCTCTTCAAGTAACTTTTTATGAGATAGTAATAAAGTTTTGATTGTCAAAAGAGTTCTTTTTTCTCATCTTCTAAAGCCAGTTTTCTTTAAGTACTCATCCTTTACACATACACACACATGTGCCACTTGTGTATTAGGCAATATTCTAAGCAAGTGCTGTAGATGGAGAGGTAGATATAAGACATGACTTCCACCCTCATGGAGCTCACAAACTATTAAGAAAGCCATGTAGACCATTAAATTCAGAGAAATATACTACAGTAAGGTATAGAATAAGTGGACAAAGGAGCAGAATGATCAGCTGTAGGATAACCTGTTCAGCTGTGTTGCTTGGCTTTTTAAGTACTGTGGGAAAAGTCCCATGCTTTTTATTTTTATTGAGTTTTTGGAATGGAGAATTGGTGATAACTAATCAAATACTTAAACTAAACTCAGAAATCCTCCTAAGTATGTTGAAAGGAAAGGTGTTGTTGTTGTTGTTGTTTCCATTATGGAAGAGAGCTGAGAATTAGATACCTAATTACTTAATACTCAAGTCTATTCTTTTTTTATTGATACATAATAATTGTACATATTTTGAGGGTGTCTGTGCATGTATACAACATATATACATGTGTAATGATCAAATCAGGGTAAATGGCATATCTCCCTCAAACATGTATTATTTTTTTTTTGTTGGGGACATTCCAAATCCTTTCTTCTAGCTGTTTTGAAATATCCAATAAATTGTTGTTAACTATTGAACACTAGAGCTTATTCCTCCTATCTAACTGTAATTTTGTACCATTAACTAACTTTTCCCTATCCCCTTCTCTCCTCTACCCTTCCCAGCCTCTGGTAAACATTATTCTCCTCTCTACTTCTGTGGGTTCAACTTCTATGGGATCAGCTTTTTTAGCTCCCACATATGAGTGAGAACATGTGGTAGTTGTCTTTCTGTCCCTGGCCTATTTCATTAAATATAATGTCCTCCAGCCTTATCCATTTTGCTGCAAAGGACAGGATATCATTCATTTTATTGCTAAGTAATATTCCATTGTGTATATGTACCACATTTTCTTTATCCATTCATCCCTGGATGGGCACTTAGGTTGATTCTGTATCTTAGCTATTGTGAATAGTGCTGCGGTAAACATAGGAGTGCAGATATAGCTTTAACATACTGATTTCCTTTCCTTTGGATATATGCCCACTAGTGGGATTGCCAGATTGATTGTATGATATTTCTATTTTTCGTTTTTTTGAGGAGGCTCCCTACTGTTTTCCATAATGGCTATACTAATTTACATTCCCAGCATTTCTCCACATCCTCACCAGCATTTGATATTCTTTTTCTTTTTTATTATAGCCATTTTAACTGGAATGAGATGATATTTCATTGTGGGTTTTTTTATTTGTTTGTTTTTGTTTTTTTGTTTTTTGGGTTTTTTTTTTTTTTTTTTTTTTTGAGATGGAGTCTCGCTCTATTGCCCAGGCTGGAGTACAATGGCACGATCTCGGCTCACTGCAAGCTCCGCCTCCTGGATTCACACCATTCTCCTGCCTCAGCCTCCTGAATAGCTGGGACTACAGATGCCCGCCACCACGCCCGGCTAATTTTTTGTATTTTTAGTAGAGACGGGGTTTCACCGTCTTAGCCAGGATGGTCTCGATCTCCTGACCTCGTGATCCACCTGCCTCGGCCTCCCAAAGTGCTGGGATTACAGGCGTGAGCGACCGTGCCCTGCCTTCATTGTGGTTTTGATTTGTATTCCCTGATGATTAGTGACTCTGAGCATTTCCTCATATACCTATTAGTCATTTGTATGTCTTCTTTTGAGAAATGTCTATTCAGATCTTTTGCCTATATTTTAATTGGATAGTTTATTTTTTTGCTATTGAGTTGTTTGAGTTCCTTGTATATTCTGATATAAATCCTGTGTCATATGAATAGCTTTTGCAAATGTTTTCTCCCAGTTCTGTAGGTTGTCTCCTCACTCTGCTGACCGTTTCCTTTGCCGTACAAGAGCTTTTTAGTTTGATATAATCCCATCTGTCTATTTTGACTTGTGTTGCCTGTGCTTTTTGAGGTCTTACAAAAAATCTTTGCCCAGACCAATGTCTGGAAGGTTTCCCCAATGTTTTCTTCTAGTAGTTTCATAGTTCAGGTCTTAGATTGAAGTCTTTAATACATTTTGATTTGATTTTTTGTATGGAGAGAGGGGGATCTACTTTCATTCTTCGGCATATGGTTATCTAGTTTTCCCAGCATCATTTATTTAAAAGATTGCCTTTTCCCCATTGTGGGTTCGTGGTGCCTTTGTCAAAGATGATTGGCTATAAATGCTTGGATTGATATCTGGATTCTCTATTCTGTTTCTTTGGTCTATGTGTCTGTTTTTATGCCAGTACCATGCTATTTTGCTTACTGTAGCTTTGTAGTAAATTTTGACATCAGGTAGTATGATGCCTCTAGCTTTGTTCTTTTCGCTCAGGATTGCTCTGGCTGTTCAAGGTTTTTTCTGGTTCTGCATAGTTTTTAGAATTTTTTTCCTATTTCTGTGAAGAGTATAATTGGTATTTTGATAGGGAATGCATCAAATGTGTACATGGTTCAGGGTAGTGTTGATTTATTCTTTATCAACCGAGGCTCCTTTATTGAATACCAGTATCTAGAACTAATTTTTATTGTCAGTGCCGTTTTAAATATCTTGGAATTCCAGTGTCACTTTAGGAAGTATGAAGATTTAGCATTACTTTCAGTTATTATTATAATATACCATCATAGATCCAACCTAGCACTCCCTTTAATATCAAATATTTGAAATACCTGAGACATCGGAAAAGCTTTTTCTGTTTTCTTAGTTATCAGAAGAAAGCTGAGAGTTGCATCTCATATTTAATATGGCTGCTATTGAACATACGCATTTTCTTTCTGTTGTTAGATTAGTGGTCACAGCCTATTTGTGTTTGGGGAAATGATAGCACAAGAATGTTATTTAACTTTTCTTGGCCTCCCAAATGTGTCTAATAGAGAAGAAAGTAAACTGTTTTATGTCTTACAATTGCTTGCCCAGAATTTTTAGCACCTAGTTGCATGTCTGGCTCATACTAGTCACTGTGAACGAACTGAACAGTCACATCATTCTTATCTGATCACAGCTCTGGGCATGGATAACAACCATGTTTTCAGCCAAACACTAATATTTTTCCAGTTATACCTTGAATCTAAAGATCACCCTTGATATATCTCTTGCTGATTAATTGGGTACAAAATAGTGGTATTTCCTTGTGGACTTTCCATTTCCTTGATTACTGAAGAGGTGAAGCATTCTTTCCACTGTGAGATACCCATACCTTTTGCTTGGTCATTACTATTAAGTACGTTTTGCTAAGCCTAATTATGTGTCCAGCATTTTACATCTAGTAACATAAGTACATCTATTCACATATTTAATCTCAACCCTATAAGTATTAATATATCGCCATTCCATAGATGAGGAAACTGAGTCTCCAAGAGGATAAGTAATCTGCCCAAACATTATATCTAGTACACTGTAGGACAAGGAATTGAATCCAGATTTGTGTGGCTCTGTAGGCTGCTCACTTTCCACTCAATTATGCTGCCTTCTGTTGACTTCATTTATGAGGAGTAACTTTTGAAAACTATAATTAGAATAGATACAGAATAGAAATAAAAATATATTGGGGAAATAATTATTACTTCTTACAAAGGGCTGTTTTGTAAATGTTTTCTGTATTAGACTTGAATACAGTGTTACCACTTTCTCCCTTCTCGTCATGCTGTAGAATCTTTAATGCCCTACCTGTCCTACTAGTTAAATGCTCCATTCTGTGATTACCAAAATAGTCTTGCTGCCCCCAAGTGACAAGTTGCAAAATAGCAGTAGTAAATAATTTAGTCACTATTCACTTATGAATAGGAAAACAGTGACCAAATAAAATGTAAATAGTTTTCATATTAAATATTTTTACTAACATACCCATCTTATTACCTCTGAAGCAAATGCCTGTTCAATGGCATTTAAACTCTTCTAAACTGCTGTTACTATGAGTTGCTGTACTTGTTAACAGTCTAAATATATCCCAATAGTATGTTAAGTTCCAAAGAATCTTTTTAAGATGGCAAGCTCCTTGAAATCATAAAATCAAATGGAATATTGAGTTTTGCTGATTAATATTTCAGTAGAACCTGAGTACTGATTTCTATTATGTGGAAAAGGAGCTGGGCAGTAAGACTTGCCTGTGGGAGCTGTGTCAGCGTGCAGGTGGACCAGCCGTCCCACCATCTGGCCCATGCCTTTTCAATGAAGGGGATGATGTTGCCTCATAGGAGTGAGCATTGATTCTTGGGGAGTAAAAACATATTGCATATTATAATGCATAAACAGATAAACAGTATATTAAACCTCCTGTGGGAAGGAGGAGTAATCAGGAAAAAAATGCCTTAAAAAGCTACTTAGGGTGGCAATAATGAAAAAAGTGTTGATAAATAGTGACCTAGCCTTTAATACCCTTTACCTCCTCAATTCCAATAACCGTCATTTATATTGTACTCCGGCAAACCACTTCAATGGCTGTTCAGGGCCTTCTTTCCTAGAACTGTCCCACTTATAATATAAATTAGTATGTTAATTTCTGATAATTTATTTTCTTTCTAGACCTTTTATTCACTCACTCACTCCTTTGACCTCATCCAGACCTTTAAGCTACTGGCATCTTTCCCTTAACTTTTTACTGTCACCTTCCTCCTGTATCACTTCCTTTTCTATCCAATTTAAACTGTGTTGCCATTCTCTTCTTAGTATGCTACCATCCCTGCCCTTTTGTCTTTTACAGTATGTACTCTATAAACTCCTAATATTGGACTAATCTAGACCTTTATCCTATCTATATCTAGGCTATTAAATATTACTAGAGAGAAAGCATGTCATAGTGTAGAATGGGCCACTGCTTGTGTTTTTAATCATATTTTCTTCCCTCATATCCCCATAGTAGTTATTCTAAGACTTCACATCAAGATCCCCATCCCACCCTTAACCTTCTCCTAGAAAATTGAAGTTAACAGTTAGAAGCTTTCTAATTCTTAAAACTGTAAATGCAACTGTATCTGTACTGAATTTTACACGATTTCCATCAAATTCCAAGAAGAGGTGGCATTTTCCTATTTAGGGCTAGCCCCTCCACATGTTCTTAATCCCATTCCTTCCTCCTAGTATCTTATTCCAGTTTCTTTTTTGTGTTCCCTGTGTTTTTAACCTCTCCCTCTGTGACTTTCTTTCTTTCCTAACAAAACTGTCTGCATCTTCTCTCACTTAGTATCAAATCACAGTTTTTTTTTTTTTTTTTTGAGACAGGGTTTTACTCTGTCTCCTAGGCTAGAATGCAGTGGCATAATCACAGCTCACTGAAGCATCTACCTCTCAGACCCAAGCAATTCTCCCACCTCAGCCTCATGAGTACCTGAGACCATAGGCATGTGCCACCATGCCCAGCTAATTTTTTAAATATTTTGTAGACAGGGTTTCCCTACATTGCCCAGGCTGGTCTCAAACTCCTGAGCTCCAGTGATCCTCCGCCTCAGCCTCTCAAAATACTAGGATTACAGGCATGAGCCACTGCACTTAGCCCAAATCACAGAAATTTTAGAATAGAGTCTAGCACATAGTTGCTCAGTAAATGATTGTTGCCCGAAAGAGGAAGCACAGAAAGATTTGAATAAACTTAGTGTGTATATTTGCATCCTAAGCAAACATAGGTGAATAGCCTAGTAGCAGCATGTTAGATGAATGTAGAGGGCTTTCCCTCAAGTTCTTAATCCACTAATTATCCCTTCAGTTGATTCAGACCTCGATTTTATTCATTTTAAAAAGGCTTCCACAAACCCTTTAGCTATCAGTCATCCAATATCTATTATCTATCATCATCAATAACTAAATATTTACTCTGGTTCTAGTTGTGGCATACTAGGCAATCAATCAGTCCTTCCACCAAGAAAAGTTAGAATTGTTAGACAAAACATAATACACATCTGTTTAAAGATACTAGAGAACTAACAAAATAGCAAAAATTGCTAGGTAAGGGTCTAAATAAGAGGAGTCCCAGGAAGATGAGACTAGTATTTAGGTGTGCTTTTTCCTCTGGGGATTTATGCTAATTGAGGAGAGTATAGTGGAGAGGCCAAGAAGCTGAGCCACACTTGTTAGCCTAGAGGAACCAAAGCCTTAGAGATTGGTGTCTAATGATCACTAAAGTAGGCGAAACAGAAACCATCTTGCTTTGATTTGGAACCTGTAAAGGCTACCATTGTAGAATAAGGATTCACCTAGTATAGGCTCTTTCAGGTACTGTAGCTCATCTTTCATTCATCTCAATCCTGTAAATTAGATTGAGGTAGTCCTGGAATACTGGTAATCCCCGAGTGCTGATGCTCACAGGTTTCATGCAGAAGCAAACATAAATCATCCCTGGGAGGAGATAACATTATTCTAAACCTTAAATTATTTCTACAAATAATTTTGCTTTTTTTTTTTTTTTTTTTTTTTTTGAGACAGAGTCCTACTCTGTTGCCCAGGTTGGAGTACAGTGGCACAATCATGGCTTACTGTAGCCTCATACTCCCAGGCTCAAGCAGCCCTCCCTCTTAGCTTCCTGAGTAGCTGGGACTACAAGCACATATCACCATGCCCAGCTAGGATTTTTTGGCATTTTTTGTAGAGCTGTGGTTTCTCCATGTCACTCTGACCGGTCTCAAACTCCTGGGCTCAAGCGATCTGCCTGCCTCAGCCTCCCAAAGTGCTGGATTACAGGCATGAGCCACCATGCCTGGCCAGTTTTGCAGATATTAAATTAGACATACAATAAAAATAAGCAGATACACAATACCTACAGAAACAATAGACATTACAAACAGACACAAGGACTCCAGATATTGGTATTATCAGACATAGCCTTTAAAATAATTATACTTACTATATTCAGGGAGATAAACAACAAGGTTGAGAATATTGGCAGATAACTTGATTTTTTGTTTAAAGAACCCATTGAAAAATTTTAGAAGTGAAATATAATGGATGGGTTTAATAGCAGATTAGACATAACAAAAGACAGAAATAGTGACCTTGAGTAAGGCACAAGAAACTATTCAAAATGAAGTGTGCAGATACAGAAAGATGTAAAATATAGGAAAGGGTAAGAGACACAGTATACAGTGGAAAGGCCTAATATGTATTTAATTTTATTGGAGTCTCAGAAGGAGAAGAGAAAGAGGATGGGAAGAAACAATATTTAAATAAAGAGTTAATGGCTGAGAATTTTCCAAAATGATGAAAGACATCCATTTACAGATTTAAGAATCCCAACCAATACCAGCCAATATAAAAAAGGAAATCTGACTGGGCGCGGTGGCTCACACCTGTAATCCCAGCACTTTGGGAGCCCAAGGTGGGTGGATCACTTGAAGCCAGGGGTTTGAGACCAGCCTGGCCAACATGGCGAAACCCCTTCTCTACTAAGAATACAAAAATTAGCTGGGCATGTGGCACACATCTGTAATCCCAGCTACTCGGGAGGCTGAGGCATGAGGATCGCTTGAACCTGAGAGACGAAGGTTGCAGTGAACTGAGATCACACCACTGCACTCCAGCCTGGGTAATAGAGCAAGACTCTGTATCAAAAAAATAAAATAAAAAAGGAAATTTCCATTGAGATATATTGGTAGTAAAACTTCAAAAGCCAAAGCCAAATGGAAAAATCTTAAAAGCAGCCAAAGAGAGAAAAAAGTTTGCCTTCAAAGGAGTCCCTGTTAGACTGAATGCTGACTTCTCAATAGCAGCAATGAAAGCCAAAGACAATGGAATAGTATCTTCAATTTCTAGAAAGAAAATAACTGTCATCTTAGACTTCTATACTCAGCAAAAAATATCTTTCCAAAATAAAGACATTTTCAGACAGAGAATTTGTCACCATCAGATCTGCACTAAAGGAGATACTGAAAGATGTTCTTTGGGCAGAAGAAAGATTATCACACGTGAAAAGTCGGAAAAGCAGAAAGGAATAAAGAGCAACAAAAATGGTAAACCTGTGAGTGATGAGTCTAAACTAATATTAAATGTATAAACAATAATAAACTCTTATGGAATTTAAAATATAGAGAGAATTAAAATGCAACAACAGGCCGGGCTAAGTAGCTCATGCCTGTAATCCCAGCACTTTGGGAGGCTGAGGCGGGCAGATCATTTGAGGTCAGGAGTTTGAGACCAGCCTGGCCAACATGGCAAAACCCTGTCTTTATTAAAAATATAAAAAAATCAGCTGGGCATGGTGGCACACACCTGTAATTCCAACTACTGGGGAGGTTGAGGCATGAGAATCGCTTGAACCCAGGAGGTGGAGGTTGCAATGAACCGAGATCACGCCACTGCACTCCAGCCTGGGTGACAGAGTGAGACTCTGTCTCAAAAATAAATAAGTAAAATTAAATGTGCAACAACAATGACATATATGTCTGGAGCAGGTAAATAGACTTAAAATGTTCTAATATTCCTTCATTGTCTGGGAATAAGGTAGAAGTACCGCTCCTATTCACCTTTGAAGAGGAGGCCCTAGCCAGTGCAGAAGGCAAGAACAGAATATGAAAGATACAAAGATTGGAAAGAAAGAAAACTGACACTTACAGATTTTGTACATGAAAAAATACAGAAGAAATGTACAGATAATTGGTTAGGATCCATAAGTGAGTTTCATAAGGTTATTGGATACAAGATCAATGTATGTAAATCAATTGCGTTTCTATATTGCTAGCAACAAATGGTTAGAAAATGAAAATATTTAAAGCTGCACCTTAAAATTACTTTTAAAAATACATAGACCACACGTAGAAGGCAAAGCGGGGGGGGGGAAACCCTAGAAATATATGTATAAAAAATGTATAAGACTCTATCCAAAAATGTCAGTTCTACTCAACTGATCCATTAGATTCAGTACAATCCCAGTTAGTCAAAAACCCAACAGATTTGGGGATTGGGGAAGAGATTTGAATAGACTGCTTCTAAAACGGTATGAAAATGTAAAAGACTAAGAAAAGCCATTAAACTCTTGAAGAAAAACTGGGTAAGAGGATTTGCTCTATTAGATATGAAGACTACAGCTTTAGTTATAACACTTCAATAACAGTGGCACAAGGACAGACCTATAGAATAGAAGAGTATAGAAACAGACCCAGTATAAATGAACTTTTGATTTTAAGAAGATGGCAGGCCAGGCATGATGGGTCATGCCTATAATCCCAGTGCTTTGGGAGGCCAAGGTGGGAGAATCACTTGAGGCCAGGGGTTCATGACCAGCCTGGACAACATAGTGAGACCCAATAGCTAAAAAAATTTTTTTAAATTAGTTGAGTGTGGTGTCGTGCACCTGTAGGTACGAGCTACTCAGGAAGCCAAGGTAGGAGGATTGCTTGAGCCCAGGATCTTGAGGCTGCATTGAGCTATGGTCACACCACTGTACTCCAGCCTTGGTGGCAGAGTGAGACTCAAAAATAAATAAACAAAAAAGATGGCCCTACAAAGAAAGGAGAGTCTTTTTCAATAAATGGTGCTAGGACAATTAAATACCTATATTAAAAAATGAAATAACCCCATTTTATACTATAAACAAAAATAAATTCCAGGTGGATTGTAGATCTAAATGTGATAGGTAATGTATAGCTATTCTCTTATAGCTCCTATAAGAGAATATCTTAATGACTGTAGAATAGAGAATGATTTCTTACACGGAATGAAAAGCACTAACCATACAGGATAAGAGTGATAAAGTAAGCCAGGCACTGTGGTGTATGCCTGTAATCACAGCTACTTGGGAGGCTGAGATGGGAGGATCGCTTGAACCCAGGAGTTTGAGGCCAGCCAACATAGCAAGATCCCATCTCACAAAAGAGAATGATAAATTAGACTACATTAAATTAATATCTGTTTATTAACACCATGAAGAGGGTAAATAGGCTGGAAGGAGATACTTGCAGTATGTATACCCTACAAAGGATCTATATCCAGAATATATAAACAAATTCTACAAATCAGTAAGAAAGTGACAGACTCCACTAGAAAAAATGGCAAGATATCTGAACAGGCACTTCTAATAGAAGATATGCAAATGGCCAATAATAGATTAAATGGAAAGGCCTCAGCCTCTTAGTGATCAGGAAAATGCTGTGTATCTCCAAGAGAAATGAAAATGTACATCCACACAAAAACTTGTACACAAGTGTTCACAGCAGGATTGTACATAATAGCCCCAACGTGGAAACAACCCAAATGCTATCAGCTGAGGAATGGATAAATAAAATGTGGCATAATTATTGTTGTGGGAAGTCAGGGACCCCAAACGGAGGGACCGGCTGAAGCCATGGCAGAAGAACGTGGATTGTGAAGATTTCATGGACATTTATTAGTTCCCCAAATTAATACTTTTATAATTTCTTACGCCTGTCTTTAGTGCAGTCTCTAAACACAAATTGTGAAGGTTTCATGGACACTTATCACTTCCCCAGTCAATACCCTTGTGATTTCCTCTGCCTGTCTTTACTTTAATCTCTTAATCCTGTCAGCTGAGGAGGAAGTATGTCACCTCAGGACCCTGTGATAATTGCATTAACTGCACAAATTGTAGAGCATGTGTGTTTGAACAATATGAAATCTGGGCACCTTGAAAAAAGAACAAGATAACAGCAATTGTTCAGGGAATAAGAGAGATAACCTTAAACTCTGACCGCCAGTGAGCCAGGTGGAACAGAGCCATATTTCTCTTCTTTCAAAAGCAAATGGGAGAAATATCGCTGAATTCTTTTTCTCAGCAAGGAACATCCCTGAGAAAGAGAATGCACCCCTGAGGTTGGGTCTCTAAAATGGCCCCCTTGGGTGTGGCCGTCTTCTATGGTCGAAACTGTAGGGATGAAATAAACCCCGGTCTCCCATAGCGCTCCCAGGCTTATTAGGAAGAGGAAATTCCCACCTAATAAATTTTGGTCAGACCAGTTGCTCTCAAACCCTGTCTCCTGATAAGATGTTATCAATGACAATGGTGCCCGAAACTTCATTAGCAATTTTAATTTTACCCCGGTCCTGTGGTCCTGTGATCTCGCCCTGCCTCCATTTGCCTTGTGATATTCTATTACCTTGTGATGTATGTGATCTCTGTGACCCACACCCTATTCGTACACTCCCTCCCCTTTTGAAAGTCCCTAATAAAAACTTGCTGGTTTTGCGGCTTGTGGGGCATCACGGAACCTACCGACATGTGATGTCCCCCCCGGATGCCCAGCTTTAAAATTTCTCTCTTTTGTATTCTGTCCCTTTATTTCTCAAACTGGCCAACGCTTAGGGAAAATAGAAAAGAACCTACGTGACTATCAGGGCAGATTCCCCGATAACTATTAATGGAATGTTATTTGGCAATAAAAAGAAATGAAATACTGATACATGCCACAAATGGATGAACCTTGAAAATGTTATGCTAAGTGAAAGAAGCCAGACACAAAAGGCCACATATTGTATGATTCCACTTATATGAAATGTCCAGAATAGACAAATTACAGAGGCAGAAGAAAGATTAGTAGCTGCCTAGAACTGGGGGTTTGGGGGGAGAGGAGACTTGACTGTCACAAGGTATGGAGTTCTTTTTTGGGGTGATGAAAATGTTCTAAAATTGTAGTAATGATTGTACAACTCTGTGACTATATTATAAACCATTGAGCATTATACTTTGAGTAAATTGTATGGTATGTGAATTATATCTCAATAAAGCTTTTTTTAAAAATGAGACAGTATTGCATACACAGCAGAATGGCTAACGTCTTTTAAACTGGCAATATCAAGTATTGGCAAGGGTGTGGAATGGTGGTACCTCATAATCCTGCTGATAGAAGTATAATTGGTACAACCATTTTGGAAACTGTTTATCATCACTGCTTACATTTGAACACATGCATACCCTGTGATCTAAGATTTCCACTCCTAGGTATATCTCCAGCAGAAGAGATAAATCCAGAAATGCTTTTGGCAGCATTATTAGTAAGAACGGAAACAACCCAAAAGCTTATCAATAGTAGAATGGTTAAATAAACTATGATGAAGTCACACAATATAATATAATGGAAATGAATAGACTGCAGCTACACACAAAAGGTGAATTTCACAAACCTAATACTGAGTGAAGGTAGCCATATAAATATATACTGTATGACTCCATCTTCATAAAATTCATAAAACAGGTAAAACTAAGTTGTGGAACTTAGGAATACATGCTTAAGGAGGTAAGTTATAAAGAAAATAAGAAAACAATTACCATAAAAGTCAAGAGAGTGATTACTTTGGGGGAAAGAGATATGAGTAATTGGGAAGGGGCAAGAGGGAGTTTCTGGATTGTTGGCAGAGTTCTATTTTTATAAAACCTGGTGATGAGTAGCATGTTCATTGTGTGATGATTCACTGTGATGTACATTTTGTGTGTACTGTTCTGTATGTTTCACAGTAGAAATGTTCAGGTGGTGATTAAATACTTAACACAGCACATGTCAGCACACACGCATACATATGTATTGAATCTAAGCAGCAGTTAGTAAATATTTTGTGAAGATAGTATGCTAAGGACTGATAATTCCGTTTCTTCATTTTTTTAGGAATATGTTTATCCAGAAGCCAGAGACAGACAATACTTACTATTTTTCCATAAAGGAGCCAAAAAGTCACGTTTTGACCTAGAGAAATACAATCAACTCAAGGATGCAATTGCTCAGGTAAGTTTTACAAAAATTAAAATAAATCCCAGCCCTATCTTGCATGGTTATTATTATTATCCACAGCCACGGTTCTTCAAATGAGTAAACTGAAGGAATGTTCCAACCCTCTTCTTCCTGTATAAATTATTCCTCAGTTGATTACAGTAACTATTTTAGGCATGGACATTTCTCTAGAAAGTTTTATAAAAAGCAAGTGAGAAGATGGTGTGTTTGCTCCATCCTGTTAACACTAGCACATTGACATTTTTAGGCCTACTTTTACTTTTTTTTTTTTTTCATTTTATTTCTTTGTAGTTGTCTGTTTCTACTTTTCCCTCTGCTTTTTGATTATTTCTGTAATAATTTATCTAAGATTTTTCACAAAAATGTGTGGTAGCAGTGGGGAAAAGTAAAACCCAGGTAAGAGGGAAAGACTGCTAGAGATCTTTGCCAGGGACAGTTTAGAGATTATTAAACTAGAAGATGCTTGGAAAAGATTGATATATTTTATTTTTCATAAAAGCTACCTCTTTCAAATTTCTGGATGTGCCTCCCTCACTCTGTTATCTTTGATTTTGGTGAATAAACCCTCATTCCTTTTCTCTGTAGTCTTTGTGACTTTAGAGATTTTTCAGCAATCTCTAGAAGCTTTTCCATCCTCTTTAATGTTTAGTTGCTCTTCTCTGCCTTTCCTGTCTCTTCTTGATGATAGGGTTGTGCTTTGAATAGGCTTAATCCATCTTCCTGCTTTGGCCTAAGTGGAGTTCTGTCTTCCTTTGCTATGTATGGTGATTCTAAACTGGAGGGAATACATCAGAATCATGCCTGGAGCTGTTAAAAGTACAGATGCTTCAGTCTCACCCTAGGCTTGCTCGTTAGTCCAGCTCCTCCCGGGTGAAGTCCAAGCATGTGTGAGTTTTGAAAGTACTACAGTTGACTACACACGCTGTTCCAAAATTCACTGGCTAAGTAAAAACTTAAACAGGTACTGGATAAATAACTAAAATCTTGAGTAGCATAAAGTTCTGGCTCTTAGCCCTTGTGAAAGGGCTTCTCACTGGAGAAACACCATCAAGATGTATGTCTCAGATGCTCCTTACATTCTTAGCCTCTGAGTCCTACCCTGTTGATAGCACTGATTTTTCTGGAGGCTTTGTTGAGGGCTGAAACTGCCAAGGATGGCTTCCATTTTGGATTCACCCTTTGTTGTCCTATGCCGTGAGTTAAAATGCTTTGTCTTTCAAGGCACTCTTATTTTGAGAGTTATTGAGATGATCTCTCTGACTTATAGTAATGGAGAACAGTTTCCTTTTCTTGGTAGACAGTAATATCATTGAAAGCTTCACTAGCCAGTTTTCTCACCTTTTGTTTCTATTTTAGGCAGAAATGGACCTTAAGAGACTGAGAGACCCATTACAAGTACATCTGCCTCTCCGACAAATTGGTGAAAAAGATTGATCTGCAAAAAGCCTCTGAATCCTGGCAGAAGGAACACCTGTTTGCCTTTTTAATTAAAGCATTGCAGGTGGAAGCTGGGAGCCATGTGGGGGGTAGAGCGTTTTTACCTTTAATTATAAAACAAAAACAGAAAGGATCTGAGGGAAGAAGGGAATGTTAAAACCTGAGGATCAGGCATTGTGGAATATAAGCTCAAAGGGCTTAGTGAATATTGTCTTAACCAAGTATCTCAGTTTCTGGATGAAAATGATGCAGTTATATAGTTGAGAGATTCATAAAGAGAAAACAATGCTGGGGGTGTTCGTTTCTTGCATCTTCTTTGCAGAGTCAGCAAAAGAGTAACACACCAGCACCCCACTCGACTCTATTTGTTTTTAATTTAACTGTCCCTATTTTTGACATAGGAGTAAATAAATATACTAGAAAAGCAAATTCTCATGATATGCTAAAATATCATTAGCATTTATTTTAAATTGGACCCAGTCTCTGCAGAGTTACCAGGAATCTTTCCTTCCAGCATCCCTTTACTGACCACCTACCTGTACCTCTTGGTTACACTCATTTTTTCCATTTGATAATTGGAACCAACTTATAACTGTTTAATAATTGACACTTTAGATTATCTCTTAATACCTTCTTAAATGTCTATATATCCCAGTGCTCTGGATCAGTGTCTAAAAATCACTGGCAACACTGCATGAGGTTGTTGGTTTTGTTTTGTTTTATTAATTAGTCTTTCACAGGAGGAATAATTGCCCTCCTTTATATACTTATCTATTGATAATCCCCTCTCCCTCCAGAACACAAATCAGAGGGAAAGGGGGTGTTCAGCTGTACTACCAAATCAGGAAGATGTAAGGTTTACAAATTGGCTAAGAATCATGGCTCTGTAGCCATTTCAACCAGAATAATTTTATTGCTAATCTGCTTTGTGTGACAGCATTCCAGGCCAGCCAGATGGGACTGCCTTGTCTGGAGGCTTTGTTCATCTCGAAGGACACACACTTCCACACTGTTTGTGAGCCCTCCCACCTCCACAACTTCAGTTGTAAATCAAGTGTGTGGATCTCAAAGGGTGCAATTTATCTTTATATAGGAATACATTTCTAGGGCTTCCTTCAAGCCCACTCTCTTCACCCTATTTTTTCTTATCTTAAATTGAGAGAAAGAGAATTAATCTTATACTTTGTCAAAACATTTTCTACCATATTTCCAGATGACATCTGCGCTTGAAGAGTCAAAGGAATCTGTGTCTAATATCCTGTTTTTAACTGCTGTAGGGGCAGGATGGAAAGGATGATGGGGGCTGCCACACCACTGATTGGCCTTTTCTTTCACGTGATTCATCCTTCCTCATTGTGGCAAGGAGTTTCTTTCTCTTTTTCTTCCTCCTTTGGGATCATTGTGTATGAAAAGAAAAACTTTAAATGACAAACCCAGACTCCAGGTGCCTTGCAAAGGTTGAAGGCCAGCCAGGATTGCTGCTGCTGCTGCTACTCCTGCCAACACCCCTTTCATTGGCATGACGGAATGAAAGGATGCATGTCTCCACTTCCTGACCCTCCGCCCACTTCCTTCTCCCTCCACCACCCCCAGTCGTCAGCTCCTTCCCTCATTTATTTTTGTTAAGTTGTGTGAATTATTTTTAACCCATTTATCCTGTTTGTGCATAGGGTTTTTAAGAAGAAACAGCACAGTGCAACGAGCAAATCTTTTTGGGGTGTGTGGGAAGCAAGGGAGGGAGGACATGGAGAAAAGTTCTTTAAACAAATAGCAAACTATTGAACATGTGTAAAATCCTGTATCATTTATGAAATATGTATAAAAAGCAATGTACCTTCTGGAACAATAAATACTTATTCAATTTTTGAACGATAGCATCTCATTCTTTAAAACAAAACCAGAAAAACTACATTTCCTGTGATTCTAGGTGGGAAGTTTTTTACTTCTAAAATTCATTTTTATAAAAATATCATTATCAAATTAAGCTCTTCCTTAAGCCTATATTTCAAAAATAGGCATTTCACTAGTTCTTCCTGAACCTAAGATAATCAGTATTTTCCTAATTTTCCAGAGCCACCAAGAGGTTGAGTGACCTGTACAACCGTTAATAAAGTCAGCAGCAGCAGTCTCAGTGAGCCTGAATCCTCATCTCCTGATTGACAGGAAAAATCTCTGTGGTATCAGATCACCTGGATTGCCCAGTGCTATGGGCTCCTGGACTCAAGAAAATTGTTCAAAGACGCACCAAAATTAAGTATTCATTATTTTCAGAGTTTGTATCAAATTTACAGTGGTAGCCAAACAGGAAATATCACATGCTGCCAAGATCACCACAGGCATATTTAAAAACTTGTATTAAATATCTGGTTGCTGGAGTGCAATATGAGGTGCTGTTCAAAGAGCCTCTGTAGCTGTGGTCCTGCCTTCTGGCAGCTTACAGCAGCCTAACGCAGACAACCCTTACCCCCATGTAAAGTGTAAGAAGGTAAGGTTTGACAGAGCAGAAGCATCGCCATCTTGGACAAGCACTGCCATTTTAAGTTCTCCCAATTAAAAACCGCCTAAATCCAGCCCAGAAAACATCAGCCTAATGGCTAATGTCAGCATGACCATAAACCATAAATGACACCTTAGACCAGAAACTTTCCAACCCTGAGATAAAGCCCCCTCTGACCAGAGACATCCCAGCCCCGAGATAACCTCCCCTCCGAACAGACATTCCACCCTTGAAATAAAATTCTCCTCCACCCAGAAACACTCCGAGCATGCGATAAGCTCTCCCTTGCTAAACCCTTAAGTACCCTCAGTCTGTAAGACAGAATGCTCCTGATTGAAATCAGCCAGAATACTCCCCAAAATAAACCTGTCTTTGACTATTGAGCCACTTCTTGTGTTTCCTCCTTCTTTCTTCAACTCTTACAAGGTTGAAAATATTAAGTCGTTTTTTGCATTCAACAAATGGTATCTACATACTTCACACATTCTGTTAAGCTTTGCAGGGTTGTGTTTGTTTTGGTTAGGTTTTTTAAGGAAAATGAAAACATGATTCCTGCCTTTAAGGAGCTTACAATTTGAAGTTTAAAGCAGGAGTATCCAATCTTTTGGCTTCCCTGCACCATACTGGAAGAAGAAGAATTGTCTTGGGCCACACATAAAATACACCAACACTAATGATAGCTGATGAGCTAAAACAAAACACAAAAAACCCTCAATGTTTTAAGAAAGTTTACGAATTTGTGTTGAGCTGCACACGGCCTGCAAACCATGGGTAGGACAAGCTTAAAGTATAGTGAACAACAAAGGAAACCTTATTAAAAAATGGGCAAAGGAGTTGGACAGTTCTCCAAGAAAATATATAAATGGCCAATAAACATGAAAAGATGCTCAACATCACTAATAAGGAAAGGTAAAACTACCATGAAATACCACTTCACACCCATCAGAATGGCTATTATCAGAAAAAGCAGAAAATAAAACGTTGGTGAGAAATTGGAACCCTTGGTACTCCTGGCGGGAATGTAAAATGGTTCATCTCCTGTGAAAAATGGTTCCTATGGTGGCTCCTCAGAAAGTGAAACAATTACCATATGATCCAGCAATTCCACTTCTGGGCATATGTCCAAAAGAATTGAAAGTAGGGACAAACGTGTACACACATGTTCATAGCAGCGTTATTCACCATAGCCAAAAGGTAGGAGTAACCTGAGTGTCCGCCAACAAATGAATGGATAAACAAAACATGGTGTGTGCACACAACTGATTATTATTCAGCCATACAAGAATGGAATTGGGTCACATGCCATAACAAGGATGAGCCTTGAAGACACATGCTAAATGAATCAAGCTAGTCACAAACGGACAATTACTGTATGACTCCACTTACATGATTCGTCAAATTCATAGAAACACAAAGTAACATAGTGGCTGCCGGGGTGAGGGAGGGAAGAATGACAAGTTATTGTTTAATGCATACAGAGTGTCAGTTTGGGAAGATGACAAAGTTTTGGAGGTGGTTGGTGGTGATGGTTGCCCAACGATGTGAATGTACCTAATGCCACTGAACTGTACACTTAAGTGGTTAAAATGATAGATTTTATGTATATTTTACCACAATAGAGAAAAAAAAGCATAGTGGATTAGAGGCAAATAATGATAGTGTCAAATCTATTACTGAGTGTAAGTAATGCAGTTTTGCTGAGGAAGCATAGACTTTAGAGGTGGAAAAAGTAGAAGGGTTCTCAGAACATGGTCCCCAGAGCAGCAGCATGTCATCTCCTGGAGCTGTTAGAAATGCAAGTTCTCCGGTCCCCTTTGGATCAGAAACTAGGAGTGGAGCCAAGTGTTCAACAAGCCCTCCTGGTGATTCTGATGAGAACCATCACTTTAAAGAGAAAGGAACTGAGGCTCAGAGATGGCGCCTACATCACAACTCCTCAGTGCATCCTGTGGTCAAGTACCAGACTGAGTGGCTGGAGGACTGCTGAGCATGGTGACTGGTGAGTAGAAAAGATGTAACCAGAGGTGATGTTAACACTAATGTGGTATCCTGCTTGTCAGGGTGCAGTGGTAAGCACATGGTGGATGCTTTCAAAAACAAATACAAATAGGTTGACTTTTTAAATCTATCTGGAAAGATTTCACAGAAAAATGGGACTTCTTAGATTTTAGAGCTCAGTTTCACCGAAACTCTTCAGAGTTTTAATTCAGTTTTATCACTGCCAACGTTTGTTTGTTGCTCTCCCAAATGAGTCCAAGCTCCTTATTTCCCATGGTGCGCTTGTGATATTTCCTTAGGATAAATGTGTAAGTTATTTTTAATGAATCCTACTGAATATAAGATTACCTACTTTGCCTGTAATCCCAGCACTTTGGGATGCCAAGGTGGGTGGATAGCTTGAGTTCAGGAGTTCGAGACCAGCCTGGGCAACATGGCAAAACCCCATCTCTACTAAAAATACAGAAATTAGCCGGGCATGGTGGTGCACACCTGTAATCCCAGCTACTTGGGTGGCTGAGGCAGGAGAATCATTTGAACCCCGCAGGCAGAGACTGCAGTGAGCTGAGATTGCGCCACTGCACTCCACCCTGGGTTATAGAGTGAGACCCTGTCTCAAAAAAAAAAAAATACTTATTTGATAAATGTTAATATTTTATAAATGCATCATTCACTGAGCAACCCCTCCTCCTTGAACTTCAGCTCCTGTGACTCCACCCTTGGGTTTCCGTTCGTAAATCTGTGACTACTTCTTGGTCTCCTTTACAGCGTCCTATTCCTCTGCCCACATCTGTGATATTAGGCTTCCCCAAGGTTCCATCTTGGACCCCATTTTCCATGGGTGTGATCTCACCCCTCTCCCCTATTTAAATTACCATTTATATGTTGGTAGCTCTCAAATTGTTACTCTAGCTCAGATATATCCTAGACTGATTTATCCTCTTCGTAACTGGTCTATTTCTAGCATTGCCTTCTGTACATTAAATTCTCTCAATGTCACCAGAGTATTTTTGTTTTTAAATTCTAATAGCACATAATTTAGAAAAATTGTAACATATGAACAAGCATTAACATTAAATATGGGGGAGGAAAGACTACAAGACACCACAAAGAAGCAATTCACCAAACCCAAAACGTGGAACATTCTGTAGGACAAATGATGGGGTTTCTTCAACAAATGGAAGGAAGGGGGGAAGACCATTATGGATAAAAATATATATATATATATATATTTTTTTTTTGAAACGGAGTCTCCCTCTGTTGCCTAGGCTGGAGTCCAGTGGCACAATCTCGGCTCACTGTAACCTCTGCCTCCCAGGTTCAAGTGATTTTCCTGTCTCAGCCTCCCAAGAAGCTGGGATTACAGACGTGCACCATCACACTTGGCTAGTTTTGCATTTTTAATAGAGATGGGGTTTCACCATGTTGGCCGGGCTGGTCTCGAACTCCTGACCTCAGGTGATCCACCCACCTTGGCCTCCCAAAGTGCTGGGATTACAGGTGTGAGCCACTGCACCCAGCTGATAAAAATAAATTTAAGTGACAATCAAAATGCAATATATAAATCTTGTTTGGATCCTGACTCAACCCAGCAATAAAAGGAATATTTGGAACTATTGGAGCAATTTAAATATGGATTGGATATGAGTTAAGGAATTATTACTAATTTTCATAGTTGTAATAAAAGCATCATGATTATGTAAAAAAATACAATGTGTTAGAAATGCATACTGGTATGTAAATGAAATTGATAGAATGTTAGTAATTATTATAGCTGAGTGTTCATTATTGTTCTTTATACTTTTGTATATATATTTGAAATTTTTCATCATAAAAAGTAAAAAATGAAAGAGCAGGTCAACTAAAAAGGAAAAAATAGAAATAAGGGGGAAAAAACATCTTACCATCCTGGGAATTCTTGTTTACAGAACCAAAGGCTATCTGGTGAAAGTCCTTGACTCCAGCAATCAATCCTGGCAACAAGTCTGGGTTTATCTCATGCACACGTCCTCTGTTTCTCTGCAACACATATGAAGCCCTCAGATGGCTTCCTAGGCGCAGGAAGTTGTGGGGGATTGTTTTTTCTGTTTAAAGCACTGATACTTAGCAACACTATCCTGCAATGAGACAGCAGAGTCATCCATTGCTGCCATCAAACCACAACTTAATAAGTTAATGGTCAAATTGCCTGTGTCCCACTGATGTTAGTAATGAAGTAGCTAACTACAATTTTAGATCAATGGAAACCCCTTGCTTGACCATAAACCCTGTGCTTCTGGAGACCATGTGTACTTTTGTCATTGTCAAAAACCAGTGATTGCCCGAGCTCGGTGGCTCACACCTGTAATCCCAGCACTTTGGGAGGCCAAGGCAGGCGGATCACGAGGTCAGGAGATCGAGACCATCCTGGCTAACACAGTGAAACCCTGTCTCTACTAAAAATACAAAAAAATTAGCTGGGCGTGGTGGTGGGCGCCTATAGTCCCAGTTACTTGGGAGGCTGAGGCAGGAGAATGGCGTGAACCCGGGAGGCGAAGCTTGCAATGAGCCGAGATCACACCACTGCACTCCAGCCTGAGCGACAGAGTAAGACTCCGTCTGAAAAAAAAAATTGTGCTAAGAAGCACATTTTCTCTCCTTTGTCTAAAAGTGAAACTTCAGGAAATTTTGACATTTAATTTTCCAGAGTGTTAATTTAATGAGTAGTTTCTAATTTTAAGCTCCTACCCCATCTTAATGTGAGAATTAGTGAAATAAATAACATTAAACCATTTTTTAATTTTGGGAGTAAAGACAATAAAAATATGAGGTATTGCTGCTTGAATTAGTAAAAACACAATTTAAACCTTGTTTCTTTCAGAAGTTTTGAGGCCAAAGACCGTAATAAAACAAACTCAGGAGCTTATTTCAAGAGAATACTGTCCTTGTCTCATACCTGTCCTTACTACTTTGTTTTGTGTGCTATTATAAGCTCCTCAACCATCTGACCAAGACAGTTGCAGTGATTTGGCTTCATCCATTCTCGTTTAGTGTGCAGTGCTATGGCTGCAACATTGTGAAATCAATTCCTAGAAGTCACAAAGCAAGAATTTGACGTGAAGGGATGTCCCTCATTTAGAATTCCCTTCTGGATAAGATACTGGGGTTTCATTGCAGGGAATTCTTGAGAGAAAACAATAGGAGGATGAGGGATTGTGAGTTGTGTTTTTTTTTTTTTTTCCTAAAGAAAACTATTAATAAAGGAACCCTGTTGACAGTGTAAAGCAGTGCTTCTCTCTGGGGCCAAGGCCAGAGCTGTGGACACCTTATCCCACTCATCCTCATCCTCTTCCTCTGATAAAGCCCCTACCAGTGCTGATAAAGTCTTTCTCGTGAGAGCCTAGAGGCCTTAAAAAAAAAAGTGCTTGAAAGAGAAGGGGACAAAGGAACACCAGTATTAAGAGGATTTTCCAGTGTTTCTGGCAGTTGGTCCAGAAGGATGCCTCCATTCCTGCTTCTCACCTGCCTCTTCATCACAGGCACCTCCGTGTCACCCGTGGGTGAGTCTCATGTCAAGAACTTGGCACAATGCACTTTTTGTTGTGGCAATTTGCTATAATGTACAGATGATTAAGAACTAGATTCCAGTACCTTAAATGCTAGCTCTAGAATCTTGTAAGAAAAGTCCCTAATAATCCTTGAAAATAGATTTCCCGAGAATTTCTGTTACATGTTCCATTTAGCCTCTTGCCTGGACTCCAAAATTTCCATGGATCTGCCATATCCCACAGCTTTCACTAGCTAAAGAGTTCCTGGAGTATGTGTAAAAATAATTCTATCTTCTTTGTGTTCTAGGCACTTTATAGTTCCAACTTGAAGAGCCAAAAAAAAAAAAATTAAAGTTGAGCATAGAATTTTTCTTTAATGAAGGCAAGGGACTGAAAGCTCTGTTGCCATGGGGGGCACAGATCTGGATAAACCAAACTCATTAGTCTTTATGTCAGAAAATAAGACTTTTTGCACAGATCGAGTGAATCTTAAATTGTCTCCCTCCTCAGGCTTGGTGCAAAACTGGCCAGTCAGGCAAAGAAAAGTTTCAATTCCAGTTACTAACAGATTTCTCTCTTGCATCTTTTTCTAGTAGAATGTGAGTACTAACTGGAACAGAGGGTGGGGGTGAGATGGAGAGAACCATCCTTCTTGACACTTTTGAGTAGCTCAGTATCTAATTGACCCTGGCTTATTTCTTCATGGTTGCTCTAGTACCTGAAAGGATACACATTAAAAATAGGCTTGTGGCCAGGCACGGTGGCTCACACTTGTAATGCCAGCATTTGAGAGGCCAAGGCGGGTGGATCACCTGAGGTCAGGAGTTCAAGACCAGCCTGGCCAACATGGTGAAACTCCGTCTCTACTAAAAATACATACACACAAAAAAATTAGATGGTCATGGTGTTGCATGCCTGTAATTCCAGCTACTTGGGAGGCTGAGGCGGGAGAATCACTTGAACTCGGGATGTGGAGGTTGCAGTGAGCCGAGATCGAACCACTGCACTCCAGCCTGGGCAACAGAGGGAGACTCCATCTCAAAAAAATAAAAATAAAAATAAAAATGGTGATTTGAGACCCTAAGGAGACCTGACACCTAAAGGTAATGTGGGATCCTGGAACAGAAAGATATGGGTGGAAACTAAGGGAATCTGAATAAGTGTGGACTTGAGTTAATAATCAGGTATCAATAGTGGGTCATTAATGTGACAAAGGTACCATGCCAATGTGTGGTAAATGTATGGCTAAAGGTAACGTGTCATAACAAGGGAAACTGGGTGTGGGGTATGTGGGATCTCTTTGTCCTATCATCTCAATTATGCTGTAAATCCAAAACTATTCCAAAAAATATGCTTGAGCTACCTGTCATTAATCACCCCCTATCTGCTGCCAATAACTAACCCAAGGGTCGCTCAGAAAGTTGTCCTCCCGAAAATCTCCACTCCCCTTTCTTCCCACCCTTCTCCTTACCTATTCTCCCTCTAGTACCTCCTATATTCCCCATTCTTTCCATATACCATCGCCCTTCCCAGATCTTTTCCTCCAACCCCCAGCTCCTCAAGGATGATATTTGGCTCAATGCCAGAAGCATGATAAAGGGGGAACTTTGGGAACTAGAGCTGGTGTTTGCCCTGAGAGGACAGGGGAAGTGAGAGAAGAGGAAAAGAAGGGATGAGAAAGGGGGAAGCAAAGTGGGGTGATGAGGGAGGAGGATGGAAGAGGATGGAGCAGGAAAGGAGGGGCACTTCCCGACCAAGCTCAGGCACAGGGTCGAAAAGGGGCTGTGATTCAGGGGCGGCTGTCTGCCGGATAGGACCTGGAGGGTTGGAGGACTCAACCCTGGGGCGAAAGGGTGGGGACGCAGACATGGTTCCCTGCCCTTGGCCCTGCGTGGTCCTGGTGGAAGACAGCAGAGGGGCAGCTGGCAAGTGGGCATCTTAGCAAACCATTGAGGAGCTTCTGGCAGGCCAGGAAGCTGTTCTTTTTGAAGCCTTCGCACTGAGATGTATAGATCAGCATTTTAGGATGAATGTGCGCAATACCAGATTCTGGGCTTCACGCTGAGATTAAAAACAGGATATAAGACCAGTGGCCAGATTATTAGATTGGATTGCTGCCTTAAAAGGGGGTAGAGTGGGATGGGTACGTTAAATGTCAGAAAGTATTGGATGGTTAACTTTTAAAAATATATATGTATTATTTAATTAGTTATAGAAGATGGTAGATAAACTTTTCCTCCTCATACCCTATCTCCCCTACAGCAGGGGAGGAAGTGAACTTTTAGCAAACAGCCCAAGAAATGACATTTAACTTGAAGGAAAAACTTTATAAATAAGGAAATAGTTACTGAGAGAGGTTTAGGAGTTTCTGTAGAAGCGATTAAAAGTTAAGTATCTAACCATTTCTTATAAAATTAGAGCCAGGGAGAGGAATCAAATATTTCTATGACTCTGTAATCACCTGTGAAACTGCTCTGGAAACCTTATTTGTAAGAAAAAGTCACAGCTGGGAGAGCAAAGGAGGAAGAAATTTGTCCCTTTTGATGGGAGAAAGAATCTGAGGATATTTCTTCCCCTCAAAGGATTATGGTCTAGGGTTCAGCCGAGATACATAAGGGGCATTTTAAAGAAAGAGGGTTGTTTCTGCCATTTGCAACCCTGCGTGTTATTTCCAGAAAATGCAATATCCCACTTATTTCTTGTCTTACATTGTCATATTTTCTTGGAGGCCATTAGCAGTGGGCTACACTTTTCTCTACATGTGACTGAAGTTTAGAGAGTAAACTTAACTTTGAATTGTGGATATGTAGATTGGAAAAATCTAAAGTATTTTCTAGACAAGTTAGATTTGGTGATCATGGCCCATTCATATTTAATTTTTGTGCAGTATTTGCTAATACTGAATTCCCTGCCCACAAAATGTATTGGCCCTAATGTGAATTTCCTGCCTATGATATCAGTTACGTAAGTCAACCTCATGTGCATTAAGAAGGATAATATAGTACTCTCTGGCCAATGTTCCTTTCTAGAATTTCTTGGTTTCATAGATTCTTCATAAGGACAATTTACCTATGTTGATTCATTAATTAGTTTCCCTGGAGTTAAGGGGAGCAATGAGAATATTGGAGATATTGGTTCTTTAGTCATTAAAATGTTGTTTTTCTATTTATTTATTTGTTTGTTTGTTTATTTATGAGACGAAGTTTCACTCTCTTGCCCAGGCTGGAATGCAATGGTGTGGTCTCGGCTCCCTGCAACCTCCACCTTCCGGGTTCAAGCAATTCTCCTGCCTCAGCCTCCCAAGTAGCTGGGATTACAGGCACGTGCCACCACGCCCAGCTGATTTCTGTATTTTTAGTAGGGGTGGGGTTTCACCATGTTGACCAGGCTGGTCTCGAACTCCTGACCTCAGGTGATCCACCCGCCTCGGCCCCCCAAAGTGCTGGGATTACAGGTGTGAGCCACTGTGCCTGGCCAAAATGTTGTTTTCCAATGTTTTCATGACATACAATAAAATGTTTTGGTTGAGATATTTGTCCTTGTAATTTATGCACTAAATATGTATGCCTGAGAAACTTGGCTATATGACAGCTAGGATAGTAATGCCATGGTTAACTGTGAATACACAAAGTTCTTGGTATTTTCAATAAGCTGGTAAAATATATACCAAAATTCACTTTGAGAATATTTCTGGTAACAACATGCTAGTATACTCTGTATTTCAAAGTAGGTGACATGTGCCCGAGGCCTTTTTCTTTTCAGTGGAATGAGCTTTTACACATTCCTGATCAAGTCAAACTTTCTAATAATGCAAAATTCCACCTATAATCTTTACAAATGGCCAGCCAAATACTTTTTTGAAAATTTCCAAGGATTGGAAGCTAACTGCACTGTGACACAGCCTCTCCATGACTGGATAGCTGAACTGAAACGTGCTTTCCCATAATTCATTCTTGTTCTTGTAACAGAATAGCTAATTCCTCTTTCACACGCCTGTTCCAGATTTTTAAAAACTAATATGCATTTTCTTCCATCTTCTTTTTTCAAAATGATAGTTCTCAACTTCTCCTGTAAATAATTTTTAGGACCCCTTCTAAGTCTGTTCAACTTTCTCTGAACAAATTTGTCAATTACTTTCATAAAATACAGTCTCCGGCCGAGCACCAGATTCATGCCTGTAATCCCAACAGTTTGGGAGGCTGAGGCAGGAGGATCACTTGAGCCCAGGAGTTCAAAACCAGCCTGGGCAAGATGCCAAAACCCTATCTCTACCAAAAAAAAAAAAAAAAATTAGCCAGGTGTGGTGGCATACGCTTGTGGTCCCAGCTACTTCAGAGGCTGGGTGGGGAGGATCACTTGAGCCCAGGAGGCGGAGGTTGCAGTGAGCCATGGTTGTACCACTGCACTCCAGCCTGGGTGACAGAGCCAAACCCTGTTTCAAAAATAATAATAATACAGTCTCCATGTATGAACAAAATACTCAGAGTGTGGTCTGACTCGTGCAGAGTTCAGTGAGTCTTTAATCCTAACCTCCCTTGGTCTGATCAACTATCCTTCTATCAAATAATTACTCTGGATAAAAATTCAGTTCAATGCTAACACTTAACTTTAGGTTTGAAATACTTTTGAAAAGGGCATTTATGCAACATGTTTAAATCAACCTGAGGAACCTTAAACAGCTATTTTTTGTGACCTTAACTAATTTCTCTCTGGAATTCAAAAATGTCCAAATGCAAGACCAAGAAGTTGGACTTGGGCTGTTGGTGGTGTGATCCGAAACACTCCAGGTACTCTGAGGTATCTTTTTCATTTCCAGCCCTAGATCCTTGTTCTGCTTACATCAGCCTGAATGAGCCCTGGAGGAACACTGACCACCAGTTGGATGAGTCTCAAGGTCCTCCTCTATGTGACAACCATGTGAATGGGGAGTGGTACCACTTCACGGGCATGGCGGGAGATGCCATGCCTACCTTCTGCATACCAGAAAACCACTGTGGAACCCACGCACCTGTCTGGCTCAATGGCAGCCACCCCCTAGAAGGCGACGGCATTGTGCAACGCCAGGCTTGTGCCAGCTTCAATGGGAACTGCTGTCTCTGGAACACCACGGTGGAAGTCAAGGCTTGCCCTGGAGGCTACTATGTGTATCGTCTGACCAAGCCCAGCGTCTGCTTCCACGTCTACTGTGGTCGTGAGTACCTTCCCTGTGCTCTTTTTCTCCACCAACAAGGCCACAGGTGGAGTCCAAAAGTGCCAATTATAGGATATGCAGTTACAGTGGCAACTATATCTCAATCTGAACAACATTGATGTGGGGCTAAAGATACCTCTGATTTCTGAGATCTCTTCTTAGAACTTCTGAAAAATTCCTGAAGAAATAGAAGGGGAAAGGAGCTATGACTTTGATCAGTTCTTTTTAATTTTGTCTGAATTCCATTCAAACAAAACATTAGAAAATGAAACATTGGGCCAGGCGCAGTGGCTCACGCCTGTAATCCCAGCACTTTGGGAGGCTGAGGCAGGTGGATCACAAGATCAGGAGTTTAAGACCAGCCTGGCCAATATGGTGAAACCCTGTCTCTACTAGAAATACAAAAATTAGACAGGCGTGGTGGCAGGCAACTGTAACCCCAGCTACCCGGGAGGCTGAGGCAGGAGAATTGCTTGAACCCGGGAGGTGGACGTTGCGGTGAGGCGAAAATCGTGCCATTGCACTCCAGCCTGGGTGACAGAGTGAGACTCTGATTCAAAAAAAAAAAAAAAAGAAAAAAAGAAAATGAAACACTGATTTAGATTATCTAAATGGTGGATTTCCAACTTTTGAGTATGGAGAACCCCTTTTTAAGATAGATAGATGATAGATAGATAGATAGATAGATAGATAGATAGATAGATAGATAGATAGATAGATGATAGATAGATAATCAGACATCCATGTGATTGGATTGTGTTTAGTGTCCACTGATTTTTTTAAGTGATATACAATGGGAAGAAGCTACTTTATGTCAGTAATACTTTTAATTTCTGTGTTATTAATCCTGTCAATGTCTGTATTCATTTTTTAAATAGAACACTAGAAGAGTAGGACATAACACTTTCTTAGTCTATAGCTCTTGTATGGTGAGGTTTTGGATTTGCAGAAACTCTATGGCCACTCAAGGGCCTGTGGATCTGAAGTTGGGAATCATTGATCTAGATGACAGAAGATGCCCTAGATTGTTGTTTTCCATTGGTTTATATAAACCCTGAACAATGAGGATTCCCTTGATGGTGGCTGGAAACTCATCCCCCAGGCTGCACTTATGAGGCTCTCTCAAGAAGAGGGTCAGCTGGATGCAGTGGCTTATGCCTGTAGTGCCAGCTACTTGGGAGGCCAAGGTGAGAGGATTGCTTGAGCCCAGGGGTTCGAGGCCAGCCTGGGCAACATAGGGATACCACCCCCCCCGACCCCCCGCACCATCTCTAAAAAGAATGAAAGAGTGTCTTCTGGTCTCCTGCCCTCATGAAGATAATCTTTATTCTTCCATAGATTTTTATGACATCTGCGACGAGGACTGCCATGGCAGCTGCTCAGATACCAGCGAGTGCACATGCGCTCCAGGAACTGTGCTAGGCCCTGACAGGCAGACATGCTTTGGTAAGAAACTCATCAAAGGTAGAATCAGGCTATTAGGATCGAAAGGACAAATCAAAAACTCTTCCTGCCTCAGAGCACCATCATTTTCCCAGTGTGTGTCTCCAAACACTTGGAATGGTGTTTGCTTTTTAGTTTATGCCTGGACCGAAAGCCCCACGCCAAATTTGTATCATGATTAGGGACAGCAGAGAATTGTGCCCTCCACTAGGGTAGCCACAGATGGCCATGGTGCACTTGAAATGTGGCTAGTGTGACTGAAAAACTGAATTTTAATTTTATTTTAATTTTAAAAGTGATGTTTGGCTACACACGGTGGCTCGCACCTGTAATCCCAGCACTTTGGGAGGCTGAGGCTGACAGATGGCTTGAGCCCAGGAGTTTGAGACCACCCTGGGCAACAAAGAAAAAACTCATCTCTACAAAAAATATGAAAATTATGTGGGTATGATGGCAGGTACCCATAGTCTCAGCTCCTCAGGAGGCTGAGGTGGGAGGATCACTTGAACTTGGGAGTTCAAGGTTACAGTGAGCCATGGTTACACCACTGCTCTCTAGCTTGGGTGAAAGAACGAGACTCTGTTTCTAAAAATAATAATAATATCTTTAATATTGGTTATATATCAAAGTGAAAATATTTTGCATATAATTGGGTTATATAAAATATATTATTAAAATTAATTTCGCCAGTTTATTTTTAAAAAATTTTAATATGACTACTAAAAAATTTTAAATATGTAATTTGCTTTATATTTCTGTTGAACAGCACTGGTCTGGTCTAGAATTATCTAAGGACTTACTCCTCTAGCTTCACTGATACAATTTTGGTTGTTCTGAGTAGCAAGAAAGATGAGTCAGATTGTCTGTAGGAAATCCAGAGTTCTTGAATTTTATATTATGTTGTCTATAACTAGAAGAGAACAGAGATGAAAACCCCAAGATTGAATATTATTTCTCTTTCTCTTTAATGTTATGAAGCTTTTTGGATTCAGACTCAAATAGATTTAAAACAAGTCTAGAGAGAAAGGGGAAGATTGCCCTACCCTGGTCCCCCAAGAAGAACAGTAACAGGTCAGGATTGAGGTAGGAGATTAAGGTGAAAGGAGCATAAAAGGCTTATTGGTTTTTGTTTGTTTGTTTGTTTGTTTTTGAGACAGGATCTTGCTCTGTCGCCCAGGCTGGAGTGCAGTGGTGTGATCTCAGCTCATTGCAGCTTCGACATCCTGGGCCCAAGTAGCTTCTTGTTTTAGAAAAGCTTTTGCTCTTCAGTCTCCTAAATGAGCCAGGGGCAATGGCTCATGCCTGTAATCCCAGCGCTTTGAGAGGACGAAGCAAGAGGATTGCTTGAGGCCGAGTTTAAGACTAGCTTGGGCAACATAGTGAGACCCCATCTCTATAAAATAAAAATAAATTAGCCAGACATGGTGGCAGCCTTCCAAAGTAGCTGTAGTCTCAGCTGAGGTAGGTGGATTGCCTGAGCCCAGGAATTTAAGGCTGCCATCAGCTCTGATTGTGTCACTGCACTCCAGCCAGGGCGAAAGAGCAAGACCCTGTCTCTGAAAAACAAAACAAAACAAAACAAAACATAAATACTTCAATAAATAAAGCCTCCTAAATGAACCCCACTGACCATCCTGTGAAGCATGTTTCGGCTCTGCCATAGGCGTTGTTAGGGATCTCGTGTGATTGATTTTGAGTATGTGATTTAATGCTAAATGCCTTGGGGTAGGGGCAATAGTGGTTCCTGAAGTCTCTGCCCACCCTCATGTATTTCTGTTCAAAAATATTTGGCTTTATTTTAAGCCAGGAGTTGTTCATGCATTTCTTTGCTTTTGTTTTAATATAACTTTTGAAGAGGTAATACGTTTAAATGGTTCCCAAATTAAACAACATGAAAAAGTATACAGCAAACTGTCCAGCTCTCAGTCACCCTCTTGCCCCATTTCCCTCTTCCCCAACTCCATCCCAAGGAAACGGCTGTATTATTTTCTTATATGTGCTTCCAGGGTTTCTACAGTCAGATTTAAAAATGTAAATATATATATGTGTATTAGTCTGTTCTCATGCTGCTAGTAAAGGCATACCCAAGCCTGGATTTATAAAGGAAATTTATAAAGGAAAGAAGTGTAATTGACTCACCCTTCCACATTGCTGAGGAGGCCTCACAATCATGGCAGAAGATGAATGAGAAGCAAAGTCACATCTTACATGGCAGCAGGCAAGAGAGCATGTGTAGGGGAACTCCCATTTATAAAACCATTGGATTTCGTGAGACTTACTTACTACCAAGAGAACAGTGTGGGGGAAATTGCACCCATGATTCAATTATCTCCACCTGGCCCCACCCTTTACACATGGGGACTATTACAATTCAAGGTGAGATTTGGGTGCAGACACAGCCAAATCATATCAATATGTTTACTTATTGGCCATTTTTAAACATCAAAGGTAGCATATCATTCACATCTCTTCCTTAATTTATCTTAGACAATCTTTTTCTATCAAAGCCCCAAGTTCCTATGTGGGGTCTGTGGGACTTCAGGGAGATGGTGAATCCTCTGAAATTGTAGACAGTGTTTTGTGTTTGTAAGCATGTGTCAATTTTCCTTTAGTTTTTATTTAAATGTAATAATTTTAATTATTTTAAATTATATAATTTGTTCAGGCAGCATACAAGAAAATAATATAACAGACACTCATGTACCTAGATTTAACTAGAGTTAAGTTTTGCTTCCTTTTTGTTTTTCTTTTCTTTTTTTTTGAGATGGAGTTTCACTCCTGTTGCCCAGGCTGGAGTGCAATGGCACAATCTCGACTCACTGCAACCTCCACCTCCCAGGTTCAAGTGATTCTCCCGCCTCAGCCTCTAGAGTAGCTAGGATTACAGATGCTCACCACCATGCCTGGCTAATTCTTTTGTATTTTTAGTAGAGACAGGGTTTCACCATGTTAGCCAGGCTGGTCTTGAGCTCCTGACCTCAGGTGATCCACCCACCTTGGCCTCCCAAAGTGCTGGGATTACAGGCGTGAGCCACCATGCCCAGCCCCCTTTTTCTTTTAATTTAAATACAATTTTGTAAATACAGTAAAGCCATCCCACCCCATCCTGCTTTCTTCTCTCAGCCTCCAGGGGTAATCATTGTTTTGAAATTAACATGTGTTCTTCTCATCCCATTTTAATGCTTTTATTATTTATGTATGTACCCATAACAATAGATAGCATTGTTTTGTGTGTTCTTAGAATTAACATAAAAATGATACCTTACCCAATGTGTGAGATTTTCTCTAGCAGGTACCCATAAGAATGGAACTGCTGGGGCATAGAGTATCTTCACTGGCTATAACAATAAACCCCAAATAATGATGGGTTAAATAAGTAGAAGTTTATTTCTCTCTCATATTAAAAAAAAAATCAGTCCTAAGGGAGGAGACCACCCCTCATATTGTCTTATGCCTAATTTCTGCCTCCAAAAAAAGAAGAAGTAAGAACTAAAAGACAGAAATGAAATCCACAGGCAGACAGCCCGGCGCCACACCCTGGGCCTGGTAGTTAAAGATCGACCCCTGACCTAACCGGTTATGTTATCTATAGATTACAGACATTGTATGGAAAAGCACTGTGAAAATCCCTGTCCTGTTCTGTTCTGTTCTGATTACCGGTGCCTGCAGCCCCCAGTCACGTACGCCCCTGCTTGCTCAATCGATCATGACCCTCTCACGCAGACCCCCTTAGAGTTGTAAGCCCTTAAGAGGGACAGGAATTGCTCACTTGGGGACCTCAGTTGTTGGAGACCTGAGTCTTGCCGGAGCTCCCGGCCGAATAAAGCCCTTCCTTCTTTAACTCGCTGTCTGAGGGGTTTTGTCTGCGGCTTGTCCTGCTACAGTCCAAGATAAGCAGTCCAGGCTTGGAATAGAGGCTTCTAAGTGACCTACCCAAGCACGGATGTCACCATGTCTACATCCAGGAAGGCTGTGGGCCTCTAACCATCTACTTTCCAGGCAGTATAATGAGGAAAGGGAAAGAAGGAGCCCTGATAAAGATTCTTAATATTATCAACATTTTGCATTTCTACAAGTTCTGTTTGTTTGTTTTCAGTTCTGCCTTGTCTTTTTACACACTTCTTTTATTTTGCTTATTATCCTTTCTTTTATCTTTTTACTAATTCTTTAAATACTTGTATTATGGATTTTTCTGGATAATTCTGTTATCTCCAGTTCAAAGCCTCTAATTATCACGATAATGCTCTCTCACAGTGGATCATCCCTCATGTAAGTGTCTTGTGGCAGACCATCTTCTGTTGTAGTTTTTTCTGTAGGACACCACTCGTGTCATCTGGTATCTTTGTTTAGTGTTGCTATAAAGGAATACCTGAGGCTGGGTAATTTATAAAGAAAATGGGTTTATTTGGTTTATGATTCTGCTGGCTGGGAGACTGAGCATCTGGGGAGGGCCTCAGGCTGCTCCCACTCATGGAGGAAGGTGAAGGGTGCTGGCATGTGCAGAGATCTCATGGCAAGACAGGAAGTGAGAGTGAGAAGGGGGAGGTGGCAGGCTCCTTTTAAACACGCTGAAACTAATCTAATAGAGCAAGAACTCACTTATTACTGCAAAGACAGCACCAAGCCATTCACAGGGGACTTGCCTCCAAGACCTGAACACCTCTCATTAGGCCTCACCTCCAACATCGAGATCAAATCTCAATATGAGGCCAGGCACTGAGGCTCATGCCAGTAATCCCAGCACTTTGGGAGGCCAAGGCAGGTGGATCACTTGAGGTCAGGAGTTCATGACCAGCCTGGCCAACATGGTGAAATCCTGTCTCTACTAAAAATACAAAAATTAGCTGGGCGTGGTGGTGCGTGCCTGTAATCCCAGCTACTCGGAAGTCTGAGGCAGGAGTATCGCTTGAACCTGGGAGGCAGGGGTTGCAGTGAGCAGAGATCACACCACTGCACTCCAGTCTGGGTGACAGAGGCTCCGTCTCAAAAAAAAAGAAAAATCTCGCTATGAGATTTGGAGGGGTCAAATATCCAAACCACAGCACCTGGTTTGAGGAAGTTTTACACAGAGCACTTTTTCAAATGCTCCTGTCAGCATCACAGATGCTTTATCAGACCTAGGCCAAATTTTCCATCAATTTCTCAGCTTCAAGTTTCCCCATACCATGTGGGAAGTGTAAAACCGTACTTCAGCCATGGCAGAGCCCTGGCTTGGGGCTTCCATTGCTTGTGAAGGCTTTTCTTTCTCCTAGAGCCTTGGGCAGAGTTTCCTTATTGCTTCCCTGGGCCACTGGGCAAAGTTCTCCCCATCTCATTGAGGGGATACATCTTCTGGGGTCCTAGACTTAAGCAGGGTTTCAGTCACAGCTTATCTCCTCTCCTGGGGCCAAGGTCATGCCTCCTGTCATCGCATGGGTGTTTAACCCCAGTCCTTGGTTTATGTCCTATCTAGGCCTGTTATTCCTGAGGACTATGACAAATTTAGCTCCCAAGCTTCCTTTTCCTTGTTTGTAGAAAGAAAAGCATAGACATTTGCTGCCAACTGTGCATTTTTTTACAAGAGTCCATACCTTTCATCAGATTCTTAAAAAGGTTAGCAATCATTGCTTAAGTACAGAGTGAGAATATACTAATTTAAAAAACAGATTTTGAGGGTAATAGTTCATGTTACAAAAGAAAATTGCCTTACAAAATATTTTATCAGCTATTTCCTTCTGTAATGGAAGCTCCTTTCATGACTTAAAACAATTTACTTTATAAGTTTGTATTTATTTAGCAACTTCTCAGGAACTCATTAAAGAAAGTGAAATTCACCAATACAAATAGGTAGGTGTACCCACGACTCAAAAGGAACTTCATTTTCCCATTGTTTTTCCCTGAAGAGAAGGTAATTGGCAAGCAATTAGGTACCTTCCACTCAGCAAAGGGCAGATGAACCAATAACGTGGTTGAGGAGATCAGGTGGATGGGAGTGATGATACTGGATCAGAGGGGGAGCTGGATGGTGGAAGGTGCATCAACAGGATCTGAAAAGATGTGGAAATTCTGCCCGGGGGGTTGGGAAAAGGCTGAATCACTCAGCAGTATAGAAACAGTGTGGTTTCTCTTCTGCAGATGAAAATGAATGTGAGCAAAACAACGGTGGCTGCAGTGAGATCTGTGTGAACCTCAAAAACTCCTACCGCTGTGAGTGTGGGGTTGGCCGTGTGCTAAGAAGTGATGGCAAGACTTGTGAAGGTGAGAATGGGCAAAAAGGGACCCAAATCAAGAGCCCAGAGGAAGCCACTGGCTTATTCTCTGATGTTCAGGAAACTGCCTTAGTGTCCGAAGAGAGCAACCGTTTGGCTGTGCAAAGAAATGACAAAAGGCGTTCATCAACATTGAGAATACTCACGCTATGGACAGAATTCAGTTTTGATTTTGTCTCTAAGATTTAACAGGAGGGAATTTTGCAAGAGGCAGAAAGCCACATTTTTATGTGAGAAATAAAAATAGGGTGTTCTGGCCAGGTGCAGTGGTTCATGCCTGAAATCACAGCACTTTGGGAGGCTGAAGTGGGAGGATCACTTGAGGCCAGGAGTTTAAGACCAGCCTGGGCAACATAGTAAGACACTACCTCTACAGAAAATTAAAAAATAAAAATTAGTTGGGTATGGTAGTGCATGCTTGTAGTCCCAGCCACTCAGAAGGCTGAGGCAGTAGGATTACTTGAGCCCAAGAGTTTGAGGCTGCATTAAGCTATGATTGCGCCACTGCACTCCAGCCTGGGCAACAGAGAGAAAATATCTCAAAAAAAAAAGGAGGGTGGATATTTGGTATTTCTCAAACTTTAATGTGCCCACGAATCACTTAGGATCTTGTCAAAATGCAGATTCTGATTTAGTAGGTCTGAGATCAGGTCAAGATATTGCATTTTTAAACAAGTTCTAGGAGTCAGCTATGCTGCTGGTCCAAGGAGCACACCTGGACTGGCCAGGTAATAGAGGCAGTAGCATAACCACTGGCCGACAGCTGTGTTTCCCAAACTTCCCTGCTGCTGAGAAGCACCTGGGGCTTTTACGCTTAGCCCCTCCCAGACCCTCTCCTGGAGCCTTGGCTTCAGAGGAGCTAAGATGGGGACTTCGAGTTTGTGTTTTTAACAAGTTCCACGGGTGATTTTTATCATCTTGGAAGTTTGAGAAACTGGTTTACATGAAACCATTTCCTCTCCTCCCCATATGCTTTGTGTTTATGGGAGAGGAATACAGTTTGGGGGGATAAATAAAATAATCTATTTTATTTTACTTTTAGATCTATTTTTAATAGCAGACATTTTATAGGACTTTATACATTTATATAACTAATAAAAAAGAATTCATAATATATATCAAATATTTGAAATGGAAATTGCCTACCATTATTATATGAAACTTAGATAATATCCCTTCTCTAAGGCACATTTACCCTTGCAAATTATCACAACTAAAATTCCATCACTTCGGCCAGGCATAGTGGCTTACGCCTGTAATCCCAGTACTTTGGGAGACTGTGGCGGGTGGATCACTTGAGGTCAGGAGTTCGTGATCAGCCTGGCCAACATGGTAAAACCCCGTCTCTATTAAAAATACAAAAATTAGCTGGGCGTGGTGGCGGGCGCCTGTAATCCCAACTACTCAGGTGGCTGAGGCACAAGAATCACTTGAACCTGGGAGGTGGAGGTTGCAGTGAGCCAAGATAGCGCCACTGCACTCCAGCCTGGTGACAAAGAGAGACTCCAGCTAAAAAAAAAAATCCCATCACTTCTACTTTAATAAGTCAGAGTTCTCATGACACCCTGCAGATTATATGGAGAGATAAATGGTGTAATTGTTATTATTTACAGAGGACATATATTTGTTCCTTAGGATAATTAAATTTGTGGAATAATAGAGCTGTGGTACTGGTTACAAAAGTTCACTTTATTCTAGCAATATTCAAAATAATAAAAATACTACCCCAAAAGGAAAAATTATGGCTACTGTCCATATTTTATTTCATGCAACAAACTTTGCATTATTAACTGAGAGACCATTAACCAGAATATTAAATTACTGTTCCTTATAATAAGTCTAAATGTATTTTAAACTTTATTGAATAGGCGTAGTATCCAGAGTCCTCCTTAAATCTTAATTATTTTATGTAATAATCTTTGTATATTTGAATATTAATAAAATGTTCCATAAAAACATTTGTAATTATTTATGAGTACTTTATTGGAAAGATTGCAGTTAATCCTCCCTTATATAATCTTAAAAACTAATAACCATAACTGAAAAAATATTTTAGCAGAAGATGAAAATTAAGTGTGAGTTATACTTTAGGATTAATATTCCTGTTTATAACCCTTAAGTTTTATTGATAGTCCAAACATATATGTTTCTTTAGCTAAGCTATTTGATAATTATATGTTCTTTTTTTTTAAAAAAAAGGCCCTTTTTAATTTTTTTTTTTTTAGATTCAGGGGCTACATGCACGGGTTTGTTACATGGATATATTGCTTAATGCTGGGTTTGGGTTTCTATTGAGCCCATCACCCAGATGGTGAATGTAGTACCCAATAGGTAGTTTTTCAATCCTCACCCTGCTCCCTCCTCCTACCTTTTGGAGTTCCCAGTGTCTTTTTTTTTTTTTTTTTTTTGAGATAAGGTCTCACTCTGTCACCCAGGCTAGAGTACAGTGGTACCATCTTGGCTCACTGTAGCTTCCACCTGCCTGGGCTAAGGTGATCCTCCCACCTCAGCCTCTCAAGAAGCTGGGACTACAGGCGTGCACCACCACACCAAGCTAGTTTTTGTATTTTTATAGAAACAGGGTTTCACCATGTTGGCCAGGCTGGTCTCGAACTCCTGAGCTCAAGCAACCCACCTGCCTCGGTTTCCCAAAGTGCTGGGGTTACAGGTGTGAGCCACTGTGCCAGGCTCCCTGTGTCTCTTTTTATATAGTTTGTATTTGTCCCATCTTTATGTCTGTGTGTACCCATTGTTTAGCTCTCACTTACAAGTGAGAACATGCAGTATTTTTCTGTTCCTGCATTAATTCAGCTCTTGTTAGTTTTTAAGTAATTTTTATTGTTTTGTTTTACTTATTTTGTATTTATTATTATTAATTTTTTTTTTGAGACAGAGTCTCACTTTGTCACCCAAGCTACAGTGTGGTGGGGCAATCTCAGCTCACAGCAACCTCTGCCTCCCAGGTCAAGCGATTCTCCTGCCTCAACCTCCCCAGTAGCTGGGATTATAGGCAACTGCCACCATGCCCTGCTAATTTTTTTTGTATTTTTAGTAGAGATGGGGTTTCACCATGTTAGCCAGGATGGTCTCGATCTCCTGACCTCGTGTTCTTTCACCATGTTGGCCAGGCTGTTTTGAACTCCTGACCTCACACGATCCACCTGCCTTGGCCTCCCAAAGGGCTGGGATTATAGGTGTGAGCTACCGCGCCTGACCTGTTTTGTTTTATCATAAAAGTGTAGAAGAAAATATAGAGGAGCAAGAGAAAATAATTTAAATGACCCACAATCCATTTGCCAGATATATCCATTCTAAACATTTTGGTATATCTTCCTGAGAGACTTAAATATTTTAAGCTAATTTAAATTTTCAGTTTATTTTGTATTTTGTATTTTTAGACCTGGAAATATCCTGAATGAACATTTAGTGCAACCTCTTCATTTTACAGATATTGAAATTGTGACTCAGAGAAATAAAATGACTTAAGGAAGGTAACTTTTAAGGAAAAAAAGTGCTATTAATGTTCATTTTAACATCTTATAGCATATTTTTGTGCTTTCTTCTATAGTATTATATATAATCTTCAGCCATTTCAAAAGCCTCTAGGTGTGCTTTTATCCTTTAAAAATACACAGATGTATAATGGCCAGGTGCGGTGGCTCACGCCTGTAATCCCAACACTTTGGGAGGCCGAGGCGGGTAGATCACAAGGTCAGGAGATCGAGACCATCCTGGCTAACACAGTGAAATCCTGTCTCTACTAAAAATACAAAAACAAAAAACAAAAAAAAATACAGATGTATAAACTGGTATTAATCTCTTAAGTGTTGCAAAGAGTAATTCATTGCCATATTTTTCTCTACATACATTTCACAAAAACTAATTCATGTTCCAAATAACTGCTTTTTAAAAACTATTATTGAACTGAGAGAGTTATAGCTATAACTGGAAATCAGCTTTTCTCTTTACCTGAGTGTCTCAGATGTTTTGAAAACATCCCCTTTCTTTACTTTAACCTAGAACAGGGGTCAGCAAACTTTTCTCCAAAGGTCAGATGGTAAATACTTTAGGCTTTGTGGACCATACAGAATCTGTAGAAACTACTCAACTCTGTTCTTGTAGTGAGAAAGCAGCCATGAAGGTAAATGAATGCACATGGCTATGTGCCAATAAAACTTTATTTGTAATAATGTGTGCAGATTAGAATTTGACAACCTCTGACCTAGAAGATAATGTCCAAGTCCCACAAAGGTCATTTTTTTTTTCTCTGTTAAATTTAAAATCACCTTGTAGATTCTTTTGTTTTCAATGGAATATTTTTCCTTTTTGTCCATTTGGCTTGAGTTTGCTTTTTGAATATGTAAAACATTAAAAAAGGAAAATTAAACAAAACCATCCTGTGAAAGGACCATCACCAAGGGTTTGGTTGAATGGACTCAGCATGTTGTCCAGGCCTCCTTTTTATAGTGTGCTATCAGCCCAAAGCCGTTTACCCCCAGTGCTCTTGTCCTAAATATTTGAGGAGAGGGCCAGGTGACCCAGCCAGTCCACAATAAGTCAGATCCATCCAGCCAGTTCAGGTGAATTCATATTCCATCAGTCTCTTTTACATCAATAATGCTCTATAAAATGTCAAATTGGGTAGATTAAATGTTACAGCAAATAAGAAATGACTTTTGGGTCCTAGTCCTAAAAACTCATAACCCCAGGCTAACCATGAGAAAAACATCAGACAAACCCAACCTGAAGGACATGCTACAAAATTCCTCACCAGCTTAATTGGGTAGAGTTATGGATGTTGGAAGATTGCTCTTTGTAGCTATGATATTTCATAAACATTCCTTGAGGTCTTGCCCGAATGTCCAGTCACTAGGTTAGGCACCAGGGATGCTGCCATAAGTTAAGTATAATCCCTGATGCAAAGTGCCAGAATTCTTGGGGTAGAGGGTTACGAGATTATTCCCTTTTCTGTTGGTTTCTACTGCAGACGTTGAAGGATGCCACAATAACAATGGTGGCTGCAGCCACTCTTGCCTTGGATCTGAGAAAGGCTACCAGTGTGAATGTCCCCGGGGCCTGGTGCTGTCTGAGGATAACCACACTTGCCAAGGTAGTACATGGGGCAGGGGGACTTGTCTCTACTCTGATTACACTTCTTCCTCTCCCAAAGCTCTTTGTCTTCCTCCCCCAAGTGTGTCAGGGTTCTCATCTTTTAGAACAATGGCTCTTCGAGCAGTGTGTATTGCTGAATCATCACTCTGGAATCATTTAACAGAGAAGATCTCTAAGAAAAGATTACCAAAAACTTAACTTTCCTTTGCTGTTTACCTTTGATTTTTGACTGCTTTCTATGGTTAGTTGTATGACTAATACTCAATATGGAAGCATAAGACATTGATACATCTCCTGTCTTTTCTAACAGGGTTGAAACTAAGTGAACTCAGTTGAAAGGCCTGAGGAACATATTCTTCTCCCTACACTTAGGATATGAGGGTTAACAATCCTCTGAGAATTATTTTCTGGAAATCTAATTCTTTTTTTTCTTTTTTTTTTTTTTTTTGGCAGAGTCTCACTCTGTTGCTCAGGTGGAGTGTGAAGTGATGTGATCTCAGCTCACTGCAACCTCCACCTCCTGGGTTCAAGTGATTCTCCTGCCTCAGCCTCCTGAGTAGCTGGGATTACAGGCGTGTGCCACCATGCCTGGCTAATTTTTGCATTTTTAGTAGAGACGGGGTTTCACCATGTTGGCCAGGCTGGTCTCGAACTCCTGACCTCAAGTGAGCCGCCCTCCTTGGCTTCCCAAAGTGTTGGGATTACAGACATAAGCCATCGCACCTGGCCTGGAAATCTAGTTCTTGATGTCCAGAATATTCATTCATTCATCTAACAAATATGTAATGGGCACCTATTTTTGATTTCTTTGCACAATACCATTGTTATGATATGTCTTCATGTATTGGACTCTGACAGAACTCAAGTATTCTTTTCAGGATACTTGCAGAGTCTAGAGAAGAACCTGGGAATGCTAAGGAAAAGCAATCTTTTTTATATTAAGGTAAAGTGGTGAAATTTATAGTCAGAGTTTATGGTTTCCTGAGCAATGCAAGGACAATTTGGAAGCCTTTCCCAAGTGCACTAACACTGTTTTTATTGTCTCTGTTTTACGAGGCAGTAATTAATGGTAAAGTCACAGCAGTATCGTTATGTACCTTAGGCCTATATCAAAGCAGCACTTTTTCTGTGTTGCTAATAAATTGTGTTTGTGCTGAAAGTTAATATCTTAGGTGTTTCAGTTCACAGAGTTATGCTGTCTACACTTCGAAACCAATGTTTGGTGAATTGAAAGTCGAACCTGGTATTTCCTAATTCAGGGAACCATATATTTGAGGAACATTATTTCACCATAATCTTGGGAGTTAAGAATAGTGGTTTTATTCACCAACTTGTTTTCAGCCCCTCTGATTTCCTTGGGGATGGAACAAAAAGCTTGGGTTGTGTGAGGGTGAAATTATTTCTCCTAAAAGCCTTCCTCCCGATTCAGGTTTCCTGGCTCTAACAGTGGCCCTTTTTCTCTGCAGTCCCTGTGTTGTGCAAATCAAATGCCATTGAAGTGAACATCCCCAGGGAGCTGGTTGGTGGCCTGGAGCTCTTCCTGACCAACACCTCCTGCCGAGGAGTGTCCAACGGCACCCATGTCAACATCCTCTTCTCTCTCAAGACATGTGGTACAGTGGTCGATGTAGGTTCCTCCTGGAGGGCACTTGGGGAATGACCAAAAGCCGGTTATTTGGGAGGCAGTGGACAGAGGTATGCCATGTGGCTTGTGTCATCGATGAGATATTTACACACAAAAGAACTGAGCTCAAAACATCTTACGTCATTCTTTTAACCAACGTGTTATTGAGCATCTGCTGTGGTCCTGGCACTGTGAAGAATTCTGCTATTCCTGTTTTCAAATAGTCCCATCTCTCCAGCATGCACAGACATTTTCCTGAATGCATCAGTACCAGTGGTACTGGGAGGCTGGCTACATCCTCTCTGACCAATTATTTTATTTGAAGAAAGCAACTAATACAGTTGGTGGTTCATTTGTGGTGCAGTGAATGAGTTCAAGTATTGAACCAGGTTGAGTGAAAAGGTTTATACTTTCATCCAAAAATCTGCACACAGCCCTGTGCTGGAGAGTTAGAAATGTATGAAATCCTGCCTTTTAGGAACTTGCACAGCAGAATTGAGATGACGACACAGAAAATGTAAGGAAAGGATGAACAGCGAGACAGATGACAGGTCCTGTAGGAGTCCAGTCAAGGGACAAACACAGGAGCAGTCAAGACAAGTGGGACTTGGATCCAGGTGGAAGTGTGTGTGTGGTTTACACAGCAGAGAGGAAAAGAAAGGGCCTTTCAGATAGGAAACAAGTGAGCTAGTCTCTGAGAGGGGATATGCAGGCCTGTGCAGAGGTGTGTGGAGAGTTTAGCCTACTGGAAAATGAAACCGGAAAAGTAGGTGGGGTGGGCTGAGCTTCCAAAGGCCTGCCTTGTGTGCTAGGGTGAGCCATCTGGATTTGATCCCACAGAAATGGGTTTAGGTGATGTGGTGATGAATGCCATGATCTGACAGCAACTTGCAAGATGGATAGAGCAGAGGGGGCCTGCATCTGGATCAGCACGGAGGCCTTTGCGATCCTTTGGTTAAATGAATATTTATTTATGACTCTAAATGAAAATCAGAAAGCTGATTCGACTTGCAGTGAGACAAGTGAGGGATATTCAAGGAGCAGGCGGTCCCACTTGAGGCAAGTTATGTCGATCGTATCTGTGGATAATCAAATGGACATGCCACATGGTAGGTTGGTACTATTGTCCCATGCATGGCAGAGCAGAGGAATCTGGTGATAAAAAGCTGAAAACCATCCGGTAAATGCCACAGCCAAAATTCTGAGTGTGCAAGAGTTCACACAAGGTCATGCTGCCGCAGTATCACCAGGTCTAAAACTCCTGAAAGAAACATAACAGGCGGAAGCTGTCCTTTTCTAAAATACCAGAGCTTTGAATTCGCTGATTCTGCATAGATCAGGTATTATGAGTAACACTCCAAAGGAATATGTGGGTCTGCCCAAGAAGTAGTGTGTAAAACTCTTTTTTTTTTTTAAATTTTGAGATGGAGTTTTGCTTTTGTTGCCCAGGCTGGCAATGGTACAATCTTGACTCACTGCAACCTCTGCCTCCCAGGTTCAAGCGATTCTCCTGCCTCAGCCTCCCAAGTAGCTGGGATTACAGGCATCTGCCACCATGCCTGGCTAATTTTTGTATCTTTAGTAGAGACGGGGTTTCACCATGTTGGTCAGGCTGGTCTTGAACTCCTGACCTCAGGTGATCCACCGGCCTCAGACCCCCAAAGTGCTGGGATTATAGGTGTAAGCCACTGTGCCCAGCCCTTTTTTTTTGGTATTATTTTCTTATTTATTAAAAAGTACACAACAAAGAGCTAGGCGGTATAATACCAATAGTTAGAATATAAAGCCATGTATAATAATGGGCTAATTAGGAGGTAGAAAGAAGTTCTAAATGAGAGCCATCTGAGTTTAAGCTACAGTTGATTCTTGTTATTCACAGTAGTTATGTTCTACAAAGCTGCCACAAGCAATAAATTAGGGAATACTGAAGCTAATTTCTTTAGCAATTAAGTATTGCTCCTAGGGGAAACACTGGGTTAGGTTCCTGTAATCCTCTGGTTGCAACATTTTTGTTAACTGATCAGTTAACAGTCTTGTTCTGTGTGTGTTTCTGTTTAAAGATACCTTATTTAACATACATTATAGATTCATTAACATTGCACTCATGGCCAGCAGCACCGCAACTCATGTCTGGAGTTTATCAAACACATATTTTCCCATTTTCCCTGTAAGGATCTCATAGCCTCCTTGTGCTTAGGATCACTAGATAGCCCATCTGCACTGCATTTGGGGGTCCCTTTAAACAGCAAAATCTCCCACGAAAGCACAAACATGCAAAAAACATGCCATTCTGTAGATCACAAAAAGGATCCTGGTTTACAATGAGAGCTAAAACAAGAAGGCAGTGGTGCCTTGTTGGACCTCAGCTGGGAATGTGCCACTGTGCACATTCTGTGAATAACCTCAGAAGCATAGTGAGTACTGATTTTGGGGTTATACATAAATATTAGCTGCTAGGTGAATTCACACATACCAAATCCATGAATAATGGGCATCAACTGTACATGGTAAACCTGAGGGGCTTCATAGAAGAGATGAGTTTGAGTGAGGCATTGAAGGGCGGGTAAATGAAGATGGGAATGATGGGTGAGGAAAGATGTCAGCCCCTAATGAGTTCTACTCTCATCGCACTCATCCCTTCCTGACCATAGATCATTTCTTACTCTCGTATACCATACTGTCTTTGAAGCTTAGTTTTATTTTTATTTTTATTTTAAGTTCAGGGGTACATGTGCAGCATGTGCAGGTTTGTTACATATGTAAATGTGTGTCATGGGGGTTGGTTATACAGATTATTTCATCACCCAGGTATTAAGCCTACTACCCGTTAGCTATATTTCCTGCTTCTCTCCCCCCTCCTACCTTCCACTCTCTGATAGGCCCCAGTGTGTGCTGTTCCACACTATGTGTCAGTGTGTTCTCATCATTTAGCTCCCACTTATAAGTGAGAACATGTGGTATTTGGTTTTCTGTTCCTGTGTTAGTTGGCTAAGGATAATGGCCTCCAGCTCCATCCACTCCCTGCAAAGGACATGATCTCATTCTTTTTTTGTGGCTGCAAGTATTCCATGGTGTATATGTACCACATTTTCTTTACCCAGCCTATCATTGATGGCATTTAGGTTGATTCCATGTCTTTGCTCTTGTGAATAGTGCTGCAGTAAACATACACGTGCATTACATGTGTCTTTATAATAGGATGATTTATAATCCTTTGGGTATATACCCAGTAATGGCATTGCTAGGTCAAAGGGTAGTTCTGTCTTCAGGTCTTTGAGGAAGCACCACACGGTGTTCCACAATGGTTGAACTAATTTACACTCCCACCAACAGTGTAAAAACATTCCTTTTTCTCCACAACCTCACCAGCATGTTATTTTCTGACTTTTTAATAGTAGCCATTCTGACTGGTGTGAGATGATATCTCATTGTGGTTTTGATTTGCATTTCTGTAATAATCAGTGATGTTGAGCTTTTTTTTCATATGCTTGTTGGCCACATGTATGTCTTCTTTTGAGACGTGTCTGCTCATGTCCTTTTCCCACGTTTTAATGTTTTTTTCTTATAAATTTCTTTAAGTTTCTTGTAGATGCTGGATATTAGACCTTCATCAGAGAAAAAAATTTTTCTCCCATTCTGTAGGTTGTCTGTTCACTCTGATGATAGCTTCTTTTGCTGTGTAGAAGCTCTTTAGTTTAATTAGATCCCATTTGCCAATGTTTGCTTTTATTGCAATTGCTTTTGGCATCTTCATCATGAAATCTTTGCTTGTGCCTCTGTCTCCAATGGTACTGCCTAGGTTGTCTTCCAGGATTTTTATAGTTTTGGGTTTTACATTTAAGGTTTTTTTTTTACTTTATTAAAATACTGAGTTTTATTTCATGTGTATATTTTTGTCTCCCCATCGTTTCCATGCCCAACCACCGCTACTACGATGTCCTATCATAACATTCCATACATACTTAAACCAAAGCAAAGGGTGGAGTTCCATCTTTAAAAACTAAACAGGCATTTTGGACAACACATTCTTGGCAATGGAACCTGGACAACATTTATCAAACATGGTAGGGAAAGTTCTCACTCTGCATTATAAAAGGGACAGCCAGATATCAACTGTTACAGAAATGAAATAAGATGGAAAATTTTTAACAAATTGTTTAAACTATTTTCTTAAAGAGACTTCCTCCACTGCCAGAGATCTTGAATAGCCTCTTGGTCAGTCATCCGGAAGCAATTCTTCACATAACTGATGAACTTGGCTGCCACTTTGGGAAGAGAATCACCTTTTTCTGTACTTGCTTGCATTTTTGCTTTAATGTCTTCTACAGAACTAGGTCCTTTTGGTGTTTTAGGAGTTTTTTCCTGTTTTTTGAAGGATTCTTGTCCTTTTGATCTTGGTGTTGATGATGGTTTTGAGTCTTTTCCATTCTGATTTGACTTCTGTACATTTTTGGCTGGAGTATCTTGTATAGATTTCTTCACTGGTGCTTTTTCTTCAGCTTCCTCATTATCTTCATCATTATCATCATTATCTTCATCATCATCTTCATCTTCTTCATCGTCATCATCATCATCATCATCATCTTCCTCAGCAGCAAGTTTTACTTTTTTCTGTGGAACCTTGCTACCACCTCCAGGGGCAGACTGCTTTCCAGTTATACTTAAGAGTTTCACATCCTCCTCCTCTTCACCTTCTGACTCTGCATCTTCCTCCACAGCTACTAAGTGCTGTCCACTAATATGCACTGTCCCTAAACCACACTTCAACTGTAAGATCACTGGGGGTGTTATTTCAAAGCCCCCAAGAGAAACCGTTGGCTATACAGACATTTTCAAAGTTGCCAGTGTGACTTTAATTGGACTGCCTTCGTAATTCATTGCCTCTGCTTCAACAATGTGCAATTCGTCCTTTGCACCAGCCCTTAAACTGACTGTTTTTAAAGATAACTGGTGCTCATCTTCATCATTATCCACCTTAAAGTGATCATCTTTGTCAGCCTTAATTCACAACCAAAAAGATAGTTCTGGGGCCTCAGGAGGCTCATGTCCATGTCCATCGAATCTTCCATCGGGTGGCGGCACACACTTAGGTGGGAGAGAAGGCGGATGGAGATAAACCACCACTGCTCAAGAGAACAGCCGCACAGGACAGAATCACACCAGGGTACACTTAAGTTTTTAACCCATCTTGAGTTAATTTTCGTATATGGTGTAAGGAAGGGGTCCAGTTTCAATTTTCTGCATATGGTTAGCCAGGTATCCCAGCACCGTTTCCTCATTGCTTGTTTTTGTCAGGTTTGTTGAAGATCAGAGAGTTGTAGGTGTGCAGTCTTATTTCTGGGTTCTCTTTTCTGTTCCATTGATCTGTGTCTGTTCTTGTACCAATACCATGCTGTTTTGATTACTGTAGCCCTGTAGCATAATTTGAAGTTGGGTAGCATGATTCCTCCAGCTTTGTTCTTTTGCTTAGGATTGCCTTGGCTATTCAGGCTCTTTTTTGATTCGATATGAATTTTAAAATAGATTTTTCTGCAAAGAATATCAGTGGTAGTTTAATGGGAAAGCAGTGAGTCTATAAATTGCTTTGGGCAATATGGTCATTTTAATAATATTGATTCTTCCTATGTATTTCCATTTGTTTGTGTCATCTCTGATTTCTTTAAACAGTGGTTTATAGTTCTCCTTTTAGAGATCTTTCACTTCTCTTGTTAGCTGTTTTCCTAGTTATTTTATTCTTTTCGTGGCAATTGTGAATGGGAGTTCATTTGTGATTTGGCTCTCGGCTTGACTGTTGTTTGTATATAAGAATGCCGGCATTTTTGCACCATTGATTTTGTATTCTGAGACTGCTGAAGTTGTTTATCAGCTTAAGAAGCTTTTGGGCTGAGATGATAGGGTTTTCTAGATATGGAATCTTGTCATCTGCAGACAGGGATAGTTTGACTCCTCTCTTCCTATTTGAATGCCCTTTATTTCTTTCTCTTGCCTGATTGCTCTGGCCAGAACTTCCAACACTATATTGAATAGGAGTGGTGAGAGAGTGCATCTTTGTCTTGTGCTTGTTTTGAAGGGGAATGCTTCCAGCTTTTGCCCATTCAGTATGATGTTGGCTATGGGTTTGTCATATATGGCTCTTATTATTTTGAAGTATATTCCTTCAACACCTAGTTTATTGAGCGTTTTTAACATGAAAGGATGCCAAAATTTATTGAAATCCTTTTCTGCATCTGTTGAGATAATCATATGGTTTTTGCCTTTAGTTTTATTTATGTGATGAATCACATTTATTGATTTGCATATGTTGAACCAATCTTGCATCCTGGGGATGAAGCCTACTTGATCGTGGTGAATAAGATTTTTGATGTGCTGCTGGATTCAGTTTGCCAGTATTTTGTTGAGGATTTTTGCATCAATGTTCATCAAGGATATTGGCCTGAGGTTTCCTTTTTTTGTTGTGTCTCTGCCAGATTTTGGTTCAGGATGATGCTGGCCTCATAGAATGACTTAAGTAAGAGTCCCTCCCTTTCAATTTTTTGAAATAGTTTCAGTAGGAATGGTACCAGCTCTTCTTTGTACAGGGGGTAGAATTCAGCTGTGAATCTGTCTGGTCCTGGGCTTTTTTTTGGTTGTAGGCTATTACTGCCTCAATTTCAGAGCCTCATTGTTGGTTTGTTCAGGGATTCACAGTCTTGGGAGGGTGTATGTGTCCAGGAATTTATCCATTTCTTCTAGATTTTCTAGCTTATATGCATAGAGGTGTTTATAATATTCTCTGATGGTTGTTTGTATTTCTGTGGGGCCAGGGGTATTATCCCCCTTATCATTTCTGATTGTGTTTATTTGATTCTTCTCTCTTTTCTTCCTTATTAGTTTAGCTAGTGGCCTATCTATTTTATTAACTTTTTGGAAAAACCAGCTCCTAGATTTGTTGATCTTTTGAATGGTTTTTTGTGTCTCTGTCTCTTCCAGTTCACCTCTAATTTTGGTTATTTCTTGTCTTCTGCTAGCTTTGGGATTTGTTTGCTCTTGGTTCTCTAGTTCTTTTAGTTGTGATGTCGGGTTGTTAACTTAAAATCTTTCTAGCTTTTGATGTGGGCATTTAGTGCTATAAATTTCTCTCTTAACACTGCCTAACCTGTGCCCCTGAGATTCTGGTATGTTGTATCTTTGTTTTCATTAGTTTCAAAGAACTTCTTGTTTTCTGCTTAATTTCATTATTTACCCAAAAGTCATTCAGAAGCAGGTTATTACATTTCCATGTAATTGTATGGTTTTGAGTGAATTTCTTAGTCTTGAGTTCTAATTCGATTGTGCTGTCATCTGAGAGCCTGTTATGATTTCAGTTCTTTTGCATTTGCTGAGGAGTGTTTTACTTCCAATTATGGATCAATTTTAGAGTAAGTATCATATGGTGATGAGAAGAATGTATATTCTGTTGTTTTGGGGTGGAGACTTCTGTAGATAATTATCAAGTCCAGTTGATCCAGAGCTGAGTTCAGGTCCTAAATATCTTTGTTAATTTCTGTCTTGATGATCTAATATTGTCAGTGGGGTGTTAAAGTCTCCCACTATTATTGTGTGGGAATCTAAGTCTCTTTGAAGGCCTCTAAAAACTTGCTTTATGAATCTGGGTGCCCCTGTGTTGGGTGCATATATATTTACGATAGTTAGCTCTTCTTGTTGAATTGAACCCTTTATCATTATGTGACATTCTTCTTTGTCTTCTTTGATCTTTGCTAGTTTAAAGTCTGTTTTGTTGGAAGCTAGGATTGCAACTCTTGCTTTTTCCTGTTTTCCATGTGCTTGATAAGTTGTCCTCAATCCCTTTACTTTGAGCCTATGTGTATTTTTGCATGTGAGATGGATCTCTTGAAGACAGCATACCAATGGGTCTGGACTCTTTATCCAGTTTGCCACTCTGTGTCTTTTAATTGGGGCATTTAGCCCATTTACATTTAAGGTTAGTATTGTTACGTGTGGATTTGATCCTGTCATTGTGTATTTCAGTATGTTTTTGTAGTGGCTGGTAGTGGTTTTACCTTTGCATATTTAGTGTTTCCTTCAGGAGCTCCAGTAAGGCAGGTGTGGTGGTAACAAATTTCCTCAGCATTTGCTTGTCTGAAAAGGATCTTATTTCTTCTTCACTTATGAAGCTTAGTTTGGCTGGATATGAAATTCTGGGTTGAAAATTCTTTTCTTTTCTTTCTTTCTTTTTTTTTTTTTTTTTAAGACAGTCTTGCTCTGTCTCCCAGGCTGGAATGCAGTGGCATGATCTCAGCACATGCAACCTCTGCCTCCCAGGTTCAAGCGATTCTCTTGCCTCAGCCTCCCGAGTAGTTGGGACTACAGGTGTGTGCCACCATCCCTGGCTAATTTTTATATTTTTAGTAGAGACGGGGTTTCATCATGTTGGCCAGGCTGGTCTCGAACTCCTGACCTCAAGTGATCCGCCTGCCTCAGCCTCCCAAAGTGCTGGGACTACAGGTGTGAGCCACTGCACCCAGCCAGTTAAAATTCTTTTCTTTAGGAATGTTGAATATTGGCCCCCAGTCTCTCCTGGCCTGTAGGGTTTCTGCTGAAGGGTCCACTGTTAGTCTGATGGGCTTCCCTTGTAGGTGACTTAGCCTTTCTCTCTGGCTGCCCTTAACATGTTTTCTTTCATTTCAACTTTGGAGAATCTGAAGATTTTGTGTCTCAGGGATGATTTTCTTGTGGAGTATCTTACTGGGGTTCTCTGCATTTCCTGAATTTGAATGTTGGCCTGTCTAGCAGGGTTGGGGAAGTGCTCATGGATATCTTGAAATATGTTTTCCAAATTGGTTTTATTCTCCCAGCTCTTTCAGGTACCCCAATCAGTCATATATTCAGTCTCTTTACATAATCCCATATTTCTCGGAGGTTTTGTTCATTCCTTTTTATTCCTTTTTCTCTATTCTTGTCTGCCTGTCTTATTTCAGAAAGACAGTCTTCAAGCTCTGAGATTCTTTCCTCTGCTTGATCAATTCTGCTTTTAATACTTGCAATTGCATTATGAAATTCTTGTATTGTGTTTTTTTAGCTCTGTCAGGTTGGTTATGTTCTTCTCTATCTTGGCTATTTTCTTTGTCAGCTCCTACAATATTTCATCATGATTTTTAGCTTCCTTGCATTGAGTTAGAACATGCTCCTTTAGCTCAGCGAAGTTCGTTTTTATCCACATTCTGAGATCTACTTCTGTTATTTCAGCCATGTCAGCTGCAGCCCCATTCCAAACCCTTGCTGGAGTGGTGATGCGGTCATTTGGAGGAGAGAGGGCACTCTAGCTTTTTGAGTTCTCTGTGTTCTTGCACTGATTCTTTCTCATCTTTGAGGGCTTATCTACCTTCAAACTTTGATGTTGCTGACCTTTGGATGGGGTTTTGGGGGTTTTTTTCTCCCACTTTTTTTTGAGATGGAGTCTCGCTCTTGTCACCCAGGCTGGAGTGCAGTGGTGCAATCTCAGCTCACTGCAACCTTTGTCTCCTGCATTCAAGTGATTCTCCTGCCTCAGCCTCTTGAGTAGCTGGAATTACAGGCCCCTGCCATGACACTTGGCTAATTTTTGTGTATTTTTTAGTAGAGATGGGGTTTCACCATGTTGGCCACTGGTCTCTAACCCCTGACTTCAGGTGATCCATGTGACTTGGACCCCCAAAGTGCTGGGATTACAGGTGTGAGCCACCGTGCCTGGCCTTTCCCCCCGGCATTTTAACAGTCTGGCCACTTTTCTGTAGGGCTGCTGTGGTTTGCTGGGCATCTGCTCCAGTCCCTAGTCACCTCAGATTTTCCAGTATCTGGTATCACCAGTGAAGGCTGTGAAACAGCAAAGATAGCAGCCTGGCCCTTCCTCTGAGAGCTCCATCCCTGCAGGGTACAGATCTGTTGCTAGCCTTAACATACCTGTAGATGGTGGTTGGAGACCCCAGTTGGGAGGTCTCACCCAGCCAGGAAGAAAAGGATCAGGGAACTGCTTAAAGAAGCAGTCTAGCCCTGCTTTCATAGAGCAACTGAACTGTGCTGTGGTACCGTTTCCTTCACCTCCCCCTCCTCAGGTTGAGCTCTCCAAAGTCTGGAGGCTAAAACAGCTAAGTTGCTGAAACAGCAAAGATGGTGGCCTGCCCCTTCCTCTGGGAGCTCCATCCCAGTGGGGTACAGACCTGTTGCTGACCTGAACACACCTATAGGAGGTGGCTGGATACCCCATTTGGGAGATCTCACTCATCCAGGAGAAACAGGATCGAGGACCTGCTTAAAGAAGCAGTGTGGCCATGCTTTCCTAGAGTAGGTATGCCATGCTGGGGTACTGCTTCCACTTTCAGACAGTTTGGACACCCCACAGGCTGGAATGGCTGAGTTGTCCAAACAACTGTCCAAACAGCCTCCCCCTCCCGCTTGGCACTCCATCCCAGGTAGAAATCAAAACTCTGTCTGCCAGAGAATATGGGCAGAGCCGGTTGGAGGCCCCAGTTGGGAGGTCCCCCTCAGAGATAAGGAGCAGATCAGGGTCCCACTTAAAGAAGCAGTCTGGCTGTGTTTTGGTAGAGCTAAGACTCTTAACAGTCAGGATGGCTTGATAACAAGAGGAGGGCAGTGGGAAAAAAAAACAAAACAAAACTTCATCCTTAGGCAACCAAATCTCTAATGTGTTTTGAGGTAGATAGAATGTTAAGGTGAGAGGAGGGGGAAAAAAAACTGTAGAAACAAACAGACAATCTCTTTCCTCTCCTCACCCTGGCCTGGCTCAGGTGGTGAATGACAAGATTGTGGCCAGCAACCTCGTGACAGGTCTACCCAAGCAGACCCCGGGGAGCAGCGGGGACTTCATCATCCGAACCAGCAAGCTGCTGATCCCGGTGACCTGCGAGTTTCCACGCCTGTACACCATTTCTGAAGGATACGTTCCCAACCTTCGAAACTCCCCACTGGAAATCATGAGCCGAAATCATGGGATCTTCCCATTCACTCTGGAGATCTTCAAGGACAATGAGTTTGAAGAGCCTTACCGGGAAGCTCTGCCCACCCTCAAGCTTCGTGACTCCCTCTACTTTGGCATTGAGCCCGTGGTGCACGTGAGCGGCTTGGAAAGCTTGGTGGAGAGCTGCTTTGCCACCCCCACCTCCAAGATCGACGAGGTCCTGAAATACTACCTCATCCGGGATGGGTAATGCTGCTGCAAGAATGGTCTCATCACCCCTAGTTCACATCCGGCCTCTAAGTTCACAGCACACCCAGTCATTTACTAAAACTGCATGGTACCACTGTCAGCAATTTATTAGTTCAGGAACCACTTATTGACATTTTGGAGGTAAAACTAGTGAGGGAGAGGAGAGTCAAAAGTGGCTCCTAGGCCAGGTGCAGTGGTTCACACCTGTAATCCCAGCACTTTGGGAGCCAAGGCGGGTGGATCACCTGAGGTCAGGAGTTCGAGACCAGCCTGGCCAACATGGTGAAACCCTGTCTCTACTCAAAATACAAAAATTAGCTGGGTGTGGTGGCAGGCACCTGTAATCCCAGCTACTCAAGAGGCTGAGGCAGGAGAATCGCTTGAACCCGGGAGGTGGAGGTTGCAGTGAGCCAAGATCGCACCATTGCCCTCCAGCCTGGGTGACAAGAATGAAACTCCTAAAATCTCAAAAAAAAAAAAAAAAAAAAGGCTCCAAGTGGTCTAACCCAGGTGACTGACTAGATGCCATTAACCAAGGTGAAAAGATGTATATAGAAAAGCAGATTTGAGGTTAAAATACTGAATTTGGTCATTCAAAATGACATATTGAATAATTTAATTTTTTAGATACCTGCAGGATGTCTAGGAAGAGAAATTCAGTGGGCATTCAGTGGAAATGCATTATCAATTAGACTCAGGAACACAGTCTGGACTAGAACTGAAGGACAGGGAATCACCAGATTTAGAGATGAAACTGTAGGATTGAGTAACCTGCTAGGAGATGGCAGAGCATGTGTGAAGGTGGAGGTGAGATCCTGTTCATGTGGCTGAGAGTGCAGGGAACAAGGAGCCAGCAAACATAAATTCCTCTTTTAAGAAGTTTGGTAGTCAAGGACAGAGAAGAAATAGTTGGTAGATTTTAGAAGAAAGACATAGATATAGCAGTTTGGCTTTGTGCTTAGTTTTTTTCAGGGGTGGAGGGCAGTGCAGGGTCTTGCTCTGTCACCCAGGCTGGAGTGCAGTGGTGCAAACACAGCTCACTGCAACCTTGATCCTCAGGCTCAAGTGATCTTCCTGTCTCATCCTCCCAAGTAGCCAGGACCATATGCGCACGACCATGCCCAGCTAATTCTTTTTTTTCTAGAGACGAGGTCTCACTTTGTTGCCCAGGCTGGTCCTGAACTCCTGGGCTCAAGTGATCCTCCTGCCTTGGCCTCCCAAAGTGCTGGGATTATAGGTGTGAGACACCATGTTTGGCCCCTGCACTTGTTTTATACAAAAGAGAGTTCCATGGTATTTCCTAAGGATCCTTGGTGGGATCTGTAGGTGTCCTGAGGTACTGATGGAGACCTAGTCCTTTTCATAGGCATTGCCTACATTCCCAGGAAAATTACACTCAAACCCAAATTCATAGCAGTATCTCATGGGCTTCTTCCTTGTTCTCCATGTCAGGTGGGACACAGTCTCAGGTAGGATCAGGAACTGCAGCTTAACCAAAGGGAGAATGGTCCAGTACGAGCAGCTCAGCACCCTCGGGGGCTTGCCCTCTGCTGGGTGGCCTGCAGGCTCTTGGACATTACTATGCTGCTTTTACTCCTCTTGTTTTTCACTACAGCCAGCCTTCACCTGCTGCTATCAATCTCTTGCGCAGTGATATTTCACCCCTTGATATACATAGGATCAACTGAGATGCTTTTTAACAAATAGCAATGCCCCAACCCTGTCCTCTCTATTCCATTCCTATTGTCTTAATTCCCACCTTCATTATCTTTCACCTGGACAGCAAAGCAGCCTCTTAACACAGCCTCCAAAACCTCACCTTTCACATCTCAGCTCCACAGAGCCCCTGGGTGATCCATTCAAACAAAATATGATCTTGTCACATCCCTGCTGAAAACCTCTTAATGGTTCTTTATTAGCTTTGATCAGTAAATCTGCTTCTCAGAAGGTGTGCTTCCAGCCTCAGATTCTTGTAGCCTCCTTAAGCTCATTTTCATAATATGGAAAGTTTGTCATCCTGAGCTACTCTGGACGGCCCGTAGCAAAGGGCATCTGCAGATATGTGGATTTCTTGCCATGCTAAGGTGATTTCTAAAAAACCTTAACATGAAAAGAAGAAGCAACATTTTGTATTTATTTTTTTCAGGGACTAGGTTTACTTTTTTTGCAGTGATAGATTTTTGTTCCTTTTTACTTTTTTTAAAAAATAACTTTAGTAGAGTACTATTCACATACAATAAATAGACATATTTAAAGCATGTAGTTTGACAAGTTCTGATGTGTATACCCATGAAGCCATCACAATAATCAAGATAATGAACATTTTTCTCACTGTAAGTTTTCCCCTGCCCCTTATATTTAGTTTTTGAAAAAATAAGAATATAATCATAACTCACTGAGAAAAACGTAACCTACAATCTTAGTAGAGCTTGTGAAACTTATTTATATATGCATTATTCAGTCTCTTAGTGAAGGACCATTTTATTTTATTTTATTTTATTTCCTTTTTGAGACAGAGTCTCACTCTGTAGCTCAGGCTGGAGTGCAGTGGCGCAATCTCAGCTCCCCTGCAACCTCTGCCTCCCAGGTTCAAGCAAGTCTCGTGCCTCAGCCTCCCAAGTAGCTGGGACCACAGGCATATACCACCACACCCAACTGATTTTTGTACTTTTAGTAGAGATGGGGTTTCGCCGTGTTGGCCAGGCTGATCTTGAACTCCTGACCTCAGGTGATCCACCTGCCTCGGCCTCCCAAAGTGCTGGGATTACAAACGTGAGCCACCACGCCCAACCATATTTACTTTTATTTTAGACAGTTCTAAGAAGCTGCGCTATTTATTTTGCCAGTGCTTAGCACATACAGAAGAGAAAAAATATATATGCTCTAGAAGAAAAAAGCATAGGCAAAAATGTGAAAACCACAGCAGTGTGGCCCTACTTTGTAAGCAGACAAATCATCCCGTCTGTGGTGCTGTACAAGAATGATGTGTGCAAGATCCTCCAGCTCTTGGCATGGCTCATAGGCCATTACCCTCTGACCTCAGCCCCCTCGAGTTTCTGCTCCTGCCAAAGGGAATTATTGACAATTCCCAAACTGTCACTCCTGAACACCCTTCTGACTTTGCGCATGCTGTTTCCTCTGCCTGATATCTTCTTCCCCGCCTTTTCTTCCTGTCTGATCCTTACTGGTTCTTCGAGATTCATGGAGGGTTTACTTCCTCCATGAAGCCTTTCCTGGCACCTTTCTCCATTTGAACTAAAAAATCCTTTTTCCTTTTTCTTCTTCCTCAATTCCTAGCATATGGTAAGGGTCATTAAATATTTGCCAAGTAAATAATTGAATGAGTCTTTATAATAATCATAATTTGGGGCTAGTCCACAAACCTAAAATAAACATAGCTCATTTTACTTATATTTATTAATTGTTTGATTATTCATTTCTTTGATTTTTCATTGTCCTCGGCTTAAATTTAAATCAAGTTGGTTCTCCCCGATATTGAACACATCTGATTCACTTCCCTTTAATTTTGGTTGGCGTATGCTCTGAGAATACAAAATAATTTAACACAAGCCTAAGCAAAATATAGCTAGAAAGTTAATCACTGGAAAAAGAAACATACTAAATTCCAAAATCAAGCATTGAACAAGTTTTCGATAAGCCACTAGTTTTGATTCCATTATACCCTTGTTACTTTCTTTCAGTACATGAATTCGGTGCTCGGAACTAGCATTGTCTAGTCACAGCAAACCCCAAATCAAGAGCCAACATTTGTCCTGGTTTCTGTTCTGCAATGTGTTACCTTGTAATAACCCCTTCTGCTTCATTTTTTCTTTTAAAGAAAAATAACAGTTATTTTGAGATAAAGATAAATTGAAAATGCTCAGGTATTTAGATTAAAAGTACTATTTTAATATCAAGCCTTACTATTATCTTAAGATACTGGACTGTAAACTCCTTGACGTCAGAGACCATATTATTCATCTTTATGTCCTCTGCAGCAACCAGCAGGGTGTCTTGCATAGATTAGGTATGCCATGGATGTTTATTATAGAATATAATCAGAAGAGGGTATAAATGAATTTTACCTCAGGAAAATAAAAATGAGTAAATAAATACAAGAAATAACAGAAACCACATTATGTTTAGATCCCCTTCAGTTCAGTGGAATGAGGTGCTGGTAGTAACACTAGTCAAGATGCCTTATTTTAAAATAATTTTTTGGATTTTTTTAGGTGCACCAAAACAGCAGTTAGCAAGGAACTAGAAAGCAGTCTGGCTGGGCACTGTCATGGCTCATACCTGTAATCTCAGCACTTTGGGAGGCCGAGGCGGAAGGATCGCTTGAGTGGTCTTGAGTTCAAGACCAGCCTGGGCAACATAGTGAGATCCCATCTCTACAAAAAATGAAAATTAGCCGGGCATGGTGGCACACACCTATAATCCCACTGAGGGGCTGAGGCAGGAGAATTGCTTGAGTTTAGGAGGTCGAAGCTGCAGTGAGCTGTGATTGTGCCACTGCACTCCAGCCTGGGCAACAGTGAGACCCTGTCTCAAAACAAAACAAAAAAAAAGAAGAAAAGAAAAGAAAAAGAAGTGGCCTGTGCATGTGGAGCAAGTACCCAGTTTAATCGGCTTTAATATCTGACCTCCACTTTTTTCCTGGCCCAGAAGACAGGAACTATTAGGTACCCACTAAAAGGCAACTATGTCCAGAAAAAAAAAAAAAGTTCCTCTAGAATCTAGAATGGGAAAAATAATATGAGGGTGATTCTTGGCCTATAAGAAGTTTCATGAATATCCAAAACTTTGGCCTCAGCTGGGGCAAATATGGCTCACTGCAGCCTCTGCCTCCCAGGTTCAAGCAATTATCATCGTGCCTCAGCCTCCTGAGTAGCTGGGATTACAGAGGCATACCACCACACTTGACTTTTTTTTTTTTTTTAGAGACAAGGTCTTGCTATGTTGCCCAGGCTAATCTCGAACTCTGGGGCTCAAGCAATCCTGCCACCTCAACCTGCCGAGTAGCTGGGACTACAGGCAGGCACCATGACGCCTGGCTAACTTTTTGTATTATTAATAGAGACGGGTTTTCACCATGTTGGCCAGGCTGGTCTCGAACTCCTTAGTTCAAGCAATCCTCCTGCCTCAGCCTGCCAGAGTGCTGGGATTACAGGCGTGAGCCACCTCGCCCAGCCAGGAGTGCTTCTTTTCCCCCAGCTAACCCTGAAGTGAACCTAGGTGTTTTGCTTTAAGCAGTAGACCTGAGATTAAAACCCCAAAACCCTATCAAACTGCAATTTAACATTAAATTTGGGAAAAGAGAAATTAAAACAATTTGGAGGTGCATGACTTTTACCCAATAGAACCAGTTATTATCTAAGAAACTTGGATATTTATGTCACTTTGATGCATGCACTGCAGTTCCCTAACTTTTGTATCCCCTTCAGTAGTCAGTTGCTATTAGGTGTCCAATACATAGTTAATAAATTTTGTTAAAGAAAAGCCTTCTCAAATCAATACTAAGGTACATAGAGGCAGAATTCCTGCAATATATTGCAAATGGAAAGACAGCCTTACTAGCAAAAGGTATCTGAAATAAATGGTGTTGCTGTTGCCAACACTTAAACGCATTAACTTAACAGGAAGCCCTGGTGCCCAGTTTGTGGGTACAGCAAATGATAAATGGGACAGATGCTATTAGTAAATAAGGCTAGGTCTGAAGAGGCCTTCACAGGGAAAAATTTAATTTTTCTTTCATTCCCAAAAAGCTTGAGTACAGTCCAGCCTCCTCCACCCCTTTGGCTCTCCTTGGGCCAAAATGTTGGGTTAGATTGTTTTTCCACCTCTGTTGAAACAATCAAGTCTTATGTGCTATCTGCCCTACTTTCAGCTGTGTTTCAGATGACTCGGTAAAGCAGTACACATCCCGGGATCACCTAGCAAAGCACTTCCAGGTCCCTGTCTTCAAGTTTGTGGGCAAAGACCACAAGGTGAGTTGAACATCTTTAATTTATAACCCCTGAACCTGAGCCTTTTTTTTTTTTTTTTTGGTGTCCCAGTGTGTTGACATTCCAAGAGCCCACTGGTGGGATCTGCATGGGCTCAAGAGAAAAACAGAGAAACTGGCCATCGAGAAGCTTAACCCTTTCATGCATGTCACACCCGCCCTGCCTGCCAAAATAACTGTGCTGTTCCCCTCATACCACCTGCCAAAATAACTGTGCTGTTCAAAGAAAATACTATAGGATCATAATTTAATTTAAAATCTTTGTGGGCAGTTATGGTTGAAAAGCCAGTGTGGTGATTGGTCAAATGGCAAGGGATATGGACAGGAAATTCACAGAAAAGACAAATAGTGAAATGTTCACTGAAAATAGTACTTAAGTGCTGATGAAAACAATTATAAGACACCATTTTATACATATTAAATTTATGAAAATTATAAAATACAACACTTACAAGGTTATAGGGAGAAGTATACAGTGACAGTGTAAATTAGTACATTTGCTGGAACATTGTCTGATAATCTGTAATAATAATCATAAAATCGTCATATTCTTTTATCTAAAAATTCCAATTCTGACAGTTTCTTAAAAACAAAACAAAACAGAGGCAGGAGAATTGCCTGAAGCCAGGAGTTTGAGACCAGCCTGGGCAACATAGCAAGACCTCTACTCTACAAAAAATTTTAAAATTAGCTGGGCATAGTGGCACACACCTGTAGTCCTAGCTTACTTAGGCAGCTGAGGCAGGTCACTTGAGCCCAGAGTTCAAGGTTACAGTGAGCTATGATCAGGCCACTGCACTCCAGCATGGGTGAGAGAGTGAGACCCTGTCTCTAAAAACAAACAAAACAAATTTTTAAGCCAAAACAGACAAGGTGTATTGGAAGTGTTTGTAGAGCATTGTTACAAGGGGGTAAAAGAAAAAGCCCCAAACAAGCAGGGCTAAGGGCCACAGTATATCAATTTAATGCAATATTAAGAGTTATTAAAATGATAAATATGGGAAAAGCAGACATAAAAACTGTTGTCATAACAATTTACAGGCATATTAAATATATTACATTTAATGTAGTGAGATAAGCTGGAAGATTTTTTATCATTGTTGTTAGAGTGTACTTGTTGAAACATTTAAACAAAAGGAAGTTGAAGAGGCCAACATTCTTTTCCACACTGCTTGTAAGTATATGCATGTCCATCCCAGCTATACCATGGTTACAGAACAACTGCTAACAATGATGGCTGATCCTGATTGCCCTCAATCAGGCAGGAAGCTCAGGCAGTTACCTACAGAAAGGTGCTTGCAGAAAACACTGGTTATTTGACAGCACAAGTGCATGGGAGCCAATGCTATCCCCAGACCTTGGTGTGAAGAAGGAAGATGCTCAAGTTAGTAGATGTTGCTTCACAAAGGTCTCTTCTGTTCCAGCTCCATGCAGGAGTTATGAATGTGGGTTTTTTTAATCACTCATGTGACTTAAATGCAAACTTTGCCACATTTTTTATTAAATGTGTACATTTGGGCAAGTTCCTTAACCTCTCTGTTTCCTTATCTGTAAAATGGGGATGATAAACTCTACTTGTGGATGTCCTTGTTAAGATTACATGACTTAATGTTTAGGAACATTTAGTATTGTGTCTTGTAAGTGCCCCACAAGTGGCAGCAGTTATTGTTTTTATTAACAGTCGTGATCATCTCTTCAGGAAGTGTTTCTGCACTGCCGGGTTCTTGTCTGTGGAGTGTTGGACGAGCGTTCCCGCTGTGCCCAGGGTTGCCACCGGCGAATGCGTCGTGGGGCAGGAGGAGAGGACTCAGCCGGTCTACAGGGCCAGACGCTAACAGGCGGCCCGATCCGCATCGACTGGGAGGACTAGTTCGTAGCCATACCTCGAGTCCCTGCATTGGACGGCTCTGCTCTTTGGAGCTTCTCCCCCCACCGCCCTCTAAGAACATCTGCCAACAGCTGGGTTCAGACTTCACACTGTGAGTTCAGACTCCCAGCACCAACTCACTCTGATTCTGGTCCATTCAGTGGGCACAGGTCACAGCACTGCTGAACAATGTGGCCTGGGTGGGGTTTCATCTTTCTAGGGTTGAAAACTAAACTGTCCACCCAGAAAGACACTCACCCCATTTCCCTCATTTCTTTCCTACACTTAAATACCTCGTGTATGGTGCAATCAGACCACAAAATCAGAAGCTGGGTATAATATTTCAAGTTACAAACCCTAGAAAAATTAAACAGTTACTGAAATTATGACTTAAATACCCAATGACTCCTTAAATATGTAAATTATAGTTATACCTTGAAATTTCAATTCAAATGCAGACTAATTATAGGGAATTTGGAAGTGTATCAATAAAACAGTATATAATTTTAAAAGTAGTATTTGGTTTTTCTGTTGCATACTATTTTCTTTTTTTTCTTTTTCTCTTTTTTTTTTTCTGAGATGGCGTCTCGCTCTGTCGCCCAGGCTGAAGTGCAGTGGCGCAATCTCAGCTCACTGTAACCTCTGCCTCCTGGGTTCAAGCAATTCTTCTGCCTCAGCCTTTTGAGTAGCTGGGACTACAGGCATGCACCACCACACCCAGCGAATTTTTGTGTTTTTAGTAGAGACAGGGTTTCTCCATGTTGGCCAGACTGGCTCGAACTCTTGGTCTCAGGTGATCCACCCGCTTCAGCCTCCCAAAGTGCTGGGATTACAGGCGTGAGCCACTGCACCCGGCCATCTTTTGATACTTCTAATATATTGCCTTAAGTGAAATATTTTCACCTAACAAATATTAATAAATTCATCAACATGTATTTAAGTGCTTCAATGAGCTGTAACAGAATTAAAGTTTGGTACCATGTTCCCTGTGATTTGGTATTCTGTGCCCTCAGGCTGATAAGACAATAGAAAAAAGTATATAATTCTGCCATATTCTGTTTTGTAGGTACTTAATAATAAGAAGTTTTATTGAAATAAATATAAACCACAAAGATAAATATTATCTGCAGTTAACTCCAATTTCTTTATATGCCAATTAATTTTATGGCCTTTACATAAGATCAGAAAAGTTTTTCTGCTTTTAGTTTTTAAAAGTTGCTATAGTCTGGACTTGGTGGCTCATGCCCGAAATCCCAGCACTTCAGAGGCCAAGGTGGGAGAATCCCTTGAGCCCAGGAGCTCAAGACTAGCCTAGGCAACATAGTGAGACCTCATCTCTACAAAAAAATTGTTTTAAATTAGCCGGGCATGGTGGTGTGCCACTGTGGTTCCAGCTACTCAGGGAGCTGAGGTGGGAGGATTGCTTGAGTTCAGGAGGTCGAGGCTGCAGTGAGCCATGATAGTGCTCCAGCCAGGGTGACAGAGTGAGACCTTGTTTCAAAAAACCCCCCAAATCCCAAAAAATTAAAAAAAATTGCTACAATTAATAGTTCTTAGTAGAATCAGTAAAATTAACAAAAGTAAGGGAAAGGAGAAAAAGATTTAGATAGAAGTCAGCAACTTTTTCTGTAACAAGCCAACTGGTAAATGTATTAGGCTTTCTGGGCCCTGCAGTGTTTGTCGCAGCTACTCAACTTTGCAGCTGTAGTGCAAGGAGAGCCACAGAGAATATGTAAACAAATGTGAGCATGGTTATTCCAAAAAAGGATTCAAAACCAGGCTTTGAGCCAGGTGTGGTGGCTCACACCTGTAATCCCAGCACTTTGGGAGGCCGAGGTGGTCAGATTATTTGAGGCCAGGAGTTTGAGACCAGCCTGGCCAACATGGTGAAACCCCGTCTCTACTAAAAAAACAAAAATTAGCCGGGCGCGGTGGTGGGCACCTGTAATCCCAGCTACTCGGGAGGCTGAGGCAGGAGAATCGCTTGAACCCAGGAGGCAGAGGGTACAGTGAGCCGAGATATGGCCACTGCACTCCAGCCTGGGCGACAGAGTGAGACTCTGTCTCAAAAAAACAAACAAACAACAACAGCAACAACAACAAAACAGGCTTTGGGCTAGGCTTGGCCCACGGGACTGGGCCGATTCCTGCTCTAGATTAGTGGCCCCCAGCCCTTCTGTGCAGCAGAATCACCTGGAAAACATTTATAAAATACCAGTGCATATTTACTGGTTTGTTTTAAAGGATCCTCAGGTGATTCTAATCCATAGTTAGGCTTGAGACCCGCAAGTTAGGGAATGGCCACTTGTCTCTCACTCCCGACAGGCTGCAGGGACTTTTCCTAGCTAGCTCCATCAGTAACTCTTAGCAAGTACATCTCAGATCTTAGCATGACTCTAACACCATTTAGTAACTGGGAATACCAATGGGGTAGGTCACCGGAGGGAAAAATGAATCCTCAGAGACCTAATTCCATCTGACCTTCCCCTCCGTTGGCCTTAATCAGGTAAGCCTCTGAGCCTGCCCACCTGTTTTTCTCTGTTTAGCATCAGTGGGAATAACTGTGGTCATTGGTGGAACTTACCAGGTTCAGTTTTGGTCTCTTCTAAGTGAAATGGAAGCACATTGGTGATAATGGAATTCATTCATCTCTTTCCAAATGTTCTAAAAAGTACACTTTATTAAATGTGAGAAGCTTACTGGCAACTGAAACATGGGCCAGCAGAAAGTCATTGCCTCCCAAATGGCTGGACTCCCCACAATTTCACTCATGAATATAACTATCAGGTCCAGGAATTGCAGGGTTTGCTTGCATTTTAGTCTTTAAGCTAAGAACTGAATTTCCAGGCAAATGTGTCTTGGTTGGGGAGAGCAGTCTTAAATGAAGAGTAGCTTTCAAACCACTCCATGTCTTTTTTCAAATTTCCTCAAAGGATAGGACTCACTTTCCAGCTGTAGAAAAATGTTCCCTTTCTCCTGCTTTGTGGTGTCCAAACTGTTGGAAGAACGAATGAGTCACGCTGACTCGAAGACTTGACATCTTGAAGGCTGACAGCTGTGGTGTCACTCAAAACCAGGAAGGAATCACTTCTTCCTCATAACTCTTCCTTCTCCTCCTCTGCACAGATGCAAGCTGCCCGCTGACTATTCATAAAGGGGCGGCAGCCCAAGGTCCACACGGTGTTGAACACAGTGTCAACCAGGGAATCACAGGCTGCTTGAAAAAGATGAAGAGGGACAGAAAGGTTAACCCTGAGTAATTTTGAAGAGTATTTCCAGGCATGACATGATACCCAGAGGAAAGTAGAGACAGTAATCCAAATACAGAATTCAAAGGAAGAGCATCCATTTCAGAGAATGTTCTCAGAAAAGCTCCCATCCAATCCAGTAAAGCAGAAGACACCTGGAGGTGCCCTCGCATGTGGGCCCTTGGTCAAAACAATGGTGAGCAACCAGAACCCCCCACACCACCATGCTCACTCCATGGAGAATATTTTTTGCAGAAGACTCCCTCACATGAACAACTATGTTTCCCATAGCTTTCCCATCTATGGCCATACCACCCAGAACACACCGAATCTCGCCTATAGCTTTCACTGTTCAAGTATTGGATGAACAACCATTCATTGATGGAAAAACATTTGCATGGCTTGGATATGTTGGTTAGCCACTGTCTTAGGAGCCAAAGATACAGAGACAAAAGGCATCCTCAACTTAAGTACTCCACAGTTTGGATAAAGAGGTGGACAGGTAAACAGATAGCTACACTACCTCATGATGAAAATAACCTCAAGGTGGTATGGAAGCCCACAGAAAGGGTCTCTATCCCTTTGCAGCAAGGGTTATTAGGAGAGGTATCTTAGAGTAAGTAAGATATCTAAGTTTAAACTTCAAGAATGGTCAGGAAAATGAAGTACTGATGCATACCAAAACATGGATGAATCTTGAAAACATTATGCTAAGCACAAGAAGCCAGACACAAAAGGCCACATATTGTATGATTCCATTCATATGAAATTTCCAGAATAGGCAATCCATACAGAGAGTAAAATAGTGGTTGTCTAGGGCTGGGGTGGGGTAGGGGAGGTAATGAGTAGTGACTGCTAATGGCTACAGGGTTTCTTTTGGGACTAATGAAAATGTTCTGGAATTAGATTGTGGTGATGGTTGTACAACTCTGAATATACAAAAACCACTGAAGTGTATACTTTTAAAGGGTAAATTTTACGGTATGTGAATGATATATCAATTTTTTTAAATTGGTTCATTGAAAAGATAAAAAATGTTAACAAACTTTTAGCTAGACTAACCAAGAAAAAAAGAGAGGACTCAAATTACCAAATTAAGGAATGAGAGAGAAATGTCACTAACAATCTTATAGAAATAAAAAGGATTAGGGCCGGGCACGGTGGCTTACGCCTGTAATCCCAGCACTTTGGGAGGCCGAAGCAGGCAGATCACGAGGTCAGGAGACCTCCTGGCTAACAAGACCATCCTGGCTAACACGGTGAAACCTTGTCTCTACTAAAAATACAAAAAATTAGCCAGGCGTGGTGGCGGGCGCCTGTAGTCCCAGCTACTCAGGAGGCTGAGGCAGGAGAATGGCGTGAACCCGGAGGCAGAGCTTGCAGTGAGCCGAGATCACACCACTGCACTCCAGCCTGGGCGACAGAGCGAGACTCCATCTCAAAAAAATAAAAATAAAAAGGATTATAAGGGAATACTATGAATACCTACATGCCAAAAAATGTTGATAACTTGGATGGAATGGACAAATTCGTAGAAAGACGTGAACTGCTGAAACTGACTCAAGAAGAATAGAAAATATGAATAGATTACTAGTGTATATAAATACAATTACTAACCCAAGCTCGTGATTTAGTAATTAAAAACTTCCCCAAAGAAATCCAATTCTACTTGGCTTCACTGGGGAATTTTACCAAACATTTAAAGAATTAATATCAATCCTTTCTAAGCTTTTTAAAAAATTAGGAGAGAAGGGATCACTGCCCAATTCATTTTATGAGGTCAATATTACTCTCATACCAAAACCAAAGACATCACAAAAATAACAATCTATAGACTAGTATCTCTTATGAATATGGATGCAAAATCCTCAACAAAATAGTAGTAAACTGAATCCAGTAACATATAAAAAGGTTTACATCATGACTAAGTGGGATTTAGCCTAAGAATGCTAAATCATACTAAAATCAATTAATATGATACACTACATCAATAGGATATAGAACAAATACCACATGATCATCTCAATAGATGCAGAAAAAGCATTTGAAAACATCCAACACTTTTTCACGATAAAAACACTTGGCCAGGTGTGGTGGCTCACGCCTGTAATCCTAGCACTTTGGGAGGCTGAGGCAGGAGTTCCAGACCAGCCTGACAACATGGCGAAACCCCGTCTCTACTAAAAATACAAAAATTAGCTGGGCATGGTGGTGGGCACCTGTAATCCCAGCTACTCAGGAGGCCAAGGCAGGAGAATCGCTTGAACCCGGGGTGTGGAGGTTGCAGTGAGCCAAGATCACACCACTTCACTCCAGCCTGGGTGTAAGAGTGAAACTCCATCTCAGAAAAAAAAAAAAAAAGAAAGAAAGAAAGAAAGAAAAATTAAAAGAAAACATTCAACCAACTGGGAAAAGAGGAGAACTCCCACAACCTAATAAAGGTCGTCTAATGACAGTCATAGCTAACAATCATTCTCAATGGTGAAAGATGAAATGCTTTTACTCTAAGATCAGGAACAAGACAAAAATGTCCACTCGCAATACTTCTATTCAATGTTGTGTTGGAAGCTCTAGCCAGGGCAATTAGGCAAGAGAAAAAATTTAAAAAATCCAAATTGGAAAGGAAGATGATATGCAGATGGCATTATCTTATATACAAAAAAGCCTATGGAATCCATGAAAAAAAATATTAGAACTAAGGAGTTATTTCAGCTGGGTTGCAGGATATAAGATCAATGTACAAAAATCAAATGAATTTCTATACATTATTAATAAATAATCTGAAAATAAAATTTAAATACAATTACATTTCAATAACATTAAAAAGAATAAAATACTTAGGAATAAATTTAACAGAAGTCCAAGATTTGTACTGTGAAAACTATAAACACATTGTTGAAATAAATTAAAGAAGACCTAAATAAATGGAAAGGACATTGATATAAATATAATCTTGTTAAGATGGCAATATTCTCAAATTGATCTATAGATTCAACCATAACCCTCTCAAAATTCTAGCTGCCATTCCTTGGAGAAATTGACAAGCAGTTCCTAAAATTCATATGGAAATGTGAGGGATCCAGAATATCCAAAATAGTCTTGACAGAAAAGTACACAGTTTAAGAACACATCTTGATTTCAAAATTTACTGCATAACGACAGTAACAGGCAGCATGGTCCTGACATAGATCAGTGGAATAGAATTGCGCATCTAGAAATAAATCCTAACCTTTATGGTCAATTGATTTTTGACAATGTCCAGAATAGGCAGTTCTAGAGGTAGAAAGTAGATTCATGGTTTCCTCAAGCTGGGCAGGGGGAGTTTGGGGAGAGACCGTTAATGGCCCTGGGGCTCCTTTTCAGGGTGATGAATATGTTCTAAAATTGACTGTGGGATTGACTGCATAACTCTGTGAACATATTTAAAAGCATTTAAGTGGGTGAATTGTATCATGTGTGAATTGTAGCTTAATAAATCTGTTTCAACAACAACAAAAATGAATGATTAGGGCGTTTCACACAGGGGCAGAAAGGAATGGGCCATCAACCCAAGGAGTTTGATTCACCAGGTTGGAAACACTTTGTGTAGAATCTACGAAGGGACATTTCTGAGCCTACTGAGGCCCATAAGGAAAAATCAAATATTCTGTGATAAAAATGAGAAATAAGCGATCTTTGAAAATGCTTTTTGAGGATTCACCTCACAGAATGGAACCTGTGTTTTGATTCACCGGGTTGGAAACACTCTTTTTGTAGAATCTACAAAGGGACGTTTCTGAGCCCATTGAGGCCTATAAGAAAAACATCTAATATCCCGTGATAAAAACTAGAAACAAGCTATCTGAAAATGCTTTGTGATGTGTGGATTCATCTCACAGAAAGGAACCTGTGTTTTGATTCACCAGGTTGGAAACACTCTTTTTGTAGAATCTACGAAGGGACAGTTCTGAGCCCACTGAAGCAGGAGTCAAGAGACAGACCAGAAATGCCCAAGATAATGGTGGAGAGGAAGGCTAGGGCTGAATCAGAAAGGGCCATGTATGGCATACTGAGGAGTTTGGATTTCATCCGTAAGGAGGAGGAATCTATTGAATGATTTACACAGGGGGTTGAGATGATCACATTCATGTGGCATATCTGGTCCCAATGGTGACTATCAATTAGATGGGACACAGAGACTGGGTTAATTTGCAGTAACCAGGCAAGTGGGATATGAAAGAGATATTTGGGAGAATGAATCAACAGGACATTGCTTGCAGGAAGTAACTTGACCTGACCCTAGATTAGCAGCAGGTACTTTTTCAGCCTCTGCAGAAACAGAATAGAATGATACTCCCTTTCATAGGGCACACTGAATTATTCACATTTCTAAGCCCTCACACCTTCACCTCCAGACTGCACTCTAGACATTGATCTATGAAAAGATCCAAAATTCTCTCTACTGCAGACACTCTCTGTGGTGTGGAGCCAGCTCTTTATCAGCCTACATTTCAACTCTTACCATCTAAAAATAGAAAATGCTAATTCATACCTGGATACAATATCCTGGCTTCAGAAACTGAGACAGTAAAAACTTTTCCTAAGTAAATTAGGAAAAAGAAATTATAGAGTCGGTGCTAGAATCTAGGTAGCAAAGCAGTTGTTTAAAATAACTATCCTTGCTGGGCGCGGTGGCTCACACCTATAATCCCAGCACTTTGGGAGGCTGAGGCGGGCAACATGGGCAACCCCATCTCTACTAAAAATACAAAAATCAGCTGGGCATGGCGGCGGGTGCCTGTAATCCCAGCTACGTGGGAGGCTGAGGCACAGGAATCGCTTGAACCCGGAAAGCAGAGGTTGTAGTGAGCTGAGATCCCACCACTACACTCCAGCCTGGGCAACAGAGTGAGATTCTGTCTCAAAAAAAATTTTTTTTAATTTAAATAAAATAATTATCCTCAAGTATATAGAGACCTTTATGCAGAAAAGGTTTTTTGAACTCCTACCCTGACTGAAAACAAAATTACAAAAAAAAAAAACTTAAGCCAAACCAAGTGGTCCTATAAGGAATAATTCCTGATATGGAAAATTATTTAACAGTGGAATGGATAATCCAAGCCAGTTGGGCAATTCCTTCTCCAGCCTTAAATGATAGATTTTTATTTTTCTGGGAAGACTTTGGTGTAGTCTTTTACCTTCAGGAGTGGTGCCAGCAGCTCGCGGGCAGGACAGCAAGAACTTGAGTGAAGGAGTGCCCAGAATCTTTCCTTCACCATTTCTTGCTCAGCCACAGTGTTCCATAAAGAATATTCAGTGAGCTCTGATGATCTCTTCGAGTCAAGGGGTTCTGGCTATATCTCGGTGTGAAAACAGGAACAAACCTCCCTGTGCACTGTACGTGCCATTGAGACACCTACCTTCCACTTTGGAGACAAAGCCCAGACTCCGCTTAAGGTCAGAGCAGATCGAGTGGAGACACCATCGGAATTTTGCATCACAGCGATATTTGTTGGCACCGCAAGTGTCATAACAGACATCCAGCTGGTTGCAGCACTTTGTCATTGCTGGAATGCCCAAGTCCATCTGGGGAAAAGTGAAGGAAGGGAAAAGAAGGGGAAGAAATGCCACGTTTAGACTAAGGACCTTAGGCAACCTTGCCCACCTTGTTATTAACTAGCTGGTTCTCACATTTCTGTTGCATATCCCGATCAATTCAGAAACACCAATGACTCAGTAGAATACCAACAGTCACAGGATTACAAGTGTTCATTGTTACTTAGTTATTAGTTCAGTAAGTGATTCTGGCCATTTTTCACCTTTTGTTTTTTCAGATGTTAGTAATTTTAAAATTCAGAGGCAGCTTACAGTAATGAAAATAGAGACCAGAAGGGTAGTCAAGAGAGCAGAACCATAGGGCTTCTAAATTTAATTAACACTTAACAGTCCCATATGAGATTTTGTGTGAGCAAAGGATTCTACGGCTAAGAAGTATAAAAAAAAATTCAGCCTCCGTTCATCAAAAGATCACCAGCATCCCAGACAGCACTATTTTAAGGGTGTGCGTGTGTGTGTGTGTGTGTGGGTGTGTGTGTTGGAAAGTAGAGTGGGTATAGAACACACAGCTCCTGATCACAAGAGGACTGTGGTCAAACCACAACATCTCACACACACCCATCATTACTAAGCATCCTATAAACAACTGTAAATGTAGTGGCATAAACTGTGTCACTAAGTTCATAAAATGCCACGTGTCTGGGTACGGTGGCTCACGACTGTAATCCCAGCACTTTGGGAGGCCAAGGTGGGTGGATCACTTGAGGTCAGGAGTTCGAGACCACTCTGGCCAACATGGTGAAACCCCATTTCTACTAAAAATACAAAAATTAGCAGGGCGTCGGGTGTGTGTGTGTGTGTGTGTGTGTGTGTGTGTGTGTGTGCAGATTTCTATGATGTCAGCTCTCCAAACATAGCCAATTTGGCACTACTAACATGAAGTCAGCTGCTTGCAAAAGTCATGACAATATGTAACAATCAGCTCTCACTGGCCAGCACCAGCTGGCTCTAGCACATCACTGGAATGGTTCACTAATTTCAATAAGTCAAACCTGTCAGATCTATCTCAAATTAAGTTATGTCATGATGCCCTAAGCCTCAGCTGACATTTTCAGTGGTGATTTCAAAGTTCTGATCCACTACCAAGGGCTTATCTGAGGGACAGCTGTCCCTGAGAAAAGGAAATCAGATATCTTCTTTAAAAATTCTCTCCCTCATATCCAATTTAAAATACTTAATTGTATTCTTCAACTTTTTTCCAGAAATAATCACTTCCATCAAGGATAACTCTAGGATTGCTCTCAGTCAAAACCAACCAACCAAGAAGGTAATGCTGGCAGTACATACACTTTCTGGTACCTTGAGACCCAGGAAATAGGAGCCGCAGCCATTGGGCTCTTGGGGCTTGTAGCCAGGTCTGGGCATTGGTGCCTTTCCTTGCAGGAGGAAGAAAGGAAAGAAGCAAGAAGAAATATTTAGAAATCAAGCATTTGGGAACATTCATCAAATGAAAATTTTCTAAAAGCATATTTCACTTTTTCTTTAAAAGTCACTGTTCCTCACATCCAAATCAGGTGATGATGATGATGATGATGTCACAGAAGAATAATGACTTTCAAACCACTTTGACTTTTTCCCCTAATCTCAAAAAATTTCATGAGCACTTTTTTTTTTTTTTTGAGACAGGGTCCCTCTCTGTTGCCCAGGCTGGAGTGCAGTGGTGTGATCTTGGCTCACTGCAACCTCCACCTCCTGGGTTCAAGCAATTCTCCTGCCTCAGCCTCCCGAGTAGCTGGGATTACAGGCATGTGTCACCACGCCCAGCTAATTTTTGTATTTTTAGTAGAGACAGGGTTTCACCATGTTGGCTAGGTTGGTCTCGAACTCCTGACCTCAAGTGATCCACCCGCCTTGGCCTCCCAAAGTGCTGGGATTACAGGCGTGAGCCACCACACCCAATAAGCACTTATTTACTGACATTTCTAATGTTTTTTAAGTGCATAACATTGAAGATAAGGGCCATGGCAAAACCCAACTAAAACTCAAGGTTCCTCATTCCTTCACTGCAAGACCACACACCACTCAAAGAACAAGCAGAACACAACTTGATCGTACACTTAAGGAATCCGAATTGTAGCAGCACCACAAAAGGGTTTAACTTGCAGGAAATTCAAGCAAGATTCCATAAACGTAGACAGAGTATTATTGAGTAAAGAGCAAAGAAATTACCCTGATGTGATATCTTAGGCATTTCTTTCATAGAACTAAGCAGAAATGATCTGAACAGCTTTGAATTTCTGTTTTTTAAGATCTTTCAAATGTGTAGAGAGAAGCTTTATCAGTTGTATCAATGGCAGTGCTCACAGGTAAAGATAACCTTGACCTGAGATGACCTCAGGACAGCCATCTGCAGTGGGTATTTTATCCCATTATCCAGATAAGAAACTCGGGCTAAGAGGTCGCATGACTTGCCTACCATCATAGAGAAAGTGGGGGAAATAGGATATAAAGTCAGATTTCCTGTTTGTCTCCAAAGCCTATGCTCCTTCACCACATATCTGCCTCTTTTTAGGAGATACAAGACCCTAGTGTAAGACTGGGGAAATGTGCTAAGAATAATTAATCCTTAGAGTAAGGCATATGACAGTTTCTTTCTTTCTTTTCTTTCTTTCTTTTTCTTTCTTCCTTTCTTTCTTTTTCTTTCTTCCTTCCTTCCTTTCTTCCTTTCTTCCTTCCTTCCCACCTTCTTTCCTTCCTTCCTCCTTTTCTTCTTCTGCTTTTCTTCTTTCTTTCTTTCTCCTTCCTTCCTTCTTCTCCTACCAGGTATTTATTTTTAATTATTTTATATCATGAAATATTTCAAAACTGTTGAAAAGTCAGAGAAACAAACAGCCATGTACCAAATGCACAAACATAATAAATGTTAACATTTGCCAAACTTGCTATAAATTTTTTTTAATTAAATGTGACAGTTCAAGTACAGGTTCAGGTGCAGTTGAAGCCTCTTTGCACTCATCATTCTGTTTTAATTTTTAGATACTAAGTTTATGTTTTAAAGCCCTCACTTCGTATCATTCTGCAAAATTGTCTTGATTATTCTTGGACCTTTACTCTCACAAAGAATTTTGCAATTTTTTTGAATTTGTAGAATCAACTTAGTAAATTCTACAAGAAAAATGGCCAAGAATTTGATTGAAAAATCCATTGAATGTATAGATTTGGAGACAACTGCCTTTCTTAGGATACTCAGTCTTCCCAAATATGGACACGGTATAGTTCTCTATTTACTTAGGTCTTTCTGTATGTCATTCAACAGAGCACTGCAATTTTCTCCATATTGTATATTATACTTTCTATATACCTATATTATTCAGATCCTTAAACAAGATAGAATATCTCATAAAAATCCAGAGCTAAGACTCATGCCTCTGGTATAGTAAATCTGCACTTTCCTGGAACCCAGGCTGCTTCTAGCTTTCTGCTCTACCAGCCCTGGAGTGTAGCCCTGGCTCTCATGGTCTAAGATGGCATTTCAGCCAACACATCCATATTACCTGTAGCAGGATGGCAGGAGTTGGAAGGGTCCAGCCCCTCTCTTCAGTAAACACACTCCAGAATGTTATACACGTCACTTCCTCATACTTCCCTCTGGCCAGACCTTAATCAAATGGCAAAATCTGGTTGCCAAGGTGGGCTAGGAAATGAAGTGGGCAGCCATGAGCCCAGCTAAAACGTGGAAGGAGGGGCTTTATACTGTAGAAAAGGGGAAGAATGGATATTAGGGGACACTAAGCAGTTTCTGCCACAGTTTGGGTATTTGTTGCTGTGATACATGTGGTTATAAGATTGTGGTCCAAGATGACTTCCAATGATCCCCACCTCCTGGTATTCACCTCCTTGTATATAGTCCCAGGAGTGGTCTGTGTGACCCAGAGAATACTGCAGAAGTGGAGGTGTGTTCCTCCTAAGATTAAGCTATAAAAGACCATGATTTCTGTCTTGGGCTCTCTTACTCTCCCTCTCTCTCACCGTTCACTCTAGGGGAAGTTATGTCATGAACAGTCCCATAGAAAGACCCATGCGGCAAAGAACTAAAACCTCCTGCCAATAGCCACATGAATTTAACAAGAGATCCTCCAGCCCCAGCTGAATCTCCAGAGATGGCAGCATCAGCTGGGCAGCATGACCTCAACTTTATGAGAAACTGAGCCAGAATCGCCCAGCAAAGCCACTCCAGGATCCCTGACCCTCAGCAAGTGTGTGATATAATCTTTGCTATTGTAAGCTGCTGAGTTTCGAGGTACCTTTTTGCTCAATAATATATAACTGTTGCAGTTGCCATTATGATGTTTTTTTTTTTTCAGATGGAATCTCGCTCTGTTGCCCAGGCTGGAGTGCAGTGGTGCGATCTTGGCTCACCGCAATCTCTGCCTCCCAAGTTCAAGTGATTCTCCTGCATCAGCCTCCTGAGTAACTGGGGTTACAGGCACGCACCACCACACCCAGCTAATCTTTGTATTTTTAGTAGAGATGGGGTTTCACCATGTTGGCCAGGCTGGTCTCGAACTCCTGGCCTCAAGTGATCCACCCACCTTGGCTTCCCAAAGTGCTGGGATTACAGGCGTGAGCCACCTTTCCTGGCCTGCCATTATGATTTTAATCTCTTTGTTATATTTTTTCTATGACAGCTTTATTGAGCTATAATTCATATATCATATACATTCACTCATTTAATGTGTACGATTCAATGGTTTTGGCATATCCACAGAGTTGTCCAGTCAACACCATAATCTAATTTTGGAACATTATAATCTCAAAAAGAAACCCTGTACCCATTAACCACCTCTCCCATCTCCCTACCCCCAGCCCTAGGCAACTCCTTCATATGAATTAAATCATACAATATGTGGCCTTTTGTGTCTGGCTTCTTTCTCTTAGCAAAATGTTTTCTGGTTTCATACATGTTGTAGTATGTATCAGTACTTAAGTTCTTTTTATTGCCAGAAAAACCTTCCATTGTATAGACATACCACATTTTTTTACCCATTCATCGGTTAATAGACATTTGGGTTGTTTTCACCTTTTAGCTATCATGAATAATACTGCTACTAATATTTGTAGACGGGTTTTTGTGTGAACATGTGTTTCATTTCTCCATAAGAATAGGATTGCTGGGTCATATGGTAACCCTGTTGAACATTTTAAGGAATTGCCACACTGTTTTCCAAAGTGGCTGCACCACATTCCCAGCAGCAATGCGTGAGGGTTCCCATTTCTCCACATCCTCACTAACACTTGCTATTGTCTGTCTTTTTTATTGTAGCCATCCTAGTGGGAGTGAGGTGGTGTTTCACAGTAGTTTTGACTTGCATTTCTATAATGATTATGTTGAGCATCTTTTTATGTGGTTATTTACCATTCATATAAATTCTTTTGGAAAATGTCTACTTAAATCCTCTACCCACTCTATAACTGAGTTATTTATCTTTTTACTGTTGAGTTGTAAGTGTTCTTTATATATTTTGGAAGCCTTGTCAATTCTGCAAATATTTTGTGCCATTCTGTGGGTTGTCTTTTCACGTTTTTGATGGTGTAACTATTTATTTGTTTTCATCTTCTTTTTTTTTTTTAAGAGATGGGGTCTCACTCTGTCACCCAGGTTGGAGTGCAGTGCAGTGGCACAATCATAGCTCACTGCAGCTTCAAACTCCCAGGTTCAAGTGATCCTCCTATCTCAGCTGTCCAACTAGCTATGACTGCAGGTGCATGCCATCATGCATGGCTAACTTGTAAATTTTTTGATAGAGATGGGGTCTTGCTATGTTGCCCAGGCTGGTCTTAAACTCCTAGGCTCAAGCAGCTCTCCAACCTCAGCTTAATGAGCTGCTAGAATTACAGGCATGAGCCACTGTGCCCTGCTTCTTTTCATTTTCTTATTTTATTTTATTTTTTGAGACAGGGTCTCTCACTCTGTCACCCAGGCAGGAATGCAGTGTTGTGATCTTGGCACACTGTAGCCTCGATCTCCAGGCCCAAGCAAGCCTCCCACCTCAGCCTCCCTAGTAGCTGGGACTACAAGTGCTGTCACTGCACCTGACTAATTTTTGTATTTTTTTGTGGAGATGGGGTTTGGCTATGTTGCCCAAGCTAGTCTTGAATTCCCAGACTGAAGCTATCCATCCATCTCGGCCTCCCAAAGGGCTGAGATTATAGGCATGAGCCACAGCACCCAGCCTTCTTTTTCTTATTGAGGTGAAATTCAGATAACATAAAATTAACCACCTTAAAGTATGCAATTAAATACATTCACAATGTTGTACAACCATCACTTTTATCTAGCTCAAAAACATTTTCATCACCCCCAAGGTAGACCTTGTGCCCATTCAGCAGTCATTCCCTGTCTCAGGCAGTTTGGATGCTATAACAAAAATAACATAGACTGGATGGCTTACACGGCAGAAATTTATTCCTCACGGTGCTGAAGGCTGGGAATTCCAAGATCAGGGTGCCAGTGCATTCTGTGTCTGGTGAGGGCCTTCTTCCTGGCTTGCAGACGGCCTTGTCTTCTCTTCTTTCTCTTTCTCTTCTTACGAGGACACTAGTCTCATCATGGTAGCCCCACACTCAAGATAGCGTTTCAGCTCACTACAACCTCCGCCTCCTGTGTTCAAGCCATTCTCCTGCCTCAGCCTCCTGAGTAGCTGGTATTACAGGCGCCTGCCACCACGCCCGGCTAATTTTTTGTGTTTTTAGTAGAGACGGGGTTTCACCATGTTGTTCAGGCTGGTCTCAAACGCCTGACCTCAAGTGAGCTGCCCTCCTTGGCCTCCCAAAGTGCTGGGGTTACAGGTGTGAGCCACCTTGCCCAGCCAGAGAGTGAAACATCTTTTTAATAATTTTGCTGAAAAGGGCATTTGCCACAGACTTGGCTCGGTTTCTTGGGTTACCCTCTGCCTTTTTGCCCTTGATAACTCACAGAAGATAAAACTCTGCTATTCTAGTTTGAAAGATACCGGAATGGAATTCCTATCCGGCCTGCAGCTGATGATGGTTATTTTTATTTTATTTAATGTTTTATGTTAACTGCAGAAATTCTATTTAGAAACGAAGCTGAAAATATAAGTTCTAAGACAAAAGGTAATGGTTTCAGTCTAGGCAGAAACAGAAATCATTCAAGGATACCATATCCTCAAATTATTGTTTCAGTAGCTTATGGTTGATGTTTTAAGTCTAGGCATTAATAATGTATCATATCCACACATGTTTTATTTTCTGGCTGGAGCTGTTTATAGGAGTGAGAGGCCGACAACTTGATCCTGTTCAAATTCAAATTTTAGTGTTCATAAAAAAAGTTTTATTGGAACACAGCCACACTATTATGATTTAGCTATGGCTGCTGTCACAGAAAAAACAGCAGAATACTGTTCTAATCTTGATGTGAGGATGATTTTCTAATCAAGACATAAAATTCAGAAGCCATAAAGAAAGAGACTGACAGATTTGATCTTATAAAACTTAAAAGCTTCTGAATAAAGTGAAATACCATAAAAGTCTTAAAAGACCAACTGGAGGGAGATCGAGAAGTGTTAGCCAAGAATCCCAAGAGCTCTACCTGCCAGCGGTAGACACTGCCTCCCGGGCCCGCCCTTTTATCTCTCTGTCACTGGAAACAGCAGTAAAAACTTTCAGGGCTTTGTGTCCCAGGGCAAGAGTTTTGCCTTCCCGGGAGGGTGCGTCCATCCTCTCCACCCAGCTGGTTCCCCCAAAGGTGCTAGGAGGGAGTGAGTATGCTTTATTAAAAGGTACATCTGCAGCAAACCACTGTGGCACACATTTACCTGTGTAACCAAATTGCATATCCTGCACATGTACCCCAGAACTTAAAAATCAACATTAAAAAAAGGATTAACATTTATATTTCCAAAAGAAATTCACGGGAGTGCTTTTTTCCTATCTCGGACAGCAATAGTTCCTATCACTCTTCTTTTAAATTTTGCCACTCTGTTGGCTAAAAGTGGTATCTCATTGTTACTTTAATTTGTAAGCCCCTGATCAATACTGAATTCGACCATATTATTTGTATGCAAACCATTTAGTTTTTCTTTTCTGTTAATTGCCTATTTCCATTCTTTGCTCATTTTTCTTTTAGATCTTTTGCCTATTTCTTCACAGTTTGTAAGAACCTTTTTGTAGTATACATATTATGTCTTTGTCATTTGTTTTACAATTTTCCACTCAATGATATGATTTTTCTATTAATATTATATTGTTACAAAGAACAGATAATGATAACGAATGAATAATAAGAGTATTTACTAAACTATTATAGGCATGGCTTCATCAACAACCCCAACTAGCTGTCTCAAACATGAGAAAATAAAATAATTTCCAGGCCGGGCGCGGTGGCTCACGCCTGTAATCCCAGCACTTTAGGAGGCCCAGCAGGGGGATCACCTGAGGTCATGAGTTCGAGACCAGCCTGGCCAACATGGTGAAACCCCCGTCTCTACTAAAAATACAAAGTAACTAGGCGTGGTGGCGCATGCCTGTAATCCCAGCTACGCCAGGAGGCTGAGGTAGGAGAATCATTTGAACCTGGAAGGCGGAGGTTGCAGTGAGCCGAGATAGTACCACTGCACTCCAGCCTGGGTGACAGAGGGAGACTCCGTCTCAAGAAAAACAAAATTCCAGAAAAAAAAAAAAGAAAGAAAGGTATGTCCTCCTTCCTCCCAGAAACACTCAGATGCACCATGATTAATACATCAATGGAACACAGCAGGACAGAGGCAATTCTCCTGTAGAGAAGAACTCTGTATTTCAGTCACTAAAACAGATTAAGTTACTGCATAAAGTAGGGTGAGCAACTTGTCCTGGTTTGCCTGGTACCCGTCCCGGTGTTAGTACTGAAAGTCTCACATCCCAGGAGCATCTCCCCTCCTCCTTGAGTCCCCAGCAGACTAGGAGGTCAGTTGCCCAAAAACAAGAATAATCTGTTTGCCTCTAAGCCAGTGGCTGTTTTCTTTTTTTGGGCTCTGGATTCCCTGGAGAATCTGATGAAGTCTTTGAGTTATTTCCCTGGAAAAAGATACAAACTCACAGGTTTATAAAATTTTGCTGTAAAACTTCAGATAAAAATTCTCTTTAAAAAATAGACTGATATTTATTTTTATTTATTTATTTATTTGTTTATTTTTGAAACTTAATCTCGCTCTGTTGCCCAGGCTGGAGTGCAATGGCACGATCTCGGCTCACTGCAACCTCTTCCTCCAGGGTTCAAGTGATTCTCCTGCCTCAGCCTCCCAGGTAGCTGGGATTACAGGGCGCGCCACCACGCCCGGCTAATTTTTGTATTTTTAGTACAGATGGGGTTTCACCATGCTGGCCAGGCTAGTCTCAAACTCCTGACCTCAAATGATCCGCCGGCCTCAGCCTCCCAAAGTGCTGGGATTACAATAGACAGATATTTAAAGAAACTTTTAAGATACTCTTGGAACTAAATCCAGGAAGAAATTCATTTTCAGGATCTTTTATTAAAGTGTGAAAGCGTGAACAGTATCATTATAGAAACTACTCCATTGACCCAACTCCAGAGACCTTCATGAGGCAGATAACTCTTCAGTCGTTGTTCCCTCGAGGGACTTCTTCCGGAAGCTGAGAGGCTGTTGTCCAGCCACTGGGATTTCTGGGATTTTTCATTTTTACGTTGAAAGAGAGCTAGAAGAATCTGAATGCAATTAACCTGTTCACTAGACTGTCTTTCTCATAACGTTTATAAAATTTGTTTGGTACCTACCATGCTTTATATATACCACTGATTCTTTATGTATATTATCTTTAATTCTCACAACACCTTTGCAAGGTGGGTATTAGTAACATTATTTTTACATATTTGAGGAAACTAAGGTTGAGAGAGTCAGATAACTCACCCAAGGTCACCAGCAATGGGATATTTTCTCCTAAATTCAAACCCATGATTTTTCCATTACTATGCTTATTTCTCAAAGTCTGGTTCAAAGACTACCCATTAAAAGTGCACTTCCAAGGTCTCACCACAGACCTACTGCATCAGAATCTCTGGAGGTGGAAAAGGTTATCTATATTTTGGAAGCGATTCTCAAGGAAATCTTGTTTGCATTGGCACAGACTCCTTTTTTTTTTTTTTTTTTTTTTTGAGGTGGAGTCTCGCTCTGTTGCCCAGGCTGCAGTGCAATGGTGAGATCTCAGCTCACTGCAAGCTCTGCCTCCCAGGTTCACACCATTCTCCTGCCTCAGCCTCCCGAGTAGCTGGAACTACTGGCACCCGCCACTACACCCGGCTAATTTTTTTTGTATTTTTAATAGAGACAGGGTTTCACCGTGTTAGCCAGGATGGTCTCGATCTCCTGACATCGTGATCTGCCTGCCTTGGCCTCCCAAAGTGCTGGGATTACAGGCATGAGCCACCGCACCCAGCTGGTAGAGACTCCTTAATAACAGTTGTGCTAGGTATGCCATTGACACACGCTGGATCTTGTCATATTTATAGCCCAGTTGTTTGACAAGTACAGATTTTGTGTGTTGGCATGAGAACAAATTACTTTAGATATGAGAAGCACGGAAAACAATGTTGACATGCTATCATGGGCTACCAGGATACATACACAGTTTTATCTGCCTGCATAATTTAACCTGTGGGCTGAAGTTCTCTAAGAATGACGTCATAGAATGGCACCCCTTTACCTTGGCTGTGCTTTGCAATCACCTGGGAAAAATGTTAAAATACTGATGTCTGGGGCCAACCCACAGAAATTTTGATTTAATTGATTTGGTGCCAGGTGTTGTTAAAGCCCCTCAGGTGATCTGAAGTGTACCCAAGTTAGAAACCCACTGTTTTAAATAGTAGTTAGTACCTATCAAAGGTAAAATCTGGCTGGTGCCGTGGCTCACGCCTATAATCCCAGCAATCTGGGAGGCCAAGTTGGGAGGATTGCTTGAGCCCTGGAGTTGGAGACCAGCCTGGGCAAGATGGTGAGACTCCCTGCTCTACAAAAAGTTACAAAATTATCTGGGCATGGTGGCGCACACCTGTAGCCCAAGCTAACTGGGAGGCTGAGGCAGGAGGATCTCCTAAGCCCAGAATCTCCTACTAATCAGAAACACCTGGGGTGGGGCCCAGAGATCTGGTTGAATCTGCCCTCCAGGGGCTTCAATTCACAGGTGAGTTTGAGAACCACTACTTAAAAGACGAGCACGGTGCATGAGAGATGTGTCACAAAGCAAACTACAAAAGAGCAGACTCGTTGTTAGGTGTTGTCTGTTCAAAAGATTGCTCGATTCACAATCAGTTTGAGAAGGTATTTTGTACTCTTTTGGGCACAGCCGCCAGGTTTTTGGCTCTACTGGGTTCCAAGGTAAGGAGGCATAACCGCCTATTTTTCTAAGTGTTTTTCAGGCCCCTCTTTGAGCAGGTTGTTTTACACAAAGTGAGAAGAGTTATTTGCCTTTCTCTTCTATTTACTCTTCCCATCCCCCACCAGTTGCTGCTGGCTTCCACCCTGCCCAGCCAGAGGCTCCGCAACTAAAATTTGCTTAAGTCTTTTAATGCTGTTTTGCTAGAGAAGGAAGAATAGGATTTGGTTCTTGATTTCCTAATAAAAATTCCTGCTGTTGCCTATTTGCTGAACTACAGATACTAGTCCTGTGTTGCCTTTAGGAAGGAAAACACCTGTGTTGATTCCAATGTCTGAAGTGAGTCAACCCCTTCCCTGTCCCATCCGTGCAAACAGTGTGAGCATAATCCAGTGGCAAGGCCTCTGCGTTGGTCCAACTGCCTTGGACAAATACATGGTTTTAGGGCCAGGTGGGTCCTAACAGACCAGGCATTTTTCTCTGTGAAACTTTCACAAAGAAGCTGCAGCATAGATGGTTAAAACATAGATGGTTAAAACATAGATTTTAACCATAGATTGTTAAAACATCTATGCTGCAAAACTTTGGGTCCTGATGCAATGATTAACCATTACCTCCTAGTCACTCTTAGTGTATAAGGAAGCGATTTTCCCCACTCAAAAAGGAATAGAGAGACTTAAGGGTGAGTCCGGGAAGTATGTAGTTTTTTTGTGCATCTCTTCAAAGCTGACTTTTTCTCTGTTGAGTATTTGGAGAAAATATTTCTCAAATGTGTTTTCCTGTTAGGCTAAATTGACTCACCATTTTCATTTCTAATCCCTTGATGAGATAGTTGATAAATTAAACCATAAAACTAATGCTACCTGAGACCTGAGACTGTGCATGCTTTGGAAAACGTTTTCATGCGCATTGGCAATTACACGATGCCACCCAGCTTCAAGGCCTGGGGCTCCACATTTTGCTCCCCTTACATTAACTTCCAGGGCCCCTGGGACCAGGGGCTCTGTGCCGGCAGCCAGGTGTGCACCTTATATCTGTGTACCCCCAGCCATATTCAGGCAAGGTAGGGGAAGTGCTCCTGCCAGCTCACAAATCTGCATCTGGCGCCAAGTCCAGGGGACAGCCCCGGGATCCCTGGTGAGCCACGAACCCTTCCTCTCCACAGCATGCCTGTCGTTGCCGAGGCTGCAGGCAGGGACAGCTCCCTTGAGAAAGTCCAGCAAATTGATGCCAGTCAGGGACTGAGAGCTGGGAGGACGGTGTGAACTGCAGCAGGGGGAAGGGAGAATTTGTTTCCAAGCTGAGCACAGAGCAGCTGAGGAGGTGGTTTTGCCCCATGGCAGATTTTTCTCTGAATGTTCGGCTTCAGTTTTCATCCCTGGGAACTCCTCACAGAGGCCTCTCATACCCACCCTCCTTCTTCCCACCCCAGGTACCCTTTTTTCCTAAGAACTGCCTCACAACAAACTCATTAAAATGGCCCAGGGAAGGTTTCCCAGATACAATACAGGAAGCTCAGTGAAATGTGAGTTTGAGATAAACAACGAAGAATTTGTCAGGATAAGTATGTCCCAGATATTTCACTGGACATACTTATACTAATGACTTATTTGTTGTTTATTTGGATTTCACATTTCACTGGGTGTCCTACATTTTTATCTGCTAAATCTGGCAGCTCTAAGTGGATAACAGGAAAAAGTGCAAGACAGATCGTGACCTCTCTGGGGCTGTCCATGGGTCCACCAGCAACAGTTTTTACAGAAAGAGAAACCGCACACTCACCATATCGGCACCTGTACTGACAGACTCCATTCTTCCCTCCCAGCAGCTCCAGAAAAGAATCGAAGTAGCTATTGACGGATTCAAAGCTTCCCCGGAGGTGCCGAAGGCCCCAGTCTGAATAGGACTCCTCCGTGTCAGGGCTCGTGTCGCTCTGAGCCAGGCCACCCCCAAGGCTGAGCCACAAAACCAAGAAGCCACTGGCCAGCTTCATCCTGCAGCCAGGTAGGTACTGGCTTCTCTCCTCAAACCCCAGCCAGTGTCCCAGAATTCCAGGGACAAACCCCCTACCCAGATGTCAGGCAGGACTGGGAAAGGGATTATCTGGAACATTCAATCTGTCTGTTCCCCAGAGGTGGACTTTAAACATAGCTATGGAGGTTGGGATGAGATCAGGGCAATTAGAAAGAGGGCAAAGGTTAGGGAGTGGGAGGGCCAGGGAGAGAGAACATTTCAAAGTGGATTCTACCACCCTGGAGGGAGGGAGATGTTAGCCAGCTTCTGAGACGCAGGAACGGTGAAGGATTCGGAGTTCTACCCCGACCAGCTTGTTAAGCTGTTGATCAGTTACAAGTGTGGCTCTTCAGGGCCAGCCTCTTGATAGAAGAGCTTGACCGAAGGTCCTAGCCACACCCCTCAGCCAGCTACCTACATAGTCTCCAAGGAGAGTCAGGAGGATGTGTACAGGGCCCAGGAAAGCCCCAGCGGTAGGAATTAATAGTCACTTTACCAAGGGTCACGATAGTGTCAGAGTAGGTACCAAGTGTGTGTTAAGCAGAAGTTCAGATTTGAGACCCCAGCTTCTGCTGTGGAACCCACCTGGCTCTGACGCATAAATCCTCTAATTTGGCAGAGCTCCCAGATGTAGCCATCTGAGTGCAGGGACATTTTGGCTTCTATTTACAGCAGTATCTCTGTTTACACTCAGCATAAGTGGATCATAAGACAAGATCTACAGATGGTCCAAGGACAATTCTGGGGGCACTCGGCTCTCCTGGTGGTGTTTTTCCTTTGAGTTTCTTAGAAGTCAGAGGGTTTATCAAATAGTCTATTTGGGAGTGTAGGCTTTTAAGACTGTTGACTGAAGTCTAGTGTTTTGGCATCGTTTTCAGTTTAGACTGCTTTTAGTCGTGTGAAGAAATGCCATCTATAAAATCACTAGTCTAGGACCGGGCATGGTGGTGCATGCCTGTAATCCCAGCATTTTGGGAGGCCGAGGCGTTTGGATCACCTGAGGTCAGGAGTTTGAGGCCAGCCTGACCAACATAGCGAAACCCCGTCTCCACTAAAAATACAAAAATTAGCCAGGCAAGGTAGCAGCCGCCTGTAATCCCAGCTACTAGGAAGGCTAAGGCAGGAGAATCACTTGAACCCAGGAGGCGGAGGTTGCAGTGAGCCGAGAGCACGCCATTGCACTCCAGCATGGGCGACAAGAGCGAAACTCTGTCTCAAAAAAATAGTAATAATAAAATAATCACCAGTCTATAAAAATGATACCTTTATGGACCACATGAATCATTTAGCTCCTTTCTCAAATGTTTGTCTGGAAAGCCCCATGGAAAATAATGAATTAAATGAATTAATTTCTTCATTTTCAGTAAATGTGTTTGGCTGAAGACTCAGACTCCAGGAAGGGCAGTGGTTAAAAATTATTCATAGTCACAACAATGCCACCCAATATTTTAAAGCATCTATACTTTTTCAAACCACTTTCATGCATATGCACATACACAGAGGCACACACATACACATGCACATATGCACAAATGTTCATGCCAGTTTCATGAAGCAGATTAAATAGTCCCATTTGGGGGTGAGAAAACTGATGCAGAGGGTAAGTGACTTGATCAAAGCTGGACAGGCTATCAATGGGAAAGCTGGCACCAGGGCCAGCTACATAATTTGTAGGGCTTCACCAAAACAAAACTGCAAATGCAGAGCTCCTTTTCCAAAAGCAGGGGAACTTGCCATTAAAATACTAACTATAGGCTGGGCGCGGTGGCTCACACCTGTAATCCCAGGACTTTGGGGGGCCGAGGCAGGTGGATTGCCTGAGGTCAGGGGTTCAAGACCAGTCTGGCCAATATGGTGAAACCCCGTCTCTACTAAAAATACAAAAAGATTAGCCCGGCGTGGTGGCGTGCACCTATAATCCCAGCTACTCAGGAGGCTGAGGCAGGAGAATTGCTTGAACCAGGGAAGTGGAGGTTGCAGTGAGCCAAGATCGTGCCACTGCACTCCAGCCTGGGTGACAGAGTGAGACTCTGCCTCAAAAAAAAAAAGCTAACTATAAAGCTTTTTCCTTTAAAAAATGTTTTATTATTTGTAAAATATAATAAGGTTAATAGAGATACATGAGTATCAATATATACATAAATTTTTTAAAAATTGGTGTCATAATTTTATATAATACTATATATTACTTTATAAGTATGCAATATTTTGATCATAGGATTTTTCTGACTTTTCTGAAAATTCATTGATTAGGTCATCAAAGTTTATACTTCTAACAACCTAATTTTCAATCAGTGTAACTGAAAGTGATGTCAGTTGCTCTTGGCAATTGTAAGATGGCAAGAAATATTTGATACTTTTTTGTTTTGAGAAGGATCTTTTTGCTGATGCAACTGTTACTAGAGCTGTTAATAGTATTGTCCCCCCATTTCTTGAAACTTTATACATGTTTAAATTGTGGTAAAATATACATAACATATTTACCATTTTAACCATTTTTAAGTGTGCAATGCAGTGGCATTAAGAACATTCATACATTGTTGTGCAACCATCACCACTATCCATCTCCAGAACTTTTTCATCATCCCAAACCGAGACTCTGTTCCCATTAAGTGATAAGTCCCCATTCCCCTTTTCCCCAGCCCCTGGCAGCCACTATTCTACTTTCTGTTCTTAGGAATTTGCCTATTCTAGGTACCCCATATAAATGGAATAATATAATATGTGTCCTTTTGTGTCCAGCTGATTTCACTTAGTATAATTTTAAGTTCATCCATGTGGTATGTATCAATACTTCACTGAGAATACTGCTGCTATGAATACTGGTGTACACATACCCATTCAAGTCCCTGCTTTCGATTCTTTTGGGTATTATATACCTAGAAGTGGGTTTGCTGGATGGTAATTCTATGTTTAACTTTTGAAGAACCATTATACTGCTTTCCATAGTGGCTGTACCATTTTACATTCCTGCCAGCAATGGACAAGATTTCTAATTTCTCCACATCCTTGTCAACACTTGTTGTTTTCCTTTTTTTTTTTTGACAATAGTCATCCTAATGAATGTGAGGTAGTATCTCATGCATCTCCCTCATAATTAGTGATGTTGAGCATCTTTTCATGTGCTTATTGGCTATTTGTATATTTTCTTTGGAGAAACATCTATTTAAGAAGACCTTTGTCCATTTTTCAATTGGGTTTTTTGTTATTGTTGAGTGTCAGAAGTTCTTTATATACTCTGGATATTAATCTCTTATCAGGGCCGGGCATGGTGGCTCATGCCTGTAATCCCAGCACTTTGGGAGGCTGAGGTGGGTGGATTGCTTGAGCTCAGGAGTTCAAGACCAGCCTAGGCAACATGGCAAAACCCCACCACTACAAAAAAATACAAAAATCAGCCAGATGGAGTGGTGTGTGCCTGTAGTCCCAGCTACTCAGGGGGCTAAGCGGGGAGGATGGTTTGAGCCTAGGAGGTTGAGGCTGCAGTGAGCTGAGAATGTGCCACTGCACTCCAGCCTGGGCAAAAGAGCAAGACCCTGTCTCAAGTAATAATAATAATAATAATCTCTTATCAGATATATAATTTGCATACATTTTCTCCCATTCTCTTGGTTGCCTTTTCACTCTTTGGTAGTGTCCTTTGCACAAAAGTTTTAAATTTTGATGAAGTCCAATTTATCTATTTTTTTGTTCTTTGTTGACTGTGATTTTGTGTCATAGCCAAGAAAGTGTTGGCAAATCCAAGGTCATGAAGATCTTGACCCTATATTTTCTTTAAGAATCTTAGAGTTTTAGCTCTTATGTCTTTGATCCATTTTTAAAAATGACATAACACGGTCGGGAGCTGTGGCTCACCCCTGTAACCCCAGCACTTTGGGAGGCCAAAGCGGGGGTGGATCGCTCAAGTCCAAGAGTTCAAGACCAGCCTGGGAAACATAGGGATGTTGTCTCTACAAAAAAATACAAAAAATCAGCTGGGCATGATGGCATTTGCCTATAGTCCCAGCTACTCTGGAGGCTGAAGTGGGAGGATTGCTTTAGCCCAGGAGGTGGAGGTTGTGGTAAGCCAAGATTGTGCTACTGCACTCCAGCCTGGGTGACAGAGCAAGACCCTGTCTTAAAATAATAGTAATAATAGTTTTATTTATGTTGCTAGGATTGAGATCCAAGTATATTTCTTTGGAATTATAGGGTTTTTTTGTTTGTTTGTTTTTTGTTTTTTGTTTTTGAGACAGAGTCTCACTCTGTCACCCAGGCTGGAGTGCAGGCTGGAGTGCAGTGGCACAATCTTGGCTCACTGCAATCTCCACCTCCTGAGTGCAAGCAATTCTCCTGCCTCAGCCTCCCAAGTAGCTGGGATTATGGGTGCCCACCACCATGCCCAGCTAATTTTTGTATTTTTAGTAGAGACAGGGTCTTACCATGTTGGCCAGGCTGGTCTTGAACTCCCGACCTCAAGTGATCCGCCCATCTCAGCCTCCCAAAGTGCTGAGATTACAGGCATGAGCCACGGTGCCCAGCCTGGAATTATGGATCTTCTGTGTTGGCAGGAATATGAAAGTTAATCTTGTCCAGCAGGTCTTCTAATACTTGAATCCCCTCTATGCTGATCAGCTTTCTTTGTAGCTTCAGAGTTAGCTATTACTTTTTTAATATGTAAAGAGGGAATGAATACGTTTTAGTTAGAAAATTTAAATATGCTTTTTTTTTTTTTTTTTTTTTTTTTTGAGGCAGGGTCTCACTCAGTCACCTGGAGACAGTGGTTTGATCATGGCTCACTGCAACCTTCACTTCCTGGGCTCAAGCAATGCTTCCTCTTAATAAAAAGAAAATGTAGCCTATTGTGACCCCCAGTGTTTTTCTCAAAATCGTAAAGAATGAAGCAAATGGATTTCTAGAGAAAGAATATGACACACTCCCTTCCTGAGTTGTTTCTACCTAGACTCTAAGGTTTGACTTCTGCAGTTGCTGACATGGCATTGTTATGATGAGAGATGCTGTCAGTTCTGAATGAGAAACAGAAGAATATTGTTGGAACACATAGAGAAAAATTGAGCATTACTTATTTACAAGATGCTTTTCTCTATGTGACAACCAGCATTCACTACCTAAATTAATAGCATATTTTAGAAATCGGCCTCTTTATACCATGGGTTTTCCAACTCAACAACTTGGTTAGAAATTTAGTGAAGAGAACAGGGTATTTCTGAATATCAGTCTCATGAATTCTAGCTACACTTTACATCTGTTTTTATCAAACTCTTGGGTTCCAAATGTCTTTATTCTTTCACAAAGTTTTCCTCCCTATTTCCATATAGAAGTTTTTGGAATACCCTTACTTTATGTATGAGAAAGGATGAAAAGTAATGAGACCAATTTCATCAATAATGTACATGTTAATGAACATTGACCTTCAAAGTTAGTTAAAACTTGTCTTGGGGGCCCAGTGTTGTCACTGCTAAAAATAGCTCAAAGATGTTTCAGAACTACTTTATGAGCCACATAGCCTGTTCCACTGCACTGAGGCTAGATTGGTTGTTCTCAACCTTCTTTCACATTAGGATCACATAGGGAGCTTTAAAAATATGATGTCCAGGCCTGCCCCTAGAAATTCTGATTAATTTATATGGGATTTGATTCATTTTGAGTTAATTTTTGTATGTGGTGTAAGGTAAGGTATCAAATTCATTCTTTTTCACATAGGTATCCAGTTTTCTTAGTACCATTTGTTGAAAAGACTGTCCTTTCCACCATCAAAAAGTCTTGGCATCCATGTCAAAATCATTTAACCATATATGTAGGGGCTCTTTATTCCATTCCATTGGTCTGTATGTCTGTGTATAAGCCAATACCATACTATTTTGATTAGCTCTGTATCAAATTTTAGCGTTTTATTTTTATTTCTTGTAGGTACGTAGTACGTACCTACAAGTATATAATTATGGAATACGTGAGATACTTTGATACAGGCATGCAATGCATAGTAATCACATCACGGAAAATGGAGTATCCATCCCCTCAGGCATTTATCCTTGGTGTTACAAGCAATCCAATCATACTGTTTTAGTTAATTTTAAAGTGTACAATTAAATTATGATTGACTAAAGTCACCCTATTGTGCTCTCAAATACTTTGTCTTATTCTTTCTAGCTATTTTTTTGTATCCATTAACCATCCCCACTTCCCCCTATGCCCACTACCCTTCCCAGATTCTGGTAACTATCCTTCTACTCTCTATCTCCATGAATTCAATTGTTTTTATTTTTAGATCCCACAAATAAGTGAGAACATGTAAAGTTTGTCTTTCTATGCCTGGCTTATTTCACTTAACATAATGATCTCCAGTTGTATCCATGTTGTTGCAAATGACAGGATTTCATTCTTTTTTATGGCTGAATAGTGCTCTGTTATATATATATATATATATATATATATATATATATATATATATATATACTGTATTTTCTTATCCATTTATCTACTGATGGACAGTTAGTTGCTTCCAAATCTTGGCTATTATGAACAGTGCTGCAAAAAACAGAGTACAGATACCTCTTCAATATACTGATTTCCTTTCTTTTGGGTATATACCCAGCAGTGGGATGGATGGATCACGTGGTAGTTCTATTTTTAGTTTTTTGGTTTTTTTTTTGAGAAACCTCCAAACTATTTTCCATAATAGTTGTACTAATCTACATTCCCACCAACAGTGTAAGAGGATTCCCTTTTCTCTGTATCCTTGCCAGCATTTCTATTGCCTGTCTTTGGATAAAAGCCATTTTAGCTGGGGTGAGATATTTCTTTGCAGTTTTTATTTGCATTCTCTGATGATCAGTGATGTGAGAACCTTTTCATATACCTCTTTGCCATTCATATATCTTCTTTTGAGAAATTGCTACTCAGAATTTTTGTCTATTTTTAAAATTGAATAATTCACTTTTTTTTCCCCCTGTGGAGTTGTTTGAGCTCCTTATATATTCTGGTTATTAATCTCTTGTCAGATGAGTAGTTTGCAAATATTTTCTCCAATTCTGTAGGTTGATTCTTCACTTTGTTGTTTTCTTTGCTGTGCAGAATTTTGTTGTTGTTGTTGTTGTTTACCTTGATGTGATCTAATTTGTTCATTTTTGCTTTGGTTGCCTGTGCTTGCAGGGTATCACTCCAGACCAATGTCCTGGAGAGTTTCCCTGATGTTTTCTTGTAGTAGTTTCATAGTTTGAGGTCTTAGATTTAAGTCTTTAATCCATTTTAGTTTGAGTTTTGCATGTGGTGAGAGACAGGGGTCAAGTTTCATTCTTCTGCATATGGGTATCCAGTTCACCCAGCACCATTTATTGAAGAGACTTTGTTTTCCCCAATGTATGTTTTTGGCATCTTTGTCAAAAATGATTTCGCTATAGGTATGTGGATTTGTTTCTGGATTCTCTATTCTGTTCCATTGGTTTATGTGTCTGTTTTTATGCCAGTACCAAGCTGTTTTGGTTAGTATAGCTCTGTAGTATAATTTGAAGTCAGGTAAAGTGATTTCTCCAGTTTTGTTCTTTTTGTTCATGATAGCTTTGGCTATTCTGGGTCTTTTGTGGTGCCGTATAAATTTTAGGATTGTTTTTTCTACTCCTGTGAAGAATGTCATTGGTATTTTGATAGGGATTGCATTGAATCTGTAGATTGCTTTGGATAGTAATGGACATTTTAACAATATTAATTCTTCCAATCATTGAACATGGAATATTTTTCTATTTTTTTGTGTCCTTTTCAATTTCTTTCATCAGTGTCTAATAGTTTTCATTATAGAGATCTCTTACTTCTTTGGTTAATTCCTAGGTATTTAATTTTATCTGGGGCTATTGTAAATGGGATTACTTTTTAAATTTCTTTTTCAGATTGTTCACTGTAGTAGAAATACTACTGATTTTTGTATATCGAATTTGTATCCTGCAACTTTACTAAATTTTTCCATTCTAATAGTGTTTTGGTGGAGTCTTTAGGTCTTCCCAAATGTAAGATCATATCATCTGCAAAAAAGGATAATATGACTTCTTCCTTTCTAATTTGGAGGCCCATTATTTCTTTCTCTTGTCTTATTGCTCTGGCTAGGACTTCCAGTACTATATTGAATAATGGTGGTAAAAGTGGGCATCCTTGTCATGCTCCATATCTTAAAGGAAAGACTTTCAGTTTTTCCCCATTCCATATGATACTAGCTGTGGGTCTGTCATATATGGCTATTATTGTGTTGAGGTATGTTCCTTCTATCCCCAGTTTGTTTTTTTTTTAGGATTTTTATCACTAAGATATGTTGAATTTTATCAAGTGCTTTTCCAGCATTAATTGAAATGATCATATGATTTTTGTCCTTCATTCTGTTGATATGCTGTATTACATTGATTGATTTACATATATTGGCCCACTTGGTCATGATGAATGATCTTTTAAATGTATTGTTGAATTTGGTTTGCTAGTATTTTGTTGAGGATGTTTGCATCAATATTCATCAGAGATATTGGCCTGTAGTTTTTTTTAAATGTTTTTGTCTGGTTTTGAATGTTTTGTCTTTAAAGCCAGGGTAACACTGGCCTTAAAGAATAAGTTTGGAAGTATTCCTTCTTCCTCTATTTTTCAGAATAGTTTACGTAGAATTGGTATTAATTCTTCTTTAAATGTTTGGTAGAATTCAGCAGTAAAGCCATCAGGTCTCAGGCTTTTCTTTACTGGGAGACTTTATTGTGGCTTTGATCTTGTTACTTGTTACTGATCTGTTCAGGTTTTGGATTTCTTCATGGTTCAATCTTGGTAGGTTATATGTGTCTAGGAATTTATCCATTTCTTCTAGATTTTTCAATTTGTTGGCATACAGTTGCTCATAGGAGCCATTAATGACCCTTCGAATTTCTGCAGAATCAGTTGTAATGTCTTTTTCAGCTCTGATTATTTATTTGGATTTTCTTTTTTTTTCTTAGTCTATCTAAAGGTTTGTAAGTTTTATTTATCTTTTCAAAAAATGAACTTTTTGTTTCGTTGATCTTTCGTATTCTTTTCAAATTTATTTCTGTTCTGATGTTTATTTCCTTTTTCTTTACTTTTGGTTTGGTGTGCTGTGCTCTTGCTTTTTAGTACTTTAAGATGCATCATTAGGTTATTTGTTTGAAATTTTTCTTTTTTGATGTTGACACTTATAGCTATAAAATTCCTTCTCAGTACTGCTTTTGCTATATCCTGTAGGTTTTGGTATGTCATGTTTCCATTATTTGTTTCAAGAAAATTTTCAATTTCCTTCTTAATCTCTTCATGGACCCACTGATCATTCAGTAGATATTGTTTAATTTCCATGTGTTTGTATAGTTTCCAAAAATTCTTGTTATTAATTTCTAGTTTTATTTTGTGGTCAGAAAGATGCTTATATTTCAGTTTTTTTTGATGTTTAAAAACTTGTTTTGTGACCTAACATATGGAATATCCTCGAGAATGATGCATGTGTTGATGAAAAGAATGTGCATTCTGCAACTGTTGGATGAAATTTTCTGTAAATATCTATTAGGTCCATTTGTTTTGTAGTGCAGGTTAACTCCAATGTTTCTTTGTTAACTTTCGGTCTGGAAAATCTGTGTAGTGCTGAAAGTGGGGTGTTGAAGTCTCCAGCTATTATTGTATTGTGGTGTCTCTCTCTCTCTCTCTCTTTAGCTCTAATAATATTTGCTTTATATATCTGGGTGCTCCACTGTTGGGGGCATACATATTTAAAATTGTTACATCCTCTTGCTGAACTGACCTTTTTATTATTATATAATGACTTTCTTCGTCTCTCCTTACAGTTTTTGTCTTGAAATCTATTTTGGGCATAGAGGTGCATGGTAGCTCATGTCTGTAATCCCAGCACTTTGGGATGCTGAGGTGGGCGGATCATTTGAAGTCAGGAGTTCGAGACCAGCCTGGCTAACATGGTAAAATCCCATCTCTACAAAAATACAAAAATTAGCTGGGCATGGTGGCATGTGCCTGTAATCCCAGCTACTTGGGAGGCTGAGGCAGGAGAATTGCTTGAACCAGGGAGGCAGATGTTGCAGTGAGCCGAGATTGCCCCACTACACTCCAGCCTGGGTGACAAGGCGAGACTCCATCTCAAAAAAAGAAATCTATTTTGTCTGATATAGGTATAGCTACTGCTGCTCTTTCGTGGTTTCCATTGGCATGGAATATCTTTTTCCATCCCTTTATTTTTAGTCTATGTGTATCTTTACAGGTGAGGTGTGTTTCTTGTAGGCAACAGATCAGTGGGTCTTGCTTTTTTATCCGTTCAGCCATTTTTGACTGGAGAGTTTAGTCCATTTACATTCAATGTTATTAATAAGTAAGGACTTACTCCTGTCATTTTGTTATTTGTTTTCTGGTTTTGTGGTCTTCTCTTTCTTCTTTCCTTCCTTCCTATCTTCCTTTTAGTAAAGGTGATTTTCTCTGGTATGATTTAATTTCTTTTTATTTTTTGGGTATCTGTTGTATGTTTTTCTTTTCTTTTCTTTTTCTTGAGATGGAGCCTTGCTCTGTCACCCAGGCTAGAGTGCAATGGTGCAATCTTGGCTCACTGCAACTGCCGCCTCCCAGGTTCAAGTGATTCTCCTGCCTCAGCCTCCCGAGTACCTGAGACTACAGGCATGTACCACCATGCCTGGCTAATTTTTGTATTTTTAGTAGAGACAGGGTTTTGCCATGTTGACCAGGCTGGTCTTGAACTCCTGACCTCAGGCAATCCACCCACCCCGGCCTCTCAAAGTGCTGGGATTACAGGCGAGAGCCACTATGCCCAGCCATGTTGTATGTTTTCCAATTTGAAGATACCATGAGGCTTGCAAATATTATCTTATAATCCTCTGTTTAAACTGATGACAACTTAACAATGATTGCATAAACAAACATGCAAAAAGAAAACTAATAAAAACTGTACACTTTAACTTCATTACTCCACTTTTAACTTTTTGTTGTTTTTCTTTATGTCTTATTGTACTGTCTTAAAGTAGTTGTAGATATTATTTTTGATTGGTTCATTTAGTCTTTCTACTTAAGACTAGTTTATACACCACGATTACAGTGTTACAATGTTCTGTGTTTTCTGTGTGCTATTACTAGTGAGTTTTATACCTTCAGATGATTTATATAGATACGCAGGATCTCACTCTGTCACCCAGACTAGAATGCAGTGGCACAATCATGTCTTACTGTAGCCTCGACCTCCCAGGCTTAAGCAATTTTCCAACCTCAGCCTTCCAAGTAGCTGGGACTACAGGTGCATGTTACCACTCTGACTTGCTTTATTTATTTATTATTTAGTAGAAATAAGGTTTCACCACGTCACCCTGGCTGGTCTTGAACTCCTGGGCTTAAGTGATTTGCCCTCCTGTGCCTCTCAAAGTGCTAGGATTACAGGCATGAGCCACCATGCCCAGCTAAGATGATTTCTTATTGCTCATCACTCTCCTTTTCTTTCAGATTAAAAAACTCCCTTTAGCATTTCTTGTAGGATAGGTCTAGTGTTGATGAAAGCCTTCAGCTTTTGTTTGTCTGGGAAGGTCTTTATTTCTCCTTCTTGCTTGAAGGATATTTTCACCAGATATATTATTCTAGGGTGAAAGTGTTTTCCTTCAGTACTTTAAATGTGTCACGCCACCCTCTCCTGGCCTGTAAGGTTTCTACTGAAAAGTCTTCTGTCAGACATGTTGGCACTCCATAGGGCAACAGAGCAAGATTTGTCTCAAAAAACAACAACAACAACACAAACAAGACTCTGATGCATTCTTTAGTATTTAAATTGCATTTTTCAACTCTAGAATTTCTGCTTGACTCATTTTAATAATTTCTCTGTCTGAAAGGCCACATATCTCTGTTTCTCCAGAATTGGTCCCTGGTGACTTATTTAGTTTGTTTGGTGAGGTCATGTTTTCCTGGATGGTCTTGATGCTTGTAGATGTTCATGGGTGTCTAGGCATTGAAGAGATAGGCATTTATTGTAGTCTTTGCAGTCTGAGCTTGTTTGTGCCCATTCTGCTTAGGAAAGCTTTCCCAGGATTGGAAGGGACTTGGGCTCTAAACTCAGTAGCACTGTGGTTCTTGCACACTTACAGAAGTACTGCCTTGGTGGGCTTGGATAAAATCCAGAAGAATTCTCTGGATTACCAGGCAGAGACACTTGTTTTTTTTCCCTTACTTTCTCTTACTTTGTTCTCCCAAACAAAGCCTTTTTCACTGTGCTGGGCTGCCTGGAACTGGGGCTGGGGGGACACGAGCACCCCTGTGGTCACCACTATTGGGACTGTGCTGGTTTAGACCTGAAGCCAGCACAGCACTGGGTCTTGCCCAAAGCCTGGTGTAACCACTACCTTGCTACCACCTATGTTCACTCAAGGACCTAGGGCTCTTCAATCAGCAGGTGGCAAAGCCAGCCAGGTTTGTGTCCCTCCCTGTTCTGAGCAGCAAGCTCCCCAGGCCCCAGATGGGTCCAGAGATGCTGTCTGGGAGTGAGGGATTGGAGTCAAAAACCTTAGAAATCTACCTGATGTTTTGTTCTGTTGCAGCTAAGCTGGTACTCCAGCCACAAGACAAAGTCCCACCTGATCTTCCCTCCCCTTTCTGCAAGCAGAGGAGCCTCTCTCTGGGCATCACCACCAGTGGCCCAAGGGGTGTTCTGCCAGGCCACTGCCAATGTTCACTGAAAGCCCAAGAGCTCTTCAGTCAGCTTGTGGTGAATGCTTCCAGGCCTGGAACTCACCCTTCAGGGCAGTGGGCTCCCCTTTGGCCCAGGTCCAGAAATGGTTTCCAAGAGCCTAGGTTTGGACTCAAGGACCCCAAGAGCCTGCTTCGTGCTCTACCCCACTGTAGCCGAGCTGGTACTTAAGGTACAAGACAAAGTTTTATTTACTTTTCCCTCTGCTTTCCTCAAACAGAAGGAGTCTTTCACTGTAACACCATACCTGGGAATGTGCTGGGTCACACGTGAATCCAGCCCTTCTCAGAGCCCAAGGCCCACGGCATATTCCCTGGGTATCACTGTTGGTTATTCAGGGCCCAAAGGCTCTTCAGTCAGCAGGTGATGAATCCTGCCAGGATTGGATCCTCCCCTTCAAGGCAGCAGGTTCCCTTTTGGCCCAGGGTGTGTCTAGAAATGTCTGGAAGCTAGGGCTTGGAACAGGGGCCTCATGACTGACTGGTACCCTATCCTGCTGTGGCTGAGCTGGTATCCAAGATGCAATACAAAGCCCTCTTAACTCTTCACTCTCCTCTCCTCAAGCAGAAGGAAGGAGACACTTTCATTGCTGTGAGGTGGGCTGCCTGAGGTGTGGGGAGGGGTAGCACAAGCACACCTTTAGCTGCCCCATCTGTTATCTTCCTAAGTCACATGCCACCCTAGTGTACTGGCTCTGAGTCCTGCCCAGCACCAAGAGTTGCCTAGGAATTGCAATCCTTGTGTCCTAGACTGCCTTTCAAGTTTACCTAGAACCCCAGAGCACTTTGGCCATGGTGGTGAGAACTCAGTTCTTACTGCTGGCATGGGCACTTCCCCTCTGGCTAGGGCTGGTCCTAAATCTGTCTCTGTGCATGGGCACTGGCTGAGCCCAGCACAGCTTGCTCATTGCTGTGTCAGGAAAGCACCACGTCCAATGTAAAGTCCCCCAGTTGGCCCGGCACAGTGGCTCATGCCTGTAATCCTAGAAATTTGGGAGGCCGACGTGGGTAGATCACTTGAGTCCAGGAGTTTGAGACCAGCCTGGGCAACATGGCAAAACCCCATCTCTACAAAAAAAATAATAAAATTTAACCAGGCATGGTGGCATGTGCCTGTAGTCCCAGCTACTTGGGACTGAGGTAGGAGAACTGCTTGAGCAGAGGTCGAGGTTGCAGTGAGCCAAGATTGCACCACTGCACTCCAGCCTGAGTGACAGAGCGAGAGCCTGTTTCAGGAAAAAAAAAGAGAGAGAGAGTTCCCCCAGTTACTGTACTTTCCCTCTCCCAAGGTCATAGATTTCTCCATGCTGAATGGTGGTTGTGGGGGTGCGGGGTGGCATTGGCAATTCAAGACTGTTTCTCCTACCCTCTCCAGTGCCTCCTTCAGTAGTATAAAGTTAAAACCAGGTACTGCAATTGCTCACCTGATTTTGGTTCTTGTGATGACGCTTTTTGTGTTAAGTTAGCTGTTAAAATTTGGTGTTCCTTCAGAGAGGACAAATGGTGTACCTCCTATTTTGCCATCTTGTTCCACACCTCTCCCCAAACCCATATCAAGTTTTTTGGTTTATTTATTTATTTATTTTGGGATAGAGTTTCGCTCTGTCCCTCAGGCTGGAGTGAAGTGGCATGATCTCAGCTCACTGCAACCTCCGCCTCCTGGGTTCAAGCAATTATCCTGCCTCAACCTCCCAAATTGCTGGGACTACAGGAGCACACCACCATGTCCAGCTAATTTTTGTATTTTTAGTAGAGATGGGATTTCACCATGTTGGCCAGGCTGGTCTTAAACTCCGGACCTCAAATGATCCCCCAGCCTCGGCCTCCCAAAGTGCTGAGATTGTAGGCGTGAGCCACTGCACCCAGCACCATATCAAGTTTTGTAAATCAGGAAATATGAGTTCTCCAACTTTGTTCTTTTTCATAACTGTTTAGGCTGTTTGGGGATCCTTACGATTCCACATGAATTTTAGGATGGGCTTTTCTATTTCTGCAAAAAATCATTGGGATTTTAATAGGAATTGCATCAAATCTATAGACGACTTTGGGTAATATTGTCACCTCAACAATATTAAGTCTTCCAGTCCATGAACACAGGATGTCTTTTCATTTATTTACATCTCCTTTGATTTATTTTAGCAATGCTTTATATTTTTCAGTATATAAGACTTTCATGCTGGGTACAGTGGCTCATGCCTGTAACCCCAGCACTTTGGGAGGCCAAGGTGGGCGGATCACAAGATCAGGAGATTGAGACCATCCTGGCTAACACGGTGAAACTCCGTTTCCACTAAAAATACAAAAAATTAGCTGGGCATGGTGGCGGGCGCCTGTCGTCCCAGCTACTTGGGAGGCTGAGGCAGGAGAATGGCATGAACCCAGGAGGCAGAGCTTGCAGTGAGCTCAGATCGCGCCACTGCACTCCAGCCTGGGCGACAGAGCAAGACTCCATCTCAAAAAAAAAAACAAAAAACAAAAAACAAAAACAAAAACGACTTTCACTTCCTTGAATAAATTTCTTCCTAAGTATTTTATTCTTTGATGCTTTTATAAATGGAATTATTTTCTTAATTTCCTTATCAATTGTCAATTATTAATGTATAAAATGCAACTTATTTTTTGTGTTGATTTTGTATCCTACAATTTTGCTGAATTCATTCTTTGGTTCTAACAATGTGTATGTGTGTGTGTGTGTGTGTCTGTGCACACGTGCACATGTATCTTAAGAGTTTTCTACATATAAGATTATGTCATCTGTGAACAGAGATTCTTTCACTTCTTTTTTTCCAATTTGGATGCCTTTTGTTGCTTTATTTTATCCTAATTGCTGTGGCTAGAACTTCTAATACTCTGGTGAACAGAAGTGATATAAGGTGGTATTATTGTCTTATTCCTGATCTTAGGGAAAAAGCTTTCAGTCTTTCACCCTTGAGTATGATGTTAGCTGTGGGTTCTTCACACATGGCCTCTATCACATTAAGAACGTTTCTGTCTATTCCTAGTGTGTTGAGTGTTTTTATCATGAAAGGGTATTGAAATTTGCCCGATGCATTTTCTATATAAAGTGAATTGATTGTGTGAGTTTTTCCCCTCCATTGTATTAAAGTGGGGTATTACATTATTGTTTTGTTTTGTTTTCCCCCAAGACGGAGTCTTGCTCTGTCGCCCAGGCTTGAGTGCAGTGGCGCCATCTCGGCTCACTGCAACCTCCACCTCCTGGACTCAAGCAATTCTCCTGCCTCAGCCTCCCTAGTGGCTGGGATTACAGGTGCCTGCCACCATGCCCAGCTAATTTTTGTATTTTGGTAGAGACAGGGTTTCACCATGTTGGCCAGGCTGGTCTTGAACTCTTGACCTCAAGCAGTCTGCCTACCTCAGGCTCCCAAAGTGCTGGGATTACAGGCGTGAGCCACTACACCCAGCCTTAATTGATTTTTTAATACATTGAACCATCCTTGTATTTCAGGAATAAATCTCAGTTGATCAAGATGTATAATCCTTTAAACTTTATTATTGATTTTGATTTGCTAGTATTTTTTAAGAGTCTTGGCTGGGCACAGTGGCTCATGCCTGTAACCCCAGCACTTTAGGAAGCCAAAACAAGAGCATCACCTGAGACCAGCAGTTTGAGACCAGCCTGGACAATAGGCAACATAGCAAGACTCCACCTCTATAAAAAAAATTTAAAAATATCTGGATGCAGTGGATGCATCTATATTCCCAGTTACTCAGGAGGCTGAGGCAGGAGGATCATTTGAGTCCAGGAGGTCAAGGCTGCAGTGAGCCACGACCATGCCACTGCACTGTGGCCTGGGTGACAGTAAGACCTTGTTTCAAAAAAAAATTTTTTTTAACCCAAAAACTAAAAATACAAAATCAAAACAAAAATAATAAAAAAACAGAATCTCACTATGTTGCCCAGGCTGGAGTGCAGTGGCTATTCACAGGCATGATTGTGTATACTACAGCTTCTAAATTCTAAGCTTTAGTAATCCTCCTGCTTCTCTCTCCTGAGTAGTAGGAATAAAGATGTGTGCCACTGAGCCTGGCAATTTGCTAGTACTTTTTGTTTGTTTATAGACACAGGGTCTCACTCTTTTGCCCAACCTGGAGTATGTTGGCATGATCATAACTCACTGCAGCCTCAAACTGCTGGGCTTAAGTGATCTTCCTGCCTCAGCCTCCCAAGTACCTAGAACTACAGGCTCACACCACCATGCCTGGCTAATTTTATTTTATTTTATTTTATTTTTTTAAGAGAAGAGGTCTCACACTATGTTGCCCAGGCTGGTCTCAAACTCCTGACTTCAAGCAATCCTCCTGCCTTGGTCTCTGAATGTCCTGGGATTACAGGTGTGAGCCACTATACCCAGCCTTGCTAGTATTTTGATGAGATATTTGCATCTTTATTTGTGAGGGATGTTGGTCTGTAGTTTTCTTGTAGTATGTGTCTGGCTTTAGGATTAGAGTTTTGCTGGGTTCTTAGAATAAGTGAGAAAGTTACTTTCAGAGGCCGAGGCAGGTGGATCACCTGAGGTCAGGAGTTCGAGGCCAGCCTGGCCAACATGGTGAAACCCCATCTCTACTAAAAAAAAAAAAAAAAAAATTAGCCAGGCGTGGTGGCAGGCACCTGTAATCCCAGCTACTTGGGAGGCTGAGGCAGGAGAATCGCTTGAACCCGGGAGGCAGAGTTTGCAGTGGGCCAAGATCGTGCCATTGTATCCAGCCTTGGTGACGGAGCAAGACTCTGTCTCAAGAATAAGTGAGAAAGTATTCTCCCCTCTTTAGCTTTTTGAAAAATTTGAGAAGGTTTGGTATTAATTCTTTAAATGTTTTGTAGAATTCACCAGTGAAGCCATGTGGTCCAAGACTTTTCTTTATTGGGAAATTTTTGATTACTGACTCAATCCCATACTCATAAGTCTGTTTCTATTTCTTCATTATTCAATCTTGGCAGATCATGCATTTTTAGCACCACGCTCTAACCAACTGAGCTAACCGGCCGACTAGATCATGCATTTTTAAGGAAGTTGTATGTTTCATGTAGGTTATCCAATTTGCTTATGTATAGTTGTTCACAGTATTCCCTTATAACCCTTTTTATTTCCGTAAAATTAGTAGTAATGTCCCTACTTTCATTTCTGATTTTAGTGATTTGAGTCTTCTTTTTTACTTAGTCATTCTAGCTAAAGGTTTCAATTTTGTTAATCTTTTAGTAGAACCAGCTTTGGTTTTGTTGATTTTTCTCCATTGTTTTACTATTCTCTATTTTACTTTTTTCTGTTCAAATCTTTATTATTTCCTTCCCCCTTATACCTTTGGGTTTAGTTTACTCTTCTTTTTCTTTTCTTTTTTTGTTTCTGAGACGGAGTCTCACTCTGTCGCCCAGGCTGGAGAGCAGTGGCGCATAATCTCAGCTCACTGTAACCTCCACCTCCCAGGTTCAAGTGATTTTCTTGCCTCAACCTCCAGAGTAGCTGGGTCTAGAGGTGTGTGCCACCATGCCTGGCTAATTTTTGGATTTTTAGTAGAGACGGGGTTTCACCATGTTGGCCAGGATGGTCTCAAACTCCTGACCTCAAGTGATTTCACCCGCCTTAGCCTCCCAGAGTGCTAGGATTACAGGCACAAGCCACCACACCCAGCCTGCTCTCCTTTTTTTTTTTTTTTTTTTTGAGACAGAGTTTCAATCTTGTTGCCCAAACTAGAGTGCAGTGGTGTGATCTTGGCTCACTACAACCTCCGCCTCCCAGGTTCAAGCGATTCTCCTCCCTCAGCCTCCCGAGTAGCTGGGATTACAGGCATGTGCCACCACGCTTGACTAATTTTTGTATTTTTAGTCGAGACGGGGTTTCACCACGTTGGCCAGGCTGATCTTGAACTCCTGACCTCAGGTGATCCCCGCTCCTCAGCCTCCCAAAGTGCTGGGATTACAGGCATGAGCCACTGTGCCTGGCCTTTTCTATTTCTTTAAGGTATAAAGTTAGGTTATTTACTTAGATCTTCCCTCTTTTTTAATATGTTTACTTACAACTATTAATCTCTCTCTCAGCACTGTTTTTACTGTATCCCATAAGTTTTAATATATTGTATTTATGTTTTCATTTGTCTCAAGGTATTTCCTAATTTCTCTTGTGTTTGCTTCTTTGACCCATTGGTTGTTTAAGACTACATTGTTTAATTTCCATATATTTATGAATTTTCCAGTTTTAATTTTATTTATTTTAAATTGACAAATAATAAGCCAGGCTTGGTAGCTCATGCTTGTAATCTCAGCTGCTCAGGAGGCTGAGGATTGCTTAAAGCCATGAGTTCGAAATCAGCCTAGGCAATATAGCAAGTCCCCCAACCCCATCTAAAAATAAATAAATAAATAAACAAATACAAATTAGCTGGATGTGGTGGCATGTACCTGTAGTCCCAGCTACTTGGGAGACTGAGGCAGGAGGATCACTGGAGCCCAGGAGTTCAAGTCTACAGTGAGTTATAGTTGCTCCACTGCATTCCAGCCTGGGCAAAAGAATGAGACCTCTATCTCTAAAAATAATAATAATTATTATATATATACATGGGGGCTACATAGTGATGTTTCGATACATATATAGTGATCAGATCCAGGTAATTAGCATATCCATCATCTCAAACATTTATCATTTCTTTGTGCTTGAAACATTCAATATCCTCCTCCTAGCTATTTGAAACTATATAATATATTATTATTAACTAGAGTCATCCTACAGTGATACAGAACACTAGAACTTAGTCCTCCTGTCTAGCTGTAATTTTGTATCTTTTAACAAATCTCTCCTTTCCTCCCACCCTTCCCAGTATCTAGTATCCTCTCTTCTACTTTTTACTTCTGTGAGATAAACATTTATTAGTTTTCACATAAAAGTGTGAACATATTCATTTATTATACTTAACAGAAAGTATTTAACTTTCTATTCCTGGCTTATTTCACTTAGCATAAGGTCCTCCAGTTCCATCCATGTTGCCACAAATGACAGGATTTTATTCTTTTTAATGGCTGAATAGCAGTCCATTGTGTATATATATATATATATACCACATTTTCTTTACCTATTCATCTGTTGTTGGACACCTAGGTTGATTCTATCTCTTGGCTATGGTGGATAGTGCTGGAATAAACGTGGGAGTGAAGACGTCTCTTTGATACACTGATTTCCTTTCCTGTGGATAAATGCTCAGTAGTGAGATTGCTGGATCACATGGTAGTTCTATTTGTGGTTTTTTGAGGAATCTCCATACTATTCTCCAAAACTAGTTTACATTCCCACCAACAATGTATAAGAGTTCCGTTTTCTCTACATCCTTGATGGTATTTGTTATTTTTCGATCTTTTTGATAGTAGCCATTCTAACTGGGGTAAAATGATACCTCATTGTGGTTTTGATTTGCATTTCTCTGATGATTAGTGATGCTGAGTATTTTTTCATATATTTGTAGCCATTTGTGTGTCGTCTTTGGAAAAATGTCTATTCAGATCATTTGCTCATTATTTAATCAGACTGAGTTTTTTTTATGTTGAGCTCTTTGAGTTCTTTACAGATTCTGGATATTAATCTCCTATCAGATGAGTAGTTTGAAAACATTTTATCTCATTCTATAGGTTGTCTTTTCACTCTGTTGATCGTTTTGTTTTGTGGTTTTCTGTGCAGAAGCCTTGTAATTTGATATTATCCAATTTGTTTATTTTTGCTTTTGTTGCCTGTGCATTTGAGGTTTTATTCATAAGATGTTTTCTTAGATGAATGTCCTGAAGTGTTTCCCCTGTTTTCTTCTAGCAGTTTGATAGTTTTGGGTCTTACATTTATGTTTTTGATCCATTTTTATTATTAAACAGATTTTCCTATAAGGTAATAGGTGGGGTTCCAGTTCCATTCTTCTGCATGTGGATATCCAGTTTTCCCAGCACCATTTATTAAAGAGACTGTCCTTCACCCAATGAGTATTCTTGGTACCTTTATTAAAAATCAGTTAGCTGTAATATGGATTAATTTCTGGGATTCCCTATTCTGTTCTGTTGATCTATTTGTCTGTTTGGGTACCATACTGTTTGGGTTACTACAGCTTTGTAGTATATTTTGATATCAGGTAGTGTGATTTCTCCAGCTTTCTTCTTTTTGCTCAGGATTGCGTTGGCTATTTGGGATCTGTTGGAGTTCCAAACACTTTTTAGGATTATTTTTTCTGTTTCTGTGAAGGATGCAATTGGCATTTTGATAGGGATTGCATTGAATTGGTAGATTGCTTTGAATGGTATTGTCATTTTAACAATATTCTGCAATCTATAAGCAGGAGATGTCTTTCCATTTGTATCCTCTTCAATTTCTTTCATCAGTGTTTTTCAGTTTTCCTTGTAGGGAGAGGTCTTTTATTTCCCTGGTTAAATTTATTCCTAGGTGTTTATTTTTTGTAGCTATTGCAAATGAGATTGCCTTCTTGATATCTTTTTCAGCTAGTTTGTTGCTGGTGTATAGAAACACTACTGATTTTTGTATAGTGATTTTGTAACCTGCAAATTTACTGAATTTTTTCCCAGTTCCAAGGGTTTTTTAGTAGTCTTTAGGTTTTTCTGTATTTAAGATCATGTCCTCTGCAAACAGACAATTTGACTTCCTCCTTTCAAATTTGGATGTCCTTTATTTCCTTCTCTTGCCTAATTGTTCTAGCTAGGACTTCTAGTACTACGTTGAATAAGAGTGGTGAGAGTAGGCTGGGCATGGTAGCTCACACCCATAATCCCAGCACTTTGGGAGGCTGATGTGGGTGGATCACTTGAGCCCAAGAGTTCAAGATCAGCTTGGGCAACATGGTGAGATCCTATCTCTACAAAAAAAAAAAAAAAATACCAAAAAAAAAAAAATTGCTGGGTGTGGTGGCATGTGCCTGTAGTCCCAGCTACTCAGGAGGCTGAGGTGGGAGGATCACTTGAGCCCAAAAGGTCAAGGCTGCAATGAACTATAATCATGCCACTGCACTCTAGCCTGAGTGACAGAAAAGACCCTGTCTCAAAAAAAGAGAAAAAAAAAAGATGGTGAGAGTGGACATCCTTGTCTTGTTCAAGTTCTTAGAGAAAAAGCTTTTAGGTTTTCTCTATTCAGTAAGATGTTAGCCATGGGTTTGTCACATATGGCCTTTATTATGTTGAGATAATATCCTCGTATATCTAATTTCTTAAGAGTTTTTATTGTGGGCCAGGCATGGTAGCTCACAGCTATAATCCTAGCACTTTGGGAGGCTGAGGCAGGTGGATCCCTTGAGTCCAGGAGTTCGAGACCAGCCTGGGAAACATGGCAAAACCCTGTCTCTACAAAAAATATAAAAAAAATTAGCCACGTGTGATGGCATGTGCCCATAGTCCCAGCTACTTGGCAGGCTGAGGCAGGAGGATCACTTGAATCTGGGAGGTCAAAGCTTCAGTAAGCCAAGATCATGCCACTGCACTCCAGCCTGGGTGACAAAGTGAGACACTGTCTCAAAAAAAAAAAAGCGTTTTTATTGTGAGGGGATGTTTAATTTTATCAAATGTTTTTTCTGCATCTATTGAGATGATTATACAGCTTTTGTCTTTCATTCTATTGATGCATGATGTATGATGTTTATTGATTTGTGTATGTTGAACCATCCTTGCATTCCTAGGATAAATCCTACTTGATCATGGTGTGTTATCTTTTTGAGGTACTGTTGAATTTGCTTGCTAGTATTTTGTGGAGGATTTTTGTGTCTATGTTCATTAGGGATATTGGCCTGTAGTCTTCTTTTTTGTTGTGTCCTTTCTGGTTTTGTTATCAGGATTATCCTGACCTCATAGAAGGAGTCAGGAAGAATTCCCTCTGTTTCAATTTTTTAAAATAGTTTGACAAAATTGGTTTTAATTCTTTAAAGCTTCAGTAGATCTCTTCCTGTGTTTTCCTTTGCTGGGAGACTTTTTATTATTGATTCAATCTCATTACTTGTTATTGGTTTTTGCAGACTTTATATTTCTTCTTGGTTCAATCTTGACAGTTTGTATGTGTCCAGGAATATATCCATTTTCTCTAGGTTTTTAAATTTATTGGAATAGTTGTTCATATTAGTCTCTAATGATCCTTTATATTTCTGTGGTATCTGTTGTGTTGTGACAACTTCTTTTTTGTTTCTTTTCTTTTTTTGAGATAGAGTCTCGCTCTGTTTCCCAGGCTGGAGTGCAGTGGCATAGTCTCAGCTCACTGCAACCTCCACCTCCCGGGTTCAAGCAATTCTCCTGCCCTGGCCTCCTGAGTAACTGGGATTATAGGCACCTGGCTGATTTTTATATTTTTAGTAGAGACAGGGTTTCGCCACGTTGGCCAGTCTGGTCTCAAACTCCTGACCTCAGGTGATCGACCCACTTTGGCCTCCCAAAGTGCTGGGATTACAGGCATTAGTCACCATGTTAGGCCTGTTTCTAATTTTATTTGGGTCTTCTCTCTCTCTTTTTTTTTTTTTTTTTGTTAGTCTAGTTAATGGTTTGTTGATTTTATTTTTTCAAAAAAAAACCTTTTTGTTTAACTGATCTTTTGTATTTTTAGTCTCAATTTTGTTTATTTCTGGTCTGATTTTTTTTTTCTTCTATCAATATTGGGCTTGGTTTGTTCTTTTCTAGTTCCTTGAGGTATATTACTAGGTTGTTTATTGGAAACCTTTTTACTTTTTTGATGTAGGCATTTACCTCTATAAACTTGCCTCTTAATACTGCTTTTGTTGTGTCCCATAGATTTTGGTGTTTCTATTTTCATTTTGTTTCAAGGAGTTTTAAACTTTCATTCTTAATTTCTTCCTTTACCCGTTGGTCATTCAGGTGCATGTTGTTTAATTTTTGTGCATGTATATAGTTTCAAGTGTTCCTCTTGTTATTGATGTCTAGTTTTATTTGTTTCAAGGAAGTTTTAATTTTCATTCTTAACTTCTTCCTTTACCCATTGGTCATTCAGGAGCATGCTGTTTAATTTTTGTGTATTTATATAGTTTCAAGTGTTCCTCTTGTTATTGATGTCTAGTTTTATCCATTTGTGGTCAGATAAGATACTTAATATATTTTGATTTAAAAAAATTTTTTTGAGAACGATTTTGTGTCCTAAAATATGGTCAGTCCTGGAAAATCCAATCCATGTCCTGATGAAAATAATGTATATTCTGCCGCTGTTTGGTGAAATGTTCTATAAATGTCTGTTAGGTCTATTTGGTTTATGGTACAGTTTAAATCTGATGTTTCTTTGTTGATTTTCTGTCTAGATGATCCATCTAATGCTGAACATGGGGTGTTGAAGTCCCCAGTTATTATTGTTTTGGGGTCTATCTCTTTAGATCTCATATTTGCTTCTGAGTCCTTTGGTGTTGGGTGCATATTTATTTACAATTGTTATATTCTCTTGCTATATTGATCCCTTTAGTACTATATAATGTCCTTCTCTCTCTTTTTCTTTTAACAGATTTTGACTTGAAGTTGTTTTGTCTGATATAAGTATAGCTACTCCTGCGTGATTTTGGTTTCCGATTGCATGGAATATCTTTTTCCATCCCCTCCCGTTCAATCTGTGTGTATCTTTAAAGGTGAGATTAATTTCTTGTAGGCAGCATAGAGTTAAGTCATTTTTTTTAATCCATTCAGCCAGTCTATATCTTTTAAATGGAGAATTTAATCAATTTATATTCAAGGTTACCATTGATAGGTGAGGACTTAATTCCTATAACGTTATTGATTGTTTTCTGTTTTATATATCCTTTGTTCCTTACTTCCTCTGTTATTTTAGTGATTGAGTGGTTTTCTGTAGTGATAAGGTTTGATTCCTTTTCCTTTTTCCCCTGTATATCAGCACTACCAGTGAGTCTTATATTTTTCATATTTTCATTCTGGTGATAATCATATTTTCACTTCCAGATGTAGGACTATCTTGAGCACTTCTTGTAAGCTGGTCTAGTGATGAAATTTCTCCTTCATTTTTGAAGGATAGCTTTGCTGGGTATAATATTCTTGGCCAACAGGTTTTTTTTTTTTTTTTTTTTTTTTTTTTCCTTTCAGTCCTTTGAATATATTGTCCCATTCTCTCCTTGCCTATAAGGTTTCTGTTGAGAAATCCAGTTTTAGCCTAATGGGGACTCTCTTATACATGATTTGCTGCTTTTCTCTTGATGCTTTTAGAATTCTTTCTTTAGCTTTGACTTTTGATATTTGACTAGAATGTGCCTCAGATTATCTGTGTGGGGTAAAATATATTTATTCTTTGAGATGCCTGGACCTGGATGTCCATCTCTCTCCCAAGACTTGGAAAAAGTTTTCTGCTATCATTTCATTAAATAAGTTATCCTCACCTTTTCCCTTCTTTTCTAGAATGCCCATAATACAAATATTTGTTTACTTAATGGTGTCCCACAAATCCTGTAAGCTTTCTTCATTTTTCTTTTTTATTTTCTTTTCCTGTCTATTTTTGTGTTATTTCAAAAGACTTGTCTTCAACTTCAGCAATTCTTTCTTCTGTTTGGTATAGTCTACTGTTGAAGCTCTCAATTGTATTTTTATGTCATTCATTAAATTATCTAGGATATCTGCTTCATTCTTTTTTTTTATAACTGTCCATCTCTTTGGTGAATTTGCCCTTCAAATCATGAGTTGTTTTCCTGGTTTCATTGAATTGTCTATCTGTATTATCACGTAGCTTAGTGAGTTTCCTTAATATTATCATTTTGAATTCTTTTTCTGGCATTTCATATATTTTCCTATGATTGGAGTCTGTTGCTGGAGAATTATTGTTTTCCTTTGGAGGTGTCATGTTTCCTTGCTTTTTCATGGTTGATGTATCCCTACATTGATTTCTACGCCTCTGGTACAGAAGTTGCCTCTTCCATTTTTATGGAGTTGGTGTGATGGGGAAAATTTTATTTGTATGAATGAGTCTTGGGCTATTGGTTTGGTGGGGTGCATTGATTTCTAGGGGATGCAGTAGTAGTATAGTCTCTATGTAGTTGCTTCAGCTGTAATCCGTACTAATGATGCTTGTATATTTCTTAGTGGCCTAGGCTGAGAGAGTTTGTGGTGATTGTGGTGTGGCTTTGCCAAGTGTGGGCTTGCCAGGCTGTTTCTCAGGTTAGGGGCATGTGCATGCATGCAGTGGGTCAGCCAACTTGGAGTCTGACTCATTGGGGTTGAGGGTATGGGGCTGTTACGCTGGCCAGAAGCACAGGCACAAAGTTGGTTGGCTGGCCTGGGGGATGTTTCTCAGGCCTGGGACATAGCATGGCAGCTCAGTTGGCCTGGGGTGTGTTTGCCAGGAATGATCCACAGGGTTGTTTTGTAGGCTTGGGACATGATCACATGGCTTCTCAGCTAGCCTGGGTGCAGGTCTGCTGGTGGTGGCCCACAGGGTTATTTCTCAGGTCCAGGACATGAGCTCTTGGCTGACTGGCCAGTCTAGGGACATGTCTGTCAGGGGTGGCCCATAAGGCTGCTTCTCAGGGGTGGGCATATGACTGCTTGGCTGGCCTGGGTGCATGTTTGCTGGGGGTGGCCCACAGGGCTGTTTCTATGATCCAGGACTTTGGTGCTGCTTGGCTGCCCTGGGAATATGTCTTACAAGGGTGGCCCACGAGGCTTCTTCTCAGGCCTGGGATGTAGGCACAAGGCTGCTTGGCTGGCCTGGTGGTATCTGTTGAGGGTGGGCCATGTTACTGTTTTCTTGTCCAGGACTTGACTGCATAGCTGCTTGGCTGGCCTGGGGGCGTGTTTGTCAGGAGCAGGTACAGGACTGTTTCTAAGTCTCATGACACAGCTGCACAGCTGCTCAGCTAGCCTGGGGGCATTTTTGCAGGGGATGGCCCATAGGGCTGTTTTGTAGGCCTGGGATGTGGGCACAGGGCTACTTGGCTGGCCTAGGGGTGAGTCCACTGAGGGTGTCCTGTGAGGCTGCTTCTCAAATCTGGAATACTGCTGCAAGGCTGCTAGGGGTGTACCTAACTAGGATGGCCTGTAGGGCTTTTTCTCAGGCCACAGACACAGCTGCATGGCAGTTCAGGTGGTCTGCAGATGTGTTTGCTAGGGGCAGTCCATGGGGCTACTTCAAAAGCCTCGATCACAGGTACACATACAGCTGTTTGGCCAGCCTGGGGGAATGCCTTCTAGGAGCACCCTGTAGGACTGTTTCTCAGGCCTTGATTGTGAGAATAGGGCCTTTGGGCAGGCTAGGGGTGTATCTGTGGGGATTGGGGGCTCTGCAGAGCTGTTTCTTGGGTCCTGAGTGTCAGTGTATATGCATAGCTCCTCCGCTGGCCTAGGGGTGTATCAGCTGCTCAGGGGCTTCTACTGCTTAGGGGAGAGCATGCCACAGTTTGGCCAGGTCAAGGGAAGGTTTGCACTGAGTGAGACTGCCAGGCTGATCTTCCAGCTGGAAGTGCATTGGCAGGGGTTGGTTTCCCTGCTATGCAGGGTCAGAGTCACAGCCAATCCTGGGCCCAGGCTCCACACAGCTGGGGTTGTGACATTCAGCTACCCTTATAGGCTTGGTGGAATGAAGAGGGAGTCCCAGTACTGGAGAAGTGCAATGGCTACTGGCCCCCAGGGCAGGAAGCACACCAGAGGTGGCTGTTGTCTCAAGATGGTGTCATGCTGCAGAAGCTTGGTTCACAGAGGGTGGGGGTGGGGAGTGCACCTAATCTGGGGCAATGCAGCTGCATGAATTCCTGGCAGTTCTCCAAACTGGGCTCAAGGCTTGTGAGGGATATGGGATTCTCCTGTTGTAAGGACTGTAGGTGTTTCTGGTGGCAAAGGAGGCTGGTGGAGATCTTCTGCTTACCTTTTCCCTGCAACACAAAGTCCCTACTAACTCTGAGCAGATCCTATCTGGGGAATAGTGGCCAGGTGGAGTAGGGTACAAGGTTGCAGTGGCCGGATGCCTCCATACTGTCCTCCTGAACTTCCAATCACCACAGCTGCATCTCCCCTCCCCTGCTGCACTCTAGTGCTCTCCCGTCAACACTCCAGTCAAATCTTAGCTTTCAATCCTTTAACATTTATTAATACTTGTTTTGTAGCCTAAAATGTGGTCTATTCTGGAGAATGTTCTATGTATACTTCAGGAAAATGTGTATTCTACTGTTAGGTGGAGCGTTCTGTATGTGTATTTAGGTCCATTGTTTTACAGTATTGTTCAAGTCCTCTAATTCCTTAGTAATTTTCTGTCTGGTTGTCCTATCCATTATTAAAAGAGAGATATTCTATACCTATTACTGTAGAACTGTATACTTCTCCCTTCAATTCTGTCAATACTTACTTTTTTTGGATTCTTGTGTTAGGTGCATATATGTTTATATTTGTTATACTTTCTTGATGAATTGACCCTTTTATCAATATATAGTGTCCTTTGTCTCTTGTAACAGTTTTTTTTTTACGTGAAGTCTATTTTGTCTAAAATTAGGACAGTCACCTCAAATCACTTCTGGTTACTTGCTGTTTTCATGGAATATCTTTTTCTAGCCTTTCATTTTCAACCTCTTTATCTTTAAATCTACAGGGAGCCTCTTATAGACAAGATGTACTTGGATCATTTTTTTTTTTAAATCCATATTCGCTAATCTCTGCCTTTTAGTTGGAGAGTTTATTTACATTTAATTATTGATAAGGATTTTCTCTTGCCATTTCGCTATTTGTTCTGTGTATGTTTGATAACTTTTTCTGTCCCTCATTTCCTCCATACTGCCTTCTTTTGTGTTGATTTTTTTTTTGTAGTGACACATTTCTATTCCATTCTCATTTAATTTGTGTATATTCTATAGATATTTCTTTGTGGTTACCACGGGGATTACATACAACACATTAAAGTTACAACAATATAACTTGAGTTGATACCAAGTTAATTTCAATCATATACAAAAAAAACCCTATTCCTATTTAGCTCTACCCATCCTTTTATGAATGTCACAAATTATATCTTTATGTACTATATGCCCAATAACATAGATTTATAATCACTTTTTAGGTGTTTATCTTTTAAATCCCCTAGAAAATAAAAAGTGGAGTTCCAAAACAAAATTATAATAATCTTTTATAGTAATCTTTTGTATTTGCCCATGCATTTACCTTTAATAAAAATCTTTCTGTCTTCATGTGGCTTTGAGTTGCTGTCTAGCATTTATTCATTTCAACCTGAAGAATTCCCTCGAGCATTTCTTGTAGGGCAGGTGTAGTGGTAATGTACTCCTTCGACTTTTATTTATCTGGGAATGTCTTAATCTCTCCCTCATTTTTGAAGAACAGCTTTGCCGGATAATTCTCAGTTGATGTTTTTAAATTTTAAAAGTTTTTAATTTATATATATATATATATAATTTTTTAACAAGAAAATCAAAGATGCCATCAGTTGTTTTTTTTTTCTCTTCCTTTCAGCACTTTAAATGTATCATCTCAGGCCGAGTGTGGTGGCTTATGCCTGTAATCTCAGCACTTTGGGAGGCTGAGGTGGGTGGATCACTTGAGGTCAGGAGTTTGAGACCAGCCTGGCCAACATGGTGAAGCCCTGTCTCTATTGAAAATAAAAAAATTAGCCGGGCATGGTGGCATTCGCCTGTAATCCTGGCTACCAAGGAGGCTAAGGCAGGGGAATCGCCTGAACCTGGGAGGCAGAGGTTGCAGTGAGCCGAGATTGCACTGCTGCACTCCAGCCTGGGCAACAGAGCAAGACTCTGTCTCAAGTAAATAAAAATAAATAAACAAATAAATAAATCATCCCACTGCTTCTGGCCTCTAAGATTTCTGCTGAGAAATTGGCAAGATAATCTTACTGAGGCTAATCCCAGCTGCCTCAAGTTCCTGCAGAGACCTGAACAGCCCTGAGGCGTGTATAGTAGACATGTCGGGGGTACCTCAGCTTCCTCCTGTGCCCACAGATCCGATTGTGTCTCCACTGCTCACCTACATGCTCTACTCGCCCATTAGATTTCATGTGCAGAACACGAGTTCAAAGATAAAAATTTTAAGAACTTCAAGACGGTGACAGCAGAACATTAAACCAAGCATGGGGCTCTTCTGGGGGGATGGCACCCACGAAGCTGACCCTGGCTGGGACTAAAACTCAGCTCTCCCAATTCACAGCCCCACATACTCTCTATTCCAGAAGCAGCAGAGCCACTCTTCAATTGAAACCTTAAGTGGGGCTGGGTGTGGTGGCGCACACCTGTAATCCTAGCACTTTGGGAGGCCGAGGTGGATGGATCACTTGAGGTCAGGAGTTCAAGAACAGCCTGGCCAACATGGTGGAACCCCGCCTCTACCAAAAATACAAAAATTAGCCAGATGTGGTAGCATACGCCTGTAATCCCAGCTACTTGGGAGGCTGAGGCACAAAAATTGCTTGAACCTAGGAGGCAGAGGTTGCAGTGAGCTGAGATTATGTCACCGTCCAGCCTGGGCAATGTAGCCAGACTCCATCTCAAAAAAAAAAAAAAAAAACTTAAGTGGAAGTAGAATATATAATTCTTGTATTAATAGTAAAATACTTTTTAAAAAACCACAAGTTTATAATAGATAACCTGACCAGTTGAGGCTTTTTAAATATTCAACTTCATAGGTATCACCTTATCTTTGCTTCATGTAACTTAAATTCACCTCCAGACTAAAGAAGCATAGCATACTGTCTTTGGCACACAGTCTTTAATTACCACACTCCTCTCCTGAAACGCTTCCTCTGCCTGGTTAAATCTGATGCATCCTTTATGGCTCAGTTTCACTCATTCTTCTATGAAATTTATTTAGCTTAACTGTAATAACAGTGAGCACCACTTACTGGGCGCTCACTCTGTGCCTGGCCTGATGCTGAGTGTGTTTTACTTTTTATTTCCAAGAATAGTTAAGTAGTAAGACTCTTACTGCTTAGAACACAACAATTTAAGCAAAAAGTAGTTAAAAATGATCAATTAGGTCACAAAATCTATGCGAGTGTTGAACTTGGATGCTATATGGCAAATAAAATTTCCAACCTACTACTGCTGCCACTCAATACTTAAGACACTAGCCAGACAGTGTTGTACATCTGCAGTTTTAGCTACTTAGAAGGCTGAGGTGGGAGGATCACTTGAGCCCAGGAGTTCAAGGATGCAGTGAGCTATGATTGTGCCACTGCACTCCAGCCTGGGCAACAGAGCAAGACCTCATCTCTCTCTATATATATAGATAGATAGATAGATGCCAGAAACTGTGTCACAGAAGCTCTGAAAGAACCAGGTGCCACCATCATGAGGCTTACCACAAAAGATCCAGTCTCCTCTTGCAATTGCTGCCATATATTGTTCTGGGGTACATTTGCTTGACGAAGCCTAGGAAGATTCTTACAGATATGGAAGTCTTTTAAATATTTTAGCTTTCAGCTTCTTTGGTATATGAAAGTAAGAATTGGAATAGGCAGAGTGAGGTTTTCTAAATTATCTGCCACATACTTCTTTTCTTTTTCTTATATTATCAACACATCTAGAACCATTTTGAGTGGAAGAAGTGCTACCAAGCACTCTGACTTTATTTCTGGCATTATCTAAAGTGTTTCAAAATTAGTTTCACAATCAAGTGTGATATTCGTTAGAAGCTTATGGTAGATCCCGCTAATCAAGTTAAGGAGGTTCCCTTCTACTAGTTTTCAAGGAGTATCTTATTTTTAAAATCATAAATGGGTGTCAAATACTTTTCCCTAACAACATATCTACTAATATTGTGGATTTTATTAACAGATTTTTTTTTTTTTTGAGACGGAGTTTCACTCTTATCCCCCAGGCTGGAGTGCAGTGGTACTATCTCGTCTCACTGCAACCTCTGCCTCCTGGGTTCAAGTGATTCTCCTGTCTCAGCCACCCAAGTAGCTGAGATTACAGGTATGCACCACCATGCCCAGCAAGTTTTTGTATTTTTAGTAGAGATGGGGTTTTGCCATGTTGGCCAGGCTGGTCTCGAACTCCTGACCTCAAGTGATCCTCCTGCCTCAGCCTCCCAAAGTGCTGGGATTACAGGCATGAGCCACCACGCCCAGCCTCATTAACAGGTTTTTAAAACGTTGAACCATCTTTACATTCTTGGGATACATGATACTTGGTCACAATATTTTTGATGCATGGTTTACATTGCCTGGTTGTTTGCTAATTTTTAAAAAGTAGATTTTAATGAATAATTTACATCGAATAAAATGCATATATTTTAAATATACTATAAAATGAGCTTTGTTAAATGTATGCACCTGAAGAACCACCAGGATATAGAACATTTTAATCACCCCAGAATGTCTCTTGTGCACCTTTCATGTCAATTCCCACCCTACTCCCACCCCACTGTTGCCCGTGGCAAACAGTGATCTACTTTTTAATCACTATAAATTTCTTTCCTACAGTGTCATATAAATGTAACTATAGAGTATTTACTCTTTCATGCCTGGCTTCTTTCACTCAGCATTTTTGGAGATTCATATATATCATTGTATATATCACTACTAGTTCATTTTATTACTGAGTATTACTCTAAATGGCAATACCATAGTTTGATTACTCATTTCACTGTGGATAGAAATTTGGGTTGTTTCTAGTTCAGGGCCATTATGAATAATGCTGCTGTGAAGACTCATGAGTCTTTATATGTACACATTGTCAATTCTCTTCAGGGAAAAAACCTAGGAATGGAATTCATGGGTTATATGAGAAGTACACAGTCAATCCTTGGTATATACACAGGGGATTCCTCCAGGACCTCCCATGTATACCAAAATCCATGCATCCTCAAGTTTCTCAGTCAGCTCTGTGGAACACGCATATTTGAAAAGTCAGACCTCCATATATGTGGGTTTTGCATCCTGCAAATATGTATTATTTTCCACCTGTGTTTCACTGAAAAAAAAAACCCAGTTCAAACCCATGTTGTTTAAGGGTCAACTGTATATTTAACTTCATAAGAGACTGCAAAACTGCTTGCTAAAGTGGTTGTACCATTTTGCATTTCCACCAAGAGTGTATGAGTTCCAGTGGTTCCATATCCTGCATTGTCAGTCTTTTTAATTTTAGCCAGTAGAGTGAGTGTGTAGTAGTATCTTACTGTGATTTCAGTTTGCATTTCCTTGATGACCAATGATCTTAAGCATCTTTTCATATGCTTTGTAGTTATTCACATATCTTCTTTAGTGAAAGCACCTATTAAAATCTTTGCCCTTTTTAAATTGAACTGTCTCAATCTGGATACAAGTCCTTTTTCAGACACACACACACACACACACACACACACACACACACACATTTTCTTCTAGTCTGCATCTTGCCATTTCATTTTCTTAAGTGACTTTCAAAAAGAAGAACTTTCAAATATTGGTAAACTCCAGTGTATTTTTTCTTTTATGGTTAATGCTTTTTTGTTGTTGTTTTTTTCTGGTTTGTTTGTTTAATAGAACAGGGTCTCACTATATTGCCCATGCTGGTCTTGAACTCCTGACCTCAAGTGACATTCCTGCCTCAGCCTCCCAAAGTGCTAGGATTACAGGCATGAGCCACCACACCTGGCTGAGGTTAATGCTTTTTATGTCCTAAGAAACTACTGCCTATCCCGAAGTCAAAAGTATTTTTTTCCTAAGTTTTTATAGTTGTAACTTTCACATTCAGGTATATAATTCATTTCAACTTATTTTTTGTATATAGCATGAAGTAAAGGTTATGGCTTGATAGACACATAGGTGGTAGACAGATAACCAATTTGTTCCAGTTACACTTGTTGAAAGGTATCCATTTTCTATTGAATTGTATTGACTCCTTTGCGGACAATCAGTTGAACGCGTATGTGTTTGTCTCTTTCTGGACTTTCTATTTTGTGCCATTGATCTATATGTCTATTCTTAGAATAATAACACTATCTTCACTTACTGTTGCTTTATAAAAAGTCTTTAGGCCGGGCACGGTAGCTCATGCCTGTAATCCCAGCACTTTGGGAGGCCAAGGTGGGTGGATCACTTGAGGTCAGGAGTTCAAGACCAGTCTGGCCAACATGGTGAAACCCCCATCTCTACTAAAAATACAAAAATTAATTAGCTGGGCGTGGTGGCAGGAACCTGTAATCTCAGCTACTTGGGAGGCTGTGGCAGGAGAATTGCTTGATTCCGGGAAGTGGAGGTTGCAGTGAGCTAACGCTGCTGCACCCAACCTGGGGGACAGAGTAAGACTCTGTCTCACCAAAAAAAAAAAAAAAAAAAAAAAGTCTTTAAATTAGGTCATGTGAATCTTCCAACTTTATTCCTTTTCTTCCCCCGCTAATTGTCATCTTTATTCTGGATCCTTTGTATTTCCGTATAAATTTTAGGATAAGGCAAGCATGATAGTTCATGCCTATAATCCCAACTACTCAGGAAGCTGACGTGGGAGGATTGCTTGAGCCCAGGAGTTCAAGGCTGCAGTGAGCTATGATCGTGCTACAGCATTTCAGTCTGGGCAACAGAGCAAGACCCTGTCTCTTTAAATAAATTTTTTGTTTTAGAATGAGACTATTTTTAAAAAATCTGCTTGGATTTTTATTGGGATTGTCTTGAATATATAGGTTAATTTGGGGAAAGCAAAATTGAGTCCTCTGATCTGTGAACATGATACCTATCTCCATTTATTTAGAACTTCTCTAATATTTCTCAGCAATGTTTTATAGTTTTCAATATACAGTTCTTATACATATTTTGTTAAATTTAAATCTAAGTGTAACATTTTTCAGGCTATCATACTGTTTTTTAAATTCAGTTTTTAATTCGTTTTTGTATATGGACTTTGTATTCTACACTCTTGTTAACCTCTGTTCATTTTTAAAAACTCTTTTGTAGATTCTCTAGGAATTTTTTTTCTAACCAACACAATCATGTCACATATGAATAAAGACTACTACTTTAATTCTTCCTTTCTGAGGTGTGTGCCTTTTATTTCTGTTTCTTACGTTATTGCGTTAACCCGGATTTCTAGTTCAATGTTAAGTAGGAATGGAGGAAAGCAGATATTGTTGACTTATTCCAAACATAGGGAGAAGGCATTCTGTCCTTTACCGTTTAAATATGCTAAAATAAGATTCTTATAAATGCCTTTTATCAAGTTGAGGAAATTTCTGTCCCTTGCTATTTAAAAAAAAATCATGAGGGGCGTTCCAAGATGGCTGAATAGGAACAGCTCTGGTCTGCAGCTCCCAGTGTGATCAACACAGAAGATGGGTGATTTCTGCATTTCCAAGGGAGGTACCTGGTTCATCTCATTGGTACTGGTTGGACAGTGGGGGCAAGCCAAAGCAGGGCGGGGCATCACCTCATCCGGGAAGCACAAGGGGTCAGGGAATTTCCCTTTCTTAGCCAAGGGAAGCCGTGACAGACTACCTGGAAAGGGACACTCCCACCCAAATACAGCACTTTTTCCAAGGTCTTAGCAACCGGCAGACAAGGAGATTCTCTCCCATGCATGGCTCGGTGGGTCCCACGCCCACAGAGCCTTGTTCACTGCTAGCACAGCAGTCTGAGATCAGCCTGCTAGGCTGCAGCCAGGCAGGGGGAGGGGGCGTAGCCATTGCTGAGGCTTGAGTAGGTAAACAAAGCAGCCGGGAAGCTCAAGCTGGGTAGAGCCCACCACAGCTCAACAAGGCCTACTGCCTCTACACTCCACCTCTGTGGGCAGGGCATAGCTGAACAAAAGCCAGCAGACAACTTCTGCAGACTTAAACGTCCCTGTCTGACAGCTCTGAAGAGAGCAGTGGTTCTCCCAGCACAGCATTTGAGCTCTAAGAATGGAAGACTGCCTCCTCAAGAGGGTCTCTGACCCCCGTGTAGCCTAACTGGGGACACCTCCCAGTAGGGGCCGACAGACACCTCCTATAGGCGGCTGCCCCTCTGGGATGAAGCTTCCAGAGGAAGGATCAGGCAGCAATATTTGCTGTTCTGCAATATTTGCTGTTCTGCAGCCTCCACTGGTGATACCCAGGCAAACAGGGTCTGGAATGGACCTCCAGCAAACTCCAACAGACCTGCAGCTGAGGGACCTGACTGTTAGAAGGAAAACTAACAAACAGAAAGGAATAGCATCAACATCAACAAAAAGGTCATCTACACCAAAACCTCATCTGTAGGTCACCAACATCAAAGACCAAAGGTAGACAAAACCACAAAGATGGGGAGAAACCAGAGCAGAAAAGCTGAAAAATACAAAAATCAGAGTGCCTCTTCTCCTACAAAGGATCGCAGCTCCTTGCCCGCAACGGAACACAGCTGGATGGAGAATGACTTTGACAAGTTGACAGAAGTAGGCTTCAGAAGGTCAGTAATAACAAACTTCTCCAAGCTAAAGGAGGATGTTTGAACCCATAGCAAGGAAGCTAAAACCCTTGAAAAAAGGTTAGATGAATGGCTAATTAGAACAAACAGTGTAGAGAAGACCTTAAATGACTTGATGGAGCTGAAAACCATGGCACAAGAACTTCATGATGCATGCACAAGCTTCAATAGCCGATTCAATCAAGTGGAAGAAAGGGTATCAGTGATTTAAGATCAAATTAATGAAATAAAGCAAGAAGACAAGGTTAGAGAAAAAAAGAATAAAATGAAATGAACAAAGCCTCCAAGAAATATGGGACTATGTGAAAAGACCAAATCTACGTTTAATTGGTATACCAGAAAGTGATGGGGAGAATGGAACCAGGTTGGAAAATACTGTTCAGAATATCCAGGAGAACTTCCCCAACCTAGCAAGGCAGGCCAACATTCAAATTCAGGAAATAGAGAGACCACCACAAAGATATTCCGTGAGAGGAGCAACTCCAAGACACATAATTGCCAGATTCACCAAGGTTGAAATGAAAGAAAAAGTGTTAAGGGCAGCCAGAGAGAAAGGTCGGGTTACCCACAAAGGGAAGCCCATTAGACTAACAGTGGATCTCTCAGCAGAAACCCTACAAGCTGGAAGAGAGTGGGGGCCAATATTCAGCATTCTTAAAAGAATTTTCAACCCAGAATTTCATATCCAGACAAACTAAGCTTCGTAAGTGAAGGAGAAATAAAATCCTTTACAGACAAGCAAATGCTGAGAGATTTTGTCACCACCAGGCCTGCCTTACAAGAGCTCCTGAAGAAAGCACTAAACATGGAAAGAAACAACCAGCACCAGCCACTGCAAAAACATGCCAAATTGTAAAGACCATTGATGCTATGAAGAAAAAACATCAATTAACGGGCAAAATAACCAGCTAACATCATAATGACAGGATCAAATTCACACATAACAATATTAACCTTAAATGTAAATGGGCTAAATGCCCCAATTGAAAGACACAGACTGGCAAATTGGATAAAGAGTCAAGACCCATCAGTGTGCTGTATTCAGGAGACCCATCTCATGTGCAAAGATGCACATAGGCTCAAAATAAAGGGATGGAGGAAATCTACCAAGCAAATGGAAAGAAAAAAAAAAAAAAAAAAACAAAAAAAAAAAACCAGTGGTTGCAATCCTAGTCTCTGACAAAACAGACTTTAAACCAACAAAGATCAAAAGAGACAAAGATGATCATTACATAATGGTAAAGGGATCAATTCAACAAGAAGAGCTAACTATCCTAAACATGTATATATGCACCCAATACAGGGGCACCCAGATTCATAAAGCAAGTCCTTAGAGACCTACAAAGAGACCTAAACTCCCACACAATAATAATGGGAGACTTTAACACCCCACTGTCAATATTAGACAGATCAATGAGACAGAAGGTTAACAAGGATATCCAGGACTTGAACTCAGCTCTGCACCAAGCGGACCTAATAGACATCTACAGATCTCTCCACCCTAAATCAACAGAATATACATTCTTCTCAGCACATCACACTTATTCTAAAATTGACCACATAATTGGAAGTAAAGCACTCCTCAGCAAATGTTAAAGAACAGAAATCACAACAATCTGTCTCTCAGACCACAGTGCAATCAAATTAGAACTCAGGATTAAGAAACTCACTCAAAACCACTCAACTACATGGAAACTGAACAACTTGCTCCTGAATGACTACTGGGTACATAACGAAATGAAGGCAGAAATAAACATGTTCTTTGAAACCAATGAGAACAAAGACACAATGTACCAGAATCTCTGGGACACATTTAAAGCAGTGTGTAGAGGAAAATTTATAGCACTAAATGCCCACAAGAGAAAGCAAGAAAGATTTAAAATCGACACCCTAACATCACAACTAAAAGAACAAGAGAAGCAAGAGCAAACACATTCAAAAGCTAGCAGAAGGCAAGAAATAACTAAGATCAGATCAGAACTGAAAGAGATAGAGACACAAAAAACCCTTCAAAAAAATCAATGAATCCAGGAGCTGGTTTTTTTTTTTTGAAAAGATCAACAAAATTGATAGACAGCTAGCAAGACTAATAAAGAAGAAAAGAGAGAAGAATCAAATAGACACAATAAAAAATGATAAAGGGGATATCACCACCGATCCCACAGAAATACAGACTACCATCAGAGAATGTTATAAACACTGCTACGCAAATAACTACAAAATCTAGAAGAAATGGATAAATTCCTGGACACACACACCCTCCCAAGACTAAACCAGGAAGCAGTTGAATCTCTGAATAGACCAATAACAGGCTCTGAAATTGAGGCAATAATTAATAGCCTACCAACCAAAAAAAGTCCGGGACCAGAAGGATTCACAGCCGAATTCTTCCAGAGGTAGAAAGAGGAGCTAGTACCCTTCCTTCTGAAACTATTCTAATCAATAGAAAAAGAGGGAATCCTCCCCTAACTCATTTTATGAGGCCAACATCATCCTGATACCAAAGCCTGGCAGAGACACAACAAAAAAACAGAATTTTAGACCAATATCCCTGATGAACATCAATGCAAAAATCCTCAATAAAATACTGGCAAACTGAATCCAACAGCACATCAAAAAGCTTATCCACCACGATCAAGTCAGCTTCATCCTTGGGATGCAAGGCTGGTTCAACATACGCAAATTGCCGGGCGCGGTGGCTCACGCCTGTAATCCCAGCACTTTGGGAGGCTGAGGTGGGTGGATCACGAGGTCAAGAGATGGACACCATCCTGGCTAACACGGTGAAACCCCGTCTCTACTAAAAATAGAAAATATTAGCCAGGCGTGGTGGCGGGCGCGTGTAGTCCCAGCTACTCAGGAGGCTGAGGCAGGAGAATGGCGTGAACATGGGAGGCGGAGCTTGCAGTGAGCTGAGATCGCACCACTGCACTCCAGCCTGGGCAACAGAGTGAGACTCCATCTCAAAAAAATAAATAAATACGCAAATCAATAAACGTAATCCATCACATAAACAGAACCAATGACAAAAACCACATCAGTATCTCAATAGATGCAGAAAAGGCCTTTGACAAAATTCAACAGCCCTTCATGCTAAAAACTCTCAATAAACTAGGTATTGATGGAACATATCTCAAAATAATAAGAGCTATTTATGACAAACCCACAGCCAATATCATACTGAATGGGCAAAAACTGGAAGCACTGTTTGAAATCCGGCACAAGACAAGGATACCCTCCCTCACCACTCCTATTCAACATAGTGTTGGAAGTTCTGGCCAGGGCAATAAGGCAAGAGAAAGAAATAAAGGGTATTCAATTAGGAAAACAGGAAGTCAAATTGTCCCTGTTTGCAGATGACATGATTGTATATTTAGAAAACCCCATTGTCTCAGCCCAAAATCTCCTTAAGCTGATAAGCAACTTCTGCAAAGTCTCCAGATACAAAATCAATGTGCAAAAATCACAAGCATTCCTATTCACCAATAACAGCCAAATCATGAGTGAACTCCCATTCACAATTGCTACAAAGAGAATAAAATACCTAGGAATCCAACTTACAAGGGATGTGAAGGACCTCTTCAAGGAGAACTACAAACCACTGCTCAACGAAATAAGAGGACACAAACAAATGGAAGAACATTCCATGCTCATGGATAGGAAGAATCAATATCCTGAAAATGGCCATAGTGCCCAAAGTAATTTATAGATTCAATGCCATCCCCATCAAGCTACCAATGACTTTCTTCACAGAATTGGAGAAATCTACTTTAAAGTTCATATGGAACCAAAAAAGGGCCCACATAGCCAAGACAATCCTAAGCCAAAAGAACAAAGCTGGAGGCATCATGCTACCTGACTTCAAACTATACTACAAGGCTACAGTAACCAAAACAGCATGGTAGTGGTACCAAAACAGAGAGATAGACTAATGGAACAGAAAAGAGGCCTCAGAAATAACAACACACATCTACAACCATCTGATCTTTGACAAACCTGACAAAAACAAGAAATGGGGAAAGGATTCCCTATTTAATAAATGGTGCTGGGAAAACTGGCTAGCCATATGTAGAAAGCTGAAACTGGATCCCTTCCTTACACCTTATACAAATATTAATTCAAGATGGATTAAAGACTTAAATGTTAGACCTAAAACCATAAAAACCCTAGAAGAAAACCTAGGCAATACCATTCAGGACATAGGCATGGGCAAGGACTTCATGACTAAAACACCAAAAGCAATGGCTACAAAAGCCAAAATACACAAATGGGATCTAATTAAACTAAAGAGCTTCTGCATGGCAAAAGAAACTACCATCAGAGTGAACAGGCAACCTACAGAATGGGAGAAAATTTTTGCAATCTACCCATCTGACAAATGGCTAATATCCAGAATCTACAAAGAACTTAAACAAATTTACAAGAAAAAAACAAACAACCCCATCAAAAAGTGGGCAAAGGATATGAACAGACACTTCTCAAAAGAAGACATTTATGCAGCCAACAGACACATGAAAAAATGCTCATCATCACTGGTCATAAGAGAAATGTGAAGCAAAACCACAATGAGATACCACCTCATGCCAGTTAGAATGGCAATCATTAAAAAGTGAGGAAACAACAGATGCTGGAGAGGATGTGGAGAAATAGGAATGCTTTTACACTGTTGGTGGGAGTGTAAATTAGTTCAACCATTGTGGAAGACAGTGTGGTGATTACTCAAGGATCTAGAACCAGAAGTATCATTTGATCCAGCAATCCCATTACTGGGTATATAACCAAAGGATTATAAATCATGCTACTATATATAAAGACACATGCACACATATGTTTATTGCAGCACCATTCACAATAGCAAAGACTTGGAACCAAGCCAAATGGCCATCAATGATAGACTGGATTAAGAAAATGTGGCACATATACACCATGGAATACTATGCAGCCATAAAAAAGGATGAGTTCATGTCCTTTGCAGGGACATGGATGAAGCTGGAAACCATCATTCTCAGCAAACTCTCACAAGGACAGAAAACCAAACACCACATGTTCTCACTCATAGGTGGGAATTGAACAATGAGATCACCTGGACACAGGATGGGGAACATTACACACTGGGGCCTATCGGGGGGTGGGGGGGCTGGGGGAGGGATAGTATTAGGAGAAATACCTAATGTAAATGATGAGTTGATGGGTGCAGCAAACCAACATGGCATATGTTTACCTATGTATCAAACCTGCACATCGTGCACATGTACCCTACAACTTAAAGTATAATAAAAAAACATGAACAATATTGAATTTTGTCAAATTATTTATCTGCCTCTATTGAAGTAATCATGTATTTTTTTCTCCTTTTTTTTCCCTGGTACTATGGTAAATCACACAGGTTGAATTTTGAATGTTAAACCAATCTTGTATGCCTGAGATAAATACAACTTAGTCATTTGTTTATTGTTGGACTAGACTTGCTAATATTTTATTTTATTTTACTTATTTTTGTTGAGACAGGGTCTCCTCCTGTCGCCCAGGCTGGAGTACAGTGGTGCAATCTCGGCTCACTGCAAACTCCACCTCTTGGGTTCAAGCAATTCTCCTGCCTCAGCCTCCCGAGTAGCTGGGATTACAGGCACCCACCATCACGCCTGGCTAATTTTTGTATTGTTTTAGTAGCGATGGAGTGTCACCATGTTGGCCAGGTTGGTCTCAAACTCCTGACCTCAGGTGATTCGCCCGCCTCGGCCTCCCAAAGTGCTGGGATTACAGGAATGAGCCACCATGCCCGGCCGCTAATGTTTTTTTAAGGTATTTTGCATCTGTGATCATGAGAAATATTGATTGGTAGTTTTTTTTCCTTTGAATGTTTTTGGTTTTGGTATTGGTATAATGCTCATCTCTTAAAGCAAGTGGGAAGCTTTCCATTCTCTATTTTCTGAATCGGTTTCTATAGAATGGGTATTCAAATGTTTGATAGAATTCACCAGTAAAGTCATCTAGGCCTCAACTTTGCTCTGTGGTAATATTTTAAATTATTAATTTCTTTACTTGATGTGAGGCTATTCAGACTTTGTTTCTTTGTGAGTAAATTTATATATGGACTTTGTAATTAGTTTATTTCAAGACCTGTACATTTTATATAAGTTGTCAAATTTATTGGCATAAATATGTTAATAATATTCCATTATTGCCCGGGTACAGTGGCTCACACCTGTAATCCCAGCACTTTGGGAGGTGGAGGTGGGCAGATCTCTCTGAGCCCAGGAACTTGAGACCAGCCTGGGCAACATAACAAAACCCCATCTCTACAAAAAAATAAAAATATAAAAAAGAAGTGCTCTTATTTTTTAAAAATTCCATTATTATCCTTTTAATGTCTGTAGACTCTGTAGTAATGTCCCTTTTTCCATGCCAGATACTGGCAATTTGTTTCTTCTCTCTGTTCCTTACCAGTTTAGCTAGAAGTTTGTCAATTATATTAATCTATTTATGAAATCAACTTTTACTGTAGTCCTAGCTACTCAGGAGGCTGAGACAGAGGGACCACTTGAGCCCACAAGTTCGAGGCTAGGCTGGGCAACATAGCAAGACCCTGTCTTGAAAAAAATAAATCAACTTTTGGTTTCATTTCTCTATGGTTTGTCCATTTTCAATTTCTTTCGTTTCTGTTCTTAACTTTGTCACCATCCTTCTGCTTACTTTGGGTTTAATTTGATCTTTTTCTAGCTTTTAAAAAATAGCTTTATTTAGACATAATTCACCTACCATACAACTTACCAGCTTAATGTATACAATTTAATGGCTTTTAGTATATTCACAGAACTGGCCATCTACCATCACCATTTTAAAACATCTTCATTACCCTAAAAAGAAACCTTATACCCCTTAGCTATCATCTCCCAATTTCCCTCCTCCATTCCAAGGCTACCATTAACTACTTTGTTTCTATAGATTTGCCTTTTCTAGACATCTCATATATAAGGAATCATTCACTGCATGGTCCATGATGACCACCTTATTTCTTCACTTCTTTTTATAGTCAAATAACATTCCATTATATGGTTTTTCTAGCTTCATAAGGTGGAAACTTAGAGAAATAATTTTGATTTTTCTTCTAACATGGATATTTAGTGTTGTAAACTTTCAGCAAAGCACTGCTTATTTTCAACCTACTTTGGGTTTTTCTAATAGAATACACAAATTTTAAATTTTTTTTTACTATACTATAAAGTTTATGTTAAGTAATGTTTATGGCATAATACCAAAAACATTAAGATTTGATAACTAGTGAGTGCTCTCATTGTCTTTCACATCTATTTCATAATTTCCATTTGAGTGTCTGAAGCTCAATCTTTAGTAGATTCCTTGAAAAGGGATTATAGGAAGAATATTTTCTGAATTCCTGCATGTTAATAGATTTGTCTGTATGCTTTATACTTAAAGGTTAGTTATGCTGGATATAAAATTCTTCATATTTTCTTTCCTTATCTTAAACATATTAATCCATTTTTCTTCTGGAATAAAGTATTGCTGTCAATATCTGATAATCTAATTTTCTCTTCTTTATAAGTCATGTGCTTTTTTTTTTTTTTTTTGAGATGGAGTCTCACTCTGTCTCCCAGGATGGAGTGCACTGGTGTGATCTCAGCTCACTGCAACCTGTCTTCTGGGTTCAAGCCATTTTCCTGCCTCAGCCTCCTGAGTAGCTGGGATTACAAGTGTCTGCCACCATGCTCAGCTAATTTTTTGTATTTTTAGTCGAGACAGGGTTTCACCATGTTGGCCAGGCTGGTCTTGAACTCCTGGCCTCAAATGATCCACCCACCTCGGCCTCCCAAAGTGCTGGGATTACAGGTGTGAGCCACCGTACCTGGCCCAGTCACGTGCTTTTATTGCCTCAATTCCCAGAGAATTTTCCTCCTCTTTAATATCTGGTAATTTTGTAAGAATCAATTCGTGTTGGTCATTCTGACTCAATATTCTCACATATATAATATGCTCTCCAATATTTGGTTTTTAAACAGTTATTTTAGGAAAGTTTTCTTAAAATATAATTTTAAAGCTTTGCTCTTTTCCTTGGTTTTGTTTTGGACTTCCATTATGTGTGTGTTAATTTTTTTTTTTTTTTTTTTTTTGAGACCCATTGGAGGGTCTCACTCCATCAACCAGCCTGGGGCTGGAGTGCAGTGCTGTGATCATAGCTCACTGCAGCCTCAATCTCCTCAGCTCAGGTGACTCTCCCACCTCAGCCTCCCAAGTAGCTGGGACTACAGGCATGCGCCACCCACATCCAGCTAGTTTTTTGTAGAGATGGGGTTTCACCACGTTGCCCAGGCTGCCTTTGCTTATTTTCAATGTCTGTCTCTTTGAGGTCTTTTACTTTTTTAAAAAAAATTATCCTGTTTTTCACCTTTAAGATTTTTGCTAATCTCTTCATCTGTAGATGGACACTTGGGTGGCTTCCACTTTTTGGCTATTGTGAATAATGCTGCTATAAACATGGATGTACAAATATATTTTCAAGTCCATGCTTTCAATTATGTAGGGTATACATAGAAAAGCAGAATTGCAGGACCACACTGTAATTCTGATTAATTTTTTATTGTGATTATGTATGTATAATATTTTTATTGTGACTATGTTTGGATACATATTTTATTGGGATTATATGTATCCATACATAATCACAATAAAATTATACATAATCACAATAAAAAATCAGAATTTATGTACATATTATAATCACAATAAAATGTGTAACATAAAATTTATCAATTTAACCATTTTAAAGTGTACAGTTTTTTGGCTTTTAGTACATTTACATTGTTATGCAACCATCACCAATCATCCATCTTCAGAACTTTTTCATTTTCCCCAACTGAAACTCTGTACTCATTAAATACTCACAATCCCCCTCCCCCGAGGTAAACATCATTCTCCTTTCTGTTTCTATGAATTCAATTACTCTGGGCACATCATGTAAGTGGAATCATACAATATTTGTCCTTTTGTGTTTGGCTTATTTCACTTAGCATGTCTTTAAGGTTCATGCATGTTAAAGAAACGTTAGAATTTCCTTCCTCTTTTAGCTGAACATTGTCTGTATTATGTATGTGTATACACAACAATTATCCATTCACCTGTCTATGTACAACTTAACTGCATCCACTTACAGTTACTGTGAATAATGCTACTATGAACATGATGTACAAATACTTCTTTGAGTCCCTGTTTTCATTTCTTTGGGGTATACAATTCCAGAGGTGGAAATGCTGGATCATATGTTAACTGTATAATTTTTTGAAAAGCTGTCATGCCACTTTCCACAGTGCCTGCACCATTTTACATTCCCCCTAGTAATGAAAAGGTTCCGATTTTTCCACATTCTAGCCAACACTTATTATCTATTTTTTAATAATAGTAATCCCGACATGGTATTATAGTTTTGATTTTCATTTCCCTAATGACTAGTGATATTGAGCATCTTGTCATGTGTTTATTGGATGTTTGTGTATCTTCTTTGGAGAAATGCCTATTCAAGTCCTTTGCCCATTTTTAATTGTTTTGCTATTGAATTACAAGGATTTCTGGGCTCTCTAATCTGTCTATGTGTCTTTATGCCAGTACCAGTTTTGATTACTGTAGCTTTGTAGTTTAAGTTTTGAAATCAGGACATGTGAGACCTCCAATATTATTCTTTACCAAGATTGTTGGCTATTCAGAATCCCTTGAGATTCCTTATTTTAGGATGGATTTTCCTATTTCTGCAAAAATCTTAGTCTTTTCTGTAGCTGTAACAGAATACCTAAGACTGGGTAATTTATAAGGAAATTTACTGGGCTTACAGTTCTGGAAGCTGGGAATTACAAGGGCATGGTGGTGGCATCTGGTGAGGGCTTCACGGTGCTTCATAATAGGGTGGAAAAGTAGAAGGGGAAAGAAGTGTATATAAAAGAGACAGGACAAAGGAGGATGACCCACTTAACGACAACATGCTTTTGCAAGAGTCTCGACTAACCCAGTCTCATGGGAAAGACATTAATCCATCTTAATTATCTCTTAAGGCCCAGGCTCCCAGAACCATTACATTGGCAATTAAATTTAAACATGAGTTTTGGTGGGGACAAACCACATGCAAAACCATAGCACCCTCATTGGGATTTCCACAGGGAATATGTTTTTCCATCCCTTTACATTGAACCTGTGTCTCTAGATCTAAAGTGAGTCTCTTATTGACAGCATCTAGTTAGCTCCTTTTTTTTTTGATGCATTATGCCAATGTGTATCTTTTGATCACAGGGTTTAATCCATTTAGTCACTGATGGGGAAGAACTTCTTTGCCTTTTTGTTTTCATGTCTTAAGATTTTTTTTTTTCAGACAGGATCTTGCTCTCTTGCCCAGGCTGGCATGCAGTGGCACAAGCACAACTCACTGCAGCCTTGACCTCCCAGGCTCAAGCAATTCTCCCGCATCAGCCTCCAGACTAGCTATGACTAGGCATGTACCACCACGCCTGGCTAATTTTTTTGAAAAGATGGCATCTATGTTGCCCAGGCTAGTCTCGAATTCCTGGTCTCAAGCAATCTTCCTGCCTCAGCTTCCCAAAGTGTTGATATCAGGTGTAAGCTGCTGCCCCTGGCAGCTTCTTTTTTTTTTTTTTTTTTGGCCTCATTACTGGCTCCCCCTACCCCCTTTTTTTTTTTTTTTAGTAACGTATTTTTGATACCCTTTTCCTTTTGTCTATATTCTATACATATTTTCTTTGCAGTTATGAGGATTACATCTTAATGTTGGAACAATCTGAATTCTAGCCTGATGTTGAAGTGAATTTTTCAACTCAGGTATTGTACATTTCAGCTCCAGAATTCGTTTTGCTCCTTTTCTATCTCTTTGTTGATATTCTCATTTTGTTCATATATTTTCCTGACTACTTCTGGTTCTATGTCCATGTTTTCTTTTAGCTTGTTCAGCATACTTAAGACAGGTGTTCTAAGTATTTAATAACTGTGTTTCTTCAGAGACAGTTTCTGTCACCTTTTCTCCCTTTGAATGGGTGTTTTCCTGTTTTTGCCTTGTGGTTTTCTGCTGGAAAAATGGGAATTAAAAAAAAAAATCATCTCTCCCAGTTTTTGCAGACTGGTTTCATGATGAGGACAACCTTCCTTCACTAATTAGCAGGCGTGTTCTGAGCCTTGGGAGCAGCCTGGGGTGACAGCTTCAAGTTGTGCAGCTTTTCCCAGACATGCTGCCTTTCCCCATGTGAGCCCTCTGTTAAGTGAAACACACTCTTTCAAGAAGCCCCCAGATGAGTTAGAATGCTGGAAATAAGTTCTGCTCTATTCCCTCCCGTTCAAGGGAGGGAAATGAGCAACACTACTGAAAAGTTCTGGTTTACACTGAGATTAGAAGTTTATACTATAATGTAAATAACACTGCTTTCTTCATCTAGAAAGACTTGCTACAAAAAGTCAACTGAATTAAATGAAGGAGGTACTTACTGATGTAGTTTATTTTTATTTTGATGTAAATGCCTTTGTGGACAAGAAACCCCACGGCAGCTCATCTATAAGCCACACTGACTAGCACTGTTTCAGAGCACTTTTAATATTACCTTACTTGAACTTTTCATGGACTATTTTCTCCATAGTTGCAGAAATAAGAAAAGAACGTGGGAAAGATAGCACTGATTATTTTTAGTAAGGACTACTTTTTTTCTATCTATCTCATAAGTCAAAAGGTGTTTCATGTAACAGAACCTCACTTTTTTGCTTTTTAAAAGCAAAGTAAAAATAGAACATAACTAAATTCAACTGTTATGTAAGTTATTTTGTCTTCTCAGACTTAATGATTTATCATGCATGTATCAAAAGATGAGATTTTTATTATAAGTTAACCATACGTAGTTATTTTATATATGACTCATGATATATCAAAACCTGGGTAAAACCCACATTGGAATGGAGTTCAACTATACTTAAAGTAGATATTATGATAATTCTGACTCTTTGTTGGACTTACGTGAATGCCTTTTCTAACTTGAAACACAATCCTTCTCCCTAAAAAGCACTGAAATGTAAAAGTGTACATCAATCTATATTTAAAATGTTCTATTCCAAATTTGAAGTGCTTAGCCTAAAACAGATTTCTTTTAGAAATAAGCCTATTATGAATTGAAAAGACCAACTGACAAAATTTGAGAAGTTTTCCTTTTTCAGATTTTAGAGTTTATTTCTTATGTGATTATCCTGCTTTGTATATAACACTACAGTCATGTGCCACCTAACATTTCAGTCAGTGACAGACTGCTTATCTGGTGGTGGTCCTGTAGATTAAAATACTCTATACTGTACCTTTTTCTATGTTTAGATACATACATTGTTAGCTTTGTGTTATAACTGGTTACAGTATTCAGTACAATAACATGCTGTATAGGTTTGTAGCCTGGGAGCAATAGGCTGTATCATATAGCCTAGGTATGTAGCAGACTATACCATCTAAGTTTGTGTAAGTACACTCTGTGATGTTCCCACAACAACAATCTTCTAATGATGATGCATTTTCCTCTCATTAAGCAACACATAACTAATTTCAACAGAACAGTGCTACAATGAAAGTTCAACAAGACCTCAAAAGCAGACGATGGAGGACTTCCACTCCTTTTGGTTGCTCCTTTTACTTAACATCTGCTTGTATATGTTATTTACAGTAAGGCATTCTCATCAGTTTTCCTGAGTAGAAATTTATATTTAACTTAAGGCTACATTTACACAGAAAGTAAACTTCATAGTCCTCAAATTTCAGAAAGTAGGCAGCCAAAGACCTTTACTGGTCTACTACAGTTAATTTTGCAAAATATCATTAAAGTGGTTGAATAATATCCAAGGACATTAGGAGCACAGGATTTTGAAATTTTATTCTGATAAATCTGGTAATTTATGGTACTCTATTAACTCATTCCTTTTTGTCTAAGTTACCCAATATTGTTCCCTCTAAAACACTAACTTTTACTATAGTAAAAATAACCACCGCCAAGAGATTGGTCCTTGTGTTGCTGGCCATCTGGATTAAGATGTCATTTTTCCCATTCTGCTTTCTCCCAGCAATCTTCATTTCATAATTCTGTCTGTTCAAGTGATTTATAATTAATCATAATTTGGTGTATGTGTTTTAGAATCACAGTTTTTTTTTTTTTTTTTTTTTGAGACAGGGTCTTGCTCTGTTGCCCAGGCTTGAGTACAGTGGCACAAGCACAGCTCACTGCAGCCTTGACCCCCAGGCTCAAGGGATCCTCCCACCTCAGCCTGCTCAAGTAGCTGGGACCACAGGCATATGCCACTACACCTGGGTAACTTTTTTATTTTTAGCAGAGATAGGGTCTTGCTATGTTGCTCAGGCAGGTCTCAAATTCCTGGGTTCAAGAGATCCTCCCACCTTGGCCTCCCAGTGTGCTGGGATTACAGGCATACACCACTGTGCCCAGCCTATAAATTTCTTAACAGCAATCCAGTCATTCAATAGTTTAGTCCATTGGGCTCTGCATAGAAGCTGTTCATTTTTCAGTTATATGGACTTAAGTGGTATGGAAGTTACATATAGCAGTCAACACATGGCTACGTAAAGATACTTAGATTCTTTTAAGCAGCAATAAGATTTCATTTATATACACACACACATATATTAGTTTATAAATTATATATATGTGTTGATTTACTATTTGTAACTTCTCCACACTCTCACACTGTAATAACCATTTTATTTTTTTTTGAGACGGAGTCTTGCTCTGTTGCCCAGGCTGGAGTGCACTGGTGCGATCTCAGCTCACGGCAACCTCTGCCTCCCAGGTTCAAGTGATTCTCTCACCTCAGCCTCCTGAGTAGCTGGGATTATGGGCACCTGCCACCATGCCTGGCTAATTTTTTGTATTTTTAGTAAAGACGGGGTTTCAACATGTTGGCCAGGCTGGTCTCAAACTCCTGATCTCAGATGATCCACCTGCCTCGGCCTCCCAAAGTGCTGGGATTACAGGCATGAGCCACCATGCCTGCCCAATAACCATTTTATTATAATTTCACTGAGGTAGATGATTGCTTCTTTTATTACTGCATTTACCATTCAGCTTTCCAAAGAATCGTAAAGTCAGTTCACTGCTCTTTTTATAATATTACTAGGTTATTACCATCTAGTTATCACATTTGCTTACCCCACTGTTAAGATGTTCTGGTGGATACTTCCGTTAACTCCATGTTGGTGATAACTCCCTATTTAAAGTTAATAAGAATAAAAGTTAGTTAATGAATGATGAAACTTCCAATATGGAAGGAAAGGCTTAGGGTTGGTGAGGAAACAACAGTTTCCACATTTTCCAGGGTAGTTCCAGCCCTCCTTTATGTGAAAGTTCAGCATTAAAAGAAATAACAGAATTGCAGTAATGGAACTAAAAGCTTCATATTGGATTTTTCCCTCTTTTCATTTGGAAAGAAAAATCATTGGTAATTATAAAACTTTAAAGGGTTCTGTATGATCTAATTCTGAAAGAGTTTAATAATTCCCACGTGGGGTTCCAAGTTGAATATAATGAAATTTGTAAGATTATGGAATACGTAATTTCCTTCTGAAAGACACTTGTATTCTACTTTCTATAACACACATGGCAATAAACAGTATTTTCCATTCTTTGAACCCCTATATTATGTCTACATTTTTGAATTTTCTGCTTCCATCCACTTTACTAAAAAATTTTTTTAAAAATCATCAATGGTCACAAAATCTGAGTGGATCAAAGTGCTGAACTTAATTCTCCATATTTCTAAAACACTTATATTGGAACAAAGGCTAGTCAGAAGAAAGGAGCTTCAGAGTTCACTTAAAAGTGGGTAAAAATACCTACTTTCCCAGAGAATCAAACCAAATTCTTCCTTCAGTATTTAAATACTGCATAAAGTATAAAGAACTCTTGTGTGAACTAGGATTCACCATAAGTAATGTAAATAGTCTAAAGCATCAATTAACTTACTTCATTAAGCTCACAGCTATTACCACACCATATTTCTTTTTTTTTCCTTTTAATTACATTTATTTTAATGCTGAATTTATTCCCGTGCCATAAGTTTTTGTTTCTTCAGTTTCTTCTGGGATATCTTTTTCTTCTGGGCAACCTCCTCTTCTGGTTTAGGAACAATCTGTTCCTTTTCAGTAAAGATCATCTCAATGTGGCAGGAAGAGCTCATGTATGGGTTAATCCATGAGCTCTGTAAGTCCGTTGGTGCATCTTAGGTGCTTTGTTCACTTGGATATGCTCAATGACCAGAGAATCTACCCTTAAGTTCAGCATTACTCTCTGTGTTTTTAAGCACGTGCAGCAAAAATTCAGCACTCTTTTTGGGCCACCGACCTTGTGGCCCAAACAGGCTAAGTGGTGAGCATTTTAGTTAAGAAGGCCCAGTGTTGTTATGCAGGACTTTGTTAAAAAAAAAAAAAAAAAAAAAAAAAAAAAACCGAAATATTTTAACTCAAGTAGGTTTAATTCACCACAGAAGAGCTAAGAGAAAAGAGGGGGTTGGTAAAATACAGTATACTTTCTTTAAAAAGGACTTGGGAGGAAAAAAATCAACTTAGAAGATCCAGCCCCACTGCTTTGCCTGCGCACACCTGCCAACTCCACCATTGTAATGTCGGAATGGTATGCACTGTTTCTGTAAAGTGACATCTTTCAGATACTTCGTGCCTTTTTGTATATACATACCCTTGATGGCCTGAGCAGTTTCACGAGTGTTCTTAAAGTGAACACGAAGATTGGAACCTCTTGATTTGCATGATTTTGTGGGGTTCTCCGGGTCAAGTGAATAGCGAACCATTTTCAGATTACCTCAGGCCACTTAGGAAAGAGCATCATATTTCTTAATAGGAGAAAGTCTTAAGTACCACTATTGTAATAATTTTTTTCTTTTTTGAGACAGAGTCACTCTGTCACTCAAGCTAGAGTGCAGTGGTGCAATCTCAGCTCACTGCAACCTCTGCCTCCCAGGTTCAAGCGATTTTCCTGCCTCAGCCTCCCAAGTAGCTGGGACTACAGGCATGCACCACCACACCCGGCTAATTTTGGTAATTTTAGTAGGGATGGGGTTTCACCATGTTGGCCAGGCTGGTCTCGAACTCCTAGCCTCAGGTGATCCGCCTGCCTCGGCCTCCCAAAGTGCTGGGATTGAAGGCGTGAGCCACCATGCCTGGCCCATAATAACTTCATAACCACAGTAAAGTATTTTAGAGCTCTCTTTGAAGGAAGCACATCTTGATTCATGAAATATCTGAAACTTCAGAGAGCCTAAGTTTTTCTTAACCATGTGACATTAGTGTGAGTGGAAACCAAGAGTATAAACCTAAGCCCTATGTACTAAAGAAATTACATAAGTTAACCTGTTACTGCCACATCATACATTCGGATTTAAATACGAAAAACACCACACAGAAAACAAACATTTTTTTAAAAAAGATTTAAGATCATAAATAGGTCATTGTTGTCACAACACATTTCAGAATCTTAAAAAAACAAACATTTTGGCTTTCTAAGAAAAAGACTTTTAAAAAAAATCAATTCCCTCATCACTGAAAGGACTTGTACATTTTTAAACTTCCAGTCTCCTAAGGCACAGTATTTAATCAGAATGCCAATATTACCACCCTGCTGTAGCAGGAATAAGAGGCAAGGTATTAGCACTAAGAAAAACAGCAAAATTCCTGAACAAAATCATCTGTCATTTTAAAAAAGGGATAAAAAAACAGGCTAAGTGGTGAGCATTTTAGTTAAGAAGGCCCAGTGTTGTTATGCAGGACTTTCCATTAAAAAAAAAAAAAAAATCGAAATATTTTAACTCAAGTACGTTTAATTCACCACAGAGGAGCTAAAAGAAAAGAGAGGGGGTTGGTAAAATACAGTATACTTTCTTTAAAAAAGACTTGGGAGGAAAAAAATCAACTTAGAAGATCATATGAAAGGGCAATCACATGGAACCCAGTTAGTGTCCTAGTTTATTACTAGTCTTCAGATCCAGAAAACAGAGTAAGACACTAGGTAAACAGAACACCTAGGCACATCTGTAAGGCATTTGTTTCCTATCACACAGCCCATTCTAGCTTAACACCCACCAACTGAGATGTAGTGAAATACTAAAACTGGATGCTCAAATTATGTTTTTATCCAACCAAAAAGTTCTTTAAATATAAAATTCCTCACTTTAAACTCTGCCTTGTCTTCTGTGATACCAACAGAACTTTAAGGTTTTATGCAATATGATGATTTCGTGTTACTTTTAAAAGAACCCACAAAGTAAGCAATTGTCCACAGATGAAACATGGGATGAGGTTCATGACTGAATCAATCATGGAGTGTTAGTCAATTGTAAACTCCTGAAAGTTAAGACTAGGAAATGTGTATATCAGACACATAAGAGTACAACAATAGGAGAAAAAGGGAAGCCTGTTTGTCATTCCAATTCTGACAACGTACAAGGTCTTCGAAATTCTTGTCCACGTTCATGGAGCCATTTATTGGATACTGTGAGAGAAAAGTAATATATTAATTTTCCCCCTTAATCTAATCAGTATTTAATTAGTTTCTAAAAGCTAGGTCTATAACAAAGTTTCATCATGGGATAAAAGTTCAACACCAAAACCGGATAAAGGCAGATGCTACTTAAAAACTTGGCTAAATGCTGAAAACACAGATTTTATATACCTATATACATATGTGTACACACTTGTGTGCGTGTATGTACATACATGTATGTATACACATGTATATTTGCCAGTCTATGTGCATTTCTTACAGTTTCCAATGTTCAATGTGAGGCTTGAAATGAGACACAAATGGACCTAAGATACAGGTACAGGTAAGAGTAGAATATTGCTTTATGTATTGTTTTCAAAGTACAGCCTCCAAAATACAAAGACAATAATGAACACAAACTTTGCACTCTAAAGGAACAACTCTCTTATCAACCATTGCTATTGTATGCTCATCAAGTTTCCAAAATACCTTTAAAAAATGTATACCATGTAAAAATGTATCCCAAAAGCAGTTAATTTTCTATTTTTTTTTTGTCTCTGGTACCATAGAACCCAGTCAAAATATCTAAAGCAGGAACCTTAATTCTTAACTCTTTTTCCTTCTTCAACCCTTGTATCTACACTTTATTCATCAAACCCTGACAATTTTCCTTACATCTCTCTCAAATCTATTTGCTCTCCAACCCTTTCACTGATGCTTTAATCCAGGCCATTATCATCTCCCACTTAGACAACAGAAAACAGCTTTCTAAACTCTCTCTCACCAACTAGCCTCTCCTCATTCTAGTCCAGTGGTTCTTAAACACTATAATCATAAGGGGAGATTTTAAAATCCTGATCAGGCCTCACTCCTTAACCTTGTAATGTCCTGTATGTAACCACTCAACATGTGGCTAGTAACACAGATTGAAATGGATACATGGGGCTAATTAATAGATATTAAAACTAATTTTACCTGTTTCTTTTTACTTTTTAAAAATGTGGTCCTGCACTTGCATGTCCCTGACTGAGAGTGAGTGCCTCTTTAAATTTTGCACATTAGGTGCTACTCGAGCCTCACATTAGAACCTGGTATCTAACATGTTTGGAAAACTGCTGTTCTATCTTCAGGACCAAATTTAAAGAAAAAGCTTTGAAGAAGACTCCCCAAACTTAGGCAGTCACCATCTTCTGTTTACATTTTTGTATTAATATGTACTACATTATAATCCATTAGTATGTCTCAATCAGATTATTAACCCTTTGAGGGGAAGATATTGTCTTATTCAATTTTGAGTCAGTCATTGTTTCTTGGAATAAGTAAAAATAGTTAAAAATAAAATCTGTCATCAAAATTCTGATTTCAAATTTGTATTATGATTAGGCACTTGTTTGGCTGAATCCTGTACAATGTTAAAATCATATTAAGCAAACATGGGGGCTTTTGTTTTTAAGACACAGATAATAGTTCCAAAATAAGAAACAAAAATTACATTATCTTCGCAGAATATATGAAATATTTACCCCATTTGTTGCCAACTAGCACTGGACAGGCTGCATGCCGTGTACTATAATCTCCTTCTCCACTGGCAAACAGATTATACCAGAAAACAGCAGTTCCCTATGGAGAACAATTCACAATTATCCCCAAGTATACAATGCCAGGTAATTGCTTTCGGTAGTTATTACTTTTTTTTTTTTTTTGAGACAGAGTCTTGCTCTATCGCCCAGGCTGGAGTGCAATGGCACGATCTCAGCTCACTGCAACCTCCACCTCCCAGGTTGAAGTGATTCTCCTGCCTCAGCGTCTCAAATAGCTGGGATTACAGGCGTGCAACACCAGGCCTGGCTAATTTTGTATTTTTAGTAGAGACGGGCTTTCACCATGTTGGTCAGGCTGGTCTCGAACTCCTAACCTCAGATGATCCGCCCATCTTGGCCTCCCAAAGTGCTGGGATTACAGACGTGAGCCACCGTGCCCGGCCGTTTTCAGCAGTAATTTTCCCTTTGTTCCTGCGGAAGAACTCTATAGCAGTATTTTATTTTCCTCTAATATAATTCTGAAAATATGGTTATATCACTTTAAGAACCGTTTTTGATCATATGAAAAATACCATAAAAATGTTTGACAACAAAAGTATTTGCCAAAAGAAAGCTAACATATCTTACATAGCAAGATGGAGGGGAAAACACAATGCAGAACCCATTTTAGAAATGAAAAATTTTAAATACTAATTCCTGGTCATTCATTACCTCTAAGTACTCGTGGCAAGGACCATAAAAATACCTTTAAAAATGTAATTTGGTCAGGCACAGGGGTTCATGCCTGTAATCCCAACATTTTGGGAAGCTGAGGTGGGAGGATCACTTGAGCCCAAGAGTTCAAGACCAGCCTGGGCAATACAGGGAGACACTGTCTCTACAAAAAATTTAAACATTAGCTGGGCATGGTGACATGCACCTGTAGTCCCCACTATTTGGGAGGCTGAGGCTTGAACCCAGGAGGTCAAAGCTGCAGTGAGCCATGTTTATACTGCTGGGCTCCAGCCTGGGCAACAGAGCGAGAACAGGTCTCAAAAAATGAAAAAGAAAAAAAAATGTAATTCATTAATTAGACCATGAATACAAGTGCATCTCTTCCTTAGGGAAAAAATTAATAAACCAAAAACAAAACAAACAGGCTTACTTTTTTGGGCCAAACACTAGCTCCAACTTCAGGAAAAACAGTGGCTCCTCCTGCAGACACATCACTCATCTATAAGAAACAAGAGGGTGTTATCAAAAGTGCTGGTAGAATAAAGTAAAACATGCCATTATATAGACTTGATATTGGATACTAGAATATTGGGAACATATGGACTTGTTCTTATATAGCATGGTTGGTACATGCTACTCAGTTTTTCAAAAATAAAATGCCATTTAGGTTTATATACATAAGTAAAAAAACTACAAAAAGCAAAGGAATGAATAACAAAAAACTATCAGGATGGAAGACTGGGGATATAATTTGAGATAGGAACTTATTTATAGCCAGAGGGAAAAAGTAATGACTTAAAACTAATGAGTCAATACACAGATATAAATATGTATTTTATTGTATTAGAATGTAATCTCCATGGAGGCAGGAATTTTCATCTGTTTTGTTCATTGCTGATCATTAATGTCTAGAACAATAGTACCTCAAGAACAGTAGGTGCTCAAGAAATATTTAAATAAATGTAAAATAAAAATACTCAGTTTTGCCATTTCTCATGGAAGGGAATCAAACATATTAAATAAAAGTGAGAAAGTTAAAGGATTATATAAAGTTATAGTCATAAAGATAACCTAGAATAAAAATGGAAACCTTTTAAATTAACCAAAGAATCACAAAAAACAAGGCAAAGGAAACATGGATCATAAAGATTTTTTTAAAGCAACATAAGTAGAATGTATAGACTGATTAGATCACAGAGCAAAACCCAGCTACATATTATATCAGAGCTGCATCTAAAACAAGTGACTTACAAACACAGAACACAAAAATGTAAGATTTTGGGCAAATGCTATCCAAGGAAAACAGGATATGATCTTAGTATGAGATACAGTTTAAATCAAGGTAAAAAGCATTAAATGAGATAGAAGGTATTTTACAATGATAAATACATAACTAATAGTAAAGAACTAAGAACACTTAACCAATGAAAAAATTAAACTCTGAGGAAATTAAAAAGTTGTGCATGAGAGGAAAAGTAATTTGAGATATTCTATGTGCCCCTCTGGGAATGGTATTTAAATAACGGAAAAAATGATAATCAATTAAAATGCTATACAACTATTTTAGAAAAACAGGAAGGGTGTTTACATTAAGAGGGAGAAACAGATAGTGGGCCAAATAATACAGCATCAATATTCATAAAACAAAGAAATATAAGCAGAACCAGGAACACATAAACACTAATGGCTTTTAAACATCTGAAAAGATGCTCAACCTCTCTAATAAGAGAAATGCAAATTAAAGCCACAATAACTGCTAATTTAATAAGTGAAATATACATAGATCAAAAAGTCTGACAAACATACTTCACAAACATATCCCACTTAAAATTGGGATATAAACTGGTACAACCTCTAAGACTCACCTCTAGAAAATATGCAAGCCTTTGCAGCATGAATTTGTATACCGTACTAACCCTCTCCTGGTTTTCCCTTTGTGGTATTTCTCTTTTTTTATATGAATCTTTGTAATGTACCTTACCTCCTTTTGGAAACAAGATGGAGTTGTGAGAGAAATACAAATTGGGAATTGGGGAGAAAAGGAGGCATACGGAGAGGAAGGAGATAGGGAAGAAGGGAAAGAAAACAAACAGGGAAGGTAGCAGGAAGAGAAAAAGGAAATAGACTGAACAGACAGATTTTGGTAGGGAGTGAGATACTACAGACAACAAAAAGATGTAATTCAAATAGGGCTAAGGAATGGAAAAAGTGATGAAATAACCAAAATTAAGTCTACATATAAAATATATATATTTTTTTTATTTTTATTTTTTGAGATGGAGCCACGCTCCGTTATCCAGGCTGGAGAGTGCAGTGGCGCGATCTCGGCTCACTGCAACCTCTGCCTCCCAGGTTCAAGTGATTCTCGTGCCTCAGCCTCCTGAGTAGCTGGTACTACAGGTGTGTGCCACCACACCCAGCTAATTTTTGTATTTATAGTGGAGAAGGGGTTTCACCACGTTGGCCAGGCTGGTCTCGAACTCCTGACCTCAAGTGATCTGCCCGCCTCGGCCTCTCAAAGTGTTGGGATTACAGGCGTGTGTCACTGTGCCTGGCCTAAAATATCTTTTTTAAGTTAACAAAGGTTATGACATTATGGCAGATTGCATTTTCCAAATATAATACATCCCAATATGTCCCATCCTACATGCTCTTTTTATGTGACGCTGACATTCGTCTGCAGTGGTAGGGTCTGTGTGCCCTCTCCTTGAAGCTGGGCAGACCTTTGTAATTGCTGTAACAGAATACAGCAAAATTAACATCTGTGACTTCTGAGGGTAGGTCATAACAATACCATGTACTTTTGCATTGTTCTTTTGGGATGCTTCCTCTTGCAATCCAGTCACTATGCTGTGAAGAAGCTCAGCCACATGTATTGGCCAGACTTTAGGCATTCTGGCTGACAGCCAGCCTCAACCTTAGCCTTCAAGATACCCCAGTGCCAGGCATTTGACGGCAAATACATGTCAGATTTGGAGCAGGAACCATGAGTTGAGCCCAGTCAACCTCATAACTGTTAGAGATACATTAAGAAAATCGTTGTTATTTTAAACCACTCAGAAAGGAGAGTTTTGGAGTGCTTTATTTGGGGTAACTAGAACAAACACTACAATCAAAACTTTTTTCCATATATAAAAATATATAAACAATTTTAAAAATTGAATTATGATCATACTGTTTTAAAACTCTGAGATAGGGTTTCTGGGGGTTGTAATATGCTATTTCTTCATCTTAGTACTGAATACACCAGAAGTGTTCACTTTGTGAAAATTAAGTTATAATACTTAATTTGCGCACTCTTCTGATATACTTCAATAAAAAAATGTAATTCAGAAGTTTACTGAAATAATGTGTATGTGTATGTATAGAAATTCAAATATATAGAGATTTTTATATACACATATTATATATTACTAAACAGAGAGACTATATGTTAAAATATTAATGATTATCTGCAGGTAGTGGCACTATAAATTCTAAGTTTGTCCAGAAGTTTCTATAATGAACATCTATCTTATAGCCTGAAAAAGTTGCAAGTGCAAAATAATTCTTAACTCACTTTATTCAGTTGTAAAAATGTTAAACTAGGATGCTGAATCAGAGCTACACAGAACAAACTTAAAACATTAAAATGAATCTTGTCATCAAATCCCAACTTAATCTAAAAATTTTAGTGACGACTTACATAAAACAGCCATGTAGCAATTCTATTTCCTGTCCCCAGCTCTTTGAAAGCATCTGGCTCATCTTTCTGTGAATAAAAACACAGTAAATTCAATGGTGTAAAAATTCAGTAATACAAATACTCTAGTGGCAACTAAACATCAGTAGTAATATCCTGAAGAATATGCCAACAACAACCGCAAAAGTTTCCCTTGTAATGTCCAGTGCACTATAAACATCAGGCAATCTTTTTGTAAGATGGAGTCTTGCTATGTGGACCAGGGTGATCTTGAACTCCTGGCCTCAAGCGATCCTCCTGCCTTAGCCTCCCAAAATGCTAGGATCACAGGTGTGAGCCACTGTACCTGGCCTCAAATACGTGATGACTGAACTTGTATACTGGATACTTTAGACAAGATTACTGGATAAAAAGCAGACTTATTAGCCTAAACGACAGCCATTATCTGCAAGCTACATATTATTTTAAAAACAAATACCCACAATTTTAGCTTCTAAAAAATATGACTTGACAGCCATCTCTTAGCTATACTCCTGAAGCTTAATTTACCTTGAGACTTACTTTGAACTCACGACCTACTGAAATATTTCCTAGTATTATTTTCTTTTTTCTTTTTTTTTTTTTTTGAGACAGAGTCTTGCCCTGTCGCCCAGGCTGGAGTGCAGTGCCATGATCTCAGCTCATTGCAACCTCCACCTCCCGGGTTTAAGCAATTCTTCTGCCTCAGCCTCCCAAGTGGCTGGGGCTACAGGCGTGTACCACCATGCCTGGCTAATTTTTTTGTATTTTTAGTAGAGATGGAGTTTCACCATGTTGGCCAGACTGGTCTTGAACTCCTGACCTCAAGTGATCCACCCACCTTGGCCTCCCAAAGTGCTGGGATTACAGGCATGAGCCACCACGCCTGGCCCCTAGTATTATTTTTCTAATAATGCTAGTAAAGTGACTTTCAGCACTATAATCAAGCTAAAGAATTAATATCTAAATATTTATATCTAAATTAAAATACAATACAACCTCTTGGCATTTCTCCCAGAAAAATGAAAATGCATTTTTCACATAGAAATGTAAACACATCTTTATTTGTAATAGCCAAAAACTAAAAACTATCCAAATGTCCTTCGATGGGTGAATGGCTAAACTGTGGTATATCCGTAACATGGAATACAGGTTGAGCATACCAAAAGTCCAAAATGCAAAATGCTCTGAAGTTCAAAACTTTTAGTGCTAACATGACACAAGTGGAAAATTCCATACATAGTACTCCCTGAAGTAGCTCCCCTATCATACACACTATGCCCCAGCCAGGATGGAAACAGACAGTTCCCCATAAGGCTCCTGTATCACAAGAGATTTATTTTCAAACCCATTCTTTCTTTACTGAAGGTGTAATCCTTGTGGAGATTTAGAGTTTATGCCAGGGTCTCAAATTCAGCAGCCTACACTGTGGCAGATCCTCCTCTTACAGAGCTGTTATTCCCAAAGCTCTAGTTCCTGGAGGCACATACCTCCAGCCTCTGTGTTTTGTCCCCTCTTTAATTCTCTAAGTTTGGGATCATTGTTCAGTTTGCCTTTTGGAACACCCTTTACTTTCTTCCAGGCTTGCCAATGCATTTAAAGTATCTTAAGTGATTTTATTGGGTATCTAGGTGTTTGGTTTTTTTTTTTTAACTGGTAAAAAGGTTTCACAGAATATCTGCCACACCGTATTTCCATAAATTCCAAATAGGCTATGAATTTTTAATGTTAAAATAACAGAATTAACATGTTGACAAAGAATCTCTCCTTGACCCAACTACTCAGGCTCCTCTGAACTTTCTTCTCAAGTAGGCCCTGACTTTGGGCTTCTGGTATTTACCTCTGCATTGTCCAATTTAAGCAAGAACCCTGCTAAGTCAGGTTAGCCAGAATTCCCCGTCCTTGCCATGTGATCACCCTCAAAACCTAACTGGGTTCTTCATCTTCCACTATCCCCTGGATGATGATCACTCTTCCCTGACTTCAGCAAGAATCCTGTTAGGTCAGTTTAGCCAGAATCTTCCCTTACCTCTTAGTAATTTTCCATCTACTAACACCCACCCTTGCTCATTGGCTATAAATTCCCACTTTTCCTTGTTGTATTTGGAATTGGGCTTAACCTCTCTCCCTTACTGCAAAATCCCACTGCATTTGCAGTGGTCCCTATACCTATCGCAATGGTCCCCCCTTGAATGAAGTCTGCCTTACCATCTTTAACAAGTGTCAAGAATAACTTTTTCTTTAACAATGTAATGCGGCCGGGCACAGTGGCTCACGCCTGTAATCCCAGCACTCTGGGAGGCTGAGGTGGGTGGATCACCTGAGGTCAGAAGTTCAAGACCAGCCTGGCCAAAATGGCGAAACCCTGTCGCTACTAAAAATACAAAAATTAGCTGGGCATGGTGGCGCATGCCTGTGATCCCAGCTACTCGGGAGGCTGAGGTAGGAGAATTGCTCCAACCCAGGAGGCAGAGGTTGCAGTGAGCCAAGATCGTGCTACTGCACTCCAGCCTGGGTGACAGAGTGAGACTGTTTTTTTGTTTTGTTTTGAGACAAACAATGTAATGCATAAGCCTCAGTGAATTTCTCCATTTCTTTTTCACTTACCCGTGCAAAGTCAAAATGGGGTTCATACTGTCCTCCAACTCCATAATTTGCTACCTGAAGGAAAGACACAAAGCATGAAAGAAAAGAACTATAAAGATTACTATTCAAAAAAAATCTATGAACCTCATTTTTTGGACTTTTATAGATCATGGTCAGGTATTTACAGAGAAATGAAAAATATTTAAAATCAACAAGAGTTCCTATGAAAACAGGGATGAAAAACAAAGGACAGCTACTATATATCTATGTACAGATCTATATCTACAGATGTATATATAGATATCTATATCTACAGATGTATATATAGATATCTATATCTACAGATGTATATATAGATATCTATATCTACAGATGTATATATAGATATCTATATCTACAGATGTATATATAGATATCTATATCTACAGATGTATATATAGATATCTATATCTCTATACAGATCTACATATATAGATATCTATATATATAGATCTATATCTACATATGTACCCCTCCCCACCCCCCACCAGAGACAGGCTGGAGTGCAGTGATGCAATCAGAGCACACTGCAGCCTCAACCTTTGGGGCACAAGTGATCCTCCCACTTCAGCCTCCTGAGTAGCTGGGACTACAGGTGCATGCTACCACACCCAGCTAATTTTTAAAAATTTAATACATAAGCTAAAATTTGAGATTTCTATTATTTTGTTTCACTAAACACTTTCCTTTGGAACTTAAATCAAAAAATGTTTTCCAAAGCCCCAAATGCTGAACTCGCAATCCACTTTAATAAAATATCTTTTCTTACATATTTTTTCCCTGCTAAAAAAGGAAAGAAATTAACACCAATTTAATTATTCCTGTCGAAGGGCCCTAACAACTTCAGTTGCTTACGACAATGTCCCAGTGTGACGCACCAAAATTTAAGAAAAATATTTGGTCTGAGTTCAAGTTCCAGCTCTCTTAATTACAATGTAACTTTGGATATCATCTCAGTTTTCTTATTTGTTAAAGTGAAGAGAATGATACTTAACTCTTTCCCTCAATCACACAACACAATAAAATGCTGACAAAATCAAAGGAGAACATAATTAAGAGTGCTGCTGATGAAACCAGAAGGAGAATACTGGTGGAACTGGAACTGCTGGAGTGTGTCTTGCTCTGGGGCCAGTAGCCACAGCACCCCTTCATCCCTGAAGCTAAGCCAGGAATGAAGGCCTACTTGAAGGCCTGACATTCCCAAGCAGAGCTGCCAGCAGCTGTTACACCCTTCCTGGTGGGGTCAAGAGAGGTGGAACTGCTCTACCCACCCCTCCCCCAACTCCCTGAGGCAGGAGCTGCAGCCATGTACTCCCTCCCAAGAAAATAGTACTTTGGCAGAACCCTGCATCCCATGAGATGTCTGGGCCACCCAGAACAGTCACGTCCCCTGAGCCTGAGCTGAAACAGCACATCACCCTTGGGGAATTGTTGCACTGGCCAAGCTGAGCAGCTGCACATCCCAGGGCTGAAGTAGTACCCAGAGACCCAGGGAAACAGAGCAGTGGCTAAGCTGAGAAATGTGCCCTGCAGGGCAAATAACTCTAGTACCCTGCTTCCCTGGAGAGTCTGCGCTGCTGAGACACTTCTCTTTCTAGGGAGTGAAGTCATTGCTGTGCTGCTCTCTGCCCCACAGGGCCCAAACAACAGGCATGCTTGGCCATTCAGGGGTGCCTGTTCCTGCTGTACCTGGCCTCAGAGTCTGGGATCCATCTGAGCTCCACCAATCCAGGTTCTAGAGTGACTACTAGAACCTGGTGCCTCATCCAGGGCACCTCATCATGGTGCCTCATCCCCAGGGATAGGAGTTGCCACTAAGCCCTATTGGCTCAGGCTCCTAATAGAGCCAAACCCTGCATCCCAGACTCAAACCTCCAGAGCATCCTCTCTTCCCTGGAGTTGGGCCAGGGCTGTGCCCTGTCCACCAGGGGTAGACTCACAGCTACAACCTGACACTCTTTTCCCAAGCAGCTAGAGGGTGCCTCAGAGTCACAGATCCTGGCACTATAGGCAACCTACATCCAACCCTGCCAATAGTGACCCTGTACCCTAACACCCAGGTGTTACAATAGTATGCAAGACCCTGAGCCCAGGATCCTAGCCCCATAGCCACTCCAAACGCTTGCACCTGGATTGCAGCACCATGGCAGCTGCTTGTAGGATATGTAAGACCTGCCACCAAGAAGACTCCCACTGGCTAAAACTCCCTATTGTGGGGAAAACAAGAATGGAAGGATTCCAAAAGCTCTTGCCACTGAAGATATTAACAATCTACTCCACAGCTACCACCACTGCAAACTTCTCCAGCCTAGGCTGTTGAGGCACCCACAGTTATTCTGACAATGAATGCAGCTGAATAGGCTATAAGAGACTACAGTACTGAACCTACCTGGAAACAGAGTCACCACACCCTTCCCAAACAGCCCAACAGAAGCGGAAAGTTTAAAAGAGCCAATTGTTCCACTAGATGCACAGACATCAATGCAGGAAACAAGAAACATTAAAAAGCAATGAAATATGACACTGCTGAGAATGTAACTCTCTAGTTACAGGCCCAAATGTAAAGGAAATCAACACCTAGCTAGAAAAAAATTCAAATAATGATCTTAAGGAAACTCAAACAGATAAAAGAAAATACAGATAGATAATTCAATGAAATCAGGAAAACAATTCATGATATGAATCAGAATTTCAACAAAGAAAGATATCATAAAAAAGAACCAAACAAAACACTTGCAGCTGAAGAATTCAATGAATGCAGGAGGCTGAGGCAGGAGAATCGCTTGAACCTGGGAGGCGGAGGTTGCAGTGAGCCAAGATCTTGCCACTGCACTCCAGCGTGGCGACAGAGCGAGACTCTGTCTCAGAAAAAAAAAAAAAAAAAGAATTCAATGAATGAAATTAAAAATACAATACAAAGCTGCACCAGCACACTTGATTAAGCAAAACAATCTCTGAACCTGAAGATACATTATTTAATATTACTCAGAGGGGAAAAAAAAAGGAAACAATAATGAAAAAGGATAAAGAGAGCCTACAAGACTTCTGGGACACCATTAAACATTTGTATTACAGGAGTTCCAAAAGGAGAAGAAAGGTAAAAGGCACAGAAAACCTATTTAATAATAGCTGAAAACTACCCAAGTCTGGGGAAGAGATAAGGGTATCCAACTCCAGGAAGTTCAAAAGTCCCCAAATAGATTCAACCAAAAAAAGTCCCCTCTGAAGCACATTTCAGTCAGATTGTCAAACATCAAAGACAAATAAAGAATTCTAGAAACAGCAAGATAGCTAGATTAACAAAGAAAAAAGATCCAAATAAGCACAATCAGAAATAACAAAGGTGACATTACAACTGACCCCAAAGAAATATAAAAAGTCCTCAGAGATTATTATGAACACCTCTATGCACACAAACTTTTATAAAAAACCTAGAAGAAATGGATAAATTCCTGGAAACACACAACCTCCCAAGACTGAAACAGAAAAAAACTGAAACCCTGAACAGACCAATAAGGAATTCTGAAATTGAAATTCAATTTTAATTAAAAACAAAAAAACAAAAAAACAACCTACTAACCAAAAAAAGCTCTGGACTGGATGGATTCACAGCTGAATTTTACCAGACATACAAAGAGCTAGTATCAATCCTACTGAAATTATTCCAAAAGATTGAGAACGAATCTTTCCTTAACTCATTTTATGAAGCCAGCATCATCATTCTGATACCAAAACTCATCACAGACATAATGAAAAAAGAAAACTTCAGGCTGATATTCCTGATGAACACAGACACAAAATACTCAAAAAAATACTAGAAAACAAAACCTAGCAGCACATCAAAAAGTTAATTTACTATAATCAATTAGGCTTTATTTGTGGGGTGCAAGGTTGGTTCAATAAATGTAATTCACCACATAAACAGAATTAAAAACCATATGATCATCTCTGCAAATGCAGAAAAAGCTTTCAAAAAAATTCAGCATCCTGGCCAGGCACAGTGGCTCACACCTGTAATTCCAGCACTTTGGGAGGCCAAAGTGGATGGATCACCTGAGGTCAGGAGTACGAGACCAGCCTGGCCAACATGGTAAAACCCTGTCTCTACTAAAAATATAAAAATTAGCTGGGCATGGTGGCAGGGGCCTGTAATCCCAGTTACACAGGAGGCTGAGGCAGGAGAACTGCATTAACCCAGGAGGTGGAGGTTGCAGTGAGCCAAGATCACACCACTGCACTCCAGCCTGGGCAAGAGAGTAAGACTACATCTCAAGAAAAAACAAACAAAAAAACCCAAAAATAACAGACACTGGCAAGGATGAAGAGAAAGGGGCATGCTCATACACTGCTGGTGGGAATGTAAATTAGTACAATCACTATGGAGAACAGTACAGAGGTTCCCTTAAAAACTAAAAATAGATCTACCATATGATCCAGCAATCCCAGTGCCAAGTATATATCCAAAAGAAAGGAAATTAGCATGATGAAGAGATATCCGCATTCCCATGTTTATTGCAGGACTATTCACAACAGCTAACATATGGAATCAACCTAAGTGTCCATCAACAGATGAATGGATAAAGAAAATGTGGTGCTTATATATAATGAAACACTATTCAGCCATAAGAAGAATGTAATCTTATCACATGGATGGAACTGGAGTTCATTATATTAGTAAAATAAGCCCAGCATAGACAAATATCACATGTTCTCACTCACATGTGGGATTTCTGCATTTCCAACTGAGGTACCTGGTTCATCTCATTGGGACTGGTTGGACAGTGGGTGCAGACCATAGAGAATGAGCCAAAGCAGGGCGGGGCATCGCCTCACCCAGGAAGCACAAGGAGTCAGGGAATTTCCCTTTCCTAGCAAAGGGAAGCCATGACAGACTGTACCTGGAAAAACCGGACAATCCTGCCCACATACTGCGCTTTTCCCACAGTCTTAGCAACTGGCAGACCAGGAGATTCTTTCCTGTGCCTGGCTCAGTGGGTCCCATGCCCATGGAGCCTTGCTCACTGCTAGTGCAGCAGTCTGAGATGGACCTGAGAGGTTGCAGCCTGGCTGGAGGAGGGGTGTCCACCATTGCTGAGGCTTGATTAGGTAAACAAAATGGCCAGAAAGCTCAAACTGGGCGGAGCCCACCACAGCTCAGCAAGGCCTACTGCCTCTGTAGACTCCACCTCTGTGGGCAGGGCATAGCTGAACAAAAGCCAGCAGACAACTTCTGCAGACTTAAACGTCCCTGTCTGACAGCTCTGAAGAGAGCAGTGGTTCTCCCAGGATGGCATTTGAGCTCTGAGAACCAAAGACTGCCTCCTCAAGAGGGTCCCTGACCCCCGTGTAGCCTAACTGGGGGAAACCTCCCAGTAGGGGCCGACAGACACCTCATACAGGCGGGTGCCCCTCTGGGATGAAGCTTCCAGAGGAAGGATCAGGCAGCAATATTTGCTGTTCTGCATCCTCTGCTGGTGATACCCAGGCAAACAGCGTCTGGAATGGACCTCCAGCAAACTCCAACAGACCTGCAGCTGAGGGACCTGACTGTTAGAAGGAAAACTAACAGAAAGGAATAGCATCAACATCAACAAAAAGGTCATCTACACCAAAACCCCATCTGTAGGTCACCAACATCGAAGGCCAAAGGTAGACAAAACCACAAAGATGGGGAGAAACCAGAGCAGAAAAGCTGAAACTTCTAAAGATCAGAGCACCTCCTCTCCTCCAAAGGACTGCAGCTCCTCACAAGCAACAGAACAAAGCTGGACAGAGAATGACTTTGATGAGCTGACAGAAGTAGGCTTCAGAAGGTCGGTAATAACAAACCTCCCAGCTAAAGAAGCATGTTCTAAGCCATCGCAAGGAAGCTAAAACCCTTGAAAAAAGGTTAGACGAATGGCTAACTAGAACAAACAGTGTAGAGAAGACCTTGAATGACCTGATGGAGCTGAAAACCATGGCATAAGAACGTCATGGTGCATGCACAAGCTTCGGTAGCCGATTTGATCAAGTGGAACAAAGGGTATCAGTGATTGAAGATGGAATTAATGAAATAAAGCAAGAAGACAAGTTTAGAGAAAAATGAGTAGAAAGAAACAAATAAAGCCTCCAAGAAATATGGGACTATCTAAAAAGACCAAATCTATGTTTGATTGGTGTACACCTGAAAGTGACGGGGAGAATGGAAACAGGCTGAAAAACACTATTCAGGAAATTATCCAGGAGAATTTCCCCAACCTAGCAAGGCAGGCCAACAGTCAAATTCAGAAATACAGAGAACACCACAAAGATACTTCTCGAGAAGAGCAACCACAAGACACGTAATTGTCAGATTCACCAAGGCTGAAATGAAGGAAAAAATCTTAAGGGCAGCCAGAGAGAAAGGTCGGGTTACCCACAAAGGGAGGCCCATCAGACTAACAGTGGATCTCTCTGCAGAAACCCTACAAGCAAGAAGAGAGTGGGGGCCAATATTCAACATTCTTAAAAAAAAGAATTTTCAACCCAGAATTTCATATCCAGCCAAACTAAGCTTTCTAAATAAAGGAGAAATAAAATCCTTTGCAGACAAGCAAATGCTGAGAGATTTTGTCACCACCAGGCCTGTCTTACAAGAGCTCCTGAAGGAAGCACTAAACATGGAAAGGAACAACTGGTACCAGCCACTGCAAAAACATGCCAAATTATAAAGACCATCGATGCTATGAAGAAACCGCATCAATTAACGAGCAAAATAACCAGCGAACATCATAATGACAGGATCAAATTCACATATAACAATATTAGCCTTAAATGTAAATGGGCTAAATGTCCCAATGAAAAGGCACAGACTGGCAAATTGGATAAAGAGTCAAGACCCATCAGGAGACACATCTCATGTGCAGAGACACACATAGGCTCAAAATAAAGGGATGGAGGAAGATCTACGAAGCAAATGGAAAGAAAAAAAAAAAAAAAAGCAGCGGCTGCAATCCTAGTCTCTGATCAAACAGACTTTAAACCAACACAGATCAAAAGAGACAAAGAAGGCCATTACGTAATGGTATAGGGATCAATTCAACAAGAAGTGCTAACTATTCTAAATATATATGCACCCAATACAGGGGCACCCAGATTCATAAGGCAAGTCCTTAGAGTCCTAAAAAGAGACTTAGACTCTCACACAATAATAATGAGAGACTTTAACACTCCACTGTCAATATGAGATCAACAAGACAGAAGGTTAACAAGAATATCCAGGACTGGAACTCAGCTCTGCACTAAGCAGACCATTATAATAGACATCTACAGAACTCTGTCCACCCCAAATCAACAGAATATACATTCTTCTCAGCACCACATCACACTTATTCTAAAACTGACCACATAATTGGAAGTAAAGCACTCCTCAGCAAATGTAAAAGAACAGAAATCACAACAAACTGTCTCTCAGACCACAGTGCAATCAAATTAGAACTCAGGATTAAGAAACTCACTCAAAACCACACAACTACATGGAAACTGAACAACCTGCTCCTGAATGACTACTGGGTAAATAACGAAATGAAGGCAGAAATAAACATGTTCTTTGAAACCAATGAGAACAAAGACACAACGTACCAGAATCTCTGGGACACATTTAAAGCAGTGTAGAGGAAAATTTATAGCACTAAATGCCCACAAGAGAAAGCAAGAAAGACCTAAAATCGACACCCTAACATCACAATTAAAAGAACAAGAGAAGCAAGAGCAAACAAATTCAAAAGCTAGCAGAAGGCAAGAAATAACTCAGATCAAAGCAGAACTGAAAGAGATACAGACATAAAAAACCCTTCAAAAAATCAATGAATCCAGGAGCTGGTTTTTTGAAAAGATCAACAAAATTGATAGACAGCTAGCAAGACTAATAAAGAAGAAAAGAGAGAATAATCAAATAGACACAGTAAAAAATGATAAAGGGGATATCACCACAGATCCCACAGAAATACAAACTACCATCAGAGAATACTATAAACACCTCTATGCAAATAAACTAGAAAATCTAGAAGAAATGGATAAATTCCTGGACACATACACCCAAGACCAAACCAGGAAGAAGTTGAATCTCTGAATAGAAAAATAACAGACTCTGAAATTGAGGCAATAACAGCCTACCAACTAAAAAAAGTTCAGGACCAGATGGATTCACAGCCGAATTCTATCAGAGGTACTAAGAGGAGCTGGTACCATTCCTTCTGAAACTATTCCAATCAACAGAAAAAGAGGGAATCCTCCCTAACTCATTTTATGAGGCCAGTATCATCCTGATACCAAAGCCTGGCAGAGACACAACAAAAAAAGAGAATTTTAGGCCAATATCGCTGATGAACATCGACGCAAAAATCCAACCGAATCCAGCAGCACATCAAAAAGCTTATCCACCACAATCAAGTCAGCTTCATCCCTGGGATGCAAGGCTGGTTCAACATACACAAATCAATAAACGTAATCCATCACATAAACAGAACCAATGACAAAAACCACATGATTATCTCAATAGATGCAGAAAAGGCCTTTGACAAAATTCAACAGCCCTTCATGCTGAAAATGCGGTAAACTAGGTATTGATGGAACATATCTCAAAATAATAAGAGCTATTTATGACAAACCCACAGCCAATATCATACTGAATGGGCAAAAACTGGAAGCACTGTTTGAAATCCGGCACAAGACAAGGATACCCTCCCTCACCACTCCTATTCAACATAGTGTTGGAAGTTCTGGCCAGGGCAATAAGGCAAGAGAAAGAAATAAAGGGTATTCAATTAGGAAAACAGGAAGTCAAATTGTCCCTGTTTGCAGATGACATGATTGTATATTTAGAAAACCCCATTGTCTCAGCCCAAAATCTCCTTAAGCTGATAAGCAACTTCAGCAAAGTCTCAGGATACAAAATCAATGTGCAAAAATCACAAGCATTCCTATATACCAATAACAGACAGAGAGCCAAATCATGAGTGAACTCCCATTCACAATTGCTACAAAGAGAATAAAATACCTAGGAATCCAACTTACAAGGGATGTGAAGAACCTCTTCAAGGAGAACTACAAACCACTGCTCAACGAAATAAAAGAGGACACAAATGGAAGAACATTCCATGCTCATGGATAGGAAGAATCAATATCGTGAAAATGGCCATACTGCCCAAGGTAATTTACAGATTCAATGCCATCCCCATCAAGCTACCAATGACTTTCTTCACAGAATTGGAAAAATCTACTTTAAAGTTCATATGGAACCAAAAAAGAGCCCACATAGCCAAGACAATCCTAAGCCAAAAGAACAAAGCTGGAGGCATCATGCTACCTGACTTCAAACTATACTACAAGGCTACAGTAACCAAAATAGCATAGTACTGGTACCAAAACAGAGACATAGACCAATAGAACAGAACAGAGGCCTCAGAAATAACAACACACATCTACAACCATCTGATCTTTGACGAACCTGACAAAAACAAGAAATGGGGAAAGGATTCCCTATTTAATAAACGGTGCTGGGAAAACTGGCTAGCCATATGTAGAAAGCTGAAACTGGATCCCTTCCTTACACTTTATATAACAATTAATTCAAGATGGATTAAAGACTTAAATGTTAGACCTAAAACCATAAAAACCCTAGAAGAAAACCTAGGCAATACCATTCAGGACATAGGCATGGGCAAGGACTTCATGACTAAAACACCAAAAGCAATGGCTACAAAAGCCAAAATATACAAGTGGGATCTAATTAAACTAAAGAGCTTCTGCATGGCAAAAGAAACTACCATCAGAGTGAACAGGCAACCTACAGAATGGGAGAAAATTTTTGCAATCTACCCATCTGACAAATGGCTGATATCCAGATCTACAAAGAACTTAAATTTACAAGAAAAAAACAACCCCATCAAAAAGTGGGCAAAGGATATGAACAGACACTTCTCAAAAGAAGACATTTATGCAGCCAACAGGCACATGAAAAAATGCTCATCATCACTGGTCATAAGAGAAATGCGAAGCAAAACCACAATGAGATACCATCTCATGCCAGTTAGAATGGCAATCATTAAAAAGTGAGGAAACAACAGATGCTGGAGAGGATGTGGAGAAATAGGAATGCTTTTACACTGTTGGTGGGAGTGTAAATTAGTTCAGCCATTGTGGAAGACAGTGTGGTGATTTCTCAAGGATCCAGAAGTAGAAATACCATTTGACCCAGCAATCCCATTACTGGGTAAATACCCAAAGGATTATAAATCATGCTACTATAAAGACACATATACACGTATGTTTACTGTGGCACTATTCACAATAGCAAAGACTTGGAACCAACCCAAATGTCCATCAATAATAGACTGGATTAAGAAAATGTGGCACATGTACACCATGGAATACCATGCAGCCATAAAAAAGGATGAGTTCATGTCCTTTGCAGGGACATGGATGAAGCTGGAAACCATCATTCTCAGCAAACTCTCACAAGGACAGAAAACCAAACACCACATGTTCTCACTCATAGGTGGAAATTGAACAATGAGAACACTTGGACACAGGGCAGGGAACATCACACACCGGGGCCTGTCGGAGGGTGGGGGGCTGGGGGAGGAATAGCATTAGGAGAAATACCTAATGTAAATGATGAGTTGATGGGTGCAGCAAACCAACATGGCACATGTATACCTATGTAACAAACCTGCACGTTGTGCACATGTACCCTAGAACTTAAAGTATAAAAAAAAAAAAAGGGAAGGAAGGAAGGAAAGAAGGGAGTCAGGGAGGGGGAGGGGGGAGGGAGAGAGGAAGGAAGGAAGTAAAGAAATAAAGAGGGTGGGAGGGAGGAAGAGAGAGAAGAAAGAAAGGAAAGGAGGGAAGGATGGATGCAGGGAGGGAGGGAAGGGAAGGAAGGAAGGAAGGAAGCAAGCAAACATGGAAGGAAGGAAATATGGAAGGAAGGAAGGGAGAGAGAGAGGAAGGAAGGGAGGGAGAGAGGAGGGGAGGGAGGGAGAGAGGGAGGGAGGGAGGGACAGAGGGAGGGAGGGAAGAATCAGAAATCATAGCCAGTGAAACCCAGGAAAACCATTAGGCAGGAATCAGGACGATACCTTATTCAGGTTTGCATTCCCAACATTTAGCACCACATGTATCAAAAATGTTGTTGGATGAATACTGAACAACAGTCAAACACTGAATAAACCTGGCAGGTGTGCATCACAGGGGAGGGCACAGTGTTACTGGACTCTGAGTGGGTTGCTGTTTTTCATGCCAAGTCATGATAGGATTCAGTGTGTTGGGTGAACACAGTTTTATGAATCTCACTTTTAAAAAACTGCAAGCGTTATAAATAAAAGCTTTCATAATTTTGAGATAGGAAAAAAAAACAGAAGAAAAGACCACGTGTTCTGACAAAGACGGAGTAGGATGGCATCAAACCGTGTCACTGTAAAACACACACACACACACACACACACACACACACACACACAAAATACATTTTTAAAACTTAATTAGAAAAAGGGAATTAACTGTCTTTAAGAATACATTTTGGTCTTCTGATAAATTAACAGTTTATTTATTTATTTATTTCTGAAACAGAGTTTTGCTCTCGTTGCCCAGGCTGGAGTGCAATGGCGCAATCTCAGCTCACCGCAACCTCCACCTCCTGGGTTCAAGCAATTCTCCTACCTCAGCCTGCCGAGTAGCTGGAATTACAGTCATGTGCCACCACGCCCAGCTAATTTTTTTGTATTTTTTAGTAGAGACGGGGTTTCTCCATGTTGGTCAGGCTGGTCTCGAACTCCTGACTTCAGGTGATCCACCTGGCTCGGCCTCCCAAAATGCTGGGATTACAGGCATGAGCCACCAGACCCGGACAACAGTTTATTATTTAAAGTTGAAAAGAGGCCAGACACAGTGGCTCATGCCTGTAATCCCAACACTTTGGGAGGCCAAGGCAGGCAGATCACTTGAGGCCAGGAGTTCAAGACCAGCCTGGCCAACATGGTGAAACCCCATCTCTACTAAAAATACAAAAATTAGCTAGCCGTGGCGGCATGTGCCTGTGGTCCCAGCTACCTGGGAGGCTGAGGCAGGAGAATCACTTGAGCCCAGGAAGCAGAGGTCGCACTGATCCAAGATTGCACCACTGCACTCCAGTGAGACTGTCTCAAAAAGAAAAAGAAAGGTTGAAAAGAAGCAAAAGTATCACCTTTCTAATGAATTTATGAGCTGCATATTGACTGCATCTGTCTTAGAATTTTGCAACCAGGCCAGGCACAGTGCCTCACGCCTGTGTAATCCCAGCACTTTGGGAGGCCAAGGCAGGTGGATCACTTGAGGTCAGGAGTTCAAGAGCAGCCTGGCCAACATGGTGAAACCCCGTCTCTACTAAAAATACAAAATTAGCTCAGTGTGGTGGCGCATGCCTGTAATCCCAGCTACTTGGGAGGCTGAGGCAGGAGAATCGCTTGAACCAGGAGACAGGGGTTGTAGTGAGTCGAGATCATGTCACTGCACTCCAGCTTGGGCCACAGAGCCAGACTCAGACTCCATCTCAAAAAAAAAAAAAAAAAAAAAATTGCAACCAGAAAGGCTAAAATAAAGGCATTGGTTTTTTTAGTGCACATTTTGATAACTTCAAAAAAAAAATCTAATACAGAAAAGGGAACTCAAATATTTTAAAAAGTATTTTTCTACAGGAAAAGACTAAGGAATAGTAAATAACGCTGACAAAGGGGAAGACTAAGCTGTTTCTTTTCTCTGGTTTATAGGCCTATGCTTAGTTTTTTTTTTTTACTATTGAAACCAAGTGAGATTATTATACATGGATTTTATGTTTATTCCCTATAACTAACATTCCTATATATACCTGTTTACTACAGATATTTTGAGTCAAGTTGTGATTATGACGGAGTGAAGAAGAATTATTTTGGGACAGCTACTTTTGATGACAAATGATTTATAGACATAAAAGTAACAGAAAAAGAGAAGTGATGAAAAAAGTCCTATGTTTCACTATTACAAATAAAGGAAAACTGTTTGCTTAAAAATAAATAAATAAAAAGGAAAAAAACCCACTATTTTTTAAAACCCACCCTGGCCACTTGACAGGCAAAGTGAGGCCTGGGGGATAGAAAAAAAATTACAGTGTACTTAGTAAGTATTAGTGATCTATATTTTTCATTTCCCTAGATAAGAGTTTTCATGTTTTGACAAGAAATTTAAAAGTCACAGAACAATCACAATTTTTCCCATTATTAAAATCACTTTGCATGGTTGCAGCTTACAGGGTCACTTTTTAAGGTCCCAAACTATCATGCAAATTGAGGACTGCCTGTTCAGTGTCAGGAAATCTCCTCTCAAGCATCTCCTGAAGTGTAAAAATGACTTAAGGATAATGTGATTACCTACCTGTAATTCCTCTGCTGTGGAAACATCTAGTCCTGTTAGATCTTGTATTCTCATATTAATTCGAGACACCACAGGATTTTCATAGCCAGAGAGCCAGGCACTAAGAATAAGAGGAATATTAGTTTTATTGATAATGTTTCATTACATGGAGACTAATAGCTGTTATTTTTAAAGCCATAATATTTAATATATAGGACAATAAACCTTTACTGAAGGCATTTAGTTCATTTTCTTGCTTAGTATCATCTTTATTAATGGATATTGTAATTTTTTTTAAATGTCACATTCTACTGTTAGAGGTTGGGAAGGAAAAAACTAATCAAATTTATTATAATGCTTATATGAAAACAGTTGGATTAATGTAAGGAGGCTATATTGAAAGCCACCTACATTGAGAACTTCAAAAAATTCTTTAAAAAACCATACCAAACAAAACAACGTTCTTTCCAGGTAAGGTATAGGAACTGACTATGGTGGAAGTCATGGGGTCTTTAGTCTGAGCTACATAATGCTAATATTTTATAAGAAAAAAATTCTGCTTACTGCTTAAGTTTTGAAAAGTTACCCAAACACACCTACTGAAGGATGGACAATAACAGGTGTTGGTAAGGATGTGAAGAAACTGGAGCCCTCATACATTGCTAATGGGAATGTAAAAGGGGCAGCCACTTTGGAAAACAGTTTGGTAGTTGCTCAAAATGCTAAACACAGTTATCAAATGACCCAGCAATTTACTTCTAGGTATATATCCAAGAGAAATTAAATCTTATGTCCATACAATAACTTGTACAGAATTTTTTATGGCATCATTACATATAATAGCCAAAAAGTAGAAACTACCCAAATATCCATCAATTTATCAATGGATACATAAAACGTGATAGATCTATAAACTGGAATATTATTGTGTCACAAAAAGGAATAAAGTACTGGCCAGGCACAGTGGCTCATGCCTGTAATCCCAGCACTTTGGGAGGCTGAGGTGGAAAGGTCTCTTGAGGCCAGGAGTTTGAGACCAGCCTGGGCAATACAGTGAGACCCCAACTCTACAAAACATTTAAAAAATTAGCTGGGCATGGTGGCATGCACCTGTAATTCCAGCTACTCTGGCAGCTGAAGCAAGAGAGCCGCTTGAGCATGGGAGTTTGAGGCTGCAGTGAATTATGATCACACCACTGCACTCCAACCTGGGTGACAGAGTGAGACCCTGTCTCTACATACATGCTACAACATGGATGGAACATCATATTAAGTCAAAGAAGCCAGATACAAAGGCCACATGTTATATAATGCCACTTCTATGAAATATACAGAATAGACAAATCAATAGATAATAGAAAATAGATTAGTGGTTGCCAGGGGATGGGGATGGGGCTGGGGGGAATGGGAAATGACTCCTAATGGGTACAGGATTTTTTTTGAGTGACAAAAATGTTCTGGAACTAGACATTGGTTATAGTTGCACAAGGCTAAAAACCACTGAAATGCATACTTTAAAAGCGTGAATTTTATGATACGGGAACTATATCTCAATTTTAAATGGTACTCCCAAATTCAGCTATATCCCTTTTTCACATATGCTTTTAAGCAGTCAATCAGTCCTTCGCTTTCTTCACTTCTCCTCTCACTGAGCTTTGATTCCATAGTTCATCATTTTAACATTCTTTCTAAACGCCTAAACTCAACTGTCTGGCAAAAACAATCCTGGATCAATCTCTTTTATCTAAGCGTATATCTCTGTCACCAAACCCTACTGGAGAAAGTCATGAAATAGGGCAGATATGTTCCACTAAAAATTCATGAATACCAACTTCAAATGGGCTCTTCACTTTACTTCCTCTTCCACTCTGTACCCTAACTCACTTCAGCCTCTCCCTTCACTCAGTAGATAATGTATTTCCTACTTCATAGAGCAAATAAACGCCTTTACAATTAAAAATGATTTCCCCAAATCTGTACATCCCTCCAGTTACCAATCTTTCTTTTCCCTCTTCAAGCTAACTTTGTCAGATTCCTAATCTCTGAACCCACTGTAATCTAGCTTTAGTCACTTATATCACTCCCTCAAAATTGCTCTTGCTAATCTTACCCACAGCCCTATTGTGCTTCTAAATCTAATGACATTTTTCAATTCTCATTGTATTTGTTCCTTTGGTAACATTTGTGACAATACTCATCCTTTTGGAAACTCTCTCAAACACTCATTCTCCAGGAATTCCTCTAGTATCTCAGGCTGCTTTTTCTTGGTCTCCTAATTTACAGCCTCCAACACTATATTCTGCCTCCCTCTCAGGACAGCAGCAACATTTCCTCAAGAACGTATTTCCTCTAGGCCTAAGGCTAGTGCGTATGCTCTTCTCTCTGCCCAGAATATTCTTTTTCACTTTGCAAAATTAAGACTCTGGATATCACCTTAGTTACCACTTCTTTAGAGAAGCTTTCCTTTACCTCTCCCGCTGCCAGACGAAGCCAAAGCTTCCACAGACAGACAAAGGAAGCGAGCAAGCGTAAGAGAGAGAGCAAGAGAGAGTGTGTGGGTTTTTCTTTAACAAGAGAAAGACATGGAGAAGAAAGAAGTTTTTACTAATCATTACCAACATGAAACTAACATGACAAACAGGGTGGATTCTTAGATTTATCCTATATTACTAAAATTATTTGCTTGGTGATATCTTGCAAATTTTTTGGGACTGGCTGAGTATTACAGAATTCCTCAGTGTAGCAAAAATGGGAAGAATCAAAGTGTTATTGTTGTAAAGAATATAGCTGATTAAGTATATTAAGAATTTTTTTCTTCTAATTCTGCCCAAGTTCCTGGTAGAACTAATCTGGTATATGTCAATGTACCTGTCTTTCCTGCCTAGCACAATTTGATGGATGTCTGAACTTTATAAGCAACCAACCAACTACTGACTTGATTTTTACAGGTAATTGCAATGCTAAATTGGAAAGCATTCTAATAAAGCTTCGAACTAAATGCCTCATGAACAAACTGTTCCTATTCCATCCTGGAACCTATCACCCACAGAGAACGTGTCTTCTGATATCTTCAACTTCCCTCCCTGCTACCAACAACTTTTAAATATCTAGTCTTATCTTTTCCTCTTGTACTTTGGTAGAATCATCGTCCTTCAGCCTTATAGAGGCAGACTTTCTATCTATGCTTTTGATTCTATGCTTTCTAACTCTAGATGCCTTACTCCAGCAGTTATTGCCTCCCTTTTATCTTTAATCTCCTCCTTGTCAATGCTTGCTTATTGAAGTCTCCTGCTACCAAGAAAAATACCTTCACTTTAGCCATTCTAGCAAATTACCACTCCAGTCTTTCACTTTACTCCTTTAAAACTGCAAAAGTAAGAAATGCTTGTTACATTCCACAAATGGTCATGGGACACTGGTTATCTACATGCAAAGAAAGAAGCTGGACCTCTGCTTCACATTATATTAAAACGAATTACTCAAGATGGATCAAAGACCTAAATGTAAAAGCTAAAATTATAAAAACTGTGGGAAGAAAACACAGGAGCAAATCTTTGTGACGTTGGACGAAGCAATGGTTTAGCTATGACATCAAAAGTACAGGCAACAAAAGGAATAAATAAATGGGACATTATCCAAATAAAAACCTTTTATGCTTCAAAGAATAACATCAGGAAAGTTAAACAGGATGGGCACAGTGTCTCAAATCTGTAATCCCAGCACTTTGGGAAGCCAAGGCAGGAAAATCACTTGAGTTCAAGACCAGTCTCGGCAACCTAGCAAGACCCTGTCTCCACAAAAAAAGTTTAAAAATTAGCCAGGCATGGTAGCGTGTGCCTGTGTAGTCCTAGCTACTCATAAGGCTGAAGCGGAAGGATTACTTAAGCCCAGGAGTTCAAGGATGCAGGGAGCTACAATCACACCACTGCACTCCAGCCTGGGCCCCAGAATGAGAACCTATCTCTAAAAAAATAAAAATTTGTGGTAAAATACATGTAACATAAAATTAGCCATTTAGACTATTTTTTAAATTATGGTAAAATATATATAACAGCAATTTTACCATTTTAATTAAGTGTACAATTCACTGGTGTTAAGTACATTTACAATACCTTACAACCATCAGCACTATCCATTTCCAGAACTTTTTCATCAAAACCAAACAGAAAACTGTACCCACTGAACAACAACTCCCATCTCTCCCTCCTCACAACCCCTGGTAATCCTCTATTCTACGTTCTGTCTGTATGGATTTGCCTATTCTAGGTATCTCCTGTAAGAAGAATCATATAATATTTGTCAATTCTAGCTTATTTCACTTAACATGTGTGTGTGGTTTTTTTTTTTTTTTTTGGAGACAGGGTCTCAACTCCAGTTGCCCAGGCTGGAGTGCAGTGATGCAATCTTGGCTCACTGCAGCCTCAACCTTCCGGGCTCAGGTGACTCTTCCACCTCAGCCTCCCAAGTAGCTGGGACTACAGGCATGCACCACCATAGTTTTTTGTATTTTTAGTAGAGACGGGGTTTCATCATGGTGACCAGGCTGGTGTCAAACTCCTGGACTCAGGCAATCTGCCTGCCTCAGCCTCCCAAAGTGCTGAGATTACAGGTGTGAGCCACCACACCCAGCCAAAATAATGTTTTCAAGGTTCATCCATGTTATAAGCAGGGTATCAGAAATTCATTTCCTTTTTTAAGGCTGAATAATATTCTATTATCTATATATACCACATGTTTATCCATTCATTTGTTGATGGACATTTGGGTTGCTTCTAACCTTGGGCTATAGTGAATAAATGCTGTTATGAACATAGGTGTGCAAGTATATGACTCCTTGCTTTAAATTATTTTGGGTATGTACCTAGAAGTAGAATTGCTAGATCACATGGTAACCCTAAACTTTTTGAGGAGCTGGCAGACTATATTCCACAGCAGTGACACCACTTTATATTCCCATCCCTCACTGCCTTTTAAACTACTGCTTTTAGAAAAAAAAAAAAAATCTAATAACCTCCCAGCACTTTGGGAAGCCAAGGTGGGAGGATCGTTTGGGGATAGGAGTTGAAGACCAGTCTGGGAAACATAGCAAGACCCCGTCTTTACAAAAAAAATTAAAATAAATTAATGAGCAAGGTGTGGTGGCACAGGTTTATAGTTTCAGCTACTTAGAGGCTGAGGCAGGAGGATTGCTTGAGCCCAGGAGTTCGAGGTTGCTATGCCCACACCACTACACTCCAGCCTTGGCAACAGAATGAGACCTCATCTCTTAAAAAAACAACAGAACACCACCACAAACTTTTAATTCCAGGAATGGCCATGAAAGTCTACCAATTAAGTACTGGTTAAATAATAGGTTATTTCTAATTTTTCTCTGTTATAAACAATATTGTAACAAAATGCTATATCTTTGCACACTTGTGGGAGTATCTCTGTACGATAAATTCCTAGATGTGGAATTGCTAAATGACTTTTACATTTTGATAAATGTCAAATTTCCCTCCAAAACAGTTGCAATGATTTACACCTACCCATTTCATAAAACCCTTGCCAGTTTCAATCCTTTTATTCTTTGTCAATCTTAGCAAGGCAAAAATATTTTAATGGTTTAAATTTTTTAAGTTTTTATTTGCATTTCTTGTTATATCATAACATATCTCGGCCAGGCGCAGTGGCTCACGCCTGTAATCCCAGCACTTTGGGAGACTGAGGCGGGTGGATCTCTTGAGGTCAGGAGTTCGAGACCAGCCTGACCAACGTGGTGAAACCCCGCCTCCACTAAAAATACAAAATTAGCCAGGTGTGAAGGTGCACACCTGTAACTTCAGCTACTTGGGAGGCTGAGGCAGAAGAATCTCTTGAACCAGGAGGCAGAGGTTGCAGTGAGCCGAGATCACGCCATTGCACTCGAGTCTGGGCAACAAGAGCAAAACTCCGTCTCAAAAAAAAAAAAAAAAATCTTGATGAAGGGTTTGAGGCTTAGCAGTTAAAACCAATGTTGATTGTAGGTTAAAAAAAAAATAACTGTCAAACTGTCATCTTAATTGTAGTTCTGTTGTAGTCACTACAGAGGAAAATGAATTCTACTGATGCATGGGAAGTTATTTCATTTAATTTGACTTTCATGTAAAATCCCCTCCAAAATATAGTAACACTCCCTTTTTTTTTGAGATGGAGTCTGGTTCTGTCACCCAGGCTAGAGTGCAATGACGCTATCTCGACTCACTGCAACTTCTACCTCCCGGGCTCAAGCAATCCTCCCACCTCAGCCTCCGGAGTAACTGGAACTACAAGCATGCACCACCACGCCCGGCTAATTTTTGTATTTTTTTGTAGAGATGAGGTTTCACCATGTTGCCCAGGCTGGTCTCAAACTCCTGAGCTCAAGCAATCTACCTGCCTTGACCTCCCAAAGTGCTGGAATTACAGGTGTGAGCCGTCACACCTGGCCCAAAATACATTAAGACTTTCCTTAGTTTAAGAACTATCTTCAAGTTACTCATCTGGATCCCATCCTTAACAATTACTGCTAATCTGTCTTCAGTGACATTATTATAGACATAATAGGTTATCTAAAAACTCAGCTCTGAATTTACATTGTAACATTACTAAAATTCAGTGGAGACCATTATACTGTAATGTATGTTAACTGTCCATTCTTCTAGGACCTGGAAGTCTTATTCCTGTGTTAGATTAAATCATAAGAAATCCAGAGGTTTTGCTTTCTAGTACCCAGTGCTTTAACTGAGTTGGGATTTTTTTTTAATGTTATAGCATTTAATAGGAAAAATCATTTGAAGATCATTTATCTTTTGTATAACTGTAATTGAAAATGTCAACTAATTATACAGTGTTTTTCCCCATAAAACACAATTTAGTGCCAGGAGAAAAAAGAACTATTTCTTCAGATAACTTTATATGTGTCCTTTTTTTTCCATTAAAAATTAAATAGCCCAAAGTATGTTCCTTTTGGCCTTAATGACAGGACCTGAAGCCAAAGCTGTGCATTCAATTAGAGTAACATTTCTATGCTTTTTTCCTTTCTACTGAGTTTCCGCTGTTAAAAAAAAAAAAAAAAAACTTCATGATTTTGTAAAATACCACTAGAATGCGCAGAGTAAGGGAGCAACATTCTCACACTGCAAAACTACACTTCTAATATGTGAGTAAGGAAAGCTCCAAAGAAAAATGTCAGTAATGTAATTTGAACATGATCACTACCTTCTTCTAACCCGACACACACATAAGAATATTCTATGATTAGCTAATCGAAAACCACTATATATATATATATATATATATATATATATATATATATATATATATTTTTTTTTTTTTTTTTTTACAAAGGCAAAAGATAAGTCACACCCCAAAGTGCCAGTTACAGAGGACAAAATTTCCAATAATTCTTCTCTAGGTGCTTGATGGTTAACAAAGGCTAATAATCTAGACTGGGAATTTATCCAGTCCCTTTGCTTCATAGTGGGATAATTATGCAATAACACTATACATCCACTCATTTCAGTTATCTCAGTCTGAGTACCACAGTTCAACCCATTACAGAGCAGTGTTGTTAAAAGTTATGCCATTAAAAAAAATAAAAAAGCTGAACCACTCAAAACTTTTTGTATTTGTTTATATATATTATACTTTAATACTAATTTGCTCCTTAGTAACAAGGGTAAACAAAATCTTAAGCCTAAATAACATATTTATGATATATTTAAGGCCAGACATGGTGGCTCATGCCTGTAATCCCAGCACTTTGGGAGGCCAAGGTGAGATGATCACTTGAGCCCAGGAGTTCAAGACCAGCCTGGGCAACAAAGCAAAACCGCATCTCTACAAAAATACAAAACTTAGCTGGGCATGGTGGTGTGCACCCGTAGCCCCAGTTACTCAGGAGGCTGAGGTGGGAGGATTGCTTGAGCCTGGGAGGTGGAGGCTGTAGTGAGCCATGACTGTGCCACTGCACTCCAGCCTGGGCGACAGAGTGAGACCCTGTCTCCGAAAGAAAATAAAGTAAAATAAAATAAATAAATAAATACACACATATACATATATATCATGTTACATTCATGATATCATAAATACCGTATTGTAGGAAATCATCACTTCAGAGTAAAAAAATGAAAATCACTTTCCCACCAGAATCAAAAAAGCTTTTCTACCACTCTAAACAGATTATTGTTTATTTGCATAGGTCATTATTTATATTACTTTAACTAGACTTTATGAGTTCACTTAACTATCTTTTCAGAGCACAAAACTGAATGTTTACATTTCAAAAACTTCAAATTCCATTTCTCTGATCTACCCAAAATTATTAGCTTTTTCATTTACAAGCTGTAGTAAATTCTTAGGGTTTTTATTTGCTTTTTTTTTTTTTTTTTTTTTTGAGACGGAGTCTCGCTCTGTCGCCCAGGCTGGAGTGCAGTGGCGGGATCTCGGCTCACTGCAAGCTCCGCCTCCCGGGTTCACGCCATTCTCCTGCCTCAGCCTCCCAAGTAGCTGGGACTACAGGCGCCCGCCACTACGCCCGGCTAATTTTTTGTATTTTTAGTAGAGACGAGGTTTCACCGTTTTAGCCGGGATGGTCTCGATCTCCTGACCTCGTGATCCGCCCGCCTCGGCCTCCCAAAGTGCTGGGATTACAGGCGTGAGCCACCGTGCCCGGCCTTTATTTGCTTTTTAATAGTGGAAAAGACAGAGATGACTTGCCAAAAGTTAACAGATTGTCAGTAACATAAGTAAAGCCTTTTTTGGCTGGATGCAATGGCTCGCGCCTGTAATACCAATACTCTGGGAGGATCACTTGAGCCCGGGAGTTTGAGACCAGCCTAGGCAATATAGTGAAACCCTGTCTCTACAAAATAAAAAATTAAAAATTATCCAAGCATGGTGGTGAGCACCTGTATTCCCAGCTACTCGGGAGACTGAGGTAGGAAGATCACTTCTGCCCAGGAGTTGGAAGGAGCAGTGAGCTATGATCATGCCACTGGACTTAGGCCTAGATGACAGAGCAAGACCCTGCCTCTTAAAAAAAAAAAAGCCTTTTTTGTTTTATGGGTTTGTTTGTTTTTTGAGTCTCGCTCTGTTGCCCAGGCTGGAGTGCAGTGGCGCAATTTCAGCTCACTGCAAGCTCTGCCTCCTGGGTTCCTGCCGTTCTCCTGCCTCAGCCTCCCCAGTAGTTGGGACCACAGGCACCCGCCACCATGCCCGGCTAATTTTTTTGTATTTTTAGTAGAGATGGGGTTTCACTGTGTTAGCCAGAACGGTCTCGATCTCCTGACCTCGGGATCTGCCCGCCTGGGCCTCCCAAAGTGCTAGGATTACAGGCGTGAGCCACCATGCCCCGCCTGTTTTATGTTTTTTAAATACTAAAGGAGTTCCAAAAATATTTTGCCAAAAAAATTCTATTTGCTGAAATGCTGGAACAAATTATTACTTCCACTGAAAGTGATGTCATCGCTTAGACAGTTCTCTAAATACAGATATTTGAAATTCCTTTCTAAATCATTCAAAATACAGATGTTCCCAGGCTACAAGGGATTAAATTAACTGACATCAGAACACGAATTTTCTTCCATTTGGCAACTGAGATGGCCTTTTTTTTTTTTTTTTTTTTTTTTGAGACAGAGTTTTTGCTCTGTCACCCAGCCTGGAGTGCAGTGGTGCAATCTCAGCTCACTGCAATCTCTGCTTCCCAGGCTCAAGTGATCTACCCACCTAAGCCTCCTGGGTAGCTGGGACTACAGACGTGCACCATCACTCTCAGCTAATTTTTTTCTTAATTTTTTGTAAATAGAGACAAGGTCTAGCTATACTATCCAGGCTGGTCTCAAGCTCCTGGGCTCAAACCATCCTCTCACCTCAGCCTCCCAAAGTGCTGATATTACAGGCATGAGCCACCATGCCCGGCCTTCTAATGCTAGTAGCTAAATACCTTCTGCTATCATTTATAATATGTAAGTATGGTTGTACCTTTCTCAAAAATCCAATAAAACTGCTTAAGAGCTACAAAGTTAGAATATTTAAAAAATAGGTTTGAAATGTTTAGCAATATTTAGTTTTTTTTTTTAAGTGTATAGATCACTTTCCTACAGTGATTTATTTTGATTTATTGGCAACAGTCCATTGACTGTGGGCTGGATATTTCTTCAAAAGGGTCATTGCATACATAGAAAATTTCCAAAAACAAACAGTCTTCCAAAACATCGAATTCATGAATTTTTTTTTTTTTTTTTTTGAGATGGATCTCTCTCTGTCGCCAGGCTGGAGTGCAGTGGCATGATCTCGGCTCACTGCAATCTCTACCTCCCGGGTTCAAGCCATTCTCCTGCCTCAGCCTCCCGAGTAGCTGGGATTACAGGCGCGCCACCACACCCAGCTAATTTTTGTATTTTTAGTAGAGATGGGGTTTTACCATGTTTGTGAGGATGGTCTTGATCTCCTGACCTTGTGATCCACCCACCTTGGCCTCCCAAAGTGCTGGGATTACAGGCGTGAGCCACCACTCCTGGCCGTAATTTTGTTTTATATGCTTCCTAGAAGCATGCAAATCTAGAGGATTTAGCTATTTACAAACTTTATGACAAAAAATGTGTAAAACCATGCAATAATCTGATAAAATCTGTTAACAGTTTAATTTTTATTTTTTTTAAAGAAGGGGTTTTTTGTAGATATGAATTAGGTTCTGTAATAGAATGGAAAATTAGCTTAATGTAAAAATCGGGTTAATTGCAATGTTCAGAAGCACTGTAAATCATATCTCAAAACATGTCTATGCAAATTAGTTTCTGCAAATCCTTACTATCTATTAGTGTTCCTTAAGGATAATTGCTCCTGTGATTAAAATGAAAATCATATTATGGCAAATTTAAATTTTCTTCATGTCTTCTAATGGGGTTCAGGACACTCAACCCCAAAATATGGCACTGTAGCATTTGAGCAGAAGCAGGTCTCTCTGACCTTCTCCCACTCTTTTCCCCTTAAGCAGGCTATAAAAGAATTGTCTAGGCCAGGCACGGGCTCATGCTTGTAATCCCAGCACTTTGGGAGGCCGAGGCAGGCGGGTCACGAGGTCAGGAGATCGAGACCATCCTGGCTAACACGGTGAAACCCATCTCTACTAAAAATACAAAAAATTAGCCGGGCAGCAGCGGGCGCCTGTAGTCCCAGGTACTCAGGAGGCTGAGGCAGAAGAATGGCATGAACCCAGGAGGCGGAGCTTGCAGTGAGCCAAGATTGCGCCACTGCACTCCAGCCTGGGGGCGACAGAGCAAGACTCCATCCCCCCCCCAAAAAAAAAAAAAAAGAATTCTCTGACCTTCCTCTAAAGTAGTATAAGACTTTCAATCCAGAAGTATCCTCTCTCTACCTGGAAGAAATGAACATCCTTATCCTGAGACACAGAGATACCAAGAGGTATGTGAACAAACAGGCTTTGCTAAGTTTCCCCCAGTTTATTACCATTAGATCATATCCCCTTTGTTCATCATACTTCTGTATGACTATCCACTCATCAAACCTAGCATAAAAATACACAGGTTTCCCTGTTTCTTTGGGTTCTCATTTTTTTCTATTTCTTTTCTCTTTTTTTTTTTGAGACAGGATCTTACTCTGTCACCCTGGCTGGAGTGCAGTGGCATGCTCATGGCTCACTGTGGCTCTCTGTAGCCTCAACCTCCTCAGGCTCAGGTGATCCTCCCACCTCAGCCTCCCAAGTAACTGGGTCTACAGGTACATGCCACCACACCTGGCTAATTTTTTTTGTATTTTTTGTAGAGTTGGGGTTTTAACATGTTGCTCAGGCTGCGGTCTTCATTTCTAAAGGCTTCTTGTCAAGTAAATTTTGTATTAAATAAATTTGTATGATTTTCTCTTGTTAATCTGTCTTTTGTTATAGGGGTCTCAGCTATGAAGCTAGTGATAGGCAAGAAAAAAAATTTTTCTCTCTTACTGGGGCAAAAGGGCAGGTGGTGTTATACAGCAGAGACAAGAAACCAAGACGTGTATAGTAACGTTTAAGGTTAATATATAAAAGGCATATGGTCCTGCCCAAAAAAGAAAAAGGAAATGCTGAATCAACACATTCGGTCCAGCCTAATCTTTTTCTTTTTGAAGACAGCAGTAATCTTCAAAATTTCTCTGAGTACCTCCTAAAATGCCTGTTAAAATCTATGTTTGCCTTTGCATAAATTTTTTAGTTGACAACTAAATTTTTTCATAATTTAGTTTCGAATGATTGAATTGTCATATTGAAAACGTTGGTAATTTCTAAAAAATGATTACTTTAAATGTATCCACTGGAATCTAAATACCATAATGATTTGATATCCACCATCATCCACTTAAAATATGTGAACAAAATATTTTTTAATACTTGGACATTTTACATCTTTTTTTTTTTTCTTGATGTTATAGTTTCATTCCATTCTTATCCTAGAACAGTTAATTCTCAACAGGGGTGGAGTCACTAGAGGTAGTGGTGGGGATTTTACCTATCAGGGGACATTTGACAATGTCTGGAGACATTTTTGATTGTCACAACTTAAGGAAGGGTGCTACTGGCATCCAGTGAACCACAGATGCTATTAAACATCCTACAAAGCTGAAGATAGCCCCCAAGAACAAGAATTATCTGACTCAAAATGTCAATAGTGCTATTGATAAGGTTAAGAAACCTTGTCCTACAGTGACACATTTTTATGCCTGAAAATCTTTTATTTATCACATTATACTTATCTATATTAAAAATATTTATACAATTAACAAAAATATGAATTTCCTAAAACAAAAAGCCTGTGTTAAAGACCTATAAAAAGGCTGTGTTAAAGATAGTATCTTCTGGATTGTTACTATAATTATTATTCACATTTGTTAATCTAAATAACATGACTAAACAATCATTATCAAGTATAAACAAGTGAAAATGTATTAAGATGTTCCTAATGAGATGGATGGGGCTTATGTTTGTTATATTTCATTAGTTATTGTGTCTGTGGATAAATATTCTACTTGTTAGAATAAAAATTCAGCACAAAGATATTTCTATTTTCATGAGAGCCGAGAAACCTTCACAAGTAGATGGAAAAGGAGTTCTATTGTAATACTGTCACCCAATTCTGTGAGCTCTAAGTTACACAGTGAGCTCTTTTTAAAAAACATTTTAGTGATCAATCAACTAATAACCTAATAAGATTATCTTTAAACACTGTTAAAAGCAAGGAACTTGCAAAGGCTTTGTTATAAAGGCACTTACTTACGCAATACCTGCAGCTACTAGGTGACCCTGAGATTTTTAAACCCCTGCTTTACTGCAGAGTCCAAAAGAGGCCTTGTTTAATGAAGGGAATTTGGGAACTTCTCTTAGTTCAATATGAGAACACATTTCACTTATCAAAGTTTGGGGAGCCTCAACAGACATTATGTAAGTTAATGTTACTTTGGAAAACCCCTATTAACTGCCCCATAACCATGTTTATTAGTCCGTCATGAAAACTCCAGCACAGATATTATCAAACATCTATGCCTAACCACCTAGGTCTTAGAAACTATATCATGAGTTTTCAGAAAATTAGATTCCCAAGAAAGAAATGGTCCAAATATGACTAAAGTTCTCTCCATTACTCCCTTACCTCTTAGATACTCTGTACTGTGCTGTGGTCAATTTTCCAGTCTCAGGGTCATGTACTGTAGCTCGGCTCAGCTACAAAAAAAGAGAAAGGACAAGGACTTACTCCAGTAGCAGGCAATTTTGGGCTTTTTGTTTGTTTTGTTTTGCCAAGCCACAGGTGATTGGAAGGGTTCAGATTGGTCTGGATGGTGGGTAATGGTCTCGAATCCACAAAAACATTTAGAAAAGTGGCAGTAAGAACAGCCACTTCCAAATCAAGAGAAAATGAGTTGACAGATTTTTGTTGTAGATTTATTGTCCTTTCACTTTTTTTAAACAAAAAATCATTTGAAGCTGTATGTAAATGATTTATAGCACTGGGTTTCACAGAAACTTTCTCAGATCTAGAAGTTATTTAAATATTTTGAAAAAAAATAGTAGACTCCTTAAATTCATTTTTCAAACCTCTCACTGAGATAAAACTGTTTTTAAATCTCTCTGGCAAAGTAAAAGGCAACTAAGTTTACAACTAATTTTTGGAAGACAGAGCTCAGAAGCGTAACTCTGTTCTTCCTACTGCCAACTTTTGAGTCAGCGAATTTTTTTAAATAAAAAACTCAAACAGGAGGAATACAGATTACTACATAATGACAATGTTATTTTACAAGATGTATGAACAAATGCCAACGTAATCACCATGAAGGAGGATATGAATCACCGCAGCATTTATGAATATGAGAAAACTGCATAGGTGAAGACTACTACTCCCAGATTCAGGAGGCTGCTGCTTTATTTCCCCCTTTGGCAACAAAAGGGAAAAAGAAAACAAGTATCAGGCCACTTCCTGGATATTTGACACCTGATCTGAAGAAAGATAAAAAGCATATTAATTCCCTAAAAATAACATACCAATTAAAGGTTAAAAACAGAACTTCTAGTGAAGGAGAAAGACCTGTGAAACACAAAGCAGTTTATCCATGCGTTATCCTGTTTATATACAGGGTGGTGACTTGAGCTGGTGACTGAAAATGACCCACTTTCCTTAAATGAATAATTCCTGTAAGATGTATAAAACACTCATTAGAGGGCAAAATATGCAGCATACACATCTCTTACCTTTTGCTAATTCTGTAATGTACCGTCTCCAAGTCTCCTGTTATTGGGTTTGAAATGGTGGCTCGCCTCAGCTGTGAAGCCAACCATCAAAATAGTTGCATTACAAAACAAAAAACTGAATCACATTTACCCAACCAGTCAGAATTCCAGGGTTTTTACAAAGGAGGCTAAAAAGAGAAAATAACTCCATACACTTCCAGTCACCTTGTGCTGAGCCTTGAAAGCCAGTTAGTTTTTTAGGTTTTTGGGGTTTTTTTTTTTTCTTCAATTTTTTGTTTTGCATAGATGGAGGACATACAAACAAAAGAGATTGGAAATTAAATTTCTTTCAATGGTGAAAGGACATGACAGTAAGAAAAAGAGACATATCTAAAATTTGAAGTCTAATTTACAGTTAAAATAGCCATCTGGGGGTGGGGAGAGAAGGGGAAAAAAAGAAGAATGCCTATTTGCAATTAATGATCCATTCCAAAACCTTTGACTTTAATTTTTTTTAGTGATGGAACTGTTTGCACAGGTTAATGTTTAAAATTCATTTTAAGGTCAATCTTTTGTCCCTTCAAGATAGCCACTCTCATTAACATATACAGTGAAATAATCTTGGACTGAGAACAAAGGCAGAGGAAAAGAGCTCATAAATGTTAAAAACAGCAAGAAAGAGGTGACCGCCTAGATAATAATTTCAATTTTTTTTAATGGAACGATGATTCTGAGGTTGTGAGAGCATGAAATTTTATTGCCATTAAATTTATTGATCAAAAACAATCCAAATTGAGGAATCTCCAGAATATAACTTGATCTCCAAGTTGAAATGAATTAATTACCTTGGATGGCACCAATAATATATATTAATGTTAGACCAGTCTTTTGCATTTATAATGTAATCTTTGGCCAAAAAAAAAAAAAACCACCAATTTGGAGAAGCAGAAAAACTCTAAAAGAAATTCTAACTTCATTTTGTAGTATAGATATCCAGATAATTCAAACCTTTGATATAATAAGGGTCAACAAACTATGGCCACAGACCAAATTCAGCCTGCTACCTGCCACTGGAAATAAAATTTTACTGTAATATAGCCACACTCTTTCATTTACATATTTTCTTTGGCTGCTTTTGCACTATAATGGCAGAACTAAATAGTCATGACAGAGATCATATGGCCTCCAAAGCCTAAAAAATATCTAATATTGACCTTTATGGAAAAAATCTGCCAACTCCTGTGTAAGACAGCAAAGCATGCCTAGAATTTATTCAACAATCTCTTTATGAAAGTGATGGCAGCTTGTATTTTACTATCAAGAAGACCAAATATGTTTTAAGAACAAGCTGATGGGGGAAAAGGCAAGAGCATAAAGGGTAGTCTTTTCCACATTCTCACTAAAGAGTTTTTATGCTCAACACTAAGCTTATAGATTGGGTTTACGTTAGATTCTTTTTCTTTTTAAGATAAATTCTGTGGGTTAAAGTCAGAAAACTATCACCATTTCAAATTAACATAATACTTGTGCCCAATTATATCTTTTTATAATAGTAACAATGTGCCTAAAAGGGAATAAAAATACTTCCACGGTATTCTTTCAGTAAAAATACAGAAGTGAAAAAGCTGGGCTTTGAGTAGCCTCTGAGATTAAAAGACTCCAAAATACAGAGAAAAGTTTATCAGGAAGACAGTGAAACACAAATTTGTTAATGGTGAATAAAAATCTCACAATAATTTTCATAATTCAGTGCTTAAAACCCAGTTAAGGGTACATTACTTGTGTTGATAACAAATGGAAAAACTGGCATAAACACAGCATCATTAGTAACTCCATTATGCTGAGGCAAAATATCTTTAAAAAATCTGTGGCATTATTCGTATATCAATTATCCTATTTTTTTACAAAGAAAAATTGATACAAAGGTACAGTAAATTGAGGAGAAAGAAAGAAAACATTATTTACCCTTGGTTTTGCTAGGTCTTTGACGATTTCAATTTCTGCATCAGAAATAATATCATGGAAGCGAATAATACGAGGCTTGTCCCATTCATCCTCCTGTTTAGCTGGAGCCAGAATAAATTTAGGATTACGGTTTCCATCATGGTAGCGGCAAAAGAGTTTTTTCTGTCTCCGAGGGGTCTAAACATAAAGTTAAGAATATGATGAATATATTACAGTAATAATACTTTTAATATCTATTCCTATGCAGATAAGAGACAATAATCATGCTTGCATATACAGAGTATCTCTGGAAAAACATACAAAAGAAGCAGTACTCTGCAAATATTTTGCCTCAAACAGGATGTTCAGAATTTTAAATACAGTATTAATGATTATTTTCTGGGTGAGAGAGGCGAGGTCTTAAATAAGGAGAAAGGTAGTGTATCTCTTTTAACCCTTCACTCATCAAAATAAAGTTCAAATGTTTAAATATGAAAAAAAAGCCATGTTTATGAAAATATTAAATGAATGCCTGGCATTGCTCTAAATGGCACAAAGTAACTGGAAAGCACCCAGAGACAAAAAGTTTCTAGAAGAAAAAAAAAACTAGGTTTTCCTAAATACCTCACAGTTAAATGCTTGTGGCAAAAAAAAAAAAAAAAAAAAAGGAATTTTTTTAAGGGCAAAATAAAAAATGGATAGCTCTGAAAAAGAAAAAATAAGTTATTAAACAAAGATCCCAGATGCTTTTATTAGGCAGTATAAAAATAGAGCAGTCAACAAAACAAATTCCCTTCAATCATCTATGTATTATATTAATAAGTTATTTTGTTGCCTACTTCTCTTAATTAAACAAGTATGTCAGGCCTGGCATGGTGGCTCATGCCTATAACCCCAGCACTTTGGGATGCTGAGGTAGGAGGATCACTTGAGCCCAAGGAGACCAAGATCAGCCTAGGTCACACAGCGAAATCTCGTCTCTACAAAAAATTTAAAAAATTAGCCGGACATGAGGGCACTTGCCTGTAGTCCCACATACTTGAGGGGCTGAAATGGGAGGACTGCTTAAGCCCAGGAGGTAGAGGTTGCAGTGAGCCATGATCATGCCACTACACTCCAGCCTGGGTGACAGAGCAAGAAGCTGTCTCAAAAAAACAAAACAAAACAAAAACAAGTATGTCACATAAGCAGGAATATGAGTAGTCTGTTTCAATTATTATACTAATAGTATACTAAAACAAATAATGATTCATGTTTATTCTCCATGCACTTTACCTAGAGTCAAATCCAAGGCTTTAATTTTTAGTAAGTCTTTTATATAATGATGAGATGAATGTAGCTATTCTGAGAAAAAGAATTTTTTGTTTTTGTTTTTGTTTAGACAAAGTCTTGCTCTGTTACCCAGGCTGCACTGCAATGCCTTGATCTCGGCTCACTGCAGCCTCTGCCTCCTGGGTTCAAGCAATTCTCCTGCCTCAGCCTCCCAAGTAGCTGAGATTACAGGCCCCTGCCACCATGCTCGGCTAACTTTTTGTATTTTTAGTAGAGATGGGGTTTCACCATGTTGGCCAGGCTGGTCTTGAACTCCTGACCTCAGGTGATCCACCCACCTTGGCCTCCCAAAGTGCTGAGATTACAGGCATGAGCCATCGTGCCTGGCAAGAATGTTCTTTTGATCTTAGGCAAAGTTGAGTATGTGTTACATTAACAAACCGGGAAATTAGCAGACTCTTTGTTTTATATCTACAGTTTTATTTTGTTCCTTAAGAGTTATTAAGAGCAATAAAAATTTCTGCTTACTGCGGAAATTTGAACACTAGATATTTGATATTACAAAACTTGTGAATTTTTAGGTGATAATGGTATTGTAGTTATTTTGAATTTGTATCTTTAAAAGATACATACTAAAATATTTAGTAATGAAACAGAAAAGAAAATGTTTAATGAGGGAACAGGTGCAGTGGCTCACGCCTGTAATCCCAGCACTTTGGGAGGCCGAGGCAGGCGGATCACGAGGTCAGGAGATCAAGACCATCCTGGCTAACAAGGTGAAACCCCATCTCTACTAAAAATACAAAAAATTAGCTGGGCGTGGTGGCAGGCGCCCGTAGTCCCAGCTACTCAGGAGGCTGAGGCAGGAGAATGGCGTGAACCCAGGGGCCGAAATGGCGCCACTGCACTCTAGCCTGAGCAACAGAGCGAGACTCCGTCTCAGAGAAAAAAAAAAGAAAATAATGAGTCTAACAGTGTCACCATCTTTGTATTTACTCATTAGCTCAAGCATGTCCTCCTAGGACTCCATGAACCTATCTATTGAAAGTGTCACCATACGTATTGTATACTTTGCTGTTAGTGGTTAAGCTGTCAACAGTCATCAATATCGAAATGCAAAGCCCAGCTTGAGTTTACCAGTAGTAAAGAAAATGTTAAACACTTTTCAAATGTTTACACCTAAAAGTACTTACTCCAAAAATTCACTAACTCCTTCTATGCAAGCCTGTGTTCAACTGAAAACTAATACCACATGAAATTCCTTTTCAAAAGGTTCCATAATCAATTAATATTGAGAAAGAATGTATATCATATCACAATGCACATTATCATAAAAAGGTTCTGAGAAGTTTTGAGGCTAAACAAAAACCTATGTTCAACTTTGTTTAACAAATGTTCCCCAGACTTTGTTCTTTTTGCTTTTGGCCTAGTATCTATTAACATCTATAGAACTGGAATTCTGAGTTATAAATACATATACAATAAACAAAGTAATATTTATAGATATATTTTAAAGAAATATTAAAGACAAAATCTGTTGAAAACTTTCTGCATTTTCAGTATTAAACAGACTAAAGCATTTCACTAAGCAATCTTGTGAAGATTAACTAGGAGCAAAACTACAAGGGATTATTGTATAGATGAATCTGTTGTATCTCATAAGATGCACAGAGTAGTGTTATTGTCTCTAATTAAGGCTGCTGAACAGATGAGTGTGGTGGCTGACGCCTGTAATCCCAGCACTTTAGGAGGCCGAGGCGGGAGGATCACCTGAGGTCAGGAGTTTGAGACCAGCCTGGCCAACATAAGGAAACCCCGTCTTTACTAAAAATACAAAAAAGTTAGCCGGGCATGGTGGCGAATGCCTGTAGTCCCAGCTACTTGGGAGGCTGAAGCACAAGAATTGCTTGAACCCAGGAGGCGGAGGTTGCAGTGAGCCGAGACTGCGCTACCGCATTCCAGCCTGGGTGATAGGGTGGGTTTCTGTCTCAAAAAAAAAAAAAAAAATACTGCTGAAATCTCTCTTGCATTAAATATAAAAAAAACTATCACTTCCTTTAAACTTATTTGATCCTTCACCCTGGAAGGATCAAATGAAAAAGGTAATATTGCCCCAAACATATGTAATAGTATATGATTCACAAGCTTTATTTTAAAGCTATTTTACTAATAATTGGAACATATTAAATGTGGCACCCACAGAGAGAGAATGGTATACTGTAATTTTTTTTTTAAAGTTTTTTAGGCTGGGCACAGCAGCTCACGCCTGTAATCCCACCACTTTGGGAGACCAAGGCAGGTGGATCACAAGGTCAGGAGTTTGAGACCAGCCTGGCCAACATGGTGAAACCCCATCTCTACTAAAAATACAAAAATTAGCCGGGTATGGTGGCGGGCACCTGTAATCCCAGCTACTCAGGAGGCTGAGGCAGGTGAATCGCTTGAACCCAAGAGGCGGAATTTGCAGTGAGCCGAGATCATGCCACTGCACTCTAGCCTGGGTGGCAGGGTGAGACTCCATCTCAAAAAAAAAAAAAAAAGTTTTTTAGAGACAGGGTCTTATTCTGTAGCCCAGGCTGGAGTGCAGTGGTGTAATCATAACTCACTGTGCCCCTGAACTCCTGGTTCAAGTGATCCTCCCACCTCAGACTCCTGAGTAGCTAAGACTACAAGTGTACACCAGCATGCCCAGCTAATTTTTAAATTTTTTTGTAATGGGGTCTATGTTGCCTAAGCTGACATACTGTAATATTTTATGCAGTCATTCTGATTTTTATCACATAGGCTTAAATATAAAATAACTGATTCTCTCCAGAACTGTGTACAAACACATACACACACACATTCACATACACACAATTGGCTTTTCCACTTTACCATTTTGATACCCTCCCCACGGCACAGCATTTCGTACTTCTGTCTCTCTGGCAGGTAATCCACAGCAACCCCTTTTTTCTTTGGTGTAGTTTTCTGATCAGATTGGTCATCTGAAGCAGACTTATTGACATCTTTTTCTTTAGCCATTATATACTCAAAATATTTTAAGTTACCATTAGCTCTCTGATGTTCAGGATCTATTAGAAGAGAAACAAAGCATGTCCATGGGTAAGTTCATGCTTGTTCAAGCATCAGAATATAGTAATATAAAAATAGGAGACATTATAATTTATCTTCCAAACCAGGTTGCTGTTGTGAGTGAAAGGAGGCACTAATAAAAATTATTATACCAAAATAATAGGTATAAGTTACTACTGCCCCCAAGTAAATCAGGACATATAGTCACCTATATAAAAACAGTTCTGGGCCAGGCCTGGTGGCTCACACCTGTAATCCCAGCATTTTGGGAGACTGAGGTGGGTGGATCACCTCAGGTCAGGAGTTCGAGACCAGCCTGACCAACATAGTGAAACCTCGTCTCTACTAAAAATACAAAATTAGCTGGGCGTGGTGGTGGGTGCTTGCAATCCCAGCTACTCAGGAGGCTGAGGCAGGAGAATCACTTGAACCCGGGAGGCGGGGGTTGCAGTGAGCCGAGATCATGCCATTGCACTCCAGCCTGGGCAAAAGGAGTGAAACCCTGTCTCAAAAAAGACAGTTCTGGAGACAGAAACAGCTATTTATTTAAAGGTGGCAACTGGTGCTTTTACTTTGAGAATTTACTAATCAGCTAAAGGAACTAAGTTCAATTTGATGTCAAATGAAGTTTAAAATCTTACTCATCCTACTTATTTTAAGAAATGAAAAAGATTTTTCCAAGACAGAAAAACAATCACATGAGGAAGACAGGGGATAAGCAATTCAAAAGCAACCTTTACCACAGATACATTATAAATGTAGCCTACTTCTAAGGGCTGAGTGAAGTTCAGTCCCAAATTTCTAAGTAAGAAGGAAAAGGGAAACTAAAGATATAATTTTCGAATAAGCTGGAATCCACTAACTGCCTCAGAATTGCTAGTCATAATTTTGAACTACCTTTTAGTAGAAGAAAAGATGACTACGCTACCCATCTGAGAGGAAAAAAAAAAAAAACTAAAGAACCACACACACATAAAAATAAAAAGGCAGAAGAATATATAGAGACTTCACTTGTGACAGTAACTAAGTGTTTAGGATACCTAGGCTTAGATTGTAAAATATTTCTTGTCCTTCAGAAACTGCTCACAATAAATGTTACGATATCCAATATTAACCTAATTTTGTAAAAGCAAAGGAAAAGTGTGTGCAGGGAAGAGGCGTATACACTAAAAGGAAACAAATGTGTAGGTGTCTTTGAGTGACTGGCTTATAGATGACTCTTCTGTATCTTTCTCTGTTTTAATAAATTTTCTATAATGAGTACAAAGTATATTTTAAGTCAAGAGGAAATACCACTGGAAAATACTGAAAGGAAAAAAGATTACTTGAACCAATATCTTGATTTATTATTACCCAACTAAGAAATAACCCAATTATCCAAAGTTCATTTTCAGCAGATCAATCCTTTTGAGCTGTTTGATTCTAACATGCACATATTTTCCTATTTTGTAAAAATAATTTTTAAAGTTTTAAAGCTTCGTTATATACCAAAGGCCACCTAAACTTATTATCATACAAATTCTGGACTCCATCTCCAGAGATTACAATTTAGCAGATCTAGGGTAGAGATCAAGAAATTTTCATTTCTAACAAGTATCCAAGTAATTCTGATGCACGTGGTGCTTGGGCCATACTTGAAGAAACACTACATCTCTGTTCAAAGTACTACTGATAAAATTCTCCTAAGGTGTATTTTTCCAACATTTGAATATGATAAATATATTTTCAGCCCATCTATTTTAAATCACTTTATTTTAAAATATGAAATGCAATAAAACATAACACCCTTCAAAGGAAACTGATTAAAATGGCAACATGGTAAACAAACATTTTTGACTTAGTTACGTTAGCTTCAATTTTGAAATTCCTGGAGAATATAGAGCAAAGAAACACAACCACTGTTATAGCACTATTAGGTGAGAAAAATCAGCCATCATTTACTTTGAGAATAAAGAAGAGAATAATGTATATTTAACAAGTAAAGCTCCTGACTTCTAAAAAGTAAGAAAATACCATATATAAATGAGGGAAAGACAGAAAAATAGAGAATATATATCCCTCAATATAACTATAACCTTAAATTAGGCCCAGATAACATACCTAGTTCAAGAAGCTTCTTTGTGAGCAAAAGTGCCTTATCCAGGTCTCCCTGCTGATATACCGCATAGCTCAAATAATCTAGAACAGAGACTTTATCTATGGTAGAAATCTCGCCTTCATCCAGTTGCCTTAGGGCTTGTTCCATCCACAGTTCCGTATGGTAATAATCTGCTTCTGTATAGGCCACTTTGCCCAACTCAAAGCAGTCCTCAGCCGTTAGAAAAGATTTGTGTTTCACTCCTATGAAAAGAAAATACAGAGAACTTTAGGAATCTTAACACTACTGTGTATTTATTTAGGACTACACAGCTTTCAAAATGCTGTCTCACTTCTATTTGAAGTTCACAATAATCCTCTGGATGAGCAAAAATTACCCTAATTTTATAAACAATGGAACAATCTATAATATAATGTAGATAAACAAGAATCACACAGCTGGTATTAGGGGACACAGAACCTAGAGAACCCAAGACTGAAATTATCAGCCATCATACCAAAATGAAACATCCATTAAGTTGAAATATACTATTTCCTAACAGTAGGAATTACCATATGAGATACATCTCTTTTTTTTTTTTTCTTTTGAGACAGAGTCTTGCTCTGTTGCCCAGGCTGGAATGCAATGGCACAATCTCAGCTCACCACAACCTCCGCCTCCCAGGTTCAAGTGATTCTCCTGTCTCAGCCTCCTGAGTAGCTGGGATTATAGGCATGTGCCACCATGCCCAGCTAATTTTGTATTTTTAGTAGAGATGGAGTTGATCAGGCTGGTCTCGAACTCCTGATCTCAGGTGATCCACCCGCCTTGGCCTCCCAAGGTGCTGGGATTACAGGCATAAGCCACCGCGCCCGGCCACCATATGAGATATATCTATCTCATCCCTAACCAACAATCTGGGCAAGAGATGAATGTACAGGAGGAGAGGTAAATACGTCAACTGGATTCTTTCTTTTAAACAGCATTAATATGTCATTTAAATACCATAAATTCACTCATTGAAAGATTACAGTAGTTCTTAGTATATTTACAGAGTAGAGCAACCATCACCACAATCTAATTTTAGAACATTTTCATCACTCCAAAAAGAAACCCTGTAACCATTAACAGTCACTACCCATTAACTTCCCCACCTTGCCCCAGCCCTAGACAACCACTAATCTACTTTCTGTCTCTACAAATTTGCCTATTCTGGACATAATGCTACTGTGAACATTTGTGTGTAAGTTTCTATGTGAACATGTTTTCATTTCTTGAGTATATACATATGAATGGAACTGACTGGTCCTATAGCAACTCTACGCTTAACGTTTTGAGGAACTGCCAAACTGTTTTCCAAAGTGGCTACATCATTTTACATTCCCACCAACAAGGTATGAAATTCCAATTTCTCCACATCCTTGCTAATGCTTGTTATTGTCCTTTTTTATTGTAGACATTCTGGTGAGTATGAAGAGGCATTTCATTGTGGTTTTGATTTGCATTTCCCTGGTGACTAGTTATGTTGGGCCTATTATCGTGTGCTTATTTCCATTTGTGTATCTTCTTTGGAAAAAATACCTTTTCAAAGCTTTTGCCCATTTAAAAAATTTGGTGGCTAGGCACGGTGGTTTCACACCTGTAATCCAGTGTTTGGGAGGCCAAGGAAGGAGAACTGCTTAAGGCCAGGAGTTTGAGACGAACCTGGACAACGTAATGAGACCCTCATATCTAACAAAAAAAAAATTTTTAGAAATTAGCCAGACATTGTGGTGCATACCTGTAGTCCTGGCTAGCTGAGAGGCTAAGGCAAGAAGAATGCTTAAGCCCAAGAGTTCAAGGTTACAGTGAGCTATGACTGCACCACTGCTTGCACTCTGTTAGAGTTCTTTATTGAGACAGAGTCTCACTCTGTCACCCAGGCTAGAGTGCAGTGACACGATCTCAGCTCACTGCAATCTCCATCTCCCAGGTTCAAGCGATTCTCCTGCCTCAGCCTCCCACGTAGCTGGGATTACAGGCGTGTGCTACCATGCTGGCTAATTTTTGTATTTTTAGTCAAGACGGGGTTTCACCATGTTGGCCAGGCTGGTCTTGAACTCCTGACCTCACGTGATCCACCCACTTCAGCCTCCCAAACTGCTGGGATTACAGGTGTGAGCCACTGCAGGTGCCTGGCTCGGCTACATGATTTTAAAATATTTTTCCCATTCTGTGTGTTGTCTTTTCACTCTCTTGATGGTGCACTTTTGAAACTGTGATGAAGTCCAACTTATTAATCTTTCAGCACTTGTGCTTTTGGTGTTATTATGTCAACTCGCTTCTGCAGTGAAACTTCTATTTTAAGAAAAGGAGGTATTTGATAGTTCACATGAGATAAAATATAAATAGAAAACACTTCAGAAAATACTTAGTCTCATTCATCACTGAAGAAATTAAAACCACCACAAATAAAAATATTTTAAAATAATGGCCTAGATTTATTGAGGTCTTACTATCTGCCAAGTATTTGTCACTTATTTAATCCTCAAAGCCATCTTATTACAGATGAGGAACTAAAATAGAGGTTAACTAATATGTCCAAGGTCACATGTTTAAAAGTAAGAAATGGAATCTGTTCCATACACCTCCAGAAGTTTGTGCTCCTGATGTTATAACATTAAATGGCAAAACCTAATAGTGGGAGGAAGCAGCAATGTAAACTGGTAACTTTGCTTTTAAGAAATTCAGCAATAAGAGAAAAGAAGAATTTAAACTCTATGACTTAATACTACTATTTTTCAGTTATTTCATTGAGATTTAGTACTAGGGGTTGGGGACCTTCCTGTATAAAAGATTTTTGTGGCTGAAACATATTATAGCTAAAAACTGTAATAAGCTAAAAGCGAGGAAATAAGGAATATATAGGCAGATATATCAATTTAATGGAATAGCATTTTTCATTAAGAAAGATAATTTCAATGCTATAGAGAAAATTATAATAAATTTAAAAATAGAAAATATGAACAAATAAGATATCCTAGGCCAGGCGTGGTGGCTCACGCCTGCAATCCCAGCACTTTGGGAGGCCGAGGCAGGCGGATCACCTGAGGTCGGAAATTCGAGACCAGCCTGGCCAACATGGTGAAACCCTGTCTCTACTAAAAATATAAAAATCAGCCAGGCATGGTGGCGGGTGCCTGTAATCCCAGCTACTCAGGAGGCTGAGGCAGGAGAATCACTTGAACCTGAGAGGCAGAGGTAGCAGTGAGCCAAGATCACGCCATTGCGGTCCAGCCTGGGCAACAACAATGAAACTCCATCAAAAAATAAATAAATTAATAAATAAAAATAAAAAATACCCCAACAAAGAGCAGGCATATTGGAATGGGAAAAACAAAAGACCTTCCAAAAATCATAAAGATAACCAACGACAGTTCAAAACTCATTAGGCTGGTTAAAATGTAGATTAAGGCCGAGTGCGTGGCTCACGCCTGTAATCCCAGCAGTTTGGGAGGCTGAGGCAGGCGGATCATGAGGTCAGGAGATTGAGACCATCCTGGCTAACACGGTGAAAGCCTGTCTCTACTAAAAATACAAAAACTTCGCCGGGCGTGGTGGCGGATGCCTGTAGTCCCAGCTACTCAGGAGGCTGTGGCAGGAGAATGGTGTGAACCCAGGAGACAGAGCTTGCAGTGAGCCAAGATCACGCCACTGCACTCCAGCCTGAGTGACAGAGCAAGACGCTGTCTCGAAAAAAAAAAAAAAAATAGATTAAACACAACTAAAAAGAAAATAATAAATCCAGCAGAGAGAGCTGAATAAATTATCATGGCATAAACTACCCAGAATGCAGTAGAGAGAGATAAAAACATGAAATGCTAGTTAAAACACAAAGACAAGGCCGGGCGCGGTGGCTCACGCCTGTAATCCCAGCACTTTGGGAGGCCGAAGCAGGCAGATCATGAGGTCAGGAGATCGCGATCATCCTGGCTAACATGGTGAAACCCCGTCTCTACTAAAAATACAAAAAATTAGCCGGGCGTGGTGGTGGGTGCTTGTAGTCCCAGCTACTTGGGAAGCTGAGGCAGGAGAATGGCATGAACCTGGGAGGTAGAGCTTACAGTAAGCCAAGATGGCGCTACTGCACTCCAGCCTGGGCGACGGAGCGAGACTCCATCTCTTAAAAAAAACAAAAACAAAAACAAAACACACACAAAGACAAAAAAACTAAAGTCTGTCTACTTGGAATTCTAGAAGAAGAGAACAGAAAGAATATAGATAAGATAGTATTTAAAGAGATAATGGTAGAAAAATTTCCAAAATTAAAATGCATGGAAGTTCAGATTCAGGAAACAAAGAATTCCAAGCCAAACAAAGCACATTTGAGGGCTTCTTAACAATGTGTTTCAAGGAGGAAAATTCCAAAAGGAAAGTCTGAGGTACAATAAAGAATGATGAAAAATGAAAATGGTATACATAAATGCCAGTCTAAATTAAAGAAAAGGGCTGGGCACAGTGGCTCACACCGGTAATTTGAGCACTTTGGGAGGCAGACGGACTACTTGAGCTCAGGAGATCGAGACCAGCCTGGGCAACATGGCGAAAGGCCGTCTTTACTAAAAATACAAAAAATTAGCCGGGCATGGTAGCACACGCCTGTAATTCCAACTACTGGGGAGGCTGAGGCACGAGAATCGCTTGAACCCGGGAAGCGAGGTTGCAGTGGGCCAAGATTGCACCACTGCACTCCAGTCTGGGTGACAGAGCAAGACTCCGTCCAGAAAAAAAAAAAAAAAAAAAAAAAAAAAAAGGTGAATAAAGACAACATTGATAGGGGTGAAACTAAGGGAAAAAAGAAAGGGGATGGTCATGGGACGCGCTCTAGCAGGGTGGCAATCTTTAGATGGTTATTAAGAAATGGGATGAAAAAAGTAGAAACTGATGGGTGTGAAGACAACAGTGACTCCATCTTGCATGCTAATCTACCATGTTCACTTTTGATTAACCTCAGTCCCACGAATGCCTGCTGATTTCTACTTTACTTGCTGTCCTTAGTGTAGGAACATGTACCCACTATAAATCCTGCCTTTAGAGCAAAGCAACCTTGATGTTATCACAAAAATTACAGGCTATGACACGCATAGCATTCTTGCCTGTTCTGGAGCTTGCCTTTGTCCCTACAGAGCATGTACATCCTTTCCCTATGACACTTAAGTCATGGGTCTGGGGACTAACGGTGCAGAGATCTACCTGTCTTGCTACTGCCCAAGACCATGCTTCCATCTCTAAGTTTCCCAATAAATCATCCTCTACTGACAATAAGTAAAAAAAACTGTAGAACCTCCACAAAATAGAGTAATAACACGTAGCTATAAAAAGAAATGAGGATTTCTATACATGAAGTAATGACTGGGGTATATCAATAAATTAAAGCACCAAAGTACATAACAGTATTTATAGTATGCTTTTTTTTTTTTTTTTTTTTGAGACGAAGTCTCACTCTGTTGCCCAGGCTAAAAATGCAGTGGTGCGATGGCTCACTGCAACCTCCGTGCCCCGCCGGGTTCAAGAAATTCTCGTGCCTCACCCTCCTGAGTAGCTGGGATTACAGGTGCCCACCACCACGCTCAGCTAATTTTTGTATTTTTAGTAGGGATGGTGTTTCACCATATTGGCCAGGCTGGTCTCAAACTCCTGACCTCAGGTGATCCACCCACCTTGGCCTCTCAGAGTGCTGGGATTACAGGTGTGAGCCACCACGCCCAGCCAGTACGCTATCTTTTGTGTTTATGTTGAGAGAATATAGGAGTAGATATATATTTGCTTGTATTTTAAAAAACTGGAAATAGTAAAACTAACAAAATGGTCACATAGAAAAAGGAAGGGAATAGGTTGAAAAGTATAAGAATGAAAGTGAGACTTCTATTAATGTACCTTATTAGTCTAGTTTGGACTGTCAAAGAATTTAAAAGTTTTACATAATTAAAAACAATAAATTGGCTGGGCATGGCGGCTAGAGCCTGTAATCCTGACACTTCGGGAGGCCAAGGCAGGAAGATCTCCTGAGCCAGGGAGTTCAAGACAACCCCGGGCAAAATAATGAGACAATATATTTAAAAAAAAAAAAAAAAAAAAAAAAAAAAAAAAAAAAAGGCTGGGCGCAGTGGCTCACGCCTGTAATCCCAGCACTTTGGGAGGCCAAGGCAGGTGGATCATGAGGTCAGGAGATCGAGACCAACCTGGCTAACATGGTGAAACCCCATCTCTACTAAAAATACAAAAAATTAGCCGGGCATGGTGGCGGGCGCCTATAGTGCCAGCTACTCAGGAGGCTGAGACAGGAGAATGGCGTGAACCCGGGAGGCAGAGCTTGCAGTGAGCTGAGATCACGCCACTGCACTCCAGCCTGGGCGACAGAGCAAGACTCCATCTGAAAAAAATAATAATAAAATAAAAATAAATAAAATAAAAAATAAAAAAAAATAGCCAGGTATGGTGGTACTTGCATGCCTGTAGGCCTAACTATTTGGGAGGCTGTGACAGGAGGATCCCTTGAGCCCAGGAGTTCAAGGCTGCACTGAGCTATGATCATGCCACTGCACTCCAGGCCGGGCAACAGAACAAGATATTGTTTCTAAAACAAACAAATGAAAACAATGAATCAAAAGAAAAAACGAGGACAATCCCTAAAAATCTGAGGAAATGAAATAAATGAACTCAACTGTATAACATGTTAAGGGCATAGCCACAAAGAGAAATGAATTACCTCAGATGTCTTTAAAACAAGATTTTGACTGATCATATCTAGAGTGATATATTTTAAGGATATAAAGTACAAAAAAACCTGTATTCAGTAGTCTTAATGTTATTAATAGTATGAATAAAATAGTATGAGTTAATAGTATGAATAAAAGAATAATCATGTTAATATCCTTAGGAACCAAATTTTCAGAAGAAAAGAGATATAAATATAAACCCTGTGGTTTTCAATTTGAACAATATGAACTTACATATTTCCTGTCTCTGTTTATGACAAACTATATAGCAATAATCACCCCTAGAACCTAGCTAGACTCTGCTGCTTAAATGTCATCCCTGTTCAAAGCAATCAAGCCTTGCCAGGCAAGGAGTGGAAAACCTGTAGTCCCAGCTACTCAGAAGGCTGAAGCAGGAAGATCACTTGAGCCCAGGAGTTCCAGGCTGTAGTGCACCATGATCGCATCTGTGAATAGCCACTGCACTCCAGCCTGAGCAACATGGCAAGAACCTATCTCTTAAGGGGGGAAAAAGAAGGGCCAAGGCTCATTGAAGAAATGCCTAGTTCCTACTCTGGAATAGAAACCTGGAAAAAAAACTGTGCCAGAAAGCAAGGAAGTTTCCTCTCTATCAAAGAATAATAACACAGTCAATTCAAAAAAACAAGCCTATCTAAAGATGCTCCCCACTGGCCTAAAATGGGATAATCTGAGATCAAAGTAATACTGAATAGGCTGAAATACAAAAAAAAAATAATAATATCCATATTCATGATATGTCATGAAAATTACAGATCACTACTAAAAATGGTTAGGACACCAACTCATTACTCTGAAAACTGATAAAGAAGACTAATTATAGACTTACCCTGCCTTTCCTATATATAGTTCAGGGTAACCAAATGGTTCATGAAGGATGTTCCTGTTTATAGAATTCCAGTTAATAAAAGTAAAAGGAATAATGGAATGAAAAAAATCATCATTTTGTAACCCCTAATGAAATAGTGGTTCTAGGCAATGATCATCAAAGGCTGCCAAAACCAGTAGATAAAACTTAAGGAGAACTTTATATGGAGGGATCAGGCTCTCATCACCTGAACCTCACTCATCAATCAGCATCATAAAAAGTGGGACAGGACATTAGGTGTTGGTTCACGCAGTTCAAAAGAAAGTTCATAGCGCCACCTATGGAGTTAATTTTAAAATTTAACTCGAATCTAATCAAGCCACAAGCTCTAACCAGTGTGTAGGAAACATAGGCATTAAAGGAACATGTTAACCACCAAAGTAGTCAACTCCAGAATGTGGAACATTCCACATAACATATGACTAGGTTTCCCCAGCTAACCAATGTCATAAAGAGAAAGAAAAAAAAGGAAAAGGGAATAAAAGGGACTTAACAGACATAATTTAAAAAAATACAACTGTAAAACAACAACTTTGAGATCACCAGAGAAATAATATTGACTGGGTATTAAATTATATTAAGGAAATACTGTCGATTTGTTAAGCAGGGAGATAGTAAGTGGTTATGTTACTTTTTTAAAAAGACCAGCTGGGCGCAGGTGACTTATACCTATAGTCCCAGCTACTTGGGAGGCTAAGGCAGGAGGAACACTTGAGCCCAAGAGTTCAAGGCTGCAGTGAGCTATAATGGTACCACTGCACTCTAGCCTGAGCAATAAAGTGAGACCCTGTCTCTAAAAAAAAATTAAAAATAAATTACAAAGACCTACTTGAGGCCAGGAATTCAAGACCAGACTGGGCAACACAGCAATAGCACATCTCTGCAAAAAATTTAAAAATCAGCCAGGTGTGGTGGCACGCACCTATAGTCCCAGCTGTTCAGGAGGCTAAGGCAGCAGGATGGCTTGAGTCCAAAAGTTCAAGGCTGCAGTGAGCTATGATCATGCCAATGCACTCCAGCCTGGCTGATAGAGTGAAATCTTGCCTCAAAAAAATAAATTTTAATAAAGACCTGATCAGTTAGATATGCATGTTGAATTATTTATGGATAAAATGACATGATGTCTAGGATTTGCTCTTAAAATACTCCAACAAAAATGACAGAAAGAAAGGGTGGAAGGAGTAGATAAACCAAGAATGACAAAATGTTTAAAACGTCTGGAGCTTGGTGATGGCATAGGTTCATTATGTTATTACCTTTATTTTTGTGTATGTGTGACATTTGATATTTTCCATAATAAAAGAAATTTTATAAATAATGGAAAAAGGAGAAAGTCATGTCCTACAGGGCTCTTTTTATGCTGTTACACAGAAAATCACATAGTTCCCTTTCTGACACTATAAAAAAAAAATGACAGGTATGTGAAAAAACAACAACAAGCCTACACAAGAAAATATGACTTCTCCAACAACATTTCTCTCAGAATATACAGTTCTGAGACTAAGTCAATATTATACTAGTATAATATTGTATTTGACCAGAAACTACTGGTCAAAGACAGACTAGCCTACATTTTCTCTGATAAAACACATAAAACTGTATATATTTATTAAGTGTCCGATAACATCACAAAGAAAACTGGTAGAGAAACAAACACAACAGTGGTTTCTTTAATAAATTTTGATTGAATACACTTCAAAGAGTCACTAAAATGCCCAGAACCGGACTTAGCTATAACCTATCCAATGGTGGTCACATATGTTTTTAAAAAGATGCTAACAGAAAAGGCATTTATGAGAAATAAATCAAAAGGAAGTAAAGTTATGGGCACGTTTTGCTAGTGATCAGACATTTGCAGACTACAGAAAAGCATGCCCTGGTCTGACAATGAGCTGTTGAATTCCAGTATCAAACAGAGTCCAAGCTTGGAGGTGTATGCACTGGAGGATCACATGACCCAATATAATCAAATATTCAAATCATACAATCATCTCCATTCACTTTTTTTTTCTGGCCCCATTAGTCACTTACAGGCAGTAACTGATTATCAGTATACTCCTAAAATGAAGATGAAGACCCACGTTTTGATGTTTTTCCCTTAAATAATTCTCTATCCCGCCTTCCACTCTAGGAAAGGATACTATCTTAGTGCATTTATGCTCCCATAACAAAATACCAAGGACTGGATAATTTATAAAAAAACAAATTTATTTTCTCACAGTTCTAGAGGCTGGGTAGTCCAAGATTCAAAGCACCAGCGGGTTCAATTGTCTAGTGAGGGCTGCTCTCCACTTCCAAGATGGCACCTTGTTGCTGCATCCTCCAGAGGGGAAGAATGCTATGTCCTCACATGGTGAAGGCTGAAGGGCAAGAGAGCTAGTGGCTGCATAAAGCCTCTTTCATAAGGGCCTTAAATCCCATTCCTGTAGGCCCCACCTCTTAATACCATCACACTGGCCATGAAGTTTCACCACCTAAATTTTGGATGGACATAGTCCAACAACAGCAGATGCTAAGAAACTAACTTCTTAATAGTTTAACATGAGTTAGTTCCAGAAACTAAAGATGCATATTAAATTTTGACAATGCTATTATTTTTTCGGTTACGAGAACTAGTAAACTGAGAAGATGAGCTCATAATGCAGCAATTATAAATGTTTCTCTTAGGGACATGCAAAACACATAAGATGACAGTATGCCATTAATCCACGCAGATAGCACCAATAATTTTTTTTACATGACTTGATATTCTGGCAACATTATTTGAACATGCATGGCAGAGATAGTAGAAGATTTTTAGCTATTCTGCTTTGGTAAAGTATTTCTGCTTGTCTTACTTACTGATCTATTAACAATATTAAAGGCAGACTGCCTGGGAATCTGATTTTAAAATAAATCAAAAGTAATGCAGCATTTGAAAAGGAAGGCTGTTTCCAAAGTAGAGAACATGAGAAGAAAAAGTAGGCAAGAAAACAAAGAAGAAAATGAAATAAGGAAAGTGGTATGGGCAGAAAAAGACTGTAAAAAGCTTCATATAAAAAGCAAACCGAGTTTGATGAGAAACAAGAATAAGTTGTAAATTCCTTTGGTTCAAAGGAAGAGGCATGGATGACTGACATGAACATACCAAATTGAATATAATAAACCAAATTGAAAGTAAACTAACACTAAAGAGTCTTTTAATTTATTGTCACAATAGAAACTATAATATCAGGCCAGGTACAGTGGCTCTTGCCTGTAACCCCACCACTTTGGGAGGCTGCGGGGTGCGGGGGGGTGGATTGCTTGAGCTCAGGAGTTCGAAACCAGCCTGGATAACATGGCAAAACCCTGTCTCTACAAAAAATACAAAAATTAGCTGCTTGTGGTGGCACATGCCTGTAGTCCTGGCTACTTGGGAGACTGAGGTAGGAGGATCACCTTAGCTTGGGAGGTTGAGGCTGTAGTGAGCTGTGATTGTGCCACTGCACTCCAGCCTGGGTTGATAGCAGAGTGAGATCCTGTCTCAAAAAAATAAAGAAAATAAAGAAAATAAACTATAATATCATAGGCACTATAGGAAAAACATTATTTAGAAATACATTTTTAGCTAGACATAGTGGCTCATGCCTTTAATTCCAGCAGTTCGGGAGGCTGAGGTGGACGGAACACTTGAGGTCAAGAGCTGAAAACCAGCCTGGCTGACACGGTGAAACCTCATCTCTACTAAAAATAACAAAATTAGCTGGACATGGTGGTGGGCACCTGTAATCCCAGCTACTTGGGAGGCTGAGGCAAGAGAATCGCTTGAACCCAGGAGGCAGAGGTTGCAGTGAGCCGAGCTGCGCCACTGCACTCCAGCCTGGGTAACAGAGTGAGACTCCATGTCAAAAAAGAAAAAGAAATCGATTTTTATGGTTCATCCGTTAAACTGAGAGAGACATCATCCGTTAAACTGAGAGAGACACGTAATCCAAAAATTCTTGCACTTCACAAGAACACTTAATGGATCAAAACTTAATTTGTAAGGGATAATTATGTTTAAAATGCACACACTTAGAAGTTAATGTCCCACCTCTGAGGCAGTGTGGTACACTGATAGCTGAGTGAGCTCCAGAGATGTCTGGAGAATCTACTGTTTGCTATAGTTACCTTATTAACTTACCAAGACAGTGATGCAAGTGACCAGAAGGGTGAACATTCAACTTCCACATGAAGCAAATTGAATTTTGTACATATGACATTTTCTATTACTGACCCCCACCCCCTAAAAAAAATCACAGCTTAAAAAAAAGCATGATATCTTTGGCAGATATGGATCTATTCAACAAATCAGGGTTGGGAACAAACAATCTGAAAACTGAAGGAAGTCCTTAAGAACTATAAGGACAACACTGATGTCAAAATGCATGTAACCTATCAGATTTTTCATTAAAATACCAACAAAGCATTTCAAAAGATAGGCCCAAAGAGGCAAAAGAAACAGATGAAACTAATCAAGGAGTGATGTGGCATCAATATAAATTCACTAAGCATTTCTCTGACTTTTTTGTTTGAAGAAAATTTAAAATACATGCATCCTTCCTCCCTCACCCCCACCATTTCACACCCAGATTGCTAAAATTTTTAAAGTCTGACAAAACCAAGAGCTGGCAAGGATATGAAGAAATGGGAACTCTCATACAATGCTGGTGACAGTATAAATACATGCTCTGGAAAGCAATCTGGCCACATCTGGTAAGTATGATGAAAAACCAAATACCCTATGATTTCTTATACCCTAAGAGAAAGCCTTGCACGTGAGTACATGGCCACAAAAAGAAATCAACAAAGATGTATCAAACTTCATTTGATAAAGCAAAAAATTGGACAAAATCTAAATGTACATCCATCCACAGAAGAATGAATAAATAATGTTATACAATACCACATTAGCAGTTAGATGAATCTGATCAACACAGATAAATTTACTGAAAATATTAGGTTAAAAAAAGGTTGTAGAAAGATACATAGAGTATGATGTACTATTGACATAAAATTTAAAAACACAATACAATGGAAAATATATATGATAAAGTATAAAAAGATGACAGGATACGCACCAAGTTCAGAATAGTCATTACCTCTAAACAAGGGAAGGTGCACAAGAAGCCTTCGAACACATTTGTGATATTTGACTATTAACAACAGAAAATAATCTGGGTTGGGGGAGCCTAAAAACTCTTATGCTAGTATTCATGCTATTATTTTTACCACTTATAGGGTATAATGTGATTAGGAAATTTCAGTTATTCTACTTATAAGGAATTTGCCTGAAAGAAAAGTCAATAAGAACTAGCCCAAAACTGTGATAAAAGAGGAAAAAAGTCAACAAGGAGATAAAAAGCACCTGAGAAAGAATGAATATTGCCCCTAAGACTAAACACAGTGAAATCAGGGTTAAATAATATTCAGGACCATTTTGATGGGAATATAATCATTTTTTAAACAAAACACATATAGTAATCTAAATAACATTTATTACCCACCACCACACATTTGGGAGGCTGAGGTGGGATGTTTTCTTTTTTGCTTTTTGTTTTTTGAGATAGGGGTCTCACTCTGTTGCCCAGGTTGGAGTGTAGTGGCGTGATCACAGCTCACTGCAGCCTTGAACTCCTGGGCTCAAGTGATCCTCCCGTGATATGGTTTGGCTCTGTGTTCACACCCAAATATCACCTTGAATTTTAATAATCCCCACCTATCAAGGGCGGGACAAGGTGGAGATAACTGCATCATGGGGGCAGTTCCCCCATGCTGTTCTTGTGACAGTGAGTTCTCATGAGATAGGATGGTTTTATAAGCACCTGGCATTTCCCCTGCTGGCCCTCATTCTCTTTCCTGCCACCCTGTGAAGAAGTGCCTTCTGCCATGATTGTGAGTTTCCTAAGACATCCGTAGCCATGCGGAACTGTGAGTCAATTAAACCTCTTTTTTAAAATAACTTACCCAGTCTTGGGTATTTCTTCATAGCAGTGTGAATACATCCCACCTCAGCCTCCCAAATAGCTAGGACTACAAGCAAGCACCACAACACCCAGCTAAGTTTTCATTTTTTTGTAGAGTCAGGGAATTGCTATGCTGCCCAGGCTGGTCTTGAACTCCTACCCTCAAGGGATCCTTTCCACCTTAGCCTCCCAAAGTGCTGGGATTACAGGCATGAGCCACCATGCCAGCCCTATTTTGTTAAATGGAATCTATCCAGTTGATGAAGCCAGAAATTCCTATCAAGTACATCATCAAATTCTACTATTCTACTCTAATAAGTAGCTTGATAATCTATCCACTACCACCTCTTACTTAAATATTTGCAACAGCCTCCTCCCTGGTTCTTCGTCCCTTGGCCCCAACCCAATCTCCATTCGGCAGCCAGAATGGTTTTCTAAAAGGAAAAATCATAAATTTCCCTTACAAACTTTTTAATAGCTCCGCACTGCACTCAGGACAGTTCAATCTCTTCCACATGGCTTACAAAGCTCTCCAAGAGATGGCTTCTGCTTACCTCTCTAGTCTCAGCTCTCACTACTCTCACAAAGCCAAACCCCCATATCCACCTGGTGCGTTCACCTCTTGAACTCTACATTAAGCCATACAAACTACATGTTAGTTATCTGAATATGATATGCTCTCTCCTTTTGACCTTTCTACATGTTCCCTCTGTCTGAAACACTTTTCCCACACCCACTCCTGTCTCCCTCTCCCCCATTTTTCTGGCTAATTCCTGGTCCATTAGATCTCAATTTTTTTAATGTGTATCTTCCAGGAATTCTTCCTTTACATCCCTTATGAGGTCCAGCAATAGGTTTCTTTTGATGTGCTCATATGGTATCCTGAATTTCTCCCATCCAAGCACTCATCTTACTATACTGTAAGAATGTTAAATACCCTAATGGCGAGGGTAGTGTATGTCTTGTTCATTATGTGTCCCCAGTACCTAACATAATAGCTGGCACATATTAAGTATTTAATATCTATGAAAACCTGAAACCAATTTTAAAAATAAGGTTATAATCTTATCAAAAGCGTTATAATGTATAATATTAGTAGAAACTGAAAATTTGCAAATTTGTACATTTTTGGAAGTTCAAATTAATGGAATTATATTCCAGCTTAACAGAAATTTTATTTACTATTATACCATGTTTAGTTTTTACCAACGGATACCTTCACCTCAAATAAAGGGAGATGAGCAAGAAAACATTTTGATTAACAACTCATCCCAGTGATTTTTTCTTACGGAGAAAATCAATTTCAATGTGAAGACACAGACAACATATTTTATTTCTGCAGCTGACAATAACAGGAGATAGTAGTGGTAATGAGTCACAAACTTTGAAAAAGTGAGGGACGGCAAAAGTAAATTATCATGAAAGCAACTGTAACTTAAAAAGAGGACTTTGCCAAAAATAGGTCAGAAAGTAGGATGTTCCATACTATGGAACACTTTAAACATATGTGGATACCCAAAACATCTTGGCTTTTAATTATTTAACATATAAACTTTGACTATCAATCCCTTATAGCTTTACATACAAAGCTTTCAAATAGTATTAGGTGTTCTGAATAAAAACATTTGGTGAAATGATAGTTTCTTTTCCTTACACACTAAAATTCCCTACTTAAGTTAGTCTCTATCAATACAAGCTTTCAGAGTAACAAGCTAGAAGCTAGAAGCATACCCGTAACTATTAAGCCCTAAGAGAAAGGGAAGGTGATTCTTTAGTCTTCGAAGGCTATGAAACAAACTACAATTTAAAATCTTAAAATGCAAGTCTTTTTTATACTAACATTGTGTTAATGGACTCAACAGAGAAGCTAGGTGATAGGTATTTTATAGAATGGAAGAATGATCTTACCTGGAAGATTACCCTTTGAGATGGTATCTGTATCCAAATTGTAGGTATCCTGGAGACGTAACAGAGCTTTGGCTGCCCCAACCTGATCTTCATCATTAGGAAAGTACTGTCTCTGAATGGTTAGGTTAGAGATAAAGCCTTGAAATAGATAAATCAAAGAAAAAAAAACTGTAGAACCTCATAAACTTCCCATAAAGAGACTTAATAAGGATTGTTCAAAATCTATTTTATTATTTTCTACCACACCATGAAAAGTTCTACATACTCAACAAGAAAAAATTAAATACACTGAATAAGACTTGGCATACTTCTAACTTGTTCAATCTTCCAAAAGCCTAGTGTTGCTTAAGGACTGTGACGCTGTTATATAAATTGTATCTGTATTAGCAGGTAAAGATCACCTAACATAATAGTTATGAGTTTTTAGTTATATAACACAGCAAGAAAACAAAGTGCATCCACTAAGTTTGAGAAATGAACACATTTATGGGTCTGAAATGACATTCATTGACAATCAATTATACTTCCAGATAACAGATGGTAAGTAAAATATGTGCTCTTAAAGTTGTTTTTTTCTTCCATGTATTACACATTATATAAATATGTAAATATATAAAGTTTGGTGGAATTCTTCAAGGAGAAGGAAGAGATATTAACTATATATTTAAGATCAACAGCAAAGCTAGTTTACTAAAATATATTTAAATCAGTTTAATTATCAAACATGACGTTGATCAACCAAAATTTACAATATATAAACCTAATCTTAGAGGATTTATATAAAGTATGCAAAAATCAAACAAACCAATTACTGATAACTATATAACCCCAAGAAGAATGAATGCTAAACACTCCTTAAGAAATAAAAAATTGGTTTAAAATTTTAATATCAGTATCATTACTTGTGAATAAAAGTTAGGTATGAGACTTCCCTCTCTTCTCATTAACTTATAATCAACTGTTTTGTTTTTTTTTTTTTGAGACAGTCTCACTCTGTCATCCAGGCTGGAGAGCAGTGGCAGTGGCATGATCTCAGCTTACTGCAACCTCCACCTCCCAGGTTCAAGCAATTATCTTGCCTCAGCCTCCCAGTAGCTGGGATTACAGGCATGTGCCACCACACCTGGCTAATTTTTGTATTTCTAGTAGAGACGGGGTTTCACCGTGTTGCCCAGGCTGGTCTCCAACTCCTGGTCTCAAACGATCCACCTGCCTTGGTCTCCCAAAGTGCTGGGATTACAGGCATGAGCAACTGTGTCCAGCCAGCTACGTATTTTGAACAGCAAGAGACCAGGCCTTTTTTTTTTTTTTTTTTTTTTTTTTTTTTTTTGAGATGGAGTCTCGCTCTGTCACCCAGGCTGGAATGCAGCAGTGCAATCTTGGCTCATGGCAACCTCCAACTCCCGGTTCAAGCAATTCTCCTGCCTCAGCCTCCCGACTAGCTGGGATTAAAGGTGCCCACCACCAGGCCCGGCTAACTTTTATATTTTTAGTAGAGACGGGTTTTCACCATGTTGACTAAGCTCCTCTCGAACTCCTGACCTCAAGTGATCTGCCAGCCTCAGCCTCCCAAACTACTAGGATTACAGGCGTGAAATGAAAATGTACAAATGAACAAATAACTAGAAGAGGGCTAGAGTTTATATCAAGCATATTTTTATGCTGTTTTGTCTCTTTTTAGAGACAGAGTCTTGCCATGTTGCCCAGGCTGAAGTGCAGTGGCTTTTTACCAGTATAATTCCATTATTAGATCAATCATGGGAGTTTTGACCTGCTCTGTTCCCAACAATATTTTTAGTTTTACGACCAACTCTCAGTTGCAATCTCTATATGGAATTTTACAAGCAAGTTTTATAAGTTTTATAGAAGGCTATAATATCTCTTATGCTACAAACAAAATTCTAAGAAAAATTAAAATATATATACTCTCTCATAGCATTATAGAATGACTACTACAGATTAAAACAACAAAGTGCCAAGGTTCACATTATAAAACAACTTAGTTCATTACTTGAGAATAAATATATCGATTTCCTTTAAAAAATGGTTCAGGGGCCAGGAACCATGGCTCACGCGTGTAATCCCTAGCGCTGTGGGAGGCTGAGGTGGAAGGATCACATGAGGCCAAGAATTTGAGATCAGCCTGGGCAACATAGCAAGACCTTGTTTCTAAGAAAGAAAAATTTTTAAATTGGCCTGGCGTGGTGGTCTATGCTTGTAGTGCTAGCTACTGAGGAGGCTGAGGTGGGAGGATTGCTTGAGCCCAGGAGTTCAAAGCTGCAGTGAGCCACCATTGTGCCACTGTACTCCAGCCTGGGCAACAGTTAGACAGTGAGACCCTGTCTCCAAAAAAAAAAAAAAAAGTTCCCAAGGTGTTATACAGTACAGAAAATAATCACAGGCATTTCCCTCTCACAGTAAAGAAGTATTCACAAGTACTTGCCATATTTTTCTTTTCAAGGCTTCCTGATCCCTGTGCATAATAAGTTTACTTCACTGCTTACAAACACTGGTAAGTACCCTTGGAGTATTTTATCTACACAACTAGCTCAGCTCTTTTCCGTCTCTCTCTTCTTCTTTTCTTGGCGGGGCAGGGCAGGGGCGGCGGGGGGCGAGGCATAATCCCTTTACCTCCTTAATAAAGTCCAGATTTAGTCTTCTACATCTGTTATTAAAGTATCTAAAACATTTCAATGCTCCAACTACAAATTGTATTGTATCACTTACTCATTTTTACTGTTTGCAGCCTCAGTTTGATTGTCCACATTGAGCAAACTAATTCTAAACTTCAAAATACTAGATAGAACACAGCTAATACTTCTCTTTATAGTAACACTCCCAACATTTTTTTAAATTGATTGCAGATAAAGACATAAATTTTTAAAGTTTGAAGGTAATCCTAAAATAAAAATGATTACCCTCAGAAATGAAGCTATATGCCAAATAATCTATTCACTTTTGCAGATTTCAAAACAAGTCAACAAAAAAAGAAATTACTTCTTTTTTAATCAAAGAATTCAGGATTTTGACTAAATTAACTCTATTCAAACCAAATGCACCCAGGCATAATCCAGTTACAACACTGAACTGAACTGGTTTCCTGGGAACTGAATTTATCATTAATTTTATTATTTCTACATATGGTGGCAATATTACCTTACTCAGGAATCTCTTCAGACTTACCATCTGACATATCCTTAAGGACCAGATTCTCCAACTCACTCCACTCAGTATTCAGACGTTTCATTAATTTGAATGCATTTACTGGATGCCCAACAAATCCTTCTGGATCTTTTGTCGCTGTACTAGTTAGCCGATCTAACTTCTCTGCCCATCTACAGATGTAAAACATAAAAACTGAATATTTATATTTCATAGGGAAAAACACAATTTAATGAAACGCTCAGAAAAAAAATGACTAGAAGTTTTTGAGTTCAACTATATCTGTAGTTTCTTTTTAAAGTAAAAGTATACGGTCTCGGTCTCTTTAAAAAGCGACATCCTCTTGGCAGAATCAATACAACTATAGGACTTTTTGTTTTAATTTTGTTTCTCCCAAATGGTTACAGTAAATGGAACCTCCCTGTCTTAGTAAAAGTTGTGAATGAATCCCTCCAGTAAAAGTCTAAAAATTTTAGACTTAGGTCCCAGGGCCAAATAACTGATTATTACAAACTACAAATTAGCCCAACCCAAATTCAATTACATGTTCATTTAAATCAACTTATACTAAATTTTTACATCCAGTTTCTAGAAACTGTATCTTAAAATGAAAAACTGAACACTTAGCTACTCATTAAATAAAAGACAGGAATTCTCAGGTCAGGATTAACTATGAACATGAGTCAATTAAAAATAAATTCATATTTGAGAAAAACTGTATCAATTAAATAACACTAACGCTACCATCACTATAATCTCTACAATGGAACCATGGGAGTAAAGGATAAGTAGAATTGGAAAATTGCTGCAGCAGGTGGCTTGACTAAGAGGTTAGAAGAGGATAGAAGATATTAGCAATACTTTTAAAATTTATCAGTCAGGCTGGGTGCGGTGGCTCACGCCTGTAATCCCAGCACTCTGGGAGGCTGAGGAGGGCAGATCACCTGAGGTCAGGAGTTCGAGACCAGCCTGGCCAACATGGCAAAACCCCGTCTCTACTAAAAATACAAAAATTACCCGGGCATGGTGGCGCACACCTGTAATCCCAGCTACTTGGGAGGCTGAGGCAAGAGAATCACTTGAACCTGGAAGGTGGAGGTTGCAGTGAGCCACGATCATGCCACTGCACTCCAGCCTGGGCAACAGAGCAAGACTCTGTCACAAAAAAAAAAAAAAAAATGTATCAGTCAGCTTCCTGTATCCATCCATATTCTTTTTTTTTTTTTTTTTTTGAGATAGAGTCTGGCTCTGTAGCCTAGGCTGGAGTGCAGTGGCACAATCTTGGCTCACTGCAGCCTCCACCTCCCGGGTTCAAGTGATTCTCCCACCTTAGCCTCCCAAGCAGCTGGGATTACAGGCACATGCTACCACACCCGACTAGTTTTGTGTTTTTAGTAGAGACAGGGTTTCACCACATTGGCCAGGCTGGTCTTGAACTCCTGGCCTCAAGTGATCCACCCTCCTCGGCCTCCCAAAGTGCTGGGATTACAGGCATGAGCCACCGCATCCGGCTGGTATCTATCCATATTCTTATCCCAACCCATATTCTTCCATGTGAAAGTTGGCCCAAGCCTAACTTGTTCTCTATACTCCTATTTTAGCCATTGCAACTGGCTTTGTAAGACTCAAAAATGGGTTTCATTTCTACTTAAAGAATATTTTAGCTTGAGAAAGAAAACATCCAGGTTGAGTCAGAGTCATAATAAGCAAACATTTTGCTTACTTTTTTATTTGTTCTAACTTGTCCTCTTCTGCCTTAATATAATCTTTCAGAGAAGTCACCAGATCTTTCTCAGTATGGATCAAATCAGTCATCTGACCTAGAAGGGGAAGAAGGTTATCAAATACTCATATCCTTCAACACAAGTATGTTAAGAATAAGAATGATTGAGACTGTTTCATTCTATGAGACAATTTAACTGGCATGAATCAGATATGCTGGAGACTATCTTTTCTTCCTTTTTACCAGATAAACCAAAATAAAGCCAAAAACTTTTCTAATCAACTGTTCCAGTTCTAATTTTTAAGCCACTTGATTTTGCAAGCTTTAGACTGTGCTAGCAAATTGTCTTTATATCTACAAATGTATTTTTAAATTGCAAATCAACACTACTTTCCAAAGATTAATGTTTCTTCACCTTTACCTTTACTTCTTTAGTTCCCCTTTACCTTACCTTTGTTTTTGAGACTAATTAGAATTAAATTTTTATTTAATTAATAAAAGCCACACTAAAAAAGTTTCAAATAATCTGTTATTTATAACAGGATGCGAGAACCCATCATTTTATATACTGGAATCAAGAGTCATAAGTATATAATACTTATGGGCCAGGCGTGGCAGCTCATGCCTGTCGTAATCCCAGCACTTTGGAGGCCCAGCCAGGAGAATCCCTTGAGGCCAGGAGTTGAAGACCAGCCTGGTCAACATGGTGAGACCCTGTCTCTATTCAAAATAATAATGATAAAATATTTTTTAAGTTATAAATACAAAAAAAAACTTGTGTTCACAGTAGATTAAGTGGAAAAAGCAGATTAGATATATATGCAGTATATTACTTGTATATCTGTGCACTGAAAAAGACTAAGTATATGCATTAAATTATTTTAACTTCAATATGTATCATTTTTGTAATAAAAAATAAAGAAAATGTCAAATTATTAAAAAAGGACCTTTTAGGGGGCAGGGAATAAACCTATACTCTAGGAATACACTGTATTTGTTTTTGCTGATTTTAAAACACTAAAAAATGGAAATTAAAAAATGCAAAACCAACAAAAAACAACAAGTAGTAAGACTTACCAATTGAAGTAAAAAAGCCTGGATGAGCCAAAGACTGGGGAAGCAGAATTCCTATAATTAATATATACCAGATCATCTTGGAAGATTTAATTTTACAGGATCACACACCTACAAAAGAAAGAGAGAAATGCAGCCATTACTTAAAAAATACAAAGAGAAGGAAAAGTTCCTTATCTATTATTTCTATGAAAAAGTAAAAGATTCCAAGGTTGCCCATAAAATTGATGTTAGTTATTATCAATTGTTTAATAATAGCTACTATCTTGTTTTTCATATAATGAGAGTACTACCATGACATTTCTTTTTTGTGTTTTTCTCTTTTGAAACAGAGTCTCTGTCGCCCAGGCTGGAGTGCCATGGTGTGATCTTGGCTCACGGCAACCTCCACCTCCCGGGTTCAAGCGATTCTCATGCCTCAGCCTCCTAAGTAGTTGGGACCAAAGGTGTGTGCCACCACACCCAGCTAACTTTTTGTCTTTTTAGCAGAGACAAGGTTTTGCTATGTTGGCCAGGCTGGTCTCGAACTCCTGGCCTCAAGTTATCCACCCGCCTCAGCCTCCCAAAGTGCTGGGATTATAAGTGTGAGCCAACGCACCCATATTAGATAAAAATGTATGTTTGTTATCACCTGATAATTTATGCTTAAAAATTCAAGCTGAGTTTGTTCTCCTTAGTCACTATTACAATTAGAGTAATTGAATAGTAGGTGGCTTTTTCATATAGCCTGAAAAATAAGTTTTCTCTGTGATTTAGACCTATCCTATGACTTTCTCATAAAAATGTACCAACTTATCAATTTAAATATTAAATATTACCAATACATTTTCAAAATGTTAGAATACATTTTAAAGGAAAAATATTTCAGAGCTTTCTGTTAATCCTTAAAATTCCTAATTTGTTCCATCTTTTTCATATATATTTTATATATATATATAGTGTGTGTGTGTGTGTGTATGTGTGTATGTGTGTGTGTGACAGTCTCAAAACTCCTGACCTCAGGTGATCCGCCCACCTCATCCTCCCAAAGTTCTAGGGTTACAGGCGTGAGCCACGGCACCCGGCCCATCTTTTTCCTATATAGCTTAACTTTTTAAAATAAATTCAATCAAAAGTTGTAGATTTGGGGTCAATAAAATGTTCTAAAATTGACTGGCCAGGCACAGTGGCAGGTGCCTGGAGTCCCAGCTACTTGGGAGGCTGAGGCAGGAGGATCACTTGAACCCAGGAGTTCAAAGCCAGCTTGGGCAATACAGCAAGACCCCATCTCTAAAAAACATGAATAAATAAAATAAAATTGACTGTGGTGACTGATGGTGGAATGACTCTGTGAAAGTACTAAAAACCATTGAATCATGAATACTAAATGGGTGAATTATAAGGTATATGAATTATATTGCAATGACACTGTTCTCTTGGTTTGACTTAGTTTGTTTTTTTAAGAGACAGGGGTCTTGTTATGTTGTCCAAGTTGAACTCAAACTCCTGGGCTCAAATCATCCTCCCACCTCAGCCTCCTGAGTAGCTGGAAATACAGGTCTGTACCACTGTGCCTGTTTTTTTTTTTTTTTTAAGTTGTAGAGAATCCAAAACGAATAAACAGCCATGTCCATTTAAACTAGTATTTTCTCTCAAAGGACCCAGACTTCAGTTTTGTTTCTCTTATCAACTGTGTTCTATGTAAAAAAAAACTTAGCCTAAGACATGTCTATGGCCTCTTTTCTTTTTTTAAACCTGGCAGCAAAGCCCATTAGTGTTTTTCCTCTATATCCATGATAGCACCGTCTTTTCTAGTGAGGATTCTTCATGGCAGATGAGGATATAAACTAACCAACAGAAAGGCTTTACCTCACTTTCCCAGATGCCCTGCTAGCACTCTTCTCTTGCTCCTTCTCCCCTACAAACATGAACTTTGTCTTTCTTATTACCTTACAGGAGAATAAGTTACATTACAGTATAGTTTGCCCCAGTAACAGGCTCCCATTAGTTACCCTGACTTGTCAACCTGTTTCTCTTTGTGCAGGCCCCTCTGACTCGTCTTCCTATGTGACGTGAGCTAAACCAAAAGGCTCAGGTTCAAATTGAAAGCTCCCCGTTCTACAAGAGCTAAAAAATAACCCCACTGCCCCCTAACTTGAATCTCAATAAAAACAGATCACCACAAAAACTGGAAGTACTCCCTAGTCTCCTCCCTCGAGTTTGCTGCAAACTTCCAGTTACTTCCAGAACCACACAGTAAGGAAATACACTGCTCTTTTGGCTACCTTACAGTGATTTGGGGAAGGCTTCTAGAATGTAGCAGATGTAGACACTTCCTCTCCTGGGCTCCTGCCAAAGCACAAGGCTTTTTGAAAAGCCTGAGCTGTCTGAAGAAGAGTCTAGAATTTTCTGTTTAAACATACTTCTATTCTAATTTTCTTCATGGATAAATGCTATTTGCAGAAAATACAAATGTTTTCACTGTTAACAGAAGGCTAATCACAAATGTTGTCTAAACTTTTAACTCTGATAAGAGAGTTTAGATTTGTCAGAAAAGAGGTTATTTTGCCATTGCTAAAATATATTGTCACTAAAGTTTTTTTGTCATCTTTCATTGTCCTTAAATCTCACAAGGAATTAAAAACCATTAGCCTACAGAAATAACTAAAAAGCAGCTTAAGATGGTATTTTTCTTCGAATAGCTTGAAAATATTTTAAGAATGACAGAGCCTACATAAAAATTCAAAACAATCGTAAAAAGAATAAATATCTTTACCTTACATAATGTTTCAAAATGAATTCTAGGATGGATTAAATAGTTATAATCAACAAAACAAAGTAAAACAAATAGCAACAACAGAATAGTTATCAGATCTCTAAAAGCAGAGAATTTCTAAACTTAAAAATAAGAAAATGCCTGGGCACAGTGGTTCACACCTGTAATCCCAGTACTTTGGGAGGCCAAGGAAAGAGGATCACTTGAGCTCAGGAGTTTGAGACCAGGCCGGGCAACATAGCAAGACTTCATCTCTACAAAAAAAAAAAAAATCAAAAAATTAGCTGGGTACGGTGGCATACACCTGTGGTCCCAGCTACTTGGGAGGCTAACGTAGGAGGATCACTTGAGACCAGGAAGTTGAGGCTACAGTGAGCCATGATCTTGTCACTGCTCTCCAGTCTGGGCAATAAAGTGAGACCCCATCTCAAAAAAAAAAAAAAGAGAGAAAGAAAACAACCTATCAAAAGCCAGATGGAATCTGAATACACAAAATAAGCTTATGTGTCAAAAAAAAAAAAAAAAAAACCTTTAAAACTCAAACTAGAAAACCATTTAAAGAAAATAGAGCACTTTTAAGGAGTTCATACAAATCAATAAGAAAACCACTAAGATGTTAATAGACAAGTAGATATAGAACTTGGAACTCACAAAAAGGAAAAGTAGTTAGCTCAACAAAAAATGCTCAAACTTATTAGTAATTAATGACACAAAATAAGAAACCATTTTTGCCCATCAAGTGAACAATTAACAAGCAAAATTATTTAATGTTGTTATATGCCAAGAAACTTAAAATGAACACATCCTTTAACTTGTAGAGTTAAATGAAAAAACAAGATTTAAAAATTATCATACAACCTTGGTGGAATCTATATTGACTAAGATTATGTTTTCATTACCCCAACACAAAGTTATAAATAAATTAACACTGGTCAAAACGAAGAAAAATTAACATCATAATACAGTCATAACTATGCAAGAACATATGCAGAGGAAATTCACCAAAGTGTAATTGTCTCTGGTTAGCAAAGCAGTAGGTAATTTTTTTTTTTTTTTTTTTTTTTTTTTTGGAGACAGAGTCTCATTCTGTTGCCCAGGCTGGAGTGTAGTAGCGCAATCTCAGCTCACTGCAACCTCCGCCTCCCGGGTTCAAGCGATTCTCCTGCTTCAGCCTCCCAAGTAGCTGGGATTATAGGCACCTGCCAACACGCCCAGCTAATTTTTGTATTTTTAGTAGAGACGGGGTTTTGCCACATTGGCCAGGCTGGTCTCAAACTCCTGACCTCAGGTGATCTGCCTGCCTCGGCCTCCTAAAGTGCTGGGATTACAGGCGTGAGCCACCGCGCCCGGCTGGTAATTTTCTTTTATATCTCTGTATTTTCCAGACCTCCTATAATATATTTTTATAGTGACAAAAAAATTAACTTCGTACAAAATAATAAACCTAAAGCATTAACTCTCATATTAAGATACCCTAAACTTTTAAAGAAGTAGTTAATTACTCTCTAACAAAAGAGTAGCTAACAAATAATATAAGGTTTTGAGCATGTTCCATCTTGTAGTTCTATAAGCCTCTACATTTCACTTTCTCTTTTTCAAAGATACTTAAGCCTAAACTGGGTGCAGTGGCTCATGCCTATAATCCCAACACTTTGGGAGGCTAAGGTGGGAGGATCACTGTAGGCCAGGAGTTCGAAACCAGCCCAGGCAACACAAGGAGACCCCAACTCTATAAAAAATTTTTAAAAATAGCCAGGTGTGGTAGTAGTCCCAGCTACTCAGTAGGTTGAGGCTGGAAGATCACTTGAGCCTGGGAGGTAGAGGCTGCAGCGGGCCATGAATGTGCTACCGCACTCTAGCCTGGGTGACAGAGACTCTATACCCGTAAAAACAACAGTAAGGCCAGGAGCGGTGGCTCACGCCTGTAATCCCAGCACTTTGGGAGGCCAAGGTGGATGGATCACCTGAGGTGAGGAGTTCGAAACCAGCCTGGCCAACATGGTGAAACCCCGTCTCTACCAAAAATACAAAAATTAGCCGGGCGTGGTGGCAGGCGCCTATAATCCCAGCTACTCAGGAGGCTGGGGCAGGAGAATCGCTTGAACCCAGGAGGCGGAGGTTCCTGTGGGCTGAGATCTCGCCATTGCACTCCAGCCTGGGAGACAAGAGTGAGACTTTGTCTCAAAATAAATAAATAAATAAATAACAATAAAAATAAAAATAACGATACTTTGAAAGCAACCCTATTATCTAGCAGTGAACTAGGCTGCCAAAGTAGCACACTTTCCCATTCTATTTCCTCCTACACTTAGATATAAGACCCAGACTAGGTCAATCATTGACTTTCATTCTCATTAACATAACGGTTGAGGGATGGCCTTGTGAATGGTAGAAAGCAGCTCTTTCTGGAGTTGCTAAGCTCAGAGGATGTGAACTTGGGGCTCTCCTGTGACCATCTTTCTCACTTGTCTAGGATCTATAAACAGGACAAAGTCATACAGAGACAAACAGTTTCAACCCCCAGGGCCCTGATTCTTTGCAACTATTGCTTTGAATCTGTAAGCTACTACAATAATCTCCCAGCCCACCTAAGAAAGCCTTTAAATTCCTTTTTGCTTAAGCTAATTCAAGTTGGATTTCTGTCACTTACAATAGGAAGTTCAGACCCATACAACATTATTCCAAACTAACATGCCTACCCAAGCTAGATAATAAAAATGAAGATAGACCTATATGGCAGTGCTTCTCAAACTTTAGCTCTATCAGAATCACCTAAAGGTCTGAAAAGTCGAGATAATTTGCACAAGTTTCCAGGCAATGCTGATAGTGCTGGCTGGGGGATCACAGTCTGAGAACCACTGGATACAGCAAACAACCCTATGAAATCACCTCTGCATTTAAAATAGATTTTACTTCAATTTATCTTATGTAAAAGTACAACTGAATGTCTAATTACTCTAGAGAATGGTTCTCTAATCTGTTTTAGCACTATGTCTCATTCATCCACATTCATTCAGAAACTTTAAGTGACATGTTAATAGCCAAACGTATCAATCACAGGTTTTTTTAACAATGGTTTCTAGCCGGGCATGGTGGCTCACACCTGTAATCCCAGTACTTTGGGAGGCAGAAGCGGGCAGGCAGATTGCTTGAGGTCAGGAGTTTGAGACCAGCCTGGCTAACACAGTGAAACCCCGTCTCTACTAAAAATACAAAAAATTAGCCAGGCATGTTGGCACACACCTGTAGTCCCAGCTACTCGGGAGGCTGAGGCAGGAGAATCACTTGAACCCGGGAGGTGGAGGTTGCAGTGAGCTGAGATTGCGCCACTGCACTCCAGCCTGGGCAACAGAGCGAGACTCCATCTCAAAAACAAAAACAAAACAAACAATGGTTTCCTTATGGTGTCTCACTTCTATTTATTCTACCTTCATTCAGAAAGCAGCTTGCAAAGAGAATCATTATAGAACATTTAAGAGTCAAGTATCCCAAAAGACATTATGACTTTATCAAAAATTATAAAATATAAATGCCTCCTGTTCTAAATATTCAAACAAGCTTGAAAAAGAAATTAATGGGTCAAAATGGATGCAATCTCCTTTAAAAGAAAGACTAATCTCAGATAGCATCCCTGAAAAGACTTGTCTTAATTTTTAAAAAGACAAAGAGGAGGGAGGGAGGAGGAATAGGAGGAAGAAAGAAAAGAAAACCCAAGAAGAGTCAAAGATCCAAAGATAAACTTACACTGGAATAAAACTTGGTGTTGCAACAGTATGAATAAGTTATTGATAATATTTAGGTTATTGGTTAGATAGGTTCAAAAGTGTTTATTATATAATTTTTGTAACATACATGTATATTACTTATAATGTTTGGTAGCATATTACATTTTTTAAACTATAAGAAAAAAAGCAGTATGGAAGAAATCCTACCAGAAAACATTTTCAGGTAGGCCTGGATAAAAATAAATGTGAAGTTTACATTCATCCAAACACAAAACTTTCCTACAGTTCTTATTCCAGGGAAGTCCAGTCCCACAGACTCAACAGGTCAATCAAACCTGGGAACAGATCTTAAAAGTTCTACCATATAGTAAATACAAATGATCCCCAACATAGGACAGTTTGACTTAGGATTTTTCAACTTTATGATGGTGCAAAAGTGATATGCCATTCAATAAAAAACATACTTTGGGCCAGGCACAGTGGCTCACGCCTGTAATCCCAGCACTTTGGGAGGCGGAGGCTGGCGGATCACGAGGTCAGGAGTTCGAGACCAGCCTGACAAACAGGGTGAAACCCTGTCTCTACTATGGGCGTGGTAGCGTGTGCCTCCAATTCCAGTAACTCAGGAGGCTGAGGCAGAAGAATCGCCTGAACCTGGGAGGTGGAGTTTACAGTGAGCCAAGATGGCACCACCACACTCTAGCCTGGGCAACAGAGCGAGACTCCGTCTCAAAACAAAAACAAAACATACTTTGACCCCACAACCATTCTGTGGTTCACTTTCGGTACAATATTCAATAAATTACATGAGCTATTCAACACTTTATTATAAAATAGGCTTTGTTAGATGATTTTGCCCAACTGTAGGCTAATTTAAGTGTTCTGTTTTGAGCATGTTTAAGGTGTGCTAGGCTAAGCTATGATGTTCATCTTACAGTATTTTCAACTTACAGTTGGTTTATCAGGACACAGCCCCATAAGTCAAGGAGCATCTATATTTACATTGAGTTATGAGGAGTCATTGAATTTTAAGTACAAGTTATCCAGTGAATTACTAGGACAGGGCATCTGGTAAATAATTCTATTAGCGTTTTGGTCAAATATTTTTCTTCCAAGAAAAAGTTGTAAAATTTTCAAAAGTTTATATCTCCCAGACAAATCATTCAAAAATTAATAAGGCAGACTAAAGAGTGCTTGATATTCTCTTTTTTTAAGCTAGTCAAGTAAAGCAATGGGAGTGCAGAAAAAACAAAGAAACCTGTAACTCATTGTGATCAATTAGTTGTAAACACCATTGCACTTGGTCCAGCCAAGAATGCTTGATATTCTAAACTAAACTTTCTCTGACACTTAAAATTTTCCACAGGGGTTCTTTTAACCTTCGACACTTGTTCCAAACCTTCTTTTAGAAGGCTCCAACTTTATTTTTCCTCATACAGATCCCTTATTCAACTGTTGGTCCTCCTGAAATCTGTTTCAGACTTTTAATGTTTCTGACAGTTTTCATGGTCAACACAAAAGAACACCACAAATTCAGGCTCCTAAATCAGGCCATTATAATGTGCTTATGGTGTCTCACTTCTATTTATTCTACCTTCATTCAGAAAGCAGCTTGCAAAGAGAATCATTATAGAACATTTAAGAGTCAAGTATCCCAAAAGACATTATGACTTTATCAAAAATTATAAAATATAAATGCCTCCTGTTCTAAATATTCAAACAAGCTTGAAAAAGAAATTAATGGGTCAAAATGGATGCAATCTCCTTTAAAAGAAAGACTAATCTCAGATTATGTCAAAACTTGGCATGTCTTTTCCATCTTAACAGGATGTATCTTCCAAGACAAGTAAGAGTAATTACTAATAGAATTAGTTATATTTCTGTTCTTCCCTATAATCCCTCTGCAAATTGCCATTGTTTTTACTTAACTCCATGAATTCCAGTCATACTTCTGTTCTTAAAAGAAGAGTGAGCTACATGTCTAGTACTTACAATCTGATGGACAAATACTTTAATGCTATGACCAACTTTTCTATCACAAATTCAGAAATCACGCTAGCTTCTTTCCCTCACTTTCTGTACTAGGGTAGTGAACTGTACTGAGCAGTATTGTAGCACTTATTGGCATAATTCCAAATGAAAAGCATTTCAAGATTCATATTAGAAGTCAGCTCTAAGTTAAGATATTGCCCTTAACTGAAAGTGCTACACAGGCTGTCTTTTGGAAGTTCTTCCAAAGTCCTAAGTCTTTCCTGTCAGAAAGAACGTTAAGATGAGATCATTTCAAAAACACACACTTATGTTTTGCTTATGACACCTCCTCCACCCCTTTTCTCTTTCTTCAAGAAACTGACCCCTTTTACCTTTTTCTGGCACTCTATTCTACCTTTAATTCATCCCCATACAGCATGATGCTTATCCCTAACCAAATGGCTATTCAAAGTTCTAGTAGTTCTGAATGCCTGAACTACATAAAGTTCAAGTGACAGAGTGGAACTTGGTCTCAAAAAAAAGAATATATTTGCCTACATATGTAACAGGTTTTTTAAATTTAATACAATAATTAAAAGAACTCAAAAAAATGTTAAATGAGAGGTGGAATCACAGTTGTTTTTCTCTTCCCTCAACATCTACACTTCTTTGATAAACATTTTTAATTTAAAAAAATTCTATTTCTGTAAATAAACAAGCTAACAAAAAAACAAAGTTTAAGTAAATAGATAAATCATAGAGTTAGCAAAATCCCAAATGATGAATTCCACAGCTCTGCTTCTAGCTGGCATAATACCACCATCAATCCCTTTTGTTCCCAAACAAATTTCACCTATTTTTGATTTAAACAAGAAGTTCTGATAAGACAGCTTTGGTTTTTTCACCACCCTAAGGATACAAGTAAAAAGTTTAAAAGTTTTGTACAATATGCACTTTAGATTTCTTAAACTTAAATATAAATTATGAAGTTAAGTAAGGCAAACAATTCCAAATTCAGAAGTTTTCATGAAACTTCATTCAAGACTAATTGTATTGTTTGGGGGTCTGGCTTTGTTGCCCAGTCTGGAGTGCAGTGGAGCAATCACAGCTGACTACAGCCTCGACCTCCAGGGCTCAAGTGATCCTTCCACCTCAGCTTCCTGAGTAGCTTGGACTACAGGGCTTGTGCCACCACGACCGGCCAATTTTTTAAATTTCTTTTATTTGTTGTAGAGTTGGGATCTCCTTATGTTGCCCAGGCTAGTCTCCAACTCCACCTCCAGGCTAGTCTCAAGCAGTCTTCCCGCCTGAGCCTCCCAATGTGCTGGGATTACAGATGTGAGCCACCGTGCCCAGACCAAGATTGAATTTTATATAGCAGTTATACTACTTGAAAAATGACCATTTGGGGAAAAAAACTGGCATTCTCTTTAGAAAATGACCGTTATATACAAAGAATAACCAATCACAGGAAACAATTTTAAAAAGCTCATTTGCAACAGCAACACTTAATTACCTGGGAATAAACAAGATAACTGTAAATTTACCCTAAAATTAACACATTAAGACCATTTTGAAGTTTAAGACAATAAACTGGCCAGGCTTGGTGGCTCATGCCACCAAGGTGCAATCCCAGCACTTTGGGAGGCCAAGATGGAAGGATCACTTGAGCTCAAGAGTTCGAGACCAGCCTTGGCAACATGGTGAAACCCAGTCTTTACAAAAAAATAAAAAAATTAGCCGGGCATGGTGGCATGCTCCTATAGTCCCAGCAACTCAGGAGGCTGAGGTGGAAGGATTGCTTGAACCCAGGAGGCAGAGGGTACTATAAGCCATGATTGTGCCACTGCACTCTAGCCTGGGTGACAGAGTGAGTCCATCTCATTTAAAAAAAAAAATTATTTTCATAACCTTGGATTAGGCAATTAATCATAACGCCTAGGCAATAGTTTCTTAGATATGACGCCTAAAGCACCAAGAAGCCAAAGAAATAAATAAATTGAACTTTGCCAAAATCTAAAACTGCTGTGCTTCAAGAAAGCGAAGACAATGTAAAAAAGTATTTGCGAATCACATTTCCGATAGCATCAGGTTTAGTATCCAAATATATAAAGAACTTAGAACTCAATAATTTTTTTTTTTTTTGAGACAGAGTTTTGCTCTTGTTGCCCAGGCTGGAGTGCAATGGCACAATCTCAGCTCACTGCAACCTCCACCTCCTGGGTTCAAGCGATTCTCCTGCCTCAGCCTCCCGAGTAGCTGGGATTACAGCCATGTGCCACCACGCCTGGCTAATTTTGTATTTTTAGCAGAGACGGAGTTTCTCCATGTTGGTCAGGCTGGTCTTGAACTCCCAACCTCAGGTGATCTGCCCACCTCAGCCTCCCAAAGTGCTGGGATTACAGGAGTGACCCACCGCACCCGGCCAGTGATTTTTTTTTAATGGGCAAAGGATTTGAATAGACATTTCTCCAAAGAGGCAAGTACATGAAAAGATGTTCAACATCATTCATCACTATGAAAATGCAAATCAATTCCACAATGAGATACCACTTCACTGCCACTTTGATGGCTACAGTAAAAAATGACTAGCTGGGTACAGTGGCATACGCCTGTAGTTCTATCTACTTGGGAGACTGAGGCAGGAGGATCACTGGAGTCTAGGAGTTTGAGCATATAACTGCACTATGATTGCACCTGTGAATGGCCACTGTACTCCAACATGGGCAACATAGTAAGACTTCATCTCTTTAAAACAAAAAGTGACACACAATTACAAGTATTGACAAGGACACAGAGAAACTGGAACTCTGATACATTGCTGGTAAAAACGTAAAATGAGGCAGTTGGTCTGGAAAACAGTTTAGTTCCTCAAAAAAGCTGAACAGAATAACCATATGGCCCAGATATTTCACTCATAGGTCTATACCCAAAAGAAATGAGAACACATGCCCAGGCAAAAACTTTTGCATGAATGTTCACGGCAGCAGCATTATTCATAATAGCCAAAAGGGTGGAAATAACCCAAATATCCATTAGTGGGTAAACAAAGTGTGGTCTATCCGTACAATGGAATATTATTTGGCTATAAACAGAAATGAAGTACTGATATATGTTATAACACAAATGAACCTTGAAAACATTAAGTAAAATAATCTCTAGAAACAAAAAGTAGATTAGTGGTTGCCCAGGGTTAGGCAAGGGACAATGGGAGTGACTGCTACTGGCTCTGGGGTTTCTTTTTGGAGTGATATAAATGTTTTAAAATTGATTGTTGTGGTAACACAACTGTGAATATATTAAAAGCCACTGAAATGTATACTTTAAAGGGAAAATTGCATGGTACGTGAATTATTACTCAATAAAACTGTTTTAAAAAAATTAAAAAGAAAACAGGCTGGGAGCGGTGGCTCACGCCTGTAATCCCGGCACTTTGGGAGGCTGAGGCAGGCAGATCACTTGAGGTCAGGAGTTCAAGACCAACCTGGCCAACATGGTGAAACCCCATCTCTACTAAAAATACAAAAATTAGCCAGGCGTGGTGGCACATGCCTGTAAATCCCAGCTACTTGGGAGGCTGAGGCAGGAGAATTGCTTGAACCCAGGAGGTGGAGGTTGCAGTGAGCCGAGATTGTGTCACTGCACTCCAGCCTGGGTAAAAGAGTGAGAGTGCATCTCAAAAAAAAAAAAAAAAAAAAAAAAAAGAGGAAATCAACCTAAGTTCTCATTTCACTTGGGTAAATACCTAGGAGCGGGAATGTTGGGTCATATGACAAGTATATATTTACCTTCATAAAAAACTGCCAAACGTTTCTCCAAAGTAGCTACACTATTTGCCCTTCCAACAGCAAAGGATGAAAGTTTCCATTGCTCCCATTCTTACCAGCATTTTGTATTGCCGTTTTTTCCTTAGTTTCTCTTAATATCTTAATTTTCACAATAGACATATAGTACTATCTCATTATGGGTTTAATTTGCAATTCCATAATTACTAATGATGTTTAATGCCTTTATTTTTTTTTTTTTTTTTTGAGACAGAGTCTCACTCTGTCGCCCAGGCTGGAATGCAGTGGCACAATCTTGTCTCACTGCAACCTCCACCTCCTGGGTTCAAGTGATTCTCGTGTCTCAGCCTCCTAGGTAGCTGGGATTACAGGCACGTGCCACCACACCTGACCAATTTTGTATTTTTAGTAGAGACGGTTTCGCTATGTTGGCCGGGCTAGTCTTGAACTCCTGACCTCAGATGGTCCACCCACCTCAGCTTCCCAAAGTGCTGGGATTACAGGCATGACCCACCATGCCTGGCCTATGTTTAACACCTTTTGGGGTGTTTATCTGCTGTTCATACACCTTCCTGCATAGTGTCTACTCAAATCTTTTGCTCTTTTTAATTAGGTTGTTTACTTTTTTTAATAGAGATGGGGTCTTGCTATGTTGCCCAAGCTGGTCTCAAACTCCTGGATTTTCAAGCAATCCTCCAGTCTTGGCCTCCCAAAGTGCTGGGATTACAGACGTGAGCCACCATGCCCAGCTTTGAGTTCCTTATACAGTCTATTTTTTGTCAGATATGTGATGGGGAATATTTTCTCCCAGTCTGTGAAGTCTTTTTATTCTCTCAACAGTGTGTTTGGAAGAGCAGAATTTCTTAATTTTGATGAAGTCTAATTTATCAGTTTGTTCATTTATGAATCATGTTCTTGGCATCATGTCCAAGAAATCTCTGCCTGACCCATGGTCAAAAATATTTTTGTCCTATGTTTTCTTTCAAATATTTTATAGCTGTACATTTTACTTCACAATCTATGAACATTTTTTAAAATAGAAACGGGTCTCACTCTTGCCAAGGCTAGTCTCAAACTCCTGGGCTCAAGCAATCCTCCTGCCTCAACCTCCCAAAATGCTGGGATTACAAACGTGTGCGACCAGACCCGGCCTACGAACCATTTTGAACTAATTTTTGCATACAGTGTCAAGTACAGATTGAGGCTCTAATAAAAAGATTTCATTTTGATGTTTGAGTGCAGATTGCCTTCAGGTCCCACACCTCTCTCCCTTTTGTCCCACATCTGGGTAAGTCTGTAAGAAAGCCCAGGTACTCCCTCCCTTGGTATTGGTGTAAAGTTGAAACCATATAAATACCACACTTGGGGACCAGTATTCCCTCCCTTGGTACTGGTGTGAAGTTGAAACCATGTAAATACCACACATGGGGACCATCAAACAAGTTCCACCTTCTGGTCAATAAAAACCAAAGCCACCCACCCTGTTTCACTCTTGCTTCATCCTGGACTAAACCTAAGTCCTTGACCTTGAGGAGTCCTTTTGCTGTTTACTGTGTGATTAAACTTTATTTCATATCCACTGGTGGATTCATGTCACTTGTCCCAATATTCACATAAATTCCTGGGCAAGGGACTGCCCAGTGTCCAACAGTGGATACTTGGTGCCCAAATAAAACAAAGATTGTTTTTTCTTTGCATATGAATATTCAACTGTTCCAGACTATCCTCTGTTGAACTGCCCTTAAACTTTTTCAAAATGAATTGACAATTTTTGTGTGACTAAATTCTCTATTTTGTTCAATTGATCTGTATGTCTATCTTTTCTCCAATACCACAGTCTTGGTTATTGCAGCTTTAAACTAAGTTGAAATCAGGTAGTATGAATCTTCCAACTTTGTTATTCTTTTTCAAAATTGTTTTAGCTTTTCTAGTTCCTTTGGTTTTCCATATTAATTTTAGAATCGGCTCATTAATTTCTATAAGAAATCCTCTGAGATTTGGACTAGAAATGTGCTGAATCTATAAATCAGTTTGAGAAGAGTAGGTATCTTAATACTGAGTCTTCTAATCCATGAACATGATATAATCAGTGTTTCATAATTTTCAACATACAAATATTACACACCATTTGAAAAGTTAATACTTAAGTATTTCATGGTTTTTAGTGCTAATGAGATGGGAATTTTTCACTTTAGTTTCTAATTGTTCATTATTAGTATATAGAAATACAATTTACTGTTGTATATTGACCTTCTAAGCTACAACTCTGCTGAATTAACCTATTCACTAGAGCTTTTTTGAAGAGTCACAGACATGTTGTCTGTGAATAGAAACTGCTCTTTGAAGCACACTGTTTAAAGAATGAAGACAAGCCAACAACTGGGAAAAAATATTTCCCTATCACATCTAGCTATTGCACTCCTAGGCATTAATATAAGAGAAAAGAAAGCATATCTCTCTCCAACAACTTGTACATGAATGCTCATAGCAGCTTTATTCATAATAGTCAAAAAGTGAAAACAATCCAAATGTCCATCAAAGGGTAAATGGGTTAAAAAAAATCATGGTATATTCATAAAATAAAATACTATTCAACAATAAAAAACTATGAACACATAACAACATGGATGAATCTCAAATTATGCTGAGTGTAAGGAGATTCCCCGTGCTAAAAAAAAAAAAAAAAAGCGTATATACAATTCCATTTTTATAAAATTCTAGAAAATAAAAACTAATCTTAAGCAACAGAAAGGAAACAATGGTTTCCTAGGGATACAGAGAGGGTAGTAAGGAGCAAAAGAAGGGATTACAAAAAGTCATAAGGATACTGCCGATGCCCCGGCTAGAGTGCAGTAGCGTGATCTTGGCTCACCGCAGCCTTAATCTCCAGGCTTTGGGTGAGTCTCCCACCTCAGTCTCCCAAGTAGCGGGGACTGCAGGCACACAACACCACACCTGGCTTTTTAATTTTTTTGTAGAGACAGGGTTTTACCATGTTGCGCAGGCTGGTCTTGAACTTCTGGGCTCAAGCAGTCCTCCTGCCTCGGCCCCCCAGAGTGTTGGGATTACAGGTGTGAGCCACTGCGCCTGGCCAAGTATACTCTTTTTTGAGACAGAGACTCATTTCGGTCACCAGGCTGGAGTACAGTAGCACAATCACAGTTCATTGAAGACTCAACCTCCCCAGCTCAAGCAATCCTCCTGCCTCGGCCTCCCAAGTAGCTAGGATTACAGGCAGGCACCATCACACCCAGCTAATGTTATTTTATTTTGTGTAGAGATGAAGTCTTTCTATGTCGCCCAGGCTGGTCTGGAACTCCTGGGCTCAAGCAGTCCTCCTGCCTCGGCCACCCAAAGGGTTGGGATTACAGGCCTAAGCCACTGTGCCTGACCTTGAGGATACTCTTGAAGGTGATGGATATGTTCCTTATCTTGATTGTACTGATATTTTTTTAAGTAGATATTTTTGTCAAATTTATCAAATTGTACACTGTAAATATATGCAATTTGTCCTGTCAATTTTGCTCAATAAAGTCGTTAAAATATATCAGTTTATTCAATTTATTAGTAATCACCCTTATATCAAAGATTAGTGTTTTACTTATTACTATCACTCTACTTGGTGGCAATGGTCACTATTCACTATTTTCAAATACAATATTAAGGTTTTTTAAATTCAGGCATAGTAAATTGAGGTCTATTTTCAAAATATCTTTGAGGTTAAAGGAAGTAACTGCAGGCCAGGTGCGGTGGCTCATGCCTGTAATCCCAGCACTTTGGGAGGCCGAGGCTGATGGATCACCCCCGGTCAGGAGTTCGAGACCCGCCCGGCCAAGATGGTGACACCCTGTCTCTACTAAAAATACAAAAAAGTAGTCGGGCGTGGTGGCGGGTGCCTGTAATCCCAGCTACTCGGGAGGCTGAGGCAGAGAATTGCTTGAACCCAGGAGGCAGAGGTTGCCGTGAACCGAGATTGCGCCACTGCACTCCAGCCTGGGTGACAGAGTGAGAGTCCATCTCAAAAAAAAAAAAAAAAAAAAAAAAGAAGTAACTAAATTTTGAAATCATGTAAATTTGAGAATGTCTTCATGTAACCTTTGACTATGAATATGTTGCCTGAGTTTACCAAAAAAATAAATAAATAAATAAATAAATAAATAAAAAGGAGGAAGGTTGTCAGAACCATAGGGCAAGAACAAAGGTCACACACACAAGTAACATTTTGAGGTCCTAAATTCAACCAGTAGGTTTTAGAAATACCAACTTTTTTTGTTTTTTTGAGACAGGGTCTGGCTCTGTCACCCAGGCTGGAGTGGAGTGGAACAATCAGAGCTCACAGCAGCCTTGAACTCCTGGGCTCCAGAGATCTTCCCACCTCAGCCTCCCAAAGCACTGGGATTACAGATGTGAGCCACCACGCCTAGACTAAAATAAACATTTCTTGATCATATTTTTGGAGAAATTAGATATGCAAATCTAGTTAATATAAGATTAGAACTGTAAGAGAAGTCTTGAGCCTACTTAAAATCAGTTAATCAATATTTAATTTATTGTTGCAGACACATGTAACAGGATATCTGATGCTTCATACACTGTTCAATGCCTTTTAATTTTATGACTTGTATGATAGTTCTCGGCTATTCATTCTTGGGTTTTACTGAAGTTCCAAAAATCAAAGAGCTTTGATTCTTGTAATGGAAATATCTAGAGAAACTTGTGTTTAACTGACTCGGCAGAGATGAAGGCCAAATTCTCATATGTACCTATAACATTACTCAAATACTATTCTTAGTACAAAAAAGTTAAATATACTCTTATCTCTGAACATGAGCTATTCAGACCAAGGCCACTCAGGTCAGAGTAGAATACTCAAAAGCTGGCTTTAGCAGTCCCTTTCCTCCTAAAAAATGGATTATTGCTCTGAGGCCCAGGTATACTCAGCTTCATCCCTCCCAAGGCTATTCTGTCAAAATTCCACTTTTATTTCCACCCAGTCTACCTCTTTCTAGTCTTCAATTATCTGTTTACTCTAATGCCAGATCCAAATTTCTCAAGTTGAGGTAAAGAGAGACAAAATAAGACCATGTATACTAGAACAGGGAAAAATGAATTCATGGTTGTAGAGGATGTGAATCTAGATATGCATTTCCATTCAGTGCTACAGATTTAATATCTAGTAAAATGTTAGCCACATGGTGCTATATCATGTAATTTTTATGTCCTACTTCTCCTATGAAACATTTCTCATCATTCTTGATTTTCCTACAGTCTACTGGCCATATTGTAAATAATTTTTTTTTCTTTTCTTTTTTTTTTTTTTTTTTTTAGAGACAGGGTCTTGCACTCTCACCCAGGCTAGAGTGCAATGGTGCTATCATAGCTCACTGCAGCTTCCAACTCTTGGGCTCAAGCGACCCTCCCACCTCAGCCTCCCAAGTAGTTAGACTACAGATGCATGCAACCTCATGCCCCCTTAATTAAAAAAAAATTTTTTTTGTAGAGAGATGGGGTCTCACTATGCTGACCAGGCTGGTCTTGAACTCCTGGCCTCAAGTGATCCTCCTGCCTCGGCCTTCCAAAGTGCTGTGATTACAGGTGTGAGCCACCATGCCTGGGCAACATAGTAAGGCCCTGTCTCTAAAAAAAAAAAAATTTAAATATAAATTTAAAAATTAAAAAATTGGTTAAAGTTTACTGTAATTATACAGGTTGATAAAATAAACCACTAAATTACAGTCCTCTCTTTGCACTACTTATAATGGAGAAACAGCTCAAGTGTCCAACAAGAGAGTAAGGATGACCAGGCATGGTGGCTCACACCTATAATCCCAACACTTTGTGGGGCAGATGGGAGAATCACTTGAGGCCAGGAGTTCGAGACTAGCCTGGTCAACAGAGCAAGATCCCATCTCTACAAAAAATTAAAAAATTAGCTAGACATGGTGGCATGCATCTGTACCCCGAGCTACACCCGGAGGCTGAGGCAGAAGGATTGCTTGAGCCCAGGAGTTCAAGGCTGCAGTGAGCTATGGTCACACCACTGCACTCCATCCTGGGCAACAGAGCAAGATCCTATCTCTTAAAAAAAAAAAAAAAAGAGAGAGTAAGGCTGAGTGTACTAATTCCACATAATATTACTATTTAAGAAAGAAATGAGTAATATGGACACATTTTTATGAAACACTAAACATGAGGAAGAGAAAGGCCCAATATAGAACTCATTCACTGATGACAACTAGGTAAGAAGTCTGAATCTCTATAATGTATTTTTAGCAAATGTCAAATCAAATATACTAACAGTCATACTGATCATCCAAAGGAAGACCAGGAAAAAGAATGTTTTTCACCACACCGAGTTTAAAAACTGCTGGAGTAACCTAAATGAGAGTCCTTTTGAATTGCCAAAGCTTTTCTTTAGGTACAATACTTATTCAACTAGAGAAACTGAAGCTGTCCTAATGACAGGACAGCTTCAATTTATACAAATAAATTTTCTTGAATAGAAACACAAAGCTTTGGCCGGGCACGGTGGCGTGATCACACCTGTAATCCCAGCACTTTGGGAGGCCAAGGCGGGCAGATCACGAGGTAAAGAGATCGAGACCATCCTGGTTAACACGGTGTAACCCCGTCTCTACTAAAAATACAAAAAATTAGCTGGGCGTGATGGTGGGCGGCTGTAGTCCCAGCTACTCGGGAGGCTTAGGCAGGAGAATGGCGTGAACCCGGGAGGTGGAGCTTGCAGTGGGCCGAGATTGCACCACTGCACTCCAGCCTGGGTGGCAGAGTGAAACTCCATCTCAAAAAAAAAAAAAAAAAAAAAAAAAAAAAAAATATATATATATATATATATATATATATATATATACACACACACACACACACACATACTCATTTTATTTGGATTTTTTATATATATTCATATATTTATACACACACAACACATTATGGTTTAATTACAAGATTCAAGATCTCACTGCAAGAAAAGCAATAAAGTTTAATGCCAAGAGCCTATGCAATTTATTTTTGTTTACTTCCAAGCCTGTTCCACTTTCAGAATGGAAAACCAAAGTTAAGTTACCATATATAGGAGAGGGCATGCAATGTGATATACTTTCACAGACTAGACAATTTAGCATTTCAACAATTCTAACAACCTATTAACTTTTGTTAAAACCCTTTTGGCAAAAATGTATTAGGGTCACCCACATATACAAGTCCAGTCAGACTTACATGCCCAGCTCGATTTTCAGAAACATTCAATACTGCCTCAAGACACCTAGATACCCTTAGAGAGTAACTTCACATCTCTTACTTTTTAGGGGTTCTTATAATAAAGTTCATGAATGGACTTGAGTGGGGGGGCAGGAAGTGACATACAAAATTCCATGTAGGGTGTATTTGCATTTTCTGACATAGGACCACACCTTTCATCAGATTCTCAAAGGATTTCATGACCTTAAAATAGTTTGAGAACCACTATTATGTATCTCACAGGTCAATTCAAGAGCAATAATTATATCCTAGTTGATAACTGGTTGCTAAGTAAAATAAAGCATTCCTTCCACAGAAAGGAAGGCTCACAAGCTTTATGGCTGTCCCAGCTCTTGCTGCATCTCTGGAATAAATGCCGTTTGAACTTAATTGCCCTACTGAAAAACACTGCTTTTCAGTATACAACTTATTCTGCACTAATAGAAAAGGTTAACAGCTCCTTGCCAAAAAGCCAAGATTCATCTGCAACAACCCAGACTACAAGGCAATATAAAACTTTTTTTCAATAGTCTTTTGCACTAATTTTTTTGGCATAATTAAAAGTTGTACACATTTTTCAACTGTTTTACCATCTAAGTTACCAAAACACAAAATGGCCAATGTAATTATCCGCCTACCAAAGTCCTGATTTTCAGTACTTCAAAATAAAACTCATTTCAAAATGTCAATAAAAACAGCACTACCCATTTAAAAGAGACAGAAATAGTCCTTTTCCTAGTTAGTCTATGTAAATCTAAGAAACATTTGTCATCAGCTATCAAAAACAATGGCAGGACTTAAGGCACAATGTCCCAAAACCAAAACTGACTATGAATTTTATTAAAGGTAAGTGATAAAGTCTCTTTTCCCACATAAAGAAAAAAGTAAAATTTGAAGTTCACATTTCAGATTCTTAAATTACGCTCACAAGCTAAAAAAAAAAAAAAAAAAAAAAAAAAATCACGGGGTGTGTATTCACATTTCACATGAAGACAAAATATAGTTGAGGTTGTTCACTTTCAGCTTCTTGAATATATCGTCTTAGGATACCGATTTTCTCCATAGAAACTTGATTCTAAAAATCCCTTTAAAATGTTTTTTAAATTAACTTCCAACGTTCCTGCTATGCAGACTGAATTCTTCATCTGATTATTTTAGGAAAAGACTAGCCTCATTCATAAGCTACGTCTAAACCTAAAAGGGGAAATACGTTTCTAACCAGAACTTTAAAAAAAAAAAAAAAAAAGAGTAAAAAATTGATGAAAGAACGCTGCTGCCACGTCTTTGCCCCTCCCCCCTTCACGTAGTGGCTATTTCATCCCCTCCGAGTGCATTCCAAGCGAAAGTCCGAGAACCACTGCTCTCGGAGAAACCAGAAACAGTTAAGTGGAAATTGGCAAGTCTCTTTGGCCTTTTAGATCAATTCCTAAAAGAGGATCTAGCTGCTTCTTCAACCCTTTCTTAAAGAAAACAGTGCAAAATTCCAAGAGTCTTCACTCTATCCGGAACGCGTAAGATGTTAGTGTCTAAACATTGAATTTGTATGTAACAGAGTCGATTATTTAGGAGAAAGAGTCTCACAGTTATCATACCATCCTTCCTCCCCATTGAAACATACATCCGGGGGCCAGCCATGTAATCCAACTCAAAATCCTCACACAACCATGGAATTTGTTGGACTGATGTGGACTTTTAAAAGCTGCAAATTCTCGGCAGAGAGAGACAGAGAGACAGAGATTGAGAGAAGAGCTCTTGTCTCTTTTTAAAAAAAGTTATGGGGAAGAAGAGGGAAGGAAGCTTCCCTGACGACGAGGTGACCTGAGAGCCTACTTCCTCGGCGCTACGAGCAGAAAGCTCGGCGCCCCGGGCTACGTCTGGCAGCTAATGCTGCACCGCTGCGCGCAACAGATGAGTTCAGCCGGAACTTTCTGGGGAGGTCCCCCCAGCTCCCGGCGACTTTCGATAGGGCAAAAATGCCTGGCGCGCTGCGGATCCAGCTCCAAGCCTTAAAATCCGCTCTCCACCGCCACATGCGAACCATCTGCGGCTGTGGCGGCCAAAAGCCCACGCCCCGCGCTTGCGTTCCCCTTAGCCTCGTTAGGGAGGACCAGGTGCAGGGGAACTTGGAAAAAAAAAAAAGCAACAGAGTGATTCCTCCCCGGGAAGGAAAATTCAAGAAAGTCCTGGTCCCTAGGGCGGGGACTGAGGCTGCAGCAGCCCCAGCGGTCCGAGGCGCACTAGGGACAGAGGTGGGAAGGGGGGCACGAAGGAGCGCGGGCGCCGGGAGTCGCGTGGCGCAGGGAGAGGGGCCGAGTCTCCCGAGGGGAAGGAACCGAGGCTGCTGTGGTAACCTGGGGAACCCCCGCCCCAGAAGTACCACCACAGCGGGAAGGAATGGATCGCCGCAGCCGTCCGAGAAGGTCCACGGCTGCCCAGTGGCCTCAGTCTCCGGGATCGAGGGAGCGTCTCACCTGGAAAGTGGGACGAGAGGGCGGCGCGCTCTTCAGCCCCCAGTCGCCTCCACTCGGAGCGGCTACTTCCTACCCTCAGCCCGCTGGCGGCGCGACTGGGCAGCAGAGGGAGCCCGTTAGCCCTTTTATAACCTCTAGGCCGCGATGGCAGCGCCAGGGAGGAGGCGACTGCAGCCCTCGCTACGTGAGCTCGATCACACCAGCGCCCCGGCGACTGCGCAGGCGCCAAGCCCGTGCCTCCCTGCTGCCCCCACCCGTGGCCGGCCCGTGGAGTCTGAGGCCGAGAGGAGTGGCTGGGACCGGCCGCCGTGGTGTGGGTAAGCGGGAGTGGGATGTAACGCGCCTGCGCAGGGTTCTCGCCCCGCCACCGTTACCGTGGTTACCACGGGGTTTCCCCCGCTCCTGTTCAGTTTGCCTCCTTGATTTCAGGGTCCGCGTCAGGCCTAAGCGACGAGGCCGCCGGCAATAAAGTATCTTAAAAATGAGAAGAGGAACGTGGGAGTGTAGAAAATAAAGCAGAATTTTTCTAGGGTGGAAAATAATAGAGATTCAGTCTTGGTATCTCAGCTGTCTTGTTCCTCTCACATCTCAGCACTCATTTTATACTAATCGTGCTCTATCTCCTACCTTTATACCTTATCAGTAGATAATAGACTAAGAGCTCCAGGGTCAGGTTATCTCAATTCAAATCCTGCCTCAATCCTGTGTGTAACACTAGGCATTAACAACCTCTCCGTATCCGTTTACTCATCTGTAAAATAGAAATGACGGTACTACCCATCTTGTAAGATTCTTGTGAGAATAAAATGAGATAATGTATGTAAAGCACTTAACACATGCCTCACACACAGAAATGACTTAGTAAATATTAGATTCTCCAGTAACATTAATTTATATAAGGCACCCAATGTTGCGTTTGATCTTAGTCTAACATTTGCCTTAGTTATAAAGTAACCCCAAACCAAGGGTTTCTTTATATCTCCCTGTACTATGAGGGAGAATACAATGAAGAAGATAATTTTTTCCTTGTCAGTTAAAGAGAAAAATGAGTTGCTAAGACTTGTTATTCATTAAGAATTGTGGTTTCTAAAGTTTTCCATGTATGCTAAAAAGTATAGCAATAATTAACATTTGACTTACGCAGGAGGTGAGTGATTATATAGCTACAGAAAGAGAGAGAGGGTACTCTGGGAGCACTAGGCAACTAAAAAGTAGATATAATGATGTCTAAATCAATGGTTCTGAAAGCGTAGTCAGGGAATCCATAAGGTCAAAATTATTTTCATACTAAGACTTTATTTTCATACTAAGACTTACTGCCTTTTTCACTCTAATAACAATACAGTGAGGTCTTCCAGAGACTACATGCCTGTGATACAGATGGAACGCAGACACAGATATGAGAATCTTCTATTAGCCCAGACACTGAAGAGATTTGCAGAAATGTAAAATAATGCCACTCTTCTCACTAAATTATTTTGCTTTGGAAAATAGTTATTTTTCATTAAAAATATGTTATTAGGCCAAATGAAGTGGCTCACACCTGTAATCCCAGCACTTTGGGAGGCCGAGGCGGGAAGATCACCTGAGCCCAGGAGTTCGAAATCAGCCTGGGCAACATGGCCAGACCCTCTCTCAAAAAAAAAGTTATTTATGTTATGTTAACATGTAACAGGTTTATTATTGTTGTTTTAAATGAATAAATATTTTATATGTTTGTTTTAATTCCTAATATAGTAAATGTTGATAAATATGATCCACATAAAAGCTTTTTGGAGTCCTCAATACTTTTTAGGAGTATAAAGTAATTATAAGACCAAAGAGGCAGGGCGTGCGGTGGCTCACACCTGTAATCCCTGCACTTTGCGAGGCCAAGGCAGACGGATCACAAGGTCAGGAGATCAAGACCATCCTGGCCAACATGGTGAAACCCTGTCTCTACTAAAAATGCAAAAATTAGCTGGGCATGGTGGCAAACACCTGTAATCCCAGCTACTCAGGAGGCGGAGGCATGAGAATCATTTGGACCCAGGAGGCAGAGGTTGCAGTGAGCTGAGATCACACCATTGCACTCCAGCCTGGGGACAGAGTCAGACTCCATCTCAAAAAAAAAAAAAAAAACTTCCTCAAATGGAGCTGTAATCAACATATTCACTAGCCCTACATAGAGCTGACTCTGAAAGTTGACAGTTTACTCAGTAATTAAAATGGCCGTAGACTCTGAAGCAGATTTACTGTGAAGCTAAGGAGGCTTCAGCTTCAGGTGCCCTCATTTACACTAGCCCTTTCCAAGTCCCTGGAAGGGTCCCTAGTAATATGTTCACACTGTCCTATGCTTCTGTAAAATTTATAAAAGTAATGTATTTTAAACTGCAATCTTTAGTCCTTAGTGACTTCCCTCCACCATGTTTCCCTTTGTCTAGTGTTGGAGTGGCAAGCAAACATTTTTGAAATTTAGCTAAAGGGAAGTTGAGTTAGGAATACATTTGGTTTGAATTTACTGGGATATATTTTTATAACCCACAGTCACTTCCATGTGTAGTTAAGATATTGCCAGCTGTCCCAGTGGCTTCCAAGAATACTCCAATTGCCCGTTGTGCTGATCCACCCAGCATTGCAAAACAAAGGTGCAGGGCCAGAACTCTTGAAGTTATTTTAATGTGTCCAATGTTCTAGCATCAAAAACTATGTGAATAGTAGAAGAGAAGCAGGGTTGAAATTTTGGGAACCTGAAGCTAATCTGTGGGAAATTATTCCAATTATTGGATGTGTAAAATTGTAAAGATTTAGCATTCATCAATACCTAGCCAAAAAAGTGTTGTTTTTTTCTTAGAGACAGGGTTTCACTCTGTCACCCAGGCTGGAGTGGAGTTGCATGATCATAGCTCACCGTAACCTCCAACTACTGCGCTCCAGCGATCCTCCCACCTCCCAAGTAGCTGGGACTACAGGCCTGCACGACCATGTCCGGGTTTTCTGTAGGATTTTGTTTTGTTTGCAGAGACAGGTCTCACCATGTGTCCAGGCTGGTCTTGAACTCCTGGGTTCAAGCAATCCTCCCACCTAGGCCTCCCAAAGTGCTGCAATAACAGTCATGAGCTGTGGGGCCCTGCCCAAAAAAGAAATTTATATTTTTTTCTCAGAACTTGATGAGGACATCCACAACAAACTAAAGAGTGTCATTAGTTTAAAGAAATCTGATGGGTCCTGAACTCTTTTTAAGTCATATATTAAATAATCTTTTGGAAGCCGGATGTGGTGGCTCTCCCAGGTAATTGCAGAACTTTGGGAGGCCCAGGTGGGAGGATCTATTAAGGCCAGAAGTTTGAGACCAGCCAGGGCAAGATGGTGAGACCTTACCTCTACAAAAAAAGTTTTTTTAATTAGCTGGGTGTGGTGATATGTGTCTGTAGTCCCAGCTATTCAGGAGGCTGAGGCTAGAGGATCAGGATATAGGATGCAGCAAGCTGTGGTCTCACTACTGCACTCCAGCCTGGGCAACAGAAAGAGATCCTGTGTCTAAATAAATAAATAGCTTATTGGAGATTTTTCAAAACTGGACAACAAGCCTAATAATTTATATGACATTACCAACAATGAGTTGTGAACTTTAATCAATCACATATGCTATGTGAATTAGAAGAGAAAGAGAGTCTAGGTTAGTAATTCAAGATTCATAGAATAAATATTTATAGAACACCTACCTTCTGTGTCCAAGACACTGCCTACTGAGCTGTGGAAGATCAAACTTTAATTAGACAATCTCTGCTTTTAAGGAGCTTATAATCTTTGTTGAAAAGAATTAAAACCTGCACTGTGGCAATAGAAATTCATTCATCCATAAATAATTGCCTGCCCATATAAGCCAGACTATGGTAAGTGCTGGGTATATGATTCCTGCTGTTGTAGAATTTGGAGTCCTTTGAAGAAAACCTACAACATAAAAATGTATGTTTCAGCTGGGCATGGTGGCTCACACCTGTAATCCAAGCACTTTGGGAGGCTGAGGTGGGTGGATCACCTGAGGTCAGGAGTTCGAGACCAGCCTGACCAATATGTTGAAACCGCACCTCTACTAAAAATATAAAAACTAGCCAGGCATGGTGGCGTGCACCTGTAATCCCAGCTACTCTGGAGGCTGAGACAGGAGAATTGCTTGAACCTGGGAGGCAGAGGTTGCAGTAAGCTGAGATCACACCACTGCACTCCAGCCTGGACAACAGAGTGAAAAAGAAAAAAAAAAAGTATGTATGTACAACATTAAAAAACATACACACACAAATATACGTACATACACATTTGACAAGTGAAAATAATAAGGAAACCAGGTGTGGCTCACACCTGTAATCCCAGTACTTTGGGTGGCCGAGCTGGGTGGATCACCTGAGGTCAGAAGTTCGAGACCAGCCTGGCCAACATGGTGAAACCCCCATGTCTGTTAAAAAAAAAATACATATATATATATATGAAAATTAGATGGACATCATGGCGCATGTCTGTAGTTCCAGCTACTCGGGAGGCTAAGGCACAAGAATCACTTAAAACCGGGAGGTGGAGGTTGCAGTGAGCTGAGATCATGCAACTGCCCTCCAGCCTGGATAACAGAGTGAGATTCCATCTAAAAAAAAAAAAAAAAAAAAAAGGCTTGGTGCGGTGGCTCACAACTGTAATCCCAGAACTTTGGGAGGTGGAGGCAGGCGGATCACAACGTCAAGAGATTGAGACCAGCCTGGCCAACATGGTGTAACCCCGTCTCTACTAAAAATACAAAAATTAGCTGGGTGTGGTGGTGCGCGCCTGCAGTCCCAGGTACTCGGGAGGATGAGGCAGGAGAATTGCTTGAACCCAGGAGGCAGAGGTTGCAGTGAGCCAAGGTTGTGCCATGGCACTCCAGCCTGGCAACAGAATGAGACTCCATCTCAAAAAAAAAAAAAAAAATATATATATATATATATATATATATATGGCCAATAAACATGTTTGGCGGGGCACAGTGGCTCATACCTGTAATCTCAGCACTTTGGGAGGCCAAGGCGGGCAGATCACCTGAGGTCAGGAGTTCGAGACCAACCTATCCAACATGGTGGAACCCGGTCTCTACTAAAAATACAAAAAAAAAAATTAGCTGGGTGTAGTGGTGCACGCCTGTAGTCCCAGCTACTTGGGAGGCTGAGGCAGGAGAATTGCTTGAACCCCAGATGCGGAGGTTGCAGTGAGCCAAGATTGTGCCATTGCACTCCAGCCTGGGCAACAAGAGCAAAACTCCGTCTCAAAAAAAAAAAAAAATGAAATCATCAGGGTGCTCTGGGAAAGAAGAAGGCGAGGGACATGGCTTAGATTGATATCACAAGAAAAGTATCACTATAGAAATGACATTTAAACTGAGAACTGAGTTAGCTAGATGAAGTGTGTGAATAAGAACATTTAGAGAGAGAGAATATTACTGTGTGTCTTTATATGTGAGGTCCATGTAGCAACACACACACACACACACACACACACACACACACACACACACACACACAACTTGGTGCATTTGAGGAGCTAAAGAAATTCAATGTGGGGCCGGGCGCAGTGGCTCACGCCTGTAATCCCAGCACTTTGGGAGGCTGAGGCAGGTGGATCATGAGGTCAGGAGATTGAGACCATCCTGGCTAACACGGTGAAACCCCATCTCTACTAAAAATACAAAAAATTAGCCGGGCGTGGTGGCGGGCGCCTGTAGTCCCAGCTACTCAGGAGGCTGAGGTAGGAGAATGGCGTGAACCCGGGAGGCAGAGCTTGCAGTGAGCCCAGATCGCGCCACTGCACTCCAGCCTGGGTGACAGAGCGAGACTCCGTCTGAAAAAGAAAAAGAAAAAAAAAAAGAAATTCAATGTGGCTACAATGCAGTAAGGAAGGAAGGAACCCATATGAGAGGAGATTGGAGAGGTACGCAAAAGCTAGGTCATGCCGACCTGTTAAGTACTGTAACAAGTAATGGGAAAGCATTGAAGTATTTTAAGCAATGGAGTAACCTTATGTTATTTACCTTTAACAGAGGAAAAACTCAGTGTAAGAGGATGGGTTTACCTGTGAATGCCAAGTCAGCAGACATGTGGACGGGCCTTGGGAGTAGAAGTGATAGAGACTTCTTCCTTGCTTATGAATAGGGACATGACAATCAAGACATAAGGGATTCTAGAATGTAGCTGAAACTGGAAATGACTCTAGTCACTAACATGCTGGCACTTTGGCATTGTGGGAAATGGCTGCAGTGAGGTAGTCAGACCACCTGCGTCAAGTAGCCTCAACGGGGATGCTCACTGTGGTAGGCAGAATAATGGCCCCTCAAAAAGGTCCACATCCTAATTTCGAAAACCTGTGAATATGTTACCGTACACGGCAAAAGAACTTTGCAGATGTAATTAAAACTGGCAAAATAATGGTATCAACAACCAAAATAAGAATACTGGGGCTAAGCACAGTGGCTCATGCCTGTAACACCAGCGGTTTGGGAGACCAAGGTAGGAGGATCACTTGAGCCTAGGAATTTGAGACCAGCCTTAGCAACGTGGCAAGACTCTGTCTCTAAAAAAAAAAAAGAAAAATTATCTAGGCATGGTGGCGCCCACCTGCTGTCTCAGCTACTGGGGAGGTTGAGGTGGGAGAATTGCCTGAGGCTGGGAGGTGAAGGCTGCAGTTAGCTGTGATTGCACCACTGCACTCCAGCCTGGGCAACAGAGTGAGATCCTGTCTCAAAAAAATTAAAATAAAAATTGGGAAATTGAGCTGAGTCTATTAATGCAACCAAATCTGCCACAGTAGTTCCATTAAAAGTATTCCTCAAATTGGCCAGGCTCGGTAGCTCATGCCTATAATCCCAGCATTCTGGGAGGCCTAGGCAGGTGGATCACTTGAGGTCAGGAGTTTGAGAGCAGCCTGGCCAACATGGTGAAACTATCTCTACTAAAATTACAAAAATTAGCTGGGCCTGGTGGCACGAGCCTGTAATCCCAGCTACTTGGGAGGCTGAGGCAGGAAAATCTCAAAATTACGGAAATTGGTAGAAAGTATAACTTCTTATTTGGAAGAAACAGTAGTAGAATCAGTGAACCCAGATTCTAGTCCACCATTAACGGTATCTGAGTGAATTATTTTAACTTTTATGCAAAAGTTTCTTCATTCACCAAATGGCCATAATAATATTTGCCCTACCATCCACAGAAAGACATTATAAAAGTCAATTGATGTTATTTTGAAATTTCTTCGAAAAGTATGAAGTACTAGATTAATATGAGTAATCATTATTGGATGCTGTATGATATGCAATTGTGTGGTATTTTATTTTGTTGTTGTTTGTTAATCATAGAGCCAAAGCTGATAAGTTTTAGACCTGTTTCAATGACTTTGAGAAAATTATGAAATGAAAAAATAATTATAACTAATCTTAATGCAGACAAAAAGTAAAGAAGAGGGATATATACTTGTGGTATCTATAATTAGTCTAAGGTTAATGTTAGTTCTTAAGTCAATCCAGAAGTGAAACATCACTGCTTCATATCCTATATAATTTAAGGAATACTTTGTTGTTGTTGTTGAGACAGAGTCTCCCTTTGTCACACAGGCTGGAGTGCAGTGGCACCATCTTGGTTCACTACAACCTCTGCCTCCCAGGTTCAAGCGATTTTCCTTGTAATTTTAGTAGAGATAGTTTCACCATGTTGGCCAGGCTGCTCTCAAACTCCTGACCTCAAATGATCCACCTGCCTAGGCCTCCCAGAATGCTGGGATTATAGGCATGAGCTACCGAGCCTGGCCAATTTGAGGAATACTTTTAATGGAACTACTGTGGCAGATTGGTTGCATTAATAGATCCAATTCTTCTCCACTTTCTGTATTCATGTCTGTGTAGTAAAAAATAAACCTTGCCCCAACAGGTATATAAAAATATGCTCAACATCATTATCATCAGAGAAATGCACATCAAAACTACGAGATATCAACTCACCCCAGTTAAAATAGCTTTTATCCAAAATGCAGTCAATAATGAATGCTGGCGAAGATATGGAGAAAGGAGAATTCTCATACACCGTTGGTAGGAATGTAAATTAGTACAGCCACTATGGAGAACAGGATGAAGGTTCCCCAAAAAACTAAAAATAGGACTATCATCTTAATATAATCCAGCAATCCTACTGCTGGGTATTAACCCAAAAGAAAACAAATCAGTACATCAAAGAGATATCTGGCCAGGCATGGTGGCTCATGCCTGTAATCCTAGCACTTTGGGAGGCCGAGGCTGGTGGATCACTTGAGGGCAGGAGTTTGAGACCAGCCTGGGCAACATGGCGAAACCCTGTCTCTACTAAAAATACAAAAATTGGCAGGGCGCGGTGGCTCACGCCTGTAATCCCAGCACTTTGGGAGGCCGAGGCGGGTGGATCACGAGGTCAAGAGATCGAGACTATCCTGGCTAACATGGTGAAACACCGTCTATACTAAAAATACAAAAAATTAGCCGGGCGCGGTGGCAGGCGCCTGTAGTCCCAGCTACTCGCTACTCGGGAGGCTGAGGCAGGAGAATGGCGTGAACCCGGGAGGCGGAGCTTGCAGTGAGCTGAGATCGCGCCACTGCTCTCCAGCCTGGGCGACAGAGCGAGACTCCGTCTCAGAAAAAAAAAAAAAATTAGCCGGGTTTGGTGGCGGGTGCCTGTGTTCCCAGCTCCTGGGGAGGCTGAGGCTGGATCACTTGAGCCTGGGAGGTTGAGGCTGCAGTAAGCCGTGACTGCGCCATTGCACTCCAGCCTGGGCGACAGAGGGAGACTTTGTCTTTTTTTGTTTGTTTGTTTGAGACAGAGTCTCCCTCTATCGCCCAGGATGGAGTGCAAGTGGCGCGATCTCGGCTCACTGATACCTCTGCTTCCCGGGTCCCAGTTCAAGCAATTCTTCCTCAGCCTCCGGAGTAGCTGGGATTACAGGCACGCGCCACCATACCTAGCTAATTTTTGTATTTTTAGTAGAGACAGGGTTTCTCCATATTGGCCAGGCTGGTCTTGAACTCCTGACCTCGTGATCCACCCGCCTCGACCTCCCAAAGTGCTAGGATTACGGTCGTGAGCCACCGCGCCCGGCCAAGATCCTGTCTTAAAAAAAAAAAAATCCCACAAAAAACAAAATCCTGTTTCCATGAGCAGTTACTCCTCATTATCTTTGAACACTATCCTCATCCCCATCCCTAGGCACTTTTTGTCTTACAGATTTGCCTATTCTGAATATTTCACATAAGTGCAATCACAACCCTAGGTATATTTCATATAAATTGCCCCCATTCCTAGGCAGCCACTAATCTGCTTTCTGTCTCTATAGATTTGCCTGTTATGAACATTTCGTAGGAATACAATATGTACTCTTTTGTGACTGGATTATTTCACTTAGCATAATGTTTTCAAGCTTTATCCATATTGTAGTATATATAATTCCTCTTTGTTGCCAGAAATATGTCATTGCATGGTTGGATATGCCACATTTTGCTTCTCCATTTATCAGTTGATAGTCACTTGGGTTGTTTGTACTTTTTTTGAATATTGTGAATAATGCTTCACAAAAATTAATTTACAAGTTTTTGTGGACATTTGTTTTCAATTCTCTTGGGAATATAAATCCAGGAGTTAAATTGCTGGGTCATTTGGTAACTCTATATTTAACTTTACGAGGAACCACCAAACTGTTTTCAAAAGCGGCAGCACCATTTACAATTTTACCAGCTGTGTATGAGGATTCCAATTCCACCACATCCTCACCACTCCTTGTCATTATCTGCATTTTGATTGTAGCTATCCTATTGGGTATAAAATGATATCTCATTATGATTTTGATTTGCATTTCCCATGCAAATCTTTTCATGTGCTTATGGGTCATTTTTCTATCTTCCTTGAAGACGTATCTATTCAGATTCTTTGCTCATTTTAAAATTTGGTTGTTTATCTTTTTATTACTGTGTTATTTAAGTGTTCTTTATATATTCCAGATAGAAGTCCCTTATCAGATACATGTCTTGCAATAATTTTTCCCAATTCTGTGAGTTATCTTTCTATATTCTTCATGATATTGTTTGTAGCACAAAAGTTCTTAAAATTTTGATGTCTTATTTTTTCCTTTGTTGCTTATGCAAAAAAAGCCAGATGAGATTTTAATAGAAATTGCATTGAATCTGTAGATCAATTTGGGGAATATGCCATTTTAACCAAATTAGGCCTTCCAATTTATGAACATGGGATTCTTTCAATCCTTCCAATATTTTCCAATATTTATGTTCAACTTCTCTACCTCACACCCAGTCAGAGATACAATCCAGGTCTATAGTATGGTGGTCAAAAGTACAGATTCTTTCTTAAGACAGATTTAGTTTAATATCCCAACACTTCTACTGATTAGCTGTGTAAATATGGACAAATTACTTTTCTTTTTTTTTTTTTTGAGATGGAGTTTCACTCTGTTGCCCAGGCTGGAATGTAGTCGCTCAATCTTGGCTCACTGCAACCTCCACCTCCTGGGTTCAAGCGATTCTCTTGTCTCAGCCTCCCGAGTAGCTGGGGCTACAAGAGCACGCCACCACACTTGGCTCATTTTTGTATTTTTAGTAGAGACGGGGTTTCACGATATTGGCCAGGCTGGTCTCAAACTCCTGACCTTGTGATCCACCCGCCTTGGCCTCCCAAAGTGCTGGGATTACAGGTGTGAGCCACCGCGCCTCCCCTACTTAATTTTTCTAAGCCTATGTTTTCTCATCTGTAACGTGCAATTTTTTTTTTTTTAGACAGGGTGTCTCTGTCACCAAGCTGGATGGAGTGCAGCATCATGATCTCGGCTCACTCCTGGGCTCAAGCAGTCCTCCTATCTCAGCCTCCTGAGTAGCTGGGACCGCAGGTGCATGCCACCATGCCCAGCTAATTTTCGTATTTTTTGTAGAGATGGTGTTTTGTCATGTTGCTCAGGCTGGTTTCTTGAACTCCTGAACTCAAGCAATCTTCCCACCTCAGTCCCCAAAGTGCTGGGATTACAGGCGTGTGCCACCACACGTAGCCTAAAGTACAAATTTTAATACAGATTTCATAGGATGTGAGGATTAATGACAAATATGTGGGACACTTAGCATAGTGCCTGGAACACAGCAAATGCTCAGTCTGAGCTATTTTTATTATTATAGCACTTAACAATTACTACAAAAAGTTATTTTGACTTTTTAAATTATTAGAGCCCCAATTTCCCCCTAAGCATCCTTAGAATCCATTGACTTTATATCTTGTTTCCCTACAATTTTCTGTGTCTTCCTTAAGGATAATGAACCAATCTGATTTTTTTTTTTTTTTTTTCAGACAATGTCTCGCTCTGTCACCCAGGCTGGAGTGCAGTGGCGCAATCTCAGCTCACTGCAACCTCTGCCTCTCGGGTTCAAGCGATTCTTGTGCCTTAGCCTCCCAAGTAGCTGGGACTACAGGTATGTGACACCAGACCTGGCTTAATTTTGTATTTTTAGTAGGGTTTCACCATGTTGGCCAGGCTGGTCTAAAACTCCTGACCTCAAATGATGTGCCCACCTCGGGCTCCCAAAGTGCTGGGATTACAGGCATGAGCCACCATGCCCGGCCTACTCTGATCTCATCTCTGATCACCATGCTCTTTCCTAGCCTTTCCTCAAACGGCACACTCCCACCCCAGGGCCTTTGCATATGCTTATTTTGCTCTGTCTACAAATCTCTTTCCATAGATATAAATTTGGTTTCTTCATCACCTTCTTCAGGGTCTTTGTTTAAATATTATCTTAACAATGAGGCTGACCATCCTATATAAAATAGCAAAATAATCCCTCTACTTATCTTGCTTTATTTTTCTTCTTAAGCTTTATAACCACGACACATTGTATATTTACTCGTTTGTTTCCCCTTCTAGAATGTAAGTTACATGAGGACAGAGATTTTCATGTTTTGTTCCCTGCTGTATCCTATCCCTATAACAGTCCTAGGCACATTGGGTACTCATTAAATACATGTTGAATGAGTGGACTTCTTCTCTTGGCTGGGTGCGGTGGCTCACGCCTGTAATCCCAGCACTTTGGAAGGCTGAGGCGAGTGGATCACTTGAGGTCAGAAGTTTAAGACAGCCTGGTCAACATGGCGAAACCCTGGCTTTACTAAAAATACAAAAATTAGCCAGGCATGGTGGTGTGCACCTGTTATCCCAGCTGCTCGGGAGGCTGAAGCAGGAGAATCACTTGACTCCGGAGGAGGAGGTTTCAGTAAGCCAAGATTGTACGTACCACTGCTCTCCAACCTGAGCGACAGAGCAACTCCATCTCAAAAAAAAAAAAAGTGTCTTCTCTCATAGGCAAGTAACTTCAGTAGTAAAACGAGAAGAGAGCAGCACCAAAGTAGCTCTGCTGAGAGGTGAAGCCAGCTGGACTTCCTGGGTGGAGTGGGGACTTGGTGAACTTTTCTGTCTAGTTAGAGAATTGTAAATGCACCAATCAGCACACTGTAAAAATGCACCAATCAGCACTCTGTGTCCAGCTAAAGGATTGTAAACACACCAATCAGCACTCTGTAAAAATGCACCAATCAGCGCTCTGTGTCTAGGTAAAGGATTGTAAACGCACCAATCAGCACTCTGTTTCCAGCTAAAGGATTGTAAACACACCAATCAGCACTCTGTAAAAATGCACCAATCAGTGCTCTGTGTCTAGCTAAAGGATTGTAAACACACCAATCAGCACTCTGTGTCTAGCTAAAGGATTGTAAATGCACCAATCAGCACTGTGTCTAGCTAAAGGATTGTAAACGCACCAATCAGCACTCTGTAAAAACGCACCAATCAGCACTCTGTGTCTAGCTAAAGGATTGTAAATGCACAAATCAGCACTCTGTCAAATGGACCAATCAGCACTCCATAAAATGGACCAATCAGTGCTCTGTAAAATGGACCATTCAGCAGGATGTGGGCAGGGACAAATAAGGGAATAAAAGCTGGCACCCCCAACAGCAGCGGCAACCTACTCGGGTCCCCTTCCACGCTGTGGAAGCTTTGTTCTCTCGCTCTTCACAATAAATCTTGCTGCTGCTCACTCTTTGGGTTCGTGCCACCTTTAAGAGCTATAACACTCACCGAAAGCTCCACGGCTTCATTCTTGAAGTCAGCAAGACCAAGAACCCACTGGAAGGAACCAACTCCGGACACACTTCTAGGAGACTACTTCCAGTCAAATGGAATGCGCTTCCTCTGATCAAGAAATGAATCCTACCATAAGTTCAAACATATCTATACATACCTATACAGAGTCCCATCCTTTTAAATTGGAAGAACTTCATGAAATTTTAGAGCTAGTTCTAAAGTGTGCAGAGAGAGAACTAGAGATATACTAAGGTTAAAAGGTATTTGATTCCCACCCCTGCTTCATCCTCTCCCCAGCCTCATAATATATGCCTTCTGTGTATGAGGGTGGACTTAATGACTTTATCTTTTTTTAATTAAAAAATGGATCTAATACTAACCTACTTTCTCCAAGGATACAGTAGTTCTCTTGGTAATAAGATCTTAGATGTTCATGCTTTTGACAATCATGGTTAACTTGCAGCTGGAGAACACAGCAGCATGCCTGGGAACTGAACTACAATTCCCAGAGTGCATCTCTAGGAGGATTCTGGGAAGTGTGGCAGAAGCAGCAATGGTCCCTCCAGGGAACGGAAGCCGTTGAACGTGAACATTTGGAGTTTCCTCTTTTGTGCTGATTCCTGAGGACTAGGAAGGTGCCCCGAAAAGAATTCAGAGTGAGTACAGTGAAACAGAAACCTGCTCAGCTTCTAAGTGCAGGAAGGACTTCACAGGGAGGCATGATCAGAACTTGAAAAAAGGTCGTGGTCACAGCATTTTAACATTTTAGCTTAATCTCTTCCTTTTTGCAGAAACCAGGGATATAACCATAGTTTTGCCTCATAACTGTGGAGCTACATCAGTAACCACAGCTCATCATTTTCTGATACTTTTTTGGAGAGTCATTTAAAAATGGAACTTGCCAACCTCTCACATTGTGCCTTAATTTTTATTTTTTTTTAAAGGAGGGAAAATTATTTTTTAGAAAGCAAACTATAAAGCAGGTCAGTGAGACCTTCAAAGCTGTATTCCCGTGGTTCCTCAGTTTTCCATATTTCCCTGTCCCATGGAGGTCCACAGTCGTGGAGAAACGGACTCTAAACACAGGCGAAGTATCACTTGGTCGCCCAGGCTGGAGTGCAGTGACACGATCTCCACTCACTGCAAGCTCCGCCTCCTGGGTTCATGCCATTCTCCTGCCTCATACTCCCTAGTAGCTGGGACTACAGGCGCCCGCCACCACGCCCAGCCACTTTTTTTTGTATTTTTAACAGAGACGGGGTTTCACCGTGTTAGCCAGGATGGTCTCGATCTCCTGACCTCGTGATCCGCCCACCTCGGCCTCCCAAAGTGCTGGGATTACAGACGTGAGCCACCGCGCCCGGCCTAAAAAAAGGTCTCTTAAATACTAGGGAACCTGGCCTCTTCACGGTGGAAGTAACCACTAGATTCAAGATGGGCTTTTTTTGTTTTGTCTTGTTTTGTTTTGTTTTTTTGTTTTGAGACGGAGTCTCGCTCTGTCGCCCAGGCTGGAGTGCAGTGGCGCGATCTCGGCTCACTACAAGATGGGCTTTTTTGTCACGCTGTAGTACTTTATAATCTTTCTTCTGGAAAGATGAACAGGATAAGAAACGTGTGAATCATTTGTGTTGGGGAGTTCAAAGAAACTCTTAATGTTAAAGCACCTTGCCTCATCATTTAGTAGTTGGGTAAGACTGCTATTACCTTTCATCTCTATCAAACATTGTACTTTTAAAAACATAAATAGCTCTGTGACCATCAGCTCATGAGTCAGCAGCCATGATAATCTACAACTGGCTAAGGTTAATTTAGTAGCAGAAACTAGGCAAAACATCAGGCAGCAGTTCCCAAGGTCCAAGAAACTCACCAAATGAATTCCCTTTGGCTCATGGAATATGGTGAGGTGTTTTGGGGAACAGTGGCATGGAGGTAGCCTCATTAACCAGTTAGTCTCAGGAACTACTATTTTATTAGGCTTTTCTTTTGTCTTAAAAGGAATAAGTACACATGGCTAATTTTTTTTTCAGTACAGAAAAATGAACAAAATAAAAATTACAGGCACCTTTTTCAATATTTGTCTTCATCCCACTCCCCCAAATTAGTCACTCTTTAATAGTTTGGTATGTATACTTCTAGTCATTTGAAAAATATAAATAAGGCCGGGGGCAGTGGCTCTTGCCTGTAATCCCAGCACTTTGGGAGACCCAGGCAGGCAGATCACCTGAGAACAGGAGTTCGAGACCAGCCTGACCAACATGGAGAAACCCCATCTCTACTAAAAAAAATACAAAATTAGCTAGGCGTGGTGGCGTATGCCTGTAATCCCAACTACTCGAGAGGCTGAGGCAGGAGAATCGCTTGAACCCGGGAGGTGGAGGTTGCGGTGAGCCGAGATTGCGCCATTGCACTCCAGCCCGGGCAACAAGAGCGAAACTCCGTCTCAAAAAAAAATAGAAAGAAAAATATAATTAAATACATATAATTTATGTATATTGGTATGTCTGTGTCCTTTTTTTTATAAATAATTAGGTCATGTTAACCAACTGTTACCTGTTTTTTTCTCCAGCTTTATTAAGGTATAATATTAAGGTATTAAAGTATAATATATACTTTTTGACAAAAAAAGTATATATTTATAGTTTACAATGTGATGTTTTGATACAGGTATACATTGTGAAATGATTAAATCTAGCAAATTAATATATTCATCACCTCACATTTTTTGTGTGTGTTGAGAATATTTAATATCTACTTTCTTAGTAATTTCCAAGTATATAATATATTATGAACTATAGTTACCATACAACACAATAGATATCCAGAATTTATTCATCCTAACTGAAACTTTGTACACTTTGACTAGTATCACCTCCAATTCCTCCTTGCTTTTTTTGTTTACTTAATAATGTGTTCTAAGTCTCTCTCCCTGTTACTATATATATATATTTTTTTCACTGTTATATTATTTTCTATTTGTTCTTTTTCTTTTTTTTAAGACGACGTTTTGCTCTTGTTGCCCAGGCTGGAGTGCAATGGCACGATCTCTGCTCACTGCAACCTCTGCCTCCTAGGTTCAAGCGATTCTCCTGCCTCAGCCTCCCAAGTAGGCAGGATTACAAGCGTGTGCCACCACGCCCAGCTAATTTTGTATTTTTAGTAGAGATGGGGTTTCTCCATGTTGGTGAGGCTGGTCTCGAACTCCTGACCTCGGGTGATCCGCCCGCCTCGGCCTCCCAAAGTGCTGGGATTACAGGCGTGAGCCACCGCACCCAGCCCTTCTATTTGTTCTTAAGTCGCGTATTAATCCATTTTATCATAATTTTCAGTTAACGTTCTTGTACATATCCTTTCCTTCCTAGGGTAAATTCCTAAACATGGAATTGCTGAGGAAAAAGAGAGGCTTATTATTTGACACTTTAATAGATATTTCCAAATCAACCTGTAAAAATATCATACCAGTTTACATTCTGAGTGGTGTATGAGCCAGAAATAATGACTTTAAATACATTTTTTATAGTATATCACACTAGTTTTGGGGTTATTAAAGTAGGAATAATACTTTTAATAATCTCCTAGAGTGCTTTGCAACCCACATATTGCATACTGCCTTCTGTGAAAGCTGGCTATATATTTGTTTTCTCTCTCCTGCTAGAGTTCCTTGAGGGCAGGGATTTTCATCTTTTACATTTTTGTGTTCTTTAAGGGACCCTGAATAAAGTCAGTACTCAATAAATACTTTGTTGAATGTCATTTGCTAAATATATTTTACCCATGGCTAGGACATAGATTGTAGCCAAAACTGTCCAAGAATTCATCATCAGTGATTCATAATTATGCAACCAAGAAGTAGGACTAAATTTTAGATGTTCCTCGGTCATTTAGTGTCAAAGCTGGCTTTCCTCAGACACAGTGAAAAGGGTGGTTGGTTATTTAACTGTAATGAATTCTTGACTTTTTTTACTGCCAATGTGAGAGGTACTTTTCATGGGGAATAAAATACTGATATACAATTTAAAGGGACCATCTTGGCCAGAATGGATTATTTAGTTACAGATTTTTTTTCTTTCCCAATGAGCAACAAAAAAATAGAAAATATCTTGGATCCATGTGAATTTGCATAGCTGCCTTCTGAAAAAATTTCCTAATGTTGTGACTTTATATATTCTTATCTACAGGATTCCTTCTACTTCATTCTTACTCTAAGTGGGTAGAACAGGTTTCAGTTTTCTAGATCATGAAAGAAGTACTGAAATGTTGAGATCCCATAGCTACTTAGGGGTAGAAATGCAATTTAGAAACAAGATCACCTGACTCCTATTGAGTTTGTCTTTCCTTAATATTACAGAGTGATCCCATTCTGGCTTAAAGTATAACCCTCTTGGCAATTCATTACTTTAAATTTCATATTATGACTTTTTTTAAAACTCCTTTTTTTTTTTTTTAAGGACCTGACAATGTCCCTGTATTGTGGAATAGCTTGCAGGAGAAAATTTTTTTGGTGCTATAGGCTGCTGTCAACCTATGTTACTAAGACACGGTGAGTTTTAGCCAACCTGAGCTTTGATTATTCTGTTTGGCCCATTAAACTATTGTGATATTATGATTTTATATATATATTTAGGTTTATGATTATTATATATACATTATATATTACTATATTTGTGTGTGTGTATATGTGTGTGTGTGTATATATATATATTCATATATATATATATTCATCCATGGTTTCTGGCTCATAACTCCTATGGCCCTTATTACAGTCTTTTGTTATAATGTGGGGCACTTTAGACCTCAGGGGCAGGCCTCAGGAAACAAAATCTCTTTTACCTTCTCCTGTCCTCCTTTTACCTGCCCATGGCAGGACTCTAATCTGATTGCGGGTCCAAAGACCCTCATTCCAGAGAGGGTTGTGCCCCATACTCCGGAGGAAGGAAGGCTGCACAGAGAGGCCAAGGAGAACCTGAACAGACAGGCATTGCTGGGTTTCCGGTCAGTCTATTATTATGAAATCATAACCATTTTGTCCAATCAGATTTCTACATGGTTGTCAATCATGCCTATGTAATGAAGCCACCATAAAAACCCAAAAGGACAGGGTTCAGAGAGCCTCTGGATAGCTGAACACATGGAAGTTCCTGGAGGGTGGTGCACCCAGGGAGTCATGGAAGCTCTGCACCCTCCCCCCACATACCTGACCTAAATGCATCTCTTCATTTGTATCCTTCGTAATATCCTATATAATAAACCAGTAAACATCAAAAAATATATATTTTTACTTTTTTAGAGATGGAGTCTCACTCTGTCACTCAGGCTGAAGTGCAGTGGTACAATCTTGGCTCACTGAAGCCTTGATCTCCTGGGGTCAAGCGATCCTCCCACCTCAAACCCCCAAGTAGCTGGGACTACAGGCATATGCCACCATGCCTGGCTAATTTTTATATTTTTGTGTAGAGACAGGGTTTTGCCATGTTGTCCATGCTGGTCTGAACTGAGCTCTGGCAATCCACCTGCCTTGACCTCCCAAAGTGTTGGGATTACAGGCGTAAGTCACCAAACCTGGCCGAAAAATTTTAAACAAACTAAATATCCAATAATATCTAAAATATCTCACACACTTGAATATAAGTTCTATTAAGATCAGACTTTGTCTTTCCACTGTGGTACCCCTACTTCATAAAACAGTGCCTGGCACATGGTAGGCACTAAAGTACTGTTGAATGAATGAACAGTAAGGGAGAAATTAAGTAAATTAAGGTACTATAATAGAATAATAAACATGTTAAAATTATATTGTTCTATTCCTGTCACTTCAGATGAAAAAAACTGTATTGAATAATATTTCATGAAGTTTCCTATAAATAAAGTAGATAACCCCACCCCCTTCCCCCAAGAACTAAACTTCAGTGAAAGGTAGAGTAGGAAAACAAAATCTACAATAGCACATGAAGATGATAAAGACTTTTTTGTCTTAGCCTAGGGAAATTAGAAATCTGTGAATTTGAAATCACTAGCCTGCTTTCATACAGTTTTGGGGGTTAAATTTATACCATCTATGTGGTGTGGTTCTAGAACCCTTAACCTAAGAAATAATTTTTTTTTCTTTTTTTTCTTTTTGAGACAGGATCTTGCTCTGTCACACAGGCTGGAGTGCAGTGCTATGATCATAGCTCACTGCAGCCTCAACCTCCCAGGCTGAATCAATTCTCCCACCAAGTAGCTAGGATCACATGCGTAGCTACTTGTACACCACCATGCCTGGCTAATTTTTTTTTATTGTTTGTAAGGTAGGGTCTTGCTATGTTGCCCAGGCTGGTCTCAAACTCCTGGGCTCAAGCAATCCTCCTGCCTTTACCTCCCAAAGTGCTGGGATTATAGGCATGAGCCACCATGCCCAGCCTAAGAAATGAATTTAAGTAGTAATCTTGGACTGAAAATACCCCTGGGGCACCATGTGAATACAAATATAAAACTCCTTAGGAAGTACACACTCACAACCAGTGATTCCAATATATAAAGCCCTATCAAGCTCCAAAATTTAGAGGCATATAAAGGCTGGGTGCAGTGGCTCATGCCTGTAATCCCAGCACTTTGGGAAGCCAAGGCGGGCAGATCACTCGAGGTCAGGAGTTCGAGACCAGCTTGGCCGGCATGGTGAAGCCGTCTCTACTAAAAATACAAAAATTAGCCAGGAATGGTGGCGTGCACCTGTAGTCACAGCTACTCAGGAGGCTGAGGTGGGAGAGTCGCTTGAACCTGGGAGGTGGAAGTTGCAATAAGCCGAGATCGTGTCATTGCACTCTAGCCTGCATGATAGAGTGAGACCCTGTCTCAAAGAAAAAAAATTAGAAGCACATAAGCATATAATCCTACATGAACAAGAGTGAACAAACAACAAAATTGTGATACTTGTTTCAGATATTGTTGGACATTTAGATTGCGTGTACTCCTTTAACAGACTACAAGAATTTTTTTTTTTTTTTTTTTTTTTTTTTTGAGATGGAGTCTTGCTCTGTTGCCAGGCTGGACTGCAGTGGTGTGATCTCAGCTCACTGCAACCTCCACCTCATGGGTTCAAGTGATTCTCCTGCCTCAGCCTCCTGAGTAGCTGGGACTAAGGCACACGCCACCACGCCCAGCTAATTTTTGTATTTTTAGTTGATATGGGGTTTCACCATGTTGGCCAGGATGGTCTGGATCTCTTGACCTTGTGATCCACCCACCTCGACCTCCCAAAGTGCTGGGATTACAGGAGTACGCCACCACGCCTGGCCAAGAATATTAACATAATTATTAAATAGAGTCTAAAATTTAAGTATGTTAAAGTGATTAAATAAATCTATTTAAGAATGAATAAAAATAATGAGGTCAGGCACGGTAGCTCACACCTGTAATCCCAGCACTTTGGGAGGCTGAGACGGGTGGATCACCTGAGGTCAGGAGTTCGAGACCAGCCTGGCCAACATGGCAAAACCCCATCTCTATTAAAAATACAAAAATTAGCCAGGTGTGGTGGCGGGCACCTGTAATCCCAGCTACTTGGGAGGCTGAGGCAAGAGAATCACTTGGACCCGGGAGGCAGAGGTTACAGTGAGCCAAGATCGTGCCACTGCACTCCAGCCTGGAAAACAAGAGTGAAACTCAGTCTCAAAAAAAAAAAAAAAAAGAATAAAAGTCTATCAATAAAGAATATGATGTGAAAATGTTTACATATGTTTAAGAAAAAAGGCTACAAATTAGTAGGTTTGATGGATTCTAAATATACTTATATATGTATTGATGTATAATAGTAATCGCTTAGAGAATTCCAAAGTGTAAACAGTGATTATCCCTGAGTGGTGGGATTTTGATGATTTTCTTTTCAAAAAATTGACAATTGTATATTCTGATTATTAAAGATTGACTATTTTTTACTGTTAAAATAAGGAAAAAGTTTGTTTTAAAATAATCTAAATATTTTCAACTTTGATAATCATAGCAATTTCTATGCTATTATAACTGAAAAGGGAAAATACATTTTTAAAAATAAGAGTTCCCAATCCAGAGGAGTGTAAGGAACTTTTGGATCTCAATTCCAGTTCCAGTGAGGCCCTGGGTCTAAGACCTTAACCTGGGTGTTTTTGTAGGTGTTTTGCTTTTTAGGGTCATTAGGGCAAGTACAGGTTGTACCACTCTTTCTGTTCTTTTACGAAGGCAGCAGTGTTTGTTCTATTGTTTATATTTGGTAACTTCTGAGTGACACGTCTCTCCTTTGACATGCATTGAGTCTTTGCCCCAGGAGGCTACAGTGACTCATAAGTTTAAAAATATCACAATTCTTAAAAGATCAGGTTTCTTTTGTCTTCTATTTATAAAGAGCTCATCGTAACCCCTTTTATCACAGTCAAGAGTAGGTTCTGAAAGATAGCACTGGGGTGCATTTGTCTTTTTGCTTTTTATTTTCATGTTGAGCAAACTCTGCCTACTGGTATTACATGAGTTCTCAGATCCCACAGGAAATATCTGCAAACTATTTTTCCCACTTGACAAAAGAAGCCAGTTTTTACCTGAGCGTCTGTTTTAGGGCTTTTGACAGGCAAAAATGGCTAATCCCAAGGCCCCAGGGGAGTCTGCATTCTGTCCCTGCTGATCACAAGGATTTGAAGGGAGAGACTCAGCCCACCCTTAATGAAGGTACTGGAAAAGCCTGGTACTTACCCCATTACTATTGCCTGTTTTTGAGAAACCAAGAATAGGAGGATGTTCCCTTTTTCCACATTTTCATTTTGGCTACTGAAAATACTATGGCTGGGTGTGGTGGCACACACCTGTAATCCCAGCACTTTGGGAGGCCGAGGGCAGATCACTTGAGGTCAGGAGTTCGAAACCAGCCTGGCCAACATGATGAAACCCCGTCTCTACTAAAATACAGAAATTAGCTGGGCATGGTGGGGCATGCCTGTAATCCCAGGTACTCGGGAGGCTGAGGCACGAGAATTGCCTGAACCTGGGAGGCAGAAGCTGCAGTCAGCTGAGATCGTGCCACTGCACTCCAGCCTGGGTGACAGAGTGAGACTCTGTCTCAAAACAAAAAAAGAAGGAAAATGAAAATACTATCCTTATTAAATAGGTTAAGTATAGGTTTCATCAATGCTCCCTTTGTTTTCTTTTTTTTTGAGATGGAGTCTCGCTCTGTCATCCAGGCTGGAGTGCAGTGGCGTGATCTCTGCTTACTGCAACCTTCGCCTCCCAGGTTCAAGCGATTCTTCGGCCTCAGCCTCCTGAGTAGCTGGGACTACAGGTGCGTGCCACCATGCCCAGCTAATTTTTGTATTTTTAGTAGAGACAGGGTTTCACCATATTGGCCAGGCTGGTCTCGAACTCCTGACCTCGTGATCCACCTGCCTCAGCCTCCCAAAGTGCTGGGATTACAGGCGTGAGCTACCACGCCCGGCCAGGTGCTCCCTTTGCTAGAGATAAGGAGTTAATGGTATCTACTTTGGGATCTAGATGTCTGAAGTAAGGGTACATTGAAGGTAAAATTTGTTCTTTATCTTCCCTAGATTGAATGAGGGTCACTGAAGATACAGTGTTTACTCTTTGTCTGCTGTGAAAAAGTCTGTTCCCATCTCTAGGTATTTTGTGGTTGATGTTTTATCACTGTACTTGTTTTCCTTTCACTCCACTGCATGTAAATTCTTGCCTCACAGTGTAATATTGGCAGAGTAACTTGAAGTTCAATTCAGTAAATATTTATTACCCTTGAAGTTCAATTCAATAAATATTTATTGAATCGAGCCATTCAATATGCTAACTACAGAGATACAGAGCTGAGTAAAGCATACCTTCCCCTTAAGGAGATCATAGTCTCTCAGAGGAGACAGACAAATGAACAAATAAACCAATAGTGCAACCACAGAAGTATGGGTGAGGTACACAGTAAGACAAAGGAGGGAATGAATGATTATCTATAGCCACCTCAAACCCTTTTTGGAGCAAATTAGGTTGTAAATAAATAAAGGGAAATAACCATGGTAAGAGAGGGATGCAGCGACAGCATTCTCAAAGATGAATGCTATACAGGTAACTAAGGGTGGTTTTGTAATGGTTTGATTATTTCCCAAATACAGGTATTTATTTGAACTGAAGGAAGATGATGATGCATGTAAAAAAGCCCAGCAAACAGGAGCGTTTTACCTCTTTCATAGTCTGGCTCCTCTGCTTCAGACTTCAGCACATCAATACCTGGCCCCCCGGCACAGCCTGTTAGGTAAGTCCAGAGTGGACCAGTGGCGTTGACCAGCCTGTGGCCACTACGCAGAATTCAGCCCATAATGAATTCTAAGAAAGATCCTTGAACTTTGGAGTCTAGATTTTTCAGAAAGCTTTTGAGTCTCATGCTTGTATAACTGCTTCTGCCAACTAATAATTTATTGTATGAACTCTAGTTGTCCAGTCAAATATTATTTGGTGATGAAATGAACCACTAATGCCTTAAACCAGGGGTTGGTAAAACTGCTGTCCAAATTGTATCTGCTACCTGTTTTGTAAATTAATTTTTATTGGAACATAGACGTACTCATTCATTGACATATTGTCTATGGCTACTTTTGCACTACAATGCAGAGTTGTGACAGAGACTGTATGACTCACAAAGCCTAAAATATTTAGTATCTCTTTCCAGAAAAAGTTTGCCATTCTTTGCCTTAGAGCAGTGAATTCCAGCCTCCACAGAGGTACACAGTTATGCTAATTCAGAGTTCCATCATGGCCAGGCGCGGTGGCTCACGCCTGTAATCCCAGCACTTTGGGAGGCCGAGGAGGGCAGATCACGAGGTCAAGAGATCAAGACCAACCTGGCTAACACGGTGAAACCCGTCTCTACTAAAAATACAAAAAAATTAGCCGGGCGTGGTGGCGGGTGCCTGTAGTCCCAGCTACTCGGGAGGCTGAGGTAGGAGAATGGCGTCAACCCGGGAGGCGGAGCTTGCAGTGAGCCGAGATCACGGCACTGCACCCCAGTGTGGGTGACAGAGCGAGACTCCATCTCAAAAAAAAAAAAAAAAGTTCCATCATAACTTCATTTTTACTAGAAGGGTCAAGATTAAAAGTGAATTAAAATGAATTTGCTTTTAGAACCCTTTTAGCATATTTAACTAAAGATATCTAAGCCATTGGGGTTTGTCATTCAAAATGCAAACTTTGGCTGGGTTGGGTGGCTCATGCCTGTAATCCCAGCACTTTGGGAGGCTGAGGTGGGTGGATTGCTTGAGCCCAGGAGTTCAAAACCAGCCTGGGCAACATAGTGAGACCCCGTCTCTACCCAAGAACAAAAAATTAGTCGAGCCTTGTGGTGTCTCAAAGACAGAAAACAAAATGTGAACTTTCAGTTTTATATGAGTCACTATATACTAACTTCCGTATTGCCAGTGAATTTCTCCCATAGGTCAGAAGTTGGAGTACTTGGATAAGTAGTTTCTAGCACTGCAGAAGAATCTGAGGACTCCATCAGAAGGCACTAAACATTATTTAGAGATTTAGCAATGTTTATGTTGTATTACGGTTTTTGTGTGTGTTATGTTGTATTATGAACAAATAAATATGAGTCCTTCATGAACAAGTGTATAGGATTTCTCCCTACACATCACTCATCTCTTAGAGATTGGCATCTCAGATGAGTATTTTACTCTCGTCCACAAAAGTAGCACATTCTGGAGGTTAATTATAGAACTGGATTGGTCTTTACCTGCAGCCTTGAACTCCTTGGCTCAAGAGATCCTCCCATCTCTGCCTCCCAAGTTTTTGGGACTACAGGTGTGCACTTCACTGCACCCAGCTGATTTTATTTTTTGTAGAGACAGGGTCTTTGCTGTGTTGCCCAGGCTGGTCCCAAACTCCTGGCCTCAAGTGATCCTCCCTGCCCCCCAGCCTTGGTCTGTACCATTTTAAGTGTGATACTTATTTTTTTTTCAATGACTTAATAAGTTAACTATCATGCATCTTACTAACTAGGGGATATTTTCCTTTCATGATACAGTCATAGAGTAATACAATGTTATACAAGAATTCCTTCTTTGGTCTAAAGTCCTCAGACTGCTAATGAGAAAACAGGCCTGGAGAGGTTAAATGGTTAGACCAAGGTTACATAGCTAATTAGCTGCAGTTGGAAGCCAAGTATACCCACTTTAAGCTGAAGTAGATGATTTTCTGTGAGTCTAATATGGCTGTAGTGATTTAATAGAAACCCTTGTGTTTTGCTTTTCTCCCTTCCCCTTTCTGTTTCTTAGAGTTGGAAAGGCTCCTGGGTAAATTTGGACAGGATGCACAAAGAATAGAAGATTCTGTGCTGATTGGATGCTCTGAGCAGCAGGAAGCATGGTTTGCTCTGGATCTAGGTCTGGATAGCTCCTTTTCCATAAGTGGTACATGACATTATTCCTAACGGGTACTTCCCAGTGGTCTTCAGAATTTGGGATTTCACATAATGGTAAAATTTAAAGGAAAATTTGGGGAATACAAAAGGTTATCAACTTTCTATTTTTTAAAAAAGGACATTAAAAAGTGTCATCTGCTATCATCATCATTTAAATGACAATAAAGGACATTTTAATGCCTTCTAAGTTAGGTGATGGGTACATGAATATTTATGGTATTAGTCTCTGTACCATTATACATTTTATTTATTTATTTTATCTTATTTTATTGAGACAATGTCTTGCTGTCACCCAGGCTGGAGTGCAGTGGTACAATCACAGCTCACTGCAGCCTTGACCTCCTGGGCTCAAGTGACCCTCCCACCTCAGCCTCCTGAGTAGCTGGGACCATGGGCATGTACTACCATGCCCAGCTAATTTTTAATTTTTTTTTTTTTTTAATAGAGATGGGGGTCTCCTTATGTTGCCCAGGCTGGTCTCAAACTCCTGGGCACAAGCAATCCTCCCTCCTTGGCCTCCCAAAGTGCTAAGATTATAGGTATGAGCCACCACACCTGGCCTATACATTTTGTATATTTCTTTTTTTTTTTTTTTTTGAGGCAGAGTTTCACTCTTGTTGCCCAGGCTGGAGTGCAATGGCGCGATCTCGGCTCGCCACAACCTTCGCCTCCCAGGTTCAAGCGATTCTCCTGCCTCAGCCTCCCTATTAGCTGGGATTACAGGCACGTGCCACCATGCCCGGCTAGTTTTGTATTTTTAGTAGAGACGGGGTTTCTCCATGTTGGTCAGGCTGGTCTCGAACTCCTGACCTCAGGTGATCCGCCTGCCTCAGCCTCCCAAAGTGCTGGGATTACAGGCATGAGCCACCAAGCCCGGTCACATTTTGTATATTTCAGTATTTCATAAGAAATGTTAAAAAACTTATAACATCATTCTAATTTCTTTTTTGAATACAGGTGAATAAAAATGTTTCCATATAGCTCTGGGTCCACAGACCTGCCATTGGGAACCACTTTGCTATTGGCTCATGGCTCCTGTCAGGCTTTCCTTCTGTCTTTAATGGTCTAGGTGTAAATGTAGTGATGCTGGGATGAGGTTCACATAGGAGCCATGAGGTCCCACTTCATCTCTTTTCCACGGATAAGCTAATGCAAATGTTCTTGCCCCGAAGAAGATCTTGAGAAATACTATGTGCTAATGTTTCCCAAACTGGCCTGAATGTAAGAATCACCTGGTGCTTGTTAAAACAAAAATAGAGATTGCTGGGCCTCACTCCATGCCAGCTGCTTTAGAATCTCCAGGTAGGGGCTTGAGAATCTTGCTTTTTAAAAAAATTTTATGTATATATTTATTTATTTTGAGATGGAGTTTTGCTGTCACCCAGGCTGGAGTGCAATGGTGCGATCGGTTCACTGCAACCTCTGCCTCCTGGGTTCAGGCGATTCTCCTGCCTCAGCCTCCTGAGTAGCTGGGATTACAGGCGCCCACCACCAAGCCCAGCTAATTTTTGTGTTTTTAATACAGACAGGGTTTCACCATGTTGGCCAGGCTGGTCTCGAACTCCTGACCTCAAGTGATTCACCCGCCTCGGCCTCCCAAAGTGCCGTACCTGGCCTTTTTTAAATTTTAGAGATGGGGTCTCACTGGAGTGCAGTGGCTATTCACAGGTAAGATCATAGCGCACTGTATGTAGCCTGGAACTCCTAATGGCCTCAAGCCATCCTCCTGCCTCAGTCTCCTGAGTAGCTGGGACTACAGGCACACGCCCCCCACACCTAGCTGAATCTTACGAGGCAAGTTTGGGAAACACTATTTTAACAGGATAGACTGGAGAGAGGCCCTGAGGCAAAGTTTGTCATTGTTTAATTTCATTATCTTTTCTAATTTTCTAGCCTCCTTACACAAACCTGAAATGGAGACAGAGCTCAAGGGGTCTTTCATTGAGCTGAGAAAGGCACTCTTTCAACTCAATGCAAGGGATGCCTCCTTGCTGTCCACGGTAGATTCTGATTTCTCATTCTGTAGGAAATTTAGTAGAGCAGTAAGTGTGGGCAAATCCATGTGTACACACAAGGCTAGAGTGACGTTTGATTTCTTCTTTTGCAGATTATAGTCCTTTCTACAAACACTGGCAGGACAATGTGCTGTAGGGAGATTGCTTATTCTTCCTTCTTCTGCCCTTGTTTTTGGCAGAACCACTGTCAAGATCATTGTCTCCTAAAGACATGCAGATCTATGGCAATAGGATCTGTCAGCCTCATAAACATTTTTAATGACCCACATAGCATGACATATACAGTATCATGTTTTCCCTAAGAGAAATTACTTTACATTGCTTTAATGACTTGCCCTCACAGCTTTAGATTTCACTTGCTAAAGTATTTTGATTGTGCATTTAATTTAAAAAGAAACCTCTAAACATTTTTTTAGTTGCAAAAAATTCCAACTTTACCAGGGAGAAGAACATTTTGGGGTGTTCAACTGTACTGGGAATGTTTTATTTTTAAGCTGGTTAGTGAATACATGGGTGTTCATTTTATTACCTCATATACTTCATATGTTTTAAATAATAATACATTTAAAAATATGCTTTCTTTTATTCAGATTTCTGATGCTAGAGGAATATGTTCAGTTAGTTTACTTGTCCTGAAATTTAAACAGTAACCATTTAAATTACGTGAGCTGTAAAGAGATTGGCATTTTTCTGTGAGTTGTTCCAGACACTAGGCCCAGTGCTGTTAAAGATGAGCCCCGCATTCTCTCCAAATGACACCAGGCCCATCATTGTGTTCCTAGGCTCAAGCTCTTCTCCGCTGGCATGATGCTCATCAGTTCTGCAGCAGAAGTGGGCAGCCCACCAAGAAGAACGTGGCTGGCAGCAAGCGTGTGTGCCCTTCCAATAATATAATCTATTATCCACAGGTAATTATTGCTGTAAGAGGACAGTAATCCAAGAAGACTGTGCGCTGCTTTGTCCTGGGGAAGGAAGCCTGTGCAATTCCTTAATTATACACTGCTTTAGCTCATTGGCAGGGCCCAAAGTGCCAGCATCTCAGTTTCCATTCCCCTTTCCTAGATGGCTCCTGTGGCGATCACGCTGGTGTCAGATGGGACCCGATGCCTGCTTGCCCGCCAAAGCTCCTTTCCCAAGGGAATGTATTCTGCCTTGGCAGGTTTTTGTGATATAGGTGAGGAGTTTAGGGGATATACAGGTGACACTGGAAGATATACAATCTTACTAATACAATCTTCTCTGTCTTGTTGCTATAGAGCTTGAATTCCCAAGCACATTCTTTTCTATCATGTCAAGAAAACTGCTTTCTGGCATTTTATATATATATATATATATATATATAAAATTTTTTCCTTTCCTTTTTTTTGAGATGGGAGTCTCACCCTGTTGCTCAGGCTGGAGTGCAGTGGTGCAATCATGGCTCATTACAGCCTCAACCTTCTGGGTTCAAGCAATCCTCCCACCTCAGCCTCCTGAATAGCTAGGACTACAGGCACAGGCTACCATGCCCGGCTAATTTTTAAAATTTTTTGTAGAGACAGGGTCTCGCCGTGTTGCCTAGGCCAGTCCTGAACTCCTGGCTTCAAGTGACCTACCTGCCTTGACCTCCCAAAGTGTTGGGATTACAGGTGTGAGCCACACTATTTTTTTAAGCAAATTTTCAAACATAGGAGATTGTTGAAAGAATTATACAGTGAACACCCATACACCCACTACCCAGATTCTATAATTTTTTTTCCTCTTCACATGTAGGCATTTGTTTGTAGGGAGGCCACAAGCTTTGTGCCTCTCATCACATTGACCCCAGATTCCTGTTGGGTGTGTTATAAACAGAGGAGCCATTCTTTAGGCCCCCTGCTCTGAGCACACCCCTAGATTCCATGAATTTTTACTACACTTACTTTATCACAAAGCTGTCCATCTATCCATTAATCTATCTTATTTTTTGATGCATAGATTGAAGATATTAGTACACTTCTTCCTATTTCAGCATGCGTAACATTTGCTAGAATTCAGTATTTATTTACAGGTTGGTTTTTTTCTCTAGTCTATTGGGGTCAAATTTGCAAATGGTGAAAAGTGGAATTTTATGAAAGCTGAGTGCAGTAGTCCCTCCTACTGTCACACTTACTTTAGACCTAGCAGACTTAAGCACTGTGGTTCAACACACAGCTCTGGACCTGATTCTTATTGTTGGAATGACTCAGAGTTTTAGGACACTCCCAAGAGCATTTCATTGAAACTTTGGAGCCAGTGTTGTGCACCTTTCTCAAATGGGCTGTCTGTATCACCCTTCTAGCCTACAGGGCTGTCCTGAATTAATCTGAGTGCTTGTAGGTGAAAGTGTGGAAGAGACCATCCGCCGAGAAGTTGCAGAAGAGGTGGGATTGGAGGTGGAAAGCCTGCAGTACTATGCATCCCAGCATTGGCCCTTCCCTAGTGGCTCACTCATGATTGCTTGCCATGCAACTGTGAAACCAGGGCAGACAGAAGTAAGTTCTCATCTTCCCTTATACTGTGATATTTCTTTTGCTTCATCCAACCTGCTCATCAGCAAGTACTTATTAAGCACTTGTCTAGTCCAGCATCATCTAGATTACATAAACATGTGTAAAATATGATTTAGGGCTGAGCACGGTGGCTCATGCCTGTAATCCCAACACTTTGGGAGGCTGATGTGGGCGGATCACTTGAGGTCAGGAGTTCAAGACCAGCCTGGCCAACATGGCAAAACTCCATCTCTACTAAAAATACAAAAATTAAGGCCGGGTGCGATGGCTCATGCCTGTAATCCCAGCACTTTGGGAGGCTGAGGTGGGCGGATCACGAGGTCAGGAGTTCAAGACCAGCCTGGCCAAGATAGTGAAACCTCATTTCAACTAAAAATACAAAAATTGGCTCGGCATGGTGGCAGGTGCCTGTAGTCCCAGCTATTTGGGAGGCTGAGGCAGGAGAATCGCTTGAACCTGGGAGGTGGAGGTTGCAGTGAGCTGAGGTCGCGCTACTGCACTCCAGCCTGGGCAACAGGGTGAGAATGCATCTTGAAAGTAAATTAATTAATTAATTTAATTAAATATGATTTATGCCCTCAAGGAATTTGCAACCTAGTAAAGGAAGCAAATAATCTCCATTCTCCCTTGCATATATGTCAATCACGAGACAATTTATTTTATTTTATTTTTTTTGAGACGGAGTCTTACTCTGTCGCCCAGCCTGGAGTGCAGTGGCGCGATCTCGGCTCACTGCAACCTCCGCCTCCTGGGTTCAAGTGATTCTCCTGCTTCAGCAGAGAAGTATATACCCTTGAAATTATCAAACCGTCATCACTATCAATGCCATAAACTTATTCATCACTTACAAAAGTTTCCTCCCACCCCTTTTATTTTTCTCCCACCCCACTTTTTTTTTTTTTTAATTTTGTGGTAAGAGCACTTGATGTGAGATCTATTCTCTTAGCAAATTTTTATGTGTATAATATAGTATTATTAATTGTAGACCTTATGGTGTACAGATCTTCAAAACTTATTTTGCATGACTGAAACCTGGTACCCTTTGACCAGTGGCCACCCTCCCTTCAGCCCCTGGCATGCAACTTTTTCCATTTTCCCCTCCCTTCAGCCCCTGGCAACCACCATTCTACTCTCTGCTTCTGTAAGTTTGACTATTTTAGATTCCACATATAAGTGAGATCATGCAATATTTGTCTTTCTGTGTCTGGCTTATTTCACTTAGCATGTCCTTTGGGCCTATCTATCTTGTTGCAACTGCAGGATTTCCTTCCTTTTTAAGGCTGAATAATATTCTATTATAGTATATACCACATTTTCTTTATCCATTCATCCATTGTGAATACTGCAGTGAACATGGGAGTGCAGATATCTCTTCAAGATCTAGATTTCAATCCAGAAGTGGGATGCTAGATCAAAGGGTAATTCTATTTTTAATTTTTTGAGGAACCTCCATATTTTTTTCCATAGTAGGTGCACCAACTTACATTCCCCACAACAGTGTACATGGGTTCCCTTTTCTCTACATCCTTACCAATACTTGCTGTCCGTTGTACTTTTTTAATGGTAGCCATTAAAGAAGGTATGAGTTAATAGTAGCCATCAAAGAAGGTATGAGGTTTTCATTTGCATTTCCCTGATGATTAGTGATGTTGAGCACCTTTTCACATACCTGTTGGCCATTTGAATACCTTCTTTGGAGAAATGTCTATTCAGATTCTTTGCCCATTTTTAAATTGGCTTATTTATTTTTTGGTATTAAGTTGTAGAAGTTCCTTATATATTTTGGATATTAACTCCTTATAAGATAGAGGGTCTGCAAATATTTTCTCCCATTCTGCAGGTTGTCTCTTCACTCTGTTGATTGATTCCCTGACTCTGCAGAAGCTTTAGTTTGATAGAATCCCTACTTGTCTATCTTTGCTTTTCTTGCCTGTGCTTTGGTATCATATCTAAGAGACCACTGCCCAGTCTAATGTCTAGAAATTTATTCCTTTATGTTTTCTCCTAAGAATTTTATTGTTTCAGGTTTTATATTTAAGTCTTTAATCCATTTTAAGTTGGTTTTTGCATATGATGTAAGATAACGGTCCGATTTCATTCTTTTGCATGTGGATATCCAATTTTCCCAACACTGTTTATATAAGACAATTTACCTTTTATTGTCAGGAGTTAAGAGTGTCTTACATATAGTAGGCGCACAATCAGGCATCATTTAATGACTGACTGCAGGATTGGTCTTATTGCTCAAGTCAGTCAGGATGCTGGGAACTAAAAATATAAAACTATAGGTACTTGTAGTTGAAAGAAACTTAAGACGTTGTCTTTTTTTTTTTTTTTTTTTTTTGAGATGGAGTCTCATTCTTGTCGCCCAGGCTGGAGTGCAGTGGCACAATCTCAGCTCACTGCAACCTTCGCCTCCCAGGTTCAAGCAATTCTCCTGCCTCAGCCTCCCGAGTGGCTGGGATTACAGGTGCCTGCCAGCATGCCCGGCTAATTTTTGTATTTTTATTAGAGATGGGGGTTCCACCATGTTGGCCAGGCTGGTCTCGAACTCCTGACCTCAGGTGATCCTCCCACCTTGGCCTCCCAAAGTGTTGGGATTATGGGCATGAGCCACCATGCCCGGCTAGACATTGTTTTATCCAATCTCATCTTGCACTTCTCTAGCATCACTGACTGATGGTCTCTGCCTGCCAAAGTTTGCCTATTGTATGTTTTGGTTTTTATAGAATATCTAATCTATTTCAGCTTCCTTGGGATGAAGTTTGCATTACTTTGCTTCTTGCAAAGATGAGACTATGCTTTTGACTATCATTAACCCTTACCCTTTAAAAAAAAAAAAAAAAGAGTGGCTGGGCACAGTGGCTCACGCCTGTAATCTCAACACTTTGGGAGGCCGAGGCAGGTGGATCACCTGAGGTCAGGAGTTCAAAAACATCCTGTCCAACATGGTGAAACCCCGTCTCTACTAAAAATACAAAGAAATTAGCCAGGTGTGGTGGCGGGTGCCTGTAATCCCAGCTACTCGGGAGGCTGAGGCAGGAGAATCATTTGAACCTGGGAGGGGAGGTTGCAGTGAGCCAAGATCACACCATTGCCCTCTAGCCTGGGTAAAAAGAGCAAAACTCCATCTCAAAAAAAAAAAAAGTAATATTTGTATGTTCTTTTTTAATTGAAAAATTTATACAATCAATAGAGACACAAGGAAAAATAGGTATTATTCATAATTTATTCTCAATGTTAACCACTCTTAACATTTTAGTATTTGTACTTCCAGGATTTATTTAATGTATCTTATCTTTTTTTTTTTACTATGTTAGAAATATATTTAACTCGGCCGGGCACAGTGGCTCACACCTGTAATCCCAGCACTTTGGGGGGCCAAGGCGGGTGGATCACAAGATCAGGAGATCGAGACCATCCTGGCTGACACGGTGAAACCCTGTCTCTACTAAAAAATACAAAAAATTAGCCGGGCATGGTGGCGGGCGCCTGTAGTCCCAGCTACTCAGGAGGCTGAGGCAGGAGAATGGCGTGAACCTGGGAGGTGGAGCTTGCATTGAGCCAAGATAGCGCCACTGCACTCCAGCCTGGGCAACAGAGAGAGACTCCGTCTAAAAAAAAAAAAATATATATATATATACACACACACACACACACATATAAAACTCTCATTTCTTAATTATGCCTCTTTTGCTTCTGGGCAGTATCTAGAACTGACTTTCACCTAACCTGAAGATCCCAGGTATTATCTTCTAAGATTGCTTAGTTCTAGAATCATTTTCTGACCTTTGGCCATAGTATTCTAAATTTTGTAGCTCCTGACCTTACATCCTTTTCTTCCTTATGTCTTTCAGATCCAGGTGAACTTGAGAGAATTAGAGACAGCTGCCTGGTTCAGTCATGATGAGGTAGCCACAGCCCTGAAGAGAAAGGGCCCCTATACTCAGCAACAGAATGGGACTTTCCCATTCTGGCTGCCCCCTAAGTTAGCCATCTCCCACCAACTGATTAAGGAGTGGGTGGAAAAACAGACCTGTTCTTCCCTGCCTGCTTAGCCCGGATCAAGTCACTTAGATCGCTCCTTGGTATTCCTGAGGGACAAACTAGAGATCAGTTGACAAAGGAGAAGTGACAAAAGATAAGCTGCAGAAGGACCTCAGAAGGGCAGAGCAAAGGGTGAGCCTACAGTAAGACACTTCTATCAGCAGTGTTAATGGAAGAAATTCCTACCAATGGGCAATCAAAAAAGCCAGTGTGAGAAGAAAACTGATGAGCTGTCAACTGTCAAAAATCAGGGGGAAGGGGGAAGCATTAGTTTGGATGTAGGCCCTTGTTCAGTCATTTTCTCTAAGGCCTTGGAAGCAAACATCTTCTGGCATATGGCTTGTTAATGTTGTGTTTACACTAACTGCCAAAATGTGCCTGTTGTAAGTTTGGTTAAAACTTTTATCTTAGTATTGAAAATATATAGCAAGTTTTAAGTCATTACTGAGTTACTTGTTACCCTTACAGAATTAAGAAAAATAGCACAGTATGACATTTTAAAATTCATGTACAGGTGCATTCTAGTTACATGAACATGCTAGTTAAATAAAAGTCACAATTAAGTCATTATGACTCAGAGTACTTTATAATAAATCAGATGCCCTGAGGCTCTGTTGAGGAAGTAGAATCCCAATGGGACTCCAGACAGTAAATCTTTTTCGCTGTTTTCAGCTCTGTCACATGCTCAGTTTGTGACCCAGGGAAAAGACTATTGCTTTGCCATGCCTGTTTTCCTAAATAAAACAGTTGCTGGCATTTGCACATCCACAACGTGTTGATTAACAAAGGGATTGGTGGAGATAAACAGATGCCAAACCTGACCTATTTCTTAAACTTTATGGAATAAACTAAATTTAGGATTTCTCATCATTCATATATGATGCCATAAGGGAGAAGAGTTTATTTGGGGAAAATAAAAGAAATTTCCACACCTTTGTTCTGATGTCTTTTTCTGTCCTGTGAATTGAGAAAATTTTACAAGGTGAGAATTTGGGGGTAGGGGAAAGGATCCCTATTGGTGACAATTAAACATTTAAGTCCAGGTTTCAAGTCAGTGTAACAACTGAAGCAATGTGCAGGAGGAATGTTAGAGGTCTTGCTGAAAAGAGGAAATAATCATATCTTCAGAAGATTCTAGGGACTTATTTGTGATTAAAGACAAAAGCTCCAGAGACCCTAAGGTTATTTACATGTCAAAGTCCCATAGGACTAAGTCCCAAAGTCCCATAGCACTAAAGAGATTCTAAAACTAGAAAAGTTAAAGCACTGAATTTCCTTTTGATCTCAAAAGGTCATTGCTCTCTCCACTGCCAGCAAACCATCATTGCTTTGGGGAAATCAAAGTGCCTTCATCAGGAAATGTTGAGGGATAATATGTGATGGGACTTGATTGTCTTGTTAGATTGGCAGCTTGCCTTTACCTGGGCTGAACCCAGCATGCAGAAGGGAAAAGCACTCACAAAAGAGAGGTCCTGAGATTTCTTCATATCTTGCAGTTAGAAGAAAACAGTTCAGGGTCCATGTGTATTACCATCTCCCAATCTTTTCTATCTCTATGTGGGTGTGTTTGTGAGCGCATGTGTACACATCCCCAATCTGAAAATACTGATAGAAAGGGGAGTGTGCGGAATTCCTGGTTATGAGTTTCCCAAACTTACCATGGAGTAACTGTTTGTTTTTTGATTAATGTGTTTTTGGAAAAGAAAAGATGAGAGTGGCTAACAGCAGGAGCTGCAACATTGAACTTTGCTTCTCAGTAGTGAGTGGGAAAAGAGCTTTGCTGTAGAACCCCAAGGATATCTGAAAGCTGAGGCAGAAGAGAGCAGGCCTGGAATACTGAAAATGGCAGATAAATAAAAGAAACTTTGGTACAGGACCTACCTGACCTGAGAATATATACATGGGCAATAAATTATGAAGGTGCTAAGGATAAATAGAACCCATCTGGGTCCATGATGCAGAATAGAAAAACAGGTAAAATCTTGTGAGCCTGGCTGAAAGTCAGTCAGCCGTGGCAACCAGAATAAAAAAAAATTTCATTTATATTTTTGCCTATCACCCTTTCTCTACCCAATATTTAATCCTCAATGAAGATAAACCTAATGTACCACAAGTGCGATGGGGGGAAACCTTTTTCTCACAGTTGAGCTGGGACGGCATTCTGGCCCCATTTTTAACATGAGAAATGTAGCTTCAAAACAAACAATAAAAATATATTTAAAATAATTATTATTTAAAATGTTAAAATGTTGCACAATATCATCTGATGTGTTACTTTAGTCAATGTGTAACACTTATCCTCTTCCTTAGTTCATTTCAGTGAACACTAGGAAGACAAAGGATTGGAGTGGGATATGGTATATTTAGTTTTTATTTATTTATTTTTGAGACGGAGTTTCGCTCTTGTCGCTCAGGCTGGAGCGCAATGGCGCAATCTTGGCTCACTGCAACCTCCGGCTCCCGGGTTCAAGCTATTCTCCTGCCTCAGCCTCCCAAGTAGCTGGGATTATAGGCGCCCACCACCATGCCCGGCCATATTCAGTTTTTATTAGTTCGTGATAGTAAGTTCTCAGATGAGAACTCTACTACACCATTCTCCTAATTCCTCCCTTGGTCACTGGAGAGGGAACAGTATGAAACTATTTCCATTGTTTTTACTTGGATAGGGTAAGATATAGTAAAGGCATCTCTCTGCTGCATACAATAATAAAGAAGAATCCAGAGACCTAGATTATAAAAACATGGTCAGTATATGGAGCTGTCTGTAAAGAAGACTTTTTTTTTGCTTTTAATGGTGAATTTTATGATATATAGATAATACTTGATTTATTTTAGGAGGAATATGAGCATCATTTTAAGAAATAAACATTTCATCTTAGCAAAAGATATATCAGTTATATTAAATATCAAACCAATTAATTAATTAAAACAATTAAGTACAGTATCAGGTATGAAATATCCAAAATAGGCAAATCCATAGAGACAGAAAGTAGACTAGTGGTTTCTAGGGGCTGGGAGTAGAAGGGAATGAGAGACTATTAGTGAGTATGGGGTTTCTAATATTCTAGAATTAGATGGTAGGGATGGTTGCACAATTTTGTAAATATACTAAAAACCACTGAATTGTATAATTTAAAGGGTAAATTTTTTGGTATGTGACATATCAATATAGCTGTTATTTACAAGTAAATAAGTTCTATATCTTGCTTCAGGTACATACATACATGCAAAAATTCACTGACTGTACACTTAAGATTTGTGCACTTAACCATATGCATGTTATGCCTCATTAAAAAAATTGAAAAAGTGAATGAGTTTTCAAATCCAAATTTGTCAACTTGAAATTTTGATCTGAGGATGAATAGCAGTAAGGGAGAAATTTAAATATTTAGAATTACTCCAAGGGTATATTGTGGTAGGGTATGTCTTTAGCATGAAGTGTGTGAATTTCATCTCAAGGTTGTCTAGGGGCTAGATTCTACCCTGCCGAGTTCAAAACCTGTGTATAACCCACAGCTGAGATCACAAAGACTTGTGCCAAGAGGGCCACATTTGGGGCTCATGGAGAAGTCAATCTGTAAAACTTGTAATGAAGAAACATTTTTACTAAATGAGTAATCTAAACTAGAAATGAACAGAATCATATTCAATATTTATTTAAAAAGAAAAAAGAGAAGCTAAATGTGCTGGTTAATTTTTTGTTGGCTTACTTGTTGGTCTGTGATCGGTGTTGTCAGGCAGCTGCACTCCCATGCTTTGTAAAAGATTGGAAGCAGGTCCTGCCAGTCCAGCTTGGGAGCTATAGGATTCCAATATATTTGAAACCAGGTTCAGGTCTACATCTACTGGTGCCATAACAGATTCTCCCGTACCAGAATCTTCCTCATCTGAATTGTTATCGGTAGTCTGGGATACAGGTTCCTTATTCATAGAGGGAAAAGAAAATTATGGGCTAATGTATCATTAGGTTGCATGGTGGTTACAATAAAAAGATAACTAAGCCACAATGTAAATTTGCATTCCAAATTAAAAAGGAAACTTCTTATCCTTGGTGATATAAACTGAAAATGAAGTCTACAAGTTATATGGCCTAGCACACATAATAAAACTTGGTTCTAAAGGTTATAACACATTTCTCTCCAGGAAAGATTCCTGCAAATCGAATAAATTGCATGTCTATTTTGAAATAGCTCAAGGGCTAATAGAATTAAGAAGGTACATTTATAACTTGTCTAAGAGTCTTAAAAGAAACAAACATAAAAGTGAATATTAAATGAAATAATAATGTAAATTTTCTTCAAAATGAAAGAAGCGAGTGTTCCTTTCTTTCCCCCCAGTGAAAAAGCTTAAAAGTAAAAACACAAGGCTTTGTGGTTCCAACCACAAAGATTCTAAATTGTTAGTTGGGCCTCTGATTCCACAAGCTGGGGAAAGGATTTGAAAGATTACAGCTCGATAGACTTTTATGTCCTTGCTACCCAAAGCATTGTCCATGGAGCAGCAGAGTCTCCATCGCTTGGGGCTTATTAGAAATGGAAAAACTCAGCTGGGAGTGGTCGCTCATGCCTGTAATCCCAGCACTTTGGGAGGCTGAGGTGGGTGGATCACTTGAGGTCAGGAGCTCCAGAGACTAGCCTGGCCAACATGGTGAAACCCTGTCTCTACTAAATATACAAAAATTAGCCAGGCACGGTGGTGCGCACCTGTAGTCCCAGCTACTTGGGAGGCTGAGGCAGGAGAATTGCTTAAACCCAGGAGGCAGAGGGTGCAGTGAGCCAAGATCGTGCCACTGTACTCCAGCCTGGGTGACAGAGGGAGACTTCCATCTCAAATAAAATAATAATAATAATAATAAAATAAAACAAAATAATAATAAAAAAAAGGAAAATCTCAAGCTTCATCCCAGGCCTACTTAATCAGAATCTATGTTGTAACATGATCTTTTGGTTTATATTCGCATTAAAATTTAAGAAATACTGCTTTAGATAAATCTAATGTATGGTTTCTACTAGATTTTGACAATTCTGGAAGTGACTATAGTTTTAAAAGTGGTTTAGATGATCAAAGCAAGGAGAATTAACATTAATTAAAGGCCTATTGTAGGTTTTACTGCTGTCTAATTTGGTTCTCATGTTAATTTTATGATATGAGGATTACTGGTTTATAGATACATTCACAGTGGACAGCTGAGCTAGACTTCAAACCCTAACCCATAAGACTCCAGGGTTCTTGCTCTTTCCATAATACCTCTGTTTAGGATTAGACAGTGGTGGCATTAAAAACTAGGATGAAAACATAAACGGAAGGTGAATCCTAAATTTGGCTCTAAATTAGGGAAAAATACAAAATAAACTGTTAAAACTGGAAAGTTATTTGAATGTTTAAGATCCTGTTTATTTACTTATGTTATTTTGTTTTAATCCACTGTGGCCCAAGGCATAGTCTCAAAAGGTCTTGAGAACATGTGCCCTCTCTTTTTTAAAATCCATTTAAGCTGTAGTTTTTTTAAACTACTTTTGAAAAAAAATGTATTTAAGAAGTAGTAGTGTACAATCGCATTCTAATTTGAGCATATTATATGACTTTTTATTTTAAATCCTGATAGATAACGTAGAATAAGTAATATAATGAAGCTTATGTTTTGGAAAATTAAGTCTATGATCCTTTATCCTACCAGAGTTAGGAAAACAATTAACATTCTTATTTATTTCAAATCTCACACACCAAAAAAAGAAAAACTATGATAAAATATGGTTTTAGCTATCTGACATACTAGACTCAGAAAGAGAAAGAGGTTAAAAACACACATACCACTTGGTTCCTAGTGGTGAAACTTTTGCTGATGCAGGTGTGTGCTAGTTCCTGGTCCATCTGGGCCATGTATGACTTGAGATTATCAAGTGTTCCTTTCAGGGAAGCCTCTTCGCCAGGTTCGTGTGTTTCAAAGTCCAAGTCATCATCACTATCTAAACATTCAAAGTCTTCATCATCCAGATCATCAGAATCTGACTCATTAGGCCTTGGCCCTACACAGATCCCAAGAAAGAAAGAGCCACTTAGTAATTATTATTATTATTATTATTATTATTATTATTTAGTTACTACACATCTCAAAATAATTAGAATGTTACCCACAGAAAAAGACTAATACACACAGTCAGTCTACTTCACAAAAATCCCTTCTACAAATGGTAATGCTGGCAGATATGTGTGCATTTAATGTTGTGGAAAAGCGTACAAGCTGAATCAAAAGATTTAGCTTAAAAAAAAGTGAATTCAATTAATTAAAATATTTTTCTTAAAAAATTTTTAAAAATACCTAATAAATGAATACATTTTGATGTAAACATTCAAGCCATACAAGTATTGTCTCCAATCTCACTCTCTCCCCAGAGGTAAGCATCTTTTAGCAGTTTCCGGGTATCCCAATCTTTCTCTCTGCAGTTCTGTACATATATACATATTATAATTATTTTTTGAGTTATCTTTTTATTACTGATTTGTAAGTACAGTAATTCCAAAAAAGAACAATATAATATGGGAGCCAAGGTAAAACCCTATTTAAACACACAGCATTCAGTCACTCTCAAATATTTAATGAGGCCGGGCACGGTGGCTCACGCCTGTAATCCCAGCACTTTGGTAGGCTGAGATGGGCGGATCATGAGGTCAGGAGATCGAGACCATCCTGGCTAACACGGTGAAACCCCGTCTCTACTAAAAATACAAAAAAATTAGCTGGGTGTGGTGGCAGGCGCCTGTAGTCCCAGTTACTCAGGAGGCTGAGGCAGAAGAATGGCATGAACCCAGGAGGCGGAGCTTGCAGTGAGCCGAGATCGTGCCACTGCACTCCAGCCTGGGCAACAGAGCGAGACACTGTCTCAAAAAAAAAAAAAAAAAATTAATGAGCAGCTACTATATATGTCAAACACTAAGCTAGGCAGCCTCTACAAAATTATTCATGGGTAGTAATTCATGGTTGAAAGCAACTCAAACCAGGAAGAGAAAGCAAACATTTTGGCTTCTGAGATATCTCATAAACCAATGCTCTAGCAACAGCCATACTACTAACAGTTTCAAAATGAAAGTCAACATCACACCACTACTTACCTAAAATCTTATCAAAATAATTAAGAAAAGAATCTGCATCAAAAGTGATTGGAGCCTCAGAAGGTTCTCTGCAATATTAAAGGACAAAGACAATTAATTTATTCTAAATACAACTCTTTGAAACTTTTCTAAAGTGGTGCCATTCTTAGGAAAGCTACCAAAGATAGAATTTCTAAGGAGGCACAGCAAGAAAAGTTGTAGTTTAAGTTTTAAAAATCCTTGAGTTTACTGGCCTTGCAGGACAACAGAAATGGGAAAGTCTGATAAATGAAAAGTAAAAATTGCATCTTGTTTATGTACATTTAGCTTATGCTGATTTAGGGACCTACCCACTCTCTAGCCCCAATAAGATATCTAGCATTAGCAAAACCATTATTTATTTGAGTTAATTTAAATAAAGCCTGTTCTTTTAAGAACTAAAGCTTAAAAAATAAACAAGAACATATCTTCCCTTATCCCTGCTTTCTTAAAGAGAGAATACCAAATATAAATTTATATCTTTCATCAGGTTCAAGAGCATCAACACTAATAATGATATATTTGATACACAAGTAACAGTTTTTTTTGTTTTGTTTTTTTTTTGAGACGGAGTCTTGCTCTGTCACCCAGGCTGCGGTGCAGTGGCACGATCCCAGCTCACTGCAACCTCTGCCTTCCGGGGTCAAGCGATTCTCCTGCCTCAGCCTTTCAAGTAGCTGGGATTATAGGCGTGCGCCACCATACCCGGCTAATTTTTGTATTTTTAGTAGAGATAGGGTTTCACCATGCTGGCCAGGCTGGTTTTGAACTCCTGACTTCGTGATCTGCCTGCCTCGGTCTCCCAAAGTACTGGGATTACAGGCATGAGCCACCGCGCCCAGCCTACAAGTAATAATTCTATCTACCTGTTTTTCCTGTTATTTGCCAAATGTAGTTTCATATTTCTGTTATTATTTCTGCCTCTGATGAATTCCTTTTTCAGTATCCAATCTGCTTGCAGGGTGGGAGATCAGAGGTCTGAACTTGTTGAAAGTTAAATGTTGAGCCCATAAAGCTACTAAAGAGTAAAGTATATGGTTTCCCTGTGTGGTTCTGGATGATGGTTTTTAGGGTGATCTTTCTGGCTTATTTCAAGGATTGCAAAGGATGAGGCTTCTAGAAATCTGACTTCAAATAAGTAAGTTATCACTATACTAGGCACAAAAAAGAAAGCAAGCAGTACAACTCATTTACTCAAAAAAAAAAAAAAAAAGTGGAAATGGCAATGACTATGACTTCAACATTTGGGTTCTAGCTATTTATATATTTATACTTTAACACAAATTACCGAGGCAGCTCTGCTCCCTTGTGGGTTGAGACTTTGGATATGAAAGCTTTCATGCTCTCTGAGACTTCAGTTAAGTCATAGTTCTGCTCCTTCTCCTCCTTGGAAACAGACTCGGATTCTTTTTTGCCAACAGCTTCCTGCAGCAGCTGGTCCAGCTGATCTGGTGAGAGATCTAACCACTGGTCATCTGAAAAAGAAGAAAGCATAATACTGCCATTCTACATTCACATAAGTCCTCTTAGGAGAGGATCCTGTGAGACTGAGTAGAACATTTTAATTTTTTTTTTTTAACCCTTCCACTGTATCCTGGTCCATCACTTACCATCCTCTGGGGGAAGATTAGCTGCTTCTTTCTTAAGGTCTTCTATATCAAATGGTATTGTCTGTAATAAGGTTAAGATTTCTTCACCAGGGCTCATAGCAAGAGAACTATGAAAAATAAAAAACATGAGTATTTCTTCATAAGAGAACATAGAATAGTAATCATAAATACATAGTATTTTAAGGTTGGAAGGGATTAGCTAGTCTAATTTGGGGAGTGTTTTTTTTTTTTTTTTTTAAGAGATGGGGTTTCATTGTTGCCCAGAATGGACTCGAACTCCTGGGTTCAAATGATCCTCCCACTTCATCCTCCCAAGTAGCCAGCACTACAAGTACATGCCAAAACACCTGGCTCTAATTTGTTTGTTTGTTTTTAACAGAGTTTCACTCTGTCGCCCAGGCTGGTGTGCAGTGGCGCGACCTCGGCTCACCACAACCTCCGCCTCCCAGGTTGAAGAGATTCTCCTGCCTCAACCTCCCAAGTAGCTGAGACTACAGGCATGCGCCACCACACCCAGCTAATTTTTGTATTTTTAGTAAAGATGGGGTTTCACCATATTGGCCAGGTTGGTCTCGAACTCCTGACCTCATAATCCCCCTGCCTTGGCCTCCCAAAGTGCTGGGATTACAGACATGAGCCACCGCACCCAGCCTTCTAATTTGTTTTTAAGCATATTTTTAGGTTGCAGATCCCTTTTTCTCAAACAAAACTTTTACCAGGAACTCTAAAATACAGAAGGGGTCAAAGAAAAATGGCCTTCATTAAAGTGGAGGATAGGCCAGGCACAGTGGCTCATGCCTGTAATCCCAGCACTTTGGGAGGCCAAGGCGGGGAGATCACTTGAGGTCAGGAGTTCACTTGGCCAACATGGTGAAACCCCGTCTCTACTAAAAATACAAAAATTAGCTGGGCATTGTGGCACGTGCCTGTAATCCCAGCTACTCGGGAGGCTGAGGCAGGAGAATTGCTTGAACCCGGGAGGTGGAGGTTGCAGTGAGCTGCCCCAGCATGGGCGACTGAGCAAGACTCCATCTCAATAAATAAATAAAATAAAATAAAATAAAAATAAATAAATTGGAGGATAGAAGCTCAGAGATCTACACAATTGGCCTTCCTTTTTGGCTCTGAAGCAGGCTCCATGGAACATCATTATGAAGCCACTGATCTCGTATAATTCTTTCTATACATACATGCAGAGACAGGGTCTCTCTCTATATATGTATATATATGTACATACAGTTGTATTATGTTAATAGTACATATACATATAAAACACGTACTAAAAATACATAAAAATATACATATAATATATATTTTATATACGAGGAAAAGAAGATCCAGAAGGAAAGCATCAATTAAAATTTATCTAGCATGTATTAAATGCTATGCTAACACTTTAAATACATTTTCTTATTGAGTCCTTTTGTTACTATTATAGAAGGTAATAATCCTGTTTTACAGATGAGAAAACCAGAACCCAGGGAAGTTCTTTAACTTTTGCAAAGTCTGTATTACCCAGGAGGCGGAGGTTGCAGTGAGCCAGGATTGTGCCATTGCACTCCAGGCTGGGCGACAAGAGCGAGACTCCGTTGGCCGGGTGCGGTGGCTCACGCCTGTAATCCCAGCACTTTGGGAGGCCAAGGCGGGCGGATCACGAGGTCAGGAGATCGAGACCATCCTGGCTAACACAGTGAAACCCCGTCTCTACTAAAAAAAAAAAAAAAAAAAAAAATTAGCTGGGCGTGGTGGTGGGTACCTGTTGTCCCAGGTACTCAGGAGGCTGAGGCAGATGAATGGCGTGAACCCAGGAGGTGGAGCTTGCAGTAAGCCAGGATCGCGCCACTGCACCTCCAACCTGGGCACAGAGCAAGACTCCGTCTCAAAAAAAAAAGAGACTCCATAAAAAGAAAAAAAATCCTCATTCTTTAAGACTTAACTCAAATACCTCCTCCCTGAAGCCTTCCATTATCTTTCTTTTTTTAACATCTCTGCTTCAACCTTAGTGAAAGTTTATTACCTTCTCACTATGACTCTCTTTAGCATTTGATATTCCAGAATGATTTTTATTTTGCCTTTTGTTATGATTATTTGGTTTATTCTCTCTCCTAGTAACGTTTACATATTAATAATACAGAGTAGAGACAGTTCCCCATCACCTACGTGATTTTGCAAGGTATGCAAATGTTTATCCAATTAAAGCAAGTCCTTTATACAACTTGATTTGATCCATTCTTAATAGTTCAGACAGGGTGCCATCAATTTATGTAACAAATCATGTCACCATTATGTCACTCACTCAACACATAAGTATCTCTGTGCATAGTTTCTTTTTTTTCTTTTTCTAAGACAGGGTCTCACTCTGTCGCCTAGGCTAGAGTGCGTGGCATGATCACAGCTCACTGCAGCCTTGACTCTTGGGATCAAGCAATCTTCCTATCTCAGCAAGTAGCTGGGATTACAGGCATTAGCCACTGTGCCTGGCTATTTATTTATTTTTAATTTGAGTAGCTGGGATTACAGGTGCCCACCACCTCATCCGGCTAATTTTTTGTATTTGTAGTAGAGATGGGGTTTCACCATGTTGGCCAGGTTGGTCTCAAACTCCTGACCTCAGGTGATTCACCCATCTCGGTCTCCCAAAGTGCTGGGATTACAGGTGTGAGCCACTGTGCCCGGCCTATTTGTTTATTTTTAATTGACAAAAAAGTGTATAGGTTTATCATGTACCTTAAAAATATTGTAGAGATGTAATCCCAGCACTTTGGGAGGCTGAGGAGGGCAGATCACAGGTCAGGAGATCGAGACCATCCTGGCCAACATGGTGAAACCCTGTCTGTGCTAAAATACGAAAAGATTAGCCAGGTATGATGGCACGCGCCTGTAGTCCCAGCTACTCAGGAGGCTGAGGCAGGGGCATCGCTTGAACCCGGGAGGTGGAGGCTGCGGTGAGCTGAGATCGTGCCACTACACTCCAGCCTGGTGACAGAGAGAGACTCCATCTCAAAAAAAAAAAAAAAAAAAAAAATTGTAGAGAAAGCTAATGTTTCCTTTGATGACCACTGCCACCCATCCCAATCCATTGTCTTGCTCCCCAGAGGTGACTGCTTTCTCAAGTATACTTCGGCACTTTTCTCTCTCTCTGTATGTATATATATTTCTGTTTCTATTTCTTGTATTTGCTGTCTGTCCTTTTGCTGGAATGTTATTCCCCTAAATAACTGAATGTCTCACTCCTTCACTTCATTCAGGTCTCTTTTCAAAGAAAACTTCCTTAGAAAGGCCTTCCTTGACTAATCTATCTAGAAGAGCAGTCTCTACCCCTCTACCCCACACACTGCTTTTTCTTCATAGCACTTACCACCCCCTAATATTACATAATGGCTTGCGGTCTTTCTCCTACATTAGCATGTAAGCTCTATAAGGACAAGGACACTTTGGGTTCATTTATTATATCCCCAGTACCTGGAATAGGGCCTGGCACATAGGAGGCATTCAATAAATATTTGTTGAATAAATGAATATATATGTATCTATAAATAATGTATTGTTTTGTTTTGAGACGGAGTCTTGCTCTGTCACCTAGGCTGGAGTGCAGTGGTGCGATGTCGGCTCACTGCAACCTCCACCTCCAGGGTTCATGCGATTCTCCTGCCTCAGCCTCCCGAGCAGCTGGGATTACAGGGGCGTGCCAACACGCCCAGCTAATTTTTGAATTTTTAGTAGAGACAGGGTTTCCCATATTGGCCAGGCTGGTCTTGAACTCCTGACCTCGTGATCCACCCGCCTTGGCCTCCCAAAATGCTGGCATTACAGGTGTGAGCCACTGCGCCCAGCCTGTATAGTATTTTGTATATTTAAAATTTTTATATGTGTAACATCCACACGGTATATATTTTATTCTTTTTCATTTTCATTTTTAATTTTTGTGGGTACATAGTAGGTGTATATATTTATAGGGTATATGAGATGTTTTGATACAGGCATGTAATGTGAAATAAGTACATCATGGAGAATGGGGTATCCATCCTCTCAAGCATTTATCCTTCGAGTTACAAACAATCCAATTACACTCTATGTTAAATGTATAATTAAGTTATCATTGACTATAGTCACCCTGTTGTACTATCAAATAGTAGGTCTTACTCATTCGTTCTATTTTTTTTTTTTTTTGGTACCCATTACTGTACGTATTTATAACTTGCTTTTTTTTTTTTTTTCACTGCATTATGTTTTTGAAATCTATTCATTTAGATCAGTGGTTCCCATTTAGATCAGTGGTTCCCAACCAGGGACGATTTTGCCGCCCAGGTACCTCTGGCAATGTCTGGAGACATTTTTGGTTGTCATGATTGGGGGATGAGGGAGAAGTGCTATTGATATTTACTGGATAGAGGCCAGGGATGCTGTTAAATGTCCTATGAAGTGCAAGCCAGTCCCTCACAATAAATTATCAGATCCAAAATGTCAGTAGCACTGAGGTTGAAAAATCCTAAATCAGATATATGTAAATATAGTTCATCTCTGGTTAACTACTAGATAGCAGGCTATCATATAAGTACACTGCAATTCATTTATCCATTATTGATGGATACTTTGGTTGCTTATAATTTTTCACTATTACAATCTCTGATAAATTAGGGGAAAGTCTATGATATTATACGTAGGAGCTAAAAACAATTCTAAACTGAGAGACAGAGAGCAGAATAATGGCTGGCTGGGTGCAGTGGCTCACACTTGTAATCCCAGAACTTTGAGAAGCCAAGGTAGGGGGATCTCTTAAACCCAGGAGGTCAAGATTGCAATGAGCTATGACTGTACCACTGCACTCCAGTCTAGGCAACAGAGTGAGACTCTATCTCAAATAATAATAATAATAAAAGTAGAATGATGGTTACCAGAGGCTGGGAAGGGTAGCAGAGAGCGGGGGGAAAAGAGGGGATAGTTAATGGTTACAAAAATTAGTTAAATAGAAGGAATAAGAGCTAGTGTTTGCTGCTCTGCCTATGGAGTAGCCATTCTTTATTCCTTTACTTTCTTAATAAACATACTTTCACTTTACTCTATGGACTTGCCCAAAATTCTTTCTTGCATGAGATCCAAGACCCCTCTCTTGGGGTCTGGATCTGGAATGCTTTTTAGTAACATCTTCCTGGCAAATCCCAAAAAATATTTTTTAAAAAATTAAAAAGAGCTAGTGTTTGGTAGCACAACAGGGTGACTACAGTTAATAATAATTTATTATATAGTTCCAAATACCTTAAAAAAATGGAATAACTAAAAATATTCCCAACACAAAGAAATGATAAATGCTTGAGGTGATGGAAAGCTTAATTACCCTGATTTGATCATTATACATTGTATGCCACATGGACATTATACATGTAATCACATGTACCCCATAAATATGTACAACTAGTATGTATCCACAATAATTAAAAATAAAAAATTAATGGCTGGGTGCATTGGCTCACGCCTGTAATCTCAGCACTTTGGGAGGCCAAGGTGGGTGGATCACCTGAGGTCAGGAGTTTGAGACCAGTCTGGCCAACATGGTGAAACCCCATCTCTACTAAAAATACAAAAATTAGCCAGACCTGGTGGTGCATGCCTATAGTCCTAGCTACTTGGGAGGCTGAGGCAGAAGAATCACTTGAACCCGGGAGGCAGAGCACTGCACTCCAGCCTGGGTGACTAAGCGAGTCTCTGTCTAAAATAAATAAATAAATAATAATAACAATAAATGAAAAAAAGTGAAAATGAAAGGTAAATCTAAAATAAAAGTCTACGATATTAATTCAGCTATTTTAAAAAAACCACAAACTTTGGGAATTCAACAACAGGTCTGGAGGGAGATGGAAGTTTGGTTTTAAACTGTTTAAAAATTATCCTGGTGTGCAGAATGGGAGCCTCTCCTGCAACATAAATTAAAATGTTGGACATTTAAGCTACTTGTAATTTTTTCCCCAACAGTAAAAAATAGTTGAGTAAATTATGGGGGTACATCCATTTGCTGAAATATTGTGCAGCTTTTTTTTTTTTTTTTTTTTGAGATGGAGTCTCGCTCTGTCCCCAGGTGCAATCTCAGCTCACGGCAACCTCCGCCTCCTGAGTTCAAGCGATTCTCCTGCCTCAGCCTCCCTAGTAGCTGGGACTACAGGCACGCACCATCATGCCCAGCTAATTTTTGTATTTTTAGTAGATACGGGGTTTCACCATGTTGACCAGGATGGTCTTGATCTTTTGACCTCGTGATCCGCCTGCCTCGGCCTCCCAAAGTGCTGGGATTACAGGCGTGAGCCACCGCGCCTGGCCATATTGTGCAGCTTTTAAAAATTATGTTTATAAAGACTTCATAATGCCATGGAAAATGTGATATCATGATGAGTAAAATTACATAGAGGAGGATGCAAAATTTCTTTCGTTGTTTTTTTTTTCTTTTTTGAGGCAGAGTCTCACTCTGTCATCCAGGCTGGAGTGCAGTGGTGTGATCGCTTGAGCCCAGGAGGCGGAGGTTGCCAGCCTGGGTGACAGAGTGAGACTCCGTCTCAAAAAAATAAATAAATAAGAATAATAAATAATAAATAAAAAATAAAAAGAACTACCTAAATACCAATCTTTGTAGTAGGAGTCTTAACAATAACTCACCTTTCTGGCCAGTCTACTGAGAGCTGGAAGTAATTCTCTGCCATTTCTAGCCTTTCCCGGTACTGAGCAGAACCTTCTATCAGTCCCTTAAAAAAAAAAAAAGGTCTATCAGAACATTACTCACAAGTTGTCATGAAAAAAATGTGTTCACCAGCAACTTTCAGGGAGGCAGCAAATAATCTACTACTCAGGAATCACGTGCCCCAAGTCCTAGGCCCTGTTTTATCATTAATGGGCCTGTTTGAGCTCCAGTTTCTTCAAATGAGGGGACGCGGCTAGATGTAGTGATTCCTAATCTTTTCCACCATTAAGGGCCTATTTCCAGTTTGGAAAGTTTTCCACCATTTTCTTTTACTTAATTACTTATTAAGATATAATTGGCTGGGTGCGATGGCTCACGCCTATAATCCCAACACTTTGGGAGGATGAGATGGGCAGACTGCTTGAGCTCAGGAGTTCAGGACCAGCCTGGGCAACATGGTGAGACCCTGCCTCTATGAAAAAAAAAATTAAATTAAAGATATAGCTGATTAACTAGTAATTCACAAAACAAAGTACAGAAAGTTTGCCAAGTAGAATAAAAAATGGCAAAATCCCACCATTACTATCATTTGTGTTTTCTAAATGCATATTTATAGTGATAGTCATACTTAGTATTTTACATTTTTTAAGAATATACTAGCTGGGCACTGTGGCTCATGCCTATAATCTCAGTACTTTGGGAAGCAGAGGTGGGAGGGTCACTTGAGGACATGAGTTTGAGACCAGCCTGGGCAACATAGCAAGACTTCGACTCTACTAAAAAGAAAAAAAAACAATCTTTAGCCAGGCAATGGTGGCACATGCCTAGTCTCAGCTATTTGAAAGGCTGAGGCAGGAGGATCACTTGAGCCTAGGAGATCGAGGCTGCAGTGAGCTATGATCCTACCACAACACTGGCTTGCGTGACAAAGCAAGACCCTATACAACAACAATAACAACAACAGTAATAGCTGGGCACGGTGGCTCACGCCTGTAATCCCAGCACTTTGGGAGGCCAAGGCGGATGGATCACCTGAGGTCAGGAGTCCGAGACCAGCCTGGCCAACATGGTGAAACCCCATTTCTACTAAAAATACAAAAATCGGCTGGGTGTGGTAGTGTGGGCCTGTAATCCCAGTTACTCAGGAGGCTGAGGCTGAGGAGAATCGCTTGAACCTAGGAGGTAGAGGTTGTAGTGAGCCAAGATTGTGCCATTGCACTCCAGCCTAGGCGACAAGAGCAAAACTCCATCTCAAAAAAAAAAAAATACCATATATATACTATAATATCATTAGTACTTTTCGTATTGCTGTGCCATCTTTATCATCATCATATTCTTCGGGACTTTTCCACTTCTTGGATATTTCCTTTAAAAAGATTATTCAAAGTGAAGGTTCCAAGTTTGAACCTTTCTATACCTCTTGGAAGACACTACCAAATTACTTTCCAGTTAAGATTCTACCAGTTTGCAATGTTACCAGCAAGGTATAGGAGTGTTATTTTTACCATACTCTCGACAGCACAGAATATCATTCATATCCTTTTGTACATACATGAAAGACATTCTTCATTACTGTGTTCATATATATATATATATATCTTTACTACTTGTGAAGTTGAATATTTTAAGAGAAATTTACTAGGTATCTTTTAATAATTTTTAAAATCCACATCTTTGCTAATTTTCCTATCTGGTGTTTTCATGTTTGCATTATCAAGTTTTTGCAAGTTGTTTTATCTGGTACAGATAATCACTTTCATCATTTAATACCAACAGTGTTAGTTTTTCTCTAATACTGGAAACAGTTCATAGATACCTCCTTCATTAGCACCTGAGTACCACTGAACTAGAAAGGTCTCCTTTAAGTCTAGCTTCCATAATTATGTCATACATTTAAATATGGACTATAGGACTTTAAGTCGCTGGCTTGATTTTCCCTGGATTGAATACTTAAAAGCAAATATATTGCAAGTCCTACCTTAAAGTAATCATTCTTTTTCAGACTTTCAAGGAAACTGGCCCAGAGTGGTGAGGCAGTCACAAGGGATTTCTTGCAGTCAGAAAAATGTGGGCTACATTTGGAGCATAAGATCTCAAATCCATGAGCCTAGATGAGATAGGTAGAATTTTTGTTACTAAGTTCCTTTTTTCCCGTATCTTATTATAACACATTACTTTTTTTCCATTGAGCCACACTCTAGAACTAGATGACTGGATACATGGGCATTTGGACAATTATAACACTTTTTGAATTTTATGAAAAATATAAACTTATTCCCAAGTTTCTCAATCATTATAGATTACTAAAAACATAAAAGGAAAGAAAATAATATACAATAAAGATTCCTGTTCTCTTCAAAGAGATTCCTTTTCCTGCTGATTACAAAACCAGAAATTTACATTTATTTTTTGTTTGATTATGAACAGGGTTACAAAAGGTTTCTTGTCCAACAGAAATTATACATATATTGAACATGATCTCAGACATAGTAAAGAGAGGAAATCACTTCATTTTAAAAGTCCTTTGATTAAAAAAAATAATAGATGCACATGGCTAAATAATTCAAACAGGGAGCTTCCCTGATCAAGCTAGAGAACACCATTACCAACTTCTTGCACATCCTTTCAGAAGTAACCTACACACTGAAGTATTATGTGTGTGCCTCTCTGTATGCATAGCTTTCTACTCCACCCCTTTTGTTGCTCAATGGACGCATACACACTACTCTACACCTTGCTTTTTACACTTAACCATATACCTTGGAGATCACTTACATGAGCACACACAAATTCATCCATCTTACTTCATGGCTAGAGCACAATTTATCTAACTATTCCCCTACTAATGGACATTTAAGTAGTTTCCAGTCTCCTGCTACTATGAACAATGCTGTCATGACTATGCTCCATATATGTCCTTGTATATAGGTAAAATACATAAAGAATCATTTTCTAGAAGTGAAAATGCTGACTAAAAAGGTTTGTGCATTTTAAATGTTGATGAATACAGATGGTCCCCAACTTATGATGGTTTGACTTAACATTTTTTGACTTTATGATGGTGTGAAAGCAATATGCATTCAGTAGAAACCTTACTTACAATTTTTATCTTTTTGCAGGCTAGCAATATGCATACTGTCTCATGATGCTGGATACACAGTGGCAGCAAGCTGCAGTTGGCAATGTGATCACAAAGGCAATCAACCAATACTGTACTCTATAGTATACTGTATTCAATAAATTACATGACATATTCAACAGTTTATTATAAAATAGCCTTTGTGTTAGATGATTTTGCCCAACTGTATGCTAATGTAAGTATTCTGAGCCCATTTAAGGTAGGCTAGGCTAAGCTATGATGTTTGGTTGGTTAGCTGTATTAAATATATTTTTGACTTATGATATTTTCAATTTTTGACAGGTTTATCAGGAAGTTACCCCACTGTAAGTCAAGGAACATCTGTTTTGCCAAAATGTTCTCCTAAGGGATACAATCAATTTATATTCCTATCAACAATGTCTGAGAATGTTTTTCTGTATATATTCTCAACAACCCAGTATGTATTATCAAGCCGTTTGATACTTGCTAATAAATGATGAAAAACACTATTTTGAGGAAGAATCAATATCGTAAAAATGGCCATTCTGCCCAAGGTAATTTATAGATTCAATGCCATCCCCATCAAGCTACCAATGACTTTCTTCACAGAATTGGAAAAAAACTACTTTAAAGTTCATATAGAACAAAAAAAGAGCCTGCATTGCCAAGTCAATCCTAAGCCAAAAGAACAAAGCTGGAGGCATCATGCTACCTGACTTCAAACTATACTGCAAGGCTACAGTAACCAAAACAGCAAGGTACTGGTACCAAAACAGAGATATAGACTAATGGAACAGAACAGAGCCCTCAGAAATAATGCCACATATCTACAACTATCTGGTCTTTGACAAACCTGACAAAAACAAGAAATGGGGAAACGATTCCCTATTTAATAAATGGTGCTGGGAAAACTGGCTAGCCATATGTAGAAAGCTGAAACTGGATCCCTTCCTTATACCTTATACAAAAATTAATTCAAGATGGATTGAAGACTTAAATGTTAGACCTAAAACCATAAAAACCCTAGAAGAAAACCTAGGCAGTACCATTCAGGACATAGGCATGGGCAAGGACTTCATGTCTAAAACACCAAAAGCAATGGCAACAAAAGCCAAAATTGACAAATGGGATCTAATTAAACTCAAGAGCTTCTGCACAGCAAAAGAAACTACCATCAGGGTGAACAGGCAACCTACAGAATGGGAGAAAATTTTTGCAATCTACTTATCTAACAAAGGGCTAATATCCAGAATCTACAAAGAACTTAAACAAATTTACAAGAAAAAAACAAACAACCCCATCAACAAGTGGGCAAAGGACATGAACAGACACTTCTCAAAAGAAGACATTTATGCAGCCAAAAGACACATGAAAAAATGCTCATCATCACTCGCCATCAGAGAAATGCAAATCAAAACCACAATGAGATGGTAATCTCACACCAGTTAGAATGGCGATCATTAAAAAGTCAGAGAACAACAGGTGCTGGAGAGGATGTGGAGAAATAGGAACACTTTTACACTGTTGGTGGGACTGTAAACTAGTTCAACCATTGTGGAAGTCAGTGTGGCGATTCCTCAGGGATCTAGAACTAGAAATACCATTTGACCCAGCCATCCCATTACTGGGTATATGCCCAAAGGATTATAAATCATGCTGCTATAAAGACACATGCACACGTATGTTCACTGTGGCACTATTCACAATAGCAAAGACTTGGAACCAACCCAAATGTCCAACAATGATAGACTGGATTAAGAAAATGTGGCACATATACACCATGGAATACTATGCAGCCATAAAAAATGATGAGTTCATGTCCTTTGTAGGGACATGGATGAAGCTGGAAACCATCACTCTCAGCAAACTATTGCAAGGACAAAAAACCAAACACCGCATGTTCTCACTCATAGGTGGGGAATTGAACAATGAGAACACACGGACACAGGAAGGCGAACATCACACACCGGGGCCTGTTGTGGGGTGGGGGGAGGGGGGAGGGACAGCATTAGGAGATATATCTAATATAAATGACGAGTTAATGGGTGCAGCACACCAACATGGCGCGTGTATACGTATGTAACAAACCTGCACGTTGTGCACATGTACCCTAAAACTTAAAGCATAATAATAAAAAAAAAAAGAAAATCTAGACATTCCTATCAATGTCTAGATTGTAACATTTTTGAAAGCAAACAAAAAAAAAAGAAAAACACTATTTTGTAGCTTTAAAGTGCATTTCTTTTATTATGAGTTAAGATTCAATATTTTTCATATGTTTAAATTAAAGGTCACCTGTATTTCCTTTTCTGTGGACTATGTTCATAGTTCTGAACATTTTAAAATTAATTGGCTAGTATTATCATTTTCATATTGACTTAAAGGAACACTTTATGTATTAGAGAAGTCAGCTCTTTTTCATTTAGATTGCAAATATAACACTTTTTCCAGATTTGCTTTTGACTTTATTTATGGAGTTTTTCTTTCCCGTGCAGAAATGCTTAATTTTTGCATAATCAAATTCATCAGTCTTCCCTTTATAGCTTCTGGTTTCAAGTCATGCATAGAAAGGCCTTTCCTATTCAAATTATAAAAGGTTCTTGGTTTTTTTTCAAATTGTATAGTTTCAATTTTTATGTTCAAATATTTGATCCAATTGGAATTTATTTTGGTATAGGTATTAGGGAATCAACTTCAATTTTTCAGATGACTTCAGACTTGTCCCATCATCACTTACTAAGTAATCCATTTTTTTCATTCTAATTTGAAATGCCACATTTTACTGCATTCTTACATAAACAGGGTGTATTTCTGGACTTTGTATATTGTGCCACTATTCTATTAAGAGTCCATTTACATAAAGAAAGGAAACAACATTTTCTGGTTCAACATTACCAATTTCATGCCCAATTCATGGGCTCGGTACTGGGGATCAGATGGAGGAGGCAGCCTGTATCCACTCCGCCGGTCTGGCACAAACCTTTGTTGCACCAATTGTGCATATAGACATTTAGTGAATGTGACCTGGGCATCAAGACACAAAATACATGAGTCTTTTCCTGAAATTAAGATTGTGAATAACACTTCACAGTTAAATATAATGAGAAGTCCATTTATAAGCTTCATATTCATATGAAATGCAAAGAAGATTCAACCTATTCATTGCCTACTTGTTTTTAGTAACAGCTTTATTGAGATACAACTCACATACCATAAAATTTACCCTACTGCTGGCCAGGCATGGTGGTTCATGCCTGTAATCCCAACACTTTGGGAGGCCAAGGTGGGCAGATCATCTGAGGTCAGGAGTTTGAGACCAGCCTGGCCAACATGGTGAAACCCCATCTCTACTAAAAATACAAAAATAAGCCAGGCATGGTGGCGCACGCCTCTAATCCCAGCTACTCGGGAGGCTGAAGCAGGAGAATTGCTTGAACCCGGGAGGTGGAGGAAGTTGCAGTGAGCTGAGATTGCTCCACTGCACTCCGGCCTGGGCAACAGAGCAAGACACTGTTGCAAAAAAAATTTTACCCTACTGCCTACTTTTTAGTAATCGCTAGTAAAATTCTTATCATTAGTTACATTATACAGCAATTAAATGGCTGGAAGATAAAGATAATTCATTTTTTCTATTTCTGAGACAGGGTCTTGCTCTGTTGCAGAGACTGGAGTGCAGTGAGCAATCATGGCTCACTGAAGCCTCAGGGATAGGGTTTCACCATGCTGGCCAGGCTGGTCTCAAACTCCTGACCTCAGGTGATCTGCCCACCTTGGCCTCCCAAACCTCCTGGGGTCAAGCAATCCTCCTACCTCAGCCTCCGAAGTAGCGGGGATTACAGGCGCCCACCACCACACCTAGCTAATTTTTTTATTTTTTGTAGCGATGGGGTTCACCATGTTGCCCAGTCTGGTCTCAAACACGTGGGTTCAAGTGATCCACCTGCCTTGGCCACCCAAAGTGCTGGGATTACAGGTGTGAGCCACCATGCCCGGCCAAGAATAATTCTTAATTCTCTGGAAGAGATGAAATGTTTTATTGTTAAGAAGGAAATAATTAGGCTGGGTGCGGTGGCTCACACCTGTAATCCCAGCACTTTGGGAGGCTGAGGTGGGTGAATCACTTGAGGTCAGGAGTTCGAGACCAGTCTGGCCAACATGGCGAAACACCATCTAAAAATAAAAAAATCAGCTGGGCGTGTTGGGAGGTGACTGTAATCCCAGCTACTCGGGAGGCAGGAGAATCGCTTGAGCCCAGGAAGCAGAGGTTGCAGTGAGCTGAGATGGCTCCACTACACTCCAGCCTGGGTGAGAGAGTGAGACTCTGTCTCAAAAAAAAAAAAAAAAAAAAAAAAGGAAATAATTATAGAAATAGAAACATATGGTCAAAAATAGCTATAAAACATTGAGTATAAAATGGGGAGGCAGGTCTCTTGAAAATTTCCTTCACTGGGTGCAAGAAAAGAAAAAACGTGTATAGTTTGAGCATCCCAAATGTAAATATCTGAAATCTAAAATGTTCCAAAATCCAAAACTTTTTGAGTCCCAACGATATGCTCAAAGTTTTGAGATTTCAGAATTTTCAGATTTGGGATGCTCAAGTAGTAAGTTTAATGCAAATATTCCAAAATCCAAATAAATCTGAAATCTGAAATACTTCTAGTCCCAAGCATTTCAGATAAGGAATATTCAATCTATATTAACATGCTATGAAGAAACAGAATATTTCCTTTTTTTTCTAGAGAACAATTAAAATAATGTTTCATTCACTGAGCACTGAGAAATGTAAAAAGAAAAAAATAATAATGTTTCAACTCGGTTTCCAGTAAGAGAAACTAAATGACCAAGATAGAAATCTCACCGATGTCATTATTCGTGTTTCAGGCAAGAATGTCTTGAAAACACGACAAGCTCGCAGGTCAATAGGGTCTCGTAGGTAAAATGCCTGGACTGCTGCAGCCACCAATCTGGGGCGCTGCTTTAGCACTGCCACAATGCCAGCTGGAAGGAAGCAGTGTGCTCGATGAAGTGAGGCCTGAATTTTTTCTGGGTACCTGGGACAGGTAACATAATTACTTTCATTTTACAGTATATAAATACCTATAATTCTTATACCATTCACATTCTTTTTGACATCTCTTTGTTCATCAAGAGCAGTACGTAGAGAGTGACAAGAGAGATGAAAAAAGATACTGTATATACACTTAAGAATATACGAGAGAGGGAAAGAAAAAAGTAGGAAGAAATGGAAAATAAAGAAAAGGGATTATTGTAGCTCTATAAAAACAAAACAACTTTGGGAGGCTGAGGCGGGTGGATCACGAGGTCAGGAGATTGAGGCCATCCTGGCTAACACGGTAAAACCCCATCTCTACTAAAAATACAAAAAATTAGCTGGGCGTGGTGGCATACGCCTGTAGTCCCAGCTACTCGGGAGGCTGACATAGGAGAATCGCTTGAACCCGGGAGGCAGAGGTTGCAGTGAGCCGAGATCACGCCACTGCACTCCAGCCTGGGCGACAAGAGCAAAACTCCATCTCAAAAACAAAACAAAACAAAAATACCTATTATACTTTGGAATAAAGATAAAATCAGAGTTTATTCTTCTAAAAGAATGGTACAAAGTATGCTGAAGCTAAAAGAGATTTTTATTTTTTATTTATTATTATTTTTGAGACGGAGTCTCGCTCTGTCGCCAGGCTGGAGTGCAGTGGTGCAACCTCGGCTCACTGTAACCTCCACCTCCCTGCAACCTCCACCTCCCAGGTTCAAGTGATTTTCCTGCGCTCAGTCTCCCAAGCAGCTGGGACTACAGGGGCCTGCCACCACGCCCGGCTAATTTTTTGTATTTTCAGTAGAGACGGGGTTTCACCATGTTGGTCAGGATGGTCTCGATCTCTTGACCTTGTGATCCACCCGCCCTGGCCTCCCAAAGTGCTGGGATTACAGGCGTGAGCCACCGCGCCCGGCCAAAAATATTTTTAATATTGTTAATACCTGAATGGTGCTTAATATTTAATAGGCACCCAAATTTGAATGGATGAACGAATATGTAATTAGGCTAAGACCTTTCTTTTCTGAATAAAAGCTAAAGTTTTATTCAGAAACTGAATTCTGACATAGGTCAAAGAATCCCATATACAGACCCAGAACAACAGAAAAAACCTGAGCACCTTGTTTGTGCTCCATTAGGTTTCTACTTTTTTTTTTTTTTTTTTTTTTGAGATGGAGTTTCCTACTGTCGCCCAGGCTGGAGTGCAGTGGCGTGATCTCAGCTCACTGCAACCTCCGCCTCCCGGGTTCAAGCGATTCTCCTTGCCTCAGCCTCCAAAGTAGCTGAGATTACAGGCACCTGCCACCACGCCCTGCTATTTTGTTTTTGTATTTTTAGTAGAGATGGGATTTCACTATGTTGGCCAGGCTGGTCTTGAACTCCTGACCTCATGATCCGCCCCCTGCTCAGCCTCCCAAAGTGCTGGGATTACAGGTGTGAGCCATCGCTCCAGGCCCATGAAGTTTCTATTTTTAAAGGTCTCAAATTTTTTACCCATGGATATAGCTAATACTTAGCCACAATATCTAAGGTAAATAAATGCAAAAATATTGGGACAAGATTGTAACACTTCTGAATGGGAATTTAAAGATGTATCTGTTTCCTGATTTTAAAATCTGTAAGTTTAATTTACTAGTCTATTTCATAAAGAGGAATGAAGACAAAATGAAAATTAGCATTAATCTAGGTGAAAGGTATTTTATAGTCAAAGAAAGACTGATCAACTCCAACAGAGCTTTAAGGAAAACAAACAAAAATCAAAGAAAGACTGAACTACACGAAACCAAAAGGTTCCTTAATTAGCAATGAAAGTGATATTTTTCTTACCCTCTGATGCGCCTATTCACAGCAGCTCGTATAGATTCTGAAGCAAGTATTTTTTCTGAATGTGCTGTGATTATATTCAATGCTTGTGGAATTGTTGGGGGTGTGGTGGGTAACCAAGATTCTGCTCCAGATTTTCTTGGTGCAGGGATAATACACAATTCCCCATGGCAGAAAAATACCTGCAAACGGTACATTTCAATTTTCACAGTGGGCACTGGCAAACTGCAGGTACATATGAATGTAATGCAGCATGATTTCATCTCTATAAATTTTCTAAACTTGGGTATACTTACCCTATTGGTGCTATTTTCAGGATCCAGCCATTTAGGGAGAAAGTCAGCAGCTTCTATTAACAAGAATTCACCATCATTGTCTTCAATCCTAATGCAAGAAAATTTCCAATTTTGCATTCAAAAAGCATATATCTGCTAGTAACCAAAACAGTTTCATTCTAATACATTTTCCTCTTCATCTTAGTAAATATTTGAGTATGTACTATGTGCAGATGGCTATAAGAAAGCAAAATATTTAAGATAACATTAAGCACTGAAGGAGACTGTAAGATTGTAAGGAGGAGTTGAAGGTAGATATGATAAGGAGAGAAGATAAGCAATTTACATAAAGAAATATTAGACAAAAATATGAAAATATACGAAAGTACTATAGGGTTCCAAAAGAAAAAAAAGAAACACATAGCTGAGATTAGAAAAGCCTTCATGTAGGAGGTGTTATTTGGGCCTGAAAAGATAATTATTTCTGCCTCATTTGCATCACTTTTTTTTTTTTTATTTTGGAGACGGAGTCTCGCTCTGTCACTCAGGCTAGAGTGCAGTGGTATGATCTCGGCTCACTGCAACCTCCACCTCTTGTTTTCAGGCAATTATCCTGCCTCAGCCTCCTGAGTAGTTGGGATTACAAGTGCCCGCCATCATGCCCAGCTAATTTTTGTATTTTTAGTAGAGACAGGGTTTCGCCATGTTGCCCAGGCTGGTCTCGAACTCCTGACCTCAAGTGATCCGCTCACCTCAGCCTCCCAAAGTGCTAGGATTACAGGTGTGAGCCACCACGCCCGGCCCGTATCACTTTTTTAAATTTAATTTTTTAAAATAGGTTATACATTCACATGGTTACATTTTTTAAAAAAATGTATTAAAAGTTACATGGCCAGGTGCAGTGGCTCACGCCTGTAATCCCAGCACTTTGGGAGGCCGAGGTGGGCGGATCACCTGAGGTCAGGAGCTCAAGACCAGCCTGACCAACATGGAGAAACCCCGTCTCTACTAAAAATACAAAAAAAATCAGCCAGGCGTGGTGGCCCATGCCTGTAATCCCAGCTACTCGGGAGGCTGAGGTAGGAGAATTGCTTGAACCTGGGAGGCAGAGGTTGCGGTGAGCCGAGATCGCACCATTGCATTCCAGCCTGGGCAACAAGAGCGAAACTCCATCTCAAAAAAAAAAAAAGTTACAAAATAAAAAAGTCTCCCTCCTACTTTTGTCCCTATCTGCTCAACCCTACATGCATCACTGCTGTTTCTTGTATATCCTTCTAGAGTTTGCTTACACATAATCTAACTATAGAAATATATACTTGTATTTTCTCCCTTTTTTACACAAGACATGGCATATTTTATATACTGTTATATATCGTTCTAGCTCTATACTTCTATTTTTATTATTTTATTTTATTTTATTTTATTTTATTTTTGAGACAGAGTCTCACTCTGTCGCACAGGCTGGAATGTAGTGGTGCAATCACACTCACTGCAACCTCTACCTCCTGGGCTCAAGTGATTCTCCTGCCTCAGCCTCCCGAGTAGCTGGGACCACAGGCATGGGCCACCACACATGGCTAATTTTTGTATTTTTAGTAGAGATGGGGTTTCACCATGTTGGCCAGGCTCGTCTCGAACTTCTGACCTCATGTGATGCTTCCGCTTCGACTTCCCAAAGCGTTGGGATTACAGATGTGAGCCACCGCCCCAGGCCTACAATGTATTGTGTTCTTGAAACTTGCTAAGGCAGTAGATTTTAAATGTTCGCACCACACACAAAAAAATAAGTATGTGAAGTAATGTACGTTATGAGCTCAATTCAGCCATCCTACAATATATATGTATTTCAAGACAACATGTTATACATAATAAATATATAAAATTTTTATTTATCAATTTTAAAAATAGGCTGGGCGCAGTGGCTCACACCTGTAATCCCAGCACTTTGGGAGGCTGAGGCAGGTGGATCACTTGAGGTCAGGAGTTTGAGACCAGCCTGGCCAACATGGTGAAACCTTGTCTCTACAAAAAATACAAAAATTAGCCAGGTGTGGTGGTGCACGCCCATAGCCCCAGCTACTCAGGAGGATGAGGTAAGAGAATTGCTTGAGCCCGGGAGGCAGAGGTTGCAGTGAGCCGAGATTGTTCCACTGCAGTCCAGTCTGGGCAAGAGAGTGAGAGCCTGTCTCAAAAAAATAAAATAAAATAAAATAGAGCACAGTGGCATGTGCCTGTAGTACCAGCTGCTTGGGAGACTGAGGCAGGAGGATGGCTTGAGCCCAGGAGTTCAAGTCCCGCCTGGGCAAAATAGTAAGACCCCGTCTTTAAAAAACTAAATAAATAATAAATAAATTTAAAACATTTAAAAATTTTAAATAAATTTATTTAAAGATAAAAATAAAATGAGTTATCGCTTAGATTTACATCCTGAAATATTTAAGGATCAAATGACAGCTACAGATGAAATAATAATGACCATGAGTTGGTAATTGTTGAAGCTGGATAATGGGAACATGTGGGTTCATTCTTTCTACTTTAATGTATGTTTAAAATTTAAATAATAAGTTTTCAAAGGTTTTTTTCTCCCTTCTATTTTGTTCTGTTGGGAAAGAGGTTGAGTGGGTAAAAAAAGATCAGAATTTGGGTGCTGACTAGGAAAACTAGGACAAAATATAAGTGGGCGGAACGCCCTCTGCTGGCAATACGTGGTTAATTACAGAAAACCCAGGTCCCATTTTTAACGTAATGTTACCTACTTTGCTTCCTATACAATTGTGTTCACTGACTTCTCTTTAAATTGTTTCTGTGTATGATTTCTCAAAAAATATAGCTATGGTCTAGTACAGGAATACATATTTAAAAATACGTGAAATATGTGTGTATGTGTATGAATGGAATTTTATTTTTCAAAGATCCACAAGGAATTTAATGGTGATTACTTCTGGGAAGCAAGAGCAGTAGAAACCTTTGTATCTTTTGAATTTTGTTTACCACATGTATTTGTTTTTTCATAATTAGAACTTTAAAAAGAAAACCTAAAATAAGTAGGTTTTATTTGAAATCTTTTGGAAGTTGAACTCTTTGACAGTACTTTAATTTTTTTTTTTTTTTTTTTTGAGACAGTTTCACTCTTGTTGCCCAGGCTGGAGTGCAATGGCGCGATCTCGGCTCACCGCAACCTCCGCCTCCCAGGTTCAAGCAATTCTCCTGCCTCAGCCTCCCGAGTAGCTGTGATTACAGGCATGTACCACCATGCCTGGCTAATTTTGTATTTTTAGTAGAGACAGGGTTTCTCCATGTTGAGGCTGGTCTCGAACTCCTGACCTCAAATGATCCGCCTGCCTCGGCCTCCCAAAGTGCTGGGATTACAGGTGTGAGCCACCGCGCCTGGCCGTGTACTTTAATTCTTTCTCAAGAAAAGGAAGCCACAAGAGAAGAGAAAGAAAACACAGATATGGCTGGGCGCGGTGGCTTACGCCTGTATTCCCAGCACTTTGGGAGGCCAAGGTGGGTGGATCACCTGAGGTCAGGAGCTCCAGAGACTAGCCTAGCCAACATGGTGAACCCTTGTCTCTACTAAAAATACAAAATTAGCCAGGCGTGGTGGTGCACGCCTGTAATCCCAGCTACTTGGGAGGCTGAGGCAGGAGAATCGCTTGAACCCGGAAGGTGAAGATTGCAGTGAGCCAAGATCACACCACTGCACTCCAGCCTGGGTGACAAAGCAAGACTGTCTCAAAAAAAAAAAAAAAGAGCACAGATACTATTAAAATCTGTACAATTTCCAGCAGACTACAGGAGAAAAATAAATTACTAAATAGATAAAAATGTAGTCACTTTGTTTCAGTAATAGAATTCCTTTAGAATAATTAAAATAACTACAATACCTTGCTACTAACTCTGGAAATTCCTTTGTGATCTGCTTTATTACATAAACAATAAACCATTCATCCTCAATGTTATCCCCAAACTTTGTCACGCCAAACATATGAGCAGGAACACCTCCTAAAAACAAGAGAAAAGCAACCATGTAACCAGATAAATTTGTTACTGCAAATAAAATGCACATAATCATTCAACTGAATACACATTCATTGACTGATTGCTCTAAGTACTGGGGAGCAGGGGTTGCAATCCTGAAGAAGAAGCCTACTCCTGAGGAGCTCAGGGTAAAACAAGACAACCAAATGATCTCAAAACAAGATAATGAACTCTAGAACAGGAGTGTGCAGTAACGGCTATGTGAGTATAAAGGAGGGGATATCTGTGCTATGCTTGCCTGGAGGAATGACAAGAGGTGAGCTTTCCAGAAAAATGGAAAAGTATGTGCAAAGGCACAGAGGCATGATGTATAGAGTATGTATGTATAGAGTATTCTGGGAATACCAGGACGCTAGATTTGGATGGAGCAGAAGTTTTCAAACATGTGCACTATTCACAAACACATGGAAACTAAACAACAACACACTCTTGGAATAAATCACAGGGAAATTAGAAAATATCTTGGGACAAATGAAAATGAATGCACATCATACCAAAACTTAAGGAATTCAGTGAAAGCAGTGCTAAAAAGGAAGTTTGTAGTTGTGAAAGATCTCAAATCAACAACCTATACCTCAAAAAAAAAAAACAAAAACTAAACCCAAACCTAGCATAAGGAAGGAAATAATAAACATTACAGCAGAGAGAAATATAGAGACCAGAAAAAATAATAGAAAAACAAAACAGCTGAGTTGGGTTTTTTTTAAAAGATTGACAAACTATTAACTTGATTAACCAGGAATAAGAGCAAATACTCAAATAACTAAAATCGGAAATGAAAGAGGGGACAGTACAACTTATGTCATAGAAATAAGAAGGATAAGAGAATTCTATGAACAATGGTATACCAGTAAGTTGGATAACCTATAAGAAATTGACAAATTCCTAGAAACACAACCTGTCAAGACTGGATCATGAGAAATACAAAAATCTGAACAGATCTATAACTAGTAAGGAGATTGAATCAATAATCCAAAAGCTCCTAACAAAGAAAAGCTGGCTTCACCGGGGAATTCTTCCAAACATTTAAAGAATTTGACACCAATCCTCCTCAAAATCTTCCAAAAAAATAAAAGGGAGGGAATTCCCAAATTCCTTCTGAGGCCAGCATTACCCTAATACCAAAGCCAGACAAAGACAATATGAGAAAGCTGTAGATCAATATCCCTGATGAGTATCAATGCAGAAATCCTTAACAAAATATCAGCAATCTGAATTCAACAACACATTAAATAGATTATTCACCACGACCAAGCGAGATTTATTCCTGGGATGCAAGGATGGTTCAACACACGAAAATCAATGTACAGTTAATATCCCACATTAACAGAATGAAGGTCAAACAAGTGCATTACAGAGTGTCTCAAGAGCTGCCATGGCAAACAATAGGTAGAAGAACAGCCCAACCAACTCTTCTTCTCCCCACCCCAGATCTCAAGTTTCTTCAACTAGAGAACTCCAATTAAAGTAACTATTTTTGTCTATATTAGACTTTGATTTAAATTTCATCTTGAAGCAATGGGAACTACTGAAGGATATTAAGCAGGAGAGTGACACAATCAAATTTGTGTTTTACAAACATAACCAGCAACAGTGTTAGGAACTAGAAAGACAGGAACCAGAGAGGTAAGTTAGGAGGCTGTTGTTGTTTTCCAGATGTAGAGATAAAGAGGGTCTACACTGAAGCCAAATAGATGTAGAGAAGGGGTCATATTTTAGAAGCATTCAGGATTTAGCATCTGACTGAACATGGTGAAGTGAGGAACTGATTATGATTTTGAATTACTGACTAGCTTGGATAACTGGGTGGATGGCAATGCCATTAAACAAGATAAGAAAACAGTAAAAATGGTTTTCTAGAGGATGGATAAAGGGTTGGTTTTAGATGTGCTACACCAATGTGACAGTGTTCTTGCCAATAAATATCATATGTATTTCAATGAATAAGAGTTCAATAAAATTAACAGTAAGATATGTAGCAATTGTTGCCAAAAGATAACAGATACGCACTAAACTGAGAGTATCACAGTGATGTATACTTGTGATGTATACATGGGGGGTATATCTTGTGATGGTATCACAAGATGCCAGGCTCCTGATCCCAAATAAGACCTCACATAAGTCACTGTGTAAGGAGAGACTTGGTCACCTACCCATGATTTATTTTCATAAAACTATAAGAAATGATAGAACTGTAATGTGACCAGTTCCCCACCAGACTACTTAAGGGTATATGTCTGCTGCTTAAACTTCAAAGGCCAGCTGGCAAGCCAAAGCCATCATGCCTAGCAGAGGAGCAGGTCCTGAGAACCCAAACATTGCAGGGCATAGCTGGGAACATACCAAGGAAAACAGTGTCATTGCATATACGCAGTAGGCAAAGAGCCAAAAAATTAGCTTACTAGCAACTTAAATATGGGAGGTGGGGTGGATTTCTAGAGCTGTCCTGATGCTGCCCAGGAGTGTCTTGTCTGTAAGTCCTAATAAACTCATCTACTTGCCAAGATAGACCTGTCCGAGTCATTCTTTGGTCTCTCCGCTCCCTCCTAGTTTAATCCTGGGTTTTTCTCATAACAGGACAGAGTGCCATATTTTGCCAGAGGTCAGATCTCAAGCACCAACAACACAGGGAAGCAATGAAGAAACCTCAAAATGCTTGTAAGTGGCAAATATTAGTCATAAAGCCCAATTATTTATCTTTATAAGCTGGGCAGAGCCACTCAGATCCTCACCAAAATGGCTATATGAAACAAGGCAGCCTACCAAACACATCACCAAAATAAGGAATCCTGAGTAACAGCAAAAGGAACCATGATTAAAGCCAGATGCCTGAAACTATTTAGTATAGATACTTAGATACATTATGGCATAGTGTAGTAACTAAAGTTCAAAAGAATAGCCATGAGTTTAATAATGTTTAGTATATGCTAATTCCTAAGGCAAATTTAGAAAGTTTTCATTAATATGATTTTTTTTAAAAAAAAGCTTTAAGGCTAACTGAATATAGACAAGTATTACTCATCTAAAAAGTTTAGTGTATTAATCTCTTCCTGGCAACACTGAATGAAGCGTGGACTATTACACATCACTGTTGTCAGGATAACATTAAAAGTCACACTAATCCAAACAAGTAAAAGAGCCTTACCTTTCCCAGGTTTATATTTAAGATTGAAAGGCTGATTCTGCCAGATGTAGGGGACCAGCATAGGTGCAAACCGAGTGATTATTCTCTCAATGTACTTCTGAAGAATCTCTTTATGTTTATCTGAGTCCCTTGACTCATCTGGTATCAGGAACAGGCAGTACTCCACTGTGTCTTCCATCGTAGCAAGCTTCATGGTTTCTTCCATTCTTCTTTGAAAACTATGTTTAAAGTTCCAAAATATAAACCACATAGAACAATGCAGAAGTAACATCTGAACTCTTTTAGATGGTTCTATGAACACTGTTTTCTAAAATTTAGTTAGGCCGGGCACAGTGGTTCATGCATGTAATCCTATCACTTTGGGAGGCCGAGACAGGCAGATCACTGGAGGTCAGGAGTTTGAGACCAGCCTGGCCAACATGGTGAAACCCCGTCTCTACTAAAAATACAAAATACTAAAAATACAAAAATTAGCTGGGTGTGGTGGCATGCACCTGTGATCCTAGCTACTTGGGAGGCTAAAGCAGGAGAATCACTTGAACCTAGGAGGCAGAGGTTGCAATGAGCCGAGATCATGCCACTGCACTCCAGCTTGGGTGACAGAGCAAGACTCCAACTAAAAAAAAAAATAAATAAAAATAAAAAATAAAAAAATAAAATTTAGTCACATACCATCACCATGGTTTTGGCCTTAACCATACACCACCTACAGTAATATTTATTTAATTTTTTTAAACTTTATTTATTTATTTGAGATGGAGTTTCACTCTTGTTGCCCAGGCTGGAGTGCAGCGGCATGATCACAGCTCATTGCAACCTCCACCTCTTGGGCTCAAGCCATCCTCCCACCTCAGCCTCCCAAGTAGCTGGGACCACAGGTGCATGCCACCATGCCCAGCTAACTTTTTTTGTATTTTTAGTAGAGGCAAGGTTTTGCCATATTGCCCAGGCTGGCCTAGAACTTCTGAGCTCAAGCAGTTCTTCCACCTTGGTCTCCCAAAGTGCTGGGGTTATAGGCATCTGGCCTAATATTATTTTTAATGACCCTTTACACTTAAAACTTTATCTTTAAAATTACGTTAAAAGGAAACCTTGATATAATACAGTGAATAGAAATCTAGTATCACATTCCCCAATTAGTAAGTATGTAAGAATAAAATCTTTACTTTTTATATTTTTCCTATTTTGGAAGTGAAGAATGAAATTTTTAATGTTTGCCCTTGTACTAGCAGTGGTATGTGTAATATATTTCGAGAAACACTGCACTAACACCTACTGTTTACATACTATCAAAAACCCCAGTTCTGCCACTAATTAGTTGTGCCACTATGGACATTTCACTTTCTCTTTCTGGGTTTTTTTCTTTAATTTAGGATAAGTTATCTACCATCTCTAAAATCTCTCCCTGCTTTAAAATTTTGTTATTTAAACTCTAAAGTACAATCTGTCTTGCTCTACAGAATGTACATCTCTCTCTTTTATGAACATTGTATGGCGTAGAGGAATTCAGAACTACAAAACATTCATGTCCTGTCATTTTACCTCTGTCCTAAATTTGCCCCTTTTTCAAGTCTCATGGGATGGTAGGTATATCTTTCTTTTCTTTTTTTCTTTTCTTTTTCTTTTCTTTTTTTTTTGAGATGGAGTCTCGCTCTGTCGCCCAGGCTGGAGTGCAGTGGAGTGATCGCAGCTCACTGCAACCTCTGCCTCCCAGGTTCAAGCGATTCTTTTGCCTCAGCCTCCCGAGTAGCTGGGACTATAGGCGCACGCCACCACACCTGGCTAATTTTTGTATTTTTAGTAGAGACGGGGTTTTACCATATTGGCCAGGCTGGTCTCAAACTCCTGACCTCATGATCCACCTGCCTCGGCCTCCCAAAGTGCTGTTTTTTTTTTTTAATTTTTAAGGGTAAATAGTAGGTGTATATATTTATGGGGTACATGAGATATTTTGATACAGGTATACAATGCATAATAAGCACCTCAGGGTAAATGAGATATCCATTGCCTTAAGCATTTATCCTTTGTGTTACAAACACTCTAATTATACTCTTTTAGTTATTTTTATTAAAAAAATTTTTATAGCCAGGACATGCTCTCATCTGAACTTCGTTATTTTTAAATGTACAATTAAATTATTATTTACTATAGTCACCCTGTTGTGCTACCAAATACTAGTTTTCATTCACTCTATTTTTTTTGTACCCTTTAACCATACTCCCCCACAAACCCTCTGCAACCCTTCCCAGCTTCTGGTAAACCATCCTTCTACTTGCTATCTCCATGAGTTCAACTGTTTTAATTTTTAGCTCCTACAAATTAGTGAGAACATTTGAAGTTTATCTTTCTGTGCCATCCTTATTTCACTTCCATCCAGTTCCACTTGATCTTCAGTTCCATCCATGTTGTTACAAATAACAGAATCTCATTTTTTTTTTTATGGCTGAAAAGCACTCCATTGTGTGTATGTGCCACATTTTCTTCATTATCTGTTGATGGACACTTAGGTTGCTTCCAAATCTTGGCTACTGAGAATAGTGCTGCGATAAACATGGGAGTGCAGATATCTCTTTGATATACTGATTTCCTTTCTTTTGGGTAAATACCCAACAGTGGGACTGCTGGATCATATAGTAGCTCTATTTTTAGTTTCTTGAGGAATCTCCAAAACTGTTCTCCATAGTGACTGCACTAATTTACATTCTCACCAACAGTGTTTTATCCAAATCCTTGCCAGCATTTGTTATTGCCTGTCTTATGGATAACAGCCATTTTAACTGGGGTGAGATGCTATCTTATTGTAGTTTTGATTTGCATTTCTCTGATAATCAATGATATTGAGCACCTTTTCATAAACCTGTTTGCCATTTTTATGTCTTCTTTGAGAAATGTCTATTCAGAGTTTTTATCCAATTCTTAATCAATTATTAGACTGCTTCCTAGAGAGTTGTTTGAACTCCTTATATATTTTGGTTATTAATCCCTTGTCAGATGGGTAGTTTGCAAATATTTTCTCCCATTCTGTGGGTTCTCTCTCCACTTTGTTGATTGTTTCCTTTGCTGTGCAGAAGCTTTTTAACTTGATGTGCTCCCATTTGTCCATTTTTGTTTTGGCTGCCTCTGTTTGTGAGGTATTACTCAGGAAATCTTTGCCCACTCTAATGTCCTAGAGAGTTTCCCCAATATTTCCTTTTAGTAGTTTCATAGTTTGAGGGCTTAGATTTAAGTCTCTAATCCATTTTGACTTGATTTTTGTATATGGTGGGAGGTAGTGGGTCTGGTTTCATTCTTCTGCATACGGGTATCAGTTTTCCCAGTATCATTTATTGAAGAGACTGTCTTTTCCCCAATGTATGTTTTTGGTACCTTTGCTGAAAATGAATTCACTGCAGACATATGGATTTGTTTCTGGGTTCTCTATTCTGTTCCTGTTTTTATGCCAGTGCCATGCTGTTTTGGTTACTATAACTCTGTTGTATAATCTGAAGTCGGGTAATGTGATGCTTCCAGTTTTGTTCTTTTTGCTCAGGATAGCTTTGGCTATTCTGGCTCTTTTGTGGTTCCATATAAATTTTAGGATCTTTTTTCTATGACTGTGAAGAATGTCACTGGTATTTTGATGGAGGTTGCATTGATACCTCTTAATTTTCTAAGGGTTTTCCTTATCTCTTAATTTTCTAAGGGTTTTCCTAAATAAGAGTACTAGTTTATTCTTGCTGCCAGGTGATGCTTGGTAAAGAAAGAAATGGCGGTGGATGGACCACCCTAACTCCATGATTCCAATCTTACTCAGCTTTCTAAGAGACTCGTAAGGAACCTGCTTCTTCTTATCCAGACACCCACTCACCACAGTCTAACCAAATCATCATTTTGCCTTTCAACCCAGAGGGACAGACAGTAATTTTACCCATCCACCCCATAACGCCAAACACACGTCATCATGCAGAATTTGGTGTCAGAACTGGAAGGGACTCTATGATCACTCAGGCTAATACCTCACTGTACATATGAGAAAACCCAGAGTACAGAAAAAGAAGCGACCAAGCAGCAGGGGCTTGACTTGGAGTCTAGTGCTCTTTCCCCAGTCTAGGCTCCCTCCTGCCATCTAACAAAATGAAGCCAATTTCTCTTACGGTTCTAGGGCCTCTCCTTCGCGTCTCTGCTGTGGCACCTTTCCTTAGCCGCCTCTCCGACTGCGAGAGCTGATCGAGAGCTGCCACCGGCCGCCGAAGCCTGGATCAGGCTCTGTCCCGACGCCTGACCGGAACCTGAAGCCAGCGGAAATCCTGAGAGAAAGTCTGAAACCCACTCAGTCCCCGAAACCTTGTGTGTCGTCACTGCTGTGCGTCGGCGGGAGCATTTTGCGAGTGTCCGGGGGCCTTCGTCACTTCCGCCCCCGCGGCAAAGCAGGGAGGTCGGAGGACTGGAGAGGTGGGGACCCTGGGGAGGTGGCTGCTCGGAGTCTAGGTGACGGGGCGAGACGGGGCCGGTAGGTGGCGGGAGGGGCCGGGCCGGAGCCGGCGGGAGGGCCAGGCCCGGAGGCCCCCACCCTGGCGTGCCTGCCCCGGCCGCGGCTGAGGAGGAGGAGGAGGAGGAGGAGGAGGAGGATGATCTCCAGATACACTCGGAAGGCGGTGCCACAGAGCTTGGAGCTGTGAGTGGACTGCTCAGCCACCCCAGCCGGGGCGGGCGGCGGGCGCTCTGGGGACCCTCCTTGACCAGTCCTTCGTTCCTTTCCTTTCCCAGGGCTGGGGAGAGATTTTTCTTCGGAATTCTCTCCTCTCAGCCCTGCTGGACCCTGCCCCTTCTTCCTCCATCTCCAGCTGAGGGCGTGTCGCCCTTCGTCTGAAATTCCTGAAATCAAGCACTGGGTCTGCTGAAGCATTTGTAGCATCCGCAGTGCTTCAGGTCCCATTGTTAATGGCCATGGTAGCTCGAGAAGTTATTAATAGCTAACTGAGGGCTCCAGGAAAGTGCTCACTTGACACTGTGCAAAGCTATTTACATACATTTGCTCATTCCTATCAATGATATCAGATTGGGAACATTATTTTGCACATTCTACAGATAAAGATCCCAGAATTAAAGATTGTAGCATGCCAAAGATCACACAGCTTGAAGGTGGTAGAGCTGAGAGGTACAAACCTGATGTCGATCTGATTCCGAAGCCTGTGGTCATAACCATCACACATACTGCCTCCCCACCTCTGCAATTAAGCACCAGAATCCATAAAGATCAGTTTTGCTTTTGAGACTTTAAAGAGCAAATATTTCTGGCTTTAAAAAGATCCACCCTCACGGCCGGCCGTGGTGGCTCACGCTTGTAATCCCAGCACTTTGGGAGGCTGAGGCGGGCGGATCACTTGAGGCCAGGAGTTCGAGACCAGCCTGGCCAACATGGCGAAACCCCATCTCTACTAAAAATGCAAAAAAAAAAAAAAAAATGGCCGGGCATGGAGGCGGGGGCCTGTAAACCCAGCTACTTGGGAGGATGAGGCAGGAGAATCACTTGAACCCGGGAGGCAGAGGTTGCAGTGAGCAGAGGTCACGCCATCGCACTCCAGTCTGGGTGACAAGAGTGAAACTCCGTCTCAAAATAAATAAATAAATAATAAAAAAATAAAAAGAGCTGCCCCCTACCCTGACCGAAGTGGTGTATAATAATTTAGAAAGTAATAATAGTGTCATACATTTATTAATGCTTTACACTTCCAAAAGGGCCTTCACTTTTTTTTTTTTTTTGGAGACAGGGTCTTGCTCAGTTGTCCAGGCTGGAGGGCAGTAGTGCAATCCTTGCTCACTGCAGCCTCCACCTATGGGCTCAGGTGATCCTCACAATGTAGCCTCTTGAGTAGCTGAGACTACAGGTGCACACCACCACAACTGGCTAATTAAAAAAAAATTTTTTTTTGGTAGAGACAGGGTCCCACTATGTTGCCCAGGCTGGTCTCAAACTCCTGGACTCAAGCGGTTCTCCCACTTTGGCCTCCCAAAGTGTTGGCGTGAGCCACCATGCCCAGCTCACTTCACTTTTTGATCTTAACAACTCTGTAAAGTGGGTATGATTATCTTCAGTCTTTCAGAAGATGAAATTATATCAGAAATGTTACATATTTTAAGATTATATAGCCAAAAAGTCAGGAGTTGAGCTTGGGCTTTAACCCCAAATTCCAATTTTTTTTCCTTCATGGAGCTATATAATTTTAGCAACCATAAATTTATTAATTAAATATTAACTTTTCCTTTCATTTAGCTATGTAATTTTAGCAACCATAAATATATTAACTATTAATATTAATTATTAACTATTTAATTTATTAAATATTAATTATGCACATACATGATAATTGCAAGCATGCTATTTTGAATCATTCTTGGGTTTCTGGCTAGGCTGTCTTCTAGCCACGTGACTTTTAGGCAAATTACTACATCACTGAGCCTTCGTTTCTGCAATATAGGAGTAACACCTTATCCAAAAGCTTATTTAAAATGATGGTGTGGACCCCCACACCTGTAATCCTAGCACTTTGGGAGGCCAAGGTGGGCGATTGCCTGAGCTCAGGAGTTCAAAACCAGCCTGGGCAACATGGTGAAACCCTGTCTCTACTAAAAATGCAAAAAATTAGCTGGGCATGGTGGCACATGCCTGTAATCTCAGCTACTTGGGAGGCCGAGGCATGAGAATTGCTTGAACCTGGGAGGCGGAGGTTGCCGTGAGCCGAGATCACACCACTGTACTCCAGCCTGGGTGACAGAGGAAGACTCTGTCTCAAATAAATAAATAAATAAATAAAAATAAGAATAAAGTGATGGTGTGGAGCTTGACACATATACATCCTCAATAAATGGTATTTTCCTTGTCCCTTCGCACTTTTACTTGGGATACAATAGGCATACAAAGAAAATAAGTCTAAAACCTCTCTTTGCCTTTTAGAAGCTTATTATTTATTAAGGAATAAGATATCTACATGGTAGCAGTTTAGTTCCTAGTAAACTCTTTGGGAACTAGGAAGAAGAAACAGTCATCTCTTAGATTTGGGATGTGTTGTTCCTACTTAAAAAAAAAATTGTGAGGAAACTGTCTTTTCCCAATAAAGTGACTGAGGTTTAGCTAAAAATCTGCTTTTATGATTAATTCCAACCATTCTGAAAGTTAAAAAAAATCTTGTATGGAAAAAAATGATAGGCACTTGTTGGGCCAGAATTATTATTAACTAGTATAGTTGTATCAGTTTTCTTTCTATTTTTTTTTTTTTTGAGACGGAGTCTCTGTTGCACAGGTTGGAGTGCAGTGGTGCCATCTTGGCTCAGTTGCAACCTCCACCTCCTAGGTTCAAGTGATTCTTCCACCTCAGCTTCCCAAGTCACAGGACTACATGCCCAGCTAATTTTTGTATTTTTAGTAGAGATGGGGTTTCACCCCAGGCTGGTCTTGAACTCCTGGACTCTGTCTGCCTCGGTCTCCCAAAGTGCTGGGATTATAGATGTGAGCCACCGCGCCTGGCCTACTTGTTCTTGATTGTTGATTTGATACTCCCTATAAGGCCCAAAAGATGATTCTGTAGCTGGAGTCAGGATGAAGTGAATAATGAAGATAATGAAGATAAAATGTATCTTAATGGGAGCAAATTCAAAGCAATTTTTACTTTAGATGTTATAATAATGATAACCTGCTTTGAAGCCGTAACTTTAGTTTTCTACCTAGCCATTAAAAATTATAATTGTTGAAAAGAGTATGGGAAAGGAATGATTTTCAACATACAGCTTAACATTTTTTAATGAAAAATTTCAAACATAAACATATAGAGAATAGTATCATGCACTACCTGTCACCCCACATTCAACAGTTAACAAAGTTAATATATTTGCTTCATCTATCTTCCTTATCCTTTTCTTTCTTTTTTTTTTTTTTTTGAGACAGAGTCTCACTCTGTCGCCCAGGCTGGAGTGTAGTAGTGCCATCTCGGCTCACTGCAAGCTCCGCCTCCCAGGTTCACGCCATTCTTCTGCCTCAGCCTCCCGAGTAGCTGGGACTACAGGTGCCCGCCACCATGCCCAGCTAATTTTTTGTATTTTTAGTAGAGACGGGGTTTCACCGTGTTAACCAGGATGGTCTCGATCTCCTGACCTCGTGATCTGCCTGCCTCAGCCTCCCAAAGTGCTGGGATTACAGGCGTGAGCCACCGCACCTGGCCTCCTTATCCTTTTATTAACTTCTCTGCACCTCTCTGTGAAATAACGAAAGCAAAACTGCAGATACTGCCATTTCACCCCTATATATGTCATTATGCATCTCTAAAAATTATGGACATTTTTGTATGTAGTCATAGTGCCATTATTAAATTTAATGATATTTTTTGTTATCTAATTGTCAATTCATAGATTTCCCTGGCAGACTAAAAAATGTCTTAAGTCTCTATTTCATAGCTTGAATTTGTATTTCTTATCCTTTCCACTTTTTCAAAGACAAGCTCTTGGTTGTAGGACCACTGAATGAGAGACATACAGGTAAGTCTGCACAAATTGATCTCCACAATTTGAGAAATAATTTAAAGTGCAAGCTCCACTGACTGGGCTCTTAGCTTTATCTTTATATAGAACAATGGTACAATTCACTAAAATCTCAAACTCTTCATTTCCTTCTAGAGGCCTTCCTCTGAGAGCCAGATTACTAGGATTTGAATCTTGGCTTCATCGCTTACTAACCAAATGACCTTAAGCAGGTTACTTAATCCCTCTGTGCCTTAGTTTCCTTTGAAATGAGAGTATTTGAGATTTATGATAAACATTTGCATATTAAAGACCTGGAAGATCTCTTGTAAAGAAATCTGTGTAACTTTGTTCAACCTATTACAGTTCCTGAATGTATTTGACTACAGAGTTTTGTGAGGAAAGTCTACCGCAGATTACTAGGAACATATATTGATTGACCCCATAGATTACTGGAACATATAATGATTGACCCCATAGCTTAATCCAGTGCATACATTGGAGTCTCTAGAGCAGCAATATTCAATACAAATATGATATAAGCCACATATGTAATTTAAAATTTTCAGGTGGTCACATTAAAAAAGAAAGGTGAAATTGGCCGAGTGCAGTGGCTCATGTCTTGAATCCCAGTACTTTGGGAGGCTGAGGTAGGAGGATCATTTGAGGCCAGGAGTTAGAGACAGCCTGAGCAACATAACAAGATCCCAATCTCTACAAAAAAAAAAAAAATTAAAGATTAAATAATTAGCCAAGTGTGGTGGTGAGTACCTGTAGTCTCAGATACACAGGAGGCTGAGACAGAAGAATCCCTTGAGCCCAGGAGGTCAAGGCTGCAGTGAGCTATGACCACACCACTGTACTCCAGCTTGGACAACACAGCAAGACCCCATCTCAAAAAATAAAATAAAAGTGAAATTTTTTTACCTTTTTATTTTGAAATAATTATAGACTCACAGGAAGTTGTAAAAATAGTACCAAGAATCCCATGAACTTTTCACTCAGCTTCCCCCAATGATGACATCTTATGTAACTGTGGTATAATTTAAAAGCCAGGAAAATGACGTTGGTACAATACTGTTAACTAGACCTACAGACCTTATCCAGTTTTTACATCCACTCCTGTGTGTGTGTATGTGTGTATATAGTTCTTTCTATGCAATTTGGTCCCATTTACAGATTACTGCAAATACGACTATAAATCAAGATAGCTGTTTCATCCCCACCAAGGAACTTCACTGGGTATCCCTATCCCTTTATAGTTATATCCACTCTTGTCTCCATCCCTGGCAACCATTAATCTGTTCTCTACCACTATAGTTTTGTCCAATGTACCATTATATAAATGGCCCTTAAACAATGCAGGGGTTAGGGGTATTGACCCCCTGTACAGTAAAACATCCATGTTCAACTTTTGACTCCCCAGAACTTAACCACTAATAGCCTACTGTTGACTGGAAGCCTTACCAATAACATAGTCAACACAAAAATAGACTGGTAGTTACATATATTTTACACATTCATGACATACCTTTTTCTTAAATTTTTTCGATATTTCTAGGCTACATGGTTCATCTGTTGAGTTTCTTCAAATTGTTGCAAATCTCCAAAAAATTTTCCAATATATTTATTGAAAAAAATCTGCATATAAATGGGCTCACACAGTTTAAACCTGTGTTGTTCAAGGTCAACTGTAGTAGTTAATGGTTTTTCTATTGGCTTTGGCTTTTTGCACTAAAAAGCATGGTGCTTTTGAGATCCATCCAAGTTGTTGCATGTATCAATAGTTTATTTCTCTTTATTGCTGAATAATATTTCATTATGTGGAAATATCAATGTTAAAGGACATTTGAGTTGTTTTCAGTTATTTTTTTCAACTGTAAATAAAGCTGCTGTGAACATTTGTATACAGATTTTTGTATGAATGTAAGTTTTCATTTCTCTAGGCATAATGCCCAAGAGTGCAACTGCTAGGGCTCTGGGTAAATGCATATGTTTAGTTTTATTAGAAACTGTCAAACTATTCCAGAATGGCTATACCATTTGACATTCCTGCCAGCAATGTATGAGACATCCGGTTTCTCCACATCCATGCCTGCATTTTGTGTTATCATTATTTTTAATTTTAGCTGTTCTAATTGGTGTGTGGTGATATCTACTATATTTTCAACTTGTAGTGACATTAATTTTAAGAATATATTTTAACAACCCAATATATCCAAAATATTATCATTTTAATATGTAATCAAGATAATAAATGAAGTATTGCAAATTCTTCTTGAAATCCAATGTGTTTTACACTTAAAACACAATTCTGACTAGCCAGATTTTAATCACTGGTGGCTACCATATCAGACAGTGCAGTTCCAGAGCAGAGGAAGTAGGTGACTAACTTCTAGATTAAATTATTGAATTGTATGTATTTTTTTATACAGGAAATATAACTTTGTTTTGTCTTTCACAGGAAAGGAATAACAAAACATGCTCTTAACCATCATCCCCCTCCAGAGAAGCTGGAGGAAATTTCCCCCACCAGTGACAGTCATGAGAAAGACACAAGTTCCCAAAGGTAATAACACAAAGTGTACTTGTTTACTTATTGCACTTGCTCATGGCAGAGGTTTTGTTTTTTGGCTTAAGATTGGTGTCAAGCCTTGTGCTAATGAAAACAAAGCAAGAATTTTTGTCATGTTCTCAGTACCATTTAGTTTTCATTCTGAAACAGCTAATGACAACATCATACATATTTTCATAACCTTTGAGAAGTAGTATTATAAAGTAGTTAAGAACACGGATAATCTGCCATGGGATTAGAATGAAAAAACAAACAAACAAACACACAAACAAACAAAAAAACAGAACATGGAGCTTGGTACTTACAATCCCAGCACTATAGGAGGCCAAAAGGTGGGAGGATCATTTAAGCCCAGGAGTTTAAGACCAGCATGGGCAACATGGCAAACCCCATCTCTACAAAAAAATAAATAAATAAAATAACATAGCCAAGTGTGGGGATGTGCACTTGTGGTCCCAGCTACTACAGAAGCTGACATGGGAAGATTGCTTGAGCCCAGAAGGTCAAGGCTGCAGTAAGCTGTGTTTACACCACGATACTCCAGCCTGGGTGAAAGAGCAAGACGTTGTTTCAAGAAAAAACATAAATAGGGCCGGGCGCGGTGGCTCACGCCTGTAATCCCAACACTTTGGGAGGCCGAGGTGCACGGATCACGAGGTCAGGAGATCGAAACCATCCTGGCTAACACGGTGAAACCCCGTCTCTACTAAAAATACAAAAAAATTAGCCAGGCATGGTGGTGGGGGCCCGTAGTCCCAGCTACTCAGGAGGCTGAGGCAGGAGAATGGCATGAACCCGGGAGGCGGAGCTTGCAGTGAGCCAAGATCACACCACTGCACTCCAGCCTGGGCAACAGAGCGAGACTCCTTCTCAAAAAAAAAAAAAAAAAGAAAAGAAAAAACATAAATTAAATAAATATCAGAAAGAGCAAGATTATAAAAAACAAACAATAAAATAACATAACATAAATAAAAAAGAACATGGACTCAGGAGGAGTTCAACATCTGATTTTTAATCCTGGTCCTACAACTTATTAGCTGAGTAACATTGGGAAAATTACTTAACTGATAATAGTGTATCTTATAGCAGCAGTCCCCAACCTTTTTGGCACCAGGGACCAGTTTTGTGGAAGACAGTTTTTCCATGGACTGTGCAGTGGGGTGAGGGATGGTTTCAGGATGATTCAAGTGCATTACATTTATTATACACTTTATTTCTATTATTTTTACATTGTAATATATGATGAAATAATTATACAACTCACCATAATGTAGAATCAGTGGGAGCCTTGAGCTTGTTTTCCTGCAACTAGATGGTTCCATCCGGGGATGATGGGAGACAGTGACAGATGATCAGGCATTAGATTCCCATAAGGAATGCACAACCTAGATCCCTTGCATGCGCAGTTTGTGCTCCTGTGAGAATCTGATGCCACCACTGATCTGACAGAAGGCAGAGCTCAGGTGGTAATGCGAGCCATGGGGAGCTGCTGTAAATACAGATGAAGCTTCATGCACTCACCTGCCACTTACCTCCTGCTCTGCAGCCCAGTTCCTAACAGGCCACAGACCAGCACCGGTCTGTGACCCCGGGGTTCGGGACCCCTGTCTCATAGGATGTTGCAAATATTAATGAGATAATGTATGTAAAACTTGGCACGATGCTTGGCATGTAGTAAATGCTGAGTAAATATTAGCTGTAGTTATTTTAAGTAATAGAACAGGGAAGATGGTTCTTCAGTCTCTCAGAACTTCTATTAGTGTCTGAGATGCAATGTGTGATTAAAAAAAATATTGTATAATCATAGGCCGGGCGTGATGGCTCACATCTGTAGTCTCAGCACTTTGGGAGCCCAAGACAGGTGGATCACTTGAGCTCAGGAGTTCAAGACCAGCCTGGGCAATATGGCAAAACTCTGTCTCTACCAAAAATACAAAAAAAAGAAAAGGCTGGGCACGGTGGCTCATGCCTGTAGTCCCAGCACTTTGGGAGGCCGATGTAGGCGGATCACTTGAGGTCAGGAGTTCAAGACCAGCCTGGCCAACATGGCAAAACCCCGTCTCTACTAAAAATACAAAAATTGGCTGGGGGTGGTGGCGCACACCTGTAGTCCCAGCTACCAAGGAGGCTGAGGCAGGAGAATCACTTGAACCCGAGAGGAGGAGGTTGCAGTGAGCCGAGATCACGCCACTGCACTCAGTCTGGGCAACAGAGCGAGACTCCATCTCAAAAAAACAAAACAAAAGTACAAACAAAATTAGCCAGTCATGGTGGCACACACCTGTAGTCCCAGCTACTTGGGAAGCTAAAGTGGGAGAATCACTTGAACCCAGGAGGCGGAGGTTGCAGTGAGCTGATTTCGCACCACTGCATTCCAGCCTGGGTGACAGAGCGAGACCCCATCTCAAAAAATAAAAAATAAAAAGTGCCATACAAGATCAGATACTACTATTAGCATTTCTGAAATGTCTTTAGTTGTCAAGAGTATGTTATAGGCTGGGTGCGGTGGCTTATGCCTGTAAATCCTAGCACTTTGGGAGGCTGAGGTGGGCAGATTGCCTGAGCTCAGGAGTTCAAGACCAGCCTGGGCAACATGGTGAAACCCCTTCTCTACTAAAATGCAAAAATGAGCTGGGTGTGGTGGTGCACACCTGTAGTCCCAGCTACTTGGGAGACTAAGGCAAGAGAATCATTTGAATCCAGGAGGCCGAGGTTGCAATGAGTCAATATCGTGCCACTGCACTGTAGCCTGGGCGACAGCATGAGATTCTGTCTCCAAAAAAAAAAGAGTATGTCATAGGTGAGATGTTGAAGTATTCATTGTAAACTATGACTAGAATTATTTGGAATGACTGCCATCAATTCTGTAGGAATTAGGACTTTTCCATAATGCTCAAATTTCAAGTTCTTCATTTATTTTTGCCTATGTGGATATATTTGTACACATGTTAATCACCTAGTAAGTTGCTGAGTAGTTAATGCCACAGAAACTTGAGGACATATGAAAAATTTTCTTTTTTCTCTCCTCCTCCCAAATTGTGCCTTTAGCAAGTCTGACATCACAAGAGAATCATCTTTTACATCAGCCGACACTGGGAATTCACTGTCTGCTTTTCCAAGTTATACAGGCGCAGGGATATCTACTGAAGGAAGCTCGGACTTCTCCTGGGGATATGGTGTGAGTTATATGTTATCAGTCTGATAGAGTGCTTGGGAGATGATTCTGGGAATTAGGATTTGTCAGTATATTTCATTCCTTCACTCTCCTGCATTGTTTCTTTACATTTATCATACTTCATAATAACTGTAAAGAAGTATCAGTCCTCATCTTCTTTCAGTATTGGCTTTGTTTTATTGATATAGTAGTTGAGCCTTAGACATGCTTAGTGTTCAATTTAAACAGCTGCATGTTGGCCGGGCACGGTGGCTCACGCCTGCAATCCCAGCACTTTGGGAGGCCGAGGCGGGCGGATCACCTGAGGTTGGGAGTTCTAGACCAGACTGACCAACATGGAGAAACCCTGTCTCTACTAAAAATACAAAATTAGCCGGGTGTGGTGGTGCATGCCTGTAATCCCAGCTACTCCAGAGGCTGAGGCAGGAGAATGGCTTGAACGCGGGAGGTGGAGGTTGCTGTGAGCCGAGATCACGCCATTGCGCTCTAGTCTGGGCAACAAGAACGAAACTGTCTCAAAAAAAAAAAAACAACAACAAACAGTTGCAGGTTAATATGGATTTGGGCTCTGGGTCTATTCCTTTTGCCATGCCCAGTCCAGTAATGTATGTCTTTACCACTAATGTTACCTTGTTGTTTAAAATGTTTTTGAAAGTTTATTATTAAGCCATTATAGCCTGGGAAAATATTTGTGATATATTGGTAATGAAAACAAACAGGTTATAAATCATATGTGTAGTGTCACTCTAATTTTGTTTTATATAAATTCTGCCTATATTAGTGAAAAGGACCAAAATATTTACTCAAAATATTGTTCAGTTGTTATTAATTAGGTGATGAGATGAGTGATTTTTACTTCTTTACTTATTTTTGGCTATTTCCCATTATAAAATATTATTTTTAAAAGACCAACAACTCTAAAAATTTTTTAAAGACAATTTTTATGCATAATTTTATCATCTTGATGCAAGATGCAATAGACATTTTTATTTCTTGTTTTTTGTTTTTTTTGGAACGGAGTCTCGCTCTGTTGCCAGGCTGGAGTGCAGTGGCACGATCTTGGCTCACTGCAACCTCTGCCTCCCGGGTTCAAGCTATTCTCCTGCCTCACCCTCCTGAGTAGCTAGGACTATAAGCGTGCACCACCATGGCCAGCTAATTTTTGTATTTTCAGTAGAGACAGGGTTTCACCATGTTGGCCAGGATGGTCTCGATCTCTTGACCTTGTAATCTGCCCGCCTCAGCCTCTCAAAGTGCTGGGATTACAGGCATGAGCCACCATGCCCGGCCAACATTTTTATTTCTATATCTTTTTTCAATCTGTATTTAATTTGGCTTAGTTATAATCATGATGTACACATAATATTATGCTGCATTTCTTCACCTAATATTTTATAAACACTTCTCCACAATATTGACTTTATATAATATTATTGTTAGGCTCTTTCTTTCTGTCTTTTCTTTCTTTCTTCTTTCTCTGTCACGCAGGCTGGAGTGCTGTGGCAATCATAGCTCACTGCAGCCTCAAACTCCTGGGCTCAAGCCATCCTCCTGCCTCAGCCTCCTGAGTAGCTGGGACCACAGGTGCATGCCACCACACCCTGCTATTTTTTTTTTTTTTAAGAGGTAGGATCTGGAACTCCTGGCCTCAAGCAATTCTCCCACCTCAGCCTCCCAATGTGCTGAGGTTATAGGCATGAGCCACTGCACCCAGCCAGAAACCTGCTTTTTTTTTAACAAAAAGCCTGCTAATTGTTAAAACCTATTTTCTAATCATTTTGAATGTACATATACTTTCCTTATATATAGTTGTATGATACATGTACATACTATTTTGTGGCCTATTTTTTTCATTTACCATCATTTTATATAGACATTTACTACTCCACACTGGTCAATCTGAATGTTATATAATATTTTCCTGTCTTAATATATCATAATTGGATCTTTCCCTTATTATCTGATACTTGGGTTTTCACGTTTTTTTCGTTCATTCCACAAATATTTATTGAGCATGGTTGTTTTCCCTGTACTTGGCCTTGGGAATATGGGGTGAGTGAGACTTACATGATTCAATAGTCTAATGAGGGAGATTGACAAAAGTAAATACAAAAGGTGATAAGTGCTCTAAGAAAGATGACAGGGTGCTGAAATAGAACATTATCAGGGGGATTCATTATCAGGGATCTCTGGTAAGGTAGATCTGAGACTTGAAGACAGAAGAGCTAGCCATGTGAAGAGTGAGGAAAAGAGTTTTCCAGACAGGTAACCAGCAGCATATGCAAAAGCCCAAGGAGGAGAAGAGCTTCATGTTTCCAAGGGAAAGTGTTTGGTGTATTCTTGCAACTGATAAAAGGTCAGGGTGGTTGGATGATGGAAAACCAGGGGGAGAAAAGCACAAATGAGATTAGAGAGGTAGGTGGGACTAGATCATTAGGGCCCTGCAGGCCAAAGAATTTAAATTGTATTCTAATAATTAGATGCCTCATCAGGAAGATTTAGTATACTGACTAAATATTTCCATTAGTTCTCTCTATATTATGATTTGTATCTCTTTATAACTTATAAACGTCATACAGATGTTTCCCATGTCCTTGCTTTCCTTTTGGCATTTATAGTCTAACAGGTTTTTAAAATATATTCACATATAGCCATCTTACTTTTGACCTTCATTTCTTCACTAGTCAGGATTTTATCTTTAGAAAAATTGAATGTTATAATATTCTTTTTCATGGCTTAAAACAAAATCCATTCCTTCAGGTGTTTATCCTTTGAATTACAAACAATCCAATTACACTCTTTTAGTTATTTTAAAATGTACAATTAAGTTATTATTGACTATACTCACCCTTTGTGCTATGAAATAGTAGGTCTTATTCATTCTTTCTGTTTTTTTTGTACCCAATAACCACCCCATCTCCCCAATCCTCACCCCCCCACTACCCTTCCCAGCCTCTAGTAATCATAAATTTCATTAATTTCTACCCTGATCTTTATTATTTATTTTGGGTTTGGTTTGCTCTTGCTTTTCTAGTTCTTTTTTTTTTTTTTTGAGACGGAGTGTCGCATTGTCACCCAGGCTAGAGTGCAGTGGCACGATCTCGGCTCACTGCAAGCTCCGCCTCCCGGGTTCACACCATTCTCCTGCCTCAGCCTCCCAAGTAGGTGGGACTACAGGTGCCTGCTACCACACCCAGCTAATTTTTTGTATTTTTTTTAGTAGAGACAGGGTTTCACCACGTTATCCAGGATGGTCTCGATCTCCTGACCTCATGATCCGCCTGCCTTGGCCTCCCAAAGTGCTGGGATTATAGGCGTGAGCCACCACACCCAGCTGCTTTTCTAGTTTCTTTTAAGATGTATCATTAGATTGTTCATGTGAAGTTTTTTCTCTTTTTTGTTGTAGGCACTTACAGCTGTAAACTTCCCTCCTAGTATTGCTTTTGCTGTTTCCCATAGGTTTGGATATGTTGTGTTTCTAGTATCATTTGTTTCAAGAAATTTTTCAGTCTCCTTAATTTCTTCATTGACCCACTGGTCATTCAGGGGGAACTTGTGTAATTTCCATGTGTTTATATAGCTTTCAAAATTCCTCTTGTTATTAATTTCTAGTTTTGTTCCATTGTGGTCAGAGAAGATGCTTGATATTATTTCAGTTTTTTTGGTCTTAAGACTTGTGTTGTGACCTAACATATGGTCCATCCTTGAGAATGATCAATGTGCTGAGGAAAAGAATGTGTATTCTGCAGCTGTTAGGCGAAATCTTCTGTAAATATGTTAGATCCATTTGGCGTGTAGTGCAGATTAAGTCTGATGTTTCTTTGTTGATTTTGTCTGGAAAATCTGTGCAATGCTGAAAGTTGGGTGTTGAAGTCTCCAACTCTTATTGTATTGGGACCTATATCTCTCTTTAGCTCTCATAATATTTCCTTTATATATCTGGGTGCTCCAGTGTTGGGTTCATATATGTTTAAATTTGTTATATGTTCTTGCTGAATTGATCTCCCTTTATCATTATATAGTGACCTTCTTTATCTCTTCTTATAGTTTCTGTCTTGAAATCTGTTTTGTCTGATACAAGTATAGCTACTTGTGCTCTTTTTTGGTTACCATGGGTATGGAATATCTTTTTCCATCCCTTTATTTTCAGTCTGTATGTGTCTTTATAGGTGAAGTGTGTTTCTTGTAGGCAACAGATCAATGGGTCTTGTTTTTTCATCCATTCACCCAGTCTGTGTCTTTTTTTTTTTTTTTTTTTTTAAATGGAGTTTAGCTCTTGTAGCCCAGGCTAGAGTGCAGTGGCACAATCTCGGCTCACTGCAACCTCTGCCTCCTAGATTCAAGTGATTCTCCTGCCTCAGCCTCCTGAGTAGCTGGGATTGCAGTTTTGCACCACCATGCCTGGCTAATTGTATTTTTAGTAGAGACGGGGTTCTGCCTTGTTGGCCAGGCTGGTCTCGAACTCCTGACCTCAAGTGATCTGCCCACCTTGGCCTCCCAAAGTGTTAGGATTACAGGCATGCGCCACTGCACCCAGCCTTGCTGCATGACTTTCTAGGTTAGAAAGCAACACAGCTTCTGGCTGGCTCTTTCCATCTCTCTCATCTGAATGGTGGACCTCAGAATCCAGCCATCATATTGCGAGGAAGTTCAGACCACATGAAAAGGCTCATGTAGAGAGGAATTAAAGCCCCAGTTGAAAGCCAGCATCAGCTGCCAGACATGTGAGTAAATGAGCATTAAGATGTTTTCAGCTCCCAGCCTTTGAGTCTTCTGACTAAGGCCTCAGATATTGTGGAGCAGAGATAAGCCATTCCTGCTGTGCCTCTATATAAATTCCTGACCCACATAAACCCGGAGAGATAATACATGATTATTGTTGTTTTAAGCTATTAAGTTTTGCAGTAATTTGTTACACTGCCAGAGTAACTGAAGCACTCCTCTCTTGCTGCTTAAGGTCATAAAAACTGCTTAGGCACTCTCTTACCTTTCTTGGGCTCCTATCGCACACCAGGCCTTCCTCCTGTACAGATCCCCTCCTGTTGTCTCTGTCTCCCTGCCTGGGGACAATTTTCTGACTGTGTAAGAGTGAACTAGAGTCCAAGCAAAGCAATGGTGGTCCCACTGTGCTGAGGAGCAGAGACGAGAGTTCAGGGTAGAGGAAGAGAAGAGAACCAGAAATTAATTAATGGGTGAATATAAAAGTCTATATTTTTTATCTGATTTCTTTAAAGGACAACTGACTGATTAAAGCAAAATATATGCTTGTATTTAATATGTATATGATATATAAAGTGTGTGTCTGAAATGTGTCTAAAATGTATAAAGAGGGAGTTTATACTTGTAGAAGTAAATATAGCTCAAATAATGGGTGACTATAAGTGGAATTATACTTTTATAAGGTTATTATATTTGTGGATTATTGTAAAATTATTCAAGAAATTAAATGAAACAGTTCTCACACAGAGAAAGCTCTAGGCCCAGGTGAATTCTCTCATCCATTTGTGGAAGAAATAACAATGATGCAAACTTTTTTCCAAAAAGTATAAGGAATACTTCTCAATTCAGTTCATAATAAGGTCAGCAGAGTCTTGATGCTAAAACCTGAGAAAGACAATGTAATAACAAAAAATTATGAGGTGGGACTTTTAGTATCAGAATAAATAGCTCGGCAAATCCTCCTCCCCAAAAGCAACAATGAAACTGGACAAAATGGTGAGGTGCAACTGTTTAAAGGCTTTGCAAATTGACAAAAAGCATATAACAAATAAAGAAGCAATTATTCATGAAAATCAATAGAACTTTGGGTTAAGAACAGTGAGAGACTATTCTACTACAGAGGGACACGCTGTGAAAACTAGCAGCCTCACTGTTGGAGAAGGCTCAGTAGGTTTGGAGTGAACCTGGAGAGACCCTATGCCCAACAGCATGTAAGTAACAGTAGTAAACTTGGTAGGAAAAACAGTTGCTCAGATAGCTTGAGGTTTTAGTCCTGGCTGGGACAAACAATGGATTGGCAAACTATCCAGGAATTTATTAAGGATATCTGGGAAATAAGACGGTCACAGGAGGCCTTGATAAGCTTTCCACACATCCACACAGGACTGACTAAGCTATCTACACATCCCTGGCTGACCGTGAGTCAGCTTGCAAATGCAGAGAAGATACAAGAGGGCATCCAGAAATTAAAATCAGATGCAAAAACTGCTTGAATTTGAACTAAGACAAAATAAACTTTAAAAGAAAAAATACTACTAGAAACAAAGAGGGACATTTTATAATGATAAAAGGGTCAATTCATCAGGAAAATATAGTAGTTATAAATGTAACATCTAATAACCAAGTCTTAAAGTTGGTGAAGCAAAAAATGACTGAATGGAAAGGAGAAATATTGTAGCAATTATAGCTGGAAACTTTAATACCCCACTCTCAATACTTGTAGACCACCTAGACAGAAAATCAGCAAGGATATTAAACACCTGAACAGTACTATCAACCAACCTGACCTAACTGACATCCCACCCAGTGACAGCAGTGTAGATACTCTTCAAGCACACATAAAGCAAGTTTTTTAACTATAAAAAGATTTAAATTATACAAGGTATGTTCTCCAGCCACCTTGGAATTAAATTATAAATCAACAACATACAGTTGGGATATCCTCAAATATTTGGCAATTAAACATCACTCTTCTAAATAACCCATGGGTTGAAAAAGGAATCTATAAGGGAAAGTAGAAAATATTTTGAACTGAAAGAAAAGGGAAAAGCAAAATATAAACATTTATGGGATGCAGCTAGGAGGAAATGAATAGCTTTAAATGTCTACAGAAAAACAGGGATGTCTCAATAATTTGTTTCCACCTTAAGAAACTAAAGAAGAACAAACTAAATCCAAAGCAAAGCAGAAAGAAGGAAATAATACAGATAAGATAGAAATTAATAAAACAGAAAAACAATAGAGAAAATAAAGTCAAAAGCTGTTTCTTTGAAAAGAAGTCAGTAAATTGACAAATCATTAGTTGGTTTGATCAAGAAAGAAGAGAGATTGACATGATCAGGAATGAAAGAGAGGGCATAACTCAACCCTACAGAAAGTACTCTGAGAATTCAGTAAACAATGGCAACAAATTAGATAACTTAGATGTAATGGACAAATCCCTAGAAAGACATAAATTAACAAATTGACTTAAAGAAAAATTAAAAATTTAAACAGCTCCATACCAATCTAATTGGGTTATTTCTATCTATGTAATTTCTATTTAAATAAACTAAATTAATAATTAAAAATCTTTCAGCTGATCACAGTGGCTCATGCCCATAATCTCAGCACTTTGGGAGGTAAGGAGGGAGGATCACTTGAACCCAGTAGTTTGAGACCAGCCTGAGCAACATAGTGAGACCCCATCTCTATGAAAACTAAAACAATTAGCCAGGTATGGTGGCACGTGCCTTTAGTCCCAGGTACTTGGGAGGCTGAGGTGGGAGAATCGCTTGAGCCTGGGAGGTCAAGGCTGCAGTGAGCCATGATCACACTACTGCATTCCACTGGGCAACAGAGTGACTCTGTCTCAACAAATAAACAAATACAAAATCTTCCCACAAAGAAGTCCAGGCACAGATGCGCTAGTAAACTCTATCAAATATTTAAATTCTAGTAAACTTTATCAAATATTTAAAGAAGAAATCAGACTCAGAAAATCAAAGAACACTTTCCAATTCATTCTATGAGACCAGTATTACACTGATACCAAAACCAAAGACAAGAATTCTTCATATAAGAGATTCTAAGGAATAGAAGGAAAAGAAAAGAAAAAAATTAGAACTGATATATGAATTTAACAATGCCACAAGGTGCAAGATCAATATGTAAAAATCAACTTATTTCTATATACACTTAAATATTTAAAGAAGAAATAATACCAATCCCTCACAAACTCTTTCAGAAAAGAAAGAACAGTTCCTACCTAACTCATTCTATGAAGCCAGTATGACCTTGATACCAAAGTTAGTCATCACAAGAAAACTACAAACCAGTATGCCTCTTGAAATTAGACACAAAAACTTCATTAACAAACCAAATCTAGTCACATAAAAGGATTATTTACCCTGACCAAGTGAGTAAATAGGATTTATCCCAGGATTGCACGGCTGGTTCAACATTAGAAAAACAACTCTTCATCTGGGTAGACGGATGGTGAAAAAAAGAAAAACAACTAATTTAATACATTATATTAATAGAATAAAGGACAAAAATGACATGATCATCTTAACAGTAACATAGAAAAAACATTTGACAAAATCTAACACCCATTCATAATTAAAAAAACACTCAACATACAAGAAATAAAAGGGAATTTAATCAACCTGAAAGGTTGGGCATCTACAAAAAAGTTAGAACTAACGTTATTATATGTAACAAGAAAAGACTGGATACCTTCCCCTTAAGATTTAGAACAAGGTAAGGATGTCCACTCTTGCCACTTCTATTCAGCATTGTATTGGAGCTAGTGCAACAAGACAAAGAGAGGCATTCAAATTGAAGAGGAAGAAATAAAAATGTCTTTATTCACAGATACCATGATGTAAAGAAAATCCAGAAAATTTACATTCCCTGCATTACCACCCCCCAAATCTAATAGGACTAATAAATTAGTTCAGTTAGGTCACAGTATACAAGAACAATTTACAAAAATATGGTTTTCATACAATGCGATTATTATTCAGCCATAAAAATGAAAGAAGTTCCGATACATGTTACAACTTGGATGAACCTTCAAAACATGCTAAGTGAAAGAAGCCAGACATGACACATCACATATTGTTTGATTCCATTTATATGAATTGCCCAGAAGAGCAATTCCATAGAGACAGAAAGTAGATTATTGGTGGCCAGGGGCTGGGCAGAGAGAGGAATGGGGGATGACTGCTAATGGAAACAGTTTCTTTTAAGGGTGATAAAATATTCTAGAATTAAGATACTGGTGATAGTTGTACAACTGCGAATATACTAAAAACACTGAATTTGACAATTTAAAAGGGTGAATTTCATGGTGTGTGAATTATATCTAAATTTAAAAATTTGTATTTCTATACATTGGCAGTGAACAATCTGAAAATGAAAATTTAAAAATCACAATAGAATAAAAAAAGTTCTTAGCAATAAATTTAACAGAAGCAACACAAGACTTGTACATTGGAAATTTCAAAACATTGCTGAGAGAAATTAAAGAAGATCTAAATAAATGAAGAAAATTCCTTGTTCATGAATTGGAAGACAAAATATTAATAATATGGCATTTCTCCCCAAATTAATCTATATATCAGTGCACTCTCTATCAAAATCCTAGGAGACATTTTTATAGAAATTGATAAGCTCATCCTAAAATGTATATGCAATTGCAAAGGATCCAGATTAGTAAAAAAAAAAAAAAAAAAAAAAAATTGAAACAGAAATAGAAAATTAGAGGACATATGGCCAGGCGAGGTGGCTCACGCCTGTAATCCCAGCACTTTGGGAGGCCGAGGTGGGCGGATCACCTGAGGTCTGGAGTTCGAGACCAGCCTGACCAACATGGAGAAACCCCGTCTCTACTAAAATTACAAAATTAGCCGGGTGTGGTGGCGCAGGCCTGTAATCCCAGCTATTCCGGAGGCTGAGGCAGGAGAATGGCTTGAACCCAGGAGGTGGAGGTTGCTGTGAGCCGAGATCGCACCATTGCACTCCAGCCTGGGCAACAAGAGTGAAACTCTGTCTCAAAAAAAAATTAGAGGACATATACTACCACATCTCAAAACTTAATATCAAAACATTAGTCAGAACAGTGTGGGCAGGGCATGGTAGCTCATGCCTGTAATCCCAGCACTTTGGAAAGCCAAGGCGGGTGAATCACCTGAGGTCAGGAGTTCGAGACCAGCCTGGCCAACATGGTGAAACCCTGTCTCTATTAAAAATACAAAAATTAGCTGGGCACGGTGGTGCAGGCCTGTAGTCCCAGCTGCTCAGGAGGCTGAGGCAGGAGAATCACTTGAACCCAGGAGGCAGAGGTTGCAGTGAGCCAAGATTGTGCCACTGCACTCCAGCCTGAGTGACAGAGCATGACTCCGACTCAAAACAACAACAACAACAAAAACAGTGTGGTACTGACAAAAAGATGGACGTGTAGTCAATAGAACAGAATTGAGAGTCCAGAAATAAACTCTTACATTTAGGATCCATTGATTTTTGACAAAGGTACAAAGGCAATTCAATAGAAAAAGGATTTTTTTTCCTTAACAAATGTTGCTGGGACAATTGGATATCCATGTGCAAAAAGATGAATTCACATCATATAAAAAATTTGCTCAAAATGAATTATAAACTTAAATATAAGAGCAAAAACTATAAATCCCTTAGAAGAAAATGTATAATCAAATCAAGACCTTGGATTAGGCAACAAGTTCATAAATAGGACACACCAAAAGCATAAGCTACGAAAATGGATAAATTTAACTCCTTCAAAATTTACATCTTTTTTACTTTTACATACCTCATTAAGAAATGAAAGGACACCAGCCTGGCCAAGATGGTGAAGCCCCGTCTCTCTTAAAAATACAAAAAATTAGCCAGGCGTGGTGGCAGGCACCTGTAATCCCAGCTACTCTGGAGGCTGAGGCAGAGAATTGCTTGAACCTGGGAGGTGGAGGTTGCAGTGAGGTGCAGGAGGTCGTGCCACTGCACTCCAGCCTGGGCGACAGAGAGAGACTCTGTCTCAGAAAAAAGAAAAAAAAAAAGGAAGGAAGGAGGGAAGGAAGGAAGGAAGGAAGGAAGGAAGGAAGGAAGGAAGGAAGGAAGGAAGGAAAGGACAGATCACAGATTGGGAGAGAATATTTCCAATATCTGACTTGTATCCAAAGTATATAAAGAGCTCTTAAAACTCCATATTAAAAAGAAAAAAAAAGGCTAGACACAGTGGCTTGTGCCTGTAACCCCAACACTTTGAGAGGCTGAGGCCACCAGATCATTTGATCCCAAGTATTTGAGACCAGCCTAAGCAACAAAGTGAGACCCCCATCTCTAAAAAATAATTAATTAATTAATTAATTAAAAGGTGAAATAATGGGCAAAAGACTTGAAAAGACATTCCATGAAAGAAAAAGACATAAATGGCCACGTAGCATGTAGAAAGATGCTCCATATGATGAATTATAGAGAAAATGCAAATTGAAAACTGGGAAGATAACACCACTCCACATTTACAAAAATTGCTAAAATTAAAAAGACTGACAATACCTAGTACTGGAATGGATGTGGAGCAGGTTTAATGCTCACACATTTCTGGTAGGAGTGCTAAATTGTACATCCATCCTATAAAATAGTTTAGTAATTTCTTTAAACATACATTTATTATGTGACAGCAATTTCACTGCTAGCTATTATCCAAGAAAAATGAAAACATATGTGTAGAAAAAGACTTGTACATGAATGTTTATATCAGCTTTATTCATAACAAACAATATAAACAAATACTGAAAATAACATAAACGTCCCTTAACAGGGGAATGGATAAACAAATTGCAGCATAGTCTTAAAACAAAATACTTTTCAGCAATAGAATGTAATGAATAATTAATACATGCAATAACATGAATGAACCTCAAAAAGATTCTCCTGAATGAAGGAAGCCAAACACAAAAAGTGCATCCTGCACAATCCCAATTATATGAAGTTCTAGACCAGACAAAAGTAACTTACAGTGATAAAAATAAGTCAACATTTTGGAAAAGCTGCAAAGGAGTGTGAGGAGAAATGTTTTATATCTGGAAAGGAATGTTAGTTACTAGGGTGAATATTTTGTCAAATCTCATTTGCTGTACACTTAAATGTGCATTTTGTTGAATGTAAGTTATTCCTCAGTAAAGTTGATTAAAATTTTAAAGTCCTCAAAGAGTTAAAGGACAAGATAACATCTATTTAAATTATTAGAGGTTTTAAAACAAAGCAGGTAAAGATATTAACTTAAGAACAGGCAAATATGAAGAACCAGTTAAACATCTTCAAAATGAATAGCATTTGAAATATCTCAATATACAAGGTAAGCTGGACCCAGTGAAACAGATAGTAGCTAATTGAATGCTAGAACTAAGAAAATCACCTAGAACCAGGGAACTAAAGACAGAATTTGAAGAGTAGTTAGGAGACATGGAGGATGGATTAAGAAACTGCAATATATTTCTAACAGAAATTTTAGAGAATAAGAAAGAGGCAATGTTCAAAGAAGTAGTCACTGATTTTTTTTTTTTTTTAGACCCGAAGAAAGACATGTTTGAAAAGTCTATCAGGTGAAAGACAATTTTTTTAGAGAGGGGTCTTGCTATATTGTCCAGGTTGGAACACAATGGCTAGCCACAAGTGCCACCATGGTCCAGTATAGCCTCAAACTCTCGGGCTCAAGCAGTCCTCCTAACTCTGCTTCCTGATTGATTCACTGCGACTACAGGTGTCGGCCACCATCGCCAGCTTTGGACAAATTAAAAAACAAAAAACAAAAAAAAAACCCACTCCCAGACAGATAGATATAATTTTTATTGGGTAGGGGTTGACTTTCATTTTTAGGGTGAAAATACATTATTTTCAAACATAGATATGACTTTTCTCCCACTGGAACACTGGAATGTAAAAGGATGTGTAAATTTAGATGTAGTAGAGGATAAGCAAGGAATCTGAAGAAAATGATCAGATTTGCATTTTGTAACCATCCCTCTGACTGCTTTTTTTTTTTTTTTTTAAGAGATGAGGTCTCACTTGGTTACCCAGGCTAGCAGTAGCACAATCATAGCTCACTACAGCCTCGAACTCTAGGGCTCAAGTAGTCCTCCCACCTCAGCCTCCTGAGTAGCTGGGACTATAGGCACAGACCACCATGCCTGGCTAATTTTTTATTTTTTTTAGAGATGGCAGTCTTGTGATGTTGCCCAGGCTGGTCTCAAACTTCTGGCCTCAAGTGATCCTCCCCACTCAGCCTCCTGAGTTGCTGAGATTACAGGTGTGAACCTCCATGCCCAGCCCTCTGACTATTCTGGTTTTTGGCTTTTGTTTTCTTTTTTGAGACGGAGTTTTGCTTTTGTTGCCCAGGCTGGAGTGCAATGGCACGATCTTGGCTCACCACAACCTCCGCCTCCCGGGTTCAAGAGATTCTCCTGCCTCAGCCTCCCAAGTAGCTGGGATTACTGGCGTGAGCCGTGACGCCCAGCTAATTTTGTATTTTTAGTACAGGCAGGGTTTCTCCATGTCGGTCAGGCTGGTCTCGAACTCCTGACTTCAGGATCTCCCGCCTCGGCCTCCCAAATTGCTGGGATTACAGGCATGAGTCACCCGCCTTGGCCTTTTTTTTTTTTTTTTTGAGACGGAGTTTCATTCTTGTTGCCCAGGCAGGAGTGCAATAGCACAATCTCGGCTCACCGCAACCTCCGCCTCCCAGGTTCAGGCGATTCTCCTGCCTCAGCCTCTCAAGTAACTGGGATTACAGGCACCCGCCATCACACCCAGCTAATTTTTTTTATTTTTAGTAGAGACAGGGTTTCATCATGTAGGCCAGGCTGGTCTGGAACTCCTGACCTCAGGTGATCCACCCCACCTTGGCCTCGCAAAGTGCTGGGATTACAGGTGTGAGCCACTGTGCCTGGCCTGACTATTCTTAAAGGCTGGATTACAGAGGTCAAGGACATAAGTTGTCAATTGTCAAGTGAAAGATGCAGTATAAAAAGTAATATACACAGGGTTTTCCATCTAAAAAATAGTGAAACCAAGCAACTGTACTAAAATTAGCAATCTATCTTTGAACGGTGGAATTACAGGTAATTTTTATTTTTTCTTTATACTTTTCTGTATTTTTCAAAGTGTTTACAATTAATACTGTATATAAGAATATGTTACTTTTAAAAATATAGACTTTTTTTTTTTGAGACACAGTCTAGCTCTGTCACCCAGGCTAGAATAGAGTGCAATGGCACAATCTTGGCTTGCTACAACCTGTGCCTCCCAGGTCAAGCAATTCTTGTGCCTTAGCCTCCCAAGTAGCTAGGATTACTGGTGTGTACTACCACGCCTGGCTAATTTTTGTGTTTTTAGTACAGATGGAGTTTCACTATGTTGGCCAGGCTGGTCTTGAACTCCTGGCCTCAAGTGATCCACCCACCTTGGTCTCCCAAAGTGCTGGGTTTACAGGCGTGAGCTACCACGCCTGGCCTTTTTTTTTTTTTTTTTTTTTTTTTTAGGCTAATCAAGTGAAGCAGTAGGAGTGGAGAGGAAACAAAGAAATCCATAAAGTGGTTGTGATCAATTAGCTGTAAACACCACTGTACTTGGACCAGCCTAAAAAACAGACATTTATCTAAATTTTCTTTAAATATGAATGGAGAAGATACCTGAAAATTCCGAGATCTGAAAACTCACTAATTTAACTTTTCTTTCGTGGAAACACAGCAGTATTTCAAGTAGACTAAATATGTAAACAAAACAAGTCTTACTGCTTTTAATCTTTATAATTTTTAACAGAGAGTGAATCAGCTCACCTAAATATTTGGGGGGAATATTTTCTTCTAGGAACTCGATCAAAATGCCACTGAAAAAGTCCAGACAATGTTCACAGCCATTGATGAACTCTTGTATGAGCAGAAGTTGAGTGTGCATACCAAGAGTCTACAAGAAGAGTGCCAACAGTGGACAGCTAGCTTTCCTCACCTCAGGTACTGAAGCCCTCCAGTTGACTTGTATTCATGGCTAATACTAAAATTTAAAAAGTAGATTTAAAAAAAAAGCTTGTATTCTGAAATCTTTATGAGCATGACTTTAATGAATGTAAATAAGGCCATGTGGTATAAAGCCTTGGCTAAGAGAAAACTTAAGTTGGTAGAAGTTTCTTAGAGTTTCCTTAACTAACAATATGTGATCCTAATCAAGTAAAAACTATTTCTACAACAGCAGCTGAGGTCTGAGTATCTGAGTATCAAAAAGCCCTTCTTTTGAACAAGATGGTCAGAAAATGTACACTGTTGTATACAATTAAATTCTTATGTATACTTGAAACCAGACATAGGCTATTCAAGAGCTTCCTTCAGAAACTGCAGTAGTACCACTTATTGCACATACTCAAAATTTACAAAGCTTCACGTTTTTAAGAATATAATTCGTAGTTTTTACTAATTTGGCTGGGCCTCCATCCCATTTTGACTGATTTAATGAGGACTATTATAGAGCATGAAGGGCAGATTACAGATGTTTGCTTAGATTTCTTGTATTTTTTTTTTTAACAGCTGGGCTATAGGTTTATCTTTTCCATCTCCATTCTATGGAAGAGATATACCTGTAGTAAGGCTCTGGATTCACATTTTCTCATTCTTAATCAGTATCAGACTGTATACTGGACTTTTATGTTGAGCCATCAAATGTGTCCAAAATATATCTAGATTTTGTATGTATGCCAGTGAAGGTACTTAATTGTGTCTGTGTTTCTTCATTTTGAAGGATTCTAGGTAGGCAGATAATCACTCCAAGTGAAGGTTATAGATTGTATCCTAGATCCCCTTCTGCTGTTTCCGCTTCATATGAAACAACCTTGTCTCAAGAAAGAGATTCTACTATGTGAGTATTCCATTATGTAAGTACTTCAATGTGCCCTAATATGCAAGTATTATGTCCTACCAGTTGTATTAAGGGATTAAAATACTTCTTCCTACTTATTAGTATTTAGTAAAGCATAGCAAATTCTGTAAGATTGTCCATAGTCTTTGTGTATATTAAAATTTCATTATGTAATTTTGTTCAAAAAGTTAGACCTTTCCTGTAGTGGATTAGTCTGTTTTCTGTTGCTTGTAACAGAATACCTGAAACTGGGTAATTTATAAGGAAAAGGAAGTTATTTCTTACAGTTCTGGAGGCTGAGAAGTCCAAGGTCAAGGGGCAGGACCTTCTTGCTGGTGGGGATTCTCTGCAGGGTCCCAAGGCAGTACAGGGACTCACATGGCAAGGGGGCTGTACATGCTAATATGCCAACTCAGGTTTCTCTTTCTCTTATTATAAAGCTACCAGTTCCCCTTCCATGATAACCCATTAATCCATACATGGATTAAACCATTCATGAGGACAGAACTCCCGTGATCCAATTACCCCTTAAAGGCTCCACCTCTCAACACTGCCAAATTAGGTACTAAATTTCAGCGTGAATTTTGGAGGGGACAAATATTCAAACCATATAATAGTGCTTAAGGATATTCTTATTATTCAGGTCTATATATCTATATATATTTACATATATCCAAAAATATGGACACTTCCTTCTTGGCATAAATGTGTAAATAGAATGGTTTTTTAAAATGTCGAAGTCTAAGAAAAAGACTTTAAAACTTTTTTGAAAAAAAAGTTGAAAAAGTGATTTATTTTTTATTTATTTATTTTTTTTGAGACGGAGTCTTGCTGTCTCGCCCAGGCTGGAGTGCAGTGGCGCAGTCTTGGCTCACTGCAACCTCTGCCTCCTGGGTTCAAGTGATTCTTCTGCCTCAGCCTCCCGAGTAGCTGGGACTGCAGGTGTGTGCCACCATGCCCGGGATTTCACCATACTGGCCAGGCTGGTTTCGAACTCCTGACCTCATGATCCACCCGCCTCAGCCTCCCAAAGTGCTGGGGTTACAGGCATGAACCACCGCACCCAGACTTTTTTTTTTCTTTTTTCTTTTTTTTTCTCTTGAGACAGAATCTTGCTCTGTCACCAAGGCTGGAGTGCAGTGTGCAATGGTGCAATCTCAGCTCACTGTAACCTCCGCCTCCCAGGTTCAAGCAATTCTCCTGCCCCAGCCTCCTGATTAGCTGGGATTACAGGCGCCCAGCACCATGCCCGGCTAATTTTTGTATTTTTAGTAGAAACAGGGTTTCACCATGTTGGCCAGGCTGGTCTTGAACTCCTGACCTCAGGTGATCTGCCCGCCTCGGCCTTCCAAAGTGCTGGGATTACAGGTGTGAGCCACCACGCCCAGCCCAAAGTAGTTTTTAAATGGCAAAATCTTTTGAACACCTCAGACTTTTTAAATAGTAGCAAAATAAACCCAAATAGGATTACTTTGAAACCTATGCCTATACTTAAATCTACTGTAAAATATAATATCATAGTTTTAATTCATTTAAAAAATTATTCCTATACTTTTTCCCAGGGCTCCAGTTTTACTTATTTGATACCTTCCAATAGTTGTAGTAATACTTACTTTTGGTGCCTCCTTGGGCTTGTGGTAGTCTCACCAGACCACAAAGTGAAACATTACTGTTAGGGTTATGAGATTTGGGTTATCAACTGATTTTTGGTCAGATAATGATATTTGTTTGCTATTCCTGAAGTGATTTAAACTCAAGCTGCTGGTCATTAGGCATTCTTTTTAAATTTAAATCTCATGTATTATATCGATAAGTTTACTCCTTTTATATAATATAAAAAATTTTACAACCTAATGTCACCCACAGAAATGATGTATTCTTTCATTCTCTCTGATCAAAATTACATAACTCATATTCTGTTATTAGGATATATCGACCTAATCTGTTAGTGTAAACTTTATATGTGCCTTATTTTACAACTATCAATGGTAGGCCCATTTAGAAATTTAATCTTCAAGGAAATAAGAAATCAAGTCTGAGCAGTTAGTTCATCCTTTTTAGGACATCTGACTATATCACCATTCTGCAACATACTGCTAATACCCTTTCTTTCCTTTTTACTTGCTACCACCACTGTTGATTAGTCTTCCTATTTTTGGTGCTACTTTTCCTGGGATATTTGACTTACAGTTCTCAATAATTTTCTTTACTTACACAAGTAAAACAAATACCTATTTATACTTTATACACAGACATATACTTAGAAGAAACAAATTATCCAGGTATATTAGCACACCACTACTTATTGGAAGCCATAAAAATTAAACAAAATCTATGATATTTACTTCTTTAATGTAACAACTACTTTGTTCATACTTTATATTTTCACTCGAGTACCATTATGAACTCATAGCATTTCAAAATATTTATATATTTACTTAGCAATAATTAGTATTGATGCTCTAATTATTACAACTTAGCCACTTCAAGCTAGTACCTTTGGTTTTGTTTTGACTGTTTCTTTGTTTTCTGGTACAGTAGGATGTGCCAGGCCCATCCTTAACTTTTTCTTCCTTTAACATATGGAATCAGCTGAACTTTAAGGAGACTTACTTTGAGAGGCTCCTTACTTTAAGGAGACTCCTTTGAGAGGCTAATACAGTAGTATTAAAGAACCAAGTTGGGTGGTGAGGGTATGTAAGTTGTGCTACTGCTATTTTGCCCCCCACCCTTTTTTTTTTTTGAAGAGATGGGGTCTTGCTCTGTCACCCAGGCTGGAGTGCAGTGGCACAATCAGAGCTCACAGCAGCCTTGAGCTCCTGGCCTCAAGCAATCCTCCCACTTCAGCCTTCTGAGTAGCTAGGCTATTTTGCCACTTTTTGTTGTGAGACGTATGAAGAAAATGTGTCATTAATTCATTTTGATCTTACAGTTTAACAAATCAGGTTGTCATAAAATATAAGATTTATCAACCGCTAAGACTTTCTATAAAAATAACATTTCAAATTATATCCATTCTTGCCCTCTCCAATATATTCTCCACATTAAATCAGATTTTTTTTTAATTCAGGGTTGATCCTTCCTGTCTCCCACTTAAAAACTTTCAGTAGCTTTCCACTGAATTTAAGATAAAAGTCTAAAATTATATTATCAGCTGGCCCCTGCCTACTTCTCTAAGACATCTATCAGTCTCTCTCTCATTCATTAATCCTTCCAACACTGGCTTTCTTTCAGACCTCAAATGCATGAAACTAGGTATTTGGTTCAGTTCTCTAGGAGTTCTTGGGCCAGAAGAAAGTGCTAGAGTAAACAACATAGTAATACAGCATCTTCCTCTTTGTATCTGTAACACCTAGGACAGTGCCTGTAACATGGTTAGCAGTCAACTTGCTGCTTCCTTTTCTTTTTGGTTTTGTTTTTTGTTTTTTGAGACAGGGTCTTACTCTGTTGTACAGGCTGGAGTGCAGTGGTGCAATCACGGGGGACTGCAGCCTTGACCTCCTGGGCTCAAGCAATCCTCCCGCCTCAGCCTCCTGAGTAGCTGGGACCACAGGCGTGCTCCACCACATCTGGCTAATTTTTGTATTTTCAGCAGAGATGGGTTTCACCATGTTGCCCAGGCTGGTCTTGAACTCCTGGGCTCAAGTGATTTGCCCACCTTGGCTTCCCAAAGTGCTGGGATTACAGGCATGATCTGCCATGCCTGGCCACTCTTTTTTCTTAACTAAATAAAAGCAGATCATATTTACATTTTTTAAAAAACGACACAAAAATGAATTAATGTATGCATTGAAATTATGGTTGCAAAAGAGACTGATTAGTGTCTAGGTCAAAATGAAATTCCTCAGCACTGAAGACGGTGAGAAAAACAAACACACAAAAAGAAGAAATTCCAGCCAGGCACGGTGGCTCACGCCTGTAATCCTAGCACTCTAGGAGGCTGAGGCGGGTGGATCACTTAAGGTCAGGAGTTTGAGACCAGCCTGGCCAACATAGTGAAACCCCGTCTCTACTAAAAATATAAAAATTAGCCAGGTGTGGTGGCGCACGCCTGTAATCCCAGCTGCTTGGGAGGCTGAGGCAGGAGAATCCCTTGAACTCAGGAGGCAGAGGTTGCAGTAAGCTGAGATCACGTCACTGCACTCCAGCCTGGTGACAGAGCGAGACTGTCTCAAAAAAAAAAAGAAATTCCAGGAATTTAACAAAAGATGGTGGCAGCATACAGGGGAAACACAGGCCAGAAAAGGATCCTGAAGAGATGAGTTTGAAGACATTTCCACCTGAGAAAAACTATGCATTCTGCTACTTCAAGTTAGCTAAGGGGCTTATCTGTACTTAGATATATATCCCAACAAAAATAACTAACTATAATATCTAATGAGTGGCTAAAGTACATGACTACATGCTGAATTATAACCCTTTAAAAATCATTAAAAGAATGGAGAGCTCAAAAATAAACCCTTGCAATTATGGCCAAATGATTTTCAACAAGAGTGCCAAGACTACCTGGGTAAAGGACAGTCTCTTTAACAGATGGTGTTAGGGAAACTGGACACCCACATGCAGAACAACGAAGTTGGACCCTTACTTATACCATATACAAAAATTAACTCAAAATAGATCAAAGACCTAAATGTAAGATGTAAAACTGTAAAACTCCTAGAATAAAACATAGGGTAAAGCTTCAGGCCATTGGATTTGGCATTGATTTCTTGGATATAACACTAAAAGCACAGGCAACAAAAGCAAGAACAGACAAATGGTACTATATCAAAGGTAAACACTTCTGAACATCAAAAGAAGCAAAAGAATGAAAAGGCAATATGTGGAATGGGAGAAAATATTTGCAAATCATATCTGATGAGGAGTTTATATCCAGAATATATAAGAATAATCTATAACCTAACAACAACAAAAAATAGTAATTCAGGCTGGGCGTGGTGGCTCATGCCTGTAATCCCAACACTTTGAGAGGCCGAGGCTGGTGGATCACCTGAGGTCAAGTATTCAAGACCAGCCTGGCTAACATGGTGAAACCCCATCTCCACTAAAAATACAAAAATTAGCTTGGCGTGGCAGTGTGCACCTGTAATTCCAGCTACTCAGGAGGCTGAGGCAGGAGAATTGCTTGAACCCAGGAGGCGGAGGTTGCAGTGAGTCGAGTTCGCACCATTGCACTCCAGCCTGGGCGGCAAGAGTGAAACTCCATCTCAAAAAATAATAATAATAATTCAATTGAAAAATGGACAAAGGACTTGAATAGACGATTCTACACAGATATGCAAATGGCCAACAAGTGCCTGAAAAGATGTTAGGCAGGAAGGGTAGCTCTTGGCCACTTGTTCCTTCCAATCATCCTGGAGGGCCTTGCAGTAATCACTTTCATTAGAGATGCGGAACTCTACTTCCTAATGCCTACACCTGGAAGGACTGGTTCCAAATATAAACTCTTTGTATAAATAAGAAACCTAGCAAAGTCATTTTATCCTCCATGCATGTGGGAGAAGAATAAAGTTCTGTCACACAAGAAAACACATCTCTATTTAAATATAACTATAACTACCAGGGCAACACAGTATTAGGTAAGATAACTGTTATCCTTTTTTGTTGTTGTTGTTGTTGTTGTTGTTGTTGTTGTTGTTGAGATGGAGTCTCGCTCTGTCGCCCAGGCTGGAGTGCAGTGGCACAATCTCCGCTCACTGCAAGCTCCGCCCCCCAGGTTCATGCCATTCTCCTGCCTCAGCCTCCCGAGTAGCTGGGACTACAGGCGCCCACCACCACGCCCGGCTAATTTTTTGTATTTTTAGTAGAGACGGGGTTTCACTGTGTTTGCCAGGATGGTCTCGATCTCCTGACCTCATGGTCCACCCTCCTCAGCCTCCCAAAGTGCTGAGATTACAGGCGTGAGCCACTGTGCCTGGCCAATAACTGTTATTCTTTTTATTTGGTTGTTTGTTTTAGGAGACAGGGTCTCACTATGTTGCCCAGGCTGTCCTCAAACTCCTGAGCTCAAGAGATCCTCCTGCCTCAGCCTCCCAAATAGCTGGGACTATAGGCACATGCCACTGTACCCAGCCTATTCCTTTGTTAAATAAATGAATTACAGACATTATATAAATTAAAGGTTATTTTCCAGATATAGTAATATCCAAAGTCCAATGATTTAAAAGATTCCTTTGTTAAAAATAACATAGGCAGCTTTTCAGTCGGGTGCTAAGTCGTTTTTCACATCATGTCTGGTGGCTCCGTGGATTATAACAGCAGAGAACATGGAGACCCAGAGAGAATGGACCCTGATGGTGTCATCGAGAGCAACTGGAAGGAGGTTGTTGATAACTTTGATGATACAAACTTTAAAAAGTCTCTTCTTTGGGGTATCTATGCTTATGATTTCAGAAGCCTTCCGCTATTCAGCAGAGAACTATTATTCCCTGTATTAAAGATCCAAAAGGTGGCCAGGCGCAGTGGCTCATGCCTGTAATCCCAGCACTTTGGGAGGCCGAGGCGGGTAGATTACCTGAGGTCAGGAGTTCGAGACCAGCCTGGCCAACATGGTGAAACCCTGTCTCTACTAAAAATACAAAAATTAGCTGGGCATGTTGGCGCATACCTGTAATCCCAGCTACTCGGGAGGCTGAGGCAGGAGAATCATCGCTTGAACCTGGGAGGCGGAGGTTGCAGTGAGCCGAGATTGCACCATTGCACTCCATCCAGCCTGGGTGACAAGAGCGAAACTACATCGCAAAAACAAAACAAAACAAAAAATACCCAAAAGGTGATTCTGGCACTTGGAGATTATATGGGAGCAACCTGTCATGCCTGCATTGGTGGAACAAATGTTCAAAATGAATGCAAAAACTGCAGGCTGAAGTACCACATATTGTTGGTACACCAGGGAGAATGTGTGATATGTTAAACAGAAGATACCTTTTTTCCAAAATGGATCAAAATGTTTGTTTTGGATGAAGCAGATGAAATGTTCAGCCAAGGGTTTAAGGATCAAATCTATGAGATTTTCCAAAAATTAAATACAAGTATTTAGGTTGTGTTGCTTTCTGCCATGATGCCAACTGATGTGTTGGAAGTGACCAAAAAATTCACTAAAGATCCTATTCAAATTCTGGTGAAAAAGGAAGACTTGAACCTTGAAGGAATCGAACAGTTTTATATCAGTGTTGAGCAGGAGGAATGGAAGTTGGATATACTTTGTGACTTGTACAAGGCACCATTAAACAGGCTGTTATTTTTCTCAATACAAGGTGCAAGGTGGACTGGCTGACTGAGAAAATACATGCCAGGGACGTCACAGTTTTTGCTCTGCATGGCGACATGGACCAGAAGGAGAGAGATACTATCATGAGGGAATTCTGATCAGGGTCAAGCCCTGTTCTGATCACTATTTACTTGTTGGCACGTGGGACTGATGTCCAACAAGTGTCTTCGGTTATAAACTATGATCTACCTAGCAGTCATGAAAACTGTATTCGCAGAATTGGCAGAGGGGTCAATTTGGTAGAAAAGGTGTGGCTAAAAACTTTGTTACTGAGGAAGGCAAGAGGATTCTTCGTGACACTGAGATTTGTATGCAATACTACAGTGAAGGAAATGCCCATAAATGTAGCTGACCGTATTTAATTCCTGGGATGACAGAGTTTTGGATGCAGTGCTCCCTGTTGTTGAACAGACAATTACAATGTGCATTGTGCTTCTTTCTTTGGGAATATTTGAATCTTGTCTCAATTCTCATAACAGATCAGAAATACAGATTTTGATACCAAAGCAACATTAGTCGTGAGCTCTTGTGAGGAAAATCATTGGCTTTATCCTCTTTAGAGTTAAACTGTTAGGATAGGTATAAAAGATGAGTTCTAAAATTTTTCTTTCTTAGAAATTTATTTCCTAGTTCTGTAGAAATGGTAGTATTAGATGTTTTGTATTATTTAATAATGTATCTGGGGACTAAAAGATATAAGTGCTGTATAAAATCAGCCAATTACATTAAAGTAGCATACCTGCCCTTATTGTGTTTGTCATTAGCCTGAGTAGGAAGGCCTTTAAAATTGATTTTTTAGAAGGCATTCGAATGCATTTTATTTGGTATTGTATTTATGCAATCAAATATTTAATTAGTGCTAAGTGTGAACTGGACCCTATGGCTAAGCCCCAGCAAGCAATCATATCCTAAATAGGGTTAAATTCCCAGTAAAATTGCCATATTGCACATGTCTTAATGAAGTTTTAGTGTTAAATAAACTGTATATTCACTTAAGAAAAAAAAAAGGAAATAGCAGCCAGGAGCGATGGCTCACACCTGTAATCCCAGCACTTTGGGAGGGTGAGATGGGCAGATAACCTGAGGTCAGGAGTTTTAGACCAGTCTGGCCAACATGGTGAAACCCCGTCTCTACTAAAAATACAAAAATTAGCCAGGCGTGGTGGCACACACCTGTAATCCCAGCTACTGGGGAGGCTGAGACAGGAGAGTCACTTGAACCCTGGAGGTAGAGATTGCAGTGAGCCAAGATCACGCTACTGCACTCCAGCCTGGGCGACAGAGCGAGACTCTGTCTCAAAAACAAAAAGAAAGAAATAACATTTACAAAGACAACTTTATGGTGTAGAATACTATCTTATTTTTTGCTGCAGCTTTAGGGGAAATGGGAATATTTTTTCTTCTTATCTAGCTAAAATTTCTTTTAATAGTTATAAAGGCCTATAGTTGTTAGAAATTCCTATTTATTTTTCAACACAAAGAATTCCATTAGTTACCACTGACTAAAAATATAATTGGTTATAAGTGGAATAATACGATAGCAGAATAACGTAATGGAATGTTGGGTATACATTCCATATGTTTGATAGCTTTTTTTTTTTTGTTACCCAGGCTGCAGTGCAATGGCGTGATCTCTGCTCACTGCAACCTCTGCCTCCCAGGTTCAAGGGATTCTCCTTCCTCAGCCTCCCAAGTAGCTGGGATTACAGGTGTGAGCCACCACGCCTGGCTAATTTTTAGACATATTGGATCTCCAAACCGATTCCCTCCCTCCCTCCCTCCCTCCCAACCGCCCTTCATCCCTTCCCTCTTCCTTTTTTTGTTTTGTTTGTTTGTTTGTTTGAGACAGGGCCTCGCTTTGTCACCCAGACTGGAGTACAGTGGTGCAATCTCAGCTCATTACAGCCTTGATCTCCTGGGCTCAGGTGATCCTCCCACCTCAGCCTCCCGAGTAGCTGGGACTACTGGTGTGCACCACCTCATCTGGCTAATTTTGTATTTTTTGTAGAGACAGGATTTCGCCTTTTGCCCAGGCTGAGCTTCTCTCATCTCTTACCATCTCCATCCCAGTGCCACCTGCCATGGTTAAGGATCTTATCTGTTTACCAACTCTTGCATAAGAGAAGTTTACTTCTTTTTATGTAAAAGAAGTCTGGAGGAAGGCAATGTAGAGTGGCGGCATGGTGTTTTCAGGGACTGAGACACTTCATCCTTCTGCCATATCATGTTAGCCCACGGTGTTTTTTCTGAAGTTTTCTTCATGGTTCAAGATAGCTGATAGAGCTCCAAACATGATATTCGCTTTCCACGTAGCAGAAAGGAGGAAAGACAGAAGGGCTAAATGGTATCCCTTGCAGTCACACCAGTTCCCTTTAAACAGCCTTCCCAGAGTCCCACAGAATAATTCTGCTCATATTGCATTGACTATCTTTGGCTGCAAGGTAACTGGGAGATGCAGTCTTTGAGGTGGATATGTTGTTTTCATGAATAAAATTGGGATGATTTTACTAGAAAAGAAGGAGAGAATGGATATTGAGGGGCATCTAGCATTCTCTACCATGTATGTATATGGTTTTTATGAAATTATACATTTTGTAATCTCTTTATACTTAATCTTTTATTGTGGACATCTTCTATTTTTCCCAATATTAACTTAAGGACTTTATTCCATTGCATGAATATATCACTATTTAAGGAACTCATCCCCAAATCCTCTATTTTGAAACAGTTGGGCTAGTTTCTATTTTTGGCAATTATAAACAATTCTGTGATCATAATTTTTTTTTTTTTTGAGATAGGGTCTCACTCTGTTGCCCAGGCTGAAGTGCAGTGGCACAGTCATGGCTCACTGCAACTTCTGCCTCCAGGGCTCAAGTGATTCTTCCACTTCAGCCTCCTGAGTAGCTGGGACTATAGGTGCATGCCACCATACCTGGCTAATTTTTGTACTTTTTTGCAGAAACCAAGTTTCACCATGTTGCACAGGCTGGTGTTAAACTCCTGGGCTCAAGCAATCCACTTGCCTCAGCCTCCCAAAGTGCAGAGATTACAGGAATGAACCACCGTGCCCCACCAATCATAATTCTTATAGCTAAATCTTACAGGTCATATCCTTAAAGGAAATCCCTACAAATGAAACCACTGAATCAAAGAAAATGTTTATTTTAAAGCTCCTAATACATATTCCCAAAATGTCTTCCAGTAAGATTTTCCCACCAGCCTTGTTTAAAAGTGCCATGGGTTTGTTTTTTTAACTATTATTATTTTTTTGTGTGTGTGACAGAGTCTTGCTCTGTTGCCCAGGCTGGAGTGCAGTGGTGTAATCTCAGCTCACTGCAACCTCCACCCCACAGGTTCAAGCAATTCTCCTGTCTCAGCCTCCCAGGTAGCTGGGATTACAGGCACATGCCATCACGCCTGGCTAATTTTTGTATTTTTAGTAGAGACGGGGTTTTACCATGTTGGCCAGGCTGGTCTCAAACTCCTGACCTCAAGTGATCTGCCTGCCTCAGCCTCCCAAAGTGCTGGGATTACAGGCATGAGCCATGGGCCCAGCTGCCATGGGTTTATTCTATTTTCCTAATAAAAAAAAATACTTAAGGCACAAAAAAATGTAAAGAGCAATACAAAGTGTAAATTGGTTATATTTAACATTTGGTTAAACTGAGTTCCATTTTTTAAAATTTTATTTCTCAGATTGGATTGACTTTCTCCAGAGTAAACCCACTGAAACAAATGAGTCATCACATATTTACTGAATGCCTAGGAAGGAAGAGAAATTTGAATATTAATAAGATAAGATCCCTGCCCATAAGGAGCATATATTTTGGGCAATGATGGAGTTACTGAAATAAGGATATAACCTCGTGAGATATCTTAAGATGTAATTATAAATGTGATTATTCTTTTTTTTTTTTTTTTTTTTTTTTGAGACGGAGTCTCGCTCTGACGCCCAGGCTGGAGTGCAGTGGTGCAATCTCAGCTCACTGCAAGCTGTGCCTCCTGGGTTCACGCCATTTTCCTGCCTCAGCCTCCCAAAGTGCTGGGACTACAGGCACCCGCCACCATGCCTGGCTAATTTTTTTTTTTTTTTTTTTTTTTTTTTTTTTTTTTTTTTTTTTTTTTTTTTTAGTAGAGACAGTTTCACCCTGTTAGCCAGGATGGTCTCAATCTCCTGACCTTGTGATCCGCCTGCCTCAGCCTCTCAAAGTGCTGGGATTACAGGTGTGAGCCACCCGCCTGGCCAATTATTCTTAGTTTTTAAAAAACTTGTTGTATAGCTTGTTATAGTTTAGATATTTGTCCTTGCCTAAATCTCATGTAGAATTATAATCCCTAGTGCTGGAGGTGGGGCCTGGTGGGAGGTGTCTGAGTCATGGGGACAAATCCCTCATGACTTGGTATGATCTTTGCAATAGTGAATGAGTTCTCATGAGATCTAGTCATTTAGAAGTGTGCGGCACCTCTCCACACACACACACACTCTGTCTTTCTTCTGCTCTGGTCGTGTGATATGCCTACTCCTCCTTCACTTTTTACCATAAGTTAAAGCTTCCTGCAGCCTCCCTCAAAGCAGATGTTAGCACTATTAGCACTATGCTTCCTGTACAACCTGCAGAGCCATAAGCCAATTAAACCTCTTTTCCTATAAATTACCCAGTCTCAGGTATTTTTGTTTTTTGTTTTTGTTTTTTTGGGTTTTTTTGAGACAGAGTCTCACTCTGTTGCCCAGGCTGGAGTGCAGTGGTGTGATCTAGACTCACCACAACCTCCGCCTCCCGGATTCAAGCAATTCTCCTGCCTTAGCCTCCTGAGTAGCTGGGACTACAGGTGTGCACCACTGTGCCTGGCTAATTTTTGTATTTTTAGTAGAGATGAGGGTTCACTGTGTTGGCCAGGCTGGTCTTGAACTCCTGACCTCGTGATCCGCCTGCCTCAGCCTCCCAAAGTGCTGGGATTATAGGTGTGAGCCACCGCACCTGGCTAGGTATTTCTTTATAGCAATGCAAGAATGACTTCATACAGAACACTGGTACCAAGGAATGGGGTATTGCTATAAGGATACCTGACAATGTGGAAGTGACTTTGAAACTGGGTAATGGGCAGATGTTGAAAGACTGGAGGGCTCAGAAGACAACAGGAAGAGGGAAAGTTTAGAATTTCTTAGAGACCAGTTAAATGGTTGTGACCAAAATGCTAATAGTGAAATGGACAATAAAGTCCAGGCTGACAAGGTCTCAGAAGGAAATGAGGAACTTACTGGGAACTGGAAGAAAGGGCATGTGTGTTATGCCTTAGCAAGGAACTTGGCTGTATTATGTCCATGCCCTAGAGATCTATGGAATTTTGATCTTGAGAGTCATGACGTAGGGTATTGGGTAGCAGAAATTTCTAAGTAGCAGAGTGTTCAAGAAGTAACATGCCTGCTTCTAACACCTATGCTCAGATGTGGGAGCAAAGAAATGACTTAAAGTTGGAATTTATATTTAAAAGGGGAGCAGAGCATAAAAGCTTGGAAAATTTGCAGCCTAGCCACATGACAAAGAAAGAAAAAGCTTTTTGGGAAGAGGAACTCAAGCAGGCTGTGGAGCAACCACTTGATAGAGATATTTGCATAACTAAAAAGCAGCCAAGTGCTAATAGCCAAGACAATGGGAAAAAGGCATTTCGGAGACCTTCACAGCAGCCCCTCCCATCACAGGCCCAGAGGCCTAGGAGGGAAGAATGGTTCTGTGGGGCAGACCCAGGACCTTGTTGCCTTGAGCAGCCTTGGGACACTGCTTTTTGCTGGGGCTCAGCGGGGCCCAGTTACAGCTTGACTTGCCGCTTTAGAGAATCTAAGATGTCCTGATCTCAAGTGATCCATGGTGAAACCTTGTCTCTACTAAAAATACGAAAATTAGCCAGGTGTGGTGGCGGACGCCTATAATCCCAGCTACTTGGGAGGCTGAGGCATGAGAATCCCTTGAGCTTGGGAGGTGGAGGTTGCGGTGAGCTGAGATCACGCCACTGCAGTCCAGCTTGGGTGATACAGCAAGACTCTGTCTCAAAAAAACAAACAAACAAACAAACAAACAAATGTTGCAAGCAAGCTGTAAGCCTTGGCAGCTTCCATGTGGTGTTAAGCTTGTGGGCACACAGAGGGCAAAGAGTGAAGGCTTGGCACTATCTGTGTAGATTTCAGAGGATGTAAGAGAAAGCCTGGGTGCCCAGGCAGAAGCCTGATGCAGGGGTGGAGTCCTCACAGAGAATCTCTATTGGGCAGTGCAGAGAAGAAATAGGGGGTTGGAGGCCCCACACACAATTCCCACTGGGGCACTGCCTAGTGGAGCTGTGGGAAGGGGGTCACCATCTTCCAGACCCCAGAATGATAGATTCACCTTGCACCCTGTACCTAGAAAGCTGCAGGCATTCAGGCCAGGTGCAGTGGCTCATGCCTGTAATCCCAGCACTTTGGGAGGCCAAGATGGGCAGATCACTAGAGACCAGGAGTTCGAGACCAGCCTGGCCAACATGGTGAAACCCCATCTCTACTAAAAATACAAAAATTAGCTGAGTGTAGTGGTGCTCGCCTGTAATCCCAGCTATTCAGGAGGCTGAGGCAGGAGAACTGCTTGAACCCGGGAGGCAGAGGTTGCAGTGGGCCGAGACCCCACCACTACACTCCAGCCTGGGCGACAGAACGAGACTCTGTCTCTCAAAAAAGAAAAAAAAGAAAAAAAGAAAAAAGAAAGCTGCAGGCATTCAACTCCACCCATGAGAGCAACCTTGGGAGCTGAACCCTGCAAAGCCACAGGGGTAGAGCTGCCCAGGGTCTTGGAAGCCTACCGCTTGCACCTTGTCATGGGACATCAAGGGGTTCTAAGAGTTAATGACTCCCCTACTGGGTTTTGAACTTGCATGGGATCTGTAGCCCCTCTCTTTTGGAACAGAAATGTTTATCTAACGCCTATACTCCCATTGTATCTTGGAAGTAAATAACTTGTTTTTGATTTACAGGCTCATAGCTGGAAGGGATGTGCCTTGTCTCAGAGGAGACGTGGGACTTTGGACTTTTGAATTAACACTGGAATGAGTCAAGACTTTTGAGACTTTTTGGAAACCATAATTGTATTTTGCAATGTGAGAAGGATATGAGATTTGGGAGGAGCCAAGGGCAGGATGCCCAAATCTCATGCTGAATTGTAATCCCCAATGCTAGAGGTGGGGCCTGGTGGGAGGTGTTTGGGTCATGGGGGAGGATCCCTTATGGCTTTGTACTGTCTTTGCGATAGTGAGTTCCCATGACATCTGGTCATTTAAAAGTGTGTGGCACCTCTCTTGCTCCTGCTCCCACTTAACATTCCCCCATGAGTAAAAGCTTTGTAAGTCCTCTGCAGAAGCAGATGCCAGCACTATGCTTCTACAGCCTCCAGAACTGTGAGCCTATTAAATCTCTTTTCTTATAAATTACGTGGTCTCAGATATTTCTTTATAGCAAGGCAAGGATGACCTAATACATAGCTATAGCTGTTTGCATCTGAAAAGACAGCAAGCAGTACCAGATAGTCCATAGTACATGTAGGCAGAATAGTTCTGTGACCAGAATTTAATCTTCCTGTTCTGAGAAATGGTAGGTTATTGAGGCTTAGAATAGTCCACGAAGGTATTGCCAGGGCAAGGGGAGTTTGAGCCAAAACTCATGTAACTGTGTTGCCATAAGAACTGTTTATGTTTACATAATTAATATTTACTTCTTTTTTCCACTCCAAGATTTGGTATAAGGGGAAAGAAGTTACATTTTTCATCTTCTTATGCTCATAAAGCATCTTCCATTGCCAAATCCTCCAGCTTTTGTTCTATGGAAAGAGATGAGGAAGACTCTATAATCGTCTCAGAAGGAATAATTGAGGAATACCTAGCATTCGATCACATAGATATGTGAGTATTATGCCTTTTAAGCTTTTTACTCCCCTCTTATTTTGTGTATTAATACCTATTTTTTCTAAATGATGCTACCAATGTATATTATTAAATATATGCCAGTTTCTGTTATTTATTTTATGTTATTTCTCAGGTATCCAGAATTTATGTTCTTATTGCCTCCATGTACTAGACTTCCTTGTGTATTTTATAACTTCACACATCATTTGCCTGTTCCTGAGATTAGAGATTTTAAAATAAGTTTATTTTTTCCCCACATAGTTTGATTTTACCCTTTTGCAAATTACCACCAGTGGGAACTTTGAAACCTTTTAAAAGAGCAGTTGAAGAGATATGGACTTTGTTTACATAAATTCTGTTTGAAAAATGTATATACAGGCTGGGCGCGGTGGCTCACACTTGTAATCCCAGCACATTGGGAGGCCGAGGCAGGCAGATCACTTTGGGTCAGGAGTTTGAGACTAGCCTGGCCAACATGGTGAAACCCCATCTCTACTAAAAATACAAAATTAGCTGGGCATGGTGATGCGTGCCTCTAATGTCAGCTACTTGGGAGGCTGAGGCCAGAGAATCGCTTGAACCCGGGAGGCGGAGGTTGCAGTGAGCCGAGATCACGCCACTGCATACCAGCCTGGGCAACAGAGCAAGACTCCATCTCCAAAAACAAAACAAAACAAAAAAGAAAAGAAAAAGGTATAAACAGTTTGTTTAAAACCTTATGGTTGGCACAGATTTTATAATTAATAATGTCTATTTATATCTATTCTAACTATATTCTAACAGTAGACCTATCACATAGATATGATTTATCTTCTTTACTGGATAGGTGAGAATCAGAGTAGTTAATGATTTGTCTCAAGTAAAGCTAAAACCAAAACCTTATTCATCTGATTCTCAATCCAGTCTTCTCTTCACTATTCCTTGCTACCTTTCTGTGACATTAACCTGTTAAACTATTCCTCTAAGCCTTTAAAAGTTCCAGATTTGATAGTCACAGCAGCATATTTGAAAATAAGTGAGAATTTCTTTTTAGGCTGTGCAGCTGTGGTTAGGTCTAGTAGTTAGTATTGTGTCACATGATTCTGGATGCATTTTTTTTTTCCCATTGCATTTTTTTCCCATTGTATTTCCTGCTGAGCCATGTTCACTCACGTATCACTCATGTGCACACAGCCCTAGGGCCAGCTAAATATAAGCCAGGCTTCTATACATAATACCACTGAGCTAGAACTGGAAGCAGATTCTTTTGGTTTTCCAAAGATTGCCTCCTTCCCTTTCACTTCTCCTGTGTCAAATTACTTCTATTTTCTATTTATTACTTCTATTTGGCCTTTGTCAAATTAATTCTATTTTCCATTTTTCCTCAAATCAAAGTGAATTTTCAGGTAATACACAGACAATTTTAGAAAGGCAGCCTTCCCTTCAGCATCATGAAGTCTTTCCTTCTTGCTTCTGTTACAGAGAAGAGGGATTTCATGGGAAGAAATCAGAAGCAGCTACAGAGAAACAGAAATTAGGGTATCCTCCCATTGCTCCATTTTACTGCATGAAAGAAGATGTCCTTGCTTATGTGTTTGACAGTGTATGGTGCAAGGTTGTGAGCTGTATGGAGCAGTTGACACGTAGTCACTGGGAAGGATTTGCCTCTGGTAAGGATCTTTGTGAAAATAATGTAAAAATCAATTGTTTATGATTTCTAAACCCTAACCAGTCTATTAGATGATATGCTTCTTAGTGCAAAAGGTGCGTATGGGCCAGGCACAGTGGCTTATGCCTATAATCCAAACACTTTGGGAGGCCAAGGGGAAGGATCTCTTGAGCCCAGGAGTTTGAGACCAGCCTGGGCAATGTAGTGAGATCCCATCTCTCTAAAAAAATTAAAAATTAGCCAGGCATGGTGGCATTCACCTATAGTTCCAGCTACGCAAGAGACTGAGGTGGGAGCATCACTTGAGCCCAGGAGGTCAAGTCTGCAGTGAGCTATGACTGCACCACTGCACTCTAGCCTGGGCATAAGATGAGAGACTCTGTCTCAAAAAAGAAGAAAAAAAAAAGTGGGTATGAGAGAGAGGAAAAACCCAAATGTTTTTCCCTAAATGTTTTTTCCTACTCTCACATACCACAACATGTCTGACACCAGTAGGTAGGGTTTTTTCCCCCACAACCCAAGCAATTCTGACACCACATCCTATAATTCAGTTCAGTTCTGACACAGTCTACCAGGAGATATTGTCAGATCCCACAAATTAAGGGCCCAGTCCCACAAGACTACCCCCAACTTCAGATGCTAGTTGCAAGCTCCAAGTTGTGACCTGTACTTCTGACCTACCAGAAGTCTACCAGAGAGACTAGGTCTCTCTGAACCTAGTCCTTTAGGATTTTTATGGAGGTTTCATTTTGTAGGCATGATTCAATTGTTGGCCATCGCTGATTAACTCGACCTTCAGCCCCTGTCTTCTCCCTAGAGGTTAAGGGGTGGGGCTGAAAAAGTGAAAAAGTTCCAACCTTCTAATTACATGGTTGGTTCCCCTGCCAACCACTATCTCCCTACCCAATCCTCAGACTATCCAAGAGCCCCTAACCACCGGTCATATCATTAGCATACAAAAAAAAACACCACTTTGGGTATTATAAGAGTTTTAGGAGCTATGTGCCTCAACCAGGGGCAGAGACCAAATATCTGTTTATTATCATCTCATGATATGATATGGAATGACCCATATATTTAGTCTCTGCCCCTGATTTCAGATCATAGTGGGTCTGACTTATGTTTGTATTTCCCACAAAAACTAACAGGTATTTAGTAAATATTTGAGAATGAGTAGATCGATAAAAAGGCCTAGTCTGTGATGATTAGACAGAGCTTGTACTTTCTCTTTGAATATAATGATTTATGAAGAAAAATCATGTGCAAGTAGCACTTTTTTAAACTGCTTTATTAAAGCATAATAGATATATAATAAACTGCACTATTTTTTCTTTTCATTTTATTTTTTATTTTTATGTATTTGAAGGGTCCAAGTGCGGGTTTCTTATGTGCATGTATTTCTTAGTGGTGAAATCTGGGTTTTTAGTGACCTCAGGTGGTACACTAAAATATTCACTCAAATAGTGAATATTGTGCTCAATAGGTAATTTTTCAAACCTTGCCTCCCTCCCACCTTCCCACCTTTCGGAGTCTCCAGTGTTTCTTATTACACTCTGTATGTCCATGTGAACCCATTGTTTAGCTTTCACTTATAAGTGAGAACATGTGGTATTTGACTTTCTGTTTCTGAGTTATTTCGCTAGGATAATGGCCTCCAGTTCCATCTATGTTGCTGCAAAAGACAGCCTTTATGGAAAAAAGCATGGATATTTCTCAGATTTCATTATTTTGTATGGCCAAGTAGTAGTCCATTTTATTTATCCAGTCCTCTGTTGATGGACACTTAGGCTGATTCCATATCTTTGCTACCGTGAATAATGGAGCGATAAACATATGAGTGTGAATAAATATATATTTTTTGAGACAGAGTTTCACTCTTGTCACCCAGGCTGGAGTGCAGTGGTGTGATCTTGGCCCACTGCAACCTCTGCCGCCTAGGTTCAAGCGATTCTCCTGCTTCAGCCTCCCGAGTAGCTGGGATTACAGGTGTGCACCATCACGCCCAGCTAATTTTTTGTATTTTTAGTAGAGATGGGGTTTTGCCATGTTGTTGGTCTTGAACTCCTCACCTCAGGTGATCCGCCTGCCTCAGCCTCCCAAAGTGCTGGGATTATAGGCATGAGCCACTGCGCCTGGCTGTAAATATTTTTTTGATATAATGATTTCTTTTTGTGTATATACTCAAGAGTGGGACTGCTGGATCAAATGGCAGTTCTATTTTTAGTTCTTTGAGAAATCTCCATGCTTTTTTCCATAAAGGCTGTACTAATTTACTTTCCCACAAACAGTTTATACAGTGTTCCCTTTTCTTCACATCCTTGCCAACATCAGTCGTTTTTCATGTTTGTTGGATGCTTGTATGTCTTCTTTTGAAAAATGTCTGTTCATGTCCTGTTTCTCTCTCTCACTCTCTCTCTCTCTCTGTGTTTCTCTCTCTCTCTGTCACCCAGGCTGGAGTGCAGTGGCACAATCACAGCTCACTGCGGCCTTGACCTTCTGGGCTCAAGTGATCCTGCTACCTCAGCCTCCTGAGTAGCTGGGACCACAGGCATGCACCACCACGACTGGCTAATCTTTTGGTATTTTTTTTGTAGAGGCAGGGTTTAACCATGTTGCCTGGGCTGGTCTCAAACTCCTGGGCTCAAGCGATCTGCCCGTCTTGGCCTCCCAAAGTGCTGGGATTACAGGCATGAGCCACCATGCCCAGCCTGTTCATATTCTTTTTCCCCTTTTAAATAGGGTTATTTATTGTTTTCTTATTGGGTTGAAATCCTTGTAGATTCTGGATATTAGTCCTTTGTCAGATGCATAGTTTGCAAATATTTTTTGCCATTCTGTAAGTAGTCTGCTTATTCTGTTATTTCTTTTGCTATGCAGAAGCTTTTTAGTTTAATTGAATCCCATTTGTCTATTTTTGTTTTTGTTGCTTTTGCTTTTGAAGACTTGGTCTTAAATTCTTTGCCTGGACAATGTCCAGAAGACTTTTTCCTAGGTTTTCTTCTAGGATTGTTACAGTTTCAGGTCTTGGGTTTAAGTCTTTAATCCATTTTTGTATACGGTGAGAGGTATGGGTTCTCTTAATTTTTGTATATGGTGAGAGGTATTTTTCTGCATATGGCTAGCCAGTTTTCCCAGCACCACTTATTTAATAGAGTCCTTTCCCCAGTGTATATTTTTGTTGACTTTGTCAAAGATCAGTTGATTGGCTTTATTTCTTGGTTTTCTATTCCATTCCGTTGGTCTGTGTGTCTATTTTTATACCAGTACCATGCTGTTTGGATTACTATACCCTTGTATAATTTGAAGTCAGGTAATGTGAGTCCTCCAGCTTTGTCCTTTTTACTTAGGATTATTTTAGCTATTTGAGCTCTTTTTTGGTTCCATATGAATTTTAGGATTTTTTTTCTAATTCTGTGAAAAATGGCATTGGTAATTTGATAGGGATTGTGTGGAATCTGTAGACTGATTGATCTGTATGGTCATTTTAACAATATGGATTCTTTCAATCCATGAGCATGGGATGTTTTTCCATGTGTTTGTATCATCTATGAATTCTTTAGTCAGTGTTTTGTAGTTCTCCTTATAGAGATCTTTCACCTCCATGCTTAAATATAATCCTGGATAGTTTACTTTCTTATAGCTATTGTAAATTGAGTTGCCTTCTTGATTTGGTCCTTGGCTAGATCATTAATGGGGTATTGAAACCCTACTGATTTTTGGATCTTAATTTTGTATCCTGAAACTACTAAATTTATTTATCGAATCTAAGTTTTTTGGTAGAATCTTTCAGGTTTTCCAGATATAAGATCATACCATCAGCAAACAGGGCAATTTGCCTTCCTCTTTTCCAATTTGGATGCCTTTTGTTATTTTCTTTTGCCTGATTGCTGTGACAAGGACTTGTTGAATAAGAGTGGTGAAAGTGGGCATCCTTGTCTTGTTCTAGCTTTAGGGAATGCTTTCAGTTTTTCTCTGTTAAGTATAATGCTAGCTATGGGTTTGTTGTTTATGGCCTTTATTATGTTGAGGTATGTTTCTTCTATGCCTAGTGTGTTGAGGACCTTTATCATGAAGTAATGTTGAATTTTATCCAGTGCCTTTTGTGCATCTATTGAGATGATCATTTGTTTTTTGTCCTTAATTCTGTTTATATGATGTATCACATTTATTGATTTGCATATGTTGAATCATCCTTTCAACTCTGGGATAAATCCCACTTGATCATGTTGTATTATCTTTTTGATGTGCTGTTGGATTCAGTTTGCTAGTATTTTGTTGAGGGTTCTTGTCCATATGTTCATCAGGGATATTGGGCTTTTCTTTTTTCATTGTGTCCTTGTCTGATTTTGGTATCAGAGTTATACTGGCCTCATAGAATAAGTTAAGGAGAATTCCCTCCTTTTTAATTTTTTTGGAGTAGTTTCAGGAGGATTGGTATTAATTATTTGTATATTTGGTATAATTTGACTGTGAATCCATCTGTTTGTTTGTTTGTTTTAATCCATCTGATTTTTAGGCTTTTGTTGTTGTTGGCTGTGAATCTATCTGGTTTTTGTTGTTGTTGTTGTTTGTTTTTCAGTTTTTGGTTTTTTTGGAACAGAGTCTCACTCTGTCACCCAGGCTGGAGTGCAGTGGCATGATCTCGGCTCACTGCAGCCTCTGCGCCTCTGCCTCCCAGGTTCAAGCCATTCTCCTGCCTCAGCCTCCCAAGTAGCTGGGATTATGGGTGCACACCACCATAACCAGCGTATTTTTGTATTTTTAGTAGAGATAGGGTTTTGTCATGTTGGCGAGGCTGGTCTTGAACTCCTCACCTCAAGTGATCTGCCCACCTTGGCCTCCCTCCCAAAGTACTGAGATGACAGGCATGAGCTACCATGCTCGGCTTTGTTTTTTTAGTTCCTTGAGGTGTAATGTTAGGTAGTTGTGATCTTTTTACTTTTTTTTAATTAAAAAAATTTTTTTTTAGAGATTGGGTTTTGCTATGTTGCCCAGACTGGTCTCAAACTCCTGGCCTCAAGCGATTCTCCTGCCTTGGCCTGCCAAAGTGCCAGGATTACAGGTGTGAGACACCATGCCCAGCCATCTTTCTACTTTTTTGATATAAGCATTTATTGCTATAACTTTCCTCTTAATACTGCTTTTGCTGTATCCTACAGGTTTTAATAGATTGTATTTTTATTTTCATTTGTTTCAGTTTTTAAATTTCTGTCAATTTTTTCATTGACCCAGTGATTGTTCAGGAGCATGCTGTTTAATTTCCACATATTTGTATGGTTTCCAGAGTTCTTTGTGGTGTTGATTTCCGACTTTATTCCACTGTGGTCTGAGAAGATACTTGATATGATTTCACTTTTAAAACATTTGTTAAGATTTGTTTTATGGCCTAATATTTGGTCTGTCTTGGAGAATTTTCCATGTGCTGATGAAAGAATGTATATTCTGTAGTTTTTGAGTAGACCGTTCTGTAAATGTTAAGTCCATTTTGGTCTAAAGTCCAATGTATGTCCAATATTTCTTTGTTTTCTGTCTCTTTGCTCTGTCTAGTGCTGTGAATGGGGTGTTAAAATCCCCACTATTATTGTATTGTTGTCTGCTCTTTCTTTAGGTCTAATAATATTTGTTTTGTGAATTGAGGTGCTCTGATGTTGGGTACATATATATTTAGGATTGTTACATCTTGTTGAATTGATCCCTTTGTCATTATATAATGACCTTCTTGGTCTTATTTTTATGTTTTTGATTTAAAGTCTGTTTCATCTGCTATAAGTGTAGCTACTCCTGCTCACTGTTGATTTCCATTTCTGTGGAATATTTTTTTCCACTTGTTTACTTTAGTTTTTGTGTCTTTATGGGTAAGATGAGTTTCTTGTAGGCAGCATATAGTTGGATTATTTTTTTTCAATCCATGCTGCTAATCTGTGTCTTTTAAGTGGACCATTTAATGCATTTACATTCAGGTTAACATTGATATGTGAGACTTTGTTTCTGTCATATTGATGATTGTTTTTGAGTTGTTTTATAAATTATGTTTCTTTTTCTCTGTCTTTTGTCTTTGTGGTTTAATGAAATTGCAGCATTAAACTATCAAAATGGTGCCAGCTATGACCTTGTGACCACAGAGGATGGGACCTCTCTTAGGTGAGCAGTATGAGCAAGAAGATGTGAGGAGTACAGTCCATTCAAGTCTTGGTCTCACAGCAGCCTATACCAGGGAATTAGGTATTGTCCTAGGTATGCATAGAAGAGCTTGGCTTCCCTGTCCCTCCTCTACCAGGTGGCAGCTGCAGCAACATCAACTCAAACTTGGCCCAAGGACAGGGTGCACCCCAGTATTAAATTCTGAAAATGCACTTGGGCCTGCCACCAGGGAGGGTAGAGCCCCTCAAACTACATATTTAAAGTGTGTTATAAGTTCTGACATATGTATACACCCATGAAACCATCACCACAATCAATATAGTGAACATAACCATCACCCCCAAAAGTTTATGCCTTTCATAATCCCTGCCTCCTGCCCTTGCCTATCTCTGCATCTCCAAAGTGATTATCACAAAAAGAGTGATCTGCTTTCTGCCACTGTAGATTAGTTTGCATTTTGTAGAGTTTCATGTGAGTGGAATCGTATGCACTCTTTGTCTGGCTTCTTTCACTCAGGATAATGATTTTGAGATTCATCGCTGTCATTATGTGTATCAATAATTTATTCCTTTTTATTGCTGAGTAGTATTCCATTGCATCACAATTTGTTTATCTGTTGATGGCCAGTTTGATTCTTTTCAGCTTTGAGCCATTACATGTAAAGGTGTTATGAGCACTATTGTACAAGAAATTGGAGGCATACATATTTTTTTCTGTTGGGTAAATTCTTCATAGTAGAATGGCTGGCTTATAGTTAGATACACATTTCACTTCTTAAGAATTGTTTATGTAGGTTTTCTGTGCTGCTTAACAAACTGTCACAAACAGTGGCTTCAAACAACATACCTCACATATTTGTGAGTCTGAAGTCCAGGAACAGCTTAGCTAGTTCTCTGTTTAGGGTTTCACCTGGCTGCGTTTAAGGTGTTGGCCAGGGCTGGGCTCTCATGTGGAGACTCAACTAGAGAAGAAGCCATTTACACTTTTGTGTATTCTTAGAAGAATACAGTTCCTTATAGCTGTAGTATTTATGTCAGCTTTATTCTTCAAAGCCAGTAAGAAAGACTGAGAGCTAGTGGACTAACAAGACAAAAGCCTATATAATATAACGTGATCATGGGAATGACATCCCATTACCTTTACCATTATCTATTGGTCTGAAGCAAGTCACAAGTCTTGCCCACACTCAGAGTGGGGGAATTACACATAGGCATGAACACCAAGAGGTAGGAATCATGCATGGGCCACCTTAGAGTCTGTCTACTACATGCCCCAATGATTCATGTTCTCCCACATGCAAAATACATTCACCTCACTCACGTGGTTTTCAAGAGTCCCATCCCATTGTAGCATCAGCTCAAAGGTCCAGAATCTTATCATCTAAATCAGGTCCTGGTGTGGATGATGTTCCTAGATGTAATCTATTCAGTACAGGTTCTATACACAATTTCTCTCCATCTGTAGATCTGTGAAACTAAAGAGACAAGTTGTCTGACCCCAACACACCCAACATACAAGAGTGGGACAGGCAAAGGATAATAGTTATAGATAGCACAGTTAAAAGGAGTGGGGAATGGAAGGTTAAAAAAAGGGTTCATAGCAATTCTGAAATCCAGCTGGGTAAATATTGGGAGTTCCATGACTAAGTTTCGAGACCTGGGACTAATCCTCTGCAGTTCTTTGCTCCATTCTCTGGGTGCCTGGTTTCACCCTCTGAATCATCTTTCATTTTTTCATGAAAGGTAGCATGTGTTTGTAGCTAAGTAGTTCTATCAGGCTGCTTCTTGCCAGTAGAACTTTGGGGGTCTGACAACCTTCTTCCATTTTGTAGTGACTCTGTCCCTTTAGTCCAAATTGGCAGTTTTTCTGTTGAAATAATTTTCTTAAAAACTTTTTGGCTCTTCATGGTATCAGTGGGGTTTACCAAATTAGACAAAAGCCATATCTGTATCTTTTCAGATAATTTCTTCTCTATCTTAGGGTCCTGCTTGAATGGCTGGCTGAGAGACAAAGCCCTTAAGTTTCATAAAGACTCTGTGGTTTGGTTAAGAGGATCTTTGAGATAAACCCTTAATCTCTTGAGAGAACCCTTTGTGTGAGTGAATACTCTAATCTTTTGATCTTTCTGAGATATTAGTAAAAGGTTGTCTACTCACACCTTTTTTTCTCTAGATCACTCTGTCCAATGTTAGCATCTTTCATCCTCTAGAGAGACCGAGAATTTTCAAAATCATCAAGTCCTGGTTACTTTTTGTTGAACAGTTTTCCCCTCAATTTATCTCTCTCATCTTACATTTTATTATAAGCAGCAAGAAAAAACTTAGGCCTCACTTTCAACACATGGATTGGGTCATCACTTACAAGTTGTGCTTTCTACGAGACTACAGGAGACCATTTCACTAAGCTTTTTGCCACTAAATAACAAGTGTCTCCCTCCAGTGGCCAATAACATGTTCCAGGTCTAGATTTCTGCTCTCAGTCTGTTCAGGGCAATTTATGCATTTTTTATCATGCTTCTCAAAATTCTTCCAACCTGTATCAATGAATAGTCAAAAAGGAAATTAAGAAATGAATTCATTTACAATAGTATCAAGAAGAATAAAATAAATAAATGTAACCAAGGAAGTACAAGACTTCCACACTGAAAACTATGTAATATTATAGAAAGAAATTAGAGGAGACCTAATGAAATGGAAAGACATCCCATGTTTACGGAGTTGAAGGCTTAATATTGTTAAGATGTTAACACTCCCCAAATAGATCTACAGTTTCAGTACAATCCCTATCAAAATTCCAGCTGCCTTTTTTTGTAGAAATGGGCAAGCTGATCCTGAAGTTCACATGGAAATGTGAGAGGCCTTGAATAGTCAAAACAATATTTCTAAAGAATAAAGTTAGAGGATTCACACTTCCTGATTTAAAAAGTTACTACAAAACTGCAGTAATCAAAACTGGTTGTGTGAAACTGGCATAAGGACAGACAAATAGATCAATGGAATAGAATCAAAAGTTCAGAAATACACCCACACATATGTGGCCAATTAGTTTTCAAGGGTGCCAAGATCATTCAATGGGAGAAGAATAGTCTCTTTAACAGATGATACTGGAACAACTGTATATTCACCTGTAAAAGAATGAAGTTGGATCCTGACTTCATACCATATACAAAAATCAACTCACAATGGATCAAGGACCTAAATTTGAGAGCCAAAATCATAAAACTCTCAGAAGAAAACAAAGGAGTAACTCTTCATGACCTTGGATTTGACATTACATTCTTTAGATATGACACCAAAAGCATGAGCAGCAAAAGAAAAAATAATTTGGACTTCATCAAAATGTAAAACTTTGTGCTATAAAAGACATTATCAAGGAAGCGAAAGACAACCTGTGAAATGGGAGAAAATATTTAGAAATCATATAACTGATAAGCATCTAGTATCCAGGGTAAAGAACTATAACTCAATAATAAAAGCTCAAACAACCCAATTTTAAAATGGGCAAATAATTTGGATAGATATTTCTCCAAAGAAGATACACCAATGGTCAATAAGCACATGAAAGACGCTGTACATCGTTAGTCATTAGGGAAGTGCAAATAAAAACCACAACGAGATACCACCTCATGCCCACTAGGATGGCTATGTGTATATATATTTTTAATTACATTTTATTTCTTAAAAGAAAAATAACAAGTGTTAGTAAAGATACAGAGAAATTGGAACCCTCATACATGGCAGTGGAAATATAAAATGCTGCAGCTATTGTGGAAACAATTTGGCAGCTCCTCAGAATGTTAAACACAAAATTGTCAAAAGACCAAGAAAATTCCACTCCTAGGTATATAAAAAAGAGAACTGAAAACATATATCCATACAAAAACTTGAACATGAATGCTCATAGCAGCATTATTCATAATAGCTGGAAACAACCCAAATGTCCATCAGCTGATGAATGAACAAAATTGGGTTTATCCATGTGTTGTGGGATGAATTGTTTCCCCCCTAAAATTCATATGTTGAAACCCTAACCCCCAAAGTGACTGTATTTGGAGACAGGCTTTTAGGGAGGTAATTCAGGTTCTGAGGTAATAAGAGTGGGCTCCTAATCCAATAGGGCTGGTGTCCTTGTAAGAAGAGGAAGGGACAGCGGAGATCTCTTTCTATTTACACGTGGAGAAAAGGCCATGTGAGGACAGAGAAAGAAGGTGGCCACCGGAAAGCCAGGACAGCACCTTGATCTTGGACTTCTGGCCTCCAGAACTGTGAGAAAATAAATGTCCATTGTGTAATCCACCCAATCAGTGCTATTTTGTTATGGCAGCCCTAGCAGACTAGTACACCATGCAATGGAATATTATTCAGCCACAAAGAGGAATTAAGTACTGATACATGTTACAACATGGATGAACCTTGAAAATATGCTAAATGAAAGAAGCCAATCACAAAGCACCATGTATATGGTATGATTCCATTCATATGAAATGTCCAGAATAGGCAGAGCCATAGAGACAGAGTTTAGTGGTTGCTGGGGGATGGATGAAGAGGGAAATTGAGAGGTACCATGTTTCTTTTCGGAGTGATAGAAATTTTTTGAAATTACATAGTGGTAATGATTGCACAACATTGTGACTATATTAGAAACCACTGAACTGCATACTTTAAAATGGTTAAAATGATGAATTTTATGTTATATGAATCTTATTTTTAAAAAAATTTTTAAAATTCTTTCAGCCTGAAAAATGTCCATTAATATTTCTTGTATGTGGGTCTGCTAGTGATTAACTGTTTCTTTTGTAGATATGAAAATTCCTTTATTTTGCTTTCATTTTTGCAAGATAATTTTATGAACTATGTGAATAGTTTGCCTTCTAGTACTTTTAAAATGCTGTCCATTTCTTCTCGCTTGCATTGTTTCTGAAAAGAAATTTGTTGTCATCCTTATCTTTGTTCCTTGGTGCATGTATTTTTTTTTCCTGGCTGCTAAGATTTTCTCTTTATCACTGGTTTTGAACAATTTGACTATGATGTGCCTTAATGTAGTTTTCCCCATGTTTCTTCTGCCTGGAGTTTGTTTAACTTCATAGATTTGTAGGTTTGTTTTCATTGTTTGGAAAGCTTTCAGCCATTATTTCTTCAGATTTTTTTTTCTGTCCCCCATCATCCGTCAGGACTTTGGTCACTCATAAATTAGTCCATTTGATCATTGATCCCTCAGGTAACTCATGCTTTAAAAAAATTTTTTTTGTATTCTTTTTTTTCTGTGTGTATTTCATTCTGGGCAATTGCTATTGTTATGCCATCAGTGTTCATTATCTTTTCTTCTACAACGTTGAATCTGCTCATTTAGTGTATTTCATGTGAGATATTGTCATTTTCATCTCAAAGTATGATTTGAGAGAGACATATATATTTTCCATGTCTCTATTTGATATTTTGAAAATGTGGAATAATTTGAATATCTGTGTTAATTCTAGGTTGGTTTCAGTTGATACTTCCTTCATTATGGCTTGTATTTTCCTGCCTGGTGATCTTTGATTAGATTTCATACATTGTGCATTTTACCTTACTAAGGGATGAATTTCTTTTTATTACTGCATATTTTCTTGAGCTTTGTTCTGAAATGCAATTAAGTTACTTGCAAACAGTTTGATCCATTCTGGTCTTTCTTTTATGATTTGTTAGGTCTGGAGCAATGTTCAGTCTAGAGCTAATTATTACCCACCTATGGAGGCAAGATCTTATTCTGCCCAGTGCTCCATGAATTGAGTTTTTCTGGTCTGGAGAGTGGGAACAGGCAGTATTCCTTGTTCCACGTGAGCAGCAAGTACTGTTCCCTTCTTTCACTTTTTTTTTTCCTAGCCTCAGGTGGCTTCTTCTCATATGTGCACTGATAGTACATTTTGAATGCTCAAATGATGCCCCACCCTCTGCAGATATCATGGGTTCTCTTCCTATTTCTCTTCTTTAAGATACTCTGTTCTATGAATCCGAGCTGCCTTGGTCTCTGGACTCTCAACTCAGGGAGTCCACCAGGCTGTGCCTCAGTTCCCACTCTTTATGCCATATCTTGGAAACTTTTTCAAGGCAATTGCAGGTCCAGTCTCATTTGTTTATCATCTCAGGGTTTACTGACTTTCATTATCTGATATACAGTGGTCTTGAAAGCCATTGTTTCATTGTTTTAGGAGAGTAAACCCAGTTCATGTTACTCCATCTTGGCTGGAAGCAGAAGTCCAACATTTTTAAACTTTTTATTGAATCACAGCTTGCCAAGAGTAAAAGGGAAAAAAAAGTTTTTATTGAAGTGTAATATACACATAGAAAATTACAAAGTAAATTTACATCAAGTAAGCTTGAGGATTTTTTGTCTCTACAAAAAGTAAAAATAATTAGCCAGGGCGTGGTGGTGCATGCCTGTAGTCCTAGCTACTCAGGGGACTAAAGCAGGAGGATCCCTTAATCCCAGGAGTTTGAGACTGCAGTGAGCTATGACTGTGCTAATATACTTCAGCCTGGATGACCGTGCAAGACCCTGTCTCTAAAAAGAAAAACAGTATGCTTTTATGACCAGCACCCAGATCAAGAATATTGCCAGTACTCCAGAAGCCTTTCTCATGCTTTCTTTCAGTCAGCTACTTAATCCGTACCCCCACAAGATAACCCCATCCTGACTTCCAACAGCACAGATTAATTTTGCCTGTTTTAAAATTTTGTAAGAATGGATTCATATAGTATATACCCTTATGCATCTGGCTTCTTTTATTCAATATTATATTTGTTAAATTCAGTTATGTTTTGCTCGCAACAAGTTTATTCCCATTGCTTATAGTGTTCCATTGTATGACTATATCACACCCTACTGTTGATGGATATGTGGGTGGTTTGTCTAGAATATAATACTATTATGAATATTTTTGTATATGTCTTTTGATGAACTTAAGTACTAGACGCATAAGGGTAGAATTGCTAGGTCAGAGGATATGCTATTCTAACTTCAGTGGATATGGCCAAAAAAATTTTCAAAGTGGTTATACCTACTTACAGCCTCTCCAGTATTGTGTGAGAGTTCCAGTTGCTCCACATTTGCCACACTTGATGTGTGGTCTTTGTGGGTTTGTTTTATTTTTAAGCCACTATGTTGTATGTGTGTTAGGTTTTTTTTTTTTTAAGCTTGTATTAGAGAATAGGACTAGCACTCTCTTTAAAATGAACTAGTTTATATTATATGAGGTTAATTTTTTTGAGACACAGGACAGGTGGTAATTAAAAGTCCAGAGTCATACCCAGACTCCCATAATAATAAACCCTGGTAATAAACAAAGGAACTCCTTCCAGTTTCAGTGTATCAACCACCACGTACCAGATAAAATCTTATTTCACCTTTCACAATTTACCAGTGTTGGGCTGTGAATTAATATTTTTATTTTTCTGTGCATTCATAAATTAAGATTATTTTATTGTATTGTAACTGTAATTTTGAGACTAAAGTCTAAAAACAAGACATCATGAAATGGAGCTGGAGGATCTCTAATTGGCATTTAGTAGGTTGACTGAAATACCTTAAAACAGGGGTCAGGAAACAACTGTCTATGCAGAGGCTGGTGGTAAAGATTTCAGTCTTTGACAACCATCCAGTCTCTGTTGCAACTACTCAACTCTGCCCTTGTAGCATGAAAGCAGCCATAAATAAGATGTAAATGAATGAGCTTGGCTGTGTACACTAGTACATACTCAGTACATATGTTCACCAAAAGATAGGTGCAAGAATGTTCATAAATAACTAGAAAACATACATCAGAAACTACCCACATGTCCATCAACAGTAGAATGTGATATATTCATACAATGGAATACTATACCACTATGAGAATAAACAAATGATTATTACAACTTTTTTTTTTTTTTTTTTTTGAGACAGTCTCGCTCCGTGGCCCAGGCTGGAGTGCAGTGGTGTGATCTCGGCTCACTGCAAGCTCCGCCTCCTGGGTTTAAGTGATTCTCCTGCCTCAGCCTCCCGAGTAGCTGGGATTACAAGTGCCTGCCACCACACCCAGCTATTTTTTGTATTTTTAGTAGAGATGGGGTTTCACTATGTTGGCCAGGCTGGTCTCGAACTCCTGACCTCAGGTGATCTGCCCACCTCGGCCTCCCAAAGTGCTGGGATCACAGGTGTGAGCCACCACACCCAGCCACACCGTTATTTTGAAAAACAGGCAGTAGTAACAGGTATGGGGTTTCTTTTTGGGGTGATAAAAAGTTATTGAACTAGATAGAGGTAAGGGTTGCACAACATCATGAATGTAACTAATGCTGCTGAATTGTATACAGTCCTGTGTGGCATAATGACACTTTGGTCAATGTTGGACCACATATATGATGGTCTCATAAGATTATAATGGAGCTGAAAAACTCCTATCACCTAATGCCATTGTAGTTGTCGTAAAGTCAAAGCACAACTCATTACTGATGTGTTTGTGGTGATGCTGGTATAAACAAACCTACTGCACTGCCAGTCATATAAAAATACAGCATAAACAATTATGTACAGTACATATACTTCATAATAAACGATTATGTTACTGGTTTATGTATATACTATATTTTTATCATTAGAGTGTTCTCCTACCATGTCTTTTAAAGTTAACTGTAAAATAGCCTCAGGTAGGTCCTTCAGGAGGTATTCCAGAAGAAGGCATTGTTACCACAGGAGATGACAGCTCCATGTGTGTTACACAACCTTTGAAGACCTTCCGGTGGGACAGGAAGTGTAGGTGGAAAACAGTGATATTGATGATCCTCATCCTATGTAGGCCTAGGCTAATGTGTGTGTTTGTGTCTTAGATTTTAACAAAAAGATTAAACAGTAAAAATTAATTAAAAAATAGGCAAACCTCATAGAATAAGGAAATAAAGAAAAAATATTTTTGTACAGTTGTACAGTGTTTGTGCCTTAAGCTGTTATTTCAAAAGGATCAAAAAGTTAAAAAAATAAAAAATTTATAAAGTCAAAAAGTATAACTAAGGGTAATTTTTTGAAGAAATTTTTAAAAATGTAGTGTAACCTAAATGTACAGTGTTTATAGACAGTCCAGTAATGACCTAGGCCTTCACATTCACTCACCACTCACTCAGTGACTCACTCAGAGCAACTTTCATTCCTGTAAGCTCCATTCATGATAAGTACCCTATACAAGGTACCTGTACCATTTTTATCTTTTGTACCATAATTTTATTGTACCTTTCCTATGTTCAGGCTTGTTTAAATATACAAATGCTAACCATTGTGTTATAGTTGCCCCCAGTATTCAGTACAGTAACATGCTGTACAGGCCTGTGCCTAGGAGCAACAGGCTGTACCATTTAGCTAAGGTGTGTAATAGGCTGTATCACCTAGGTTTGTGTAAATACACTCAGACTTCACACAACAGAATCACCTAATAATGCCATTCTCAGAAGGTATCCCTGTTGTTAAGTAACATGAGTGTAAAATGGTAAGTCATGTGTATTTTACCACAATAATTTTTTTTTTTTTTTTTTAAGTAGCAGGCCAGATTTGACCCATGGGCTATAGTTTGCCAACCCTGCTCTACAATGTGATCCCCATGAGAAGCAGTGGCATATAATGATTAAAAGTACAGACTTTGGGCCGGGCACAGTGGTTCACACCTATAATCCCAGCATTTTGGAAGGCCGAGGCGGGTGGATCATGAGGTCAGGAGATCAAGACCATCCTGGCTAACATGGTGAAACCCCATCTCTACTAAAAATACAAAAATTAAGCGGGTGTGGTGGCGGGCACCTGTAGTCCCAGCTACTTGGGAGGCTGAGGCAGGAGAATGGCATGAACGTGGGAGGCAGAGCTTGCAGTGAGCGGAGCTTGCACCACCACGTTCCAGCCTGGGCAACAGAGCGAGACTCTGTCTCAAAAAAAAGATACAGACTTTGTTGCCACACGACCTGGGTTTGACCACTGGGTCTGACACTAACTTTATTTAGATTCTTGGCTAGTTGCTTAACTTCTTTGAGCCTCAGTTTATCTATAAAATGAGTATAAATACTAATATCTATTTCATAGTATTGTTTAAGAAATAAACCAGTTACATGAAAGTATATAGAGTAGTTCCTGTAATATTTAAGAGCTCAATAAATGTTAGCTATTGTCATTACTTTTTATTATAATACCTGGAAGTACAGAAAGAGAACACTTGCAGTTTTGGCTTTGTCATGGACCAGTTGGTTCATTGTTGTTAGAACAAACTGACAGGTGCTGGTACAAACCTATCTCTATTATTAGAGCAACTTTCCCAACCTCTATGTGAAGAGAAAAGCCAAACTGCATGCAGGTTTGCAGTATATGCAGTAGGGCTACATGGTCTGTGAACTGTAACCTCAAAGTATATAAAACTCTGGTGAAATGTAATCACCTATTTATAACTTGTTTTTATAATGATTTTAACTTTTAATCAAGACAGTTTTAAAGTCTAAATTAATGAAGAAAAATATTTATTTTTTATTTTTATTTATTGAAACAGGGTTTCACTCTGTTGCCCAGGCTGGAGTGCAGTGGGGCCATCACAGCTCACTACAGCCTCAACTACCTGGGCTGAAGCTGTCCTCCCACCTCAGCCTCCCAAGTAGCTGGGACCAAGGGCACGTGCCACCATGCCCAGCTAATTTTAATTTTTTTTGTAGAGATGGCGGTCTCCTTATGTTGCCCAAGCTGGTCTTGAACTACTGGCCTCAAGCAATCTGCCTCAGCCTCCCACAGTGCCGGGATTACAGATGTCAGCCACCATGCCCAGCCTGCTTGGTCATTTGTATGGTGTCTTGCTCTTAGTCATATTTTCTATTTCTGCTTTTGTTTTACATTCTACATCTGTCAATTCCAATTTCTGAAGTCCTTGCTGATCCGACTATGCTGTTTCTGCCTGCTCTTTTTCAAGATGCCTTGTTTCTTCGTGGATGTGATTCTTAAAAGTGATTTCTAATCTCATAACTTTACCTGTGGGAATTGAGGTCTGGATTAATGAAGGTTTCCCTAGAGCTATACTGTCCAATAGAGTAGGCACCAGCCACGTTTGGCCATAAGTTAAAATTAAATTTAAAATTCAGCTCCTCACTCCCTAGCCACATTCTGAGTGCTCTATAGCTATAGGAGGGTGGTGGCTACTACCACACTGGACAGCACAGTTGTAAAATATTTCTGTCAACTCCAAAGGTATGTAGGACAACTGTGCCCTAGAGATCTTTTTCTCTTTCTGCCAGGTACCAGTAGGCATCATCAGCCTGGGAAACCACTTTCAACTAGTCTTGGTTTGAGGGGTTTTTTTGAACCATGCAGGTGGCATAAAATTGTACTGCAAAGATAAGTGAAGCCTTGTTTGAGATTATGAATTCTCAGGAGAGATCTTTTTTCACAATACTGTTGCTGTGGGCCAGAAGATTATCCATGGATAATATATCCTGTTCCTTTGCCCAGATGATGAGAGTAATGTTGCAGTTACCAGACCCGATTCAGAAAGTTCCTGTGTGCTGAGTGAACTACATCCTTTGGTGTTACCGCGAGTGCCACAGTCTAAGGTGCTGTACATTACCTCAAATCCGGTAAGCCCCAGAGGGATCAGTTGGAGACCCCAGGGCTACTCTCACCAGAGGAAATTTGCTCAGAGTTGTTTGCCTTACTTGTATGATTTCTGACTCAATATGTTTTAGTACAGTTATGTGTTTATCATAATAATCCAGTGACTCTTCGCATTGGTTTGTTTAAAATATTAATAGCAAATTAGAGTTGATAAATATTTCTCAGTCAGCTCTTCTAAGGAGGCATCTGTAAGTTGTGCAACCTAGAATCAACCATGTGGTCAGCCTAAGTCTGTTTTGGGAAGAATGGAGGATACCCTTATGATAAAAATGACTCATCTTAGATTCTCTATGGCCTTGACATTGTCCTTTGAACGCCTCCTTCCTTTTGAGTTTTTCCTTCCTTTTTCTCTCAACTTGGCCCACCCTGTTTATTTTTTATTTTTTCATTTTTTTTGAGACAGTCTCGCTCTGTCACCCAGGCTGGAGCGCAGTGGCATGATCTCGGCTCACTGCAACCTCCGCCTCCCAGGTTCAACCAGTTCTTGTGCCTCAGCCCCCTGAGTACCTGGGATTACAGATGTGCACCACCACTCGGCTGATTTCTGTATTTTTGGTAGAGACAGAGTTTCACCATGTTGGCCAGGCCCGTCTCGAACTCCTGGCCTCATGTGATCCACCTGCCTCAGGCTCCCAAAGTGCTGGAATTACAGGCATGAGCCACCACCGCACCTGGTCCCTGTTTGTTTTTTAGAGAGAGGAGTCTCACTATGTTGCCCAGGCTGGTCTCAAACTCCTGGGCTCAAGCCACCTTCCCACCTCAGCCTCCTGAGTCGCCACCATACCCAGGCTGTTTTTGTTTTTTAATATTTAAATCTGTTAACTTTTTTGCCTTTTGGATGTTTAGTACTCATAAACCAGGTATAAAAATCAAACAAAAACAAAGAGAAAAGCTATTTCAAGTGAGTCTGAACAAGCACAAAGATGGTATTTCTTGCAGGAGGCAGATGAGATTGGTCTTATCCCTGTGTAATGATTTATGTAGTCTCAGTTCCTACACAATAGTTTCCTGGTGTTACTTTTAAGGTGGAAAAAAAAAACCAGAGAAAGGTGTTGGCATATTGGCCAGATGTTATACAGCTGGATTTACAAAACAGGTATTTAAAAAGAAAATTAGGCCAAGGTGGGTGGGTCATTTGAGGCCAGGAGTTCAAGACCAGCCTGGCCAATTTGGTGAAACCTCATCTATACTAAAAATACAAAAACTAGCTGGGCATGGTGGCAGGCACCTGTAGTGCCAGCTACTCTGGAGGCTGAGGCAGGAGAATCACTTGAACCTGGGAGGCAGAGGTAGCAGTGGGCTGAGATTACGCCACTGCACTCCAACCTGGGTGACAGAGCAAGACTCCGTCTCAGAAAAAATAAGAGAAAATTATGAAGGCTCGTAAGTCACCACACCAGGGATGAACCAGGTAAATTAATGTTCCTTTTGTGGTAGTAAAGCACTGCTGCATGTTGAACTGGTGTGGCCGTGGTTTAGTGACCTAAGCCCTGAATAGTTAGACGTTCTGGTCGCTGATGACCTAAGAAAGGAGAAGAGTTAATTCAAACATTCTGAAGAGAAAGAGGAAGGAAAATACATTCTGTGGCAGCGGAGACTGCCAGAAAAGCCAATGAGCTGATGACCTGAGAAAACAAGCAGGGCTCTAGGGGGGCAATGCCAGTCCAAGAAACATTACATCCTGCTAAAATTAGAACAGATAAGCTTACCTCCTAGTACAGAGTCTTCAGGATTTAGGTTATCATTGAGGGCTGACCTGCTCCACAGGTAGTGAAAGAGAAGGATTAGTTTGTACAGAGTGCAGGATTGTGTGATGATGAAAGAGATTAAGTTACAGTTTCCCCTTACTATTTTCTATTATTGTTCCATATTTTGTCTGTGAGTTTTCTCTTCTATTTTAATGTAAACAATAATAATAAAGGTCCTCACTCCCTGTAAGAGGGCTGTTAATTGTTTTCATCCAGATTGATCAGGCTTCCCCTACCTGCTGTCATTTAGGAATGGAGAGGAAAGGAGGGACCCTATCACATGGACAGTTGACTTGGGGCCCCAGCTACGGGCCCCAAGATGTTATAAAAATTAAAGCATGGGGAAAAAGTATAAATAACCAAATTGGAAATATTAACTTTTGGCAAAGTTGGAAAACCAAACAGGTATCTTCTCCAACCGATCAAGAGTACTGTCTTCTTTCAACACGTAGATGAGTCTCTGTCAAGCAAGCAGACATCAGCCAAATGTGAATGATCTCTTGGTTCATGGAATGCCTCTACAGCCAAGAAATCTCTCCCTAATGGACAAGCTCCTGTAAGAAGTTCAACATTTTCAGACTATACAGTGTAAAAGGGAAACAGAGGGAAAGCAAAATCAGTTTATCAGTATGCATGTATTGAGTGCCAACCAAGCAACCACAAAAACTCCTGGGGAGTAAAACATCCAAGGGACATGGTCTCCACCATCAGGGGGCTGATAATGTAACTGGAAAGAGAAGACATACGTGGGTAAAAAAAGACCTAACCATATGTGGCATTTTTGTAACTGAGTGCCATGTGCGTGCTGTCCAGAATGAGTGCTATGACAGCCCCAAAGCATTCTGGTGGGTAAGTGTAGGTTTTGAACTTGTCCTTGAAAGATGGGGCTTTGGATAAGCAAAGGAGAGCAGCAAGGGCATTCTAGGTAGGAGGAATGATATGGGGAAAGGTTTGGGGATAAGAAAATACAAAATATTTAGGAAAGATAGCAGATCACTTTTGACATAGAAGAACGGAAAATAGGTCAGAACTTTAATGCTTCTGATCAAAGATAATTGACAATCTTCTAGAATTAAAATAGACCATGGTGTGATTAGCGGGAAAGAAGTGACTATGGAACTAATGAATGTTAGGACCAGATTGTGGAGAGTTTTGAGTGTCAGGTTTTTGGGATTCATCCACGTTGTTGTGTATGACCTCCTCCCTTGCTGAGGAGTATTCTATTGTAATACACACAATTTATCCATCTGCTCTCCTGTTAATTAATTAACAAGGGTCATTTCCAGGTTAGAGGTATTACACATAATAAAGTTACTCTAAATATTCTTGTATAGGTCTTTTTTGTGGTTTTACGGTCTCATTTCTCTTGAGTTGATACCTAGAAATGAAAGGGTCATAGCACAGGTATATGTTTAGTTTCATAGGAAACTGCCATACGATTTCCCAAAGGAGTTGTACCATTTTACACTCCTTCCAGCAATGTATGAATTTTGGTTTGGGAGCACATATATTTAAATCAGGAATCTGAAAGATCGATTTCACCATAGTGTAAATGGATGGAGTGGAAGGAACTGAAGGTAAGGGGTCAATGCAGGAGTCCACGCATGAGCTACTAAGGGTCTGCACTCAAGCGGCCACACAGGGTGAGAAACGAATGAGCTATTTTGGGAGTGAAATTTAAGTGAAATTCTATAGAAATAGAGGAATCAAAGTTATCTCGATTTCAAGCTTGAGGGAAGCCTCTGTTGGCGGAAAAGATGGGTTTCTTCTGGGGTGTGTTTACAGTGAGGGGCCATCTCACTGGCAATGTGGAAGAGGTCGGATCTAGAGACCAATCTAAAAGTCACCTGGCTAGAGAAGACAATCAAATCCAGAAGTTCATAGAACAAAATAAAGGTGAACATAGGGCAGCTAAAGCCTAAACATTTTGTAATTAGAAAGCAGTTAGGGTGTGTTAAAAAAAAAAAAAAGGCATAAGTGAATTGCTAGAGAGGCAGGAAGACCAGAACAGTCTCCAGGTTTAGCCCTGTTCCTTGATGGGCAGCATCCCTTCAAAGTCCTCCAAGCACGGTGCCATGTTTTGCACTAGAGGACACCAAAGTGGCCTGAAAGGTTGAGGAACTTGCTGAAAGCTATAGGAGCAAATGGCAGAGCTTAGCTGCGTTATTCTTTCACTTCTCTTCCATTTAATTGTGCGGATACTCTTAGATGTCTTAAAATAGTCAAATGTCCTCTCACTTGCTTTAAAAGAAAAAAAAATACACACCTGAATCTGTAGGGCAGTATTTAAGCTACTGAACTGTTTAGGTGTGGTATTATTTTATTTATTGGACGACTTACAGAAAAGGGTTGTATTTCAGTTATTTATGCAAATAGGGCTACTGTGGTCCCAACAGCTCTGGCTCTGGGCAGCACAAGACCCTTTGCCCACTCCCAGCTTTCCAAAGAACCCAAACCCAAATCCCTGCCAGCTCCAACTTGCTCAGCACTTTAATTGCTACAGTGGGAGCCACACTGGTGCCACAACTGCTCCCAAGCAGCAATATTTGTCTTTCAGTTGTCTTTCTGGTGACAATCTTTCAGCACAAAAGAATGCCTCAAACAGAGTAGGAATCAGCCCCTGTGGCAAATTTTTGGGAAGCACTTTGGAGTAGGTGTCCTTCAGGCTTGCCTTCACTGGTGACTAAAAAAGTGACTGTGATGGCAGGTGGATAATGGACTTGCTTTGCCAAATGTCCATTCTAGTAAATTATGTTTATGATTGAAATAATGTCCCACTTTTAAGAACAGATTCTCATGCCTGAGCTAGAGTACCATCTGGAAACTAGTGTTACTTATTGAAAGGTTTTTATTTTTGCTTTATTTCCCCCTAAATGTAGTTTCTAGTCTAAGGCTTTTTACCCCGTTAGTCTTGTCTTCCTTGACATACTGATCTTTACTTCATTGTGGGTTTCTGATTTGGCTACTAGAGATCTTGATGACAAGCTACTTATGAGGCCTGGGTCCAGTACCATCCTTTCAACTCGAAATTGGCCAAATCGAGCTGTGGAGTTTAGTACATCATCTCTGTCATACACAGTGCAGTCCACCAGGAGACGCAATCCACCACCACGAACTCTTCATCCGATCAGCACGAGCCATTCATGTGCTGAAACACCAAGATCTGTGGAAGAAATCCTCAGAGGAGCCCGAGTGTAGGTTTCAAAAGCAGAACTTCTGGAAACCGTGGTAAAACTAACACATTTTACATACAGAATTAATTTAAATATAAGACTGAAATCTATGCCTAGAAACTAATCATTAAGTAGTCTTATGACAGATTGCCCATGGGTTTAGATCCAACACAAAATTTTTTAATGTGGTTAAATTTTATTTTATTTTATTTTTTTAGATACAGTCTCACTCCTGTCGCCCAGGCTGGAGTGCAGTGGATGATCATGGCTCACTGCAGCCTCAACTTCTGGGCTCAAGTGGTTCTCCCACCCCAGCCTCTCAAGTAGCCGGGACCACAGGCGGGTGGTGCCACCATGCCAGGTTAACTTTTTGTGTTTTTAGTAGAGACAGGGGTCTTGTCATGTTGCCCAGGCTGGTTTCAAATTCCTGAGCTCAAGCAATCTGCCTGCCTCAGTCTCCTAAAGTGCTGAGATTACAGGTGTGAACCACCGCACCCAGCAGGGGTTAAATAATTTTAATGAAATAGATATTGAATCTTTCTGTTGATCTAGCTAAAGAGTTCTATTTGTAAAAATAAAATGTTGGCTAGAATACTATATTGGGGTTACAAAAGGAATAAAGAACCTATTTATTTAATCAAACATTTTCCGTGCTGGGAACATATTCAGTGAAATTCACTCCAAAATAATAGTTAATTCCCCTTTAAGGTTCTTCTGTACCATTGGGATCTGCTTATTCCATTGACAATGAAAACTTCATAAACCTCAGATAAGTAGTTGCTTACATACCAGCAAAAATATCCCTTAGCACTTCCTAGGAAGTGACACTAAAAGTAATCGCCTTTCCCACCCTTCATTCACTACACACTCTGAGCCTCATCATGCAAAAATACCTAGGAGCCAATTTTAAACATAGAATTCTTTTAGCTGTTGATTCACAAAATGTCTTAGGATGATTAATTTCTAAAAATATCCTCAAAGGTATGAGATAATAAGGCCACAGCAGTGTTTTCAATGCGGCTTCCAAGTTAAGCATTATTATGTGGATGTAGCTATATCTATACCAACAGAGCTATAAATGCATTCATTTGGGGATGAGTAGTCTTGATGTATAATTAATCTCTCATTCCTTCTGACAGTACTTTTTTTCAAAGTTGAAAAGTAAGTTGCTTTGTTACTTCTGGGACATGAAAGTATCATTCAGTTTCAATTACTGTCTTAAGGATAAGGAATACTGCAAGCTGCTCCAGATCCTACTGAAGGGAATGAAGGTTTAGGAACTTTACCCGAGAACTATAGTTATTAGGGAAAACGATAACCAGAAGGTCCAGAACTGTCAAGAATTCCATCATCAGCTGGGAATTTACAAATCCAAATCAGCAGAGAAGTGCAATACCAGATAGGGACAAATGTTTTATTCCAGTTCTGTGGGAGAGAAAAGGCCAGCTTCTGTTGTGTACCCAGAGTATAGAGCTTCAAAACAAAATCAGAAAACACTATTTTAAAAACTAATTTTCCAAAAATCCTGAGATCTCTACTTGAAAACATAGGTAGCCTAAAGCTTTCTGTGCACATTAAACTCATCTGCTTCATTTATCTGATTTCTAATCAATTTGCTGGTATTGTTATAACTTCATGCTTTCATACCTTCGTGTTTGTTGGTGGGATCTGCAGCCCAGTGGCACCCGACTCGCTCTCCTCTCCCTCACCGACGCCCCTGAGTCGAAATAATCTGCTACCACCTATTGGCACAGCTGAAGTGGAACATGTGAGCACTGTGGGGCCACAAAGACAGATGGTATGTTTCTTTCATATTGCCTCTCCATGTACTTACCATACAACCTAATGGGCAGTAATTCTGCAGGATCTGTGCCCTGATCTTGATTTATACTGTGTTTTGTCAAAAGTACAAACACAGTGCTAATTTATGACGTGGAATTGGAGCTGTTTGGCCTGCACTTACCATATCTGCCATGGTCGATAGGGTTTTAACTACATACCACATTACAGATAGTTTTCACTGTTTCTGTAACTTTTGTCTCCTCTGCAGAAACCCCATGGCGACTCTAGTCGAGCTCAAAGTGCGGTGGTGGATGAACCTAACTATCAGCAGCCACAAGAAAGGCTCCTTTTGCCCGACTTTTTCCCCAGGCCCAACACAACTCAATCATTTTTGGTAGAGTGACGTACTTCCTAGAATGGTCTTGATAGTTGGGGAAAGAAAAGGTGGGGGGAATAATAGTTTGGCAGACTTAAGATTTTATCTAGAGGCTTAACCCAGAATAAAAGTTGAGTTTCCAACAATAAAAAGTGTTATAAATACATTTTGTTCAAATTCTAACTAGTCCCTGATGCCTATTCTTTAATGCCTTATACAGAAATCACAAATATTCTAAGCAATTTAACACTTAAGATATGTCTGACCACAAGCAAGAATATTAAATCCCAGTACACATCAGATAAGCATAACTTTATTATGTAATCCTGTTCTTCTGGAATTACATCAAAAGTGGTCTCAGATTATGATGAGTCCTGGTGGATGAGTGAGTTGGGACTTTAATAAAAAATTTTTTTCAGAAGCAGGCTCTTGCCATGTTGCCCAGACTAGACCTGGAACTCCTGGGCTCAAGCAATCCTGCCTTAGCCTCCCGAGTAGCTGGGACTACAGGTGCACACCACTGTACCCAGCTTAGGACTTTTTCTTTCTACTGGTGTTTTAAATGCTGACACTGCCTACCATTTATTAGGCATTTACTAGCCCTTTTAAGTAATAGAAAAAACCTGATCAGCAATGGGGTCATGCACTGACCCTCCCCATTTGTAGGCTGGGAGCTCGACCCCACATAATCTGCTTTGTGGCAAGAGCACTTGGAGAGCCTGGGGAAGTAACCAGGGACCCCACATCCTGACAGTTTTCAGGATGGTAGTGTTTGCAGCACACTTGTCCCAACTCATGACCCTTGAACCACAGCAGGCTAAAGCACTGCAAAGTTTTTCTTCTATGAGAAGAGTGGTAAGGATAATCAATATCAGACCTCTGTATTAGTTTCCTAGGGCTTAAGAAATGACCAAACAACTGGGTGCCTTAAAACAGCAGAAATTTTTTCCTCACAGTTCCAGAGGCGAGAAGTTCAAAATCAAGGTGTCAACAGAGCTATGCTCCCTTTGCAAGGTCTAGGGAAGAATCTTTTTGTCTCTTCCTGGATTCTGGTGGCCACCTGTGATCCCTGGTGTTCCTTGGCTTGCAGCTGCATCACTCCCAATTTCTGCCTTTTTTTTTTTTTTTTTTGAGACGGAGTCTCGCTCTGTCACCTAGGGTGGAGTGTAATGGCGCAATCTCAGCTCACTGCAACCTCTGCCTACTGGGTTCATGTGATTCTCCTGCCTCAGCCTCCCGAATAGCTGGGACTACAGGTGCCTGCCACCACGCCCAGCTAATTTTTGTAATTTTACTAGAGATGGGGTTTTGCCATCTTGGCCAGGCTGGTCTCGAACTCCTGACCTCATTATCTGCCCACCTCAGCCTCCCAAAGTGCTGTGATTATAGGTGTGAGCCACTGTACCCGGCCTTTTTTTTCTTTTCTTTTTTTTTTTTTTTAAGACAGGGTCTCACTCTGTTGCCCAGGCTGGAGTGCAGAGCACAGCTCACTGCAGCCTCAACCTCCTGGGCTTAAGTGATCATCTCACCTCAGCCTCCTGAGTAGCTGGGACTACAGGCACATGCCACCATGCCCTGCTAATTTTTTTATTTTGTAGAGATAGGGTGTCACTATGTTGGCCAGACTGGTCTCAAACTCCGAGGTTCAAGTGATCCTCCCACCTCAGCCTCCCAAAGTGCTGGGACTACAGGCATGAGCCACATGCCCAGCCTGCCTCTGTCTTTACATGGCTTTCCTCCCTGTGTGTCTGTGTCCAGGGTTCCCTCTTCTTATAAGATACCAGTCGCTGAATTTAGGGCCCACCCTAATCTAGTGCGACTTTACCTTAACTTGATTTATCTGCAAAGACCCTATTTCCAAACTTGGTCACATTCACAAGTTCCAGGTGGACATAAATTTTGAGGGAACACTGTTCATTCTAGTAGACCCCACGAGGCTGACTTAGGGAGAAACTCACCAAAAACAAGAAAAGGAAACATGAGCATTTCTGATTCTTGGGGTTCAGTGTGAACCCCAGAAAGTTTGAGAACTTCTACTGAATTTGCCTTCTTATAATCTGACACAGGACATTTATTAAGTAGTACTTGATGATTATATTACACAGCTAGATTCTCTGAAACTTTTTTTTTTTTTGAGACGGAGTCTTACTCTGTCGCCCAGGCTAGAGTGCTGTGGTGCAATCTCAGCTCACTGCAGCCTCCACCTCCTCCTGGGTTCAATCGATTCTCCTGCCTCAGCCTCCTGAGTAGCTGGGACTACAGGCACCTGCCACCATGCCCAGCTAATTTTTGTATTCTTTTAGTAAAGACAGTGTTTCTCCAAGTTGCCCAGGCTGGTCTTGAACTTCTGACCCCAAGTGATCCACCTACCTTGGCCTCCCAAAGTGCTGGGATTACAGGCGTGAGCCACCGCTCTCAGCCAAACATTTCATTTTTTTTAAGAGACAAAGTATCTCGCTACATCACCCAGGCTGGAGTGTAGTGGTGCAATCAGCACACTGCAGCCTCAAACTCCTGGGCTCAAGTGATCCTCCCACCGCAGCCTCCCAAGTAGCTGGGATTACAGGTGTGCACCTCTGCACCTGGCTAAAAACATTTAATTTTTGATTGCCTTAGGAATAAAACTGAACAGATGAAAATGTTTCAGTCTTCTCTTTAAGTTTATTAAAAAAAAAGTAAAAATTACTTACCATTTCTCTCCCCATTTGCTGTCATAAAAAGGGAGATAGCTAGTTGTTTAGTTTATTAGGAATGCTAGCTGTGAGCCGGCTGCAGTGGCTTACACCTGTAATCCCAGCATTTTGGGAGGCTGAGGTGGGCAGATCACCTGAAGTCAGGAGTTTGAGACCAGCCTGGTTAACATGGTGAAACCCGTTTCTATTAAAAATACAAGAAAATTAGCCAGGCATGGTGGTGCATGCCTGTAATCCCAGCTACTCGGGAGGCTAAGGCAGGAGAATTGCTTGAGCCCAGGAGGCAGAGGTTGCAGTGAGCCGAGATCGTGCCATTGCACTCCAACCTGGGCGACAGAGCGAGAAGACTCTGTCCCCCCACAAAAAAAAGAATGCTAGCTGTCCTGGGCCTGGCACTACAGACTAGCACTTTGCTCCTTGCTGTTTTCATCTAGAATAGGGGCCAGTAAACTACAGTTCCTGGGCTACTCACTTGGCCTACCGCCTTGTTTTGTAAATAAACTTTTATTGGAGCAGTGCCACCAAGCTCATTTATGTGCTATCTATGGCTGCCTTCATACCATAACAGCGAAGCTGAGTAATTGCAACAACCACCCTATGGTCCACAAAGCCTAATATAATAACTATCTGGCCCTTTGCAAAAAATAAGTTTGCTGACCCCTGATCTCTAAAATATAGGGGCTTCACCAGAAAAAGCTTCCTGAAATCTCTTGATTTCAGTGCTCTCTCAAGGGAACTACTGGGGGATGTTTTTATTCCAGAAGCCCCAGCAGGATGTCATATATAGCTTTATTTGATATTTGCATTTTAATATTGTAGTCGTATCTCTACATTTTTTAATTCCTTGAGGTAACTGTGAAATATTTGCATTTCATAATGCTAAAAAGTAAATGTAAAGTTAAATTTCGATATGGTGGTAAAGTCATAAGTATTTCAATGTTGCTGAAAAGGCTGGTTGTTTTAAATGAAAGCATTCATTTAAAATATATGCAGCAGCCAACAAAAAGAAATGAGACGAACCCCCTTAGAACTAACTGAAATATTAAACCATATGGATTATTTATAACTCCTGATTTCCTTAACGGCATAGTAATAATATTGAAGAATCTGCAATTTTTACAATAAATGGCTTTGTGGGCATCTGGCTTGGGATTTTCTACTTGAAATTCAACCCAGTGCACTCAGCTGACTTTTCCCTCAAGTTGGTAGTCTATGCCTTTTACCACTGTTGATTTCAAGGTGTTCCTGTGAACCTGCTAAAATATTATCCTTTGTGAGAAGATGCATCATAAGAAGTGTCTCCTCTTTTGTCTTGTAGCTGGATACACAGTATCGTCGCTCATGTGCAGTTGAGTATCCTCATCAGGCCCGACCTGGCAGGGGATCTGCAGGTAAAGGTGGGGCCATGGCCCTTATTTACTACTGTGTGGTTGTGTTAAGACCCAGCCTTTGTCTTTTTTCCTACACCTATTTCCCCTTCTTTCAGATTTTCTTGGATTTAATGTTTTCCCACATCTTTGTAAATCACCTAAAATTCATTTTGGAACATGGGGTATAATAAAAAGCTAGGAGAGTTCTATTGCTCAGAGCCAAAAAGTTTCAGATTCCTATTTTCTTCATACCATGTAAATTAACTTCTCACTACTTTGGTAAACTGCCTTTTTTTTTTTTTTAAATCTAAAAAGTTCAACCCAAATTAGTCCTTGTTGTAATGTTCAAAATATTCTTTAAGAACATAGCATGGATTTTATTATGCAGGCAAAATCCATATTCCTATGGATTAAACTGCTTTGATCAGTTAATCTGTTAGGCCAAGGTAAGAAAAGAAATTCTAAACCATCAGGATATGCTGAGTCTGATTCTATCGCATTAACTCTTTTTATCTTTAAATTATACTCTGTAGATGTACTAACAAAGAAGTGATGGGAGAAAATTGAGGGATGTCTTTTTTGAGACAGTCTCACTCTGCTGATCAGGCCAGAATGCAGTGGCATGATCATGGCTCACTGTAGCCTCGAACTCCGGGGCTCAAGGGATCCTCCCACCTAAGCCTCCCACATAGCTAGGGCTACAAGCAGTGCCACCATGCCCAGGTAATTTATTTTTTGTAGAGACAGGGTCTTGCTATGTTGCCCAGGCTGCAGGATGTCTTAATTCTTCCTGTGACAGTCTTCTCACCACCATCAGGGTCATTCTTATTATGCTGAAGGTAAATTTAGAAGTAATGGACAGCTGAGATGTTTCCTGTTAATGATCAAAATAATCAGCAACTATGGTAAAAAACTAGTCTGCCTCAAACCATCTTTGTAGTCCAAGTGATTTCTCAGCTCAGTTCCCCGCAGCATTGTCTGGTAGTCTTTGAATGCTTTTGTCAGATTATGCTTTCAGATCTGCATTTGAGCTACAATTTCAGCCACATTGAAAGTCAGGTATAACTGGCTGGGCGTGGTGGCTCATGCCTGTAATCCCAGCACTTTCGGAGGCCAAGGCGGGCGGATCACGAGGTCAGCATATTGAGACCATCCTGGCTAACATGGTGAAACCCCATCTCTACTAAAAATACAAAAAATTAGCCGGGTGTGGTGGCAGATGCCTGTAGTCCCAGCTACTCGGGGGACTGAGGCAGGAGAATGAGGTGAACCTGGGAGGCAGAGCTTGCAGTGAGCCGAGATCATGCCACTGCACCTCCAGCCTGGGGGGACAGAGTGAGACTCCACCTCCAAAAAAAAAAAAAAACCTCAGGTATAACTTATGTAACACTGAAGTGGAAGTGAGTAAATCAGACATCTTGCTTCTTTTTAATTAGTGGGCTCTTCTACAAAACTAGTTTACTGCTTTCATACCTTAAGAAAGTCCAATTCATAATTGGAGCAAAAAAGCCCTTAGCTATAAACTTGAGAGTGATTATCAAACCTAGACTGTCTACTAATGTTACTCTATGTCATCTGACAGGTCCTCAGTTACATGGGTCTACAAAATCTCAAAGCGGAGGCAGACCAGTCTCTCGAACCAGGCAGGGACCATAAGGCAAATGAGAAGAATCTATCAGGCTGCAGGAAACACGAGATTTCATGAAGCAGTATTCAGTCATCAAGTGATGCAGAGCTTGTATAGAAGATCGACTAGAAATCATCTTCATGAAGAGTGATTTTGGCACAAGTGACCGAAGAACAAAACACCATAGCAGCCAAAAATGACATGAGTGTTGTTTCTATCTCCAGTTACTGTCTCTTTCAGCAGAAATTAACCTATCCCATTGGAAAGGCAAGTTTGTACCCAAAGATGCAACAGTGAATAATACCCAAATCACTGCTCATGTTATCTCTTAACAATGATCAGTTCAATCATATAGGATTTGATGAGCTCACACATACACAAAAAGCAGCAAATCATCAGTGACAATATCACTGGCTTCAGAATACTTCAGCCTGTGTTCATTTCTGGAGAGTTGTACTCAGTTTTAAGTCATTTTGCTGTTGAAAATCTGACCTCATCAAATAGATGTCATTCCTAAAACTCTCTTTAGATGTCCTACCCTATCAGCAGATTAAAATGGAAGGGGTGTGTAACTAAAAACATAAATGTTAAGCATTAGTATAAAGTAACTTCTGTAATAAATTATATCGCATATTTTTTCAGATAGGACAGCTCAACCTTACGATGCCTACCTGATGCCAGGTGATGCTTATTTTCTTCCTAAAGTAGGTTACTGGTCATATCTTTTTTCCAAATATTAAATGCACCTTGCCAGATATTCTCCTGCAGCTCTAAGGAAAGGAAATCAATTTAAAAATAATTTGTAGAATCTACTATTGAGCCACCAAAGTATAATTCCCTAAAAGTTTAAGAAACCCTGGCAATTAATTCAGCATAAACATATCCTATAAACAGCAGGAGAGGTTCAGCTTTCTGATTTTACTGTGGACCTTTTCCTAAGGGCATTCATGAATGCAGCAACAGTTTTAACTATGGCTTACATTTATTTTAAATTTCACTAAATACAAATCTTGATTGTCATGCCAGTTTTAGATCTTATTAATTTTCAGAATGGATAAATTCAAATAATCATAAATTACGGTAACTTTTTATTATACCAAGGTGTTCTAATGCCATCATATGAAGACAGATGCTTCAAACAACCTGCATTAAATTATATTTTTAATAAAATTAAAATCTATTTTTAACCTATTTGTAGTCACAAACCGAAAACGTGTCGTCTTTACCTTAGAGCTAAAGGCTTACTTTATGCATACGGTATATTTAATAGTCTACAAATCAAAGATTTAAACAGTCCCTTAAAAATTCCATATATTCTCATACCAACTCATCTACATAGAAATGAAAATCTCTATTGTTCTCACAAACCATTACCATGAGTTCACTATAACAACTGGATCAATATGGCTTGCCTTTCAAAGTTAAAGAATCAGAAAGGGGCCTGTAAGAAGTCATTTAGCCCAATTCCCTCACCCTGTGTGTTTTCCCTCAAAGCCAGTGCAATTTTTTTTTAACCAAAAAACTGGACATGTTTAATACATACAGTTTGACAAATTTGGATTTCACTCTTTGTTTTGATGTAGTAACTCTTTTATAAAAGGGAACAGATTCAGACAAGCTCAGTGGCCCAACTGAAGACATTCAGCAATTAATGGCAGGACTTCAGTAATCAGTGGCAGGACTACAACATACATCTCTTCATGCTAGGGAAACCAGGCTCTCTATTATAAAGCTGACCAGGGCTATTGTTTTCCCCTTTTCTCTCATCCTAAACACCATTCATATTTTTCCTAGGTCACATTTTAGTGGGATCATTTACAAAGCCCCCAGAACTTAATCATCATGTTTTACCTTTTTTATTGAATTATATACACCTCTTACAAAAATGCTTGAAGTAATTTAACACCTGTACATCAGTACAAAACCTGGCTGAGTAAAATGAAGAGAGGATCTATTCAAGATCATTAAGACCAAATGTAAACTGGGAAGTATGTGGAAGATAGCTGTCCAGCAAGTGTCTGGAAGGTGTTCTAGCTGGGTAGAGAGCCTATTCTAACAGACACGCACATCGCAGAAAGCAGCATGAACAGAACCACATCCTAGATAAGAGTTCTGTGTACAGAAGATCCATGGAGGCAAGTGCTGTCAGGAAGGACACTGCCTCCCTCCACCCTCCCAAATGTCACCACCAAGTTCCTTCAGGTGAGACCTCACACAATGTCAAGTGCTTTCTAGGAAATACTAAGATCAGGTTGAGAGATTCTGCTTGGTCTAGTCAATCTGAAAAATTCAGGCTGGAAAGACACCTTTTCTCAAGAGCTGAATTGACTTTTGCCTTCAAATCCTGCCTGCACCTTGCCTACGATGGCATCAATTTACACCTAAGGACCTTTGAAGAGAAAAATTCCATTATTTCTTTTCTTTCTTGAGAGCAGATTTTTTCCCTCCTCCTTTGGAAGATTTGCAGTACTTTGCTTCCATCTGAGCCAGAAAATTGTCCATTTCCTTTTGCCGATCCTTTTGTCTGCTCTGTTTGAGAAGTTAAAACACAAGCTTTCACAACATTATCCATAGACAGAAAGTACCTAGTGGTTGCCAGGGGCTGGAAAAGTGGAATAACTACTAATGGGTATGGAGTTTTTTTGGAATGGTGAAAATGTCCTACAATTGGTGTTAATAATTGTAAAACTTTGTAAATACACTTAAAACCACCAAATTGTACACTTTAAAAGGACAAATAGAAGGTATGCGGTTATGTCTTAAAAGAAGAAAACAAAATACAACATTCCAAAGAAAATATTAGCAGTAGGAATCAGATCATTAAAGATGTGGCAACAAACTGCCAAGTTTACCTGAATGGCTGCCTTCAGGCTATCCACGCCTTCATCAAGCCCCAACTCCTTTCTGCTCATTTCTGCTTCTTTGGCCTCTTCCTGAGCCTGAAACAGGAACTCACATGAGACTCAGGGCCACCAGGAAATGCTTAAAATACATACTCTTTCCCAAAAGCAAATCTATAATTCTGTTTCAATTTTATGAATATATGAATAGACAAAATGAATCGAATTACATAACTATGTCATTCATTAAATGGCAACAATGCTGACAGCAAGCAGTAGATCCTCTGATTCCAATTACCATTTGTTTTTTACCCAATTCTATTTGCTAGAGGTAGTAAGTACTCTGGCACTCATAAATCACATGATGATAAAAAGGAACATGAGGCCGGGTATGGTGGCTCACAACTGTAATCCCCATACCTTGGGAGGCCAAGGTGGGAGGATCACTTGAACTCAGGAGTTCAAGACCTGCCTGGGTAACATAGTGAGACCTCAGTTCTATAAAAAAGAAAAGAAATGAGCCTGGTGTGGTGGCATGTGCTTGTAGTCCCAGCTACTAGGGAGGCTGAGGTGGGAAGATGGCTTCAGTCTGAGAGTTCAGGCTGCAATAAGCTGTGATCATGCCTCTGCACTCCAGCCTGGGTGATGGAGATGCCATCTCTTAGAAAAAAGAGAAAAAAAAAAAAAAAAGGCAAATGATGCAATTGCCAGGATACAGGTATTTCCAATTTCTCTCCTGGAAACCCAATTTACTCCATGGGACTGGTGGTGCCTTGTGAACAACCCCAGTTTAAAATGACTTCTCCCCAGTAGTCAGAAGAACCAACATCAATAAACTCAGTTTTAACATCTATTTACCTAATTTCAAAGCAGCCTTCCTTTGCCAAGTGTTCCTAGAGCATTGTTTACAAAATATCACAAGAACACCTTAGGGCAACAACTATAAGAGGCCCCAACACCCCTTGTGAATTTTCTAAGTAGCAATTAATGCTATTAATACTGAGGATGATGATACATTAGGACCCCCTATCCCAATAAGACACCGTTTCCTTGTATTCAAATTCTCTCTTTAAATTCAGCATCCCCCTAAGGTTTGTTGAACAGTCTATCAAAACTATGCCATTTTCTCCTCAAATTCTAGGGAAGTTTCTCAAGCTAACAGTCTACTGTGAATGCAGCTGTGCTCAGTTTCATCTCAGGAAATGATGAACGACTTAAGATAATTGTCAGCTTGAGTCTTAGCAGATGTAGCCTATGAACCAAAATGGTCTTGATATACACTCCACCGTTCCCCTCAAGCTCACCAGAAAGGGTGCAGCCTCTTATCTAGGCAAAACAGGCCCTTCAAATTTTCACCGGAAACAAAAAGGTCAGCTTTCTCTCTGCCAGCGTCTCTTATGTAAAAGCTGCAGAAAAGTTCCTGAGGGCACTCAGGAAGGCAGCAGTGGTCCTAAAAGTTGTGTGCTCCTTAAGAGAATCTAACGCCCGATGATCTAAGGTTTCATCCTGAACCACCCCCCCAACTCTCCTCACCCCCACTGTCACTGGAAAAACTGTCTTCCACAAAACAGGTACCTGGTATCAAAAAGGCTGGGGACCGCTAAGCTAAAGTTTTTCTTTAAAAAAAAAAAAAAGAAAAGAAAAATTCTGTATCCAACTCAAGAATCAAATTCGGGGCAAAGGCCCAAACATCTGCACTTTTAACAAGACGGTGTCTGCCATTCTCTTCTTACCCCCTCAACCGAGTAAGGATCACTGCCCATCCTGTGTACCCGGGTTCCACTAACTTTATCTCCTGAGGAATGCCTCAGGAATGCTACAAGAATTGGCCTACATGAAAAAATATTTCAGTGCTACTTTACTATGGTAATATTTAAACAATCTATGCAATAAAAATCATCTTGAGCACAACATGCTAGAAAAAGTTTCTCTTGATGAACTGGTATGCCCATTTTATTAGATCGAAACTATAGACCAAGTTAACCCTAGTCCTTATTTCTGGAGTTTTATGTTTACTTCTACTGCTGTAAATACTCTCAAATCCTTTTTGGAAGCAGTCAAAATATAAATCCACAGTATTCAAAATCTTACCCTCCTTTTCCTTGCATTCATCTTTTGTTTCGATTCTTTGACAAAGGCATTATAGGATGGGACCTCTCCGGCGTCAATAGCTTGCTGAATGATATTCCTTATCCTGGGTTCCTCTGTGTACTGCACGCAAAGCACAGACTCCATGATCTGATCCATGTCACCCTTGAAGTCCAGATAGGCCTGCTTAATATCAGCCAGCTCTTCTTCCGAACCTTTGTATGTCTTTTCAAAAGCTTGAATGTCCTCTAAAGATATCTGATGATAAAGGAGATTTGCTTTAACTTTGGGAATTTTACTTTAAATAAAACGTACGTTAGTAAAACTAGAGTTGGGTGTTGAATTGCTGCAATACAACAGTTGCTTGAGTTGAAATTATTGAACCAGATTTTCTATGCCTAAGCTTCTCCGGAGTCCTCCTTTTTAAATCCAATCTTCATTAACTGCTAACTAGGGACCAGGGAAGGGAAATTTAAGTGAAATTTCCAAGAGTGAGAGGTGATCCGGAATCAGGACTTACATTTGGATATGTAAAATAAAGCGCATCCGGCAAAAAAAATAAATCGGCCCTTTTCAGTGCAACAATCACATTAACAGGAAATTTAAAGCCCGTTTCAGTAAGCGTGCGTGTATCTGTATTTCAAGGCCAAACTCAAAATTCCTAATTCCTACAAAATTAACACAAAATACAAGATCTTAGAGGCAGTCAATAAAGGTTTGTTGATTGAATGATGGTAACAGTCACAAAGAAACCTCCAGAGTCCTTTACCTTTTTAAAGAGTAGCCGCCAATACGCCTCCCAGTCTCGGTCTTGGGTGAGCACAGGAGAGTCCTCGTCCACTGTTCCCTGCTCATCGTACACTGCTCTCTGTTCTCTGTCACTGAGAACGGAATAGACTTTTCCCAGGATCTGAGGGCAAAGAGTATCCGTAAATCACCCCTGCTCCTCCCACCGAAACGGCGGCGCGAGAAATAAAGATCAGAAGGCGCCAAGCGGAGCTCAGCGCGCTCCCCCGGGGCGGGGCCCGGTAGCCAAAAGGCTAGGGGGAGGCCCGCGCAGCCGGTCGGCTTCGGGGCGGGACCCTGCATACCTGGAAGCGGCGGGTGGCGTCCTCCTTGTCGCCCTCACCCACCCGGTCCGGGTGTACCTGCAGGGACACCTTGTGGTAGCCTCGTCGGACCTCGCCGTCGGAGGCCTCGCGTCGCACGCCCAGCACCCGGTAAAGGTCGGCGGTGCCGAACACTTCCTCGCAAAGGTCCAGCAGCCCCATGCCGGGCGGAGATACGACCCCGGAGGAAGCAGCCGCTCCCAGCTGCGCCGGGTACAACCCAGGACTGCTTCTTTTTCGCGCCCAAAAAGCCCAGGGCGCCTGCGTCACAAGCACTGAAGGGGCGTGGCCACGCCGCGCATCCGCGCTTTACGGCGGCCGCAAAATGAGGTGTGGCGAGTCAGGCGCGGGCCCGGGTAAGTAACGCCGGCATGTGGAGTCACAGTCCCCGGCCGCGCGCAGGAGCTAGGTCTTCAGGGAAGTGATGTTGCTCGGGTCTCTCCTCCCCTTGCTCTGGAAATCTGGCGTCCGTCTTACCTTTTAGTGTCCAAGAACAACTTTTTCAAAAAGTTCATATATTAGCTTGAATTTACAAACTGCTGGCCTATTTTTTTAAGTAGAAAACGGCCAAACATCAGCATTCAGCAGTTACACATGGTTCAACTTAACAGATGTGTTTTTTCAAAAATGTTCTTGAAAGGAATAGGTAAAGCTGTAGACCCAAATAATTTTGCACCCCACTGGTTGGAAATGCTGGGGTACTTTCCCTCTAGCCCTGTAGGAAAAAACCCTATACTGAAACCCAAAAAGCACAAAACACGGGTCTTCCAAAAACTCTTACCTAATAGGACTTTCACCTTACACATTGGTGGAGAGAGATAACATGACCCAAGCCTCCGTCTTAATAACATAAACTGCTGAAGCAAAGGCTCTTTCTTTTAATACTCTGTGAAGTTCACAGCTGGGTTTGAACATGTTGGATCCCAGGTGGCAGCAGAGTGGGCTGGAGCAATCATCCAAGAGATGGTGAGAAACTTGGGCCTGGAGACCCAAAGCAAGGTTGAGGCTGGGGATAAAACTTTGTTAGTAGGGTAAACTCACAGAGGAAGTATGTGTATACATATCTTAAAGGATAAACAATGCTAAGTGAATACCCGAGTTGGCAGAAAATACCTTATCAAATATCCCCTCACTGATGTAGCATTTTTCAGAATCATTCTGCTCTGCCAATAAGTTTCTGCAAAGCCTCAAACTCTCCAGGATACATTAATATCTTTTAAACTTCCCAGAGTTGCCGTGATTTTCAAAGCATTTCTCTTTCCCAGATCCAAGATCAAACTCAGCTGAAGTCAGTTCCTCTCAACCTGCCCTGGCATCAAAGTCTCAAAGCAAGTGGGGGCCAACCAGCAACAACCCCAGGGGAGCTTTGACAACCACAGAATTTGAGATGGCTGGTAATCGTTCTCAGAACATAAAACACAAAGTAAGTCGGCACATTGATAGAACCTCCTCTATAAATTTCCTATATCTTAGTCACACACCAGAGTTAAGCCATCTGTCTTTGCTCATTTTTCCCTCTATGGACAACATAATATGTTGGGAAGGGCTTTCCAGGAGGGCATAACCGGGAGATGAATCTTACATCACTGGGCAAGTTTCCACCTCTAGGCCTCAGCTTCCCTATCTGTAAAACGGAGATAATCCTACCTGCCTTCATAATACCTTACAATTGTCACAAATAACCTTGTACACAAAAGGCCTAGGATATATGTAGATGCTTTGCAATATTATCTTTCTTCCAGTTTCTTGTATTTTTTAAGGTATTCAAATACATCTATTTTAACATTTTTCTATATATACATTTGCTACGGAAAATTGAAATCGCACACTGAAATATCCTTTTATTGCAACTCAAATTTTCAAAAACCAGAAAATCAAATTATTATGCTCTAGCCAAATTATGTAATGTTTTCTTTTTCTTTTCTCTGTCACCCAGGCTGGACTGTAGTGGAACAATCACAGTTCACTGCAGCATCGGCCTCCTGGGCTCAAGTGATCTTACTGCCTCAGCTTCCCGAGTAGCTGGAACTATGGGTGAGCAACACCACAGCCAGCTAATTTTTTAAGTTTTTGTAGAGACGGGGTCTTGCTGTGTTGCACAGGCTGGTCTCAAACTCTGGCTTCAAGTGATCCTTCCACCTCAGCCTCCCAAAGTGCTGAGATTACAGGTGTGAGCCACTGCCCCAATGGTATCTTTATATTATTTTTCCTTACAAGTTACTTCAAATTCTTGATGTTGAATTTCATCTCACTGACTTCAGGCTTTTAAAACACATGGGAATACTTGAGACCTAAGAATGGTTGTGAGTCAAATAAAAAAGTAGAACTAAAGTATACTGAAGTTATTCAAATACATTCAAACTATAAAGATCCCTTATAGATTACTGGCATCAAGGTAGGAAGGAAAAGATACAAGAAGTAAAATGCAACACTCATTACAGGTTGTCAACATTATTGGTATACAGTTTATCCTAACACAGAGCAGCCTTCTTAACCTGCTCCATAAAATTACCAGCAAGAAAGAAAAGTACAAGAATAAGGTTCACAGCTGAATTGGCTTGGTGTCCTAATTCCCTATTCCAGTATTCTCAGAAGGATCCCATCTATGATATATGCAGAAATCACAGCCACATTTGAATGGTTCAATCTTGATTCATACTGAACTCCCTTAAGCCCAGCAGTTTCTCATTCTTAAAAGGTAGGTTATTAGAGCCCCAAAGCAATTTTCATAACAAATCTACCTTTGTATATTTAAGAATATGCATTAAGGCTAGGAGTGGTGGCTCACGCCAGTAATCCTAGCACTTTGGGAGGCCGAGGTGGGCAGATCACAAGGTCAGATTGAGACCATCCTGGCCAACACGGTGAAACCCCATCTCTACTAAAAATACAAAAATTTGCCCGGGCGGTGGCTCACGCCTATAATCCCAGCACTTTTGGGAGGCCAAGGCGGGCGGATCACGAGGTCAGGAGATCAAAACCATCCTGGATAACATGGTGAAACCCCATCTCTACTAAAAATACAAAAAAATTAGCTGGGTGTGGTGGTGGGCACCTGTAGTCCCAGCTACTCCTGGGACTACTCGGGAGGCTGAAGCAGGAGAATGGCATGAACCCAGGAGACAGAGCTTGCAGTGAGCCGAGATCGCGCCACTGCACTCAAGCCTGGGCGACAGAGCGAGACTCCTCTCAAAAAAAAAAAAAAAATTAGCTGGGTGTGGTGGTGCATGCTTGTAGCTCCCCGGCTACTCAGGAGGCTGAGGCAGGAGAACCTCTTGAACCCAGGAGGTGGAGATTGCAGTGAGCTGAGATTGCACCACCGCACTCCAGCCTGGCAACAGAACAAGACTCCGTCTCAAAAAAAAAAAAAAAAAGAGAATATGCATTAGGCAAGACAATATAAACCTCCAATTACAAAAATCAATTAAGAAAGGTTAACTGTTCTTGCACTTGTGGGATGAACATGAAGATCTGAATGGGCCATGAATAGTCTGGCTGGGGGTTTTGAAGCAGGAAGTCTTGGAAGCCAGTAAATTGTAAAGTTGTCCAAGAGACCCAGAGCCCAACTCAAAAGTCCAATCCTCCCATAGCCACTGTCTATCCCAAGACAAAGTCGAAAAAAGCTAATTAGTACCCACACCCAGCTCTAAGTCACACAAGAACAAATCTCTCCCTGGGCCCTGTGCAGGCCAGGCCAGAAGAGCAAGGGCAACTCAGGATACTCCATTTATTGAACTCCAAATCTAACAAAATTAAGATCGCTGCAGTGTTTCAAAAGGACCTTGACCTTGTTCCCACTGCTATGCTCACTAAAGTCAGCTCATTTATGTTTCTGTAGCCTCTGTATCTGTAGCTTCTGCATCTGTTTTCTGAGAAGCTAACAGGACTTCACGTGCCCGTTTCCTTCGCAGTCTCTCAGCATTTGTGATCATCATAGGATGCAGAGGGAAAAAGCCAGCAAGACCTAAAAGTAACAGATTTTTCACTTATTATAACACAGTATAAGCCAATGCTTCCCTAGGAACTCTGTCTCACAGAACTGAGGTCTGAGATCTGACCCAGTGCATGGATGCAAACCATGCTCCTCACTTGCCAAACTCTGTACTACTTCTCCCCGGCAAGGAGACAGTGGATGTCTACTTCCCTAACAATATTCCCCTTACTTTAAAAAACGTAAACTGACAGATGGCCATTCAAAACATACTATTCCTATTTTTAGCATAAAATACCAGTCACCCAAAGTCTTACAAAGGAGTCCACAAAAGGGGCCTCCAGATTCAAAATGCCAATTAGATCACAACTTCAGCTCCCACTTCAGTCCTGAACAGCCTAGAGGGAATGAAATAACTCTTTTTTTTTTTTCTTTGAGATGGAATCGCCCTCTGTTGCCCAGACTGGAGTGCAGTGACGCGATCTTGGCTCACTGCAACCTCCGCCTCCTGGGTTCAAGCGATTCTCCTGCCTCAGCCTCCCCAGTAGCTGAGACTACAGGTGCGTGTCACCACGCCCAACTAATTTTTTTTTTTTATTTTTAGTAGAGACAGCGTTTCACCATGTTGGCCACTCTGGTCTCAAACTCTTGACCTCAGGTGATCCGCCCGCCTCGGCCTCCCAAAGCGCTGAGATTACAGGCGTGAGCCACCGTGCCCAGCCGAAAATCATTCTTACACCTACTGTCCTGGAGCTGACTTCAGTTTAAAATCCCCTCAATAAGGTAAGACCAGAGCTGAGTTACCCAGAAGCTTTTCCATAGGCTTAGAGAGGTGGGCCCCGCAGCCAATCCAATGACGGATCCTGTCTAGGTTGAGGGCAACGAGTTTTTCTCCATGACTGTTGGGCAATGGATCATAGGAGCCCAGCTGCTCTACGAAACGGCCATCCCTGGGACACTTGTTGTGAGCAGCCACAATGCGGTAGAACGGCCGATTGGTGCAGCCACCCAGGGCAAGGCGGATGGTTAAGTGGCCCCCACGGTAGGCCTTGCAGAGGAGAGTAGCTGTAGAAAAGCAGCTGGTTAGGACACAAAAAACAGCACAAAAAGGACAAAATGACACAGACGGCACAATTCCCTTTTCCCACTGAAATGTCTCACTTCCAATCCATTCCTGTCAATCCAGTTTAGATGCTACTCTTCTTTGTGAAACCCCTCTTGGCCAGTCCAGCCAGCAATGACCTCCTCCTCATACCCAAACCCACCCCGCATGGGCTTGCCATTCACTAGGCTCTGTGACCTTGTCGGAGCCTTAGCTGCTTCAATGGGGTGGAAATTTTTCAGCGGTGATTAAGTGGGGAAAAAACTGAGAGAAGGATCAAATGTAAGGCAGTGTGGCTGCTTCAGGTTCGGGTTGCCTCCATCGCGCCTGGGAGAGCTCTCCCCACCCGGCCCCGAACTCCCGAGCCCCGTGACCGCCCGGAACGTCTCGCGGTGGCCCGATGACTCACTGAGGTGGACCATGGTGCCGCCGGCGTGCGGCTCCTCGGAGAGCCCCGCTACCCGCACGCACCAGCTCTACGGCCTTGGCAGGGCAGAGAACAAACACAGAAAGAACCTGCAAGCCGACACCAGGCCGCACCGCCAAGCGGTACAAGCCCGAAAACCTCGACTCCGGAAGCGGATGATCCGCTCGCCACGCCTCCTCCGCTTGCCGCCCTATACTTCCCACAATGCAACACGGTGACCCCTAACGTACCTTAAACTGCTGCAAAAGAGGCGTTTCTCGTGGTGTCTTGTGGGAGTGGCGGTGCGATCCCTCTCAGACTTGTGAGTCCCTGCTGGAGTCAGAAGTTTTAGGCGAATCCCAGGCGCGCCAAGGAAAGTGCTACAAAAGCCATCCATCTTGCAAGCGTTGGTGCCGAGGCGCAACGCTGAGAACGCAAATACTAAAGGGCGCTGTTCTTTCCTCGTGGAGCTCACAGTCCGCTGGGGAGACCGTGAGATGACAGCAGAGAAACTAGCGCGATCAGTAGTACTCAGCGCAAGGACAGCGAGCAGAGAAGGCAAACCTAGTGCTTGCTAAGGAAGACTTCACAGAGGAGGTAGTGTCAGGGCCGAGACTAGGAGAAGGATTGTAAGTGACTAGATTTTACTTTATCCTTCTCGTTAACCAAAATTAATTTACCTCTCACCTTTTCTCCTGTTGTCGTCCCACCCCTATCGAGGCAGTCACACCTTAAAAAAAAAAGGAGGGGTTATTCCTGCTTTTGCCGTGCTGTGATCCAGGGCAGAGGTGAAGTATGATTTTTTTTTTTTTTATCTGTAGCCCTAGAATATGACCTCGGTGATGAGGGTAACGGTGTCTCCTTGGAGCCCTAGTGGTTTAGATCCATGAAGATGCCTGTGTTTGGTGAGAAGGTGTCAATAGCTCCACCTTCAGCAAAGACCTCTCTGTTCAGCTTTTTCGTTTACTGTTAGTTCCAAAGGGCTAGCATGCTCTTTGCCCTAATACAGTGACCCAGCATAGCAGTCTTCCTCCAGGGCCACCTTTGAAAATGATGCCTTAATTCCTGTATTTCAGTTAACTGAACCTGTCCAGAAACCTTAGCACCTGACTTCCTCCAGGAGTGATCCAATAAGCTTTCATCAGAAACCCTAATAATGACCCCACTATACCTTAATTTTATTGTATGTATATATATGCCATATAATTATTATAGCAATTACACTATAGTTATTTATATAACTAAATACCTACATGTAACTCAGTATACGTTAACTCCAGAACCATGCTGATGAATTTTGAGTTTCATATCTCCATTTTTTTATTGTGACCCAGTTTCTCGTCAACCAGTAAAACATCCAGTAACACAGCCAATGGAAATAAATGAATGGGTCTCTGTTTATAGTGAAGATTCTTTCGTTCTCCAGCTCCAGGCTTCATACGGTAAAACTCTCTGGGAAGGAAAGGAACTCAGAGTCCCATGCAGAAAATTGTTCAGCTGGAGGGGTATCAGAAAGATGGATTTCCAAAGCCAACTGTTTCCTGTAGTGTGTGGATCTCTGCAAGCAGAGCCTCATCTTTCAATTTCAGCTACATGAAAGAGGAAGAAAGGGAAAGATATATGTCATACGTGATATACTTTATGTGGCTTTGAAGACCCCTCTTTTGTGGGGCTACGGCTAAAGAACATAGTTCCCTGGGATGGAATTGGCTCTTCCTATTTCCCTACTTCATGAAAACTCCAGTAGAAGACCTTAGAACCTTGTCCTGGTTACATGGATATGTTTACTTTGTGAAAATTCATCAAGCACTATGCACGGTCATGATTTGTACATTTTTTTGTAAGATAACTTCATTAAAATTTACTTTTTTTATTTTTAAAAAGTGTTCACATTATTACCAGCATCTCTTGGCTAATGCATAGTATTCCCATCTGGCAAGTGATATCAGGGAATCAGAGACAGAAATCATAGGCTTATATTAGATCTGGTTTTAGTTTTAGAATCTAGATATGTAGTAGAGACATCTAGGAGCCTACAGAATACCTATTTTTTCTTACTAACAAAATCTTAATTTCTTTTCAAGGCAGTAATGCAGTCAGCTAAAAAGCCACATTTTCCTGCTTCCCATGCAGCTAGAGGTAGTCATGACCAATTGCCACCCAATGAAATGTAAACTAAAGTCATTGGGTAGGACACCTGGAGAAGCCCTTTATTTAGGGAAAGTCCTTTAAAGGGAACTGAAGTAGCATGGCCCCTTTTTCCTTTTCCCCTTATTGTTCTTTATCTTGCCTGAAACATGAATATGATAGTAAGCTACGCTGGCTGTCTTGCAACTATGAGGGATAGAAACTGCAGGCTACAATTGGTGGAGCACAAAGATAGATTTTGGGTCCCTGATGACATTGTGGAGCTGCGGTACGAGCCCTGGACTTTTCATTAGATGAGAAAAAACTAATTTGTTTAAACCACTGTCTTTCAAGTCAAGTTACTTGCAATTCATAACTAATAGAACAGGCCAGGCATGTTGGCCCCCACCTGTAATTCCAACAGTTTGGGAGGCTGAAGTGGGCGGATCACTTGAGACCAGGAGTTTGAGACCAGCCTGGCCAACATAGCAAAACCCTGTCTCTATGAAAAATACAAAAATTTGGCCAGGCGTGGTGGCTCACGCTTATAATCCCAGTACTTTGGGAGGCCGAGGCGGGGGGATCACAAGGTCAGGAGATCAAGACCATCCTGGCTAACACGGTGATACCCTATCTACTAAAAATACAAAAAATTAGCTGGGGGCAGTGGCGGGCGGCTGTAGTCCCAGCTACTCAGGAGGCTGAAGCGGAGAATGGCCTGAACCCGGGAGGCGGAGCTTGCAGTGAGTGGAGATTGCGCCACTGCACTCCAGCCTGGGAGACAGAGCAAGACTCCATCTCAAAAAAAAAATTCAGCTGGGCATGGTAGCACATACCTGTAATCCCAGCTACTTGGGAGGCTGAGGCACAAGAATCACTTGAACCGGGAGGTGGAGGTTGCAGTGAGCTGAGATCGTGCTACTGCACTCCAGCCTGGGCAACAGTGCAAGACTCTGTCTCAAAATATATATGTATATGTAACTGATAGAACAGACCAGGGGTTGTTCATGAGCCAATCCAGCTCACTACCTGTTTTTGTTTGTTTGTTTGTTTTTGAGACGGAGCCTCAGCCTCCAGAGTAGCTGGGACCACAGGTGCCCACCAAGACGCTCGGCTAATTTTTTTGTATTTTTAGTAGAGACGGGGTTTCACCATGTTAGCCAGGATGGTCTCCATCTCTTGACCTTGTGATCTACCCACCTCAGCCTCCCAAAGTGCTGGGATTACAGGCGTGAGCCACCATGCCTGGCCACTACCTGTTTTTTTGTAAGTAAAATTGTATTGGAACACAGCCATTCACTTATGTATCACCTATAGCTGCTTGTGTACTACAAGTGCAGAGTTTAGTAGTTGCAACAGACTGTTTGGCCTACAAATCCCCCAAAATTTCCTATTTTGCCCTTTACAGAAAATGTTTGCTGATCCCTAGACTAGACCAACCCCTACATATTACACGAGGAAAATGAAGCCCACAATATTATTAACACAGTAAGTTAATGGCAAAACCAGAATCATAATTCAGGTTGACTGACTCCCAGGCTATCTTTCTATTAACTATTATATATTCTCTCTAAAGAGCTGGAAGAAAGATCACCTATGGTAATATGTAGGTTGTTATTACAAACCCAGCAGCCCCACGATAATGGCAAAGATGGTAAGAAAAGCCTCTAGAAAAATATTCACATTATGAAAGTCCTGAATTAAGCCAGTACCTCCCTCCTAATTTCCCACCCTTAACATGGGGCAGGCAAATGACAGAGGCATCTGTGTCATACCTTGATCATGTACTTGTAGGCCTGCTCAGCTTCTAATTGCCGTCCAACCTGAAAAAAGTGCAGCAGTTGGTGATGATGACAGGTCATAAACATTATGGTAAGGAAAATACATTGCCTCAGCTAAGGCAGAGGCACCTACACCTAAGGCAGAGGCTTCTACACCTTCCAGTTAAGAACTTCTGAATTGAGAGGAAAAACTAGCAAATGAAAGGTGGTAGGGAGAAAAAGGTTTTTTTTTTAAAAAATTCCTCCTGGCCAGGCGTGGTGGCTCATGCCCATAATCCCAGCACTTTGGGAGACCGAGGTGGGTGGATCACAAGGTCAGGAGATCGAGATCATCCTGGCTAACACGGTGAAACCCCGTCTCTAATAAAAATACACAAAATTAGCCGGGTGTGGTGGCATGCGCCTGTAGTCCCAGCTACTAGGGGAGCTGAGGCAGGAGAATCGCTTGAACCCAGGAGGCAGAGGTTGCAGTGAGCCGACATCATGCCACTGCACTCCATCCTGGGCAACAGAGTGAGACTCCATCTCAAAAAAAAAAAAAAAAAAAAAAAGGAAAAAAAATTCCTCCTTCCTTTTGAAAAGCTTAAAGATAACTTGGCCTCTCACCTTTTTGAAAGCACCATGAGTCATTTGTTCCTCTTAGGACTGAAGCCATTCTGTTAATAATAATTAACACTTACCACTCCGTACTATGTGATTTACATTGTTTTCATTATTGATGTTGTTTTTAGTGCTTTATTTAAGTTCATTCTTAATCCTCAAGACCTAGGAGATAACTACTGTTATTTATTATTCCCAATTTACAGAGAGGATAAGTAACTTGCCAGGGTTATGAAGCTAGTAAGTAGAGGAGCCAGGTTTAAAACAATGCAGTTTGACTCCAGAGTCCAAGTTTTTAACTACTACATTACTCTGTCTCTAGGAATTAGAAAAAGTAGGTATCAGAATTACTTCTATGAAGATCTGGATATGAGATAAGAACATTAACTACTCCCCACCAGTTTATATTATTCTTTGCATGAAGCACTCCTCCAGAAGTTAAATGAGATAATATGAATCCACTATTCTACTTCTTGAGTTTGCTACATAGTTACTTAGAGTATGCAAAGTCACTTGGTAAAGCTTAAATATGTAAGAACCACAGAATATTCGTGTCTGAAGGGGACCTGGGGAATATCTAGTCCAATTTTCTGATTAATGCTAGTCCATATGAAAGTTTTACTGGTTCACAAAACTTTCACACCCTAAACCCTTACTTCCTCCAAATCTACACTTTGAAATGTTCCCAACTGAAGTTCACTGAATTGCCAGCAGCATTTTCCAGCACACCTGCCTTTCCTACCACTATTACTTTGTTTCCCTCCTGCCACAGGGAGGCAGAGGCCCAAATGATGTCAGGATCCAGAATAGCCAAAACAATTTTGAAAAATAATTTTTCTGCTATCATGAACATTGCTGCAGTAAACATCCTTGTACATTTCTTCTTCTTCTCCTTTTCCTTCTTTTTTTTTTTTTTTTTTTGAGACGGAGTCTTGCTCTGTCACCCAGGCTGGAGTGCAATGGCACGATCTCAGCACTCTCACAGTCTCAGCACTGCAACCTCCACCCCCTGGGTTCAAGCGATTCTCCTGCCTCAGCCTCCTGAGTAGCTAGGATTACAGATGTTGTATGTGTCTTCTTGTATTTTTCTTAGGATTATATCTAGATATGACATTGCCAAATTGTAGATATGAATGTAACTAAATAATGCCACATTGTACTTAAAAGTGGTTATGCCAATTTACATCCAATTACAATTATGAGAGTCTTCATCAGTGCTTGTTGTGGGAAGTCAGGGACACTGAACGGAGGGACCGGCTGAAGCCATGGCAGAAGAACATAAATTGTGAAGATTTCTTGGACATTTATTAGTTCCCCAAATTAATACTTTTATAATTTCTTATGCCTGTCTTTACTGCAATCTCTGAACATAAATTGTGAAGATTTCATGGACATTTATCACTTCCCCAATCAATACTCTTATAATTTCCTATGCCTGTCTTTACTTTAATCTCTTAATCCCATCATCTTTGTAAACTGAGGATGTATGTTGCCTCAGGATCCTGTGATGATTACGTTATCTGCACAAATTGTTTGTAGAGCACGTGTGTTTGAACAATATGAAATCTGGGCATCCAAAAGGAACAGGATGGCTGTGATTTTCAGGGAACAAGGGAAATAACTATTGGGCCTGACTGCCTGCAGGGCCGGACAGAACAGAGTCACATTTCTCTTCTTACAAAAGCGAATAGGAGAAATATCGCTGAATTCTTTTTCTCAGCAAGGAACAGCCCTGAGAAAGAGAATGCATTCCCAGGGGTAGGTCTCTAAAATGGCCGCTCTGGGAGTGTCTCTCTCTTATATGGTTGTATATAAGGGATGAAAAAAGCCCCGGTTTCCTGTAGCGCCCCCAGGCTTATTAGGATTAGGAAATTCTTGCCTAGTAAATTTTAGTCAGACCAGTTGTCTGCTCTCAAACCCTGTCTCCTGATAAGATGTCATCATTGATAATGCGTGCCCAGTGGGACATGAAACTTCATCAGCAATTCTAATTTCGCCCTCGTCCTGTGATCTCGCTCTGCCCCCATTTGCCTTGTGATATTTTATTGCCCTTGAAGCATGTGATCTCTGTGACCCACACCCTATTCGTACACCCCTCCCCTTTTGAAATCCATAATAAAAACTTGCTGGTTTTGTGGCTTGGGGCATCACGGAACCTGCCGATGTGTGATGTCTCCCCTGGACACCCAGATTTAAAATTTCTCCTTTTTGTACTCTTTCCCTTTATTTCTCAGACCTGCTGACACTTAGGGAAAATAGAAAAAAACCTACATTGAAATATTGGGGGCTGGTTACCCCAATAAGTGCTAATACCATACTTTAATTTTTGCCAATCTGATGGTTGTGAATTTCTGCCACATCATTATTCTAAGTTGCATTCTTATGCTTACTAGTGACACAGAGCTTCTTCTCATACATGTATTAACTTTTACAATCTCCACATTAGCAAACTGCATATTCCTATATTGTTCCCCATGCCCCTCCCCCTCCTTTGTTTTTTCTTTTTTGAGACAGGGTCTGGCTCTGTCATTCAGGCTGGAGTGCAGTGGCACAATCACAGCTCACTGCAGCCTCAACCTTCCAGGCTCCAGTGATTTTTCCCACAACTTTAAAGTTGGAAACTCATGTATAACAAATGACACTAAAATAAAGTTTAAGGACTTATTATAAATATTGGCAGAATTTATAACTAATAGAGGATTAGCATCCAGGTTATATAAGTAGCTGCTACAATAAGGAAAAAACTCTACAATCTGATTTTAAAATGGGCACAGGGCTGGGTGCAGCAGTTCATGCCTGTAATCCCCGCACTTTGCAAGGCTGAGGGGGAAAGATCGCTCGAGCCCATGTGTTTAAGACCAGCCTGGGCAACATGGTGAGACTCTGTCTCTACAAAAAATGAAAAAATTAGGCATGGTGGCACACATCTGTTGTCCCAGCTACTTGGGGGGCTGAGGCAGTAGGATCATTTGAGCCTAGAAGGTCGAGGCAGCAAGTAAGCTGTGTTCCTGCCACTGCATTCCAGCCTGGGTACCAGAGCAAGACCCTGTCTCAAAAAAAAAAGAAAAAAAAAGGACTTAGATCTTAGATTGTTAGGGCTGGGCACAGAGGCTCATGCCTATAATTGCAGCTCTTTGGAAAGCTGAGGCATGAGGATTACTTGAGGCCAGGAGTTCAAGACTAGCCTGGGCAACATAGTGAGACTCTGCTCTACACATAATAAAATAAATTATCCAGGAGTGGTGGTGCATGCCTGTAGTCCCAGCTACTCAGGAGGCTGAAACAGGAGGATCCCTTGAGCCCAGGATCGTCCCACTGCACTGCACTCCAACCTCAGCAACAGAGCAAGACCCTGTCTCTTAAGAAAAAAACTTAGGTCTTTAAACCAGTTGGAATTGTGTGTGATGTGTGAGGTAAGGAACTAATTTTTTTTTTAATATGGATAGTAGCCAGTTGTCCCATCACCATTTAGTGAAGAATCCATTTGTTTCTCATTTTGCAGGTGCTATATAGTGTCTTTATAAAAAAATAGCTATATTAAGGCATAACTTACATACCATAAAATTCACTAATTTTAACGTTATGTTGTGCAAGCATCAGCACAATCCAGTGTTAGAAGACTCCTGTTACTCCAAAAAGTTCTTTCATGCCTGTTTGCAGTTACTCTCCATCCTCACCTTTAGCTCCAGGCAACCATTGATCTATTTTCCTTATTTCAAATAAATAGAATCAAATAATATATAGTCTTCTGTGCTTTGCTTTTTTCACTTGCCATAATATTTTTGACATTTATCCATATTGTTACATGAATCAGAATTTCATTTTAACTGCTGAGTAGTACTCCATTGTATAAATATTCCTCATTTTATTTACCCATTCACTGATGGACATGTAAAATGTTCCCAGTTTTGTGCTATTATTAAATGCTGTGATAAAAGTTCATATACAAATTTTTGTGTGGACATATGTCTTCATTTCTCTTAGCTAGATATAGAGAAGTAGAATTGCTGGCACATATGGTAAATATGTGTAACTTTTTAAGAATCTGACAAACTGTTTTCCAAAGTGGTTGTACCAATTTACAACCCTACCAGTAATGTACGAGGATTCCAGTTTATCCACATCTTTGTTAATACTTGGCATTGTCTATCTTTTTTTTTTTTTTTTGAGACAAGATCTCATTCTGTCACCCAGGCTGGAGTGCAGTGGTGCCATCACAGGGGCTCACTGCAGCCTCAACCTTCCAGGAAAAGGTGATTCTCTCATCTCAGCCTCCCAAGTACATGGGACTACAGGCACATGCCACCACCCCTGGCTAATCTTTGTATTTTTTTGTATTTTTTATTTACTGTATTAGTCAGTTTTCATGCTGCTGATAAAGACATACCAGAGACTGGGCAATTTACAAAGGAAAGAGGTTTAATTGGACTCACAATTCCAAGTGGCTCGCGAGGCCTCACAATCATGGTGGAAGGCAAAGAGGAGTAAGTCACGTCTTACGTGGATGGTAGCAGGCAAAAAGAAGCTTGTGTAGGGAAACTCCCATTTTTAAAACCATCAGATCTTGTGAGACTCATTCACTACCAGGAGAACAGTGCAGAAAAGAGCCACCCCCATAATTCAATCAGCTCCCACCTGGTTCCTTCCACAACAAGTGGGAATTGTGGGAGTTACAATTCGAGATGAGATTTGGGTAGGGACACAGCCAAAATATATCAGATGGGGTTTCACCATGCTGTCCGAGCTGGTCTCAAACTCCCAGGCTCAAGCGATTTGCCTGCTCGAGCCTCCCAAAGTGCTGAGATTACAGGCATGAGCCACCATGCCTGGCCTATCTTTTTGATTTAAGCTATTCTAGTGGGTGTGTAGTGCGGTGTCAATCTGCATTATTTTAAGGGGTATTTTAAAATTTTTTGGACATAATTTCAGATTAAATAAAAGTTACAAAATCAGTTCTCTCTTCTCTCAGGAAAGAATACATGTACTGTATACATATTATATATATGTATACATATGTATATATGTATACATATGTATATATGTATATATTATATATGTATATATGTATATATTATATATTATATATGTATATATGTATATATTATATATGTATATATATAATACATATACAGTAGTCTCCCTTATCTGAGGTTTTGCTTTCCACACCTTCACTTACCCAAGATCAACCTCGGCCCACCAAGATCTGAAAATATTACATAGAAAATTCCAGAAATAAACAATTCATAAGTTTTAAATTGCACACTGCTATTATGAAGAGCCTGATGAAATCTTGTGCCATCCCTCCCAGGATGTGAGTCATCCCTTTGTCCAGCATATACCCACTGTAGACGCTACCTGCCAGTTAGTCACTTCATAGCCCTCTCCGTTATCAGATCAGCTGTCATGGTCTCACAGTGCTTGTATTCAAGCCACCCTTATTTTACTTAATAATGGACTCATAGCACAAAAGTAGTGATGCTGGCAATTTGGATATGCAAAAGAGAAGCCATAAAGTGCTTCCTTTTCATGAAAAGGTGAAAGCTCTTGACTTAATCAGGAAAGAAAAAAAATGTATGCTGAGGTTGCTAAGATCTGTATAATGAACTTATCTTTTATCCATGAAAATGTGAAGAAGGAAAAAGAAATTGTGCATATTTAGTAGCACCTGTGGGCTATTAGAAAAAAATTTTTAATAATTATTTTAAAAAAGAAATTCGTGCATGGTATATATAGGATTCAGTACTATCCTTTGTTACAGGTATCCACTGGGGGGTCTTGGAACATATCCCTGGGGAACAAGGAGGGATTACTGTATGTGTGTGTGTATAAAAGTTAGAAAAATATAGAAAAGTTAAAAATATGTAGAAAAGTTAAAGTATATATGTGTGTGTTTATCTACATAAACACACACCTAACTCTTCCTGAACATTTGCAAGTAAATTAGAGATATGATTCAATTTTAATACTTCAGAGTGTGTTTTCTAAAATCAAGGATATTCTCCTCTATAACCACAGTACAATTATCACAATCAGGAAGTTAGTATAGATAGAATACTATTATCTAATCTATAGACCTTATCAAGATTTTTCCAATTGTTCCAATAATATCATTCATTCATTTCTTCATTCACTCATTCATTTATTTGAGACAGGATCTTGCTGTATCACCCAGACTGGAGTGTAGTGGTGTGAACAGGTCACTGCTGCCTCGACCTCCTGGGCTCAAGCAATCCTCCCACCTCAGCCTCCCAAGTAGCTGGGACTACAAGTGCCATCATGCCCAGCTAATTTTTTTAATGTTTTGTAGAGATAAAGTCTCACTATGTCGCCCAGGCTGTTCTTAAATTCCAGGGCTCAATTGGCCTCCCAAAGTGCCGGGATTACAGGCATGAGCCACCACGCCCAGCCCAATAATGTCTTTATGAGAAAATAAATCCAAGATCATGCATTGTATTTATTATTTATGTCTCCAGTTTCTTTTAATCTGGAATAGTTCTTGAGTCTTTGTGTTTCGTAACACTGGCATTTTTTAAAAATAGAGCACTATTTTGTAAACTATTCCCCAATTCATATTTGTCTAATGTTCCCTCATAATCATATCAGGTTATGAACTTTTAACAGGAATACCATAAAAATGTTCTGTTCTCAGTGCACCATATCAGGAAGCACAAGCTGCTTATCTCAATACTTGTGATGTTAACTTTGATCATTTATTACATTGCTATCTGCCAGGTTTTTCTACTCTAATGTTACTATTTTCCCCTTTGTAATTAATAAGTATCTTGTGGGGAGATACTTTGAGACTATGAAATATTTTCTTACTCCTTGAACTTTTCAACCATAATTTTAGCATACATTGATGATTGTCCACTGAATCTATTATGATGGTTTCCAAATTGCGATTTTCCAATTCCATCATTCTTCATACATTTAGCAGTTGGCCTTTGACTGTAAGCTTTCCTTTCTCTACCACTTATTTGTTTAATTATATCACTGTGGGCTCATAGATTCTTATTTGTAATCCTTTTCTACAAATTATTTATTTGGATGCTCAAATTATCCTTGTTTTAGCCAGCAGGTGTCCCCACTTCAAGCTAGTTTCTGTTTGTTTTATTTTTTCCCTATGCTGTTTTGATATGTGCCAGTCTTTCTTTGAACATTTTTTACTTTCTGACTCAACAAGATCTCAGACTCATCTTTTACTTTCCATGCACTAGTTCTGGAATTTTGGCCATCTTCCAAGAAGCCTCTGGTCCCCCCACAAACCCTTTCCTTCTAAACTGGACAAATGCCCTAGTTTCTTAAATGGATTTAGAAACCAAGACCTGAGCATTAGATGTGCTTATGCCCCCTGCCACCACTATTTATTTTTGAGACACAGGTATTTAGACACATATGAATATATTTCTATAAATACACATATATTTCTATATACCTATTTATACCTGTATCTATTTAATCTATCAAACAATGAGCTCTTATCAGTATCTCCCATTCTAATCCACCACTACAAGGTCATTCTATCCTTCTTGTTTCCACATTTGTAACTTCCTTTGAAGCACAGTGAAAAATGTGACTCCCATTATCCACAACATAATTATTTGTTAAATCATAGAATACCTAGTAATTTCAGAACTGCTAACTCATGACTTTGCAAAAATGAAGCCTAAAACTATACTCTAAAATGTGTATAAAGGTTTTTTCTCTTTAGCCTGATATATAGTATGTATTAGTCTACATTGCAAAGAATGTTTTCAAAAGTACCATGAGTTAATTATTTTTCTGCATTGTCAGTCTAATTACGTTATTCATTTGAAATACAATTTTATTTGGTTTTGTTTGTACGTAATTATGTGGTCTCCCCATTTCTTGCTGATTTTCTTTTTTAAAAAATATACGAAACATTAGCATTGTCCCAAAAGTCAGAACTCTACAAAAAGGGACATCACAGTGTCATCCCTCTCATTTCCTCCCTCCTCTACCCATGCCCACTCATGTCCTGTAGAATCTACTCTCATTAATCTCGGTTTATCCTTCCTCTGCTTCTTTTTGCACTAAAGAAGAGATTCGGCCGGGTGCGGTGGCTCACGCCTGTAATCCCAGCACTTTGGGAGGCCGAGATGGGCGGATCACGAGGTCAGGAGATCGAGACCATCCTGGCTAACACGGTGAAACCGTGTCTCTACTAAAAATACAAAAAATTAGCCGGGCGTGGTGGCCGGCGCCTGTAGTTCCAGCTACTGGGGAGGCTGAGGCAGGAGAATGGTGAACCTGGGAGGCGGAGCTTGCAGTGAGCCCAGATCGCGCCACTGCACTCCAGTCTGGGCAACAGAGAGACTCCATCTCAAAAAAAAAAAAAAAAGAAGAAGAAGAAGAGATTCATGTATATTTTCTTCTTTTTCCTTCTCTCTTATACAAAAGGTGGTATAATCTTGCACTTCACTTTTTTTACTTAATAATATAAACTGAAAATCATTCCACATCAGTTCATAGAGATCTTCCTCATTATTTTTATTCAGGGGCATAGTATTCCATTATGTGAATATACTATAGTTTATTTAGACATTCTCCCATGTTTAATAAATGAACTCCATTTAGGTTGTTTCCATTATTTTGCAATTGCAATAATGCTGTAATTAATAACTTGCGCACGCTCATTTTCAAATTGCTAGAGGAAGCGCATCATGGTAAATTTCTAGAAAACTCCAATTACTTTTAAATACCATCTACTCAAAACCTAAGTTTCCATATATATGTCAGTCTATTTCTGTCTGCCAATTGTTTCACTTACCTACTCTTACACTAATAGCACTCAGTGTTAATTGTTGCAGCTTCATAATAAGGCTTGATATTTAATAGGAAAGCCACTCTTACTCTTTCTTTCATACTGTCATAGCTATTTTTTTTTTTTTGGTCTTTATTCAACCAAGTGAATTTTAGGATTTATCTCATCAAGTTCCTTGAAAATATTATGTTATTATTTTTATTGGAATTGCCTTAAACTTAGATATTAACTTAGGGAAAACTTTCATCTTTATGTCATCAGAACTTCCTGCCCATGGACATGGTATATCTTTCTATTAGATTTTCTTTTACAATAAAGTTTTATGATTTTCCCCACACAGGTCTTGAATGGGATTTTAAAAATCAGACTTTCAAATTGATTGTTCCTGATTTTGATGACATTGATTTTTATATTGATTTTTATCCAGCAACTTTGTCCATCCACTTCTTTGCGTTAATCTTCATTGACTAAATTTATATTATTCAAAAGTCAAAAGGATATAATAAAGCATACAATGAGTTTTGCTTCCACCCGTCTCCCTATACACCCTGTTCCCCAATGACTGCCCTGACTAGTAACCATCATTGTTAGTTTTTTATCTACCATTTCAGTAGTGAACTCTTTTATTACATATTTCAGTTTGCTTGTAGATTTTCTTGGGTTCCTACCTAATCCTTTTACCTTCAGTTTCTTTTATGTGTGTATGTATATGTGTTATTGCCTTAATGGAACCTCCAGTATAGTTTCAAGTAGAAGTGACGATAACATTTTCCTTATCTTGTTCCTGACTTCAAAAGGAATGCTTCTAACTTTTCACCATTTCATATAATAGTTTAGATTTTGGGACATGTAGTTTCAGATTTTAAAAAAGCTAGTTTGCTTTTTTAAAAAGTCATGAATGGGTGTTAATTTTAGCCAATGATTTAGTTTTTAAAATAATTAATAGAATAAGAATAGCCTATGATTTTAATTTAGTCTCCATTTTGCTGCTAATATTATTTGTGTCTTTCCATTTTAAACAAAATTCTTAGTCATGCAAGAGGTTTGTCTGTTCACTAGTCTCTGCAAAAAACAGCTCATAATTTTGTTAATCCTATTATGTCCTTGTTGAAATTTTCATTTATTTCTACTCCTTATCATTTTCTCAATTATCATTTCTTTGAGTTTCCTTGCTTTCCCTTTACTACTTTATTTATTTAAAAATTAATTCATTGATTTTCAATCTTTGTTTCTAACATATGTATTTAAGGCTATAAATTACCCTCTATTTATTGCTTTAATTTTATCCCATAATTCTAATATATATTGGCTTTGTTTTTATTCAGCCTCATTTCAGTTATGTACTGAAGTATAACAAACCAACCCAAAACTTAATGGCTTAAAACATAATATGTTATTTCTCAAAATTCTACAGGTAATTTGGGCTGTTTTGCTGGTTTTCCCTGAGATCACTCATGCAGCTGAGGTCATATGACAATTTGGCTAGGACTGAAGGATCCAAGAAAACCTTACTCAAATAGCAGTTAATGTTGGCTGTTGGCTGGAGTGGTTCAGTTCTCTTCCATGTGGACTACTATAGCCTTCTATAGGCTAAACTGGGCTTCTTCACAGCACAGTGGTCCCAGAGTTTCAAGAGTGGTAGCTGAAGGCTTCTAAAAGCCTAACCTCTGAGAATTCACACAATGTCACTTGCACCATATTCTACTGGTCAGGGAAAGTCACAAGTTTAGCTTAGATTCAAGGGGGTGGAGAAATGAGAAAGAGACTCCGTCTCTTGATGGGAGTGAGTGGCAACATAACATTGCAAAGGATGTGGACATGACAGCATAATTAAATGGGGATCATTATTATAAAAATCTACTATAAGGCCTAATTTTCTACTGCTGTGTATAACACCCATTTATCATATCACATTTTCCATAGATCAGAAGCCTGACATTATTCAACTAGTTCTTTGCTTAGGGTCTCACAAGGCCAAAATCAAGGTGTCATCTATGCTGAGTTCTTATTTGCAGGCTCTGGAGAAGAATGTACTCCCAAGCTTATTCAGTTTGTTGGTAGAATTCAGTTCTTTGTGTTTATAGGTTCCTATAAGGTCCCTGTTTCCTTGCTGGCTCTCAGCAGGGGCTGCTGTTAGCTTCTAGATGCCACCCACATTCCTTGACATGTGGTCCTTCTCCATATTCAAGCCAGAGATGCTATACTGAATGATTCTTATGTTTCAAATCTGACATCCTTTCTGCCCCCACCACCAGAGAAAACTCTCTGCTTTTAGAAGACTTACCTGACTGGGTCAGGTCCACCCAGATAATCTCTGTATTTTAATGTCAACTGATTTGGTATTTTATTTACATCTGCAAAATCATTTTACAGCAGTACCTACATTAGTGTTTAATAGATTAATCTTAGGGGAGGGGGCCATCTTTAGAATTCTACCTAGCACAAAAGATTTCATATTTGAAGTGTCACAAGGTTTCTTCATTGACTTATTAATTAATTACAAGCATGTTTTCAGTTTCCAAAGGTATATGAGTCTTTTGGGCTTTATTTTGGTTGTTGATTTATAATTTTACTGCCATGTGATCTGTATGTATTTGTTGAACCCCTCTTTCTGGTTTTGCATGTGGTCAACCTTTATACATAACTCATTTGTACTTGAAAAGAATATGTGTCCTCTCATTGTTAAGTGAAGAGTTCTACATTGGTGTTTGAACTCAAACCTGTTGAATGGGTTATACATCTGTATATATATCCTATTTTTTTTCCTATTTGACTTATCAATTTCTAAGAGAAGTATATTATGGTCTTCCATACTGGCCCTTTTAGTTTAAAGATGAGGAAATTGAGGCCCAATAAAGTTAGGTGACTTGCCTCAGATCCTAGAGCTAGTTAGGGGAGAGCTGGGGTAAGAACTCTTTTTATTTGTTTTTCTTCTTTTTTTTCTTTTTTTTTGAGACGAGGTCTCACTCTGTCACCCAGGTTGGAGTGCAGTGGCACAATCTCAGCACCCTGCAACTTCTGCCTCCCAGGTTCAAGTGATCCTCCCACCCCAACCCTCGAAAGTAGCTGGGACCACAGGCGCTCCCCACCATTCCTGGCTAATTTTTTGTAGAGGCAGGGTTTTGCCATGTTCCCCAGGCTGGTCTTGAACTCCTGGGCTCAAGTGATCCACCTGCCTCAGCCTCCCAAATTGCTGGGGTTACAAACGTGAGCCACTACACCCAGCCAGACCTCAGGTATTTTTAAAATGTTGATATTTGGGATATTTACACTAAAGAGAAAATCTAGTAATTTTTGTTTGGTTCATTTCTCTTATAATAATACTCCCTGCCAATTTGGTGTCATACTGTCCAGTGGAAAACTGAGGGCTACTGTCGTTATTCCCAATGTGATCTTAGACTGATACGCAAGTTATTTAAGTCTAACTATGGGAGAGTTATTTTTAATAGGTAAAGCACCTATCATGAACTCCCACATTACCCTCCACCCAATATCCCATCTAAATCAAGGACAAGCACCCTCAGCCAGCATTTCAATGGGAAGAAATGATTCAGAAACACTAGTAGAACATCTCCTTCATCAATCTGTGACCTAGTTTATGTTGTGATACAATATTGCTCCTATTTTTAGAACTTCCTTTCCAGAGAAACACACCTAAATATATTATTTTTAAGCATGTTCCAAGTACAGCCTGCCCAGACTTGGCCCTTCCTTTGTCATCAGCATAATGATTACACCTAGAGCTTATCAGATTTCAGCTACCATGCATTAATGGCCATCTGCTGCCCCTTGCTTACTTGACCCCTCACCTCTGTGCCCTAAAAGGGCATTGTGTAAGGATAATAAACACTCACTTTCAGGCAGACCAGAGCCAGATATGCCCATACTTCAGCATTGTAGTTGTTCAATGCATTGGCTTCAGAAAGAGCATCCTCAGCCTCTGTGAGCTCCTCCAGCTTGACAGAAAAATGAGACATGTGAGTTAGCTTAGCTGAAACCACTATGTCCCAATAATACTGGTGTATATGACCTATACCAATGGTTTTCAACTTTTTAATATTTTTAGCATCAGAACTCTTTTCTTCAAAGGAAATCTTATGTGGTGGTTCAATATATGAACCAATTAAAAGTAGAAGAGCTCTGATTAAAAAGCCAGGTCGGGGATTCTGAAGCCCTGCCTAGTAAGCTCTTAACTTATACCCCTTTCTTCCTTCCCTCTACAGCGGTCCCATCAGGACATCTATAAACCATGGAGTTTCAGGTGCAAGGTTGGAAATCCACAGGAACTCACTCTCATGTGTGCATCATTCAGTGATTTCTCCACACACAGTGGGCTGTCAGATACATTTATAGTTTTTTTTCTTTACATTGTGCATCCTTTTCTTGAGGTAAAAATCTGATTTGCCTGTTGAAATACTATTGTCCAGAAAGCTTTCTTTCCCCTAGTATCAGTTATTAACAGCCCAATCCCGAGCAATCAATGCAGTATTCAGAAACTCTAGGGTGCACTCTGGGCTCTGGGCACGTGGAAATTGTTGCTGCTTCCTAAAACTGTGAGTTTGCTTTGTTGCTTTGTAAAACATTCCAAAAGGCTCTCCCTTCCCCAGTAAAGTAGCTCTTTTTTTCCTTTCTTTTTTCTTTTCTTTTCTCTTTTCTTTCCTCTCCTCTCCTCTCTCCTCTCCCCTCCCCTCCCCAGCCACCCTTTTCTTTTCTCTTTTCTTTTCCTTTTCTTTTCCTTCCCTTCCCTTCCCCTCCCCTCCCCTCCCCCTCCCCTCCCCTCCCCTTCCCTTCTCTTCGACAGAGTCTCGCTGTACTGCCCAGGCTGGAGTGCAATGGCATGATTTCAGCTCACTGCAACCTCCGCCTCCCAGGTTTAATCGATTCTCTTGCCTCAGCCTCCCAAGTAGCTAGAATTACAGGTGCCCACCACCACACCCAGCTAATTTTTGTATTTTTAGTACAGACGGGGTTTCACCACATTGGCCAGACTGGTCTCAAACTCCTGGCCTCAAGTGATCTGCCCACCTTGGCCTCCCAAAGTGCTGGGATTACAGGCATGAACCACCTGTGTCCAGCCTACTTTTTCTGCTTTAAAATAATTAAATAATGGGTTTCTAGGCCAAAGACAAGAGATGGCCTTTCACCCACACCCATACTTTGGCCCACACTTTGAAGTCTCTGAGACATTGATTCATTATTTAATCAACCTACATTTGCCAAGGATTTGCTCTGTGTCAGGCAGTATGCTAGATGCTGGGAGTAAAAAAATAAAATCCCGTAGTCCCAGGTACTCAGGAGGCTGACGCAGGAGGATCAACCGAGCCCCGGAGGCAGGGATTGCAATGAGCTGAGATTGAGCCACTGTACACCAGCCTGGGTGACAGAGCAAGATCCTGTCTCAAGTAAATAAATAAAATACAATATCTGCCCTCAAAGGGCTCACTGACAGATGTGTGAAAAACAAAACACAGGCCGGGTGCGGTGGCTCACGCCTGTAATCCCAGCACTTTGGGAGGCCGAGGTGGGAGGATCACCTGAGGACAGGAGTTTGAGACCAGCCTGGCCAACATGGCGAAATCCTGTGACTACTAAAAACACAAAAATTAGCTGGGTGTGGTGGCACATGCCTGTAATCCCAGCTATTCAGGAGGCTGAGGCAGGAGAATCACTTGAACCCAGGAGGCAGAGGTTGCAGTGAGCCAAGATGGCGCCACTGCACTCCAGCTTGGGTGACAGAGCTATAAGAAGATACCAATACTATACTGTTAAGTCGAAAAAAGGTTACAAAGCAGTAAATATTTACATTTTATACATTAAAATTGCTTTCATATATATGAAAAAAGACGGGAGGAAAGTACATTCAAATGTTAACAGTGGTTATCACCAACTTGTGGAGTTACGGATACTTTAATGTTTTCTTCATATTTTGTATCTATTTGTCTATTTATTTTTAGAGGTGAGGTTTTGCTCTGTCACCCAGCCTGGAGTGCAGTGGCACAATCATGGCTCACTGCAGCCTCTAACTTCTGTGTTCCCACCAAGCAATCCTCCCACCTTAGCCTTCCAAGTATCTGGGACTACAGGCACATGCCACCATGCCTGGTTAATTTTTAATGTTTTTGTAGAGATGGGGGTCTTGCTCTGTTGCCCAGGTTGGTTTCTCTCAAACTCCTAGGTTCAAGAGATCCTTCAGCCTCAGCCTCCCAAAGTGCTGGAATTACAGGTGTGAGCCACTGCTCCTGGCTTCTTCTAAAGTTTCTATAATGAACACATATTATCTTTATGGCTGAAAAACAGCAATGAGGGGCTAAGTGAGGTGGCTCACACCTGTAATCCCTGCACTTTGGGGTGGATCACTTGAGGTCAGGAGTTCAAAACCAGCCTGGTCAATATGGTGAAACCCCATCTCTACTAAAAATACAAAAATTAGCCTGGCATGGTGGTGGGCACCTGTAATCCCAGCTACTCAGGAGGCTGAGGCAGGAGGATCACTTGAACCCAGGAGGCAGAGGTTGCAGTGAGCTGAGGTGACACCACTGCACCACTGCACTCTAGCCTGGGAGACAGAGCGAGACTCCATCTCAAATAAATAAATAAATAAATAAATAAGTGAGTAAGCTATTCAAAGAAAGGGAGAGACATGGAGTCAATAATATGCCTGAAGAAATTAGGCAGGAACAAGAGGATGTTTGCCTCTTTGAAGACTGGAGGAAATGAGGGAAGGTTAAGTAAAGAGTTTTTAGGAGAAGCAGAGCAAAAGCTTCTGCCAGAAGTTACAGCAACTCCTCCTGCATATCAAAGGGTCACAGTGCTTAGTAAGTGTCAATCAATTTCTTTAATTGACTTGAATAGATTCTTCATCTCCCATATCACCTTTTTCTTACAGATAATATCACAAAGGAGTGTCTATACCAAATAACATGAATTTTTTTTATTATGTAGCTTCTTGGTTCAGGTTTTTCTGGGATTTTTTAAAAAGATCTTTTATTTTTCTAGCTAGTTAAGTGACCTTCAGTTCACTGAACACCTTTGAAGAACAACTTTTCATTACAGCAGACAGCCCTGATTGCTATTCCAATGTCATCACAAACCCCCAGGATGCTTGGAAGGCCAAGGAATCAAGGTCAGCTGTATCCACAGCCCTAGTCTCAAGCCTTCATCCTCTTACCCGATAGCAGGCGATTCCCAGTCCTAGCCAGGTAAGGCATGAAGGTGATCTCTTACAGGCTTGCATATAGGTTTTCTTTGCCTTTTCATACTGTAGAAAGAAAGCACCACTAAGCTACTGTTCTAGAAGCTTCAAACCCCATATTGCTGGGATGATCATGGGATCTCTGATAATTGCTCTCCAGAACAATCTAAGTTAAGCAAGTCCTTTAATTGTACTTTGACGTCTACCTTAAGGGAGTTATCGCAAGAAGATTGGTGAGAGGAGATGGATAGATCACATGAAAGAGCAGACTTTCACTTGGAAGTAGTTCCAAAGACATTTATAGTCTCTGTAAGAGTTGAGGCAAGGAGTTACACTGAAAGTGGGGGCAACCATCATGATTATCTGAATTCCACCTCCACTTCATGGATTACTCCCTTTCACTTAAATGCAACATCATGTGGTGGCATGACAAACATACAATCTCTGGACTAAAAGGTATACTTGATACAGCCTCATCATTTTACACCTTTGTTGTAAAAGATCTTAGAATTTTAGAAAAACTCAGAAGACAAACTTTCAAAGGACATAGCCCTGAAGGGACAATTTCTTGTCCTGTATCTCCAACATGAGATACATCTATAGCTGAGCCTCAGCAAACAGCCTAAGACCTGCTTGCCCGGGGTCTGCCTAAGTCAGCAGTGCTCTGAAGATGCAGCTTTCAATGACATCAGAAAGAAAACTTCTCCTTATATACTTCACTACAGTGGGATAGGGATTTCTCTCAAGCCTATGTGAGCTTTCCACTTAACATCATACAGCATCGTAATTTCTTGTTGCTGTTGCTGTTTTATATTAAATAAAAAGACAACTGGGTGTTCTGACGGGAAAAATAGAATAAAGTCAAAACAAAAGCAGGGGAGTCAAAAGGCCTTTGGCAGAATGTTGATAATTGTTATAGTGAGATGATGGGTCCATGGTGTTTCATTCTACTATTCTGTTTGCTTTGTATGTACTGAAATTTTCCATAAAAGAAAGGTTTTGTTTTTCCAAAGAACTCGGAATATTTCCCAAAATATGGGGAGGGACTGCTTCCATGGTCAGGTCAGAGCGCCCTATGGAATGGGGTTAGCCTCAACCAGATTAAATATAACCCTTTGTGTTTAGGAGAAAGTTTGGAGAGAAGTCCTTTTGAAGCCCATGATACCTTCTGTTAAGTAAGTCAAGCTAAGGATGTTTCTACTACTGTGAATACAATTTTAGCTAGCATAACATTTACTGAGTTCTTAAGAACTGTTTAGTAGCATAATGGTTAAAATCACAGACTCTCGTTTCAGCCTGCCTGAGTTTGAATGCTGCTTCCACTAATTACTGGTTGTCTGATGTTGGGCAAGTCACTTTACCTTTGGATGTAAAAGTGTCATTATTATATTACTAGTTTTAGTCCACACAGATAGATGTTAATGCTTGAATTACAATTAGTTCCCAGACCACGGGGTTATTCCCCATTCTCTACCCCTCACCTCTTTCTCTTCCAGATAGATGAGCCCCAGTCTCAGGAAGATGAAGTGCATCTCAGAAGCATCCACTACAAAGCTAATGGTTCGTTCATAGCATGCCTTGGCCTCAGAATGATTTCCACTCAGAAAATAGAGATGGCCCTTCAGGCCCCAGACATTGGGGTTCTGGGAAAGTGAAAAGCAAGTAGTATATGGGATAAGGTAGTATTTAAAAGTACCTTGATGATCTTTGTTTAACATTTAAATTTAGATAGATTGTCCATTTCCTTTCTCTTTTCTTTTTCAGATCAACCGTTTTCTTTTTCTAAGAGCACTCAGAAACATAACCATTTAATTGTACAAGGAGACATTTTTCTAGCTCTGCCCTCAGATTTCTTTCTTGCATTCTTCAAAGCCATTTTGGGTGTGGAGTAAATATTAAGAAAAACATTCAAGCATAACCCCAATACTGTTCACATGAGAAAATATAAGAAATCTAGAAAAATTGAAATAAACACTATCAGCTAAAGATATCCTTTTCTCTGCTCTTTGCAAAACTCATGATTACTTTATTATTATTATTTTTTGAGATGGAGTCTTGCACTGTCGCCCAGGCTGGAGAGTGCAATGGCTCAATCTCCGCTCACTGCAACCTCCGCCTCCCAGGTTCAGGCGAGTCTCCTGCCTCACCCTCCTGAGTAGCTGGGATTACAGGCACCTGCCACCACGCCCATCTAATTTTTTGTATTTTTAGTAGAGATGGGGTTTCACTATGTTGGCCAGGCTGGTCTTGAACTCCTGACCTCGTGATCTGCCTGCCTCGGCCTCCCAAAGTGCTGCGATTACAGTTGTGAGCCACCGCGCCCAGCCAACTCATGATTACTTAAGAAAAGCAAATGGAAGGGTATAGAGAGATGAGTTTACTGACAGCTGATGACCACCCTTCTGTTCACCAGAAATCTACGTGTGATATGGCATCACCACCTTTAAATAAAGCCCCTTCTCCAGACTCAAGAGGCTTTAGCAAAAGTCATTACCAGGTAGTCCATCTGGGCTGCTTGTTGAAGGTATTCCTCTGCCTTGGCAAAGTTCTTCTTAAGAATGTGTGTTTGGGCCAGCACCAAGTAATATTCACAGCTGGGGCCTCCTTGAGGGCATAACAGCTCATGTGCAAGCACTCTGTGCACATACTGCAAGGATAATCAGATTATAAGCAACATATAAATGGCTGCATTGCGTCTTTTTCGGTTGAAGGATTCTGTCTCTGATAATAAATAATACGAAATGTATTACAGAATGAAATAATTATCCTCAACTTCAAAAGGTAAAGGGTGAATTACAAACATTCTGCACTTCATAGTTCCATTACCAGCTATTCACCTAGTCACCAAATGAAGACATTACCAAGTGAATAACTTGCAATATTGTACAATTCTGGTCTTGCTGGTCATCATACTAGGTGAGTGTTAGACTGCATGTATTATGCAGCAGACAAAGGCACATCATCAACCACCCCATTTACAAAGGAGGTAACATTTTCAGGCAGCTGACATTGTAAGGAAACTTAAGTGAGGTAAAACTGCCTTTCTAACAATCTAGACTTGAAATCTTAGAAACATAAATGTCTGTTTTGGATCCACCTCCAAACATTGGTTATGTTTACCAGTTTTGTAGTTTGGGTCAATTTTTGTATTTTGTTTTTTTTTTTTTCTTTTTTTAGAGACAGGGTCTTACTCTGTCACCCAGGGCTGCTTACTGCAGCCTTCTGGCCTCAAGCAATCCTCCTGCCTTGGCTTCCCAAAAGTGCTGGAATTATAGGGGTGAGCCCCATGCCTGGCCAAATCTTTGCTTTTTACACTTTATAAGACCTACAAAATTAACAAAGTTAGATATACTTCTTAAGTCGAGGGTAAATCCTTCTTTTCATCTCCCACTGTTCCCATCTCAGCCTATAATGTAGAAAATTCTACATTATACTTACACCTTTTTAGGAGAATACTAGAGGGAACAGCTGCAGCTATTTTTTCCACCTGCCTTCTGGGTCTCTGACCTGGGGGAGCTAATGACTTATTTAGCTGTGGAAGAAGAGAGTCTGTTTCTATTTTGCGGAGGGTTAATGTGTTAAAGCCTCCTGCTTAATGTGGCTCAATCCCACCCAGTTAATAATTCTTGCCCTTTCTTGAGCTTGCCTGCCCTTGAGTAGGGCATGCACTTGGCAGGATCAAAACCAAACACTCCTGGCTCCTGAGTCTTGATCTCTCCTACTGCTTGCTCATGAATATGCTTCTTTCTTCCCATGTAATAGGCAGACTTCCTAGAATGCTCTTCTTCTCTGAGAGGAGGCTTCAATTCTTCAGCTGCTCTACCTGTGACTGCATGGGTAAGTCAAATGTGGGGCTAGTTATGTTGTCCAGCCAAGTTTTACCAATAAAAATAAGCTAATATTTTTATTCCCCCACATAGTACTGTGTATGTTTCTAGTTGGATCTAACCTAGAAGGGAAGAAGGGAATGATTTGGCTCCTGTGAACCCCCAACACTCACAAAATGAATTCCCATAATAAAGTGATATCAGGCAACATATGCCTTTAGAGTCTGATTTAGCTCTGTTGGTATTCTACAGGGAGCAGAACTTGCAGCGAGGTCTTCTGCTGCCATGTGCAAAGAGTGGTTCATGTTTGGATGTTCTTTCCATTGGGCTTAAAGTATGCTCTCAAAAGCATATTTGATTTCTGTTTCACAAATATGGAAGCTTGAAAGATACCATTATGGATAGAATAAAGAGTTTGCTAAAATCTTTCCATCTACTTGCCCTTTTCCAAATACTCTGACCTGCACAGCCTTGACTTTCATCAAGAAATGTATGGTCTCCATGAAGATGGTGGTAGTTTGAGAAACACCATAATGAAGGCCGGGATGCAGAAGAGCTGATGAATCTTGACATTTTGATGCTTCTGAAAATATTACATTAAAAGGATTGAAGATTGGATATAACAGAAAAAGTGTCAGAAATTCAGACACATTCGGGTGGGTGCGGTGGCTCACGCCTGTAATCCCAGCACTTTGGGAGGCCGAGGCAGGCAGATCACGAGGTCAGGAGTTCGAGACCATCCTGGCCAACATAGTGAAACCCCGTCTGCACTAAAAATACAAAAATTATCTGGGCATGGTGGAACGTGCCTGTAATCCCAGCTACTTGGGAGGCTGAGGCAGGAGAATCACTTGAACCAAGGAGTCAGAGGTTGCAGTGAGCCGAGATTGCGCCACTGCACTCCAGCCTGGCAACAGAGCAAGACTCCATCTCAAAAAAAAAAAAAAATTCAGACACTATTCACTTGGCAGGGAGAGTCTTCTTATCTAATACATGAGAGGGATCATAATCTAGAAAGCAATTGACTGCTCTCTAGCAATGGTCCCCAAAAAGGAGCACTCAAAGGTTCTCAAGGTAAATCTACTTGTGGTTCCAAATGCAAGTACAACCAAATAAAAAGGTTTAAAAAGGTATTCAGATCTTCTTGAATGTGAAACACAGTTTGTAGATGTTTTTTAAAAACGAAGAACTGTTAGGAAATCATAGATCTGTAGTTGGCTACTTCTGTGAGCTAAATATAAAATCCTTGCTTACTGAGAGAGTTACACCATTGAGTTTGGATTTCAGAGCCTGGTTATCAACTTCAAACAAGTCAGGATTGCCATTTCATCATCGTAAGAGTCTTCATCCTTGTCTAGCTTATGCCCCTCTTCCAAGTGGAAATCTTTATTTCTAGTTACCTTTCTTTGTTGGTATCTCCTTGATAAATGTGTTAGATGGTTTTTGGCTTATACTTGGATCCCAAGTTTGTGTAGTCAAAATGGGTTCTTGTGAATCAGACTGCAGTTTGGAGGATTCTTCAAGAAATTTGTCTAGAATAGATAATGCAGCTCCTGGTCCTAAATAGATTACATTTTAATGAAAAATAAAACTTCTTACATTGGGTGTTTAAAGGTTATTGTAAGAGATACATTTTGCAAAGCATAAGAAACATATTCCCTAAATATTTCATGAAGGACAGACTTGTTTGGTAGACTTGTTTATATTTTTTAATAATTTAAAGAGTATAAGCTAAACTGACAAAACAGTTTCTGTCACTGTGACTCCCCAGTACAACCATGCTGCTAGTCCAAGTCATAATATCAAACAGATCCCTATTTTAAGTTATTAAAAAAATAAATAAATCTTTTTATTTAAACATTTACATACAGATCTTTGCAAGGATACGTTTGTTTCAGTTGGGTTAAGATCTAGGAGTGAGGCCGGGCGCGGTGGCTCATGCCTGTAATCCCAGCACTTTGGGAGGCCGAGGCAGGTGGATCACGAGGTCAGGAGATCCAGTACCATCCTGGCTAACGCAGTGAAACCCCATCTCTACTAAAAATACAAAAAGTTAGCCGGGCACGGTGGCAGGCACCTGTAGTCCCAGCTACTCGGGAGGCTGAGGCAGGAGAATGGCGTGAACCCAGGAGGCGAAGTTTGCAGTGAGCCGAGATCACGTCACTGCACTCCAGCCTCGGCATAGAGCGAGACTCCGTCTCAAAAAAAAAAAAAAAAAAAATAGGAGTGAAACTGCTGGCATGTGTATGTATGTTTAAGCTTATTTCAAAACTTGTCAGTTTCGTCCTCACTTTAGTAGCACACATACTAAAATTGGAACAGCACAGAGAAGATTAGCATGGCCCCTGCACAAGGATGACTCACAGATTCCTGAAGCATTCCACATTTTAAATGGCATGTAACAAAATATCACTCCATAAATACGTACAAATACTATATATCAATTAAAAAAATAAGAGGTTGGGGCCGGGCGTGGTGGCTCACAGCTGTAATCCCAGCACTTTGGGAGACCAAGGTGGGCAGATCATGAGGTCAGGAGATCAAGACCATTCTAGCTAACACGGTGAAACCCCATCTCTACTAAAAATACAAAAAATTAGCCGGGCCTGGTGGCGGGCGCCTGTAGTCCCAGCTACTCGGGAAGCTGAGGCAGGAGAATGGCGTGAACCCGGGAGGCAGAGCTTGCAGTGAGCCCAGATGGTGCCACTGCACTCCAGCCTGGGCGACAGAGCAAGACTCTGTCTCAATAAATAAATAAATAAATAAATAAATAAATAAATAAATAAATAAATATAAGAAGTTGGGCGAGGTGACTCACGCCTGTGAGCCCAGCACTTTGGGAGGCTGAGGCAAGAGGACTGCTTAAGCTCAGGAGTTCAAGACCAGCCTGAGAAACACAGTGAGACCTCATCTCTACTAAAACAAAAATTAGCCAGGCATGGTGTTGCACACTTGTAGTCCCAGCTACTCTTGAGGGACTGAGGTGGGAGGACTGCTTGAGCCTTGGAGGTAGAAGTTGCAGTGAGCCATGATTTTGCCACTGCACTCTGGCCTGGGTAACACAGCGAGACTCTGTCTTAAAAAAAGAGAAAAGAAAAGAAAAATAACCTTTAAAAATTGCCGTTTATTGGAAAGCCATGTAAGTATATGAAAAAAAAAAGAAAAAACTTACCAGTTTTCTCAAGTGGTTACACCATTTTGCATTCTCACCAGGAATGTTTGAGAGTTCCAGCTACTCCACATCCTTGTTATAAATTTGTCTTATCAATCTTTTTAATTTTAGCTATCCCGGTGATAAATTACACTGATTTTCAAATGTGAAACTGATCTTACAACCCTGCTTAAATATATCTTTTCTATATGTTGCTGAAATTGATTGGCTAATATTTGTTAAGAATTATTGTGTCTAACCAGGTGTGGGGCCTCATGCCTATAATCCCAGCTATTTGGGAAGCTGAGGTGGGAGGATCACTTGAGGCTAGGAGTTTGAGACCAGCCTGGGCAACATAACAAAACCTTGTCTCTTAAAAAAGAATAATAATAATAAAATTAAATAAATAAATAAGTATTGTGTCTAGGCTTATGAAAGTTATTTGTATGTACTCTTCTTTCTTTGGGATGGCTTTGTCTGGTTTTGATACCAGGGTGATTACTGTTCTCAAATTATGAGTTTGTAAGTGTTCTCTTTTTCTCTATTTTTTGAACATGTGGTATGATTGGAATTATTTCTTCCTTAAATATTTAATAGAATACACTAATAAAGCCTTTTGGGCCTGAAGTTTTCTTTGTGAGAGGTTTTTATTACCCATTTAACCTCCTTAGGAGATATAGGGCTATTCAGATTGTTTCTTCCTGAGTACATTTTGTTAGTTTATGTCTGTCAAGGTATTCATACATTTCATTTAAGTTGTTAAATTTGTTGGCATTAAGTTGTTAATAACTTCTCCTTATTAACTTTTTAATATTTATAAGATTTTCAGTGATGTCCTCTCTCTCATTTGTGATATTGGTAATGTGACTTCTTTTTTTCCCTGATCAGATTTATCTGTTTCATTGATCTTCTGAAAGAAACAGCTATTGGTTTCATTGATTGTCTCTATTTTTGTCTGTTTTCTATTTCACTGATTTCTATTCTGGGCTATTATTTCCTTCCTTTTACTTATTTTGGGTTTAATTTGATTTTCTTGTTCTAGCTTCTTAAGGTAGAATCTTAGATCATTGATTTTAGACTTCTCTTATTTTCCAATATAAGCATTTACAGCTATAAACTTCTCTCTAGAAAATAATTTAGCTAATTCCACACATTTTGCTTTGTTTTGCTATCATTATCATTAAGTTCAAACTATTTTCTAATATCCTTTGTGATTTCTTCTTTGACCTGTGGGTTGATTATTTATTTATTTAGATCTGTATGTATTTATTTATTGAGACAGACTCTCACTGTCACCCAGGCTGGAGTGCAGTGGCACAATCATGGCTCACTGCAGCCTCAACCTCCCAGGCTCACGTGATCCTCCCACGTGAGCCTCCCTAGTAGCCGGGACTACAGACATGCCACCACACCTGGCTATTTTTTTTTTTTTTAATTTTTGTAGAGATAGAGTTTTGCCATTTTGTGCAGGCTGGTCTCAAACTCCTGGCCTCAAGTGATCTGCCTGCCTTGGAGACCTGTGAGTTATTTAGAAGTGTATATTTCCAAATACTTGAAGTTTTCCTATATATCTAGTGATGAGATGGTAAATGTTTAACTGCTGGCTGTCAGGGGTGTGGGTGGAGCCTGGTTTGCTGATTTCCATGACGTAAATTCTCCTACCATGGCCAATTTCAAACTACCGATGTTATGTCATTGAATATAGAGTTTCAATCCCATTACTGGGTATATATCCAAAATAAAACAAATCTTTCTACCAAAAGGACACATGTGATTGCAATATTCACAGTAGTAAAGACATGGAATCTAGCTAAGGTGCCCATCAATGGTGGTCTGGATAAAGAAAATGCAGTACATATACACCAAGGAGTACTGCGCAGCACAAAAAAGAACAAAATCATGTCTTTTGCAGCAACACGGATGCAGCTGGAGGCCATTATCCTAAGTGAATTAATGCAGGAACAGAAAACCAAATACTGCAAGTTCTCACTTATAAATGGAAGCTAAACACTGGGTACTTGTGGACATACCGACGTGATTCTAGTGAAAGAGAAGGTGGGGAAAAGGGGCTGACTGGGTTCTCCCCCAGCTCCTCCTAATGAAAAGAAATAAAAAGAAGCCAGGGATCCCCCAAAGCCAAATAAGCTCATGGATCAACTCATCCATATTGAGGCTGGGGAAGGCTGGGGAAGGCTGGGGAAGGCTGGAGAACGAAGCAGCCATGCGGATGGCCTGAGCCACATGCAGAGAGGAGGAGCGGAGGGGAGGATTGGGCAGCTGGCCTGGCTAGCTATCGGGGTGGAGGGGCAAGGCCAGGGCCAGCTTACCCTGAAAATCCCCCTCACACATATCCAAAACTGCACCACTCATGTCACACAGCTGCAAGAACACAATGACAGGATTCAGAGAAAGGAATGAACATCACAAAACATGAATGTCACACACACAAAAAAAAAAACTATGCCAATATCATAGTCCCAGGCGGGCCACACCAAACCATGATGGATTCTACACTGGCTTAGAGATCTGAATGTATGGTACAAAACAACAGTCTGCTGCCAAAAGGACATTAAAACAGGGTCTGCATGGGGCTCCCTGTAACTGGGATTACAGGTGTGCACCACCACACCCGCCTAATTTTTGTATTTTCAGTAGAGACAGGGGTTTTACCATGTTGACCAGGCTGGTCTTGAACTCCTGACCTAGGATGATCTGCCTCCCTCGGCCTCCCAAAGTGCTGGGATTACAGGTATGAGCCACCATGCCCAGCTAATAAGTTATATTTTTATTTTCATTCAGTTCAAATTTTCAAATTTCCCTGTGACTTCATCTTTCATTAGAGGAATATTTAGATATGCGTTGATCATTTCTAAGTGTTTAGAAATTTTCCTGTTATCTTTTTTTTTTTTTTTTTTTTTTTTGAGATAGAGTCTTGTTCTGTTGCCCAGGCTGTAGTGCAGTGGCCCAATCTCAGCTCACTGCAAACTCTGCCTCCGGAGTTAAAGTGATTGTCCTGTTTCAGCCTCCCAAGTAGCTAGGATTACAGTCGTGCACCACCACACCCAGCTAATTTTTGTATTTTTAGTAGAGACAGGGTTTCCCCATGTTGGCCAGGCTGGTCTCAAACTACTGACTTCAAGTGAGCTGTCAGCCTTGGCTTCCCAAAGTGCTGGGATTACAGGCGTGAGCCAAGAGCCACCACACCTGGCCAGATTTTCCTGTTATCTTTCTATTACTGATAACTAGTTTGGTTCTGTCATGGTCTGAGATCATACATTGTATGATTTCAATTCATTTAAGTGTGTTAAGGTCAGTTTTATTGCCTAGGATATAGTTTGTCTTGGTGATGTTCCATGTGCACTTGAAAGAATGTGTACCTTGCTGTTGTTGGGTGATCTATAATATCAATTGGATCCCACTGGTTAATGGTGCTGTTCAATTTTTCTATATTCTGTTAATTCTCTGTCTAGTGGTTCTATCAAATACGGAGATAGGGGTGAGACACACCCAACTCTAAGTATGAATTTGTCTGCATCTCCCTTCGGCCCTGTTAGTTTTTGCTTCATTATCTTAAAAAGCTGTGTTGTTTAGTGCAAACACACTTAGAACTGGTATGTCTTCTTGGTGAATTAACCCTGTTATTGTTCTTTAATGTTTCTCTTTGTCTCAATTGATTTTCTTTGCTCTGGAGTCTTCTTTGTCCATTATTAACACAGCTACTCCAGCTTACTATTATTGGTTCATAAGCTCTTATTGTTTATCCTTTTATGCTTAATTTATCTATATCACTATATTTGTTTGTGGATTTTGGGGGACAGGTTCTCACTATGTTGTCCAGAGTGGTCTCAAACTCCTGGCCTCAAGCGATCCTCCCACCTCAGCCTCCCAAAGCACTGGGATTACAAGCATGAGCCACTACACTCAGCCTATATCATTATATTTGAAATGAGGTTCCTGTACACAACATATAGTTGAGGTTTTAAAAATTATTATTTAAAGTCAGTCTATGTCTTTTAATTTGTATGTTTAGACCATTTGCATTGAATGTAATTATGTTAGTTTCCTATTGCTGCTGTAACAAATTACTACAAGCTTAGTGGCTTAAAACAACACAAACATATTATCTCATAGTTCTCAAGGCCAAAAGTCTGAAATCAGTTTCACTGGATTAAGGTCAAGATTTGACAGGGCTAGCTCCTTCTGGAGGCTCTAAGGGAGAATTTATTTCCTTGCCTTTTCAGCTTGTGGAGGCTACCTATATACCTTGGTTTGTAGCCCCTTTCCTCCAACTTCAAAGCCAGAAGCATAACATCTTCAAATATCTTTCTCTAGCCCTCTGATTCCGTTATCACATTGTCTTTTTTTTTGTCTGTGACTTCTCCTGCATCTCTCATATAAGGACCCTTGTGGTTACATTGGACCTACCCAGACAATCCAAGATAATCTCCCCATTTCAAGATTCTTGACCACATTTGCAAAGTCTCTTTTGCTATATAAGGCAACAGTTCCAGGTCCCAGGGATTAGGACATGAACATCTTTGGAGGAGCCATTGTTTAGCCTACCATAGTATTTATTTATGTTAGGATTTAAGTTTGCCATTTTAGTATTTGTTTTCTATTTGTTCTCTCTGCTTTTTATTCTACTATTTTCCTTTTTCTGCCTTCCTGTGAATTATGCGAACATTTTTTAGTATCCCATTTTGACTTATCTATAGTGTATTAGAGTATATGTAATTGTGGTTTTTTTTTAATGGTTGCTGTTAAGACAGAGCTGCAAACTATAGCCTATGGGCCATATATGACCTGCCACATATATATATATATATATATATATATATATATATATATATATATATATATATATATATATATATAAAAGTTGTTTTGGGACACAGTCACATCCATTTTTAAATGCATCATCTATGACTGCTTTCACATTACATTAGCAGAGTTGATTATTTATGACAGAGACCAGATGGCCCACTTTCAAATTACTGTTTTAAAAAATATTTTATACTTGCAACTTGTAAGAGGGTTTGCCACACCACTTCATGCTGCTTCCATTACTGTAAATTGAACATTAGTCTTATAAATGTGATTTCAGCTGATAGAATGGAAACTAAATTACAAGAGGTAGGCAAATTAGATATATAAGAAACTGAGACAAATTAAATGGAACACATGTACATTGCTCCATTAGTGATATATGGAAGTAGAGAAATACAATACTAGGTTAAATTAAGGCAGGCAAGAGATTGGGCTATTTTGAATTACCAACAGAAGAATGTGTTGGACATGGGCTATGAGTCTAGATGAAGAAGATGGAGACTTCCAGTTAAACAGAGTAGATAGGCTATGTATATATATTTCCTTATTCTTATTTCGAAAATCTCACTAAAATGAGAATTTAAAATGTATAAACCTACAAAGATGAAGAAAACAGAAGAGGAAAAGTAAACTACAAGAAATATCAAAAAACCTTTGAAGGACAGAAAAGTAGATGGGAAGGACTTCTGCTTCTGGCAATTATTGACTGGGTCATTCAGACCAATTTCCCACTGAGGGCAACCAGAAAAGGTGAACAAAATATATATTTTTAAAACATGCTTGAATATACCAGAGAGCTAACCAGATAGACTCTCTAAGCTCACATCTAGGAAATGCAGAAACCCAGGGTTTCAGTTCATCATTTGAAACTATATTTTCTTTTTTTTTTTTTTTTTGAGACGGAGTCTCACTCTGTCGCTGAGGCTGGAGTGCAGTGGCACCGTGTCGGCTCACTGCAACCTTTGTCTCCTGGGTTCAAGCAATTCTCCTGCCTCAGGCTGCTGAGTAGCTGGGATTACAGGCGCCCACCACCACACCTGGCTAGTTTTTATATTTTTAGTAGAGATGGGGTTTCACCCTGTTGGCCAGTCTGGTCTTGAACTCCTGACCTCAGGTGATCCACCCATCTCAGCCTCCGAAAGTGCTGGGATTACAGACATGAGCCACCATTCCAGGCCTGAAACTATATTTTCTTGCATGGGTATATGAGTTTCAAGGGTGAGACTGAGAGTCTGGCAGGCTCAACTTTACTTTTGATTGACTCTCAAGGATGTGTATGGCAGACACTGGTAGACAATGACCACCAGAAGGAATTTGAGTTGAGATACCAAAGAGCTACACTCTAAGAGTAAAGGATGAAACTGAAATAGGCCTTCACAGGAATTATAAGTCATCTTCAAATCCTTGGCCTGGCGCGGTGGCTCACGCCTGTAATCCCAGCACTTTGGGAGGCCGAGGCGGGCGGATCATGATGTCAGGAGATCAAGACCAGCCTGGCGAACATGGTGAAACCCCGTCTCTACTAAAAATACAAAAAATTAGCCGGGCGTGGTGGCGGGTGCCTGTAGTCCCAGCTACTCAGGAGGCTGAGGCAGGAGAATGGCGTGAACCCGGGAGGCGGAGCTTGCAGTGAGCCGAGATCGCACCACTGCACTCCAGCCTGGGTAACAGAGTGAGACACCGTCTCAAAAACAAACAAACAAACAAACAAAAAAATCCTCTTGATCCCTCAAACTAAATTAGTTTACCAACAGAGTGTCCTATATATGATTTAAAAATAACCAGACACACAAGGATACCTGACAATATGAACCAAAACAAATAAAAAGGAGAGAAAATATAAATAGTGCCACAGGAGGTTGGGACACAAACTTTATAGTTGCCAAGGCCAGCTCGGTCATGGAGACCCTAACCCAGTGGCGCTAGAGGAATTAAAGACACACACACAGAAATATAGAGTGTGGAGTGGAAAATTGGGGCTGACAGCCTTCAGAGCTGAGAGCCATAAACAGAGTATTACCCACATATTTGTTGACAGCAAGCCAGTGATAAGCATTGTTTCTATAGATTATGGATTAGCTAAAAGTATGCCTTATGGGAAACAAGGGGATGGGCCGAAACAAAGGGATGGGCTCTGGCTAGTTATCTGCAGCAGAAACATGTCCTTAAGGCACAGATCACTCATGCTATTGTTTGTGGTTTAAGAACGCCTTAAGCAGTTTTCCCCCTTGGGTGGGCCAGGTGTTTCCTCGCCCTCATTCCAGTAAACTCACAACCTTCAGCATGGGCGTTGTGGCCATCACAACATTTCACAGTGCTGCAGAGATTGTGTTTATGGCTAGTTTGGGGGCCAGTTTATGGCCAGATTTGGGGGCCTGTTCCCAACAGTAGTCACTGTGATCAAGAAGATAAAGGTCAGATTAAGAATTTAATCAGAGAACAGTAAACTATAATAAAAGTGATGAAATGGGAATTTCAGAGCCTATTGCTCCTACACTACAAATGTGTACAGGCTGTTACTGTACTGAATACTGGAGGCAACTATAATACAATGGTAAGTATTTGTGTATCTAAACATAGAAAAGGTACAGTAAAAATACAGTATTATAATATCACGGGACCACTGTCACATATGTGATTCATCATTGACTGAAACGTTATGTGGTACATGACCACATTTTTATGTGTATGAAAAAACGATGCTTTGATTATGTAGGAAAATATTCTTAATCCTAGGTGATATATGCAAATATATTTTTTCTATTTTATTATTTATTAATGTGTATTGTAGAATAAACTTATTTTATGCATGCATGGCCTCAATATGTTTATTACTCATACTTTTCTTAGGAAGCTTCTGGAGGATGTGCTCCACCAAAATGAGGAAGCAAAGTATGAAAGAGGAAGGCACAGAATCCAAGAAATGATGCATCTTGAAGTTAAAGGAGATTTTCAGAATCACAGCAAAGGAACATCCCAGGAGAAGAGTTACCCATCAGGCCTAGAGGGTAAGCACTGAGAACTGAAGAAGGAAGATAGAAGGCTTTGGAGGAAGAAATATCTCTAGGGGGGAAAAATGGACTGATGCATTTTAACATCTATCTATCTATCTATCTATCTATCTATCTATCTATCTATCTATCATCTAACTATTTTTTTGAGATGGAGTCTGGCTCTGTCACCCAGGCTGGAGTGCAGTGGCGCAATCTGATCTCACTGCAACCTCTGCCTCCCAGGTTCAAGTGATTCTCCTGCCTCAGCCTCCTGAGCTGCTGGGACTACAGGTGCCCACCACTACACCCAGCTAATTTTTGTTTTTTTAGTAGAGACGGGTTTCGCCATATTTGCCAAGCTGGTCTGGAACCCCTGACCTCAGGTGATCCACCCGCCTTGGCCTCCCAAAGTGCTGGGATTACAGGTGTGAGCCACCGTGCCCGGCCAAACATATCAAAAACATTGATGGGCACTTGACAATACTTTTGAAGCATGCGGGGGAAAAAGGCAAAAGGAACACAGAATACTAAGTTTTCTGAATAAATTAGGCAATTTTTAGTTCTTGGAAAAATAAAGCTATAAAAGAACAAAAAAATACAGAAAGTGGCTCAGCAGAGAATAGTATGTTTATAGAAATAATAATATAAACATTGATATTGATGTGTCTTACCTGTCTAATATATCTCAGGTTCTGTCAATGCCATAGACCCTCAGGTGCATGCTCTGTATCAGGCACTTTGGCAACTACTTCTCTATGAGAGGCCCAGTCACAGTCCTGCTGCTAAGGCTGACTGCCAGCACTTGGGTTCATGGAGTCCTACTACCTAGGAACTACTTATTTCTTCACCAAAGAGAGCCAGGCCCTCCCTGACCCCTTGGTAGGACAGTTAGTTCAACCAGCCACATAATCTGAGTTCCTGGCTCTTCCCACCACTTCTGGATTGGACAGAATTCTACACTTTAGGGTATGGCATATGACTTCTCAAGCAGGTACCAAATGGACCAGACTATAGAACTTGGAAGTATGGGTCCAATTAACTCCACAGGTGATTAATTTTGACCAGCGGAAGAGAAGAGACAAAATAACAGATTCTCTTTCCTTCTTCCTTCCCATATTATTCAGTCATGGTTTCCCTATATAGCCTGAATGCTTGGAGATGTCCCACAAGACTAAGCAAGTTTACCTGCAAAGCAACCAGCTGCATTCTTTGCAGTTTATCATAATGAAATGGCCAATGTAGACATAAGGTGTCACCTTACATTGGTTCATATCCTTTGTTGCCTCTCTTACTGTTTTTTCCTCACTCTGCCTGTTCTGAAATTAACTCTTCTAATTAAAGTATTAGCATTAAATTCTTGACTCAGGCTCTATTTTATATTAAATCCAGGCTAATAGAATTGATTTTACAACAAAAAATTGTTATGATTACATAAAGATGATGAACATCAACTGAAAAAGAGCAACATTTCAAACTCAAAAAAAGAGACATACTTAAACTTTAGAAGCATAAATCAATAATTAATTAATTTATTTATTATTATTATTTTTTTTTGAGATGGAGTCTCACTCTGTTGCCCAGGCTGGAGTGCAGTGGTGCGGTTTTGGCTCACTGCAACCTCTGCCTCCTGGGTTCAAGCGATTCTCCTGCCTCAGCCTCCTGAGTAGCTGGGACTACAGGCCTGTGCCACGGGTCCAGCTAATTTTTTGTATTTTTGGTAGAGACAGGGTTTCACCATGTTAGCCAGGATGGTCTCGATCTCCTGACCTTGTGATCCGCCTGCCTCGGCCTCCCAGAGTGCTGGGATTACAGGCATGAGCCACCGTGCCCGGCAAATCAATGATTTAAATAACATATATAGAGAAGAGTAACAAAACCAAAACCTGGTTCTTTGAAAAGATTATGTTAGGCCTTTGTCAAGACTTATCAAGAGAAAAAGGCAAAGGATGCAAATAAACAAAATGCAAGTTGAATGGGGTAATTACTAACAAAATCCATATTAAAAATAACAAGAGGCTGGTCGTGGTGGCTTATGCCTGTAATCCCAGCACTTTGGGAGGCCGAGGCAGGCAGATTGCCTGAGGTCAGGCATTCGAGGCCAGCCTGGGCAACATGGTGAAACCCCATCTCTACTAAAAATACAAAATTAGCCAGGTGTGGTGGCACATATCTGTAGCTCCAGCTACTTGGAAGGCTGAGGCAGGAGGATTGCTTGAACCTGGGAGGCAGAGGTTGCAGTGAGCCAAGATCTCACCACTGCACTCCAGCCTGGGTGACAGAGCAAGACTCCATCTCAAAAAAAAAAAAAAAAGACTTGTAGATGAATGTCCATAGTAGTTTTATTTTAATAGTTCCAAACTAAAAACAACACAGGTATCTATCAACAGGTGAATGGATGAACTAATTGTGGTATATCCATACAATGGAATACTACTTAGCGATAAAAAGGGATGAAATATTGATATAAGCAACAACATGTTTAAATCTCAAAGTAATTATGCATAGATAAAAAAGAGTACATACTGTGTGATTCTATTTAATTCTGGAAATTCTAGAAAATTCCAGGTGTTTTCTAGAATTCAAAAATTCTAGAAAATGCAAACTTATCTATGATGATAGAAAGTAGACTAGTAGTTGTCTGGAAATGGGAGCAAGAGAAAGAGATGCCCACAACTGGGCATGAGGAAAATTTTAGGGACAATGAATATGTTCATTATGTTGATTGTGGTGATGTTTTCTTGATTGTGTACATATGTCAAAATTTATCAAATTGTACATATTAAATATGTGCAGTTTTTGAAATGTCAATTACACCTCAAACTGTTAAAAAATGTAGGCACACAAAATAATAATACACACATGCAAGGAACACACAAACAAAAACACACATACCACACAGAATGACTGGAGGAAAAGAGAATCACAGAACAGCAGGGGAAAGGGAGTACATAAATAAATACATTTGAGAATCATAAGAGAGGGACTCTATGTGGTAGAGAGAAAAGTGAGGGGGGAAAAATGAAATTTACTCTGTTAGAATGGTGCCCCTTTTAAAGACAGTAAATTCTCTAAGATTAAAACAATTGAATCTCAACAGTAGAAGTTTCAGACCACTAATCATATGAATGAGGAAATATTTAGAAGTTCAGAGTTTTTCCTGGTATCCCTGAAATAACTCAAACTCAATGTATTCATTCATTTAACAAATATTTACTGAGTGCCTACCATGTGCCAGCTTCTGTTCTTAGGGCCAGTACTTTTCTTTTTATTTTTTAAATTTTGTTTTAGAGATAGGATTATGGTCACTCAAGCTGGAGTGCAGTGGCATGATCACAGCTCACTGCAACCTTGAACTCCTGGGCTCAAGTGATCCTCCCATCTCAGCCTCCCAGGTTGCTAGGACTACAGGTGTGAGCCACCACACCTGGCAGTAATTTTTCTAATAGCCACTCTTCACCTCTATTCCCTGGCTCTACCTGCTGGGGCTTCCACCTTGATTGCTGTTGCAGAACCATTTGTGATTCCCCAAGGGCCTAAACTAGATTCTCTCTTCCCTCTTTCCTCAGTGTCTTCTACACCAGTGCTCTTTTGCTTTGTTACTTGTGCCTGAAGCATCCGTGCCTGAAGCTGTTTGGAGGCCTCATGAAATGCCATTTCCATTCGAATATCATTGTTTTGAATTTCATAGTACAAACCTGGGGAAAGAAAAATGTTGAAATACATATGACTATTTTCCCACTATCATATACTAAAGAATTGTATTTCACTTATTTTTCCCATATTTTACCAAAGTTTAAGAACTACATGATGAGCCATTGAAGAAGAGAAAGGAAAAAGGGAAAATCTTATAATGGGGAGAAAACACATTCAGATTACAAGAAAATATCTACCAAGTAAAGTCCAGGCTACAACATTAGTTGGTTCCAAGCAAGTAGCATCCTCAAAGAAAATTTCTGCTTGCTCATAGTTCTCCAACAGGACAGCCAGGACACCACACAGCAACAAGCTGAGAAAAGATCACCAACATGATTAACAACACGGTCCCATGTCACATTTATGGAACCAAGACAATTTCACGTAGAAACTTATCTGTTCCTTCCCACTGATTCCTCATCTCCCTTCCACCTATACCTGTGGATATGACTCTGGTTGAGGGAAAGGGCTTTCTGAAAACACTCTTGTGCTTTGATGTTGTCTTCAGTTAGGAGGCAGAAGGCACCATAGTCCAACCAGTGATCCAGATTCTGGGGCTCACGGACCAATCTCTAAGCATCAGGAGAGCCAAGGTTATTGTGATACTATGTCCTATTTTTATGCATACGACATCACATGGTAAACACTGTAAATACTGTAAGTTCTATGAAAGCACAGATTGTGACTTCTTTTTTGCTTATCACTGAATCTCAAATGCCTAGTGCAATCACTGTTCTGGCCTTTAGTAGGTGGTTGAAAAAAGTATTAATATAATTAAAAATTTGAATCATCAAGCTATTTGTTCCTAGTGTCAGTATTCTGGTCACTTTAAACTCATCTAATACCTTGGGAGCCTAAAGATTCATTGTATTGTATATCAACCATATATAATAATTTCTGCAGTAATCTTCAGATGGCAAATATAAGTTTATCTACAAATCTGAAAAATGCACTTCATGATGAGTGAAAACTATAAAAATTGCTTAAATAAATTTAGAAAGACATAAATAAATGGAAAGACATTTCATGTTCATGGATTGGATGACTTAATATTGTTAAGATGTCAATACTATCCAAAGCAAGCTACAGATACAAGGCAATCCCTATCAAAATCCCAGTGAAATGCCTCAAAATTCTCAAAAAGTTAAACACAGAATTACCGTATGTCTCAGCAATTTCATTTGTAAGTATATAGCCAAAATAATTAAAAATAGGTACTCATATGAATGCTTATGTGCAAATATTTTTTAGTTTTGAGAGTGCTTTATATTCTGGATACAAATCCTTTGTCATACATATGTTTTATAAATATTTTCTCCTAATCTGTACTTTTCCTTTTCTTTCTCTTATGACCTCCATAGAGCAAATGTTTTTAACTTTGCTCTATGGAGCAAAGTTATCCATTTATCACATTTTTCTTTGATCGATCATGCTTCGGTGTCACGTCTAAGAACTCTACCTGATTCCAGGTCAAGATTCTGTCCTATGTTTCTTCTAAAAGTGTTGTAGTTTTACATCTTACATTTAGATATATGTTCCATTTGGAGTTGAGTTTTGTAAAATGTTTAAGGTTGAGGTTTATTTTATTTTTTGCAATTGTTCTAACACTATTTACTGAAAAGACTATCCTTTCTCCATTAAATTTCTTTTAGGTTTGTCAAAAATTGAATGACCTTATTGGTGGGAACCTATTTTTGGACTTTATTGTTCTATGTGTCTACCCTTTCACCAATCAAGTTGGATTTTAAACAATCAAAAATTACTATTATGCCCATATTTCACAAATAATAGTAACAATCACTGGGAAGATGTTTAATTACCTCTTTATAATATGCTGCTGCCATCTCAAAGTTCTCATTGACTTCTGCTTCAAATGCAAAGAGTTGAAGCTGTTCACTGCTTGTATAAATGGTTGCAACAGTGCCTTGGACATCATCTGGCATGGTCTTGTCAATGTCAAGATGTTAGGTAGACAAAAATGAAACAATTACAAGTAGAGAGGTTTCATAAGCATAAATCCGATGTGAGATCCAGTTATGACGTCTAAAATGTTACTGATTGATGTCTATAATGACAGTCTTGCCAAAAAAGTAAAAGAATAAGAGTGAACCAGGAGAGAAATGTCAAGGGTGAAGGAGAAGCTCAGGTATCTGAATACCAACAGTCTGAGCTCATGGAAGTAAGTAAAAATTGCTTAGGGCAGAAATAACTGCCTCAACCCTCAGGGCATTCATAGTCCCTATGCAGGTCACCTCTGACCTCAAACAGCTTCCTTCATTTTCTGTAGTGTATATGACAAATACTATCATTTTTTTGTGTCATGACATGAAAAAGGTTGGCAAGCCCTCGCTAGGGTCTTTAAATGTGAAGAAAACAGGAGATTAAGGGTAAACCTTTAGAAGCCAAATCTATAGTTTTAGTAGGAAATATAGACTGATAGATCCTTCAAAGGAAACAAAAAGGTAGGAGGAAAACCAGAAAAAGAATATATCCTATACACAAAGATTGGGAGAGCAGGTCTGGTGTAATTAGGAATCTCCTGAGTCAGAAGCTATGGTCAAGAAAGAGTCCACAAAATTCTTTAATTAGAAGTCAAAATAATATCAGTGATTTTAATAAGGATAATTGCTAAGAAATGTGGACAGTAAAGCCAAATTTGAGATAGGCCAAAGAGAGTTTCTGATCATTGATTAATACTTTTGTCCTGTTCTTTTTAGTTTTGATTATCTTGACCCCCAAATCCCTGCAGCGATGCACTTCTACACCCAAAACAGAATACTCTAATATCCCACTCCCAGAACCAACACTCCATGTCTTGTCTTCCACCTTTTTGTTACTTAGCCCACTGAAAACTGCTGACTTTATTTCCTTCAGTTCCAATAAGCCCATCACTTCCCAGATGGATCAGTCTGAACCTCATGATAACCCACTCAGGCTACTTTCTCACCAGCATACTTTCATCTCAGGCATCCTTGTCCTTCTCCTGCATTTGTCCTGAAAATTCTCAACTTAAAACAATAGCACAATCTGACTTCTTCATTCCAAGACAAGAGCAGCTAACTGGTCCTAAGGAAAACTGCATAGACACAGAGATTGGTATCTAAGCTGCCACAAGCTCTTGTGGCATTCAGTCTTAGCTGGAGACCTTTAATACCCTTAGTAATCTATGTATTTGTCTTTGCTTAGCAGCATATTCCATAATGCTTTGCAGTATCTAAGTTTTCTTCTCTTTCTTCAAGTTTTTCATTCAATCCTCATCTCCTTCACTTTCAGTAAAGACCTTACTTCACAGAGATAATAGAAATCATTAAGTAAGAAATCCCTCAACTATTATACTCCCTAGCTAAATTATTTATTTCTGGATCTATTGTATCGCTTTCTTTTCAGTCTCAGAGAAAGAGGTATTGCAGCCTGCACTGTTCCAAAGTTAATCCTTCCATTTAAATTCTTGGTCCTTTCCCAGGTGTATACCCTGAGCCTGCCATCAATTATCCCCTCTCTTTCCTCAATTTTCAGCTTCTCCCACTCTGCTGACTTTTTCCCAAACCTGTGGATGTGCTCAAGTCTTTTTCATCTTAAAAAGAAAATCCCAGGCCAGGAGCGGGTGGCTCATGCCTGTAATCCCAGCACTTTGGAAGGCCATGGCTGGTGGATCGCTTGAGTCCAAGAGTTCGAGACCAGCCTGGGCAACATGGTGAAACCCCATCTCTACAAAAAAATACAAAAATTAGTTAGGCGTGGTGTGCACCTGTAGTCCCAGCTACTTGAGAGGCTGAGGTGGCAGGATTGCTTGAGCCTGGGAAGTTGAAGCTATAGTGAGCCATGATTGCACTGCTGCACTCCAGCCTGGGCGAGAAAGAAAGAGAGAAAGGGAGAAAGAGAGAGAGAGAGAAAGAGAAAGAAAGAAATGAAGGAAGGAAGGAAGGGAGGAAGGGAGGAAGGGAGGAAGGGAGGGAGGGAGGGAGGGAAGAAAATCCCTATAACTTCTAGCTACTACTTTTCCAGTTTTTTCCTTCGTCATCCAACTTGAATTTATATTCATCTGTTTCTTGATTGCTCATTTACTCAATTCATCATAATTTGAATCCCCCCATTAGCCCAATAATATTGCTATGTAAAGGTTAACAATAACTTCCTTATTGTCAAATCCAGTGAAGACTTTAGATTTGTTTTTCTTGAATTCCTAGGAGTATTTAACAATGTTGACCACTTTTCCTTAAAATTCTTTTCCTTTGGCTTCTGTGACACCATTGTCTCTGGCTCTTTGCCTCTTTAACAATCCCACTTGTCTCTTTCAATTTTTCATTCATTCCTTAAATGTTGGTATTTCCTAGAGTTCTACTGCCAGCTCTCTTCTCTCTTATGTTTTTCTCAGGCAGTTCATCTATGACCATAGCATCCATATTTCATAGCTCCCCAAATCTCATCTCTAGCTCAGATCTCTGTCTTGGGCAAAACCCCACTAGAGCCTATGTTCAAAAGCGAATTCAGTACCATCTGCCTCCCACCAAATTTACTCATAATTGCATTCCATGTCCTGGTTAATGTTTTTCTTTTCTTTTTAGTATCAACCAAGAAGTACTGAATGGCATCAATTACCCATTGAAACTTAAACTTAACTTAAACTTTTTCCTCCTTATTATGCAATAATCAACTAACATCACAGTTTTGTCACCTCTAACTCATCCTCCATAGTGCTATCAGAGTGTTTTAGCAAATGTAAACCTGATCATATTATACCTCAGTGTAAAATAATTCAATGTATTGCTCCCAGCTACTAGTGAGGAAAAAGTCAAAACTTCTTTTTCTCATGCTCCACTCTCAATTGCTTTTCAAATCAAATCATCCATGCCCAAGGCAGGACTGTTCTCTTAATCCTTTGATGCTGGACACTCCTGTCCTACCTTCTCCAGAAAGACAGAACAAAGTGAAACAAGAGGTGATGGTGGTAGAGAAGAAAAACAAGGAAGGGAAAAGCAAATAGAATAAAGAATTTGAGGAGGCACAGATGGTTAGACACTACCAGGGGACAAAAAGACTGTGACTTTGTCACTGGTTTCAAATAAACTACCCCTGAATACAAATAAAAATAAGCAAATGAAGGCAAGATGGAAGACTTACAAATATAAACAGAAAAGTGGGTGGGACAGCAGACCACCAGTCAAACAGAAAAGGCATGTTTGAAGTGTCACTGTCATTTGGGTATAATATCTGAAAACTCAAAGTTTTTCTCTGCTTTTATGATATTCAATAAAAAATTAAGAATTGTACCTGTTCACAGAATAAATAGAATGATAATTTTCATTTCACAATTTATGCAACATATTTAATCTATTTTTGACAATTCCATCACATTTTTTAAAGTTGTGAAATTTATTTTTCTAGGAAATTGAAAGAGCATATCTCCTTGTTTTTTTCCAAAATTAGTCTTAAACTGATTAGGCTTAGGCAGTTTCTTACTCATCTTTGTGTTTTCAGTGCCTAGCACAGAGCAGACACTTCAATAAATATTCGTTGAATAAACAAAGGAAGGAATTATTCATAGAAGACTCTGATGCTCTACAGAGAAAAGAAAGTGCTCTCAGTTCTTGACACTTACCTGGTTTAGGGCTACATGCATCTGATCTACTAAGAACACATAGAGCTCACTGATAAATGTCTGAAGTTCCTCCTGGCTTTCAAATGATGTTGTCTTCAAGTATTTATCTCTCACAATCTTTACCACAGCATGCTGCAAGACACACAGATCACCCATCTGATAATACAGTCCAGCACCATGCTGAGAGCACGGGTCTCTCTAGGGCTTTCTGGTCTAAAGCTGATCAAAATTTCAGAAAGCGATTGATTTCTCCCTTGGTGGGTGGTAGACTATCAGCTCTCCAAATTTCCCCCAATCAACATACTCTGTATGATTTCTTCTTTCCTTAACATCACCATCATTACTAATTGAAGCAATGCAGAGCTCATACTATATGAAGAGAATCATAAAGCTGAAGAAAATCTGAGCATTAGGTTTAGGCATTATGTCTCTCATGGTGGCCATATGGTTCAAAGGGGAAAGGGAGAAAGGGCTGGGCTGAGAATCCAGAGAATGGAATTCTGGTTCTAATGCTGCCACTGTACAACTTCATAAATTATTTTACACTTTGGTACCTCAGCTTCCTCATTTGTTAAGAGGATATGTAGTTCTGGTATTATTATTTTACTTTAGAAGATGATTGAGAAGCCAAAGAGAGACAAGTATAGAAGCTTAAAATGCTGTACAAATATAAACACAGCATGTTGCTATAGCCAGGACAGCTTCTCCTTTTTTCCCCACTAAGGTAACATTATTGCCAGGTTTTATAATCCATGCATTATATTATTTAATTCTCATATGACCTTATGTGATAATATTAACCTCATCCCTGTTGTTAGGTAAAGAAACTGAGGCACAGAGAGATAAAGTCACGTTTCAAGGTCACCCAACTAGTAAATGTGGAACCAAGAGTCAAACTGAGACATGACGACACCACCTGCTGAGAATACCCTCTTGCTTCCATGGACATTTGTTGTTTTTCACTCTATGACTTCCATGTTCTTTCTTTATATCTGTTTAGTACAGTACAGGACACATAGTAAATGTGTGTACAAAGGCAGTGTAGTGTAGCAGTTAAGAATGTGAGTTCTGGATCCAGACTGCCTGAATTTAAATCCCAACATTGATCTTTACTATCTCTGTGACTTTGGACAAATTCCTTAGCCAACTAATATTGCATTTTCCCATCTATAAAATGAGCAACACCTACTTTATAGGATTGTTATAAGGATTAAATTAGTAAAATATGAAGCATTGATAAATTGGCCTGGAAAACAGCAAACATGTAATAAATGTTAGCCATTATTATTCAAGAAATGATTATTAAGTTAACTATTTCTCAAATTTTAGTGATTCTATAGATTAGGGAAAGATTTGGAGTTTTTTGTTTTTGTTTATACATTCTGAATTTTAAAAAGTAAAATGTAATGCCAGTAATTAAATGTATCCTAACTCAAGACATGCTACTCTAGTCCTAATGATTAAGGCCTCCTTTCTGATAACTGTTTCGTCTTCAATTTTAAAACTAAAATTAATTCTTTTAGAGAGATTTGAATGAGAGGCAAGAAGAATTAATTATGGAGTCAGTACCAGACAGAGTTTCTGCCTCCTACAGTGACAATGAAATCTGGTACAAAATCTGGCCCAGCCTCAAGTGAATAATTAGTTTCTTAAAAGCTCCCGTTCAGAATATATGTAATAATTTATTCCAAGACTGAAAGAATGGAGCTTCTCCTGACACTCTATCATAGAGAACTTAGCTCTTTGCCCCACCAAGAAAGGTAAGAGTATAGCTGAACATAATCAGAGGAGAAAATGTGATGTGGGTATGTGGAGAACTTGCTCCATAAACACCCATGGAGTAATTAAACAAGTGAATGTTTTACCTTGAGTTGTTCTTTGAAAGCAAAGTATTTTCCAGAGCAATTAAGTTCATAGCTGAGCTGGCACTTCTGCTCCTCCAAGGTTTCACTATCCATATCACTCTCCAGTTTGGCCACCTGTTTTCCAAACATTCTGTAGTATTCATCTAGAATGGCTCTAGAAATATTCTTGATCTGTATGTGGTAGTCACTCACTGCCTAAGAAAATACAAAACATCTGGTAGACGCCTCAGAGAGGTCAAGAGCATGGATTGGAAGTCTAAAACTGGATTTGGTTTTATGTTCCATGATACTTTATTAGTTTGTTTGTTTGTTTGTTTGTTTTAGAGACAAGGTCTCTCTCGCCCAGGCTGGAGTACAGTGGTATGATCATGGCTCACTTCTCCCTTGAACTCCTGGCCTCAAGCAACCCTCCTGCCTCAGCCTCCCTAGTAGCTGAGACTACAGGTGTGTGCCACCACACCCAGTAATACTTTAAATGTAAAATGCCCTTTTCTTCCCAGCTGAGAGACCACCAGCCAAAGATTAAACACTGTATGCTATATGCCATTGATCACAAATGGAACCAGCAATGAAAATACGTAAAGCTTCAAACAAGTTTTCACCCCTTCTGGAAGACATATTAAAGAGTCCATGCAATTAACAAGTGCATGCACTCAATATCTTATTACTTATCATTTCAACTTGGCTTTGGCACTTGCCTTCTGAGCTCCTCCTGTCCGACGGGTAAGAGGAGGCCTTGGAGGAATCATTTCCTTGACCCTGTATCAGGAAAGAAAAAAAATAAAAAAACAAAAAAAAATTTATTATCTACAGATGTATATTTTCTTTTATCTTATCCTCAAAGTGTCTGGGTGGGGGAGATCTGAGGTCTGTTCCCCCACTGCACTTGAGCACTGTGCTGTTCTCTCATGTAAAACCCTAGATGTGAACCACAGCAAAGTATATGGCTACGGACCATACAGAAGGGAGGTGAGGAAGCAGCTACTCAGGGAGTATCTAAGTTGTATTTTTGGTTAATTTGAGCCCTGGCTTTACCCTTACGTATTTAAAAACTTGTGGTATACAAGGGCTGTTTGACTGGGGTTTTGGAAAGAAATGGGTGTCAACATTTTAGAGGCACTCAGTAACATCTCTGAAAGCAGAATGATTTGGAAATCTGAGTGGAATAGGCAAGCAAAACCTCTTCTTTCCTCCCCGTCTACAATAAAAGTGTACTCTTGGCATAATTTATAGGGCTGCATTAAATTACAATAATGCTATCAAAACTTAATCCAAAATGTGAGTAAAAAACCACATTTTGTCAATGTCAAACTACTTATGTCAAAACCTCTACCTTCTATTTTCAGAAGCCCTTACAAGAACCTAGAAGGAATTAAGTTATAGCTCTTCTCCCTTTTAGTTTCAGGTTCTTGCTAAATATATTATACTACCTTGAAGTCCACAATCAAACTCACAAAATCTATTTTTCTTACTAGATCCTATGTAATGATATACCTCTGTTCATAATTACTAATTTTAATTCTATTTATTTAAATAGGTAATCTATTTATATTATTCAAAATTTAGAAGGTACGAAACTGTATAGCAAAATATCTCCTTCCAACCTTATTGCCCAGCCTCCTAGTTTCCTCTCCAGAGACAATGTTATTCATTCATTCAAAATAGATACTGAGAGGCCAGCCATGGTGGCTCATGCCTGTAATCCTAGCACTTCGAGAGGCCGAGGCGGGTGGATTGCCTGAGCTTAGGAGTTCGAGACCAGCCTGAGAAACATAGTGAAATCCTGTCTCTACTAAAATGAAAAAAATTAGCTGGGTGTAGTGGTGTGTGCCTATAGTTCCAGCTACTCAGGAGGCTGAGACATGAATTTCTTGAACCTGGGAGGCAGAGGTGCAGTGAGCTGAGATCGCACCACTGCATTCCAGCCTGGGCCACAGGGCAAGACTCTGTCTCCCAAAAAATAAAAAAATAAAAATAGATACTGAGTGCTTATTTTCCATCAGGTAGTTTTCTAGGTTTGGGAATAGAGCATTAAACAAAATAGACAAAAATTCTTACCCTCATGGAGCTTACATTCTAGTAGGGAAAGAAAGACAATAAATAAGATAAACAAACAAGATAAATATGCTAGTAATATGTCCCATAGAGAAAAATAATGCAGGAAGGCAGACAGACTCTATTGGGGGTTGAGGGTAGTGGAATGCAGGAGCATATTTCACCAGGAAGGCCTCGCTGAGATGTTAACGTTTGAGTAAAGACCTGAGGGAAGTGAGGAAGCAACTGACATAGTTTGGATATTTGTCCCCATCCAAATCTCATGTTGAATTATAATCCCCAGTGTTGGAAGTGGGGCCTGGTGGGAAGTGTCTGGGTCATGGAGGTGGATGCCTCATGGCTTGGTGCTGTCTTCATGATAGTGAGTAAGTGCTTGCAAGATCTGGTCATTTAAAAATGTGTGGCACCTCCCCCAACTCCCTCCCTGCTCTCTCTGTCTTTTGCTCCTGTTTTGACAATGAAATATTATTTGGTAATAAAGAAATTAAGTATTGATATATGCCACAATATGAATAAACCTTAACAACATTAGATTAAATGAAAGAAGCCAGTCACCACATATTGTATGATTCCAGAGTTGGCAAATCTATAGAGAAAAAAAGTAGATAAACGGCTGCTTAGACTTGGGGGTTCAGGGTGGAAGAGGTGGCATGATGGTTGAGAGGAAAAGGAGAATGACTGCTAATGTACATGGGATTTCAACTTTTGGGGTAATGATAGTATATATAAAGTTGACTATGGAATGGCTACACAATTCTGTGAGTATACTAAAAGCCACTGAATTGTACACTTTATTTTATTTTTATTTTTCTAAGTTCACATCGGACAGGTAATATGATGATGTCACAACAAAGCTTGAGGGAGGCACAGCTCATGTATGAGCATGAACACCCAATCATCACGCTTATGAACTACAAAGGGATCAGAACTGGATACTTTAAATGGGTGAACAAAATGAAAGAAAAGGTGATGGTGGTAGAGAAGTATATGGTATGTGAATAATATCTCGAAAAAGCTATCATTAGAAAATAAAAAAGAAGAAATTGAAGGGTAGAATGGTAGATGTAAGGAAACTTACATCTAAGTATATCTTACATCTTACATGTAAGTCCCAGATGAGGGACTACTATGGCTCTGACCAAAGAGTATGTGAGAATTAGGAGAGGTTCAGCTTGAAATATAAATGTGGGAGCCATCAGTGTATAGATGGTATTTAGAGCCACGAGACTAGATAGAAACCAAGGAAATAAGTATAGATAGAAAAGGTGTTCAAGCACTGAGCTCTGGGGGACTCCAACATTTAGATGCTGGAGAGATAAAGAAGGCCAGGGAGGGAGGAGTAAAGCCAGGAGAGTATAGTGTCCTTACAACCAAGTGAAGAAAGTTCCTCAAGGAGGGTTGAGTAGTTAAATGCTGATGACAGGTCAAAATGACCCCAAGAACACACCACTGGATTTAACAGTGTGGTGGTCATTGATGAGCTTGATAACAATATTTATCTGAAGACAAGTTATTGGAAGTGAGTTACCTGATCAAAGAGTTAAAAGATCCATGAATTTGTATTTAGATAGCATTACCAAATTGCCCTCCACTGGAATTTTACCCAGTTTATACTCGCACCAGCTTATATGAGAGGACCTGTTTCCAAACATCCTCAACAACACAATAAATTATCAAGCTTTTTTTATTTCAGCAATTAAAAAACAAGGTACTTCAGCATAGTTTTAATGTGCATTTATTTTATTACGGAAATAGTTTAGTTTCTTTTCATATGTTGAAGACTGCTTTAAATTTAGGTATATTCTTATACAGTGACATAGATTTAGCAGTTTGGTATACCCATGCCTCAGGCTCAGCCTGCAACGAAAGGCAAATAATCTTTTACAAGTATTGACTATAATTTTCTTTTTTCTTTTCTTTTCTTTTTTTTTTTTTTTTGAGAGAGGGTCTCGCTCTGTTGCCAGGCTGGAGTACAGTGGCATGATCATAGCTCACTGCAGCCTGGATCTCCAGGCTCAAGCAATCCTCCTGCCTCAGCAACCCCACCGCCCCCCACCACCGGGTAGCTCGGACTACAGGTATGCACTACCACACCCAACTAATTTTTTTATTTTTAATAGAGATGAGGTCTTGCTATGTTGCCCAGGCTAGTCTCAAACTTCTGAGGTCAAGCAATCTTCCTGCCTCAGCCTCCCAAAGTGCTAGGATTACAGGTGTGAACCACCATACCCAGCCTAAGTACAATTTTCTATTGTTGCCATTCTTTTTTGTTTTGAGATGGAGTCTCACTCTGTTGCCCAGGCTGGAGTGCAGTGGCACAACCTTGGCTCACTGCAAGCTCTGCCTCCTGGGTTCACACCATTCTCCTGCCTCAGCCTCCTGAGTAGCTGGGACTACAGACGCCCGCCACCACGCCCGGCTAATTTTTTTGTATTTTTAGTAGAGACAGTGTTTCACTGTGTTAGCCAGGATGGTCTCGATCTTTTGACCTCGTGATCCACCTGCCTTGGCCTCCCAAAGTGCTGGGATTACAGGTGTGAGCCACCACACCCGGCCTATTGTTGCCATTCTAATTAGCTTTTGCTCTATAATTTTATCACTTGGCCTAGCTTGGAGAAGAAATGCCTTTGAAAAAAAAAACTTATTGCTAATAACTGTTTCTCACAAAAAAGTCCAAAAACATTTAAACATTGATAAACCACAGTTTTTAAAGTACTATATAGAGTACTTTATGTACTATAAGTGGATAAAAAGTTTCAAGATATAAAAGTCATAAAAATTGCTTCTGTATTTGTTGTAAAACTGTCATTAAGGATACTGTTATACTGTCACTCTGTATTCCCCTATGTAAGAGCCCAAATGAGAAATCTGTTTTAGAATTTAATGCCAGGAATAAATGTGGTCTCTTTTGTGACTAATGTGCTTCTTCCTTTATGATTAAAATTATATAACTTACAGGGCTTCCCTTTTTGTTGGACAGCTCAGATTTGATGCTTATTTATGAGAGCTCTATTTAATGCGGCCTTCCTTTTCCATCGTTTTGAGTTTTTGACTATTTCTAGATTATTACTTTTATTTTGTATGTCATTTATGGTAAATTTTTTTTTTTTGAGACAGAGTTTTTTGCTCTTGTCATCCAGGCTGGAGTGCAATGGCATGATCTCAGCTCACTGCAACCTCCACCTCCTGGGTTCAAGCAATTCTGCCTCAGCCTCCCAAGTAGCTGGGACTACAGGCACCCACCATCACGCCCGGCTAATTTTTATATTTTTAGTAGAGGCAGGGTTTCCCCACATTGGCCAGGCTGGTGTCGAACTCCTGACCTCAGGTGATTCACCTGCCTCGGCCTCTCAAAGGGCTGGGATTACAGGCGTGAGCCACTGCACCCGGCCCATTTATGGTAAATATTATTAGATTATTTTTGGAAGGGGACTAAATGCAAAGTTTTTAAAAACTCAAGAACTCTCAGGTATAAAAGATGAATGTGCCATTATAAGCAGGTAATTCTCAAAAGAAACTTCCAAATTATTAATAATTATGTGTAAAAATGTTTCACTACACAATTTACAATGTGGATTAAAATTAAAATGAGAAACTTTTCTCCCCATCAAAATAGCAAAAATAAAAAAGTATTGTGTTGGTGAATATGTGAAGAAACAGTAGTCTCATATATCATTTATAGAACTGTAAATTTTTTGGAAGGCAATTTGGGGATATTTATCTAAAGTCTTAAAAATACATGTAATAAATAGTCTCCAAGGTAGAAGCTGCTATTTTCTTTCATCTTTCTTTGAGTATAATGCTCCTCACATCAAGAGGTAAAGTCTAGATGTCAGCAAAACGACCGGGCAGGTAACTCTAAACTCCCATCCCTCCAGATAAACTTAAAAAAAAAAAACACACACACCAGAAACTGAAACTGTCAGAACCAACTTGTTAGAATGTTGGGAAAAAAGGGTTTACAGTAACAAAGAGAATCTGAATCCAGAAGAAGGCAATTCTAAATCAGCAGGAAAGCTTTCTGGCATTTTTACTTGCTCTTGCTCCGCTGCACACCGCATCCCCAGCTCAGCAGCAGTCTCAAAGGTGGCAGCCTGGATTTCTAGTGTGGCACACTGGTCCCTGATTCTGGAGGAAGCAGAGCAGACCTTATTCTCAAATTACTGTGTTTGTTCTAGCTTGTCTGGGACTGCCTGAGAGACTGGTGCAAGGCACTCATCTCTGTTTCTCCTAACTCAGTGCGGAAAAGCACTGAAACCTACACAGGGTGGAAAAGTATTGTTCAAAAACATTGTAAGGTTATCAAATCCCCAAAGCTGTTTGGGGCAAAGCATTATGGTTGAGACATATAATAGACCACCTAAAGCCTGAGAAGAAAAGCTGGAGAGTTTCTTTGGAAATTAGAGCATTCAAAAGTACTTGTGTGTACTGGGAAATTCAGAAAGCCACATGTATGCCCAGGACAGGATGTATGCTTAAAGTTGACCAGAGAAAACCCTATGCTTTCACCACTGATTGATCTACAGGTTCAGTATAAGCAGGAAGAAAAGGCTGAGGCAGAAATATAAATGGCCTGGTTAAATGTTAAAAGAATGCCTCAGCACAGAGCCATCTGTAAAGATTGGCAGAAAAGATTTTTTGTTTTGTTTTTGTTTGTATTTAGATCCTGGCATTCAAGGAAATCTGTCAAAACACTGGCTGAACACAAGTTACACCTTCAACAATAAAAAGCAGCCAAACGTAGCGAAGGGAAAAGTTTGATTTCCAAAATTCCCACATGATAGTATCCACATGTCCAGTTTTCAACGATGATAAAATACAAATAGTACAAATAAATAAAAGTATGACTCTTTCAAAGAAAAAAATATAGAAATTCTCCCTAAAGAAGCCCAGGCATCAAACTTACTACACAAATACATTAAATCAACTTTACTATACACACTCAAAAAGCTCAAGGAAGCCACGGACAAAACAAAGAGAAAAAAGGAAAGCAATGTATGAACAAAATTAGAGTATCAGTAGAAACAGAAATTATTTTTTAAAAAAACAAGAAGTCTGGAGCTTAAAAGTACAATATTTGGAATAAAAAATTCACTAAAGGGTTCAACAGCAGATTTGATCAGGCAGAAGAAAGAATCGGCAAAACTGAAGATGGAACAATTAAAATAATTCAGTCTGAGGAACAGAAAGAAAAAGAATGAAGAAAAGTGAACAGAATTTAAGACCTATAGGATGCCATCAAGCTGACCAGCATACACATTATGGAAGTTCTGGAAGAAACTTCCCCCTTTCTAGAGAAGAAAGGGGGAAGAAAGAATTTTTAAGAAATAATGGCCCAAAACTTCCCAAATTTGGTGAAAGATATGAATTGACACATCCAAGAAACTTAATAAACTCCAAGCAGGAAAAACTCATATGTCCACACTAAAACACACCATAGTCAAATTGTCAAAACACAAAGACAAAGAAAAAATATCAAAAACAGCAACAGAGGTGTGACTTGTCACATACAAGTGATCCTCAATAAGATTAACAGCTGATTTCTTATCAAAACCATGGAGGCCAGAAGTCACTGAGATGACATATTTAAAGTCTGAAAGAAAAAAAAATTGACAACTAAGAATTCTATATCCAGGTGTCTCATGCCTATAATCCCAGCACTTTGGGAGGCTGAGGAGGGATGACCACTTGAGGCCAAGAGATTGAGACCAGCCTGGGAAACATAGTGGGACTATGTCTCTACAAAAATTACAGAAAAAAAAGGTAAAAGAATTCTATATCTAGTAAATTATCCTTCAAAAGTGAAGAAGACATTAAGACAATCCCAGATAAACAAAATTAAGACAGTTTGATAACAGGACCTACCTCATAAGGAACGCTAAAGGGAGTCCTTCAGGCTGAAATGACAGGACACTAGTCAGTAACTTGAAGTCAGATGAAGGAATAAAGAACACTAGTAAAGGTAAATATGAAAGCCAGTATTATTGCACTTTCAACTTGTAACTCCTCTTTCTCTCCTCTTTTTTTTGATGACAAATGCATAAAATAATAATGATAAGTCTATGTTAGTAGGCACACAATAGATAAATATGTAATCTGTGACAATAACAATGTAACGGGAGGGATGGAGATGTATAGGAGCAGAGTGTATAGTACTGAAATTAAGTTTGTATTCAAACTAAGCTGTTACAGGTTTAAGGTGCTAATTGTTGTCTCCAAGTTAATTACTAAGACAACAACTAAAAAAATACACAGAAAAGGAAAGAAGAGGGAAATCCAAATGGCATACTGCAAAAAATCAGCTAAATATAAAAAGGCAGCAATAAAGGAACTGAAGAACAAAAAAAAATAAGACATGAAGACAACAAACAGATAAATGGCAGAAGTAAATCCTTCTCTATCAGTAATCACATTAAATGTAAATGGATTAAACTTTCCTATTAAAAAGCAGACACTGGCAGATTAGATTAGAAAAACTCACACAGAATCCATCTATCTGCTGTCTACAAGATACTCCCTTTAGATGTAAGGACAGGAGGAAGTCAAAGGTAGGATAAAATCAGATATTCCATACAAATAGTAAAAAAGAGCTGAGATGGCTATATTACTGTCAGACAAAATAAACTTCAAATAAAAAGAGGGTACAAGAGACAAATAAGGACATTAAATATTGATAAAAGGTTAAATACAGCAATAAAATACAACATTTATAAACATATACAACAGAACCCCATACAACATTTATAAACATATACAACAGAACCCCAAAATTTATAAAGCAAAAACTGATAGAATTGAAGGGAGAAACTGATAGTCCTACAATAATAGAGACTTCAATACTCTACTTTCAATAATGGATAAAACAACCAGACAGGAAATTAGTAAAAAAATAAAGGATTTGGGCCGGGCATGGTGGTTCATGCCTGTAATCCTAGCACTTTGGGAGGCTGAGGCGGGCAGATTGCCTGAGCTCAGGAGTTCAAGACCAGCCTGGGCAACACAGTGAAACTCCATCTCTACTAAAATACAAAAAAAAAAAAAAAAAATGCTGGGTGCAGCGATGTGCTCCTATAGTCCCAGCTACTTGGGAGGCTGAGGCAGGAGAATTGCTTGAACCCGGGAGGCAGAGGTTGCGGTGAGCCAAGATCATGCCACTGCACTCCAGCCTGGGTGACAGAGCGAGACTCTATCTAAAAAAGAAAGAAAGAAAGAAAGGATTTGAACAACCCTATAAACCAATTAGACCTAACAGACATATATAGAACATTCCACCCAATAACAACAGATAACACATTCTTCTCAAGTGCACATAGAACATTCTGCAGGGTATACCGTATGTCAGGCCACAAAACAAGGATCAATAAACTTTAAAAGATTGAAATCATGGCTGAGCATGATGGCTCATGCCTGTAATCCCAGCAATTTGGGAGGCCGAAGCGGGCAGATCACCTGAGGTCAGGAGTTCGAGACCAGCCTGAGCAACATGGAGAAACCCCGTCTCTATTAAAAATACAAAATTAGCCAGGTGTGATGGCACATGCCTGTAATCCTAGCTACTCAGGAGGCTGAGGCAGGAGAATCACTTGAACCCAGGAGGCAGAGGTTGCCATGAGCTGAGATCACACCATTGCACTCCAGCTTGGGCAACAAGAGTGAAACTCCGTCTCAAAAAAAAAAAAAAAAAGATTGAAATCATATGAAGCATATTTTCTGATCACAAGGAAATAGAACTAAAACCCAGTAACAGAAGACTTAAAATTAAGAAAATAAGAATATTAAATAACTGAAATAAGAAAATTTAAGCAACACATTCAACCAATGGTTCAAAGAAGAAATCACAAGAGAAATGAAAAAAAAAAAAAAACCTTTAGACAAATGAAAACAAAAACCAAATAAAAAATTATGAAATGCAGTGAAAGCAGTGCTCAGAGGGAAATATATAGTTCTCTACACATACACTAAAGAAGAAGAAAACTCAAAATCAATAACATAACTGTATTCTTTAAGGAACTAGCAAAAGGGGGGCACACTATGCCCAAAGCTAGCAGAAGACATAATAAAAGAAAGAATGAAGATTAGAGTAAAAACAAATTAGAGAATAGAAAAATAATGGAGAAAATCAATAAGCTTTAAAAGTTGGTTTTTCAAAAAGATCAACAAGATTGACAAACTTTTAGCAAGACTGACTGAAAAAAGAGAGAAGACATGAAAGTGGAAACATTACTACCAATTTTAGAGGGATAAAAAGGAGTATTAGAATACTATGAACAATTGTATGCGAACAAGTTGAATAACCCAGATGAATGCACAGTTTCCTAGTAGCACACAAGCAAAGCACTATGGTACAATATAAACAGTTTTTTTAAATTACATATATGTATATGTAACATGCGTGTGTGTGTTTATGTGTGTATGTGTAATATAGGGGGCTTTAAAATAACTCCAGAAGGATAACAACACCAAGGTGTTAAAAGCAGTTATCACTAGGTGAGTAGAGATCTGGATGTTTTTATTTTTTAATTTTTTATAGAGATGGGGTCTCACTATGTTGCCCAAGCTGGTCTCAAACCTCTGGGCTCAAGTGATCCTCTCGCCTTGGCCTTTCAAAGTGCTGGGATTCAAAGTGCTGGAATGAGCTACCACACCTGACCTTGGGTATTTTTATATACTTTCTTGTTCATCCGTATTTCCTAAGAATTTTTTTTTTTTTTTAGAGATAGAGTCTTTCTCTGTCTCTCAGGCCGGAGTGCAGTGGTGCGATCTCGGCTCACTGCAACCTCCGCCTCCCAGGTTCAAGCAATTCTCCTGCCTCAGCCTCCCGAGTAGCTGAGGTTACAGGTGCATGCCGCCATGCCCGGCTAATTTTTTGTATTTTAGTAGAGACGGGGTTTCACCGTGTTGCCCAGGCTGGTCTCAAACTCCTGAGCTCAGGCAATCCCCCCCACCTTGGCCTCCCAAACTGCTAGGATTACAGGCATGAGCCACCGCACCCAGCTTCCTAAAAATTTTTATAGTGAGCATGCAATGCTTTTGTGATAAGGTAACAAAAATAACAACAACAACAAAAACTTCATCTAGAAAAAAACCAGATAACTCCTGCTTAGCCCAAGGGAAATTACAATCGTGGGGACAATCTGACTTCCTCTTATTTATACCCAAATTGTACAAAACTAGTATAAGCACCATAGCTACAAACCTTCTGGCTAGCTCCTCTGGCATTCGCTTTGGAACCAAGGCTTTGTCCAGCTGAATTTCCAACACAATGTATGTCCCTGCTTCTACATATTGCTGTAAAGACATTGTTTTCTTATTATTTCCAGAAAAAAATATATTTATGAAAAATTTAGTAACATAAGATGATGCTCACAATATAATAAGTGAGAAAACTGCATATATAACTACATATACAGTGTGATCTCAACTGTTAAAATACTTTTCACATAGAAAAATAACTGGAAAGAAATATAGCAACAGTGGTTATCTCTTAGAGGAAAGGATTTTCAGTTTTATTCTTGGAAGCTTCTACAGTGTAACAAGGCTGAAGCCCTGTTTAACTTGTTCTCAATACTTTCCCAGGAACTGTTTTAAGTGAATGCCTTTCTTTCTTCCAGCAACCTTCTTTCAGGTGGTCCTGCAGAAAAATTCTCTTCATAACCTTCTTACATTCCCACTCACAGTCTCCTCACTACCATCTACCAACTCCAAGTGCTGGACAGCTCTACCCAGATTTTTGCCAGCATCCTAAATACATGTCCAAAATTGAATTTATTATTTCCCCAATGTCAATCTCTCTTGATTTTTCTCTTAATGGTGTTGTCATCCTTCCAGAAAGTGAGGCTTGCAACCTGAGTTATCCTTAACTTTTCTCATCAATACCCCCAAAGCTTCCCAATTGCAAACTCCTTGCCTCTCCAGGTTTCTGACTTTCTTTACTACAACCCCTGTCCTAAATAAAACTGTCATCAACACTCATCTATACTACAAGAAAAGCCTGCAGCCCTACCCCACCTTCAATCTCTTTTTTTCATACCCTTGCAAGAATTCCGACCTGAAACACACATGAGGTCTTATTTCTATGACTTTGAAACCTTTGATGTGAATCTCCAAGAAGAGGTTCAAGAATCTGTCATCAGCTATACAATGAAGTCCAAACTTTTAAATAAGCCTTTCAAGTCTTTCCATTACCTGATTCAGCCTCTTTCTTCTTTCCTAACTCTTTATAGAATCTCTCCTTTAATTTCTCTATATACCATACACTGCAATTAACTGAGACAGCCTAAATTCTGCTCTTGCAAATTCTCTGTTATTCTCTCTCAAGCTGTTCCCTGGCTCTGAAATGCCTCTCCCTCCATCTTCTTATGGCAAACAGGTCTCTTCATCTTTCACTACTTAGTATGGATATCACCTCCTCCATGAAGCCTTCCCTTAGACTTCCCCATCCTAATATTTGTCTCCTCAGAGCCCACACAGAACTTTTATTTGTACCTCTATTACAGCACTCATCAAAATTATATACTATGATTAGTTATATACCAGTCTGTTTCTCCTACCAGATGCTGAGTTTCCTGAAAGCAGATGAATAAATGCTGCAGATGATGCATCTTTACATCCCTTATAATGTTTAACATAGTAGAATTAACAAAAGATATAATATTTTAATGCTGGAAAGGACCTTAAAATTAACCTGGCACCAGTTCACTTTACAGAGTTTCAACAAGACAAAGAAATTTGCCCAAAGTCATAGACAACTAGTCATGGGCAAATATGGAATGATAACTAACATCCTGCCTGAGCATTTTCCATTGAAAATGCCTTGCTTAATAAAGGTCTGGTTAACTTAAACTTAATTTTCCAAACTTCATGCACAATTACCTGTCCTTCAGGATTGTGACTTAGAGGGGGTTCACCTTCCAAAGGAGTATCTGAGCTCTGAGATTTTATACTAGGTGCCTGCTGAAAGAAAATGAACACACCTCAAAAATTGAATTCCTACACAGTCTTCATAGTGACAAGAACAATGTTCTCTACACTGCATCAAAATGCAAACTAACTGCAGCCATAAAAAAGAATGAGTTTGTGTCCTTTGCAGGGATGGATGAAGCTGGAAACCATCATTCTCAGCAACTAACACAGGAACAGAAAACCAAATACCGCATGTTCTCACTCATAAGTGGGAGTTGAACCATGAAAACACATGGACACAGGGAGGGGAACATCACAAACTGGGGCCTGTCGGGGGTAAGGGCCAAGGGGAAGGAAGAGCATTAAGGACAAATACCTAATGCATGTGGGGCTTAAAACCTAGATGGCGGGTTGACAGGTGCAGCAAACCACCATGGCACATGTGTACCTATGTAACAAACCTGCACATTCTGCACATGTATCCCAGAACTTAAAGTAAAATTAAAAAAAAATGCAAACTAACATTGATACCAGTCACCAAGTGAGAAATCAGTGAAGCCTCTGGAATGTAATCTAAGAGGCAAAATCATCACCTTCTCAACAACCTACCACATCCCCAGGCCTAGGCCTTCCATCTATATCCTTTTCTTTCACTGGTTTATCTTCTTTCAGATTCTTAGAAACAGCTTGTTTGGACAGCAGAGAATTAATTCCTCCTATTTTATTATTATGAATCAAGTGATGGCCAATATCCCGGAACAAGCTCAATAAACATTTGGTCTGAAAAACAAAAAAACAAACAAAAAAAAGCAATACATGAGACAAACTTGAAAGAAATACACATTATTTTTTTTTACCATTTAGTCTTCCAAACAATTTCGACATTTAATATCAGAGAGAGAGAAGGGACTTGAAAGACTTCATTGTATTTCCCTCCTTCTAGAACAGGTAAAACCACCACAGAAAGTTAGTTGCCTACTCTACCATTTAAAGGATTTAAAGGAGACCTTACAACCTGGCTTGATTCTGGGATCTCATAACTCTTGTAATCAGAATGCTTTTAATCTTTGACACAGAATTTCGAATTAGGCTAGACATGGTGGCTCACACCTGTAATCCCAGAACTTTGGCAGGAGGATTGTGTGAGCTCAGCAGTTCAAGACCAGCCTGGGTAAAATAGTGAGACTTCATCTCTACTAAAAACAAAACAAAAAGATCAGCGAGGTGGGCCGGGCGTGGTGGCTCATGCCTGTAATCCCAGCACTTTGGGAGGCCGAGGCATGTGGATCACGAGGTCAGGAGATTGAGATTATCCTGGCTAACACGGTGAAACCACGTCTCTACTAAAAATACAAAAAATTAGCCAGGCGTGGTGGCGGGTGCCTGTAGTGCCAGCTACTCGGGAGGCTGAGGCAGGAGAATGGTGTGAACCTGGGAGGCGGAGCTTGCAGTGAGCCAAGATCATGCCACTGCTCTCCAGCTTGGGCGATAGAGCGAGACTCTGTCTCAAAAAAAAAAAAAAAAAAAAAATCAGCGAGGTATGGTGGCACATGACTGTGGTCCTAGTTACTGGGGAGGCTGAGGTGGGAGAATCACTTGAACCCAAGCAGTCAAGGCTACAGTGAGCCATGACTACACCACTGCATTCCAGCCTGGGCTACACAGCAAGACTCTGTCTCAAAAAAAAAAAAAAAAAAGGCCAGGTGCGGTGGCTCACACCTGTAATCCCAGCACTTTAGGGGGCCGAGGCAGGCGGATCATTTGAGACCAGAAGTTTAAGGCCAGCCTACCCAACATGGTGAAACCCTGTCTCTACTAAAAATACAAAAATTAGCCGGGTGTGGTTGCATGCAGCTGTAATCCTAGCTATTGGGAAGGCTGAGGCAGGAGAATCACTTGAACCTGGGAGGCGGAGGTTGCAGTGACCTGAGATGGTGCACTGCACAGCAGCCTGGGCAATAGAGTGAGACTCCGTCTCAAAAAAGGAAAAAAAATTAAAATTAAATTAACAGGCTGAATTCACTTCTATACAAGAAATAGTATCTATTTAGTTACCACTGACCTATCAGTTATAATTGGAAGGATAAAGCAAGTTTAAAGTTCAAAGAAAAACCTTTGTATGGAAAAATTCAAACTATAGATAAACCACCAGAAAAGGATTTTACAACAATTTTTCCCTAAAAATTCTTTTTTGAAATAAACAATTTTTTAATTAAAGAACATGGATGATTCTCAAAATAATTTATGTTGAATGAAAAGAACCAGACCAAAGGAGGCCAGGCGAGAGGGGAGGGGTGGACAGAGGTGGGCAAAGGAATAATAGAAGACACAAAAAACTTTGGGGGGTAATGTGTGTATGTTCATTATCTTGATTGTGGTGACAGTTTCACAGATGTACAGATATGTCAAAACTTTAATATTGTACAATTTAAATAAATGCAGTTTATCAATTATACCTCAATAAAGCTGTTTGAAAACAATCCAACAATATTAATTGTAAATACTAAAAATCACTCACAATCCTACCACCTCTGTGATAAATACTGTATTTCATAGATTCAAAGACACAAGCTTTCTCAAATTTTAACATCTCTGGGGTATGTTCTATAATAAGAGTATTTCATATAAGTGGTATCATACAATACATAGTCTTTTGCATCTGCCTTCTTTCACTTAGCATGTTTTTGAGGTTCGTCCATGCTATAGCATGTGTCAGTTGGTTCATTACTTTTTTATTTTTTATTTTAGTTATTTATTTATTTGAGACAGAGTCTCACTCTGTCACCTAGACTGGAATGCAGTGGCACAATCACAGCTCACTGCAACCTCTACCTTCTGGGCTCAAGCCATCAGCTCACCTCAGCCTCCTGAGTAGCTGGGACACAGGCACATGCCACCACCCCAGCTAATTTTTGTATTTTTTGTAAAGATAGGGTCTCACCATGTTGCCCAGGCTTGTCTCAAACTCCTGGCCTCAATGATCTGCCCACCTCGGCCTCCCAAAGTGCTGGGATTACAGGTGTGAGCCACCACACCTGGCCCAAGTTCACTACTTTTTTTAAAAAACAGGCTGGGCACGGTTACTCACACCTGTAATCCCAGCACTTTGGGAGGCCAAGGCAGGAGGATCGTTTGAGCCCAGGAGTTTGATACCAGCCTGGGCAACACAGTGAGACTGTCTCTACAAAAAAAATTTTTTGTTTTAATTAGCTGGATGTGGTGGCATATGCCTATAGTCCAGTTACTCAGGAGGCTAAGGCAAAGGATCACTTGAGCCCAGTAGTTCAAGGCTGCAGTGAGCTATGATAGTACCACTGCACTCTAGCCTGGGTGACAGAGTGAGACCCCATCTCAAAAAAAAAAAAAAAAAAAACAGCTTTATTGAGATATTCACATATATACAATGTACACATTTAAAGAGCATGATTCAGTGATTTGGAGATTTTACATCATTAGTAGTTAATTTCTTTTCACTGCAAAATAGTATTCCCTTGTATACATATACCACATTTTGTTTATCTATTCACTATCTGCAGACATTTGTATTATTGTGAGCTTTTAGCTATTACAAATAATGCTGCAATAAACATTCACATATATGTCTTCGTGTAAATACAGGTTTTCTTTTCTCTTAGAAATTCCTAGAAATGATTTGTTGGGTTGTATGGTAAGTTTATACTTACCATAGATATTCTTTTTTGTTGTTGTTGTTTTGAGACAGGGTCTCACTCTTGTCACCCAAGCTGGAGTGCAGTGGCATGATCACAGCTCATTGCAGCCTTGATTGCCTGCTGGGCTCAAGTGATCCACCTACCTCAGCCTCCCAAGTGGTGGGACCACAGGCATGCACAAACAACACACCCAGACAACTTTTTTATTTTTTGTAGAGACAGAGTTTTGCCATTTTGCCAGGCTGGTCTCCAACTTCTGAGCTCAAGCAATCCTCTCATTTCAGCCTTCTAAAGTCCTGGGATTACAGGCTTGAGCCACTGTACCTGGCCAGATTTTCCATACAGTTGTCTTTTCAAGTATTGAGAGTAGGATACTGAAATTTCTAAATATTATTGCCAAATTGCCTATTTCTCCTTTCAATTCTGTTGGGTTTTGCTTCAAGTATTATGAGGTGATTGTGTTGTACTGTTAAGTGTGTATACACTTATAATTGTCCTGTCTTCCTGATGAATTGATGCTTTAATCATTGTGACAGGCCATTCTGTCTTCAGTAATATGTATTTCTAGTCTTAAAAACTATTTTGTCTGGTATTATTGTAGTTACTCAGCTATTACATTTTCTGTTTCCATAGTATATCTTTTGTACCTTTTTACTTCAAACTTCTGTGTATTTGAACCTAAGGTGTGTCTACTATAAACAGTATATAGTTGAATCTTGATTTTTTTGTAAATCCAATTTAATAATTTCTATCCTTTTATCAGTGTTTTTAGATCACTTACATATAATATTATTGTTGAAATACTTAGATTTTTATTTTCCATGCTATTTGTTTTCTATATATCATCTGTTTTTTGTTGTTCTGTTCTTCCTTTAACTACCTTATGTTAAATAAATATTTGTGATATCCCATTTAATTCCTTTGTTGAGATATATATATATATATAGATATAGATATATATATATATATATATATATATGACGTACACATAAATATATATGTATATATAATATGTATGGACATACACACATATATGTGCATATGTGTATGTATACACGCACAATTTTCTTAGTGGTTACTTAGGATTACAATATACATCCTAACTAATAACAATCTATTTCACATCAATACTAACTTAATTCTGGTAAAATACAGAAATTTTGCTCTGCTATAGCTCCATTCTATCCTCCTTCCTTTATGCTATTATCATATAAATTAAATCTATATGTTAACCCAACAGTATAACTAATACTTTATCCAATCATGTCTTCTAAAGAAGAGTAAAAATGAAAAAGATCTATTTCTAAACTCCTTTGTATTAACTTATAACCATTTCAAGTATTCCTCATTTCTTCTTATGGATTCAAGTTAGCAACTGATGCCATTTCCTTTCAAGCTGAAAGACCTCCTTTAGTATTTCTTGCAAGGCATGTTTCCTAGCAACAAATTCTTTCAGCATTTATCTGGGGATGTCTTTATTTTACCTTTGTTGTTTTTGTTTCTTTTATTGAGAGAGAGTCTCACTCTGTCATCTAGGCTGGAGTGCAGTGGCACGATCTTGGCTCACTATAACCTCCTGCCTCAGGAATTCTCCTGCCTCAGCCTCTTGAGCAGCTGGGATTACAGGTGCACGCCACCATGCCCAGGTAACTTTTGTATTTTTAGTAGATACAGGGTTGCATCATGTTGGCCAGGCTGGTCTCAAACTCCTGACCTTAGGTGATCCACCCACCTCTACCTCCCAAAGTGCTGGGATTACAGGCATGAGCCACCGCACCCAGCCCTGCCTTTGTTTTTGGTTGGTAGTTTTTGTGTATGTGTGTTTTTCTTTCAGAATTTTGCATATGTTATTCCACTGCCTTCTGGCTTCCATTGTTTCAGATGAAAAATCAGTGGTTAACCATATTGATTCTCCCCTGTAAGTGATGAGTTGTTTTTCTCCTGTTGCATTCGTGATGTTCTCTTTGTCTCTCTCTTTCATTTGACTATATATAATGTGTATATTTTGGGTCTCTGTGTGCTGATCCTAACTGGGATTTTCTGAACTCCTTGGATCTGTAAATTCATGTCTTCATCAAATGTGGGATATTTTCAGACATTATATCTTTATACTCTTCCCTCTTGGGACTCTTACTACATATTGTTGGTTGCCTTCCACCAAGATTGCCATTTTGATGTAGTTTGGCTCTTTATCCTCTAGAAATCTCATGTTAAAATGTGAGCCCCCTCCAGTGGGTGACAGAGTGAGAAGACCACGTCTCAAAAAAAAGGAAGAAAGAAAAAAGAAATGTGATCCCGTGTTGTAGGTAGGGCCTGGTGGGAGGTGTTAGGGTCACGGGGTAGATCTCTCATAAATGGCTTGGTGCTATCCTTGAAGTAATGAGTTCTCACTGTTAGTTACAAAGAGATCTGCTTGTTAAAAAGTAATCTGGCACCGCTCTCCTCTCTTTTATGCTCTTTCTCTCACCATGTGACATGCCTGCTTCCCCTTTGCCTTCCATCATGATTGTAATGAGACAGAGTAGCGATGGGGCTTGGCATTCAGCTCACCCCCACTGGATCATCTTTCATGCATTCTTGAGCTAAAGGTGAGGGTGGGGAAGGCAGAGCAGCCCCAGACACGAAGGCCTCAAACTCCTTAGCTTTTCATGCATTAGTAGTTCTCAGCTTGTTGATGCTTTTGGGCAATTTTGAGGATGGTGAAATGACTTTTTGTCCATTTGTCCAGCTTTATGGTTGCTTTTGTGGGGAGATGATTTGTCAACCTCCTCACTTGGCCATAGCCAGAGATATTTCCTTTCCAATGTTTTCTATATATTTTTTAAATTATTGTGAAAAAATGTTATCATATTTATATTTTGACTTTCATTTAACAGACTATCATTTGCATTCTTTCATGTTTTAAAATTTTTCATGAGGATAATTTTTAATATATGAACAATATTCCCCTATCATATGTGTATAATAAAAGGGACAGTTAAAATTTTCTGTGTGCCAACTACATTCCTAGTGCTTTATATATTTCATCTCATTTAATAGGTAAAACAATTCTAGGAAACAAGCATTGCCTCCATTTTACTGATGAATACAGTAAAGGTGAGACAAATTTAGTCACTTGCCTGAAGTCATCCAGCTAGTAAATGGCAGTTTCAGAATTCAAACTCCAGGCTGCCTGAATGGGTTATCAAACCTCATAACTTTTCTATTATGATACACTGTTTCCCTCAGATTCAACAAGAGTATCTTCATATAGAAAGGTTTGGATACATTTCCAATTATTCCCTTGAAATAGTTTCCTAGAAGTAGAAGTCCTATTGGAAAGGATATAAGTATTTCAAGCTTTTGAATACATATGGACAATACATTTTTTGCAAAAAGTTTTTACCAATTACGCTTCTACGAGCAGTGAATGAAAGTTGTTTTACTGAGATGGAGCAAGGATCCTCTTTTTAGAGGCCTGTGCTCCCCAGACATGGAAATAATAGAAAATTCTGAAGTTCCTTCAAGAGAAATTCTAGGCACCTAGCTAGCCCCAGAAATAAATAAGTAACTTAAACAAGAAGGTAATAGTAGCCTAAAACAATAACCAAGGAAGTTAAAGTTCAAGAGATGTTTGCTTTATAGAAACTAAACATAACGTCTTAATATATGTCCTTGAGTTTCTTTCTGAGCTTCAGACCCCACTGAGAAACCACTGAAAGGATCAGCCGGCACTCAGATCAGCTGAATGGATCAGCCTCCAGCTAAGGAGGAAGTGAAGACTCAACTATATGGTCCTTTGTTCTAAACTTCTTCCTGGGGTGCTTGGAGAAAGTCACTCCCCCTAGCCAGTTAACATTTTTCTACGACCCCAAATTTTTAAACAAAGCCTCTCTTCCTTAACAATTGCAAATCAGAAAATCTTTGAATCTACCTACCACTTGCAAGCCCCCCTACCCCCACCTCAACATATCCTGCCCTTTTAAGCTTAAACCAATGTGTAACTTGCATATATTGATTTATGATTTTGCCTGTAGCTTCTGCTTTCCTGAAATTTACCTCTGCCTTTAAAAATCATTGCCTGCAAGCCATCAGGGAGGTCAGGATTTGATAATTTAGCGCCTGGTCTTCCTTGCTTGACACCCTGCAATGAAAGCCTTTCTTTCTATCACTGCAAACCTTGGTGCATATATGTGGTTTTACTGTACCAGGTGAGCAAACATCAGTTTGGTTCTATAACATTATCACACCTTTACCACCAATGGGCATTATCATATTTTAAAGAATTGTTGAACTTCTCAAGTAAAATGATAACTACCGTTATTTAAATTTATAATTCCTTGATTAATAAATAAGGCCAGATGTCTCTTCTTATATCTGTTGGCCATTGACACTTCTTTTGTGAACTGCTATTTCACATACCTTGCCCATTAAGAAAAAGTTTGTTATTCTTCTAGATTGAAAAAACTACTATATTTCAGGAATAGTAGCTATCTCTCAGGAAACTACTGTATTTCAGAAATAGTAGCTATCTTTCTGATATGTATTCAAATATTTTCCCTAGTTCTTCAGTTACATTTTAATTTTGTTTATGAAGGTTTATTTTATATATAGAAACTTGATGTTTTTGGTAAACGAAATACTTTCTTTCATACTTTTCACTGCTTTCAAGCCTAGGAAGTTTTCTCTTAATTCATATCTTTAATATTCATTTTTATAGTCTTCACATTTAACTTATTTTAATAAATTCATTTGAAATTTATTTTGATCTATATTATATGTAACATTTGCATTCTTTTCTCTCATTTTTTTTATTTTTAATTTTTTTTGAGACAAGGTCTCACTCTGTCACTCAGGCGGAGTACAGTAGAACAATCACAGCTCACTGCAGCCTTGACCTCCTTGGCTCCATCCATCCTCCTACCTCAGCCTCTGGAGTAGCTGGGACTACAGGAATGTGCCACCATGCTCTGCTAATTAAAAAAAAATTTTTTTTGTAGAGATAGGGTCCTGCTATTTTGCCCTGGGTGGTCTTGAACTCCTGGGCTCAAGTGATCCTCCCACCTCAGCCTCCTGAAATGCTGGGATTACAGGTGTGAGCCACCATGCCCAGCCTTCTTTCCCATTTAACTATCTATAAAACATTAATAATTATCCTTTTTTTTTTTTTCTTGAGAGGGAGTCTCGCTCTGTCTCCAGGCTGGAGTGCAGTGGCACAATCTCGGCTCACTGAAACCTCTGCTTCCCAGGTTCGAGCAATTCTCCTGCCTCAGCCTCCTGATAGCTGGAACTACAGGCACACAACATCACGCCCAGCAAATTTTTGTATTTTTAGTAAAGACAGGGTTTCACCATGTTGGCCAGGATGGTCTCAAGCTCTTGACCTCAGGTGATCCGCCCGCCTCGGCCTCCTAGAGTGCTGGGATTATAGGCGTGGCCTATAAAGTATTATTTTTAATGGCTACATATTTCATCATTTTTACTTACTATGATTTACTAAGCCTTCCTCTATTAGTAAACATTTAACCTCATTTTTAGTTTTTGCTATTATAGGTTTCAAAAAGTTTTCATGAATATGAGATTTTTGAACCTATTAAATTATGTCCTTAAAATAAATTCCTGGCCGGGCGCAGTGGCTCATGCCTGTAATCCCAGCACTTTGGGAGGCCAAGGTGGGTGGATCATCTGAGGTCAGGAGTTTAAGACCAGCCTGTCTAACATGGTGAAACCTAGTTTCTACTAAAGATACAAAAAAATAGCCGGGCGTGGTAGCATGCACCTGTAATCCCAGCTACTTGGGAAGCTGAGGCAGGAGAATTGCTTGAACCCGGGAGAAAGAGGTTGCAGTAAGCCGAGATCACGCCATTGCACTCCAGCTTGGGCAACACAGCGAGACTCCATCTCAAAAACAAATAAATGAATTCCTATAAATGTGGCTTCTAGTTCAAAAGATACTGATGTAGAAACAGTTTACTACTCAGTTAGTGTACAACTAGATGATGGGGTTTTCATAAATTTATTACTGAAAAATAGCTGTCCTAATAACAGTGACATAATAATAGATTTTTGTTATTGTTGTGTGTTTTACAAAGCCTCATTTTCTCCTAGGAAGCAACATGATGAAACTGATTTTTTGCTCGAATATATGATTTTAACATTTTTACACCTAAAAATGGAAAAAAAAAATTATAGTTCATATTCTAGTTCATTAATTACCACATGGATTTCAGTTTTTCCATATTTAACAACAACAGACTTTTTTTTTCTTTTTCTTATATATATATTTTTAAGACAGAGTCTTGCTCTGTTGCCCAGGCTGTAATGAAGTTGTGCAATTTCAGCTCACTGTAACCTCCGCCTCCCAGGTTCAAGCAATTCTCTTGCCTCAGCCTCCTGAGTGGCTGGGATTACAGATGCCTGCCACCACACTCGGCAAATTTTTGTATTTTTAGTAGAGACGGGTTTTTGCCATGTTGGCCAGGCTGGTTTCCAACTCTTGGCCTCAGGCAATCTGCCTGCCTCTGCCTCCCACAGTGCTGGGATTACAGGTGTGAGCCACCACACCCAGTCACACTTAAAATGCTGAAAGTTTTGTATCCAAATTTATTGAGGTAAAATTAAAGTACAATAAAAAATAAACCATACATATTTAAAGTATATCATTTCATCAATTTTGACATATGTGTATATGTATGAAACCATCATCACAATCAAGATAACCATCATTTCCATCATCCCTAATATTTTCCTCTCATTCCTTTGTAATACATCCCTCCTTCTATCCCTGTTCCCAGGTAACCATTAATCTGCTTTTTATCAATATAGATAAATTATTTTCCCAGAATTGCATATAAATGTAATTATATAAAATGTACTTTTCAAGACCCTGTCTCTATTTTAAAAAATGTTTTTAAATAGCCAGGCACAGTGGTGCACATCTGTAGTCCCAGCTATTCAAAAGGCTGAGGCAGGAGGATCCCTTGAGCCCAGGAATTTGAGGCAGTAGTGAGCTATGATTGTGCCACTGCACTCCAAAGTGAGACCCACATCTCTAAAAAAAAAAAAAAAAAAAAAGTACTCTCTTTTCTCTCTTTTGTCTGGCTTCTTTCATTTAGCATAATGCATTTTAGTCTGTGCTGTTGCATGTATCATTAGCTCATTTCTTTTTATTGTTGAGTAGTATTCCATCATACAGAGGTACCACACAATTTGTTTTTCTGTGTTCTCTGTTCACCTGTTGATAGAGATTTAGGTTTTCAGTTTTTGTCCTTTCATTATCCTAAATTTTTAAAGGTCCAATGCAGAATGACTGTAAGGCTATATATTTAATATCCTAGTATACCAACTGGTTCTAAATATCAGTTGCAAAGATGTATATGCTAAAGATGTAAGTAAACAGATATATAAAGGATAAATTACCATGATGATTTTTATGCAATTTTTTCTTACCTTTTCATGGACTACACTGTCTAGGTAAGGGTAAACATGAAAAGCTCCCCGAATTCTCTTCACACCTGGATACAACAATGGGACCATATTAACATAAGCCACACCATGAAACGAAAGCTGAGCTTCTTCATCAGTCTAAAGGAATAAAACCAGAGAGTTGTTAGTGCTATAAGCAATGTAATATAAGGTATGGAGCTCTGACTCAGCAGTTCAAAGGCCTGGTTTTAGAAACTAACTCAACTACTTAGCCAGTTATGTGACTTTGGGCCAGTTACATAAGACATTTTGGGCCTTCTTTATCTTCAAAATGGGTTTAATAATACCATGATCACTGAGAAAATGCATATAAACAGTGTTAATGGCGGGGGCGGGGGGGGGGCAGCCAAGATGGCCGAATAGGAACAGCTCCGGTCTATAGCTCCCAGCGTGAGCGACGCAGAAGATGGGTGATTTCTGCATTTCCATCTGAGGTACCGGGTTCATCTCACTAGGGGGTGCCAGACAGTGGGCACAGGTCAGTGGGTGCAGCGCACCGTGTGCGAGCTGAAGCAGGGCGAGGCACTGCCTCACTCGGGAAGCGCAAGGGGTCAGGGAGTTCCCTTTCCTAGTCAAAGAAAGGGGTGACAGACGGCACCTGGAAAATTGGGTCACTCCCACCCTAATACTGCGCTTTTGCCGACGGGCTTAAAAAATGGCACACCAAGAGATTATATCCCGCACCTGGCTTGGAGGGTCCTATGCCCATGGAGTCTCACTCATTGCTAGCACAGCAGTCTGAGATCAAACTGCAAGGCAGCAGCAAGGCTGGGGGAGGGGTGCCCCCCATTGCCCAGGCTTGCTTAGGTAAACAAAGCAGCCAGGAAGCTCCAACTGGGTGGAGCCCACCACAGCTCAAGGAGGCCTGCCTGCCTCTGTAGGCTCCACCTCTGGGGGCAGGGGGCAGGTCACAGACAAACAAAAAGACAGCAGTAACCTCTGCAGACTTAAATGTCCCTGTCTGACAGCTTTGAAGAGAGCAGTGGTTCTCCCAGCACGCAGCTGGAGATCTGAGAACGGGCACACTGCCTCTTCAAGTGGGTCCCTGACCCCTGACCCCCGAGCAGCCTAACTGGGAGGCACCCCCTAGTAGGGGCAGACTGACACCTCACACTGCCGGGTACTCCTCTGAGACAAAACTTCCAGAGGAACGATCAGACAGCAGCATTCGTGGTTCATGAAAATCCGCTGTTCTGCAGCCACCGCTGCTGATACCCAGGCAAACAGGGTCTGGAGTGGACCTCTAGCAAACTTCAACAGATCTGCAGCTGAGGGTCCTGTCTGTTAGAAGGAAAACTAACAAACAGAAAGGACATCCACACCAGAAACCCATCTGTACATCACCATCGTCAAAGACCAAAAGTAGATAAAACCACAAAGATGGGGAAAAAACAGAGCAGAAAAACTGGAAACTCTAAAAAGCAGAGTGCCTCTCCTACTCCAAAGGAACGCAGTTCCTCACCAGCAATGGAACAAAGCTGGACGGAGAATGACTTTGACGAGTTGAGAGAAGAAGGCTTCAGACGATCAAACTACTCCGAGCTACAGGAGGAAATTCAAACCAAAGGCAAAGAAGTTAAAAACTTTGAAAAAAATTTAGACGAATATATAACTAGAATAACCAATACAGAGAAGTGCTTAAAGGAGCTGATGGAGCTGAAAGCCAAGGCTCGAGAACTACGTGAAGAATGCAGAAGCCTCAGGAGCCGATGTGATCAACTGGAAGAAGGAGTATCAGTGATGGAAGATGAAATGAACAAAATGAAGTGAGAAGGGAAGTTTAGAGAAAAAAGAATAAAAAGAAACAAACAAAGCCTCCAAGAAATATGGGACTATGTGAAAAGACCAAATCTACGTCTGATTGGTGTACCTGAAAGTGACAGGGAGAATGGAACCAAGTTGGAAAACACTCTGCAGGATATCATCCAGGAGAACTTCCCCAATCTAGCAAGGCAGGCTAACATTCAGATTCAGGAAATACAGAGAATGCCACAAAGATACTCCTTGAGAAGAGCAGCTCCAAGACACATAATTGTCAGATTCACCAAAGTTGAAATGAAGGAAAAAATGTTAAGGGCAGCCACAGAGAAAGGTCAGGTTACCCACAAAGGGAAGCCCATCAGACTAACAGCGGATCTGTTGGCAGAAACTCTACAAGCCAGAAGAGAGTGGGGGCCAATATTCAACATTCTTAAAGAAAAGAATTTTCAACACAGAATTTCATATCCAGCCAAACTAAGCTTCATAAGTGAAGGAGAAATAAAATACTTTACAGACAAGCAAATGCTGAGAGATTTTGTCACCACCAGGCCTGCCCTAAAAGAGCTCCTGAAGGAAGCACTAAACATGGAAAGGAACAACCGGTACCAGCCGCTGCAAAATCATGCCAAATTGTAAAGACCATTGAGGCTAGGAAGAAACTGCATCAACTAATGAGCAAAATAACCAGCTAACATCATAATGACGGGATCAAGTTCACACATAACAATATTAACCTTAAATGTAAATGGGCTAAATGCTCCAATTAAAAGACACAGACTGGCAAATTGGATAAAGAGTCAAGACCCATCAGTGTGCTGTATTCAGGAAACCCATCTCACGTGCAGGGACACACATAGGCTCAAAATAAAAGGATGGAGGAAGATCTACCAAGCAAATGGAAAACAAAAAAAGGCAAGGGTTGCAATCCTAGTCTCTGATAAAACAGACTTTAAACCAACAAAGATCAAAAGAGACAAAGAAGGCCATTACATAATGGTAAAGGGATCAATTCAACAAGAAGAGCTAACTATCCTAAATATATATGCACCCAATACAGGAGCACCCACATTCATAAAGCAAGTCCTGAGTGACCTACAAAGAGACTTAGACTCCCACACAATAATAATGAGAGACTTTAACACCCCACTGTCAACATTAGACAGATCAACGAGACAGAAAGTTAACAAGGATACCCAGGAATTGAACTCAGCTCTGCACCAAGTAGACCTAATAGACATCTACAGAACTCTCCACCCCAAATCAACAGAATATACATTTTTTTCAGCACCACACCACACCTATTCCAAAATTGACCACATAGTTGGAAGTAAAGCTCTTCTCAGCAAATGTAAAAGAACAGAAATTATAACAACCGTCTCTCAGACCACAGTGCAATCAAACTAGAACTCAGGATTAAGAAACTCACTCAAAACTGCTCAACTACATGGAAACTGAACAACCTGCTCCTGAATGACTATTGGGTACGTAACAAAATGAAGGCAGAAATAAAGATGTTCTTTGAAACCAACGAGAACAAAGACACAACATACCAGAATCTCTGGGACACATTCAAAGCAGTGTGTAGAGGGAAATTTATAGCACTAAATGCCCACAAGAGAAAGCAGGAAAGATCCAAAATTGACACCCTAACATCACAATTAAAAGAACTAGAAAAGCAAGAGCAAACACATTCAAAAGCTAGCAGAAGGCAAGAAATAACTAAAATCAGAGCAGAACTGAAGGAAATAGAGACACAAAAAACCCTTCAAAAAATTAATGAATCCAGGAGCTGGTTTTTTGAAAGGATCAACAAAATTGATAGACTGCTAGCAAGACTAATAAAGAAGAAAAGAGAGAAGAATCAAATAGATGCAATAAAAAATGATAAAGGGGATATCACCACCGATCCCACAGAGATACAAACTACCATCAGAGAATAGGATGAACACCTCTACACAAACAAACTAGAAAATCTAGAAGAAATGGATAAATTCCTCGACACATACACCCTCCCAAGACTAAACCAGGAAGAACTTGAATCTCTGAATAGACCAATAACAGGCTCTGAAATTGTGGCAATAATCAATAGCTTACCAACCAAAAAGAGTCCAGGACCAGATGGATTCACAGCCAAATTCTACCAGAGGTACAAGGAGGAACTGGTACCATTCCTTCTGAAACTATTCCAATCAATAGAAAAAGAGGGAATCCTCCCTAACTCATTTTATGAGGCCAGCATCATCCTGATACCAAAGCCTGGCAGAGACACAACCAAAAAAGATAATTTTAGACCAATATCCTTGATGAACATTGATGCAAAAATCCTCAATAAAATACTGGCAAACCGAATCCAGCAGCACATCAAAAAGCTTATCCACCATGATCAAGTGGGCTTCATCCCTGGGATGCAAGGCTGGTTCAATATACGCAAATCAATAAATGTAATCCAGCATATAAACAGAACCAAAGACAAAAACCACATGATTATCTCAAAAGATGCAGAAAAGGCCTTTGACAAAATTCAACAACCCTTCATGCTAAAAACTCTCAATAAATTAGGTATTGATGGGACGTATCTCAAAATAATAAGAGCTATCTATGACAAACCCACAGCCAGTATCATACTGAATGGGCAAAAACTGGAAGCCTTCCCTTTGAAAACTGGCACAAGACAGGGATGCCCTCTCTCACCACTCCTCTTCAACATAGTGTTGGAATTTCTGGCCAGGGCAATTAGGCAGGAGAAGGAAATAAAGGGTATTCAATTAGGAAAAGAGGAAGTCAAATTGTCCCTGTTTGCAGATGACATGATTGTATATCTAGAAAACCCCATTGTCTCAGCCCAAAATCTCCTTAAGCTGATAAGCAACTTCAGCAAAGTCTCAGGATACAAAATCAATATGCAAAAATCACAAGCATTCTTATACACCAATAACAGACAAACAGACAGCCAAATCATGAGTGAATTCCCATTCACAATTGCTTCAAAGAGAATAAAATACCTAGGAATCCAACTTACAAGGGATGTGAAGGACCTCTTCAAGGAGAACTACAAACCACTGCTCAACAAAATAAAAGAGGATACAAAGAAATGGAAGAACATTCCATGCTCATGGGTAGGAAGAATCAATATCGTGAAAATGGCCATACTGCCCAAGGTAATTTACAGATTCAATGCCATCCCCATCAAGCTACCAATGACTTTCTTCACAGAATTGGAAAAAACTACTTTAAAGTTGTTATGGAACCAAAAAAGAGCTCGCATCGCCAAGTCAATCCTAAGCCAAAAGAACAAAGCTGGAGGCATCATGCTACCTGACTTCAAACTATACTACAAGTCTACGGTAACCAAAACAGCATGGTACTGGTACCAAAACAGAGATATAGATCAATGGAACAGAACAGAGCCCTGAGAAATAACACCGCATATCTACAACTATCTGATCTTTGACAAACCTGAGAAAAACAAGCAATGGGGAAAGGATTCCCTATTTAATAAATGGTGCTGGGAAAACTGGCTAGCCATATGGAGAAAGCTGAAACTGGATCCCTTCCTTACACCTTATACAAAAATTAATTCAAGATGGATTAAAGACTTAAACGTTAGACCTAAAACCATAAAAACTCTAGAAGAAAACCTAGGCATTACCATTCAGGACATAGGCATGGGCAAGGACTTCATGTCTAAAACACCAAAAGCAATGGCAACAAAAGCCAAAATTGACAAATGGGATCTAATTAAACTCAAGAGCTTCTGCACAGCAAAAGAAACTACCATCAGAGTGAACAGGCAACCTACAAAATGGGAGAAAATTTTCTCAACCTACTCATCTGACAAAGGGCTAATATCCAGAATCTACAATGAACTCAAACAAATTTACAAGAAAAAAACAAACAACCCCATCAAAAAGTGGGCGAAGGACATGAACAGACACTTCTCAAAAGAAGACATTTATGCAGCCAAAAAACACATGAAAAAATGCTCACCATCACTGGCCATCAGAGAAATGCAAACTAAAACCACAATGAGATACCATCTCACACCAGTTAGAATGGCAATCATTAAAAAGTCAGGAAACAACAGGTACTGGAGAGGATGTGGAGAAATAGGAACACTTTTACACTGTTGGTGGGACTGTAAACTAGTTCAACCATTGTGGAAGTCAGTGTGGCGATTCCTCAGGGATCTAGAACTAGAAATACCATTTGACCCAGCCATCCCATTACTGGGTATATACCCAAAGGACTATAAATCATGCTGCTATAAAGACACATGCACACATATGTTTATTGCGGCACTATTCACAATAGCAAAGACTTGGAACCAACCCAAATGTCCAACAATGATAGACTGGATTAAGAAAATGTGGCACATATACACCGTGGAATACTATGTAGCCATAAAAAATGATGAGTTCATGTCCTTTGTAGGGACATGGATGAAATTGGAAACCATCACTCTCAGCAAACTATTGCAAGGACAAAAAACCAAACACCGCATGTTCTCACTCATAGGTGGGAACTGAACAATGAGAACACATGGACACAGGAAGGGGAACATCACACTTTGGGGACGGTTGTGGGGTCGGGGGAGCGGGGAGGGATAGCATTAAGAGATATACCTAATGCTAAATGACGAGTTAATGGGTGCAGCACACCAGCACGGCACATGCATACATATGTAACTAACCTGCACATTGTGTACATGTACCCTAAAACTTAAAGTATAATAATAATAAAATAAACATAAACAAACAAACAAACAAAAAAACAGTGTTAATAGTAAAGGCAGTAGTTGAATCAATACATACTCAAATTAATTGATATATATATTCAACCAAAAAGTCAATTTCACCATGCGGCTTCTTAGCAGAAAGTGAAGCTTTATAAAAAACAACAATAACAATAACAAAAAACTTAAAAGGAATCAGAAGCTATGGCTTTTACCTTTAGTTCACAGACTCATACAAATAAAAGGGACCTTACAAATTATGTGGACCAGTGATGACAAAAAGGCTTTAACTTATGTCTAAATTCTCATTAATGGTGGAGGTGTTTTAGCATAGTTGGCTGAGAAAAATTCTCTGTATTTATCTTGGTTCAAAAGGAAAGAGTGCTTTGATTGATTAGCACTATCTACCATGGATGAAGGCGGACGAATGACAGTCTCCTGTCATGTATTTACCATACTTGATCTCATCTAAACTTTCATTGCAAAGATGAAGAACATGTTAATAAATATATTTTAACAGCGTTTTAAATGGTTGTATGGTTTGCCACAGAAAATTTTTATAGAGAAAAAGATCAATTTTGTGAAAGAAAATAAATTTAATTCCAAGCATAAAAATAATCTCTTTGATTTCATCTATTATAATAATAATTGGCAACTAGACTTAAAAGTCCTACACTTGGCTGGGTGCAGTGGCTCACACCTATAATCCCAGCACTTTGGGAGGCTGAGGCGGGTGGATCATGAGGTCAGGAGTTCGAGACCAGCCTGACCAACATGGTGAAGCCCTGTCTCTGCTAAAAATACAAAAATTAGCCGGGCGTGGTGGTGTGTGCCTATAATCCCAGCTACTCAGGAGGCTGAGGCAGGAGAATCGTTTGAACCCAGGAGGCAGAGGTTGCAGTGAGCCAAGATTGTGCCACTGTACTCCAGCCTAGGCGACAGAGTAAGACTCCATCACAAAAAAAAAAAAAAAAAAGTCCTATGTTCATGAGATAATATGTAGTTTTGAAATCTAAGGAAAGTTAGCCAATACTTACATACTACAAAGGGAGAAATGGTTACCTAGTGATAGTATTTTTATTATGCAAAAAGCCTATGTTTAAAGTCAGCCAAACAATTTAGATACTTATTAAATGGTCTGCTATTTGCCGTACATCATGCTAGGTACCATGGAGGATGCAAATCAGCTTACTACATGACCCCTACTCTCAGGGAGTTTATGAACAAGCAGAAAAGACCAGACATGCACAGGTAAAACAATAGATAATATGTACTAGGCTCATCAAAGCTATACCTTTTAAAAACAGTAGTATATCTAAGATCCCTATTACACTAATTAGCAGGCTAAAACATTTTAAGAAGGCAAGTTTAACCTATGGTAAAACTATTGTGAAGGGCCAAAGAGAAATAGGATATCTGGTAATAAAGCCTAGAGAGTCTTTAGTGAACAACGGGGAACTAGGGTGGTCAATAATCCTGGTTTTTCCCACGACAGAGGATTTTCCTGGGACATGAGACTTTCAGTGCTAAAACAAGTGACATTCAAGGCAAATCAGAATGAGCTAGTCACCCTTAGGAGAACAGCTATGTTCACATTTTCTTTTGGTATCAGAATTGAAGCAGAATAACAGGTCGGGTCTGATTCTACATTTCTTATATAAATATTTTTGAGGGGGCATATTTACCTTTTCAGTTTTGCCAGCTTTCCCTTTGGGTATAGTGACCAGAGGAACTCTTGTGATCTCTACAGGCCAAAGCCGGCAATCGGCAATTCGCTTCTGAAAACTGCAAATCAAGAATCAGTCCATTAGCATTATATGCAAAAATAAAGTCAGTATAATTTAGGTTAAAGGGAAATATTCTCTTTTAGAAAGTAATATAGAATATACATATATAAAAATTGGGGGGCTCGGCTCAGTGGCTCATGCCTGTAAATGCCAGCACTTTGAGAGGCCAAGGCAGGTAGATGGCTTGAACCCAGGTGTTTGAGATGGTCTGAGCAACATGCCAAAATTCCATCTCTATGAAAAATACAAAAAATTAGCTGGGCATGGCAGTGAATACCTGTGGTCCCAGCTATTTGAGGAGGCTGAGGTGGGAGGATGGCTTGAGCTCAGGAGGTCAAGGCTATAGTGAGCCGTGATGGTGCTATTGCACTCTCACCTGGGCCACCGTGAGACCCTGTCTCAAAAAAAAAATTTTTTTTCTTACTGGGTTGGTGGTTTTTAAAACTTTCCCAAATCTATAACATTCCAAAAATAATTCTGCTCAACTTCTAGTGAGGCAAACTGAACATTGTTAGAGCAATTTAACAATATGAATCAAAAACCTTAAAAATATCCATAATCATTGACTACAAATTCTACTTCTAGTGATTTATTCTAAAGAAATAATCAGACAAGTTTACAAATGGTATAAAATTGGTTATTTCTATTGTGAAAATAGTATCCAGTTTCAGCTCCAATACAGCTTTGAAGTAATCCCACCTGTACTTGCAACAAGAAAAAAGTTGATCGAATTGAAATAAATAACATTTCTTAGATCCATCATAGAATTGAGGTCACAAGGCAAAAACTGCCATCCTGAAATTGAGAGAGACAAGGAAAACACAGAGGATCACAGCTGCAGTCAGCTTAAAGACAGCAGAAGTCAATGGTGCCAGCAACTGGTAGAAATAGTTTAATGATAATTTTGACAAATTGCTGGAGGCTAAATGTGGACTAGCTGGGAGTGAAAAACTCCAGGGGGCCCACTGTTAAGGGTCCCCACACTTACATAAGTTTTAAATCCAGGAGCCCCACCAAGTTCTCACAGTGAAGATAGAAGAAAAATACCCTCATATTTCAGGCAGGGAGAGAAGAAAAGTAACCATTTTGAAATATGGCCACAGTGTTCTCCCTATCAAAGGGTTGATCTTTAAGGGAAACTACTTTACCAGATCCTTATCTGATCTCAGGGAAGGGCATTTAGACAACTCCAACCTGTCTAGCTTCCACAGGGATAGGAGGAAAAAAAGATTATCAAACACTTCTGAAAGTCACAGCCCAGGTTACCCAAACCTATTTACTGAGACGTAATCACAGGTTATAGAATACTTCTCCCCGACAATTTGCCACCACATCAACAGAGTTTCAATATAATAACAATGAATTACAACTGAGAGGGCTACAAACCCCTCTATTAGAGAAGTTCTTGGGCAAATCCAAAGACAACAGGGGAGGTGGGGGAAAAAGGAAACTGAAGCCTCTGGCACTTACAACTATAGCAAACAAGAAACACAACCCAGCTCCTAACCAGATTAACATAAAACCTCACACTAAAAATACTAGTTACCCCAATTCCTATTACCCAATATATAATGGCTAGCTTCCAAATTAAAGGGCTATAAAGAATGCTAAAAGGCAAGAAAAAATATAGTCCAAATAGACAAAGCTACTATAAGACCTAGACTAAGATATGACATAGATTTTGGAATTATCAGATAGGAAATGTAAAGTAACTATAATTATGTTAAAGACTCTTACAGAAAAAGTAGGCAACATGCAAGAACAGATGGGTAATGTAAGCAGAGATGGAAACTCTAAGAAAGAATCAAAAGGAAATGCTAGATATCAAAAACACAAACAAAAATGAATAATTCATTTGATGGGCTTATCAGTTGACTGGACATGGCTGAGGAAAATAAAATCAGTGAATGTGAGTATATGTGAATAGAAATTCCCCAAACTGAAATGCAAAGGAAGAAAAATGAAAACAAAAAATCATAACAGAATATCCAAGACTTGTGGAACAATTACAAAAGGTGTAATTAGGCATAACAGAAGAAGAAAGAAAAGAGCAGAAGAAATATTTGAAGTAATAATAGCTAAGAATTTTCCAAAATTAACTGACAGACACCAAACCACAGATCCAGGAATCTCAGAGAATACCAAGCAGAATAAGGACAAAAACAAACAAACAACTATATCTAGGCATATCATTTTCAAACTGCAAAAAAAAAAATCTTGAAAAAACCAGAGGAAAAACACTTTACCTACAGAAGAACAAGGATTAGAAATACATTGGACTTCTCTTCAGAAACCATGCAAGCAAGAAGACAGTAGCGCAAACTATTTAAAGTTGTGAAAGAAAAACCCGCCAACTTAGAATTCCGTACCTAATAAAATTATCCTTCAAACCTAAAGGAGAAATAAACCCTTTCTCAAACAAACAAAAATGAGAGGAGTTTCTGGCCAGTAGACATGCCTTACAAGAAATGCTAAAAGTTCTTTAGAGAGAAGGAAAATGACATGGGTCAAAAAACTTGTATCAACATAAGAAAGAGCATCAGGAAATATCATAAATGAAGGTAAAATAAATTTGTTAATGTTTTTTATTCTTAATTGATCTGATAACTATTTGTTCAAGGTAATAATGGCAACAATGTATCCTCAATAAAATATTAGCAAATCAAAGCTAACAATGTATAAAAAAGAATTATACACCATGACCAAGTGGGTGACCAGGGGTATATAAAAACTCTCTAAAATATCTGCTCAATTTTTCTGCTCGATTTTTCTGTAAATCTAAAGCTGTCCTAAAAAAACAGATATTCATTTTTTTAAAGTCAGAGTTGTTCATTCATATTGTATATATATTGGTAATCCCTCAATTCTCATCTATCTCTAACAACCAGGTCACTGTGATGAAGACTGATAGTTACCTACACAATATCAGTGTACCTGTTCTTTAGTAATTAAATCTTGATTTAGCCTGGGTGACAATGTGTTCAACTAAAACACTTTATTGTCTAGCCTTCTTGCATCTAGAGGTTGGCTAATGAGACATAAACAGAAGTTGCCAGATTCCAGGAAGGTTCCAGAAGAGGGGTTAAGACAGGCAGCATGTGTCCTTTTTAATCCATAACCATTCTCCTCTTCCAAATTTCTGCCAGAAATGTGAGCGTGCAAGCTGGAGCTCCAGCAGCCACCTTTGCACCATGATACAACCTTGTGGATGGAAGTCACATAGTTAAGAAGGTAGAACAAAAGGAAAGACGGAGCCTGGATACCTAATAACACTGTGTAACCATCATACATACCAATTCTGGACTCTTTTTTTTTTTTTTGAGATGGAGTCTCACTCTGTCGCCAGGCTGGAATGCAGTGGCGTGATCTCGGCTCACTACAACCTCCACCTCCTGGGTTCAAGCGATTCTCCTGCCTCAGCCTCTCGAGTAGCTGGGACTACAGGTGAGCACCACCATGCCCAGCTAATTTTTGTATTTTTAGTAGAGACGGGGTTTCACCATGTTGGCCAGGATGGTCTCAATCTCTTGACCTCATGATCCACCCGCCTCGGCCTTTCAAAGAGCTGGGATTACAGTTGTGAGCCATTGCACCTGGCCGAGTTTTTTTTTTTTTTTTTTTAAGAGACAAGGTGTCACTCCATTGCCCAGGCTAGAGTGCAGTGACGCAATCACAGCTCACTGCAGCCTCAACCTCCTGGGCTCAAGCAATCCTATCATGTCAGCCTCACAAGTAGTAAGACTACAGGTACGTATCTGCACCAAACTAATTTCTTCTTCTTCTTTTTTTTTTTTTTTTTTTTGTGAGCCAGGGTCTTACTTTGTTGCCCAGGCTGGTCTTGAACTCTTGGCTTCCAGAGATCCTCCTGCCTCCCAAAGTGCTGGCATTATAGGCATGAGCCACCAGGCCCAGCTCAGACTTCTTTTATATAAAAGAGGAATAAGCATTCACCTTGGTTAAACCACCATCACTAGCTGTTTCTGTTATTAGCAGATGAACACAACATCACTCTAATATATAGATGTGATAAATGAGAAAGTCTCAATCTAAAATCACCTTAACTCAAATATAAATAAAATTAACAAAAGTAACATTTCTTCCCACCTACAAGCCTTTGTGGGTTAGACATATGTCCTTCCTCTTCTTCTTACCTGACCACTGCAGAAGGATCAAGGTAGCAGCGACTTTCCAAGTCCCAAATAATCCTTTTCTTTATGCACTCTGCTTGATTCCTAAATTCGCTGTCCTGTAAAATATAAATACTTCTGTTCTCGGTATGTGTGCCATGACTTCATTCTGCTCCATCTATAGGGCATTCTTTTAATGGATTTGTTCACAATACTTTTCTTAGTATTATTACTACTATAAGTATGACTACTATTGCAACTACTACCACCACCTTAAAATTATGAGTACTTTATTAATAAAGTATATAAGATAAGATAAATTACATATATAATAGTTACATTGATCCAGTACTAAGATCCAAATACTGACTAACAACCTCAATCAATGATTCTCAACTCTAGATGCATATTAAAATCATCTGGAGTTTTTGTTTTTTTTTTTTTAAACACCTGGACCCGGTGCAGTGGCTCACACCTGTAATCCCAACACTTTAGGAGGCCAAGGCAGGAGTACTGCTTGAGGCCAGGAGTTCAAGACCAGGCTGGCAACAAAGTGAGACCTCCATCTCTAAAAATAATTTAAAAATTAGCTAAGTGTGGTGGCATGAGCCTGTGGTCCCAGCTACTCACGAGGCTGAGGCAGGAGGATTGCTTGAGCCTAGGAGGTTGAGGCTACAATGAGCCTCAATAATCGCACCATTGCATTCCAGCCTGGGTGACAGAGACCCTGTCTCAAAAAAAAAAAAAGGAAAAAACACCTGGCATTGGTACTATTTTAAAAGTAAATTCTTACATAGTTTACCTGGGTTAAGACTTGGCCATTGTCATTGTTTTAAACGCTTTCCTGGTGACTGTAATGTGCAGCCAGGGTTGAGAATTAACAATCTAAACTGAAACATAAAATATAATTTGAATGTCTAAAATAAAATGTCTGATCTAAATTAAAATATAAATCTAAGAAAAGTATGAATTTTCACTAATCACAATGATGAGAAAAGATAATGCACAGTGTTTTTCCAATATTCCTAGCCTCAGGTCTACTATTTTAAATATTTAGTCAGACAATGAAAAATAATTCAACCATCCTCATTTTACAAATTATTTTATTAAATGTTTCCATCAGTGGATTATCAGCTCATTCGAGAAACATTTGCAAGTGTGTTATACTATTTTCCTTTTTTTTTTTTTTTTTTTTTGAGACAGAGTCTCGCTCTGTCGCCCAGGCTGGAGTGCAGTGGCGCGATCTCGGCTCACTGCAAGCTCTGCCTCCTGGGTTCACGCCATTCTCCTGCCTCAGCCTCTGTGGAGTAGCTGGGACTACAGGCGCACGCCACCACGCCCGGCTAATTTTTTGTATTTTTTTTAGTAGAGACAGGGTTTCACCGTGGTCTCGATCTCCTGACCTCGTGCTCAGCCTGCCTCAGCCTCCCAAAGTGCTGGGATTACAAGCATGAGCCACCGCGCCCGGCCGCGTTATACTATTTTCTATGCCCTTGACAAATTTCTGGTAATTTATATAATTAATAAGTATATTAAAGTATGTCCATACAATGTCACATTATACAGCAAGTACAAATAAAGAAAAAGAGTGAGACTGCTTTTTATATAATGTGGAAAAATCTCAAAAATACACCACAAAGTAAAACAAAGCAAGTTGCATATAGTGTGTGTAAGTATGTACTCTTTACATTTGTGTAATAAAAATGATGGGGAACGAATACATGTATGTATTAGTGTGTGCATATATATATGATTAAACACCTTATACACTCAGTTTTAAAAAATGAAAAACAGGCAGGGCATGGTGGCTTGGGCCTGTAATCCCAGCACTTTGGGAGGCAGAGGTGGGTGGATCACTTGAGGTCAGGAGTTTGAAACCAGCCTGGCCAATATGGTGAAGCCCTGTCTCTACTAAAGTAAATACAGAAACCAGCAGGGCATGGTGGCGTGTGCCTGTAATCTCAGCTATTCAGGTGGCTGAGGCATGAGAATAGCTTGAACCCAAGAGGCAGAGGTTGCAGTGAGCTGAGATAGCGCCATTGCACTCCAGCCTGGGTGACAGAGTGAGACTCTGTCTCAAACAAACAAACAAAAACATTAATACCTTGAGATAAAGGAAAAATAGCAGTGTTTTCCCAACAGATACTAGTTCTGAAAATAACAAGACTTTGAACATTTCCTGAAAATCTGGACTTCCTAAAGAAAAGAACTTTTATCTGCTGGGTGCAGTGGTTCACGCCTGTAATCCCAGCACTTTGGGAGGCCGAGGCAGGCAGATCACCTGAGGTCAGGAGTTCAAGACCAGCCTGGCCAAATGTGGTGAAACCCCATCTCCACCAAAAATACAAAAATTAGCCGGGTGTGGTGGCGGGTGCCTGTAATCCCAGTTACTTGGGAGGCTGAGGCAGGAGAATCACTTGAACCCAGGAAGCGCAGGTTGCAGTGAGCCAAGATCGGGCCATTGCACTCCAGCCTGGGCAACAGGAAGGAAACTCCATCTCAAAAAAACAAAAAAAGAAAAGTACTTTTATCCCTGATGTTTATTATGCTGATGTCTGAAGATATTTTATAACCTTTGTATATCTGAAAATCAAGTGAAGAAACCTGCAGTTTTGCCATCATGAATAGACTAATGTAAATGGGGTAACGTTGGTAATTTTGTGTTGTTTTCTTCTAAAAACATTTGACCCTTGAACAACACAATTTGAATTGCATGGGTCCACTTATATATATGCGGATTTTTTTTTTTTTTTTTTTGAGACAGAATCTTGCTCTGTCACCCAGGCTGGAGTGCAGTGGTACAGTCTCGGCTCACTGCAGCCTCCGCCTCCGTGTCCCGGGTTCAAGCGATTCTCTTGCCTCAGCTTCCCAAGGAGCTGGGATTCAGGCGCACACCACTATACTGGCGAATTTTTGTGTTTTTAGGACCAGGCTGGTCTCAAACTCCTGGTCTCAAGTGATCTGCCCGCCTTGGCCTCCCAAAGTGCTGGGATTACAGCCACCGTACCTGGCTCATATGTGAATCTCTTTTTTTTTTTTTTTTTTTAGACAGTCTCACTCTGTTGCCCAGGCTGGAGTGCAGTGGCATGATCTCAGCTCACTGCAACCTCCACCTCCCAGGTTCAAGTGGTTCTCCTACCTCAGCCTCCCGAGTAGCTGAGATTACAGATGTGTGCCACTACACCCAGCCAATTCTTGTATTTTTAGTAGAGATGGGGTTTCACCATATTGTCCAGGCTGGTCTCGAACTCCTAACCTTGTGATCCACCCGCCTTGGCCTCCCAAAGTGCTAGCATTACAGGTGTGAGCCACCATGTCTGGCCATGTGGATCTTTTTTAAACCAAATATGAATCAAAAATACAGTATTTGTGGGATGTAAAACCCACAAATATGGAGGGCCAATTTGTCCTATACATAGTTTCTACAGGGCTGACTGCAGGACTTGAGTATGCACGAATTTTGGTATTTGCAGGGGTCCTGGCAACAACCCCCATGTACACCAAGGGATCACTATACTTTTTTTTTTTTTTTGAGACACGGTCTCGCTCTGACACTCAGGCTGGAGTGCAGTGACACAATCCTGACTCACTTCAACCTCCACCTCCAGGTTCAAGTGATTCTTGTGCTTCAGCCTCCCAAGCAGCTGGAATTACAGGTGTGTGCCAACGTGCCCAGCTAAGTTTTGTATTTTTAGTAGAGACAGAGTTTCATCATGTTGGCCAGGCTAATCTCGAACTCCTGACCTCAGTGATCCACCTGTCTCGGCCTCCCAAAGTGCTAGGATTACAGGCATCAGCTACTCCGCCCAGCCGAGATGACTACACTGATTTTTTATTTGGTGAGCCAGTCCTTCTGAAGTCTGACTCCCTTTCACAATTTCCAAGGAAACCTTTTCTTTACTTTTCTAAATGCTTCTGTCTCTGGGTCTTCCTTTGACTTACATATTTGCTTTTATATACATAAGAAAGTATCTAGAAGGAAACACAAGAAACTGTAACAAAGGTGACGACTGTCACAGAATCCTTGGTCTGTTGCTTTTCCAGCAGAAAACCTCTGTGGCTGGTCACACCTTTGCCCAAATTTTGCTTGGGCCTGCTAGGCTCATTTCACCCACTTGGCCTGGCAGGCTATGCTAGGCTTGCACTACTGGCCTGGATCCCACGCCTGCCAAGGGTGAGCTAGGCATGGATCATTGAGGGGTGTGTGAGTAAGCGATCATGGGGTCTGGCCATTGTGCACAGCCAGGCATGCTGGCTGCAGCAGAGCCGGCAGCTCCAGGCGTCAGCACAGGTGCCAGCTCCCTGCGAGGCTGTGGCTGAACCAGGCATATTGCAAACGGCTTCCATGGCCGGCACCAGGGAATGTGGTGGTGCTCAGAAGCTTGGAGACACCAGAAACTGAAGAGCCCCAGGTGTCAGACCTGGCTCAGGGAGCTCCTAGGTCTGGGCTTCCCGAAGCACCATAACTCTTCTCTCTTCTCCCCTTTTTGTCACCCACAATGTGATGAGCAAGGGACATGTTTCAGCCCTGTTTGTGTTACAGCTCTTTCAGCCCCACCATTCCGCAGGTCCTGAGTTCTTGTTTCGCATCCAGGAAGAATGAGGTACACAGACAAGCGGAGGGTGAGCAAAGCAAAGAGGTGCTTTACTGAGCAACAGAACAACTCAGAGGAGACTCACTGAGTAGTGGTAGCTCCTCTCTGCAGGCAGGTTGTCCTGACAAGTGCCCAGCTCTCAGAAGAGAGGAGACCCACAGTGGGTAGCTCCTCTCCACAGGCAGGGCGTCCTGATGAGTGTTCAGCTCTCAGCAGACAGGATACCCACAGTGGGTAGCTCCTCTCTACAGGCAGGGCATCCCAATGACTGTTCAGCTCTCAGCAGAGAGGAGACCCACAGTGGGTAGCTTCTCTCCACCGGCAGGTCATCCCATCCTTTGCCTGAGTCTGGCTGAGTCATGGGTTTTTATAGGCTCCAGAGGGGAGGAAGTAGATGCTGACTGATCCATGGGAGGCCATGGGTGGGGCCAGAAAAGTACCATAAGTTCTCACTCCAGTCCATGGAACTAGCAGCCTGGCCCCCAGACCTAAGGCGGTCCCTGGCCTGAAGGTGGGGTTTCATTGGGCACCTGCCCCTTTTTGCCCAGGAGCCTGTCTGCCTCCTGCTGCCATCCACAGTGCCCTGGCTGTTCATGCTGAGGGGTGCCTGCAAGCCCATGCCAAGCTGCCCTCAGTGGCCCCTCGGACTTTCTCCCATGCTCGTGGGTGCCCAAAGTCTGGAGGGGGATCAAGGTGGCAGGGGGTTGGTGTGTCAGCACTTCCCTGAGCACATGCGCACCTGGCCAGGTTGTGACAGCACCAGGCTTGGCCACAGCTTTGCTCCAAAATTGGAGCAGGCACCAGGAGTAGGCAGAGGCCAGGCAGCAGGAGCAGGCACTTCCAAGCCTGTGGGGGCAGGAGGGCTTCCCAGCTTCCAAGAGTGCAGAGATGCCTGGGTATGCAGCTGTGGTTGGGCAGCTGCAGCTGCACATGGGAGGGCACTTGTTCCCAGCTCCCACCAGCTCCATGGAGCGTGTAGGCCCAGTCAGGACTCCCCCACTGCAGCCAGCATCATGGCAGGAGCTGCTCCAGACTGGCCACTGCTGCCATCACTACTAGGGTAATGAGATGGGGAGGAATTAGAAGGAAGAGACATGACTAGAGGGACACTTTCACTGCATACATCTTCATTTTTAATTTTGACAGTAACTGATAATTACCTATTCATAAATCAGTAAATTTAAAATAAAATAAAGAGTACATGTGATATAAATTATTTTGTTTTCTGGACTTAAGAAGCCAGAAGATATTTGAATCAGAATTAGATATGTGTTTTATTTTGGCATGTAAGTATTTCGACAGGTGACAAATGTATATAAATTACAGTAATTCACAAAATGTTTTATCATCTGTCAGTACACTAAGTTTATCACAAAAACCTGTATATCAGGCTCTCACCTCAGGATGGTTGAGTTCTCCTTCTTCTTCTTCATAGGGACCACCAACAATGAATGCATCAGGAATGTTATTAGCTCCTGGAGCCAGAATGTTGGCAATTGGCCACTTTTTGGGCCGGGGAACAGGTTCCCTTTCCCCTCCAAGCTTCAGAGTTCCATTCTTAAATAAAATGGGATAGTCCTTCTACAGAAATAGATACCATATGTCAGGAAAATTTGTAAAGGACTTTGAAATGGACAAGAAGATTATTCAAGTGTCTTTTCAATGGAATGCTGAGTGTTATCAAACATACCCCTCTACGATTAATCTGATTCTAGAGAGGGGCCTGTGCCCTTCATTCCCTTTGTGCTATTTTACAACTCTGTAACTTATAGACATTTGATAATAATGCAAATTATTCTTGTTCATAAATATGCAGATACAGTTTGTCCAGTGGCAATGTAACTGATTATTTCCCTGAAGCTAATGACAAATTTTGAATTATTGGCAAATTCATTTCAGCATTCCTGATGCCTATATACTCCTTTGAACTCATTGTCACATTTTACTGATTCCCTCATTAATTAGTTAAATAAAATCTTGGACCAAATTCTGTGTTATTTATATTTATATGAGAGTTGTGCTTATACCTGTTTAAAAATTATCCTTTAGAAAACGAACTAAAATCTGGCAAGGGGCTAAAAATATAGGCATTTTCATGTCTTATAACTTATCCAAAGTATACTTGCAGTAGAAAATTGGTAAAATATATAAGTAGGCAATTTATAGAAGGGGAAATTAGAACATCCAACATTTAAACAAAAACATGCTATGTTTCATTAATAATCAGTAAAGTGCACATTAAAACAATGAGATATCAGCCAGGCAAGGTGGCTTAATGCCTATAATCCCACTTTGGGAGATAGAGCCAGGAGGATCACTTGAAGCCAGGAGCTTGAAACCAGCCTGGGCAACATAGTGAGACCCCCATCTCTACAAAAAAAAAAAATTAAAAATTAGCTAGATGCAATGGCATGCACCTGTAATCCCAGCTACGTGGGAGGCTGAGGTGAGAGGATTGCTTGAGTCCAGAAGTTCAAGGTTACTGTAATCTATGATTGTGCCACTGCACTCCAGCCTAGGTGATGGAGTGAGACCCTGTCTCTTATTAATAGATAGATAGATAGAGAGATATATAGATAGATAAAGAACAGGAACAAGAAGTTTACTGGAAAAGATAAATAAATGGCCCTTAAATTAAAAGGAAGTTCTATTTCCAACACTATAGCAAACTAAAGTACAACAGAGCCTTCATCAGCAACAAACACAACAAACTAGATAAAGTAGAATAGCAACAACAAAAAAAGAGTTATATTTTATCACATAGCCAAGGTCAAAAGAAGTAAATGAAAGTCTAGTCCAGTCACGGTGGCTCACACCTGTAATCCCAGCACTGTGGGAGGCCGAGGCGGGCGGATCACAAGGTCAGGAGTTCGAGACCATCCTGGCCAATATGGTGAAACCCCATCTCTACTAAAAATACAAAAATTAAGCCGGGCGCAGTGGCTCACGCCTGTAATCCCAGCACTTTGGGAGGCCGAGGTGGGCGGATCACAAGGTCAGGAGATCGAGACCATCCTGGCTAATACGGTGAAACCCCATCTCTACTAAAAATACAAAAAATTAGCCGGGCCTGGTGGCGGGTGCCTGTAGTCCCAGCTACTCGGGAGGCTGAGGCAGGAGAATCACTTGAACCCAGAAGGCAGAGGGTGCAGTGTGCCGAGATCGCACCACTGCACTCCAGCCTGGGTGACAGAGCGAGATTCCGTCTCAAAAAAAAAAAAAAAAAGAGAAAGAAAAAGAAAGTCTAAAAGTGCCAGAACTGGCAGCAGCAGCAACTCAGTACCCAAGGGATAAGCTCATGAGCTGATGCTGCGCCAACCCAGGAAATGTCAGACCCAGACACTATTATAGAGAAGCAATCATGGCCCCATGCTCAGGCAGGACGGGAAGCTGGAACTAAGACTACTGCATAAAACTAGGACCTGGGGCTGGGTGTGGTGGCTCACACCTGTAATCCCAGCACTTTGGGAGGCTGAGACATGCGGATCACCTGAGGTCAGGAGTTCAAGACCAGCCTGGCCAACATGGTGAAACCCCCTCTCTACTAAAATACAAAAAATTAGCTGGGCGTGGTAGTGGGCACCTGTAGTTCCAGCTACTCAGGAGGCTGAGTCAGGAGAATTGCTTGAACCCGGGAGGCACAGGGTGGAGTGAGCTGAGATCATGCCACTGCACTCTAGCCTGGGCGACAGAGTGAGACTCCATCTCCATCTCCAAAAGCAAAGCAAAAAAGAATTCTAGGACCTGGTAGGGCAACCTTTCATAAAACATCAGAATAAAGGAGCCCTTTTCAAGTTTAAAATGATGTAAGAAACCTAAAAGAAAAAGATTTAACTATTAAAAAACTTTTGTGTACCAAAGCAATGACCCAAATTAAAAATAAATAATAAACCAGAAATAAATATGATAAACTATAAATTGACAAACTTGAAAGAAAATATTATTTTTCTCTACATATGAAGAATTTTTTTTTTTTTTGAGATGGCGTTTCACTCGTTGCCCAGGCTGGAGTACAATCTTGGCGCAATCTTGGCTCACTGCAACCTCTGCCTCCCAGGTTTAAGTGGTTCTCCTGCCTCAGCCTCCCCAGTAGCTGGGATTACAGGCACCCACCACCATACCCAGCTAATTTTTTGTATTTTTAGTAGAGACAGGGTTTCACCATGTTGGCCAGGCTGGTCTCGAACTCCTAACCTCAGTTGATCTACCTGCCTCAGCCTCCCAAAGTGCTGGGATTACAGGCGTGAGCCACTGCACCCCAGCCAGAATTTAATACATCAGCAAGAAAAATACTAAGCCCTCCAGGAGAAAAAAAATAAAAGACACTTTTAATTATCAAAATTAGCAAAAACAAAGAGAAAATTTTCAATACAATCTCAAAGTTGGAGAGAGGGCAATGCACAGATCTGCCTCATATAACTATGTGGGCTGTTCCCCGGAAGGGTGATCAGCCATCTCATTTGCCTAGGACTGTCCCAGTTGTGGTGCTGAAAGTCCCATGTCCCAGGAACCTCCTAAGTCCTCAGCAAACTGAACAGTTGCTACACAACTTTAGTGGGTCATCCACATACATGGCCCTGGAAATAAGATAAGTGGAAGTGTTAACTGAATAGAAGAAGCCTTTTAGCAAGCAAGTTAGAAATCTCCATCAAGAGCCTAAGAAACTCCATATCCAATCATTCCTATACCTAGAAATTTGGCCTAAGAAAATAATCTGGAATTAAGAGAAAGTTTTGTTTAATAAAGCACGTTGCACAAAATCTGCAAAATGTACACATAAAAATAATCTGTATAGAAATACACCAAAATTGGCCATTTTAAATCTTACATATTTTCCACCATATATTTATATAAATTATATTTAATGCATAATATATAATATGTAAATTATAAACATTAAGATCTGTATATAAAATAGAAATAAACTGTATTTTTCAAGCCTAAAATAAATCTCAGCTATTAGCAGTGCAATGCTTTGAATGAAATCTTAGAGGTGAGGAAGAGATGGCCATATGAGTACAGACATGTTTGAATCTCTATAAATATCTGGCAGTAGGGCTTTACCTCTCCAAGTGATGGAACTTGCAGACCGACCATGTAGTTCTGCCCAGGACCTGTTGGAATGAAGGATTCAGGCACAGAGTAAGCAGCCTCCAACGTGACCTTCAGTAGATTGCCCCCTGAGATCTGGGCTGTGGTCAGTAAAGGCTCTGCCACTAATACTTTAACTTCAAGACTGCACTGCTGTAAAAGAATAAAATTATGCAGCATTTTGAAAATTGCCAGAGATCTTCCTTTTTTGCATTATCTCATTTGAATCTCATATTACTGTTCAAGATAAGAAGGTAAAGCTTAATTATTTCCATAAGTTGAAACCATGTTCTCTAAGTCCCATGAGTTGGAGATAGAGCCAAGAAGAGAATCTTAACCCTAAACTAGATCCCTTCCCACTCTATCATACTGAGGTAAAGTATATATATAAATACATATAAAACAGGAATTGTAAGATTCTGTTGAAATGTTGGCCAGGCATGATGGCTCACTCCTGTAATCCCAGCACTTTGGGAGCCAAGGCAGGTGGATCACCTGATATCAGGGGTTCAAGACCAGCCTGGCCAACACAGTGAAAACCCATCTCTACTAAAAATACCAAAATTAGCCAGGCATGGTGGTGCGCGCCTGTAGTCCCAGCTGCTGGGGAGGCTGAGGCAGGAGAATCGCTTGAACCCAGGGAGGCAGTGAGCTGAGATTGTGCCATTGCACTCTAGCCTGGTCAACAAGAGCAAAACTCCATCTCAAAAAAAACAAAAGAAATGTCGATAGAAGTTGCACATGAGTAAGTGAGATTGGGTGCTTTTTTTGCTAGTCTATATTTTATGATTATTTTTGTCATTTTTTTAATTTTATTTTTTTTTTTGAGACAGAGTCTCCCTCTGTCACCCAGGCTGGTGTGTAGTGGCATGATCTCGGCTCACTGCAACCCCGCCTCCTGGGTTCAAGCGATTCTTCTGCCTCAGCCTCCTGAGTAGCTGGGAGTACAGGCGCATGCCACCATGCCCAGCTAATTTTTGTAGTTTTAGTAGAGACGGGGTTTCAACATATTGGCCAGGCTGGTCTCAAACTCCTGACCTCGTGATCCAGCCGCCTTGGCCTCCCAAAGTGCTGGGATTACAGGCGTGAGCCACTGCACCCAGCCTATTTTTGTAATTTAAATGTAATGCTTTGTAATAAGAAAATATTTTTTTCAAATAGATATGTATATATTCCACATACATAGGTATAGACATATATGTGTATACCTCTGACATTTTCACTCAGGATACATACAAAGTAGGTTTTAAATGTGTATTGAGGCTGGGCAAGGTAGGATCTCGCCTGTAATCCCAGCACTTTGGGAGGCCGGGGCAGGCATATTACCTGAGGTCAGGAGTTTGAGATCAGCCTGGCCAACATGGTGAAACCCCATCTCTACTAAAAGAGAAAATGTATAAAAATTAGCCGGGCATGGTGGTGGTGCCTGTAATCTCAGGTACTTGATAGGCTGAGGCAGGAGAATCGCTTGAACTCATGAAGTGGAGGTTGCAGTGAGCCGAGATCACACAATTGCAAACCAGGCTGGGCAACAAGGGCAAAACTCCATCTCAAAAAAAAAAAGAATGTGTATTGAATGCTAGGCACTTTGCTATATCACTAGGGATATAAAGACAAAGAAGACATAGTTCCTTTCAACATAGAACTCATGTCATAGTGTCAAGATTTATGCAAAATCTATACTAGAGACCTGTACAAAATGCTGCAGTCAAGGACACCAAGGAGGCAGTGAATAACTAATTATTTGGCTGGGGGTTGACATTTATAGGATAAATAGGCATTTACAACCTGGATTAGCAGAGGAAGGAAAGAAAAAATAATTCTGGATAAGAACAGTTTTTGTGGGCTGGTCCAAAGGCAGTGAGTTATCTCAACTGACTGTTCACAGTCAGTTACAGATCAAATTCTTTGTTCTATTCTTTCCCCACTTCTCACTACTGTGCTTAACTAGTCTTAGAGGGGAAAAACAGTCTATGTAAAGAGGGATTGGAACAGTATGGTATCTTCCATTTAGGTATATGTAAGTAAGTCAGGATTCTGGAACTTGAAGTATTAATATAAGGAAAGGAGTAATGGGAGATGAGGTTGAAGGGGGAGGCCTCCATTATAAAGGATGCTATATGCCTGCTAAGCAATCTGGACCTTAACTTGTAAGCAGTGGGTGAATCCATGAACTACAGAGTACTAAGTAGGGGAAGAGATAAGATCAGATTCACTTTTAAATCACTGTGCAAGCCATGGGAAGGTTGAACTAGAGGGAGGTAAAGGTAGGTACGAGGCTATTTGTAACTATCCAAGTGAGAGGTAATAAGGCAATAAAGAGTAGGAATGAAGCCAAAAAGAAAACCTAAAGACACTTAGAAGATAGAAAAGGTGGGATTTGGTGAAAGGCAGATTTGAGGACTGGTTGTAGTTAGGGTCTGAAGGAATATATATATGTCATGGATATAATTTAGGTTCTATGTTCCATGATTTCATGGATGGGTGATGCCACTAGTCAAAAAACTAAGATAAAAGGAAGAATAGGTTTCAGGGAAGATACTGAGTTCAGTTTTGGAATGTTGAGTTTTAGGTGCCTATGGGATAACATTATAGAGGTATACAGTAGGTGCTTATAAAGTCTGATATTCTAGAACTCCAGAAAGGGGTCTGGGCTAGAACTGCTGGATTAGAAATTTTCAGTGAGAGGCATGCTACCATGCCCTAAAGTATATGAGGTGCTTTCATATACTACTTGAGCCATCAGGACATAGCTCAAGAGTTATTTCCATGGTTAAGCCTTCCTTGCCTCTACCTGCGGACAAAGTAACTGATACCTGCTCTATGCCCATGTGCCTCACTCCACCATTTAATCACACTGGGTTATAGTCTATGATATGTAGACTGTGGGCTTTTCAAAGTAGGACTCTGCCTTATTATCTTTGTTTCCCAGAATCTAACACTAAGTGTGCTGTGAAAAGAAAATGCCCAATGCATTACACTCAACTGAATTGAACCTTAATAGCAGACAGAATTGTTACATTGAATGGCAGGCTGAAATGTTGAGAGCTAAAACTCTGATTACCTTAGCACTTGATCTAGGAGTTTCTAAGGGTGAGCCTTGCACAGGGTGCAATGGAACTGTTGTTTGAAATGAACTCTGTCCTGCAAAAAGAAGCCCAAGTTGAGCCAAAGAAGAAAGGGTTAAGTTGGGATGACTGCAGGCAGAGATAAATGTGCCTACTTTTCCCCTCAAATCCCTCAAATTCATTGAGGCTAATTTCTATATCTCTCTGGGGCTAAGTTTTATGAGCTTTTCCATTTCTGCTTTTGGGCAAAGCACACATCTGACCTTCCAGTAAGGGAAGAAGGTCCACCACAGCCTGACCAAGAATTAAGGTCTTCTCTTCTTTCTGTTTCTTTTCCTTTGGTAAAACTTCAGTCACAGTTACTAGAAAAATCAAAACAAAGAAAATGAGACATTTAAAACACATCTATCCGATAACCAAGCTGCAACAAACAAAGCATTGTCAAAGATATGTAAGTTAAAAAAAAATAAACTTGAAAGTACAGAAGGCACCAACATCACTGACTTCTGGTGGAAAATACTGGACCACTTCAGTGACTTTTGAACTTTTTGCCTGCAAGTTATAATAAGAAATGGGTTTTAGATCATCATCATGTACATGCATGTGTATAAAAGTAACTGAGGCTGGGCGTGGTGGCTCACACCTGTAATCCCAGTACTTTGGGAGGCCAAGGCGGGCAGATCACCTGAGGTTGGGAGTTCGAGACCACCCTGACAAACACGGAGAAAACCTGCCTCTACTAAAAATACAAAATTAGCCAGGCATAGTGGCCCATGCCTGTAATCCCAGCTACTCGGGAGACCGAGGCAGGAGAATCGCTTGAACCTGGGAGGCAGAGGTTGCAGTGAGCTGAGATCAAGCCATTGCACCCAGCCTGGGCAACAAGAGGGAAACTCCGTCTCAAAAAAAAAAAAAAAAGTAACTGATACATATGATTATATAACAAAGCTTCATATAATATTAATCTTTACTAGGTCAAAATCCTTAGGTATTTTCTATTCTATTTCATACAGAAGAACTTACTGGTCATAATGCCCATCAATTGATCTTAAGAATGGCTAAAAAGTCACAATCTGAAGTTTGAAAAACACTGCTCTAGGGTGGGCGAGGTGGCTTATGCCTGTAATCCCAGCACTTTGGGAAGCTGAGGCGGGCAGATCACGAGGTCAGGAGATCGAGACCATCCTGGCTAACACAATGAAACCCCATCTCTACTAAAAATACAACAACAAAATTAGCCAGGCGTGGTGGCGGGCACCTGTAGTCCCAACTACTCAAGAGGCTGAGGCAGGAGAATGGCGTGAACCCAGGAGGTGGAGCTTGCAGTGAGCCGAGACTGTGCCACTGCATTACAGCCTGGGCGACAGAGCGAGACTCCGTCTCAAAAAAAAAAAAAAGAAAAAGAAAAAAGCAAAGAAAAGCACTGCTCTAGATCCCCCTATATTGCCTACCATAAGGCTTGACACATTTTGGAGTAATCCTGTAGCATGCAGAGTATGTACAAGGTTTTTCACTGCAGCATTACTCTGTGTGCTTAACACTTATTATAACAATTTCAAAATTTCAAATACACAAAGTAGAATAGTATAACAACTATCCATATAACCATAATCTAAATTTAACAATTTTTTTGCTTCATCATGTGTAGCTTTGTTTGCTCAAATACTTTTATCATATTTGCTTTGTTTGCTGAAGTACTTTTCAAATAAATTACAGACATCATGACATTTTACTCCTAAATACCAAAGTATACAAATCCCAAGTAAGACATTTTCCTAGAAAACCACAATCAGTTTACCACATCTAGCAAGTGTGTGATAATAGCATTAAATAATTCCTTAATTCACCTAGTGTCCAGTTTATATTTAACATTTCCCAATTATCCCCAAATTTATTTTGTAGCTGGTCTGTTCAAAGACCACATATTGCATTTGGTTGTCATGTTTCTTTTCATTTAGAACAGTCCCCCCTTTCCACATACTTCTCTCAAACACTTCTCTCTTTTGTTGAAGACACCAGGCCAATAGTTACATAGAATGTCACACCTTCTAGATTTGTCTCTTGTTTTATTCCTCATAGTATTTAATTTGTTTCTCAATTCCTGTGTTCCTACTTGGGTTCAGCTTCAGCATTTTCAGCAAGGATAACAGGGTTTGATATGTTATCAAACTCTGTGACCTTTGTAACCTGACAGATGAAAATAGCATCTAAACATAATTTTATTTTTTGTATTAGAATGAGGTTGAAATTTTTTCCATATACTTAAGGACCAGTTACAGTTTCTTTTCCATGAACTTTTCATATTCCTTTCATATGTTTTGTATACTTTTCCATTAGATTCTTGCTCTTATTAATATGCAAGTGCTCTTTAAAGGTAAATTTGCCTTCTGTCTAGAAATGAATTGCAAATTGTATTCCAGTTTGTGGCTTGTCTTTTACAGTTGCTAATGAATATATATATATTTTTTTTCTGTGGTTTCTACAGTTGTGAAATACTTATAAAGGCTTCCTCTCTCTGATTATTTTAATTCCATGATTTCTTATGGTACTTACATGATTTAATTTTTTACACACATTTTATCCAGGTGGTATTTATTTTGGTTTGTTTGTTTGTTTTTCAAGACCAGGTCTCACTCTGTCACCTGGGCTGGAAGGCAGTGGTGCGCTCTCAGCTCACTGCAACCCCTGCCTCGAGGGCTCAAGTGATTCTCCCACCTCAGCCTCTGGAGTAGCTAGGGCTACAAGTGCTCACCACCATACCCAGCTAATTTGTGTGTATATATGTGTGTGTGTGTGTATGTGTGTGTATATGTATGTGTGTGTGTATATATATGTGTGTATATGTGTGTATGTGTGTGTATATATATGTGTATATGTGTGTATATATGTGTGTGTGTGTGTGTGTGTGTGTGTATATATATATATATATATATATATATATATATATATATATGTATGTTTTGTTTTTTTTTTTTGTGAGACGGAGTCTTGCTTTGTCACCCAGGCTGGAGTGCAGTGGCGCAGTCTCAGCTCACTGCAAGCTCCGCCTCCTGGGTTCTCGCCATTCTCCTGCCTCAGCCTCCTGAGTAGCTGGGACTACAGGTGCCCGCCACCACACCCAGCTAATTTTTTGTATTTTTACTTGAGACGGGGTTTCACCGTGTTAGCCAGGATGGTCTCGATCTCCTGACCTCGTGATCTGCCCGCCTTGGCCTCCCAAAGTGCTGGGATTACAGGCGTGAGCCACTGCACCCAGTCATTGTTTTTTTGTTTGTTTTTGTTTTTGTTTTTTGAGAGAAAGTCTCACTGTGTCACTCAGGCTGGAGTGCAGTGGTATGATCTCGGCTCACTGTAACCTCCACCTCTCAGGTTAAGTGATTCTCCTGCCTCAGTCTCCTGAGTAACTGGGACTACAGGCAGGCTCCACCACGCCTGGCTAATATTTGTATTTTTAGTAGAGACGGGGTTTTGCCATCTTGACCAGGCTGGTCTTGAACTCCTGACCTTGTGATCCACGCATCTCAGCCTCCCAAAGTTCTGGGATTACAGGCTTGAGCCACTGTGCCCAGCCCATTATGTTTTTTAATTCAATTTGAGATCTTCCAGTTTTTGGAATGACTTATGGTTTTAAGTTGAAACCTGGACTTTTCCTATTGTTATGAATCTCTGGATCTTACTTACACCTTCTGTTTTCAGCTGGCTTTTTCCAACACCACCCCAAAAGGGGAAGGAAGGAGATGCTGCCTCATTACTGACAAGTTGGGGTGGAAGTCTAGGTTCCCTACTCAGCCTCCTCTGACACCTGATGGAGGCAGCTCCTCATTACTGCTGAGCAGGGGAATTGGAGTCCTGATTCCTTACTTGGTTTCCACTGATACCACAGTGGGTGTGGACTCATTACCCTTGGGTGATGGTGAAAGTTCTGACTCTAAACTAGGCCTCCTCTGACACCACTCCAGTGGGAAGTGAAGGGACACCTTGCTGCTGACAGTTTGGGATAGAAGTCCAAGATCCATGTGGTCTCCACTAACATTATGAGGGGTGGGAAGGGGACTCATTACTAGAGGGGATAAAAGCCCTGGTTCCCTACTTGGTCTTCTCTGACATCACTAGGGTAATGGAGAACCTCATTTTTGAGCTTTGTGAGAGTGGAAGTCTAGGCTCTCCACTCAGCTTGATTGAGGGTGGGGGTTTTTTTCCTACGGTGTTTGGCTGGAGTACGGGAATTACTGTCTAAAACTTTTCTGTCTTATTAGGCTGCCGCTTTCATAGTCTTTTGGCTAAACAGAGCAGACTTTTATCAGGCTTTCTTTCTTTTTTCTTTTTTTTGGTCTGTGCCCATTGGTGTCTCCAGGTTGCCACCTTCTTCAGCAAGAAGTATGGGATATATAAGGCAAAAAGAAAACCCAAAGAACTCACCACTGTGTCATTCCCCAGGTCCCAAGTTTCCTTCTCTCCACCTTTCAGAGTCTCTTATGTTTGTTTTATATATAATGTCCAGGGTTTGTAGTTGTACTCAGTGGGAGGAATAGAGAAAAGTACATCTATTCCATCTTCTCAAAAGTTCTGCTTTTAATCCTTTTTATTTCTAATTAATGCGCTTAAGATTATAAATGTACCTCTAAGTACACCTTTAACTATATCCCACAAATTCTGATATTTGGTGTTTTACTGTTGATCTCTTCCAAATGCTTTGCAATTTTTATTATGACTTTTTTATTTGTCCCATGAATGATTCATAAGTATGTTTTTAAATTTCCAAATAGCTTTTTGGCTTTTTGTTATTGATTTCTAATTTTGTTGATTGTTACATTTTGGCAGAAAAGGTGGTCTGTATGCTGTTGATCCTTTGATCTATGGTAGGACTTGCTTTATCGCTTAGAATGTGGCCAATTGCTATCATAAAAATGCTCCTCCTGTGTTTTAAAAATATATATATTCTTTAATGGTTAGTACAAGCCTATGATTATTCCTAGGGAAGACTTTTTTCTCTACCCAGGATCTAGACAGAGATGCTGATAAGCAGATTTTATTTTCCTGGTCCATACTTTCTGAGAGTCTTAACTTGTGATGGGGAGGTGATCTCAGTCTCTATTCCCCCATCAACAACAGCCAAAGGTTTTCTGTCCTTGTGAGAGCATTAAAACCCAAGCCCCTAGGTTTTGGAGTACTGCCTTCTCCCTGCACACTTCCACTAACACATACACACCAATGGCAGCTGTTCAAGATTTTCACGTTTCAGTTCCTGCCTTGCTTCTGGGAACAAAGGAACTGTCCTTTCTTTCTCATGATTTTAGTTACATGTTTAAAAGAATGTTTTGGTTGTGCTTTTCCCATCCAACATGATAGGGAAGAAGGCAATCGGGACATTGATTTTTAGAACCACAAGGACTTACAGAACACAGGTTTGTGAGCGAGGTCATCTGAAGTGATTCCTCCTTCAGGATTAAACTCAAAACTGCTAGTGAAGTTGTATTTTGCACTTCCTTCTGGAGAAACAGTAATTTTTGCAGAGTCTCCCAGAACCACTTGATTGAATTCTGCTCGAATAAAGGTAACTGGAGTATCTCCTTTAAAACCTTTCTGTTGGCAGAAACACACCACTTTACAATTATATTCAAATAGAGAATTTTCCCACACATCTGGTAACCCATTTTGATTTGGGCTAAATAGCATTTTTCATTTTTTCCTAACGAGCAACATCACAAATACAAAAGGAATAGGTAGAAAAATCATTAAACAAATCTAGTTTTACTTAAATGCAACATTCCATTGAAGTGCTGTTATGTTGGAGTCTTGAAAATAACATTTATTGTGTTTCACCTAATAATAAAAGTATACTGTGGAACATTTTTTTTTCTGTTTGTTTGTTTGTTTTGAGACGGAGTCTCGCTCTGTCACCCAGGCTGGAGTGCAGTGGCGCGATCTCAGCTCACTGCAAGCTACTGAGGAACATTTTTAAAAGTAAGAAAATTAATTACCTACAATCTTACTGTAACATGCAAGCATTATTAATATTTTAGAATATATTTTCTAGTGTTCTGCTGTGAATATATGGATGTACGTGTGTGTACCCATACATGCACACATAGATACATTTTTATATATGCATTTTAAAACAAAGTGGAGCTCATTAATTACATCCTCTTTGGAATGATCTTTTTAAACTTAATATACTGAATATTTTCCCATTTCATCATATTCCTAATTTTTAGTACATCACATTGTTGTTGTTTTTTTAATTAATCAAATAGAATTAATCACAAGGGAAACTCTGGAAGAATTCAGATCCTTCTCAGGAGAAAGGGAAAAAAATTATACGTGAACTGCTGTCTAGGGAAACTAAAACCACTGTTTCTTTCATCCTGTTAAATTTAGTATTCAAATTGCCGGGTATTTGAGACACACAGTAATGTGACTTGGAGATTAAGACTAACAATAAGGAACACTGAGGCGGAATGCCACTGCTACATAAAGCCAGGAGGTTTGGAGGTAGAGAATGAAGCAAAATTCCATTCCTCCTGCAGGTACTCCCAAACTAAGGATTTTTGTAAATTTCCAAAAGTAACTTTACCAAATCATATCCCTCTGTCACGGTGATCTGCACGAGTCTGCCTGCTGATGGCACTTGCTCCATATCACCAACTGGGAAAAGTCCCTCTGTTTTCTTTGGTCTCTGTAAACAGAATGAATCAACCTGTCCCCTCATGTACCACAGCTGCACAAGTACCCATATTCCATCATAACCAATACCAGGGAAAACCTAAGGAAATGCCATAGTCCAGCACTGTTTTATTCCCCATATCCAACCTTTGCTGTTGGACAGGCAGTGCTTTAGGGAGCTGGTCACAAGGATGATTTCACTGGTAGCGCTAAAGATGTTTATACAGGTAACTAACCCATTAAGCACAAAGTATCACAAGACAAAGTAGGAACACCTTGACCTCCCATACCCTACATCAGGGGTCCCCACCCCGAACCATGAACCAGTACCAGCCCGTGGCCTGTCAGGAACTGGGCTGTACAGCAGGAGGTAAGCAGCAGGCGAGCAAGCAAAGCTTCATCTCTATTTACAGCCACTCTGCATCACCTGCATTACCACCTAAGCTCTCTCTCCTGTCAGATCAGTGGCAGCATTATATTCTCACAGGAGTGCGAACCCTATTGTAACTGATGCATGCAAAGGATCTAGGTTGTGCACTCCTTATAAGAATCGAATGCCTGATTTGTCACTGTCTCCCATCACCCCCAGATAGGACTGTCTAGCTGCAGGAAAACAAGCTCAGGGCTCCCACTGATTCTACATTATGGTGAGTTGTATAATATTTCATTATATAGGCTAGGCACGGTGGCTCACGCCTGTAATCCCAACACTTTGGAAGGCGAGGCGGGCGGATCACCAAGTCAGGAGTTCGAGATCAGCCTGTCCAATACGGTGAAACCCCATCTCTACTAAAAAATTCAAAAATTAGCCAGGTGTGATGGCACATGCCTGTAAGTCCCAGCTACTTGGGAGGCTGAGGCAGGAGAATCGCTTGAACACGGCAGGCAGAGGTTGCAGTGAGCTGAGATCACACCACTGAACTCCAGCCTGGGCAAAAGAGTGACTCCGTCTCAAAACAAAAAAATTTCATTATATATTACCGTGTAATACTAATAGAAATAAAGTGCACAGTAAATGTAATGTGGTTGAATCATCCCCGCTGCCCCCAGTCTGTGGAAAAATTGTCTTCCACGAAACTGGTCCCTGGTGCCAAAAAGGTTGGGGACTGCTGCCATACACTGTTCACAGTGTTCTCTGGTAACCGTTTTTTTTAATCTGCAAAGCTCCCTTCAAACATTATTTAACTTCTCAGTTTTACAAAAATATATTTTGAGAGCAGGAAAGAAGCAGCCACACAAAATGGTAGTCCACTGGAAAAGGTCTTAATGTATTTCTTATTTAGTCAGATATACTGTCAATTTTACAATACTAAGGGCACAAACAATTTCGATAATAAATTGGATATTTGTTTTTTGGAAAAGGTCTTTTATCTCTCCTTCCTTCCTTTTTTTTTTTTTCAGGCTCTCATTCTGTCACCCAGGCTGGAGTGCAGTGGTGTGATCACAGCTCACTGCAGCTTCAACCTCCCAGGCTCAAGTGATTGTCCCACCTCAGCCTCCTGAGTAGCTGGGACTACAGGCATGCGCCACCACGCCCAGCTAATTTTTGTATTTTTTGTAGAGACAGGGTTTCACCATGCTGTCTAGGCTGGTCTCGACGGCTAGGCTCAAGCAATCCACTCACCTCAGCCTCCCAAAGTGCTGGGATTAAAAGGCATGAGCCACTGTGCCTGTTGAAAAGGCCTTATTTTCTAACTCAATTCAAACATTTACTGAGGACATACTATGCTAAGTGTACTTGGTGATACAAAAGAGAAAACAACATCTTACAGCCTTCAGACTTTATAATTATCCTGCCTCTTCTCAGCTACTCCAGCATTTTTCCAGTCACCTAAAAGTGTCAAATCATTTGTTCAACAACATATTTCTGGGCTCTTTAAGGGCTTTAGTGGCACTGACAACTTCTTTGTCAAATGTACATTTGAAATGCCCTTTTGTATCAGTCTTCTTTCCTTTTCAATAATATGGCATTAGGCCTTCATTACCCTTCTGCTAGACTGTAACAAAAGCCTCCTAACTGGTGTCTCTGACTCCAGTTTCTCACTCTAATTCATCCTGCTTTTGTCAGAATTGCTCATTGAAAAAACTTGTTAAGCTTGGCACTGTGATGGGTGCTGAGGATACAAGAGATAAGATGTGAACTCTCTAACCTCAAGAAATTTAAAATCTAGTGAGGACGAGAGACGTGTAACTAGACCAGGAGTCATAATCTGTGAGACAGGTGCTCTGACAGAGGAAAGAAGGGAGGAGTGAAACACACAGGGAGGAAAAGGGGGGTGGAAATTTATTTTTTCTTTTACAAATAAAAAGAATGAGAGAAGCAAGGAAATTAACTGATTATAGCCAGTGTGCCAAGTGTGCTTCGCATTTATTATCTTAAATGTAGCCTCCCTTCTAAGAGATTCTTAAATCTCTATTTGATTGAAAAAAATTGAGCTTCAGAGAAGTTTGTTATCTTACCAGCAGTCATACAGCAAGGAAGTGCTGAATGAAGCTGGGACCTAGCTGGATTTGAGAATACATATGCATGCCAGGAAAATCTTGGAGGAAGTACGCTGGAACTATGTCTTAATAAAGGGAAGGATATTCCAAGAAAGGGAACAGATTTTAAAACGTTCAGAGGCAAAACAACACACATAGCAAGTAGCAAGTAGCTTGCAGTGGTGGAGTAAGAAGAAATAGGGAGAAAATGAGAAGAGACAAGCAGATAAATACCTTATTAAAGTACAGATCTGATCGTATCACTGTCTTGTTCCCTCTCACCTACCAAATAAACTGTAACACTACAGTTTAACTGTAGTTAAATGTAGTACTACATTCAGGGCTTTCTAGGATCTTGCAGTGCCAGTCAACTCCCCTCTTCTAGCTTATGCTCTTGCTTAGTATTTTTCAAAGATTACCTGCATTTAGTCGCTTTTGAACCTTTGCATTTTTCCTTCCCCCTGGAATTATCTCTCCCTTTCTCCTCACTCCGTCTCTACAGCAAATCCTACTCATCCTTTAAAATCCAGCTCAAATGCTTCCTAGTCCATGAAGCTTCCCAGTCGGAAAAACTTGCCTTTCCTCTGAATTCATTTAGCACTTTACACGTCTTTTGTGGCATTACCACAAGCTGTCCTGTTTATGAAGACTGGGTATTCAAAAGACCTTTCCTACTTAACAACTATGTGCCCCTAGGCAAATGCCTAACTTCTCTAAGCCTCAGTTTCACCTTCTGTAAAATGGATAACTTCCAACCTGTTTCACATTTATTGTGAATATCCCCTAAGATATTAAAGCTTTTTAAGTATGAAGCACTGCACAAATGGTATTATTAATATGCAGCGTTTGTCCTGAGAGCTCATTTACACCCTTGAAGGCATGTAACCTGTCTCACGCATATTTACGGGCCCAGAGTGCCTGGCACCATGTCTTGTACACAACAGGCGTTCGCGTCGTGTTTGAATTATGAATGCAAGATATAGGACTAAAGTTATAGTCAGGGCAGCTAGGGTGGGGACTCTTGTTGCCCCCGGCAAGGCACGCATTTCTTGTCATCTGCTCGGAAGAAGCTGCAAGGGGAGAGTCCAGTGAGAAAAAGGTTAGACGAAGGAGGCGATGTGACTGAGTCTGGTCTGGGGACAAGCGCAGTCAGCGCAGAATGAGGAGGCCTCCGACGAGAAGCGGTAAAGGAAGGTCTACGTCCGCGCTCCTGTGGAGGTCGCCGGGCTGGGGTTGGCGGCAGAGTCCGCACCTGGCCGGGCCAGCGGCTTTTCGGTCTAAATATCGGGGTTTTCAGCCTGGCCTTAGCTAAGGGAGCAGAAGATCGGGGTGACGGCTGTGGTGTGGCCGCAGGGCTGAGGTGGGGAGGCCGGGAAGAGAGAGTTTCTTCAGGAGGGATCACTGTCTTACCTGCAGCAGCCTCAGTTATGTTTTTGACAACTATAGCAACCAACTACCTCTCGCGAGAACTTACTTTTGGCCATCGCACGAGCAAGTTTATTCCAAGACTCGCGATAACCCTCTGGGGCCGGGAGCAGGGAGCGAGACGCTGAGCTTCTGCGCCTGCGCCCTAGCGCCGGCTGCAGCCTCCTCACTTCGAGAGCCTGCTGTTTCCGCGGATGCTTTACCTTGCCAAGAGTTGGGTTTAAGTGCATAGGTTTCCACCTTTACATTTTGCTTTCTCGACTCTTTGATTTCAATATTTCTCTATAATAGGAGGGAAAAAAGCAAAAGGAAGTTTAAAGAAAAAGGCCTTTATTAAACTGATTTGAAAACATCATTTAAATATTTCTCCGTGAAATATGCAATATTTTTTAAATGAGCCCGTCACGCCCTGTTGATGAGAGTGCAAAATGACCCTGCTTCTAGGTGCTCAATATTTGTACAATAAACAGACCTGAAGTTTATGATGTTAATACAAATTTTTAATATTCAAAATTTAACATTAAAGAGCTAGAATAGCAAAACACAATAGCAATAACCTGGAAACAACCCAAGTGCCCGTCGAAGGAATAGTGGATGAGTGGACCAATAAACTGTGGCATATTCACAAAATGGCATATTACAAGCAGTCAAAGTTAATGAACTGCAGCCATACACACAACACGGATGAATTTTAGCAGTATATATACTTTAAATTGTTGCAGTGTTAAGAGCCAGCTTGAAGGGACTCCCATGGGCCAAATAAGGGACAATTTGAGCATGAAGTAAACAACGACGATAACGGATTACAACCCATTGAATAAAATAGGAATATGCAAGTCCGTGTTGATACAGAGAAAAAGGAAAACTCTTTCAAAGTAGGATGCCAACCCAGAAGTGTAGCGAGAAGGATGGAAATAGAGAACTACCATTTGACAACTACTGAGGAGGATGACTCAGGCAGGAGTCTTCAATGGACGCTAAGGCTGGTGGGTAGATGTTCTATGAGGCATAGAATACTGGCGTGATTTTGGAATGCTTCCATGGAATACTACTTGATTACAGAGGGGGAAACAGTGAATGGACGCAACCAACATGATCAGGTGATCATGGTTAACATCACCAGTGTTGGGAGGAGTCTACATTGTGAGCCTCCTGGTGAAACACACTAAAAAAAAACACACACACACACACAAAGCATCCTTTTTGGTTTTCCTACCATGAAAGGAACTCAGGTTGTAGACCATCCAAGGACAAGAAAGACTGGGAACTGTCTCTGACTGAGGTTATATGACAACTAAATTCAATATGTATCTCTGTATAGCATTCTGGACCAGAAAGGAAAACAACATTGTTAGGACGGTGGGAAAAATGTGAATTAGCTCTGTGAATCGCATACCACCCCGAACATGCCCAATCTCATCTGAATTGGATGGTAGTGTTGTACCAATATTGATTTCCTGATGTGGAAGTTTGTTTGTTGTTAGGTAGGAGAGTGTCCCTGTTTAGGGGAAAATAAACACTAGTGTGTTTAGGAGTGATGAGACACCATCTCTTCAATTTGCTCTCTTGACTTTCAAAAGGTCCAGAAAAAGACTAACAAGGGATACATACACATGTACACACACATATGCACATGCATGCACACCTGCACACATACACACACAGTGAGCAATGGAACAAGTGCAATAAAGTGTTAACTATTTGGGAATCTGAGTGCAGGGGACATGGGACTTCCTTACACGATTTGGGCAACTTTTCTATACATTCGAGATCATTTCAAAACAATTAAAATATATACACACGCATAACCACTCTCCCTGGGAAGCCCTTTGCTTAGGAAATAGTTACCAGAGTCAAATTTTAAAATTTTTATTTATATGAATAAAGAAACATTATAAATATTGAGAAATATTTTTTGAAAGTTGCAGTGTTACAGGTAATAAAGGTTCTCAAAATAAAACTACTGTGGCACTACTGAGTAAGGATTTCTCTCTGGATTTTTTTTCCCAAGTGAGAGTTTTGGGTGAATTTGCACTGAGACAGCTATCCCACTTGCAAATGACAGACTCTTTCTACATAATAAGCTGGGTTAGGCCAAGTCTTTAATAGGGAGCTGTTCTTCCAGAAATCGCTCATGATCTTGGTCTACTTAGTACTTTGCTTCAAGGTCTTAGGCAAGCAAGGATAAATAACAGATGTCACCTCCTTAAACATAATTAATCTCCATTCAACTTTAGGGTACCTGAGAGCAAGGGCTGTATGTTACAATTTTCTTTTTTTTTTTTTTTAAGATGGAGTCTCACTCTGTAGCCCAGGCTGGAGTGCCGTGGCGCAATCTGGGTTCACTGCAACCTCCACCTCCTGTGGTCAAGTGATTCTTGTGCCTCAGCCACTGGAGTAGATGTGATTACAGGCACCCATCACCACGCCCGGCTAATTTTTGTATTTTTAGTAGAGACAGGGCCATGTTGGCCAGGCTGGTCTTGAACTCCTAACCTCAGGTGATCCACCTGTCTCAGCCGCCTAAAGTGCTGGGATTACAGGCATGAACCACCATGCCCGGCCTTTTTTTTTTTTTTTTTTTCTTTATTGAGACAGTCTTGCTCTGGAGTTCAGTGGCATGATATGATCTCGGCTCACTGCAACCTCTGCCTCCCGGGTTCAAGTGACCCTCCCACCTCAGCCTCCCGTGTGTGTGTGTGTTACAGTTCTTTTATTCTCCTACAGTGCTTAGCAGTGGCCACTCTGTTTGAAAGGCATTCTTTTTGACTGATTTAAAACATCCACTTGTGTATGGAAAAAGCCCTCTTTAGTGGTATGGAAAATATAATAGTACTGGAATCATAATAAAATCATCTACATATGCAAACCAATTTCAGGGAAAAAAACTATAAAAATATCTTTCTAATAAAATTTGAATGCCTTAGTCTGAGTTTCAAAGGCCTCCATTAAATGATGCACTAGCTCAACAAATTCCTTTCTCATTACTCCAAAAGACTTGTTTCTAATTAGCTAATTTGTTACTTCCAAAGTCAACATATTTCTGACAATAATACAATCAAATGTATTGCTCATCCCCAAATTGATCTACAGATTGAAAGCAATCACTATGAAAACCCCAACTGTTTTTTTTTTCTTTCAGAAATTAACAAGCTGATCTTAAAATTCATATGGAAATGCAAGGGACCCAGAGTAGCCAAAACAATCCTGAAACAGAAGAACAGTTGGAAAACTCACACTTCCCAATTTCAAAACTTTCTACAAAGCTGCAGTAATCAAGTAACGAAGACAGTAATAAAGACATAAAGATAGCCATATAGATCAAAATAATCAATTGAATTGAGAGTTCAGAAATAAACTCTTACATTTACGGTCAACTGATTTTTAACAAGAGTGCCAAGATGATCTACTGGGATGTGGGAGGGAGGGGGTAATATAGTCTTTTAAACAAATGGTACAAGGAAAAACAATGTCCACATGCAAAGAATGAAGTTGGACCCTTACCTCACACCATATACAAAAAATAACTCAAAATGGACCAAAGACCTAAATGTAAGAACTAAAACTATAAATTTGAGGGTTTTCTATTTCTGTGAAGAATGTCATTGCAATATTGATAGAGATTGTGTTGAATCTGTGGAGCACTTTGGGAAGTATGAACATTTTAATAATGTTAATTATTCTAATCCATGAACATAGGATACTATTTGTGTCTTCAGTTTCTTTCATCAATGTTTTGTAGTTTTCATTGTAGAGATCTTTTGCCTACTTGGTTAAAACTTCCTAGGGTTTTTGTTTTGTTTTTTGTAGCAATTGTGAATGGGATTGCTGTTTTCTTTTTCAGATAGTTCACTATTGGCATATAGAAATGCTACTGATTTTTGTATGTTGCTTTTGTATCCTGCAACTTTACTGAATTTATTACTTCTAGCAGTTTTTTGGTGGAATCTTTAGGGTTTTGTGTGTATAAATTCATGTCATCTGCAGACAGGAAGTTTGACTTCTTTCTTTCCAATTTAGATGCCCTTTGTTTCTTTCTCTTGCATAATTACTGTGGCTAGGACTTCCAGTACTATGTTGACTAGAAGTAGTGAAAGTGGCTATCCTTGTCTTGTTCCAGATTTTAGAGAAAAAGCTTTCAACGTGTCCTCATTCAGTATGTTAGCTGTGTGTCTGTCATACATGGTCTTTATTTACAAACTATGCATCTGACAAGGGGTTAATGTCCAGAGTATATAAGAAACTCAACACCAAAAAAAAAAAAAAAATCCAAAAAAAAAACCCCACAAATAATCTGATTTTAAAATGGACAAAAGATCTAAATAGACATTTCTTGAAAGTATACAAATGGCCAACAGATATATGAAAAAATGCTCAACATCACTAAATGTGATGGAAATGCAAATAGTGTATCTACACAAACCTAGATAGCGTAGCCTGCCACATACCTAAGTCATATAGAGTATATCCTATTGCTTCTAGGCAACAAACAGGTATGGCATGTTATCATACCGAATACTGTAGGCAATTGTAACACAATGGTAAGTACTTGTGTATCTAAACATAGAAAAAGTACAGTAAAAATATGGCATAAAAGATAAATAGTACACCTGTAGAAGGCACTCACAATGAATGGCACTTGCTGGCCTAGAAGTTGCTCTGGGTGAGTGAAGGAATGAGTAGTGAGTGAATTGTGAAGGCCTAGGACATTACTGTATACTACTGCAGACTTAACAAACACTATATAATTAGGCTACACTAAATTTATTTTAAAACTTTTTAATAATAAATTTAATTTAGCTTACTGTAACGTTTTTGCTTCCTAAACATTTTTTTTTCCCTTGGAGACACGGTCTCATTCTGTCACCCATGCTGGAGTGCAGTGGCATGATCATGGCTCACTGCATTCTCAGTCTCCTTGGGCTCAAGCAAACCTCCTGCCTTTTTGTATTTTTTGTAGAGATGGGGTTTCACCATGTTGCTCAGGCTGGTCTTGAATTCTTGGGCTCAAGTGATGCACCTGCCTCGGCCTCCCTAAGTGCTGAGACTACACGCGTGAGCCACTGCACTCAGCCTAAACTTCTTAACTTTTTGACTCTTACAGCTATACAAAAATATTTTCTGTATGTCCTTATAAGCTTTTTATTAAAAAATTATTTTTTACAGGCCTTCTACAGGTGTACTCATGCCTGTAATCCCAGAACTTTGGGAGGCTGAAGTGGGTGGATCACAAGGTCAGGAGATCAAGACCATCTGGCTAACATGGTGAAACCCCGTCTCTACTAAAAATACAAAAAATTAGCCAGGTGTGGTGGCGGGCACCTGTAGCCCCAGCTACTAGGGAGGCTGAGGCAGGAGAATGGCGTGAACCTGGGAGGAGGAGCTTGCAGTGAGCGGAGATCACGCCGCTGCACTCTAGCCTGGGTGACAGAGCAAGACTCTGTCTCAAAAAATAAATAAATAAATAAATAAATAAAATAAATTATTTACTTTTTACCTTTTTTTGTTAAAAACTAAGACACAGGTCAGGTGTGGTGGCTCTGGCCTGCAATCCCAGCACTTTGGGAGGCTGAGGTAAGAGGACTGCTTGAGTCCAGGAGTTACCAGCCTGGGGTAACATGGTGAGACCATGTCTCTTCAAAAATCTTAAAAATTAGCATGGTGTGGTGGCAAAAGCCTGTAGTCCCAGCTACTTGGGACGCTGAGGCAGGAGGATTGCTTGAGGCCAGGAGTTCAAGGCTGCAGTGAGCAATGATTCCACCACTGCACTCCAACCTGGGTGACAGAGCAAGACCCTGCCTCCAAAACTAAAAAAAACAAAGGCACAAACACACACATTAGCCTAAGTCTACACAGGCTCAGGATAATCAACATGACTATCTTCCACCTGCACATCTCATCCCACTGGAAGGTCTTCAGGGGCATAACACACATGGAGCTGTCATCTCCTATAACAATGCCTTCTGGAATACCTTCTGAAGGTCCTATCTTAGGCTTTTTATAGTTAACTTCTTTTCAATAAGTAGATGGAGTATAAAATAATGATAAAAAAATCTAGCATTAGTAAGTACTAAGTGATAGGAATTTTTCAGCTGTGTTATAATCTTATGGAACTACTGTCATATATGTAGTCTGTTGTTGACTGAACCTTCATCATGCAGTGCATTGTTGGTGAGAATGTAAATTGGTACAGCCACTGTGGAAAATAGTAGATGGTTCCTAAAAAAATTAAAAACAGAACTACCATATGATCTAACAATCCCATATATCCAAAGGATATATCAGTATGTCAAAAAGATGTCTGCACACCCATGTTTATTGCAGCACTATTCACGATGGCCAGAATATGGAATCAACCTAAGTGTCCGTCAACAGATGAATGAATATGTGGTAAATTTACACAATGGAATACTATTCAGCCATAAAAAAGAATGAAATCCTCTCATTTGGAACAACTTGAATGAGCCTAGAGGTCATTATGTTATGTGAAATAAGCCAGGCACAGAAAGACAAATACTGCATGATCCTATTCATATGTGGAATCCTAAATTTTTTTTTTTTTTTGAGGCAGTCTCGCTCTGTCATCCAGGCTGGAGTGCAGTGGCAAGGTCTTGGCTCACTGCAACCTTCACCTTCCGGGTTCAAGCAATCCTCATGCCTCAGCCTCCTGAGTAGCTGGGATTACAGGCGCGAGCCATCACACCCGGCTAATTTTTGTGTTTTTAGTAGAGATGGGGTTTCACCATGTTAGCCAGGCTGGTTTCTAACTCCTGTCTTCAAGTGATCCACCCACGTCGGCCTCCTGAAGTGCTGGGATGGATTACAGATGTGAGCCACTGCACCTGGCCTTAAATGTTGATCTAATAGAAGTAGAGAATAAATAGTGGTTACCAGAGGCTGGGAAGAGGAGGGAAGAGGGAGGACAGGGAGAGGCCAGTCAATGGATACAAAGTTACAGTTAGATAGGAAGAATAAGTTCTGGTGTTCCATTGCTCTGAATGGTGATTATGGTTCATGGTAATATACTGCATATTTCAAAATAGCTAGAAGAGAGGATTTTGAATCTTCTCATCACATAAAAAGATGTCTGAGATGATGGATATGTTAATTACCCTAATTTATTACATATTGTGTATATGTATCACAACATTACACTGTCCCCGTAAATATGTACAACTGTATCAATTAAAATGTTTTAAGTCTTTTTTTTTTTTTTTTTTTCTGAGATGGAGTCTCGCTCTGTCACCCAGGCTGGAGTGCAGTGGCGCGATCTCAGCTCACTGCAAGATCCACCTCCTGGGTTCACGCCATTCTCCTGTCTCAGCCTCCCGAGTAGCTGGGAGTACAGGCGCGTGCCACCATGCCCAGCTAATTTTTTGTATTTTTAGTAGAGATGGGGTTTCACTGTGTTAGCCAGGATGGTCTCGATCTCCTGACCTCGTGATCTGCCTGCCTCAGCCTCCCAAAGTGCTGGGATTACAGGCGTGAGCCACCATGCCCAGCCAAAATGTTTTAAGTCTTGAAGAAAAAATAATTTAAAAATTTTGTACATCAAAAGACACCATCAAGAAAACAAAAGCCAACCTATGAAATGGGAGAAAGTATTTTGTGAATTGTGTATCAGGTAAGAGTCTACTATCCAAAATATATAAACAACTTTTACAACTCAACAGAAATACAAATTACCCAAATTAAAAATGGGCAAAGTATTCGAACACATATTTTTTAAAGAAGATATGCAAATAATCAATAAGCACAAAAAATAGGCTCATTAGTCACAAGGGAAATGAAATGAAAACCACAATCAGATGCCACTTCATATCCACCAGCATGGCTATAGTGAAAAACACAGACAATGACAGTAAGTGTTGGCGAGGATGAGAAAAATTATCAACCAGGTTTGTTCTGCCCGTGCTGGGTAAACCAATCACTGTGATGGCACATTTTGCAAAAGAGAAAAGATTTATCCACAAGGCAGCCCAGCAAGGGGGCAGGTAAATAGCTCTCATATCTGCCTCCCGAAAATAAGGCATAGAGATGTTTATGGGTTAGAGAAGCAGGGTGGTCTAAGGCATGGGGAAAGGTGATTGGCAGTGGGGGAAAATGAATCATCCACTGATCTGCGCAAGTGTAGTCAGGATTCATGGCACTTCATAGGATGACTGTTCAGAAAATGGTGACATTAGCATCATTTGAGGGTGGAGTGTTTAGCCTGTGATGTCAAAAGGCTACCTCTTGGGCATTTGCTCAGGCCTGGTTGAAGGGTCAGTGGTCACAACCAGTTTGAACAGGAGAGGAGCTGCCCCAAGTTCCTGAAAACCAACTTAAGTGACCGTTACCATGGTGACATATGTTATCTATAGATTATACAGGAAGCCAGCAAAGGTTAAATGCTGTGGTCTTCAGCTACATAGAAAAAAACAAAATGCAAATGACCAAATTGCAGGGCAGGCTGTTTTGTGGATCTAATCAGATTAACCCCCCAGTTTCAAAACTTTATTGCTGATGGGATTATAATATTGTACAGCCACCTGAGTAAACAGTTTGGCAGATCCTCAAAAAGTTAAACATAGGCCAAGTGCGGTGGCCCACGCTTGTAATCCTAGCACTTTGGGAGGCCAAGGTGGGTGGATTGCCTCAGCTCAGGAGTTCGAGACCAGCCTGGGCAACACAGTGAAACCCCCATCTCTACTAAAATACAAAAAAAAAAAAAAAAATTAGCCAGGTGTGGCGGCGTGTGCCTGTAATCCCAGGTACTTGGGAGGCTGAGGCAGGAGAACTGCTTGAACCTGGGAGATGGAGGTTGCAGTGAGCCAAGATGGCGCCACTACACTCCAGCTTGGGAGACAGAGTGAGACTCCGTCTCTTAAAAAAAAAGTTAAACATAGATATACCATACGATCCAGCAATTCTTTTCATTTGAGACAGAGTTGTCCCACTGTGTTGGCCAGGCCGGTCTTGAACTGTTGACCTTGTGTTTCACCTGCCTAGGCCTCCCAAAGTGCTGGGATTACAGATGTGAGCCCCTGTGCCCGGCCTAATTTTTGTATTTTTAATAGAGACGGGGTTTCACCATGTTGGCCAGGCTGGTCTTGAACTCCTGACCTCAGGTGATGATTCAGCAATTCTACTCCTAGGTGTATAGCCAAGATAGTTGGGAACAAAGGTCCACACAAAAACTTAAACATGAATGTTCACAGTAGCATTATTCATAATAGCCAAAAGGTGAAAACCATCCAGATGCCCATCAACTGATGAATGAATTTTTAAAAATGTGATATAAATGGCCAGGTGTGGTGACTTATGCCTATAATCCCAGCACTTTGGGAGGCCAAGGCAGGCAGATCACTTGAGACCAGGAGTTCGAGACCAGCCTGGCCAACATGGTGAAACCCCATCTCTACTAAAAATACAAAAGATTAGCCAGGCGTGGTGGCACGTACCTGTAACCCCACCTACTCAGGAGGCTGAGGCAGGGGAATTGCTTGAACCCGGGAGGCAGAGGTTTCAGTGAGCCAAGATTGTGCCACTGCACCCCAGCCTGAGCAACATAGCAAGACTCTGTCTGAAGAAAAAAAAGCAATATAACTATACAATGGACTATTCAGCCACAGAACAGAATGAAGTACTGATTCATGCTATACCACAGATGAACCTTAGAAACAGTATGCTAAATGAAAGAAGTCAGACACAAAGGGCTACACATTGTATGATTCCAGTCATTTGGAAAGTCCAGAATAGACAAATCCCATAGAGACAGAAACTAGATTAGTGGTTGCCAGGGGCTGGGTAGGAGGGTGAGGAATGAGCAATGACTACTGATTGGGTACGGGGTTTCTTTTTTGGGGTGATGAGAATGTTCGATAATTGATTGTGGTGACGGTCGCACAAATTTGTGAGTATGGTGAGAACCATTGAATTGTACACATTATTTTTGAGAGACGGGGTCTCACTTTGTCACCTAGGCTGGAGTGTAATGGCACAATCATAGCTCACTGTCACCTCGAACTCCTGTGCTCAAATGATCCATCCTCCTGCCTTGGCCTCCCAAGCAGCTAGAACCACAGGTATGCACCACCACACACAGCTAATTTTTTAAATTATTTTCTTGTAGCAACGGGGTCTTGCCATCTTGCCCAGGTTGGTCTCAAATTCCTGGGCTCAAGCAATCCTCCCGCTTTGGCTTCCCAAAGTGCTGGGATTATGCACAGCTGAATTGTACACTTTAAAAGGGTGAATTGTATATATGAATTATAGCTCGTATTTTTAAAAGTTTAAAAATATGTTGCTTGGGAAAGGACTCTGGGAAGATGGCAGACAGAGTAGGAAGCACCAGAAATCTGCCTCCCCACCCAGGCTGTCTGAGGTAACTATTTTGGAATTCTGGAGTCTATTGAAGGTTTGCAACTTCCAGAGGAAAACTTGGATGGCAATTTGGACTTTTTCAATTTTCGCTCTTAGCACAGTAGTAGCTACCCATCCTGTGGGAGGCGAGTGTGCATTTGTTCCTGTAGGAGCCTGCACATAGCCTGTGGGAGCCAGGATAGGCAAAAAAAGTATCCTATCCTCCAAATATGAGATATCTGTGCTGATTACTGAACACTGCTTCTGATCACAGGGGTATAGACAAAGAAGCAGGGGCCATTGTTGCATCTCCCCCAATTGTTGCAAGTCTCTCCCTCTCCAGGTGAAGTGACGTCCAGGGGACTGAAAGGTCTGGTACGTGTGTCTTTATCCCAACCCTTCATTTTTCTCTTTTTCTCCCTTTGGGGGGCAGACATTAAAGACAAGGACATTCAAAAGCAACTACATATATGGGGAAAATTAGAAAGTGGCCACCCACACCCAGAGAAAGGCACAGGCTCAAAAAGACCTGAGAAGACCTTAAGTTTATACCTCAGTATGGTCCTTGGCCCAGAGACAGCCTACAACAATTAAAAAACAAAAACAAAAAACAATAAACAAATACAGTAACAAAAAATAGCAAACCCTGGGGAAAGGGGAGAATCCAATTTCCAGAGTTACCACATTATCAAACCCAAATGTATAATTTTCAATGAAAAAAATCACAAGGCATACAAAGAAACAGGAAACTATCCCCAATCAAAAGCAAAAATAAACAGAAACTGTCTCTAAAAAAAGACCTGGTGACAGATCTATTACACAAAAAAATTTTAAAACCTGTCTTAAAGGCTGGGTGTGGTGGTTCATGCCTATAATTCCAGCACTTTGGGAGGCCAAGGCAAGAGGATCACTTGAGGCTGGGAGTTCAAGAGCAGCCTGGGTAACACAGTGAGACCCTGTCTCTTAGAGAAAAAAAAAAAAAAAAGAAGAAGAAGAATTAAAAAATAAGCCAGCCAGGTGCAGTGGCCTGTGTCTATAGTCCTAACTAGCTACTTGGGATGTTGAGGCAGAAGGCTCACTTTGAGCCCTGGAGTTTGAGGCTGCAGTGAGCTTGGATTGTGCCACTGCACTCCAGCCTGGGTGACAGAGCGAGACCCTTGTCTCAAAACACAAAAACAAAAAACTGTCTTAAAGATATAAGGCCAGGTGTGGTGGTGGCTCATGCCTGTAATCCCAACACTTTGGGAAGCCAAGGTGGGCAGATCACTTGAGCCCAGGAGTTTGAAACCAGCCTGGGCAACACAGTGAAACTCCATCTCTACTAAAAAATACAAAAAATTAGCTGGATGTGGTGGCACACACCTGTAGTCCCAGCTACTTGGAGTCTGACATGGGAGATCAACTGAGCCAGGTAAGTCGAGGCTGCAGTTAAGCTGTGATTGCGCCACTGCACTCTAGCCTGTGCGACAGGAGTGAGGCCCTGTCTCAAAAAAATAAAATAAAATAAAAGAGATGATCAAAAAACTAAAGGAAGATATGGAAAAAGCCAAGAAAATGATGTATAAAGAAAATGGAAATATCAATAAAGAGATAGAAAACCTAAAAAGAAACCAAACAAATTCTGGAGCTGAAAAATACAATAACTGAAATGCAAAAATTCACTAGCAGGATTCAAAGGCAGATTTAAACAAGCAAAAAAAAGAGTAAGTCAAATTGGAGACAGGACAATGGAAACTGAGTCTGAAAAACAGAAAGAAAAAAGATTGAGGAAAAGTGAACAGAGCCTAACGGACCTGTGAAACACCATCAAGTGGACCATCATACACATTGTGGGAATTCTAATGGGCAAGAAATAGGAAGAGAAAATATTTGAAGAAATAATGGCTTAAAAGCTTCCCAAGTTCTATGAGACATGAATATAAACACCCAAGCAGCTCAATGAACTCCAAGTAGATGAACTTAAAGAGAGCCACATTAAGACACATTTTAATCAATCGAAGTTTCTTTTTTTTTTTTTTTTAAGATGGAGTCTCGCTCTGTCACGCAGGCTGGAGTGCAGTGGCACGATCTCGGCTCACTGCAAGCTCTGTCTCCCGGGTTCATGCCATTCTCCTGCCTCAGCCTCCCGAGTAGCTGGGACTACAGGCGCCCACCACCACGCCCAGCTAATTTTTTGTATTTTCAGTCGAGACAGGGTTTCACAGTGTTAGCCAGGATGGTCTTGATCTCCTGACCTCGTGATCCGCCTGCCTCAGCCTCCCAAAGTGCTGGGATTACAGACGTGAGCCACCGTGCCCAGCCTTTAATCAAACTTTCTAAATCCAAAGAGAGAATCCTGAAATCAGCAAGAGAGAAGTGATTTGCCACATACAAGATATTTTTAATAAGATTATCAGCAGATTTCTCATCAGAAAGAATTGGATGATATAGTTAAAGTGCTAAAAAAAAAATTGTCGACCCAAGAATCCTATATCTGGCAAAACTGTCCTTAAAAAGTGAGGAAGAAATTTAGACATTCCTAGATAAAAGCTGGGAAAGTTCATTACCACTAGACCTGCCCTACAAGAAATGCTCAAAGAAGTCCTAGTCCTGCAGGATGAAATGAAAGGAGACTAGACAGTAACTTGAAGCCACATGAAGAAATAAAGATCTCAATAAAGGGTAAATACATGGGCAATTATAAAAGCTAATGTTATTGTAATAATAGTCTGTGACGATACTTTTGGTTTTCTACATGATTTGAGATGAACACATTAAAAAAAACTAAACACTAGCATAACTGTAATTTTGGTTTGTAACTCCAAATTTTGTATTCTACGTAATTTAAGAAACTAATGTATTTAAAAGAATTAGTTTATGTTTTGGGTCACACAATGTAAAAAGATGTAATTTTGTGACATCAACCAAAAGGGGTGAGGACACAGCTGTTAGAAGAGTTTGTATATGTCACTGAAGCTGGCATAAATTTAGTGTTATAACTTTAGGATGTTAAATGTTATCCCCATGGTAACCACAGAGAAAATAGCTATAGAATATACACAAAACAAAGGGAAATGAATTTAAATGTTTCACTACAAAACAACTAAACACAAAAGACAGTAATGCAGGAAATGAGGGACAAAAAAGCAGTAAGCCATATGGAGAACAAATAGCAATACAACAGAAGTTCTTATCAGTAATTACTTTAAATGTAAATAGATTACATTTTCTTTTTTTTAATTTTTATTTTTGAGATGGAGTCTCGCTCTGTAGCCCAGGCTGGATTGTAGTGGCATGATCTCAGCTCCCTACAACCTCCACCTCCTGGGTTCAAGCAATTCTCCTACCTCAGCCTCCCGAGTAGCTGGGATTATAGGCGCATGCCACCACACCCGGCTAATTTTTGTATTTTTTGTAGAGACGGGGTCTCACCATGTTGGCTAGGCTGGTCTTGAACTCCTGATCTCAAGTGATCCGCTGGCCTCAGCCTCCCAAAGTGCTGGAATTACAGGTGTGAGCTACCACGCCCAGCCAGGATTAAACGTTCTAATCAAAAGACAAAGACTGGGCTGGGCGCGGTGGCTCACGCCTGTAATCCCAGCACTTTGGGAGGCTGAGGCGGGTGGATCACGAGGGCAGGAGATCGAGACCATCCTGGCTAACACGGTGAAACCCCGTCTCTACTAAAAATACAAAAAATTAGCCAGGCGTGGTGGCGGGCACCTGTGGTCCCAGCTCTACTTCGGAGGCTGAGGCAGGAGAACGGCGTGAACACGGGAGGCGGAGCTTGCAGTGAGCCAAGATTGCACCACTGCACTCCAGCCTGGGCGACAGCGCGAGATCCATCTGAAAACAAAAACAAAAACAAAAACAAAAGACAAAGACTGGCAAAATGGATTTTTTTTTTTTTTGAGACGGAGTCTCACTCTGTCACCCAGGCTGGAGTGCAGTGGCACAATCTCAGCTCACTGCAAGTCCCACCTCCTGGGTTGACAGCATTCTCCTGCCTCAGCCTCCCCAGTAGCTGGGACCACAGGCACCTGCCACCACGCCCGGTTAATTTTTTTTTTTTTTGTATTTTTAGTAGAGATGGGGTTTCACCATCCACAGGATGGTCTCGATCTCCTGACCTTATGATCCACCCGCCTCGGCCTCCCAAAGTGCTGGGATTACAGACTGAGCCACCGTGCCCGGCCAGCAAAATGGATTTTTAAAAATCCTTGGGAGGCTGAGGTGGGCGGATCACAAGGTCAAGAGATCGAGACCATCCTGGCCAACATGGTAAAACCCCATCTCAACTAAAAATACAAAAAATTAAGTGGGTGTGGTGGCGCACACCTGTAGTCCCAGTTACTAGGGAGGCTGAGGCAGGAGAATCACTTGAACCCGGGAGGTGGAGGTTGCAGTGAGCCGAGATCACTCTACTGCACTCTAGCCTGGCAACAGAGTGAGACTCCATCTCAAAACAAACAAACAAACAAACAAAAATCCAACTTTATGCTGTCTACCAAACACTCACATTTGATCCAAAGACACAAACAGATTAAAAGTTAAAAGATGGAAAAAGATACTCCATGCAAACAGTAACCAAAAGAGAGCAGGGGAGGCTACAGTAATATCAGACGAGATAGACTTTAAATCAAAAAAGGTTATAGGGGCCGGGCATGGTGGCTCAGGCCTGTAATCCCAGCACTTTGGGAAGCTGAGGCGGGCAGATCACCTGAGGTCAGGAGTTCAAGACCAACCTGGCCAACATGGCAAAAACCTGTCTCTACTAAAAATACAAAAATTAGCCAGGCGTGCTGACTGGCGGACACCTGTAATCCCCACTACTCGGGAGGTTGAGGCAGGAGAATTGCTTGAACCCGAGAGGCGGAGGTTGCAGTGAGCTGAGATCAGGCCACTGCACTCCAGCCTGGGCAGCAGAGCAAGACTCCATTCTCAAAAAAAAAAAAAAAAAAAAAAAAAAAAAAAAAAAAAGTTACAGGGGACAAAGAACATTATATAATAAAAAATCCAATACTGCAAGAAGATATGACAATTATGAACATCTACACACCTAATAACAGACCACCTAAATATATGAAGCAAAAACTGATAGAATTAAAGGGAGAAACAGTTTTACAACAGTAACTGGGGACTTCAATACCCCATTCTCAATAATGGATAGAAGAATCAGATGTAAGGAAAAAGAGGACTTAAATAGAACAATAAACTAGATCTAATGGACACATACGGAACACTCTATACCTAACAATGGCAGCATATACATTCTTCTCAAGTACACATGGAATTTTCACCTATTAGGTTGGGTATTATCAAAAAGGTAAGACATAGCAAGTGTTGGCAAGAATGTGGAGCAAAGGGAACCACTGTACACTGTTGGTGGGAAGGTAAATTGGTATAGCCATTATAGAAAACAGTATGGAGGTTTCTCAAAAAATTAAAAATAATATGACCCAGCAATACCACCTCTGGGTATGTATCTGAAGGAAATGAAATCAGTAAAGAGGTATCTTTACTCCCATGTTCACTGCAGCATTATTCACAATAACCAAGATATGGAAACTACTCAAGTGTCCATTGATGGATGAATGGATAAAGGAATTATAGTATATATACACAATGGAATATTATTCAGCCTTAAAGGAGGAAACTCTGGCCGGGTGTGGTGGCTCTTGCCTGTAATCCAAGCACTTTGGGAGGCCAAGGCGTGTGGATCACCTGAGGTCACGAGTTCAAGACCAGCCTGGCCAATCTGGTGAAACCCCATCTCTACTAAACAAAAAATTAGCCAGGAGTGGTGGCAGATGCCTATAATCCCAGCTACTCGGGAGGCTGAGGCAAGAGAATCGCTTGAGCCCGGAAGGCGGAGGTTGCAGTGAGCTGAGATTGTGCCACTGAACTCCAGCCTGGGGAACAAGAGCGAAACTCCATCTCAAAAAAAAAAAAAAAAAAAAAAGGAGGAAATTCTGCCATTTGTGACAATGTGAATTATAAACTTAGAGATCATTATGCTAAGTGAAATAAGCCAGACACAGAAAGAGAATATTGTATACCATTTATACGTGGAATCTAAAATAGCTGAACTTAAACACAGTGGTGGTTGTCCAGGTGAGAGGTGGGGAAAATGGGGAGATGTTGGTCAAAGGGTATAAACTTTCAGTTATAAAACGAATAAATGCTAGAGGTTTAATGTAGAGCACAGTATCTATAGTTAATAATGTACTGAACACTTAAAATTTGCTAAGGTAGTAGATCTTAAGTGTTTTCACCACACATGAAAAAATGGTAACTATGTCAAGGTGACAGATACGTAATTAGCCTGACCTTAATTGTGGAATCATTACACAAGGAATGCTGATATCAAAACACCATATTGTACACCTTAAATATATGCAATTTTTTATTTGTCATAACTCAATTTAAAAAAAGAAAACAACTGCGAAAAAAAAGTAGGCTATGTATCTTAAGCATATAAACATTTGACCCTTTCTTAAAAGGTGCCACAGGTAATACTAATCTATTTTCTATGTGGAAAGTGTTTATGAATACAGAACCAATTTAGGCAAAATGAGATGCAAATTATTCTAGATGTAAAGGTTGAATTTTTTTTTAAAGTACACAGTTTTAACACACTATCCACTCTATCAAGCAGACTTAGAGGGATTCCGGAAGGCAGAGCTTTCAGTAACCTTCTAAAAAATTATTCAATATTATTACACAGAATCAGAGATTGCTGTGATTTTTATTCAATTTGACATCTTGATTAGAATGAAACTAGTAAGAATGAAGGTTTACAAACATTGCAATATTACTGTATCATTGTGATATGGCTTTACATTGATTGTATGTAGAGAACAAAATAAAATTAGAATTAAGGCAATAACAACATGTGCAAACCAAGCACATTACCCTGATACGGTCCTTGACAGAAAGCTCTTTCGGTTAGCTGATGTTTGATATTGCTGCATGCAGGTCATTGCTCTGAAGGATAAGCTATGAATAGAAATTTTTTTTCATTAAAAAAAAAAAAATCCCTCCTACTGGCCCACAATAGCCAGAAGAAGTCTTCGGTAATCTCCACTCGTGTCACCTGCAATCATTGTGCCCAGAGTCTTCTGATACATCTGAGCGAACATCTGTTTTATTTGTACAAGGTCAATCTGCATAAGAAATAATATTTCTGTCAGAAAAACATCTGTGACAACTGACATTTCTTAAAATTCTTTTTAAATAATAAGATCTTAATAATAATCAAAACTTGGGGGGGAAAACACCAAGTGACTGACATTTTATGGCTGGCACTCATACCAATGCTAGCACTACCCAATGAAGGTCTGATTCACAGCTCTGTAAAATACTTGGTCAGGGTAGTACTAGTTTCATCTATTATTCCAAAGATATTAGTCATTTAAAAACATTTGATAGGATGGCTATTATCAAAACCAAAAAAATAGTAAGTATTGGCAAGGATGCCATGAAATGGGAACACTTGTACACAGGTTGATGGAAAAGTAAAAGGGTGCAGCTGCTGTGGAAACTAATATGGTTAATTCCTCAAAGCAAAACAAAAACACTTCCAAAGAATTACAATATGACCTAGAAATTCCACTTCTGGGTATATTCAAAATAAGTGAAAGTAGACTTGAACAGATATTTGTACATCCATGTTCATAGCAGCATTATTCAGGCAGAAACAAACCAAGTGTCACAGATGAATTAAAAAAAAAACCAAAAGGTGGGATACACGTACAATAGACTATTTAATTACTCAGTCTCAAAAGGAAGGAAATTCTGACATGCTATAACATGAATAAACCTTGAGGACGCTATGCTAAGTAAAAGACAACACTCACAAAAAGACAAATATTGTATGATTCCACCAATATGACGTACCTAGAGTAGTCAAACACAGGCACAGAAAGTCACATGGTTTGTTGCCAGCAGTTGGGAGAAAGGAGAATGGGGAGTTACTGTTTAAGGAGTATGGATTTTCAGTTTTGCAAGTTGAAAAAACATCTGAAGGTGAATGGTAATGATGGTTGCATAACAATGTGAATGTACTTACTGCTACTTAAAAATGGTAAATTTTTATGTTATGTATATTTTATCACAACTTAAAACATCCTGCTTTGAAAATTTAAGTTAAAGAACAAAGTTTTTTTCAAAATACCATATTCTGGTTGTTTTCTTTAAAAATAATCTACCTTCTTTAGTATAATTTAGGGTTTTTGGCCGGGTGTGGTGGCTCATGCCTATAATCCCAGCACTTTGGGAGGCCGAGGCAGACGGATCATCAGGTCAGGAGTTCGAGACCAGCCTGACCAACATGGTGAAACCCAGTCTCTACTAAAAACACAAAAAAATTAGCCAGGCATGGTGGCACGCACCTGTAATCCCAGCTACTCAGGAGGCTGAGGCAGGAGAATCACTTGAACCCGGGAGGCAGAGGTTGCAGTAAGCCGAGATTATGCCACTGTATTTCAGCCTGGGTGACAGAGCGAGACTCCATCTCAAAAAAAAAAAAAAAAAAAAAAAAAAAAACACGCAATAATAATAATAATTTAGGGTATTTTTTTGACACAGGGTCTCTGTCACCAAGGCTGGAGTGTAGTGGTGCGATCACGGCTCACTGCAGCCTTGACCTTCCAGGCTCAGGTGATCCTTCCACCTCAACATTCTGGGTAGCTGGGACTACCATGCCGGGGGGTGGGTGTGGGTGTGTGTGTGTGTGTGTGTGTGTGTGTATTTTTTGTATAAATAGGTTTCACCGTGTGTGTGTGTGTGTGTGTGTGTGTATTTTTTGTATAAATAGGTTTCACCATGTTGCCCAGGCTACCACGCCCCGGCGTGTGTGTGTGTGTGTGTGTGTGTGTGCGCGCGCGTGTGTTTTTTGTAGAAATAGGTTTCACCATGTTGCCCAGGCTGGTCTCAAACTCCTGGGCTCAAGCAATCCTCCCGCCTTGGCCTCCCAAACTGCTGAGATTACAGGAGTAAGCCACGACACCCCGCCATGTTTTCTTTCAATTAAAAGTTCAGGCCAGGCGTGGTGGCTCACGCCTGTGATCCCAGCACTTTGGGAGGCCGAGGCAGGTGGATCACTTGAGGTCAGGAGTTCGAGACCAGCCTGGCCAACATGGTGAAACCCCATCTCTACCAAAAAAATACAAAAACTTAGCTGGGCATGGTGGCGCACACCTGTAGTCCCAGCTACTCGAGAGGCTGAGGTGACAGAATTGCTTGAACCCAGGAAGTGGAGGTTGCAGTGAGCTGAGATCGTGCCACTGCACTCCAGTCTGGGTGACAGAGTGAGACCATGTCTCAAAAAAAAAAAAAAAAAAAAAAAATTCAAATGTCATTTCTTCTGAGAAAAAAAATTTTTTGTAAGTGGAGTAAATATATAAAGTACAATTTTTAAAAATGAGGCTATACTTGAGACAATTATGAATATTTTAAAAATTGTTTTATTATTAATAAAGGATGCTAAATTTAAATAATGTTGATATCCACTAGGATTAATCTACATAGGCCTTTCATCTAATTTTTATATAAGCAAAATGAAAATCGAAAGACAAATGTCTAACTTCCCATAAATTTGTATTCTCCATTGACGTTCTCAAGTTGTAAAATCTGTTAGTATTATCTTCATTAGGGTAGAGTGGCCTATTTCACTAATGCAAGCTTCTCCCACAGCATGAGGAAAGTGAATTTTCTGTTCTTTATACCACCTCTTTTAGGTGGCAAAGAGAGCTCTTTCTTATCATTTTTGAGGGACTGACAACCAACTGGGGAACTTTTAAGAAATCAACATTGAACATCAAGTAAGACCCGACAAAAAGAGAGAGGCCTGCCTCACCTCACTTCGAGTGACCACAATCCGGACCAGGGTGGAGTCATCTGTGCCAGCACCTTTCATAGCATAGTAGAGCCTCTCAGCAAAGAAGGCAGGGCGGTTCAGGGCACACTGCACTGCAAGTTAGAGATGGTTGAGACATGGAATCATGATCTCACAAGAAGTGTACCCCTCCAGCTTCATTTATCACTTATAGCCTGCCTTTGATTATTTTCTCTGTAATCATCACAGAAACATGGGGTGAGTTAAGAGTGTTCAGATGCTCTCCTTGATTTTTTTTGAGACAGGTTCTCACTCTGTCATCCAGCCTAGAGTGCAGTGGTGCAATCATGGCTGACTGTAGCCTCCCAGACTCAGGTGATCCTCCCACCTCAGCCTTCTGAGTAGCTGGGACTACAAGTGTGAGCTACTGCCCCTGGCCCAACATTCCATTGTTAATACCAAAGTGTTACTAATACTCCCCTTAGTCCTAATATCCATGAGAATGAAACTTTCACTTTGTTAGACATCTGTGTATTAGACCACCAGAAACTGGTTAACTTCAAAAAGGAAATGAGTCTCACTGGGCTGAGTACCTGAAATATCTGTTTTGAGGACTCAAACTGCTTCGTGGTGACACTGTGAGTTCCTCAGGACTTTCCCTTTCTCTTTAAAGGAAGTGCTACAACTATCAGGTATTCTGGCACAGTTATCAAGACAGGCCTACAGATGAAGGCCAAATAATCCCCAAACAGCCCTGTTTGATCACAGAACTACCATTCATAGGAAATTGTATGTAAAAACACAGGACTGTTTCTGGGGGCTTATCCAATAAAGAAAACAAACAACAAAAAACAAACCCCAAAGGATTAGATCAGCTACTGCCTAAGCAGATTCCACGTGGACTATATTATCAACATTTAATGGGAACAACTATTCAAAGCTCCCACTCATTTAAAAAGAAAATAAAGCAAAGCACAAAAATATCTTACAGATGGTCTTCAAACCACTTTCTACATATCCGGAAAACTCACGGCTCACACTGCTTAACAAGTCTCGATTAGCCATCTGCAAACAAAATTAAAGGGTTAAATATTTTTGTATCTTACAGCAGAAGCCAAATCTTCAAAAGAAAAGCTCATACCCTAGAATAAGCCTCCATGGTAGCTCTCAGCTGAGGAAAGCTTCTTGTGGCAAGGATCATGTTAAAGCAAGATTCATCGGTCCCTAGTCTCCCCTCACCAGCTTGATAGAGACGCTGAGCATCTTCCTGAGCCATTTGGTGGTTTATACTCTGGTTCTCATCACGATTTCCCTGCAAAAGAGAAAGGCAGGAATTGGAAGAAATAAATAATAGTTCTACTAAATTTTTTTTTTCCAATCTAGTTCACTTTTGGATTTAAAGAGACTATTTCTTTTTTTTTTGAGATAGGGTCTTGCTCTGTCACTCAGGCTGGAGTGCAGTATCAACCTCCTAGGCTCAAGTGATCCTTCCACCTCAGCCTCCCAGATAGCTGGGACTACAGGCACAAACGACCATGCCTGGTTAATTTTTTTATTTTTTGTAGAGACAGCATGTCTCACTATGTTGCCCAGGTGCTGGTCTCTAACTCCTGGGCTTAAGTGATCCTCCTGCCTTAGCCTCCTAAAGTGCTGGGATTATAGATGTAAGCCACTGGGCCTGGCCTAAAGAGATAATTTATTAAAGATTAATCCATAATGTCTGTCATGCATATGCTTCATTTCTATGCATGGAAATATAACTAGTAATTTATTATACTGTCAACTGGATTTTATAATATAAGATCACGGTTTAATGAGGTTATGTTAAAAATGAGGGCTTTTGGGAGCTAAATTAAACCCAAAATGTTTAAACAAAAATATCTCTACTAGGAGATATTAACTACCACTCAAATGAAGAAACAGCTCTCTTAGCTGGAATTTAAGATCAATATGCACTGTACTGAGTTCTACTTTTTATTCATTCATGCGACTAAGAGACATTAAGCACTTTCTTTGTGTCAGGCACTGTGTTAAGCGGTAGGGACACAGGAGAGACAGGGTCTCTGCCCTCAAGAAATTTAACTCTAGGGCAGGAGGGAGGGAGGATATAATATGGAGGCTTCATAAACTTTCTTTTCTTCATCTGAGTATAATATTTTTTTTTAAGAGACACGATTTCACTATGTTGCCCAGGCTGGGGTGCAATGGCTATTTGCAGACATGATCATAGCCTCAAACTCCTGGGTTCAAGTGATCCTCCTACCTCAGCCTCCAGAGTAGCTGGGACTATAAGCTCACACCACCACACTCAGCCATCGAATTATAATCTTAATATGTAAGTATTTACCATAAATACACGCATAAAAATGACACATAAGCTTTACAGAAGCAGCTACAAATAACTCATGTTCTGTTAGACTGTGCCTATTTGTATACCACACTCTTCCCTGGAATAGGAAGAAAGGAAGGAGGAAGGAAGAGTTTAAGCTTAATGAGCAGTTGGTTTCTCTCAAAAACAGAAAGACAAACCCAAACAAGAAAAGGCTGCCTTTTAGAGTCTCAGGGACCATCTTTGGAATAAGATGGAAAAATCCTCCTTGAAGCTGAAGAACTGTCTTCTGAGCAACTGGCACAAGGAATACGTAGAGGCACATTCTACATGGGCGACTGAATATAACACAGGAAAAGGTACTCACAAAAAATTTCCCAGATTATTGCCTTTGGATTCACACACACTTTCTCAGGAAGTTACTCCTCTACTCATGCCCTGGAAAAGGTAGGGCTGGGCCTTGAACTCTGCATAAAGAGAGACTCAGCACCTCATGTAAAATCTTAATAGCCATTTTTTAGCATTGTCTGTTTTCCTTCTTGTTTCTTTTAAATCCTAACCTACTGCCCTCCTGTTACTCTGATTTAGGTAAATTCAATTTCCTTCAACCCATTTACTTTGCTTTCTCATTTCCATATCCACTATCCTTTCCACAGCTACCTCCCTTTTTTTTTTTTTAGATGGAGTTTTGCTCTTGTTACCCAGGCTGGAGTGCAATGGCACAATCTCAGCTCACTGCAACCTCTGCCTCCCGGGTTCAAGCGATTCTGCTGCCTCAGCCTCCCAGGTAGCTGGGATTACAGGTGCCACCACTCCTGGCTAATTTTTTGTATTTAGTAGAGATGGAGTTTCACCATGTTGGTCAGGCTGGTCTCAAACTCCTGACCTCAGGTGATCCACCCGCCTCAGCCTCCCAAAGTACTGGGATTACAGACATGAACCACCACACCCAGCCCCTCCCTTGGCTCTTAAGAGCCCCTCCTCTCCTTTAGATCCCTCCAGATGGTCCAATCTTGTGCACTAGCACAATAGGCAATAACTCTTGATATTGAATCAGCATGCTAGTCATTTACATAATCTCTTTCAAATACACCTTCATCATCTAAGTGTGCTTCTTTTCTTTTTTTCTTTTCTTTTTTTTAAGGACAGGATCTCACTCTATTGCCCAGGCTGGAATGCAGTGGTGCGATCACAGTTCACTGCAGCCTCAATCTCCTGGGCTCAAGTGATCCTCCCACTGAACTTCCTGAATAGCTGGCACTACAGGCACATACCACCATGTTCGGCTAATTTTTAAAAATATTTTTTATAGAGATGGTTTCTTGCTATGGTACCCAAGCTGGCTTCAAACTCCTGGCCTCAAGCAATCCTCCTGCCTTGGCCTCCAAAAGTGCTGGAATTACAGGTGTGAGGCACAATGTCTGGCCCTAAGTGTGTTTCTAATGCCATTCCAAATACCCTATTTGGAGTATTTTCTGTCAATTCTCCAGCACACCTGGGGAATCAAAATAAAGAAGGTGCTAATCACAGTTATTACTGGGAACCCTAAAACATTTTTCTGCATTTCTGGGTCTCCTCACATAGTCCTCACTTCCTGTAGCACCTCTATGGCAGTCCTGCACATCTTCACTTGATGGTGGGGCATAATGGGCAGGATAGTGATAAGCTCAAATGTACAGTTTCATCCCCATCCCAGCCACAGAGCCTCGAATTGGTTTCTGATTCCATACAACCTTAGAGGTTAAATCTCTAATTCCTTACAAAAGCCAGATTTACAGGAATAAATCTCAATAGTAACTACAAAGAAATCTGTACACTGGTTTCTGTGTTGTCCCTCTTAAAGATGGCAATATTGCAAGGTGGCTAAATATTAAAAGGAATAAAGAATGCTCACTGGCAAAAGGCTTTTAAAGTATGTTCCCTCTATCAACGCACAAGCATTCATACTATACTCACCTGGCACATGGACACAAGTAAACGTTCAAAATGTCCTGATGTATCTGACCTAATGTCCTTTTCAAGGTCTCGTCCAAATTCTGACTGATAACATCTGACAATTTCTCGGATTTCCTGATTTGTTCTTGTGCACAAAATCTCAATCAATACACGTTCCTGAGTTCCTGCTCCCTACATGAAATGAAGGGAAGATTATACAAAGAAAAATGAAATTTCTGCAAGTAATTAAATCTTCGTCAAATATTTCTTTGTTCTGTAGAACTAAAAACTATATATTCAGATGGATGATGTGAAATAAAGAATTGCTTTAATTACCACTGTAAATTCAGAACTGTCATAATTTGTACGGTTTTACATATGAAATAGGACAAAATATTCATAATAAATGACATATAGTAGTACCTGCATTGCTTTCCGTAAGCTCCAGGCATCGTAATACGTAGGAGGCATGAAGAGGGCCAGGATCAGTTCTTCCATATTTCCACTTAACTCTGATTTGAGATCTTTGATTAAATCCTATTTAATCACAAATACAAGCTAAGTATATGTGTTCTCCAAATTTTGTCACTTAAATCTTTTAAGGAAAATACAAAAAAAGAAATGGAATTGCTTTATAAAAACCTAAATTTGAAAGCTGAATGTTAATATACTAAGAAGTAAATAAAGGCCAGGCGCGGTGGCTCATGCCTGTAATCCCAGCACTTTGGGAGGTCAAGGCAGGAGGATCATGAGGTCAGGAGATCAAGACCATCCTGGTTAACACGGTGAAACCCTGTCTCTACTAAAAACACAAAAAATTAACCGGGAGTGGTGGCAGGCACCTGTAGTCCCAGGTCCTCGGGAGGCTGACACAAGAGAACAGCGTGAACCTGGGAGGCAGAGCTTGCAGTGAGCTGAGATCGCACCACTGCACTCCAGCCTGGGCGACAGAGCAAGACTCCGTCTCAAAAAAAAAAATAAATAAATAGAAATAAAAAAGAAGTAAATAAATTTAAAGTCTGTTACACTTACACATTTATTACACTCAAGCAGATCTATTTTATTCATTCTATCAATAAACATTTAATAAAATCTTATTCCACTCTACCAGGTACAAAAACAAGGGATATATGAAACAAAGAATTATTCAAACTGACAAAATGATAAACAGATATTTACTTAGTAAAAGGAACTGTTCTTGGTTCTATGAGGAAGTAGAAACCATTATCATCTTGTTCTTATTTGTTTTTTGTTGTTATTTTTTTTGAGACAGAGTCTCGCTCTGTGGCCCAGGCTGGAATGCAGTGGTGTGATCTCGGCTAACTGCAACCTCTGCCTCCTGGGTTCAAGCGCTTCTCCTTCCTCAGCCCCCTGAGTAGCTGGGACTACAGGCACATCCCACCACGCCAGGCTAATTTTTGTATTTTTAGTAGAGATGGGGTTTCACATGTTGGCCAGGCTGGTCTTGAATGCCTGACCCCAAGTGATACACCCGCCTTGGCCTCCCGAAGTGCTGGCATTACACACATGAACCACTGTGCCCAGCCGATATTGTTCTTATTTGGAAAGATACACATCTAAAAAAAAAATAATGTAAGGTAACCTGTACTCTAGCACTGGGTAAGTAGCATAGAAATAAGTAATAGAGAAAGTTGAAACAGAAAAAGTTCAAAGTCAGCTGGAGAGCTCAGAGAAAAATGTAAAAATTAGCATGCAAAGACGAAGGAGAAAGGTATTTCAGGTAAGAAGGAACACCACCAAGGAACAGAGAAGGGGTTCCCAGCCTTGACTCTTCATTACATTCATTGTGGAGCTTTAAAAAAAAAAAGAAAAACATTGATGTCCAGGACTAAGACTCAGAGATTCTGTGTATTTTTAAGTTTTAAAGGAAATTACGATGTTCAGTTAAGGTTGAGAATTACTCGTATAGAGCCAAGAATGAGCAAAGCTTGTTCAATGGAACAATAAGACAACCGGTTTTGCTACAGAGGAAGGTTTTCATAATAGATGAGTTAAAACAAAGTTGTAACTAAATCTTGGATTATTACACTGAATGCCAAGCTAAAGAATATGGACTTGATTCTGTTTGCTGGGAGGAACCACTGGAAACTTTTCATGCAAGAAAATGGCACTGATGTAGCAACAATATTCAGAATGGATGATGGTGACAAAGAAGCTATAGATGAAAACATTTAGGCTACTGGAATATTTAGTTAAGAGGTAATAAAGTCTTGGACTTGAATGGTAACAATGGAAATGAGAAGGAACAAAGTAGACAAAAGAAACATTTTAAAGGGCCATTTTATAGATTAGATCAATAAAAACTAGTAAATAACCAACTGCTAGGACAAAGCATACAGAATACTCCCTATGATAAAAGAAAAACATGGACTCAAAGATGACTATAGCAGGCTAGAAAAACAGTGTTTTACTAATTAGGAAGTTAAGAAAAGAGGTGGCTAGTGGTACGGAAATTAGATTGTTAGTTTTAATTCTAAAGCAATATATAAAAAAACTTGAGACAGCATTGTGCAGACTAGATAAAAAATTCATAACATGGAAAATATCTTTGTGAGAATAGTGAGTCTGATGTTGAAGCTTAAGGAGATCTAGGGTTTGTGTTGCATAATCAGTCACTGGGCTGGGCAGACAGGGAAAGGCAAAATAGAATAAGCAAGGTGGGACCAATCAATGGACCACTACCCCATTCTGAGAAATATAAACTAGATGCAGAGAACATTAGGATATTTTTAGGATTCCTATCTAAATGGCAAAGCAGGTCAGGCGTGGTGGCTCATGCCTGTAATCCCAGCACTTTGGGAGGCCAAGGCAGGCAGATCACATGAGGCCAAGAGTTTGAGACCACACTTGCTAACATGGCAAAATCCCGTCTCTACTAAAAGTACAAAAATTAGCTGGGTGTGGTGGCAGACACCTATAATTCCAGCTACTCGAGAGGCTGAGGCACGAAAATCGCTCTTGCCTGGAAAGTGGAGGCTGCAGTGAGCGGAGATCATGCCACTGCACTCCAGCCTTTTGAGACTCTGTCTCAAAAAAAAGTAAAAAAAAAAAAAAAAAAAGCAAAGCAGTGCTATCCATGTTTTCCCATTACATCTGAGGAACAATGGCATTTTTTAGCCATAGAATCTTGTTGGATTTAGAAACTGATCATCCATTCAACAAGTACTAAGTGGCTACTTGCCATTATATACTTGGTACTGTAATACAAAGATGACTATGACCATGGTTTGTCCTATGGGAGCTCAGTTTTTGGGGGTGGGCCGTGAGATTAGTAATAACAGAGGTTTTACAAAGTGCTATGGGACTACAGTATTAAGAAGCAGCTAAATTCTGTCCAGACTAATGAAAGAAACTTCAGAGTAGCTGATATTTAAGCCAAATCTTAAAGAAGTTTGCCATGAAAAAAAGAAAAGGTATTCAAGGCCAGGAGAATGGCATGTACACAACACAGAAGCATAAAAGATCATGGCGTGTACAGAGAATGGCAAGCATTTCCATATTATTTTTTTTTGAGACAGCGTCTTGTTCTGTCACCTAGGCTACAGTGCAGTAACACAATCACAGCTCACTAACAGCCTGACTTCCTGGGCTCAAGCAATCTTTCTACCTCAGCCTCCCAAGCAGCTGGGACTATGGACACACGCCACCACGCCCAGCTAATATAATTTGTTGTCATCGTTGTTGGAAATGAAGTCTCCCTATGTTGCCCAGGCTGGTCCTGAACTCCTGGCCTCAAGAAATTCTCCTGCTTTGGCCTCCCAAAGTGCTGGGATTACAGGCGTAAGCCACCACGCTCAGTCCATATAATTTTAACATAGGACACGTTTAGAGAAAGGGAGAGAAGCAGAAGGCGATGCCCAGGACCAAGAATAAACAAGGGCTATGTAATAAGCCTTGAATCCCACTGTAACAGGCAGAAGACTGAGAACCATCCTCTTGATCATGATTGTAGTTGTGATCTACTTTCTACTGAATGTCTATCACATATGTGACTGGGGTAAGGTATGATTATGAGATCAAGGACTACTCTAGAATGAAAAAGCCTTTTAAGAGAAATAGGCCAGGCATGGTGGCTCACGCCTGTAATCCCAGCACTTTGGGAGGCTGAGGCAGGCGGATCACTTGAGGTCAGGAGTTAGAGACCAGCCTGGCCAACATGGTGAAACTCTGTCTCTACTAAAAATACAAAAATTAGCCAGGCATGATGCTGTGCACCTGTAGTCCCAGCTACTCAGGAGGCTGAGGCAGGAGAATTGCTTGAACTCGGGAAGCAAAGACGGCAGTGAGCTGAGATCGCACCATTGCACTCCAGCCTGGATGTTGGTGCGAGACTTCATCTCAAAACAAAACAAAACAAAAAACAGAAATAGGGAATACAGTACCCTTGAGGTCTCTAAAGTCTAGTTGTCCCTCTTTTGCACCACAGGTACTAATCAAAATATAGTATCCAATCTGACATGAATGCAGAGTCTACCAGCCACTGCTGGTGCTCATTCCAGGAAAGAAAAACATACCTTGCCATAGGAGGTCTTAAATGCTGCTTTAATTTTTTGCCTCTGATCATTGGAACGGTTGGCCACCACATCCACAATTGCCTGCTCATCTGTCCCTGGAAGAACCACACATGTTTAAGTAAGGACAAAGTACATGCTAGGTGCTGCTTGAGGTCATCTTTTTTTTTTTTTTTTTTTTTTGAGACGGAGTTTGTCACCCAGACTGGGGGTGCAAGTGCAATGGTGTGATCTAGGCTGACTGCAATCTCCACCTCCCAGGTTCAAGCAATTCTCCTGCCTCAGCTTCCCGTGAAGCTGGGATTACAGGCATGCATCACCATGCCCAACTATTTTACTTTTTATTTTTAGTACAGATGGAGTTTCGCCATGTTGGCCAGGCTGGTCTTGAACTCAGGTGATCTGCCCACCTCGGCCTCCTAAAGTGCTGGGACTACAGGTGTAAGCCACCACACCCAGCCTGAGGTCATCTCTTAGAATGCTTACAAGGCACTAGACATCAGATTAAATCCAGGTATGCGCACCCAGGCTGACACATAAACTTGGGTTTATGAGATAAGGTTTATTTTTACTTTAGAACTGATTACTTTAACTTATTAAAAAAGACAAAAATTTGTTTTCCTTACCAAAACCCTTCATTGCCTTACGAAGAATTTCTGCATCTCTTATAGCATCGAAGTTGGCAGCTGGTCGGATAGTTCCTTGAGTGACCTGAGTCACTGTGGCAGGCTGAAAATAAAAGGCATAAAATCCGTGTCAGCATTTCCAGTAAGTTTCTAATGAGGAAACTTAAAGACTTCCCCAGACATCAATCTTAAGTAAGAAGGCCAATGTTTGGGTTTTAAGGCAAGGATATGAGCATTTTATTACCAGAGCTCATTATGGAACAGACAGGAAAGACCTATCCCCCTTCAGGACAGATTTTTCTCCTGCCAACAGATAGCCAGACACCAAACTTCCAGGAGACAAGATGGCCAAACTTGTGAAATTAAAGTCACAATCTTACTATAGTTTCCTTTTTGGTAGAATAGGAAGAAAAAAGAAGACTGATCCCTGAATGGTGTGAGATGAGCGACAATGTTTGATTTAAAAACAGAAGAATATAAAATGGCTTTAGTGAAGTAGCACATGAATGCCCAGTGAGATTTCAAACCAGCAATATAATTTTAGTAATCTCTCTTAATTTCCTATATGGACCCTGATTATTATACATGAAATAAATCTATATGAAAATTAAAAATTGCCATTTAGCAAATACTATGGTAGTAACTGTTTCAGGCAAGAATCAACAGTGGGTGCTAAAATTAGGTGGCAAAAGTATAAAGAAACAGGATATTTGTATAACCTATAACATTATAGCAGAGAAACCTTGCAGGCACCAACTTAAATGATCAAAATTAATTATCACCAGTAATGGAATAAGTCAATAATAAGTGTCTCCTGATATGATGCACTGGGGGCACAAAATCATTTCTGTGGTACTCTTGCCAAAAAGGCATGACCTGGATTTAACCATGAGAAAATATCAGACAAACCCAAATTAAGAAATATTTTATAAAATAACTGACAGTGTTCTTCAAAAGCATCAAGGGCATGAACAACAAAGACTGAGGAACTATTTCAGATTAAAGGAGACTTAAGAGACATGACAATAAATACAACATTGCATTCTGGATTTGATCCTGAACCAGAAAAAGGACATCATTGAGACAACTGGTGAAACTGAAATAAGGTCTGTAGGTTGGGTAACAGTACTATATCGATGTTATTTCCTGATTTTGATCATTGCATTGTGTTTATGTAGGAAGTTAACATTTGGAGAATCTGAGTAAAGGGTATATACAAATTATTTGTACTATTTTGCAAGTCTAAAATTATGTCAAAATTAAAAGATAAAACAATTTAAAATACAAAGCTATGAAATAATTCAATAGTTTCCCCCAATTTTTTATTTTTTAGAGATAGGCTCTCACTCTGTTGTTCAGGCTGGAGTGCAGTGGCACAAACATAGCTCACAGTAACCTTGAATTCCTGAGCCCAAGCAATCCTCCTGCCTCAGCCTCCTGAGTAGCTAGCACTACAGCCATGTGCCACCATGCCCAGCTAATTTCTTACTTTTGTAGAGACGGGGGTCTTGCTATGTTGCCCAGGCTGGTATCGAATTCTTGGCCTCAAGTGATCCCCCTGCCTTGGCCTCCCAAAGTGCTGGAATTACAGGTGTGCGGCCAGCCCAGAATAATTCAAGAAGTTTCTTAGGGTGTTCAAGTCAGGGCTTAAGAGGGATGGGATGAAGATGATGCTCCACTACTTTTTAAAAAAATTTTAATTGTAACAACACATTTCTTGTATGTTTGAATGTTGACCTAAAATAAAGATTACTGTTGTAAAATAAGTGTTTTCACTGCAGAAAACACACATATACACACACACAGTTTATTTAATCCAATACCTCCAAAGTATTATCATTTAAACATGCAATCAATACCATTTCAAAATAAAAGATGATTCAATGCTTTTTAGACAACAGAAACTGTATTTAAAGTTATACACATTGAATACAGCAGTACACCAGCATTTGTGGGGGCAAAGCAACTGAGGAGATGAGAACAAGCCCCATCTTTCAGCAGCTTTTCAAGATAACACTTTTATGGGTCAATAGCTCCTCCCACTCATATATATTTTTACTCCAACATTTTCTTCTACCAGTAAGCCTTAGCATCCATCCTCTACTAGTTTCCAAGCTAGGGCTGTAAGCAGAGAACTAACAAATATACCTATAGTGGTTTTAATAGAAAGCCAAAATTATTCTACTTGTAGCAAATAGTCGAGTATAAAAAAATTTTATAAGCCTTCATGTCTCAAGAAACTAAGTTTCCTTTGATGTAACCGCTGTCACTAAAATCCTAAATAGGACAGAAGCCATTGTTTCTAATACACTGGAATAGATAAACTAACCCTCACTGTGTACCATTTGATGATTCTCATTTTCTGTGATTCTCTTTTGTAAAATATATATATATATATATATATATATAAAAATATATATATACACACACACACATATATATATATTGATTTCATATTTCATCTGTAGGGAAAAATTTTTTTGATGTATTCTCTGCCGAAAGTCTAAGTTTGAAGTAAATTTTCAAGAATACTGTCATCTTCCAGGCATTAAACTGAATTCAAAGAAATCAGGATCTGGGCTGGGCACAGTGGCTCATGCCTGTAATCCCAGCACTTCGGGAGGTCGAGGCAGGTGGATCACGAGGTCAAGAGATTGAGACCATCCTGGCCAACATGGTGAAACCCTGTCTCTACTACAAATACAAAAATGCTGGGCGTGGTGGTGCGCACCTGTAGTCCCAGCTACTCAGGAGGCTGAGGCAGGAGAATCACTTGAACCCGGGAGGCGGAGGTTGCAGTGACCCCAGATCGCGCCACTGCACACTCTAGCCTGGCAACAGAGTGAGACTCTGTCTCTTAAAAAAAAAAAAAAAAAGAGAGAAATCAGGATCTGTGTTCTTGAGGTTAAATTCTAGGGGAGAGTTCTCAGCAAAATCTGCTACCAGAAGTTCCAACCTTTGCTATTCTTCTTTAATGCCCATTTGATTCCAACCTTCTTGCTGAAAAACTATCATAGAGCTGGGCACAGTGGCTCACATCTGCAACTCCAGCATTTTGGGAGGCTGAGGCAGGAGGATCGCTTGAGCCCAGGAGTTCAAGACCAGCCTGGGCAACACAGCAAAACCTTCATCTTTACCAAAAATTAAAAAATTAGGTGGGCATGCTGGTGCACAACTATAGTCCCAGTTACTCAGGAGGCTGATGCAGGAGGATCGCTTGAGCCCAGCATTTCGAGGCTGCAGTGAGCTTTGATCACGCCACTGTACTCCAGCCTGACCCGAGCAGCAGAGTGAGGCCCTGACTCAAAATTGAACAAACAAATGAAACAACAACAACAACAAGACTATAACAGAATTAGAGAACTGGATCAATCAGGAGGGATAAACTGGCCCAACTTCCCATCTAAGACAAAAATTTTTTTTACACCTTCCTTGATACACACAGACACATCCATACTCAACATCAACCAAAATCTGCCTGTGGACTTTCAGTGACAAGAAGCTCACCCCTCACAGGGTAGCCTATTTCACTTCCATCTAAAAGCTCTTCCAAAATCTAACACTCTGCATTCTGTTAACTTCTACCTACTGGTTTTAGTTCCAGCTTAAGGTGGTAATTGTTGCATAAAATAAGTTGCATATGAGACTAATAAAAAAGGAAAAAGAGAAGAATTAAATAGACGCAATAAAAAATGATAAAGGGGATATCACCACCGATCCCACAGAGATACAAACTACCATCAGAGAATAGGATGAACACCTCTATGCAAATAAACTAGAAAATCTAGAAGAGATGGATAAATTCCTGGACACATACACCCTCCCAAGACTAAACCAGGAAGAAGTTGAATCCCTGAATAGACCAATAACAGGCTCTGAAATTGAGGCAATAATTAAGAGCCTACCAACCAAAAAAAGTCCAGGACCAGACAGATTCACAGCCGAATTCTACCAGAGGTACAAAGAGGAGTTAGTACCATTCCTTCTGAAACTATTCCAATCAATAGAAAGAGGCGGAATCCTCAGTAACTCATTTTATAAGGCCAACATCATCATGATAACAAAGCCTGGCAGAGACACAACAAAAAAAAGAGAATTTTAGACCAATATCCCTGATGAACATCGATGCAAAAATCCTCAATAAAATACTGGCAAACCGAATCCAGTAGCACATCAAAAAGCTTATCCATCACGATCAAGTTGGCTTCATCCCTGGGATGCAAGGCTGGTTCAACATATGCAAATCAGTAAATGTAATCCAGCATATAAACAGAACCAAAGACAAAAACCACATGACTATCTCAATAGATGCAGAAAAGGCCTTTGACAAAATTTAACAGCACTTCATGCTGAAAACCCTCAATAAATTAGGTATTGATGGGACGTATCTCAAAATAATAAGAGCTATTTATGACAAATCCACAGCCAATATCATACTGAATGGGCAAAAACTGGAAGCATTCCCTTTGAAAACTGGCACAAGACAGGGATGCCCTCTCTCACCACTCCTATTCAACATAGTGTTGGAAGTTCTGGCCAGGGCAATCAGGCAGGAGAAAGAAATAAAGGGTATTCAATTAGGAAAAGAGGAAGTCAAATTGTTCCTGTTTGCAGATGACATGATTGTATATTTAGAAAACCCCATTGTCTCAGCCCAAAATCTCCTTAAGCTGATAAGCAACTTCAGCAAAGTCTCAGGATACAAAATCAATGTGCAAAAATCACAAGCATTCCTATACACCAATAACAGACAAACAGAGAGCCAAATCATGAGTGAACTCCCACTCACAATCGCTTCAAAGAGAATAAAATACATAGGAAGCCAACTTACAAGGGATGTGAAGGACCTCTTCAAGGAGAATTACAAACCACTGCTCAACGAAATAAAAAAGGACACAAACAAATGGAAGAACAAGAACATTCCATGCTCATGGATAGGAAGAATCAATATCGTGAAAATGGCCATACTGCCCAAGGTAATTTACAGATTCAATGCCATCCCCATCAAGCTACCAATGACTTTCTTCACAGAATTGGAAAAAACTACTTTAAAGTTCATATGGAACCAAAAAAGAGCCCACATTGCCAAGACAATCCTAAGCCAAAAGAACAAAGCTGGAGGCATCACGCTACCTGACTTTAAACTATACTACAAGGCTACAGTAACCAAAACAGCATGGTACTGGTACCAAAACAGAGATATAGACCAATGGAACAGAACAGAGCCCTCAGAAGTAATACCACACATCTACAACCATCTGATCTTTGACAAACCTGACAAAAACAAGAAATGGGGAAAGGATTCCCTATTTAATAAATGGTGCTGGGAAAACTGGCTAGCCATATGTAGAAAGCTGAAACTGGATCCCTTCCTTACACCTTATACAACAATTAATTCAAGATGGATTAAAGACTTAAATGTTAGATCTAAAACCATAAAAACCCTAGAAGAAAACCTAGGCAATACCATTCAGGACATAAGCATCGGCAAGGACTTCATGTCTAAAACACCAAAAGCAATGGCAACAAAAGCCAAAATTAAGAAATGGGATCTAATTAAACCAAAGAGCTTCTGCACGGCAAAAGAAACTACCATCAGAGTGAACAGGCAACCTACAGAATGGGAGAACATTTTTGCAATCTACCCATCTGACAAACGGCTAATATCCAAAATCTACAAAGAACTTAAACAAATTTACAAGAAAAAAATCAAACAACCCCATCAAAAAGTGGGCAAAGGATATGAACAGACACTTCTCAAAAGAAGACATTTATGCAGCCAACAGACACATGAAAAAATGCTCATCATCACTGGCCATCAGAGAAATGCAAATCAAAACCACAATGAGATATCATCTCACACCAGTTAGAATGGCGATCATTAAAAAGTCAGCAAACAACACGTGCTGGAGAGGATGTGGAGAAATAGGAACACTTTTACACTGTTGGTGGGACTGTAAACTAGTTCAACCACTGTGGAAGACAGTGTGGCGATTCCTCAAGGATCTAGAACTAGAAACACCATTTGACCCAGCCATCCCATTACTAGGTATATACCCAAAGGATTATAAATCATGCTGCTATAAAGACACATGCACACGTATGTTTATTGCAGCACTATTCACAATAGCAAAGACTTGGAACCAACCCAAATGTCCATCAATGATAGACTGGATTAAGAAAATGTGGCACATATACACCATGGAATACTATGCAGCCATAAAAAGGATGAGTTCATGTCCTTTGTAGGGACATGGATGAAGCTGGAAACCATCATTCTGAGCAAACTATCGTAAGGACAGAAAACCAGACACCGCATGGTCTCACTCATAGGTGGGAACTGAACAATGAGAACACTTGGACACAGGATGGGGAACATCACACACCAGGGACTGTCGTGGGGTTGGGGTGGTGGGGAGGGATAGCATTAGGAGATACACCTAATATAAATGACGAGTTAACGGGTGCAGCACACCAACATGGCACATGTATACATATGTAACAAACTTGCACGTTGTGCACATGTACCCTAGAACTTAAAGTGTAATAAAAAATAAAAATAAAAATAAGTTGCATAAGTACATGTGATTTACTTTTAGTGTTTCATGTTTAAAAGTCATTCATATTCAGTCGTAAAATGATTTCTCTAAAATTATATGCATGCTTAAACTAAAATCAAAATTTTCATAACAAAAGTGATTACAGGTTTATAATATGATTGGCAAACAACTTCAACAATGAAAAAAAGGACTGAAAGCAACTTACTACATGCTTGGGAGGAGTATCATTTACTGTATCAGCAAAGCAACTTTGTATAAGAGAGAGACCGCTGGTCTAGAAGGCAGAAGATATAGACTAGAATCTTCTCAGCTTTGTCCTTCACTAGTTGTGTTGCCCTAGACAAGTTTCTCAACCTCTCTGGAGCTCACATACCTCAAATCAGGAAAGTGAGCTAAAAAAATCACTAAGATGTTTCTCTTCCAATACTAGAATCCTTCTCCTACCCCAGCCTAAAACAAGCTTGAAAATGCTAGACATTCATGAATATCCAATATAGAAATCAATAAGAAAATCAAAATAAAAGTAAGCATCAAGTATACTGCTTATTTTGTTCCTAGTAACTTGCATAGGCTATAAAAAAATTAACAAGGTAATTTAAGAATAAAATTTGGGATTAAAATAAGAAGCCAGGCCGTGCGTGGTGGCTCATGCCTGTAATCCCAGCTCTTTGGGAGGCCGAGGCAGGTGGATCACCTGAGGTCAAGAGTTCGAGACCAGCCTGGCCAACATGGTGAAACCCTGTCTCTACTAAAAATACAAAAAAATGTGACAGGTGTAGTGGCGTGCGCCTGTAATCCCAGTTACTCCGGAGGCTGAGGCAGGAAAATCGCTTGAACCCGGAAGGTGGAGGGTGCAGTGAGCCGAGGTCGTGCCACTGCACTCTAGCCTGGGTGCCAACAGTGAAACTCCATCTCAAAAAAAAAAAAAAAGAAGCCATACGGAGTAGGGCAAATATTTGACATATAGGAAACTCTGCAGCTAATGAGAAAATCCAGTCAACAGACTAACTGGCTACTATGTCTAAAGCCCTACCTATTATTACAGGAACACAAAGATAAAATAGATACAGGTGAGCCCTTAAGAAGTAGTGAGAGACAAGTACATGAGAATCAGAAACAAAGGCACATATAAAGGACCTAGTGATTAGTAAACATTAGAAAACCTTACTCACTTCACTGCTATAATCCAAAGAAACAGGAGAGAAAACAGGATAGGAAGAAAAAGAATCTGTATTGATCTGAAAAAAGAGTGAAAAGTTATAAAGGTAAAAATGGGAAACAAAACCACCCTACATAAATCACTGTCAGAAATACCAATCACCCAGCCACCCAAATTCATAGGTGTAACTGCTGGTAAGGGCAAGGAAGAGGAAAAAGAACTAAAACCAAGACCCCAGGTTAATCTCCAGGATAAAGTTGTGAGAATCATTACCTATGAGAATAGACCTATGCTTGTCTTCTCAAAGTCATCAGGACACTATTAAAGCAGATGGACCAAAGAAAGTATGGAGTCTATCAGAAGTAAAGACTTTAGTCTTCCATTACTATAATGGGCCATTTCCTCCGACCCATGGAAACCTCAGCAAAGGATAGGTTCCTTCTTTATCTAGCTACCTAGAGTGAGCTTAAAAGGTAGGAACAAAATACCTGACTAGGGTAAGTAGGTTGTCCTCCAGGATACTGAGAAGGCATCTGTCCTCCAGGAAAGCCACCTATAATGTTAAAAAAAATAATAATAATACGGCAACAGGTCTTACATGTTTTAATTTTTCAAAACAGCATTGATGACTATGAATATGGAAACATACAAGAACATTCACACTATGATACTTATGAGGATAGTTTTTAAAAATATAATTTACTGAATCTAAAACCAACTTTGGTCATAAGAACCTTTTTAATATTCCATGTTCTACATAAGATCCTCATAAATAATACTTTTTTCACACTTGAATCAGATTAAATTCTGAGTCCACCTGGAATGGTTGTCAGAATACAGTTCTGGGGGTGGTTTTACTATTGGTACAGGAGTGGGCAGAGAAGTTCCTGAAGGCTTCCTTTTGGCTTTGGGACAGATTTTTTTAATAGAAAAAGTGTGACTTTATCTCTATTTTACTGATTAAACTTTTCCATCAATTTAATATATTTCATAAAACCATTATGTTTAAAATTATTTATGGAAATATAAACATTTATTGCAGATTATCTCAAATATAAACTAAGTTCCCTCAATGGTGATTTAAAAACTCAAAATATCATGATACTGTTTTTTTCTGGACAGCTGGTACCTACCAGGTAGTGGAACCTGTGCTGGACCACCTCCATAAGACTGTGAAGGTGGCTGTGGATACCCAGAAAAGCCTGCTCCACCTGGTGGGACTCCAAATCCTTGGCCTGGAGGAACTAGAGAAAAGAACATGTCAATAAACTATAGTACAGTTCTCATGATTGCAGAAAAAACTTTAGAAAAATATCTATTGTTAACAGTGGAAAAATATGCTATTAATGCTATAATAGCAGTCCCTGTTTATCTAGATTCAAAACTTCAAATTCTCCAGTAAAAAATAAGTTTTTAAATTTTTACCTTATATATTTATTTATTTTTTGAGACAGTCTCACTCTGTTGCCTAGGCTGGAGTTTAGTGGCACAATCTTGGCTCACTGCAAACTCTACCTACCACGTTCAAGTGATTTTCCTGCCTCAGCCTCCCAGGTAGGTGGGATTACAGGCATGCACCACCACACCCAGCTAATTTTCATATTTTTAGTAGAGACAGGGTTTCACCATGTTGGCCAAGCTGGTCTCGAACTCCTTGCTTCAAGTGATCCACCCACCTCAACCTCCCAAAGTGTCGGGATTACAGGTGTGAGACACCACACCCAGCCAAAATATTACTTTATTACTCTTCCCTACTAACTTAAAATACAAAAGGGCTAAGGTTTTTTTGTTGTTTTTTGGGGTCTTTTTTACCTTTGAATAAAGCTGACCTAAAGGTCACAGTCTTGCTAATTGAAATGTCTTAATCAGGTCTTAAGACTACAAACAAGCAAAGTGTTACATATTGGTCCTTTATTGCCATGAAATTTATTCCAAGTCCCTTCACAGTGGAATTTTTGAAACTGCTCCCAGCTTTCATGTCCCCAGAGAATCTTCATCCCTCCATCTTGCCAGCTAGGTCCTTACTACCTAAGGTTACCTAAGAGCGACTTGACCTTATACAAAACAAGCAGGAATGAAGAGGATAAAGGGAGAAGGAAAAAGTGCTACAGCAATCCCAATCATTACTAATTCCGCAACCCGTAACTCACCTCCGGGATAGGATGGAGCTCCCCCTGGCTGTGGGGCACCAGGATAGCCTCCAGGGGCTGGATAACCTCCAGGCGCAGGGTAGCCTCCAGCTCCTGGGTAGCCACTACTTGGCACTTGTGGGTAGGCACCTCCTCCCATTGGAGGAAAGCCACTAGGATAAGGATACTGACCAGAAGGGGGAAAAGATGACTCCTGACCTGCAGGCTGAAAAATCAGAATAATTTTTAAACAAATACGATCATAGAGAAATATGACCCATCTAAAAATAAGGAACAAACAGAGGTTATTATTAAGGTCTACCTCATTCTTTTACTTTTTAAAAGTCCCATTAGAAATCCTGGTATCTTATACTAGTTTATCAGTATACCAGTTTGTAAGGACACTTGTTTGTCAGAATTCAGTTAAATTTAATTCTACTTGAGTCAGGCAAGAGGGGTCTGCTTCTCTATTTGGGAGTCAGAACAGGATTCTTTACAAACCTCAAGGTTTTAAGAAAAAAAAAAAACTCATCAGTTCCTTCATTTTCCCAGCATCTACAAATATGAGAAAGATCCTCCTCTATATCCTAAACAGAGGAATTTGAGGCTTTCTTGCAACACATCTGGATCTGTTACATAATATTTAAAAATAAAAAAGGTAACCTGTATATCACATCACACACCGGATGTGACATTTTGGACTTCATGGTTCAGAGCAGCAATATGCAGAGTGGCAGAGATTGTTGCATGTTCACTGAACTCTTTCTCCCCAGGCCACAAAGCTATACAGACTACACTTCCCAGACCCCCTTGCAGTTAGGTCGAACCACATGAATGAATATCAGTAAATGAACATAGACAAAAGTGAGATACACCACTTTCTAAACCTGTCCCCTAAAAACCTCTGGCAAATCCTCCATGCTCTCTCTCTTCCTTCATCTGCCACCCATAAGCAGAGGATCCAGTGGAGGACTCCAAAGTGCTAAAGGATGGTAGGATCAGAATAAGGAAGGAGCCTGGAAACCCAAAACACTGCATGAAACAAAGCCTCGTCCCACCCACCCCCTATCCTCCACTGACGTCCAGGAAACTGAAGAAAGAAATACATTTGTTTTTTCATCGTGTTAAGTCACTGAGATTTGGGAGTTGTCTGTTTTAGCAATTAGCCTACACTGACTGAAATAGTTACTACAGTCCTGTTTAATACATAGGGACTTGGGAACATATCCATAATTCTCATCTCTCCTATGATAAATTCACGAGAGCTATATAATCACTTTGCATAAGGATACATATTATCATAAACTTGTATAGACCCCTCTTCCTATTCTCCCAGGGTTAGATAGCAGCCCCACAGTTATGAGTATAAAACCAAAATGTGGGCTGGGCTAAGTGGCTCATGCCTGTAATCCCAGCGCTTTGGGAGGCCGAGGTGGGCGGATCACGAGGTCAGGAGATTGAGGCCATCCTGGCCAACATTGTGAAACCCCATCTCTACTAAAAATACAAAACCTAGCTGGGCGTGGTGGCACGTACCTGTAATCCCAGCTACTCAGGAGGCTGAGGCAGGAGAATCGCTTGAACCCCAGGAGACGGAGGTTGCAGTGAGTCGAGATCACACCACTGCACTCTAGCCTGGTGACAGAGCGAGACTCCATCTCAAAAACAAAAACAAAAACAAAAACAAAAAACTGAAATGTGGCCAGGCGCAATGGCTCATGCCTATAATCCCAGCACTTTGGGAGGCCAAGGAGGGCAGATCATTTGAGGTCAGGAGTTTGAGACAAGCCTGGCCAACATGGTGAAATTCCGTCTCTACTAAAAATACAAAAAATCAGCCAGGCACAGTGGCGGGCACCTGAAATCCTAGCTACTCGGGAGGCTGAGGCAGGAGAATCACTTGAACCCAGGAGGCATAAGTTGCAGTGAGCTGAGATCACACCACTGCACTCCAGCCTGGGCGCACAGCGAGACTCCATCTCAAAAACACAAACAAACAAACAAACAAAAACTGAAACGCACAATTCTTACTTATGGCTCAGCTCTTAGTCCTCAGAGTAGTATAGCTATCAACAAGGTGGAACTTAGTAGCACATTTATAAAACGTACTCCAAGTCTAAGAACTACAAATCCACTGCAATTTATCTCTGGGTCTAGCCAAGCCGTTAATTATTTTAAACATTCTAACACAAAGGTTAAGATGCAGTGATATTATGACTCAAGGGCATTAAAAAAAAGAAAAAGAACCAGTGATTCATGGGATGGATTTTGCTTACATCCATGTTTTACTGGCTCATACAGCAGTTAACATTTTTTAAAACTAACTCCTAAATTTTGAACCTTTGGGCAATTTCACATAGAACCCAAGTTTCTGGCTTTACTTGAAGGGCTGGAGTATCTAGCAACGCTGAGTGTGCCTCCCTCCATGGCTACACAGGGCTGGTGCTAAGCACCTGCCAGCTTTCAATAGACAAAGCAAGACCTCTCTAGTCCCCCACACAATTGCCTTTCCTCACTTCTACGTAGTACCTCTGAGCATCTGAATTTATGACCCCTGCTCAAGCATATCTGTAAGATCTGACATGGGCCAGTCCCAAACAACACCTGTTTTAAGGATGTGAGGTATTAAGTGGCAATACTTACAGGATATCCAGGGAAAGGTGGGTAGCCTGTTGGGGGATAGCCTGGGTATGACATTCTGTAACAACAATAAAAAATGTCCTCTGTAAGTTTTTTGTTGTTTTGTTTTGTTTTGTTTTGTTTTTTGAGACGGAGTCTCACTCTGTCACCAGGTTGGAGTGCAGTGGCGTGATTTTGGCTCACTGCAACCTCTGCCTCCGGGTTCAAGCGATTCTCCTGCCTCAGCCTCCCAAGTAGCTGGGACTACAGGTGCACGCCACCATGCCCAGCTAATTTTTATATTTTTTGTAGAGATGGAGTTTCACCATGTTGGCCAGGATTGTCTCAATCTCTTAACCTGGTGATCCACCTGCCTCAGCCTCCCAAAGTGCTGGGATTACAGGTGTGAGCCACCGCGCCCAGCCTGTAATTTCTTATAATGGTTAAGGCCTTTGAAAACATACAGATATACACACACATACACAACACACACACACACACACACACAAGGTTTTATGCAAAATATTTCTCTTTTCAAAAGAGTCTGGCATAAAATTAAAATGTGGATATTAGGGGTATAAGCAAAGCTTATTAAATGCTTATTTCATCATTCACACCAATGGAGTCAGTACAGCCTAGAAAGGTTCCAACTTTGTCATGCCATACAATTTTTGTCACATCTCAATTCTACCACTACTATACCAATACTGAACTATTCTTCTTTTCTCTTTTTTTTTTGGAGACGGAGTCTCACCCTGTTGCCCAGGCTGGAGTGTAGTGGCACAATCTCAGCTCATTGCAACCTCCGCCTCCCGGGTCCAAGTGATTCTCCTGCCTCAGCCTCCCGAGTAGCTGGGATTACAGGCGTCTGCCACCATGCTCGGCTAATTTTTTGTTATTTTTAGTAGAGATGGGGTTTCACCATGTTGGCCAGGCCGGTCTTGAACGCCTAACCTCAGGTGAACCACCCACCTTGGCCTCCCAAAGTGCTGGGATTACAGGCGTAAGCCACCTCACCCGGCCAAGGCTTCATCTTGGAAGCAGAGGGCAGTCCTCACCAGATGCCAGCACCTTGCTCTTGGACTTCCCAGCCTCCAGAACCACACCTGGCTGATCTATTTTTCTTTAAGCCAATTTTTAATTCCATTTATGTTAAAAGTATGCTTATCATCAGCATACTTTTAAATATCAGCATACTTTTAAATGGAAAACTTCCAGTAGTTTTCTTACCACAAATAGAAGGTAATATTAAAATAAATACTTAGCTATTACAATAAAAAGTCCTTTCTAGGTGCCACAGAAATCCCCTCATATGGTGATATAACCACATTATGGGAAACAATGGTACAATGGTTAAGAGTTAACATTCTGGAGTCACATATACGTGGATTAAACCCTAGCTTTCTTTTTTATAAACTTTTTATTTTTGAGACAAGGTCTTGCTCTGTCACCCAGGCTGGAGTATAGTGGCACAATCACAGCTTGCTGCAGCCTTGACCTCCTGGGCTCAGGTGATCCTCCCACCTCAACACCCCCCCTCCCCACCCCGTAGCTGGGACCACAGGTGCGTACCACCATGCCTGGTGAATTTTTGTATTTTTTTTGTAGAGATGGGGTTTCACCGTATTGCCCAGGCTGGTCTTGAACTCCTGGGCTCAAGCGATCTGCCTGCTTCAGCCTCTCAAAGTGCTGGGATTACAGGCCTAGCCTCAAATTACTGTTTTAACGACATTTTGAAAATAATTCCTGTGTAGTTATGCTACCAATTTGACACACGTTAGGTCCATTTGTTTCATTTTGCTTTTGACTTTTAAGGTTTAAAAAGTTTTTGATTTAGTTTTGTAATTATGTAAAACATTCTCTGGATTCTAAAGTCAAATCTACAAAACAAGATATGTTCAGAAACCTGTTAACTTCTAACCCTGTCCCTTACTATCTCCTACATATGATTACTTTTACAGTTTATCTACCTATCTTTAAGTACATAAGCTGATATGTCTATATTTGTATCCCCATTCCCCCATTCCATTCTTACATAAAAACTCTGTTTCTTTTTTTTTTTTTGAGTCGGAGTCTGACTCTGTCGCCCAGGCTGGAGTACAGTGGCATAATCTCAACTCATTGCAACCTCTGCCCCTTGGGTTCAAGTGATTCTCCTGCCTCAGCCTCCCAAGTAGCTGGGATTACAGGTGCCTGCCACCGTGCCTGGCTAATTTTTGTATTTTTAGTAGAGATGGGGTTTCACCATCTTGGCCAGGCTGGTCTTGAACTACTGACCTGGTGATCCACCCACCTTGGCCTCCCAAAGTGCTGGGATTATAGGCGTGAGCCACTGCTCCCGGCACATACTCTGTTTCTTTACTGGCTTTTTTCTTTTATTATGGCCAACACCCACACTCTTCATTCCTTTTTAAAAACAACAACATAGGCCAGGCACAGCGGCTCATGCCTGTAAATCCCAGCACTTTGGAAGGCTGAGGCAGTAGAATCTCTTGCAGCCAGAAGTTTGAGATCAGCCTGGGCAACAAAGAAAGACCTCATCTCTACAAAAAGTAAAATAATTAGCCAGGCATGGTGGTGTGCACCTGTAGTGCCAGTTATTCAGAAGCCTGGGCAGGAGGATCACTTGAGCCCAAGACTTCAAGGCTGCAGTGAGCTAGGATCGCACCACTGTACTCCAGCCTGGGCAACAGAGTGAGACCGTGTCTCTTAAAAAAAAACAAAACAACAACAACAAAAAACCACATAGTACTTCAGTGTGTGGATGTATCATGGCTTATTCAATGGCAGACATCTGAGTTATTTCTAGTCTTTTAACTATTACAGTCTTGCAATGAACAGCCATGTACAAGTACCTCTCTGTATATTTTGCCAATACTATCTTCGGGGAAGATTCCTAGAAATGGCATTGCTGAGAAGGGGTAAAGGTGAATGTGATACTGCCCAATTCCCCTCCAGAGGGGCTGTACCAATTTGCATTTTCACCAGCACTGCCAACAGAATTTTCCATCTAACATCCTGGATTTCCAGCTGTGTGAATATGGGCAGTTACTTAGCTTCTCAAAGGAAGTTACTTAGCCTTTTTAGGCCTTCATTTCTTCATCTATAAAATGGGACGTGAACGTACCTACTTAAGGATGTTGTTGTAAGAATTAAGTAAAAGAACAAAGGCAAAGCATTTAGCAGTGCCTGCAATAAAGTAAGTCCTCAGTAAGTGTTAACTGCTATGATCATAGAGAACTGTGATAGATAATACAAGAATATTAAAAAAATAATTAGCATGAAGTTTGGCTTTTATTAATTCATTATAACACTTTCAGTACATTTACTTTCTCAATTTTATTAGACTTAGAATAATTTTAAAATTAGAATGCTTTCTGATGGAAAAAGAAAGTAGGGTGGTAGAGTGTGGTTAGTCTGAGATTAAGGAGGCATTCATATATTATCTATTCTGTGATAATAATGGTGATCAAAAGTTGATAGTCTTCTGATCAGCAAACATAACACTGGAAATATCTTTTAAAAACTGCAGTCTGTACCAGAAAGTTTGAAAGTTATGTTCTTCAAAAGGTGCTCATTTCCATTTGGAAAAGTAAACAATAACCTGCACATCAAGTGATGTTAAGACATTACTATTTTTTTGGTGTGATAATGGTACTATGATTTTCATCAAGTATTCTGATCTTTTAGAGATACACATTAAGTATTTACAAACAAAACGATACGATGTCAGGGATTATGCCAAAATAATATGCAGGAATATTCTATATAATATAGTGCAGGAATTTAGACATAATAAGCAGTCAGGAGTTGATAACTGCTCACGCTGGGTGATGAGTACATGGGGATTCATTACACTCTCCTGTCCATTGTTGAAAAGATGGCTCATGTAAAATAAATGGAGCTAGTGTGGATAAAGACAAATATCCCTATATATATATATATATATATCTTTTGCATTTGAAGAAAACACTATTAACCTAAAGCAAATGTAAATAAACAGAGAAAAAAACAAACATTCAAAAGAATACCCTCTTAGCCTGATCAAATCTAAAACACGGCCAGGCGCAGTAGTTCACGCCTGTAATCTGAGCACTTTGGAAGCCAACGCAGGTGGATCACTTGAGGTCAGAGACCAGCCTGACCAACATGGTGAAACCCTGTCTCTATTAAAAATACAAAAATTAGGGCCGGGCGCGGTGGCTCACGCCTGTAATCCCAACACTTTGGGAGGCTGAGGAGATCACAAGGTCAGGACATTGAGGCCATCCACGCTAACACAATGAAACCCCATCTCTATAAAAAATCCAAAAAATTAGCCGGGTGTGGTGGCATGTGCCTGTAGTCCCAGCTACTTGGAAGGCTGAGGCAGGAGAACCCCTTGAACCCAGGAGGTGGAGGTTGCAGTGAGCCAAGATTGCACCACTGCACTCCAGCCTGGGCCACAGAGCAATACTGTCTCAAAAAAAAAAAAAAAAGGCTGGGTGCAGTGGCCCAGGCCTGTAATACACCCAGCACTTTGGGAGGCTGAGGTGGGCGGATCAACTGAGGTCAGGAGTTCGAGACCAGCCTGGCCAACATGGTGAAACCCTGTCTCTACTAAAAATACAAAAATTAGCCAGGCGTGGTGGCATGTGCCTGTAAGCCCAGCTACTCAGGAGGCTGAGGCAGAATTGCTTGAACCCAGGAGGCAGAGGTTGCAGTGAGCCAAGATCACACCACTGCACTCCAGCCTGGGTGATAGGGCAAAACTCCATTTCAACAACAACAAAAAAATCTAAAATACTATTAGTGATCAGATATAATATACCTGGCAAATACATCTATATAAAGTCAGTAATCACTTTTTTGGCATCTACAAGAAAACATTGCTACAAGTGGAGAGTGAATGATCAAAGGTTTAAACCAGGCTTTTAAAGGTGCTAGACACAGATAGGCAAGAAAGTAGAACAATGTTATTTGCAAGGCAAAAGGTGAGACGTAACTGTGAGACGGATGATCACCAAAATAGACTAAGGAGCAGATTAAGACAGAAGTCAATCAGGAGGCTTTCTGTATGTGTATAATAAAATACTCGTCATTCTCCACCACACCACTCTTAACATCCTTTATCTGTCAATAGCACCACTACTTAAATTACCTAATACTCCAGTATAGTAAGAAACCCAGTATTTTTCTCTTCTTTTTTTTTTTTGAGACAGAGTTTCGCTCTTGTCACCCCAGCTGGAGTGCAGTGGTGCAATCTCGGCTCACTGCAGCTTCCACCTCCTGGGTTCAAGCAATTCTCCTGCCTCAGCCTCCTGAGTAACTGGGATTACAGGCGCCCACCACCACACCCGGCTAATTTATTGTATTTTAGTAGAGACAGGGTTTCGTCATGTTGGCCAGGCTGGTCTCGAACTCCTGACCTCAGGTGATCTGGCCGCCTCGGCCTCCCAAGGTGCTGGGATCGCAGGCATGAGCCACTGCGCCCGGCCAAAACCAGTGTTTTTCTATCCATCCTTTGAAATGCCTCTTCTGTAATTTCTGTTCTCATGGTCATATACTTAGACCAAGTTTCATCACTTGATGCCTGTCTTACTAAAACTCCTCCTCTGTTTATATTCTTGCTTATACTCTGTCACCCTCCCAATTTTCTCAGACACTGTCACTAGCTAAACTTTCCTAAAATGCTGCTCTTTCAGCAAATTGCTCTTCAGCTCAAAAATCATCAATGACTACTGCTGGAGTATCAAATGAAAATTAATTGGCCTGATATACAGGTCTCCTTAGTACTGGCTCCAATTATTATTATTATACATATATTTTTGAGATGGTTTCTTGCTCTATCGCCCAGGCTGGAGTGCAGTAGTGTGACATCAGCTCACTGTAGCCTCGAATTCCTGGGCTCAGATGATCCTCTCATCTCAGTCTCCTGAAGAGCTAAGACTACAGGTGCACACAACCATACCTGGCTAATTTTTTGTATTTTTAGTAAAGACGGGGTTTCGCCATGCTGCCCAGGCTGGTCTTGAACTCCTGGGTTCAAGAGATCCACCCGCCTCAGCCTCCCAAAGTGCTAGGATTACAGGCATGAGCCACCACACCCACCCTCTATTTATCTATTTAACTCATTTCTTACCAACACCTAACCCTCAACGTGAAATCTCTATCACTTGAACCATTCCCAGCATTCCTTTGCTTAAGCCATTCTTATCATTAACTGACTTGGCCCTCAAGCCTGGGCTTACTCACCCCTCCTATCTAGCTCAAGTCTCCTCTCTTCCTTCTTTGAACAACGTAGTTGACTAAAATAGTGTTTCTCAATGTTTTCTTTTTGAGACAGTCTTGCTCTGTTGCTCAGGCTGGAATGCAGTGGCACAATCTCGGGTCACTGCAGCCTCCACCTCCTGGGTTCAAGCGATTCTCCTCCTTTAGCATTCCAAGTAGCTGAGACTACAGGTGCGCACTACCACACCTGCTTAATTTTTGCATTTTTAATGGAGACGGAGTTTCACCATGTTGGCCAGGCTGGTCACAAACTCCTGACCCCAAGTGATCTGCCTGCCTCAGCCTCCCAAAGTGCTGGGATTACAGGCGTGAGCCACTGTACCTGGCCTCAAACTTTAATGTGTATATGAATCCCTAGGGATCGTGTTAAAATAGAGATTTTAATTCAGTAGCTCCAGGATGGGGCCTGAGATTCTGCATTTCTAAAGCTTTCAGGTGATATGGATTCTGCAGGTCTGTGATTCACACTCTGATACCAGAATACTTTGGGATTTCTGGATCTACACCTAATTTTCTAAATTTGTAAATATATGTTTTGGCACTTTTCATCAATACAGCTGTAAATGATTCATATTTCTTTTATATCAGATGCCAAATAAACCCAACTCAAGTCAACATTTATGAAAGTCCACTGTGTAATGAGCACTGTCCTAGGTGCTGATAGAAAGATTAAGTATTCAGCCATTTGAGTACACAGTATAGGAAAATGAGATAATATAGTGTCCCTTATGACAGGAACACAGGATAGAAGCTAAAAATGTGCTGAATTGAGAATAAACGGACATAGATTGAATCAAGGCTATAAGTCAATAAGAAACATAAAATGATATGAAAACTGACCCAGTCAATTATAAAATAATCATTTGGGATCCCAAAGGGCTGGATATAAAAACAGGGACAGGCTGAATTTTTTTGCTTTTTTCTTTTCTAAGCCTGGGTTTGTATAAAGAGTAAAGGAGGGGCAAAAGCTCTAAAGAATGGTCAGATAGGCCAGGCGCAGTGGCTCACACCTATAATCCCAAAACTCTGGGAGGCCAAGGTGGGAGGACTGCTTGAGCCAAGGAGTTAAAGACCATGCTGGGCAACATAGTAAGACCTCGTCCCTACAAAAATATTTTAAAAATTACCCAGTGCAGCGGCGCCCACCTGTAGTCCAAACTATTCAGGAAGCTGAGGTGGGAGAATTGCTTGAGGCCAGGAGGTCAAGGCGGCAGTGAGTCGTGTTTGCATCATTGCACTCCAGTTGAAAGAAAAGACAAGACAAGACAAGGAAAAAGAAAAAAAAAAAGAAAGAAAAAGAAAAGTAGATAGACCAAGGGCAAAAGGGTCAGGGTCAAAATAAAGGAAAAAAAAATCTGAAAATAATTTATGAGATAAATTAATAGTAATTTGAAAGGCAATATGCAGTTACAGTACCAAAGACATCATAAGCAATTTAAATTTCTAAGTTTCAAGAAATTGTTCCAGTGACAAGACCTATATCTAAATTCTTTAGCTACTATCTTAAATCTTACCTTTAAGAGCCTGGAGGAATTATGTCAACAAAAATGAAAATAAGGCAAAGATTATCTGTATATAATAAAAATTAAAGCTATTTTAAGAAAGTGAATTTTGGTACATTTTGAAAAATAATTATATAAAAGACTAGAATGCAATTCCATTTCCAGGAATGTACCTTATAGAAATACTTGCACAAGGACAAAATTATATATGTACAAGGCTATTCACTGCAGCATTTTTGTAATAGGAAAAGGTTAAAAACCATGTGAATGTCCATCAATAAGGGACAGGTGTCATCCCAGGGATGCTGGAATGATTTAACATATGCAAGTCAATAAATGTGATGTATCACATAAACAGAATTAAAAACAAAAACCATATGATCTCAACAGATGCAGAAAAAGCATTCAACAAAATCCAGCATCCTTTACAATAAAGAACTCAACAAATGAGGCATAGAAAGGACCTAACTCAAAATAATAAAAGCCATATATGACGACAAAGCCAACATCATACTGAATGGGGAAAAGTTGAAAGCATTCCCCCTGAGAACAGGAACAAGACAAGGACATCCACTTTCACCACTCCTATTCGACATAGTTCTGGAAGTATTAGCCAGAGGGAAAGTAGGGGAAAGCAATAAAGTGTATCCAAATTGGAAAAGAGGAAGTCAAACTATCACTGTTTGCAGATATTATGACTATATACCAAGGAAATCCTAAAGACTCCAACAGACTCTTAGATTTGATAAATGAAATCGGTAAAGTCTCAGGTTACAAAATCAATGTACACAAATCAGTAGCACTGCTATATACCAAAAACGTCCAAGCTGAGAATCAAATCAAGAGCTCAATCCCTTTTATAATAGCTGCAAAAATAAAAAATAAATAGAATACCTAGGAATATGCTTCACCAAGGAGATGACAGATCTCTACAAGGAGAACTACAAAATACTGCTGAAAGAAATCACAGATGACATAAATGGAAACTCATCCCATGCTCATGGATTGAAAGAATCAATATTGTGAAAATGACCATACTGCCCAAAGCAATCTACAGATTCAATGCGATTCCCATCAAAATACCAAGATCATTTTTCACAGAATTAGAAAAAACAATCCTAAAATTAATATGGAACAAAAAACAGCCTGAATAGCCAAAGCAATTCTAAGCAAAAAGACAAATCTGGAGACATCACATTACCAGACTTCAAATACACTACAAGCCTATAGCTACCACAACAGCATGGTACTGGTTTAAAAGTAGGCACATAGACCAATGGAACAAAATAGAGAACTCAGAAATAAAGCCAAATACATACAGCCAACTGCTCTTTGACAAAGCACACAAAAACAAAAATTGGGGAATGGACATCCTATTCAATAAATGATGCTGGGAAAACTGGCAAGCCACATGAAGAATGAAACTGGATCCCTAACTATCATCCAATGCAAAAATCAACTCAAGTTGATAAAAGATTTAAATATAAGACCTGAAACTATAAAAATTCTAGAACATTGGAAACAGTCTTCTAAACACTGGCCTAGGCAAAAAATTCATGACTAAGACCCCAAAAACAAACGCAACAAAAACAAAAATAAATAGATGGGACCTAATTAAACTAAAAAGCTTCGGCACAGCAAAACAAATAATCAACAGAGTAAACAGACCACCCACAGAATGGGAGAAAATATTTGCAAACTATGCATCCAACAAAGGACTAGTATCCAGAATCTACAAGGAACTCAAATCACAAAGAAAAAAAAACAATTGCATTAAAAACTGAGCAAAGGACATGAATAGACATTTCTCAAAAGATACACAAATGGCCAAAAAACATGAAATAATCATTAATAATTCAACATCATTAATCATCAGGGAAATGCAAATTAACCACAATGAGATACCACCGTGCTCCTACAGGAATGGTTATTCTTAAAAAGTCAAAAAATGGGCCGGGCGCGGTAGCCCCCATCTGTAATCCCAGCACTTTGGGAGGCCCAGACGGGCGATCACCTGAGGTTGGGAGTTTGAAACCAGCCTGACCAACATGGAGAAACCCGTCTCTACCAAAAATAACAAAATTAGCTGGGCATGGTGGCGTGTGACTGTAATCCCAGCTACTTGGGAGGCTGAGTCAGGAGAATTGCTTGAATCCGGGAGGCGGAGGTTGGGGTGAGCTGAGATCACGCCATTGCACTCCAGCCTGGCAACGAGAGCGAGACTCCATCTCAAAAAAAAAAAAAAAAAAAGTCAAAAAACAATAGATGTTGGTGTGGATGTGGGGAAAAGAGACCGCTTATTACACTACTATACAGCCTCTACAGAAAACAGTATGGAGACTCCTTGAAGAGCTAAAAAAGATCTACCATTCAATCCAGAAATTCCACTGCTGGGTATCTACCCAAAGGAAAGAAAGTCATTATATGAAAAAGACTTTTGCACATGTATATTTATAGCAGCACAACTCACAACTGCAAAGATGTGGAACCAATCTAAGTGCCCATCAACTGAGTGGATAAAGAAAATGTGGTATATATAAACCATGGAATACTACTCAGCCATTAAAAGGAACAAAATAATGTCTTTTGCAGCAACTTGGATGAAGCTGGAGGCCATTTTTCTAAGTGAAGTAATACAGGGGTGGAAAACCAAAAGCCGTATGTTCTCACTGTGTAAGTGGAAGCTAAGCTATGAGTATGCAAAGACATAGGTATGAAGTGATATAATGGACTTTAGAGACTCAGAAAGGGGAGGGTGAAAGGGGGCTAGGAATCAAAAACTACACATTAGGTACAATGTACATTACTTGGGTGACTAAAATCTCAGAATTCACCACCATATAATTCATCCATGTAACAAAAAACCACTTGTACTCCAAAAGCTGTTGAAATTTTATCTTTTTTTTTGGAGATGGAGTCTTGCTCTATCATCCAGGCTGGAGTGCAGTGGTGTGATCTCCACTCATTGCAACCTCCACCTCCCAGGTTCAAGCGATTCTCCTGTCTCAGCCTCCCGTGTAGCTGGGACGTGCCACCGCACCCGGCTAAATTTTGTATTTTTAGTACAGACAGGGTTTCATCATGTTGGCCAGGCTAGTCTCGAACTCCTGACCTCAGGTGATCCACCCACCTCGGCCTCCCAAAGTGCTGGGATTACAGGCGTGAGCCACTGTGCGGGGCCATTGCTTAAATTTTTAAAAAGGAGGGACAGGTGAAACAGATTATGGATAGCCATACAAGGAGGTGTTATGTGGTTATTAAAAATGAGGCAGCTTTTTCTTTTACCCATATATGAAACCATCTATAACACGTATTAATGAAAAAAAAAAAAGGCAAAGTGAAAAACTGCATAGTGTGCTGCCATTATGTGTAAAAAATGCACTGATTTTGACTTATAGAATATCCCTGAAAGGACACTCAAGGAAGTAGAAAACAGTGACTGCTTCCTGGATGAAGAGCTGGGACACAATGGAGAAGACTATTTACCTTTCTTTTTTCTTTTTTTGAGATGGAGTCTCGCTCTGTTGCCAGGCTGGAGTGCAGTGGCACGATCTCAGCTTACTGCAACCTCCGCCTCCGGGGTTCAAGAGATTCTTGTGCCTCAACCTCCTGAGTAGCTGGGACTACAGGCGCCTGCCACCACGCCCGGCTAATTTTTGTATTTTTAGTAGAGACGGGGTTTCACCGTGTTAGTCAGGATGGTCTCGATCTCCTGACCTCGTGATCCTCCCGCCTAGGCCTCCCAAAGTGCTGGGATTACAGGCGACAGCCACTGCGCCCGGCCGAGACTTACTTTTCAATGTACTTTAGCCCTTTTAGAATTGTACATATATCATTTATTCAAGAGGCAGATTTTAAACGTTTTTGTAAAAAGCTAAATAACACCCAGAGTGACTCAAAAAATTTCTCAACTTTGCCCAAGTGAATAGTAAGTCTAGAGTTTTTTGGGTTTTTTTTTTTTTTGTGACAGAGTTTCTCTCTGCCGCCCAGGCTGGAGTGCAGTGGCGATCTTGGCTCACTGCAACCTCTGCCTCCCGGGTTCAAGCGACTCTCCTGCCTCAGCCTCCAGAGTAGCTGGGATTACAGGCGCGCGCCACCACGCCCAGCTAATTTTTGTATTTTTAAGTAGAGACGGGGTTTCACCGTGTTGGTCAAGCTGGTCTCAAACTCCTCCTGACCTCGTGAATCTCTCGCCTCGGCCTCCCAAAGTGCTAGGATTACAGGAGTGAGCCACCGCGCTCGGGCTTTTTTTTTTTTTTTTTTAAACATTCTCTGTTAGCAATCACTTTTAAAAGACTAGAAAATCATTTTTGGTTTTCCAAACCACCTCCACCCAGTGAGTCAGTTAGTAAAAGGGCTGGGTCTCACCGTTTCTCATTGATGGCATGAAGCCCAGGAACCCAAGAGGCAGCTGTTGCAAATTTATGGGGGAAAAAATACACGAAACAGGAAGGGTGACTGAAGATACGCGCAACAGCGAATACAATTTTGCAAAACCGGCTTCTAGGTATGGTAGGATCATTTAAATCCGTCAGTGATGTGGAGAAAGAACATGGAGGCATGGCTAGTCCTCTGCACGGACAGGTAGGTAGCCAACCACCAGTGAGGACTGAAAGACAGTCCTCACTGAAAAGGACTGAAAGTTTGCAGTGGCCAAAATTATCTCTTTTACCTATTCAGTGCTTGAAACTCTTTCCTTGCCTGGAAGGTAACTCATTACACTCATCATCTAATTCGGACACATTTAGCAGATTAGCTGGCCATCAGCTGGCAAAAATCAGGGCGTTTACGGCAGTCGGAAGACAACAGCGTCATGTCTGTCACTTTACGGTGGACATCAGCCATCTACCTCTGCACCTTGGTTTCCTTGCGCAGTGTTTGCACAGGATGAGCTAATTTCAACACAGATTTGCTGCTGGTCGGGGAACAGCAATCAAATCTGGAATGCTATTCTAGAATAGCTTCCAAGAACTGTAAACGAGAACCAGTGTACGACCTTGGCCTGGCGCATTCTGTCCTACGGTTCACTAAACACAGTAAAAATTTCCCCAAGTTTCCCTAAATTCGCTGTGTCACCGGAAAGTACAGCCACTACCAGCCAGACGGCTTTCAGCACTGCCCGTGCGTTTCCCTACTCAGCCTCCCGCGAGGCAGCTGGGCCACGCTCCGGCCTCAGCCCCTCCACCTGCCCGAGGGCGGGGCGCCACTGGTCCCTGGGATTTCCAAACGGACGGAAGGGCTTCCCGTAAGCCAGGCCGGCCGCCTCACCCACGCCACCCCAACACACCCCGGCCGGCAGCCCGGCTACGAGACGCGCAAACCGAGTCGCCGCCATCCGGGAGGCCCACACTGCCCTCCAGCCGCGCCCCACTAGCACCGGGACAGCAGCGCCCAGAGCTGGCCGAGGGCAAGACCACCGAGGCAGACGAGGTGGGAAAGGGAGGGGGGCGCCGCTCCTCACCTGACCCCAGCAGCAGCGTCACAGCCCAACCCGGTCTCCCGCAAGATGGAGCCGGGGGCGGGCCCAGGGTGGGCGGGGCGTCTCGCGAGCCCGTTAGGATCGCGGCTGCAGCCGGGAACACCCCCGGAGCCGGAGAGGGCGCTGCGGGGAGCGGGCTGTCCCTCAGTCCCGCCCCTAGGCGCCACCTGAGGGAAAAAGACTCTCCCTTCGGGTGGCCCAGCGGATTTTTAATCACATTTATCTGTCGCAAGGACCCTGCACCAATCCCTTTTAAGGCTGCCTCAAGTCACCTAGGAAGTTGCAGCAGTCCTGGGGGTATCCGGGGCCCCTTCAGTGGCGGGCGGTAGAGAAGGGCTGAGACTGGGAGGCTGGTGCAGCCTCCCCGCCTCTGAAATACCGTCCTCCAGGTATTTTCTGGGGACAAAGACGGCGTTTTTTGTTAGCCTCCTGTGAAAGTAATATTTGTGGGAAATCTTAGTTGGAACTGTAGATGAACTAATCAAAATCACTCCCGAAAGGAGTTGTTAGGTGATTTTAGGCTCCCCTCGTGGCTACAGCATTGAACACACATTAGCATTAAACATTTGAGGCAATTACGAGGGCTCAGATCAATATTTTAAACTCGTTAAGGAATTTATATTACAGAGAAAACCAATCAGCTACCTTTTAGAGTGGTAAAAGGTAGCTTCTGGGTGTGGTCCCCCGAACAGCAGCATCACCTGGAAACGTGTTAGTAACGCAGATTATTGAACTCCACCTTAGACCTACTGAATCAAACTCCCCGGGTGGTGCCCAGCAACCTGTTTTAACAAGCCTTCCAGGTGGTTCTGATGCACACTAAAGTTTGCACATCTGATGCACATCAACTTACTTATTCCTCTACACACTTTTCTACCCAAAAGCTTCCTCATGGGGGTGGAATAGAGTGGATTACGATTTTAAATGGGAAGAGCAAGCAAAATATACGTGGCTTCCAAATAGGTGTGTGGAGTGAAAAGTATTTGAGGCAGGTCATTGCCTCATTTAACAATGGTAGACAAAATGCACAACTCTCTAGGTGACCAGCATTAATTCCCCGGCGCCCAACAGTCTGTCTACCTGGAAAATAACAGGACTTTCTGTCCTACCTACCCCAGAGACCTCCAGGATTTAAGCCTTCCCTGAGAAGCCTACTCTGTTCATTCTAGAGTTCCCTTTGTGAGCTCGTTCCAAACCCTCCCTCTGCCTTAAATACCACCATAACAGGGTATTTGCCAAACCTCTTATTTCCAGCCCACTTTCCTGAGCTGCAGGAATAGTCCAATAGTCTACTACGACATTTGCCATTTCATCCTTTCAATTCATCCTTTCTTCCTGGCATAAAAGGCGTTACAGGATCGGAGACCCTTTCCTCCTGCTACCTCTGCTTAGAAAGCACTGCTCATCTTTTAACAATTACTCATCTTAATTAGACTTGTTTTCAAGGTTGCTCATCTCCGTCTTGCTCCAATAAACTCTTCCTGATCTTCTTTTTTGTACTCAACTGGACCATTTTAATTTTTTAATTTTTTTGGAGACAGAGTCTTGCTCTGTCACCCAGGCTGGAGTGCTGTGGTGCGATCTAGGCTCACTGCAACCTCTGCCTCCGGGGTTCAAGCGATTCTCATGCCTCAGCCTCCCGTGTAGCTGGGAGGCATGTCACCACGCCCAGCTAATTTTTTTGTATTTTTAGTACAGATGGGGTTTCGCCATGTTGGCCAGGCTGGTCTCGAACTCCTGGCCTCAAGCGATCCACCTGCCTCAGCCTCCCAAAGTGCTGGATGTATTACAGGCATGAGCCACCATACCTGGTCAACATCTCTGAAGGCCATGGTATGTTCCAGAGTTCATGTGAAATAAGAGCCATCATGCTTCTAATGTGAACATCCCACTGTATCAGAGTCTGGTTTTTTTTTGTTTGTTTTTGTAGTTTTGAGACAGGGTCTCATTCTGTTGCCCAGGCTGGAGTGCAATGGCACAATCTCAGCTCATTGCAACCTCTGCTTCCCAGGTTCAACGAATTCTCCTGCCTCAGCCTCCCAAGTAGCTGGGATTACAGGCATCCGCCACCACGCCCAGCTTTTTTTTTTTTTTTTTTTTTTTTTTTTTTTGAGACAGAGTCTCACTCTGTTGCCCAGGCTGGATGGAATGCAGTGGCACGATCTCGGCTCACTGCAAGCTCTGCCTCCTGGGTTCACGCCATTCTCCTGCCTCAGCCTCCCGAGTAGCTGGGACTACAGGTGTCTACCACCACGCCTGGCTAATTTTTTGTATTTTTAGTAGAGACAGGGTTTCACTGTGTTAGCCAGGATGGTCTCGATCTCCTGACCTCATGACCCACCCGCCTCAGCCTCCCAAAGTGCTAGGATTACAGGCATGAGCCACCACGTCCGGCCTAAATTTTTATATTTTTAATACAGACGGTGATTTGCCATGTTGCCCAGGCGAACTCCTGACCTCAGGTGATCCACCCACCTCGGCCTCCCAAAGTGCTGGGATTATTACAGGTGTGAGCCACCACGCCTGGCCCAGAGTCTGGTATTTAAGTTCATATCCTTTTTGTTCCATTAGAATAGTAATTTTGTCCCTCAGGGACACCTGACAATGTGTGGAGACATCTTTGTTTGTCACAACTGAGGGGAGGTGGTGGGGTTACTAGCATCTAGTGGGTGAAAGCCAAGGATTCTAAACAAGGTACGTATCCTACAATGCCTACAGTCCCTACACAAAGAATTATTCAGCCCAAAAAGTCAATAGTGCTGAGGTTAAGAAACCCTGAGTCAGAGTGATCTTTCTAAAGAATAAATTGGGTCATGTAATTCCCGTGATTAAACTTTTTTAATAGCTTCCCACTGGAACCAGAATAAAATAAAATCCAAACTCCTGATGGTCTATTAAGCCCTAGATAATCTGGTCCCTGCCTACATCGCTCATCTAATCCCTTTTCACTTTTTTTTTTTTTTTTTTGAGACGGAGTCTTGCTCTGTCGCCCAGGCTGGAGTGCGGTGGTGCAATCTCAGCTCACTGCAAGCTTCGCCTCCCAGGTTCACACCATTCTCCTGGCTGAACCTCCCAAGTAGCTGGGACTAAAGGTGACTGCCACCACGCCCAGCTAATTTTTTTGTATTTTTAGTAGAGACGGGGTTTCACCATGTTAGCCAGGATGGTCTTGATCTCCTGACCTCGTGATCCACCTGCCTCGGCCTCCCAAAGTGCTGGGATTACAGGCGTGAGCCACGGCGCCTGGCCTTCACTTTCCTTAATCACTAACCTCTGAACACAGTGGCCTTCGGTCCAAACATACCAAGCTTGTGACCAAATGCACCAGATTCTCAGGACCTTGGCACTTGCTATTGCTTCTACTGGGAATGTTCTCCATGGTGTCATCTCAAATGTGGTCTCCTGGCTGGGTGAGTTGGCTCACACCTATAATCCTAGCACTTTGGGAGGCCCAAGGCAGGCAGATCACTGAAACCCAGGAGTTGGAGACCAGCCTGGGCAACATGGCGAGACCCCATCTCTACAAAAAACACAAAAATTAGTCAGGCATAGTAGTGTGCACTTGTAATCCATCTACTTAGGAGGCTCACAGGGGAGAATCACTTGAACCTGGGAGGCAGAGGCTGTAGTAAGCCAAGATCTCACTACTGCACTCCAGCCTGGGTGACAGAGCCTGACCCTATCTCAAAAAAACAAACAAAAAATGTCATCTCCTCAAGGTATTTCCTGAACATTAGTAGCTGCCACCAGCACAACCACCACTAGCAGCTATGCTCATTATTTAATTTTCCTTATACCACTTAAAAGCATCTGAAATTCTGGCCGGGCGCGGTGGCTCACGCCTGTAATCCCAGCACTTTGGGAGGCCGAGGCGGGCGGATCACGAGGTCAGGAGATCGAGACCATCCCGGCTAAAAACGGTGAAACCCCGTCTCTACTAAAAATACAAAAAATTAGCCGGGCGTAGTGGCGGGCGCCTGTAGTCCCAGCTACTTGGGAGGCTGAGGCAGGAGAATGGCGTGAACCCGGGAGGCGGAGCTTGCAATGAGCCGAGATCCCGCCACTGCACTCCAGCCTGGGCGACAGAGCGAGACTCCGTCTCAAAAAAAAAAAAAAAAAAAAAAAAAAAAAAAAAAAAAGCATCTGAAATTCTGTGTGTTTACTGTTTCTGTCCCCATCTAGAATGTAAGCTCCTTGAGAACAGGGATATCTTTAGAGCCTAGTAGTGAGTGTTTGATAAATAATTGATTGTCTGATTGACTACAATAGGGCCCCCAAAACCCAAGCCAACTACTTCGTCTGGTGATCAGCCAAATACAGATTTATTTCCAGCACTGGGAAAAACTGGCTCTGATAGACCTACTGAGAGAACCCATGTGCTACCCTAAAGGATTTTCAAAGGTAGTTTTGAAAATTTTTTTTCATTTCATATGCTGACTTTAGAAAACATAACTCCATTATATTGTCCTTGCTTATGTCAGTCTCCTATAAGGGCAGAAGCCATCTTAGAATCCTCAGCATTTGACAATAAGCTAGGCATTTGGACTTTTGTGTACTATCACCACCATTCTACTAAATTGGATGTTTTTGCGCCACCTGTTACTGTGTAGTTTCTAATTATATTCTGGCTGACAGATACATCACCCTTCATCCATCACAATCAGCAAACAAATCCTAGATTTTACTTTCATGTTCTACCTGCAAAATGTCACTATTTACTTTACTTGTAGTTAAAAATTACCTCTTGCTCTCCATACCTACTGATATAATCTTAGCTGACACCTACATTATCTCGTCTGAACCATGACAATAGTGTCCTAACTGGATTTTCCATTACCAAACCATCTTACACACTACTGCTAGTTCAATCTGTGTTACTGAGCAAAATTCAAAATGATATTTATCAAATAATAGCTACTAAGGACATACTATTTGCTAGGTACTGTGTTAAGGATTTAAATATCCTTATTTTTTACATTCTCTAAGATTAGAAAAATTTGGTAATAGCTTTATTGAAATATAATTCACCCATATAATGTGTACAATTCAATGATTTTTAGTACATTCAGAGTTGTGCATCTACCACCACAATCAATTTTAGAATGGTTATATCCCATATCCTTTACCCGTCGCCCCCAATACCCCCATCCTTCCCCTCCACATGTAGCCACTAATCTACTTTGTCTCCATAGACTTGCCTATTCTGAACATTTCATATAAATGCACTTGTACAATATGTAGTCTTTTGTAACTGGCTTTCATATTGTAACATGAATCAGTATTTCATTACTTTTATGGTCAAATACTATTTCCTTGTAAGGATTTACCACATTTTGCTTATCCATTCATAAGCTGATGGATATTTTGGTTGTTTTCATCTTTTGGCTGTCATGAATAATGCTGCTATGAATATTTATATACATATGATTTCATTTCTCATGGGTACAAACCTATGAGCAAAACTTCTGGGTCAAATGGTAAGTCAATTTTTAACTTTTTTTTTTTTTTTAAAGAGACAGGGTCTTGATTCGTTGCCCAGGCTGGTCTTAAACTCCTTGCTTTAAGCAGTACTCCTAGCTCAGCCTCCCAAAGTGCTGGGATTACAGGCGTGAGTCATCATTACCTGGCCCTCAATGTTTAACTGTTTGAGGAACTGCCAGACTGTTTTCCAAATTGGCTGCATCATTTTACATTCCCACCAGCAGTGTATGAAGGTTACAATTTCTTCACATCCTCATCAACATTTGTTACTACCTCTTTTTTTCATCATAGCCATCGTAGTGGGTATGAAGTGGTATCTCATTATAATTTTAATTTGTATACCTTAATGATTGATGATGTTGAGCATCTTTTCATGTACTTATTGGCCCTTTATACATCTTTTTTGGAGAAATGTCTGTTCAGATCCTTTGCCCATTTTTAATTGGGTTATCTGTCCTTTTAAGTTGTAGGTCCCTTATCAGATATATAATTTATTAATATTTTCTCTCATTCTTTTTTTTTTTTTTTGAGACAGGATCTCGCTCTGTCACCCAGGCTGGAGTGCGATCATGGCTCACTGCAGCCTCCTGGGCTCAAGCGATCTTTCCACCTCAGCCTCCCAGGTAGTGTGACTACAGGCATGCGCCACCATGCCCACTAATTTTTTTTTTTTTGTAGAGATAGGTCTATGTTGCTTAGGCTCATCTTGAACTTCTGGGCTTAAGCAGTCCTCCTGTCTTTGCCTCCTAAAATGTTGGGATTACAGGTGTGAGCCACCACACCTGGCCTAAAATTTTAAATTTTGATAGTCTAATTTATTTATTTTTATTTTGGTTGCTTGTGTTTTTGGTGTCATACCTAAGAAAACATTGCCAGATAAGTTCACAAAGATTTTCCCCTTTTTTTTCTTTGAAGAGTTTTAGTTTTGGGTATTTGAACCATTTTGAGTTAATCTATGTATATTGTGTGAGGTGGGGGTATAGCTTTATTCTTCTGCATCTGGATATCCAGTTGTCCCAGCACTATTTGTTGAAAAGTCTGTTCTTTTCCCAATTAATTGTTTATGTACCCTTGTGAAAAATCAATTGACCATAAATGTTAAGGTTTTTTTTTTCTTTTTTTTTTTTTGAGACAGATTCTCACTTTTCACCCAGGCTGAAGTGCAGTGGCACAATCTTGGCTCACTGCAGCCTCAACCTCCTGCGCTCAAGCGATCCTCTCACCTCAGCCCCTCAAGTAGCTAGGACTACAGGTATGTGTCACCATGCCCAGCTAATTTTTTTTGTATTTTTTTTAGAGACGGGGTTTTGGGATGTTTCCCACACTGGTCTCAAGCTCCTGGGCTCAAACGATCTGCTTGCCTTGGCCTCCCAAAGTGCTGGGATTACAGGCATGAACCACCATGCCCTGCTATTCTTGTTACAGTCTGAATGTTTTGTGAGCCTCCTCCACCCCAATACATACACATACACATACATACACCACACATACACAAATTCACGTGCTGAAATCCTAACCTCCGGCTTTAGGAGGTGGGATCTTTGGGAAATTATTAGGTCATGAGGGCAGAGCCCTCATGAGTGGGATTAGTGTCCTTGTAAAAGAGGAAAGAGTGAGCTCAGTCGCCCCTTCCACAGTAAGAACATGCCCTTCTCAGACACGAAATCTGCTAGTGCCTTGATCTTGGACTTTCCAGCTTCCAGAAATGTGGAAAATAAATTTGATGTTTACAAGCCACACAGTTTACAGTATTTTGTTACAGCAGCCCAAGCAGACTAAGACAATTCTCAATTCTACTGCACTGACCTTATGTCTATTCTATGCCAGTATCACATTGTCTTGACTACTACTATTTTGTACAGGTTGAGCATCCCTAATCCAAAAATTTGAAATTCAAAATGCTCCAAAATCCAAAGCTTTTTGAGTACCGAGATCCAAAATGGTCCAAAACCTGAAACTTTTGGAGTGCCGACATAGCACTCAAAGGATACGCTCACAGGAGCATTTTGGGTTTTCAGATTAGGGATATTGAACTGCTAAGTATACAATTGATTATAGGTTTTGGAACTGGGGGCCGGGCACAGTGGCTCATAATCTCAGCACTTTGGGAGGCTGAGGAGGGTGGATCTCTTGAGCTCAGGAGTTCAAGACCAGCCTGGGCAACATGGCAAAACCCTGTCTCTACAAAAAATACAAAAATTGGCTGGGCATGGTGGCTTGCACTTGTGGTCCCAGCTACTAGGGAGGCTGAGGTGGGAGGATCACTTGAGCCCGAGACTCTGTCTCAAACAACAAAAAAAAGAAATTGGGATGTGCGAGTCCTCCAACTTTGCAAACATTTTCGTTTAACTTCAATATTAATTTGGGATACTTGGTATTATCTCCATTTTACAGATGAAGAAACTAAGGCTTAGAGAAGTTTAGCTTCCCTTGCAATATAAAATTTGATGGCTGTTCCAGGATTCATACTCAGATCTACAAAAATCCACAATACTCCTATCATCTTATCTCAATCTACCTTCCAGACTTAATTTATACTAATCCCTAAAGGTACCTTCAAATATCCCATATGCTTTTCTGCCTCCAAACTTCTGGTCCTGTTGTTCCTTCCGTCTTGAGTGCCTTGTGCTCTGTTTCAAAAAATTCTCACTCAGAATATTTTCACTATCGTTTAGCAAAATGATCTCTTTCCACTCTATTTTTTTTCTTTGTTTCAAGTTTTAATCAAAGCTTGTATATAAGATTACTTTATTCCTGCATCTTCACAATTGTTTCTTCCTTGTATTTGCCCTTTTCCTTTCCTACTTGGCGAGATTTGGCTTTCCGTTCAAGGATCTTTTTGCGGTCTTTGTCCAGTTTTAGCCTAGTGATGACCACCTTGCTAGGGTGAATGCCTATGTGGACAGTTGTGCCATTAGCTTTTTCCCACTGCACCCATTCATTGTAGATAACATATTTCTTCCTGTAAACCTGGACTACTTTGCCAATTTGCTGATCTTTATAGTGTCCTCATACAACCTGAACTTCATCATCCTTTTGGATGGGCATGCATCGCACGTTGTACTTCTGTCTCAGCTCTTTGGCAAGAGGGGAAGACATAATTTTCCTGTGAATGTGGGAAGGTGCATTGAAATGCCTTTTGCAATTCTTGCTTCAGTCAGAAGTCACAAAGGGATTAAACTTCATTTTGGCCGCTCCTGCTTCAGTGATGGCCGCAAGAGGGAAGAGAGCTCTTTTCACTCTATTTCCTTAGCACCAGAAGCCTCTCTCGTGTTTCTTACTCCATATTATACCTTGCAATAAAGGTATCTCCAAATACATAAATATTATTTCCCTTCCTAAGAATAAACACCATGTCTTATTCACCTTTCAATCTCCCCAAAGCCAAAATACAGTACCTGTAGTATGACAGGTACTGTTTTCAATGAATATATGAAATTCTAAAATTATCCCTATTAGAGTGGGCAATAGAATGTGTATGTATGTGTTGGGTGATGGGCTGTAATATGTGTGTGAGAGACAGTCATGGCAAGATTGTAGGAATGAATACCCAGGAAATGTCCTAATCCTGAGAGTATGATGAGAAAAGGATGACATTGGCTGGGCACAGTGTCTCATGCCTGTAATCCTAACACTCTGGCAGGCTGAGGTGGGAGGATTGCTTGAGCCCAGGAGTTTGAGACCAGCCTGGGCAACACAAGGAGGCCCTGTCTCTAGAAAAAAAAAAAAAAAAAAGTTAGCTGGGCGTGGTGGTATGTACCTGTAAGTCCCAACTACTTGAGAGGATGAGATGGAAGGATCACTTGAGCCCAGGAGTCTGAGGCTGCAAAGAGCTATGATAATGCCACTGCACTCCAGCCTTGGCAACAGAGCAAGACTCTGTCTCCAAAAAGAAAAAAGAAAAAGAAATAAAAAAGAAAAGGATGACATGAGGCAAATGTGTGACAGAGTGGCAGACCCAGAGAACTGATGCTAATTACTCTGTTGGCAAGAGAGAAACTTCCAGTCTTGAGGTGTTATGTGCAGATGAGTAATACTTGCCAGTGAATAGGAAATAAAACAAGTGACTTAAGAAGCCCCAAACTGAGTTTATTGGGGTATAGAATGGGGGATAATAAGTAACTCCAGTATATTCAGGTAAAGTCTGATATAGCTTGGGATATCTAAAATATAACACCAGGGCTACTCTAGGGTCAAAAGTCCCCAAGAGAAAACAGGAAAAGTAGACATTTCTCTCAAAAAAGTCAGGAAACAGGACACTGTACCAATGCTTACAACCTCATCCATGTTCCCAATGACTTCCCTGACTTGTCCATTCTTGCATCACTTCAAGTCATCAACATCTTTCCATTTTTTAGCCCAAATTACTGGATGAGAAGAAAGTCTTTTTCAGAAGAATAAGGTGGTTCTCATTCTTTTTCTCAGTGCCATCTGGTTCCAGTCAAAAGGTAAACTTCTTTACAAAGAAAAGTGTTAGCAACTATAAGCTCTGGAAAGACCAGCATCAGGGCCTCTTCCCACCCACTAAATCTAATTTCCTATCTCTAGAAGCTACTGTGGCTAAACTCTTAGAAACCAGTTACATTGGCTGGGCATGGTGGCTCATGCCTGTAATCCCAGAACTTTGGGAGGCTGAGGCAGGCAGATCACCTGGGGTCAAGGGTTTGATACGAGCCTGGCCAACATGGTGAAACCCTGTCTGCTAAAAATACAAAAATTAGCCAGGTGTGGTGGTGTGCACCTGTAATCCCAGCTACTAGGGAGGCTGAGGCAGGAGAACCACTTGAACCCAGGAGGCGGAGGCTGCAGTGAGTCGAGATCATGCCGCTGCACTCCAGCCTGGGCAACAGAGCAAGACTCCATCTCAAAAAAAGAAAGAAACCAGTTATGTTATACAGAAACTCTCATTCAGCTTAGAATTTTTACCCAAACAGTAAATGAGGTTTAGAATATAATGTTTTTCAAAGTTTGCAAGAACCTGGCATTAGCAGGGTAATTTCATCACAAACTCCCCGTTTTCCAGATGTCCAGTTATGATCTATTTAAATCCCGCCGTCCACTTTCTCTTCTAATTGCCTATTATCCAGCTGACAGGAGCTTCCAAGAAACATGATATAGTATGCACTGCAGTATACTGGCTGCTTGTTGGGACTGGAATAGACCTGTTCAGGTTTGAGGGACATGAAAGGATTAGACCCAAAGGCAGTGATGTGTGTATCCAGTTCCACCAGAATCTGCAAAGAGGATACCAACTCCTGATGGCTGTAGAAGAGAGAGAAGAAAAATTACTCTACTGATTGTGACAGAGATAAAGGAAAAACTGCCCAAGAGCCTGACATTTCTGTAATCACCCATCCCCCAAATTGCCTAAGGCTGGACTAGGCAAGGGCTATCTTTCCCTCCCAAATGTCTCATTAAATATTCCATTAACTAGCAAAGGACTGTTCCAAGGGGATAAAAAAGCCATATGCGGAAAAGAACATCCTCACCAGAAGGTAGATGAGCAAGAGGGGGGCAAAAATGAGCTCATCTATATAAAGAGAGATGTAAAGTCAGGGAAGTATCACAAATAGGATGAGGTCAAAACCTGTAAACAGTAATCAATGTAGGAATCTTATAGTCACGAAGTAGCAGCAGGGTGGGCAGCCAAGCCTCCATCAAGTCTGGGGAGGAATGAAAACCTGTGGAACAAAAATGAAAATGGGAATAGGGAAAGACTAAAGCAGACCCTAAGAGCAAGATATTTCTTTGACTGTGAGCACCCCACCCCTCACCTTGCTTATCCCCAGTCATTATCATCATCATCATCATCCACTCTTCAATGAAAAATTCTGAACCCAAGTGTAGTACATATGGCAAATTATCAAGAAAAGTTGTCATCAGGCTGGGCGCGGTGGCTCACGCCTGTAATCCCAGCACTTTGGGAGGCAGAGGCGGGCGGATCATAAGGTCAGGAGATCGAGATCATCGTGGCTAACACAGTGAAACCCCGCCTCTACTAAAAATACAAAAAATTAGCCAGGCGCCTGTAGTCCCAGCTACTCGGGAGGCTGAGGCAGGAGAATGGCGTGAACCCGGGAGGTGGAGCTTGCAGTGAGCCGAGATCGCGCCACTGCACTCCAGCCTGGGCGACAGAGCGAGACTCCGTCTCAAAAAAAAAAAAAGAAAAAAAAAAAAAGAAAAGTTGTCATCATATTGTGTTTAATGAGACCAAATGAATGGGGTTCCAAAGACAGAAGATTCAGGATGGAAAATTCTCAGGGGAGCCACCCTCTATTCCCCTGAACCAATGACTCTTACCTGGATGGAATGCCGCCACCAAATCTGGATGGTGTGTCTGCCCGGTCTCTACTTGCTCCTCCCAGAAGTCATGGTAGAGGCCCCTGTGGGCACTAAGCTGAATTGTGCCAGGTTCCAGGGGTGAAGTTGAGGTGCTCTGTGAAAAGCCAGTAGCTACATCTACACCCACCATGACCACACGGAGTCCAAGGTGCCCAGGAAACATGTAACCAAGCTCATCATAGTCCCCTGGGCGAGTAAGAAATGTCTCCACATGGGAAGCACCAACCACATGCACTGTGCTTCCCCCAGTCCTCCTAACATCTATCCCCAAGGCCCTAAGTCCTAGGCCTAGAGTCAAGGGCCGTGACAGGACATCTGTCAGCAGCCGCTTCAAAGATCCCTGCAGGACATCCGGGTCTGGCCTTGGCCGTCCTACACTGGCCCATAAGGTGGTCACAGCATGACTAACTAGCACAGCATCCAATGTAGCATCTAGGTGTAACCCCTTCATAGAAAACCAGGAGTCCCAGTCCTGTACAGCTTCAGGTGGCCATGGCCAAGGTCCTGAGGGTAGAACAAAATCACCTGTAGGAAAGAAGAAATAAGAAGTAACCTAATGCTTTCCTGGCTTCAAAATTTCCCCCTCACTAATGATCAATATTCCCTCCATGTTCACTCTGCCAACCTGTGAGCAGGCGTGCCCCATCCTTTGCCCCACTTCCTCATTTTTTCATAACAATATGATTTTGTATCTTCCTTTAAATGCAATCAACTATGACCATTATGGCAGAGATCCTCAACACCACCACTCCACCTGTGACCAGAAGCCATTCCATGAGACGGTCCACAGCCACAAGACGAAGCTCTTGACAAACCCTCCTGTGTGCGGGCCAGTCTGACTTCTGGCACTCTGGACCACAGTAATAGACATTTCTGCACCTGAGAGAATGAGAGAGAAATAGTTCTTATACTATAAATATGATTGGGGTTATCGGAGGAAAGGAACTGATATTCCTGCACCTAGGATGGTGAATGGGTAAGGAAGGTAGGGAGAGGAATGAGAGCTGATGCACCAATTTTGGGGACTACATTTGGCAGACAAGGCAGGAGGGATTGGGAATATAATTATTCTGCCAGACAGAGTGATACCTTACTCTCTATCTGGAACAACTCACTTTTTATATCACTTTTAGAAAAAACACCACGAGTTTGCAGCTGTCCTCTCATAACAGGTATGGTTCAACCTCCACCTCCCCAGAACAAATGTAGTCTTACTCCTTGAGTACTCAAGAGAGAGACAGAGAGGATTGTATTGTGGTTTCTTGTCTCACTTCCCAATAACACCAAAAATAAGCAGGATTAGAACACTGTTCTAATCTCTGTAGCCTGGGTGACAAAAAATGAGGACCTAAGTCTTAGGTTATTTTGAAAACTTTCAGATCTTTCCTCTTGGAATGAGGTTGTAGTAGAAGGTCATTGCTTTTTTTTTTTTTTTTTTTTTTTTGAGACAGAGTCTCGCTCTGTCATCCAGGCTGGAGTGCAGTGTGCAATCTTGGCTCACTGCAACCTCTGCCTCCTGGGTTCAAGCAATTCTCCCACCTCAGCCTCTCGAGTAGCTGAGACTACAGGTGTGTGCCACCACACCAGGCTAATTTTTGTATTTTTAGTAGAGACAGGGTTTTGCTGTGTTGGCCAGGTTGGCCTCATGTGATCCACCTGCCTCGGCCTCCCAAGGTGCTGGAATTACAGGCATGAGTCATCATGCCCGGCTAATACAGGATCATTTCTGAATGTCTCCCTATTAGCCCCCAACAAGTCACCTCTTACAGTGCCGGAGAACCTTGGAGTCTGAAAGCCCACTAGGGAGTGCTCTACAGTGAGCACAGAATCGAAATGTGTCTTCCATCCTCTGGAACATTTCTTGAGGACATCGAAATCCAAAGCCTGATACGGGGGTACCCCCATCTACCACCAACCTGCAGAGACAGCATGGAGAAGGAATGACAATGGGGAAAGGAATATCTCCAAAATCTCTCATGCCCCCCATCTTGTCTCCTACACATTTCCACTTACTCCTATGTCTCCCACTGCCATCATTTTTCACTTAAGTGAATGTTTCTTCTTTTATAGTAATATAGTAACTGGCAAAAGGATGAGAAAATCTCTTATTGCAAATACTCCATATTCACCAAACTGTACTCCCTCTCCACCTTCTGAAATTTACTTCTACCAGAGACAATATATCCCTTTTCCATAGAGCTGGTCACTCACTTATATTCTTCATAGCTTTTCATGTTCAGCTTTTGAAGGATCAGCTGCGATAGGCCAGGAACATTATCATCCAAGGAGAAGAAGCCAAGTGTGTCAATGCTAGGGCCAGGTTTTGAGGGGGTCAGAGGCACAGGGGTCACAATTGTGGTTGGGGCCATGATGATGGGAGCCACTGATGAGGGAGGTTTCTTGTGCCTTCGTCGCCGGGACCGTGGAGCCATGGCCTGTCCAGTGATACCTGGAGATTATATGCAGAATAGACATGGAATGGAATTTTACAAGCTGGACACTTGTGAAGTATTTTCATATGCTTGACCTTTCATTTCTCATTCCAGTCTCTCAGACCCAGGTTATCAGTAAGATTTATTCAGTATTTACTGGTTATTGATCACCATAGGCAGCTGTGGAAAATAGGGAAGAAGTAATTTGTTGTTGTTGTTGTTTTTTGAGACAGAGTCTTGCTCTGCCGCCCAGGCTGGAGTACAGCAGCATAATCTCAGCTCACTCCACCTCCTAGGTTCAAGCGATTCTCCTGCCTCAGCCTCCCGAGTAGCTGGGACTACGGGCAGGCGCCACCAGGCCCGGCTAATTTTTGTATTTTTTAGTAGAGATGGGGTTTCACCATGTTGGTCAGGCTGGTCTCAAACTCCTGACCTCAGGTGATCCACCCACCTTGGCCTCCCAAAATGCCAGGATTACAGGCTTGAGCCACCGCACCCAGCCAAGAAGAAGTAATTTTATATGAATATAATTTACACATAGTAAGTCCTATACATTATATATATATATACACACACATATATATATATAAGTAAATGCATCAAAAAAGATTTGGCAGGGCCCATAGAAAACTGGTAACAGCTGGGCGTGGTGGCTCACGCCTGTAATCCCAGCACTTTGGGAGGCTGAGGCGGGCGGATCACCTGAGGTCAGGAGTTCAAGACCAGCCTGGCCAACATGGTGAAACCCCATCTGTACTAAAAATACAAAAAATTAGCTGGACGTGGTGGTGGGTGCCTATAATCCCAGCTACTTGGGAGGCTGAGGCAGGAGAACTGCTTGAACCCAGGAGGCGGAGGTTGCGGTGAGCCGAGATCGCACCATTGCACTCCAGCCTGGGCAACAAGAGCAAAACTCTGTCTCAAAAAAAAAAGAAAACTGGTAACAGTGATTAACTCTGAATAGTTTAAGAAGGCAGTTAAATAGGAACTGGGCTGATCAAATGGAACTGTATACTTACCTGTAATGTTTGACTTTTTTAATAAGGAGAAAATATTAATATAGCTTTAATGTATTTTAAAACTCAATTTAAAAGAAGAAAAAGCAATAGAAGTTTTAATTCTCCAAAGTGACCATCCAATTGGAGAGTTAGACAGTTTAATATAGAGAGATAAAACATTTATTTTGAAAGACCTATTATCACATGTATAAGCAATAAGCCAAGAAGTAAAAATTAAATGTAATACAAAACGTGCACTAAGAGTTATGTAGTCAAGCAAGTCAGAAAAATTTCCTAAAGTGGTAAGTTTTGAGGTAGAAGTAAGCCTACACTCAGTCACGATCTGGCTGTGACTCTGTGCTGTCCTCTTTCCCTGTCTCATCTTCTGCCATGCCTTCCATAAGAGCTGAGTAAACAGAAAGGACCATATGAGAAAAATTAAAATGTCCATTCATGTAATATATATTTACTGATAAACAGATGAAATCATTTGCGAAACACTATATATAGAAGCAAATATGAGAAATATATATCTAAATGTCTTGCAGGGAGATTAGATGTAGACTATAAGGTACTATATAAATCCAACCAGAAAAGTGCAACTAAAGCACTAATGGGAGATCAGAAGAAGAAAATCTCTTCAGTGGGCGAGAATCTCTTCAGTGGCTTTCTTCATGAAGCAGGTGGCAGTTGGAATAGACCTTGAAAGATGGGAATACTTTGAATACTTGGAAATAGGGAAAAAATAAATTCTAAGCACAGAGGAGAGAATAAACACAGAAATATAGACAGAAACATTCTGCAAATTAATGAAATAGAATGACTCGAGTTTGAATGTTTAAAGTATAAAGACCTAAACTTAAGAAGTAAAACTATAAAAGTCTATGGGGAAAGGTTCATGACATAGGTTTGGCAATAATTTCTAGGATATGACACCAAAAGCACAGGCAACACCACCACCACCAAAATAGATAAATTGGACAGCAAAATTAAAAACTTTTGTGCATCAAAGGATGCTAAACTAACAACAGAGTCAAATGACACCCCAAGAATGGAAGAAAATATTTGCACACCATATATCTGATAAGGGGTTAGTATTCAAAATATATAAAGAATTCCCACAACTCAATAACAAACAAAAAAACCACCAAACAACCCAACTAAAAAATTGGGCATAACATGTGAATAGGCATTTTCCCAAAGAATATATGCAAATGGACAATAAACACAAGAAAATATGCTCAATAGTCATTAGGAAAATGCAAATCAGAACCACAGTGAGATATTACTTCATACCCACTAGTATGGCTATTATAAAAAAAAAAAACAGAAAATGACAAGTGTTGATGAGGATATGGAGTAATTTGAACCCTCGTACACTGCAGGTGAGAATGTAAAATGGTGCCACCACCATAGAAAACAGTACGGCAGTTCCCCAAAAAGTTAACATAATATTACTATATAACCAGAAATTTCATTCTTAGGTATGTGCCCAAAATATTTAAAAACAGATACTCAAACAAATACTTATATGTGAATGTTCATAGCAGCACTATTCGCAACAGCTAAAAGGTAGAAACAACCCAAAGGTCCATCAATGGATAAATGGATAAACAAATTGGGATATAAATATACATATGAAGATGTATATTATTCAGCTATAAAAAGAAATGAAATACTGATACACGCTACAATGTAGAGGAACTTCAAAAAACATTATACTAAGTGAAGAAAGCCAGACACAAAATGTTGTATACATGTTGTATGATGCCATTTCTATGAAATATCCAGAATAGGTAAACCCAGAGACAGAAAGCAGATTGGTAGTTGCTAAGGGCTGGGTGGAAGGGAAAATGGGGAGTAACTGCTTAATGGTTATGGGGTCTTCTTTTGGGGTGATAAAAATGTTTTGGAACAAGACAAAATTGATGGTTGAACAATACCGTGAATACACTAAATGCCATTTAATTGCTCACTTTAAAATTATTAATTTTATGTTATATGATTTTCACTTCGATTAAAAAAGAAAGGAAGGAAGGTATTCATAGAGATTGAGAGGCTAAAAAGTTATTAATCCCCAGATTGTCTTCAGGTACAGAGAAATAACAGAGGATTAAAAACGCTGGCAGTGTGAATGAGGAAACTGTTAAAGTTCAAACCAGGGATCATGTTTTGTTACAAAAATGATCTGACATTTGATCCTTCTAGATCAGATCTGTTAGGAAAAACCTCAGAATCATCATGCAGCTGAGGTGTATGCAGGTGGCAAAAATAAACAAAAAGCTCCCAGAATTATCCAGCTCATATCCATATCTTACAACATGACTCTTAAAAACCTGTCCTCAGGTTAATGGAGGAACAAATTTGTATTTTCCTTTGTACTTTCTATCTCCTCATCCTTATGTTTCCATCCACCCTCTTAATGTCTCCCCTTATCCCATGGGTGAATGGATGGTTTCAGTCCACAGAACAGAAATAGTCAAGCTCATCTGTATACCATATCCTATATATTACCTTCAATGAAGAAATTGGACCTAATGATATTAGATTATCTTAGGGTTTAAGGGTCATGTCCTTTTACCAAAAGAGTAAATGGAATTGCCCTTCACACTTTAGGGCCCAATTTCCAACAACTAACCTCATTCTGTCCTCCACTTTTAATCACCTCACATTCTCATTGCATTTTCAGAATCACTGCCATTCTACAAAAAGCATTTATCTACTCTACCCACCTGCCTCAGGCAAGATAACATTTTCTTTTTCTTTCTTTCTTTGAGACAGAGTCTCACTCTGTCACCCAGGCTGGAGTGCAGTGGTGCGATCTTGGCTCACTGCAACCTCCACCTCCCGGGTTCAAGTGATTCTCCTGCCTCAGCCTCCTGAGTAGCTGGGATTACAGGCTCGCGCCACCATGCCCAGCTAATTTTTGTATTTTTAGTAGAGATGGGGTTTCACCATGTTGGTCAGGCTGGTCTCGAACTCCTGACCTCGTGATCCACCCACCTCGACCTCCCAAAGTGCTGGGATTACAGGCATGAGCCACGGCGCCCGGCCAAGACACCACTTTCTTAAACCTTGAAAGAATGACTTTTTTTTTTTTAAATAGGTATGGAAGGAAAGTGTGATTTGAGACAACTCTAGGGTCTTAAATCCCAGAATTTATAATAGATATCTCCCTGAAGTTAAAACATAAGCCTTTTTGCTGCAATGGAAGCAAGCCACTTAAGGTCAGAAAGGTACTGCTTTACTTTTCCGCATTTCCAAGGTGAGGTCTTCCTCTAAAGGAAGATTAGCTCTTGGCAATCTGGGAGTTGGCTGAACTGGTCAGAAAGCAAAAGGATCACACAGTTTGAGGAAGAGGAGTGGTGGTAAAAATCCCTAATGTCACAGTCTCCTCTGTGTCTAGAGCACAATGTTCATGATACAAATGAGTTAGCTTTCTGGCAGAAAAGAAAGAAGGTGGGTGAGAAGCCAGGTCTTTGATCTGCATCTATATACATCATCAGGTTCATGTTTGAGTTTATATACCCCAGGCCCAGACACAGCTTCCCTGGTTCTAAATCTCCTGTAAAGAGCCCCAGGCTACTCCCTGTTCACAGGTTATAAACTGAGAGAAACAAAGGAAAAAACAGGGGACTCACAGGAGAAGCTGGAAAGAATTGCAGTAAGCTCTTTGAACTTTCCAGAGTCTAGAATGCTCTCCACTTAGAAAGGGAATCCCTTTCATTTTTTTCTAGCCATCCCCAGTGACTTAGGCTCTAATTTAGTCCCAGTATAAGAGAGAGAACACCAACACCAAGAACTGGAGAGGAGACATGATCTTGATTGCCTAGAAAAACTTTTATCCTTCATGTCCAAATTCAAGACAAAATATTAATCTATTCCTAGACCTAGGTTTCCCATCTTCTTCTTTACCACCAAGAGTCCCAAGTTTCACCTAAACTACAGTCATATTTTCACTATCTCCAGATAAGGAGTGCTCATCTAATTTTCTGTAAGTCACCAAAAAATGCAAAACGTCTTTGGAGAGGTAGGGAGAAGGAAGACTGAAACTGGTCATTGGAGATCCTTATAAGGGGGTAGGAAAAGAGAAGGAGAAATACATTAAGGACACTGTAATTATGGCCACATTCAGCTGTTTAATCAGTGATTAACACTGCCTGGGGTGATAAATACTTTACTCAATTATAAACTAAGCAAGCAGACAGGTTGACGGAAAAAAAAACTTACCCTGCTAAGTCCTCAGCTTCCTTCCTTCTCTCTTTCCTCCAAGTGAAATGAGTGCTTGATCTCTTCAGATCTAGGTTGTGGCTTACTTGCAGCTGTCCCTTCATATCACTTTCCTTTGCAAACTGCTGAAATGCTGAGTCTCAGTGATTAAGTGTGCCCTGCCAACCAGACAGACAAGGCTGAATTCTCCCTAATGAGGCAAAGAGGGATCTGTCCCCCTGCCTGAGGGCTTCTCTCTAACCTTTGTTCTCTGCCAAGGGGGCTCAGGACTGTCAACACTCCCAAGTGTTAGCCAAGTAAAGGCCAGGCAGGCTGACAAAAAATGAAACCTGCTGCTTCCTAGACTTCTCTCACTCAAGGCAATATTTCTGTTCTCAGTTTACAGCTTCAGAAGAAAACCCTTTGGATTAGTGCAGAAGTCAATATTTGATTGGAAAGGGTAAGCACCTTTCCAACCAAGTGGGAGGAACCAGAGGACCCTCTGGAGTTCTGTTTGTTGATCTAGACACAGGATGAGTTCCCCCAGGCCTGGTGTCCTTTTTCAGCATAACAAACATTGTTCAAACAAAACTCAACAATGTCCAATCTTGGATTAAGTAGAAGGGAGAAAATAAATGGCCATTTAATGGTACAGAATGAAATCAGTTGTAGGGGAAACATGCAGAATTAACTTGTAAAATTCACTTTCCCTGAAAGAAGGGTAAGATAACTCTCTGAGTGAGAGAGTCATCAGGAGCACTTTACCTGTATTAAGAGAGGAATAAATGCTTCTGGGATATTAAACAAAACCAAAATACTAGTTAATGACTAAAAATACATACTATTTCTAGGAAAAGAAAATAGAAAAGAATCAGCTCAACCATTCTCTTATCCTCCTTGTAATTGCAGCTGATCCAGGAAATTCAATTCCACAGTCCTAGCTTCTTTCTACTTACAGCTAGCCTATCTGAAGTTGTTAGGGCAGTGGTCCTAAAAGACTGCAAGATCTTTCTTACCCTCAAAAAATTTTTTTAAAATTTTTAAATAAAAAAGTTCTGACTTTCTGCTTATATCTGACCCCAGCTCTCACTTACCTGCTTCTTTGAACATCATCAAACTGGGGAACAGAATCACTCGCAATGAGGTCCCGGAATGTGGCAAATCAAATCCACACAGGAACCCCAAACTGTAAAAAGTACAAACTACATGCAGGGAAGGTGGAAGAAAAGTGTTAAGGATTCAACCAAACACTGCATAACATTATGTAGAATAGCTGTGGATAAAGGAAAATCAGTTGCAATAGGCAAAAACCCTAAATAAAATAGGGGTAATTCACTTTGTGCAAAAGTTTCAGGCCAACTTCAAATTTAACAGGCTTCAAAATTTATCTGAGAACCTCAAATGTTTTGAGTTCTGTTAATAATGGCTGAACTGCAGAAGATACAAGACATCAGAGATTGACTTTTCTAATTCAGAAGTTGTCAATGAATATAAAGGAGAATAGTAATATAGAAAAACTTTGATGTTGAATACTTATATTTTACTATCACTATGACTTGCTCTGGTAAACATTTAAAGTTACGAAGTCTGAACTTTTCACAATTTGTATTCATCATGAGTTGCATTTAAAAAATCTTAATAAATGGTATGCTGTGAAATGAATTATGAAGAAAGACTAGAAAGAGGTTCCTATTCAACATGTAGGAAGTGGTCTGTGAGGCACTATGTGATACTTTATCACTCTTCAGGTATTTTGCTTTTCCTGAGTTTGGTTCCTTTCTCTTATTTTCCTCTTAATTTTTACCATCAATCCATAGTTTTTTTGCTAATACTACTTAATGCTCACCCATGATTCCCACAAACACTATATAATGCTAGTTATGTACCTAAGGGCTAGGAAAGTTCCTGGCACCTAATATACTAGTTAAACTCTTACTTACTTTTTAATTTTTCTATTGGGTCTATTTTAGCCAGATAAACTCTTTACTGAATAGCTTTCATAAAACAACATCGACAACAATCTTTAAGGTATGCAACTTTCATAAACAACATAGACAACAATCTTTAAGGTATGCAATGCATAATAACTTTAGAGCCAACTCATGGACTGCTTTGTAAGTTAATATTTTGGCAAGCAGAGAGTTATAATAATTAACAATTTGTGGCCGGGTGCAGTGGCTGACGCCTGAAATCCCAGCACTTTGGGAGGCTGAGGTGGGCGGATCACGAGGTCAGGAGTTTGAGACCAGCCTGGCCAACATGGTGAAACCCCATCTCTACTAAAAATACAAAAATTAGCCAGGCGTGGTGGTGGGCACCTGTAGTCCCAGGTACTTGGGAGGCCGAGGCAGGAGAATTGCTTGAACCCAGGAGGCGGAGGTTGCAGTGAGCCAAGAGCATGCCACTGCATTCCAGCCTGGGTGACAGACAGAGATTCCGTCTCAAAAAAAAAAAAAAAAAAGCAAAAGAAAAAGAAAAAAGAAACAATTTGAGAAGTTCTGTTTGTTACCTGGAATTAGGCAAGCATGTGTGTGTGTGTGTGTGTGTGTGTGTGTGTGTGTGTGTGTGTGTGCGCTTGCCTAATATATTTACATATATTTTGTTTGTTTTTAAGGGATGGGGTCTCACTCTGTCACCCAGGCTGGAGTACAGTGGTACAATCATAGCTCAACACAGCCTGCAACCATGAGCTCCTAGGCTCAAGCAATCCTCTGTCTCAGCCTCCCAAAGTGTTTGGATTACAGGCATGAGCCACTGTGCCCTGCCTATATTTTGACTTAGTGTTTTATAATATATCTCATTGTAATTATTGTTGAGAACTATAATTCAAGTTATTGTATGATTATATAATTTTGAGCAATATCCTAATATCCCTCAATGTGCAAAATCCTATACTTATTGTGATTATGACAAAGAAGAAAGGAATGATAGGAAAATGCAATTATCACTAATATTTTTCTTATTGTTAGAACACCCAGTAAATTCCCAATACCACTATAACAAAATTCTAGACAATAACATATTTTCTTTCAATTAAAAGACAATAAACAGTGATCTTAAATATTAGACTTAGGAGGCCTACAGTAGGCATTCAAAGTCCTCTAGTGCTCAGTTACTAATGCTCATGTAAAACAAGTATATAACAAAAGTTTTTTTTAAGGCAAAATTTATAAAGAATTTAATTAATCAAATTACCATGAACTATCCACGAGATAATCTCCGGAGGACATCCCAGCTCTAGTAACAGGATTTTCTGATTTGCATCAAAAGGACAAATCAGATTGCATCTTCCAAATAAAACCCAACACAGAGATAGGAGCAGCGGCCCATGCATGGAATTTATTGTGTGCTACTGTTTATAAAATACTCGAATAGTCCTGCACATGCATAATATTTCCAACTTAGACAGGAGACCATACAGGGTGCACTTTCTGGCAAACAAAACAATAGATGGTTCCGCTGCCTGGAGCTCTGAGTTGTATTCCAGGGCATGAGGGAAGCAGGCCACCAAAGTAAAGGGAAATACCAAACTACAGTGGCAATCAATACAGGTCAATAATTGTGAAAAATTAGCACATGGTTCCATTTAGTTTAACCAAGCAGTTCAGTAACTATCAAAAGAAAGGTTTCAACATGCAGTCTTGACTTTTATGCTTCCACTAACATCTGAATGATTGAACAGAACCATTGCTTCTAGGCTGCATTGCTTAATCAAAAACACTTCCAGAACATTTTAAAATTTCCTTTGCATTAAAACATAAAAATGATAGAAAGCCAGCAGCAAATCACCCTGGTGGCTCTCTAAGCAACTTGAGTACTCACAATAAACTAAAATTTCTCATAACATCTAGGTAACCTATACATGTCGTACCTGTACATCATAGGTCTATATATTAAATATTTGCAAAATGAAAACATGCATACACAAAATACGTCAAGTTTTACAGACATGATTTGAATTAAAATTTACTTTGACAATGTACAAACTTCTTTTAAAGTACCTTAAATGAGTAATTCTGTAATTCTTCATAATTTTGAAATTTAGAGGTTTTCTTCTTAAATCTCTGGGGTGTAAGTCTTAAAAGATCTGGGCAAAAAAGACTCTAAATTAGTTTTTGGATTTGTGTTCAAGTAAGAGAGCCTGCCTGGAAATAGGATATGCATTCATAATTAAAAAATACCAAGACTATGTTACAGAATTAGCCACATTTAAGAACTATAGACCTGAGGTCAACATTTTGTATAAATGCCAACTGGGTTTCTCGGCATTTTGCTCACAATTCAAAATACAGCTAGTAACCTCAGAAATGTATTTTAAGACCATGCTAATTCATCCTTTAAAGACATTTCATGGAAAAAGAAAAGTCCACATTAGCTCTTAGGATTGCATTTGAAATCATGATTGAAAAACAAAATCTAATTCTACTGAAGGGGAAAAGAAATCTGATTTGTAAACTTAAATGTGTGAACCACAAGCATAAAATGGAGGTGTGGATGCCCTCCACTGGAAATTGCCCCAAGCCCCTTGCTCACTGCTCTCCACCTTGGCAGCGATGACCCAATCTTATCAGATAGCACATGTCCCAGGGCCCTCAAGCCTCCATCCAGGAAGGGGGCTAGGGTCTCAGAAGCACAATGGTTTCTTCAGAGAGACTGTGAAATTTACAGTCAGCTTGGCCGACCCCTCCAGCTCCTCGGGTGATCTGTCCATTTGGGGCCCGAGATGTGAGAGTCCCTGGGAAGTAGTGGGTCACTGGGCAGTATGGTTGCCCGTCCCGTGGTTCTCAGTGGCATGTGCGGTGTTCAGAGAATTGAAACCATCTTGCTGTACAGCATCTTTCCGAGGTGGCATTCTCTCATTGATCCTATCCAAACCCTTTGCCTCTTCAAAACTGCAGATTCTATGTGGTGGAGAGAATCCTCGTATTGCTTAATAAAATGCAAATTTGATAAGTCAGTAATTGAAAAACATTTCTGAGATTTCAAAAACATAATTAATGATTTTTAAGAAGAAAGAAATTAGTAGCTGTAAGTAGCAACACATAAATCTTACTTTAACTGAATCCTATCCTCATTTCAGTCTTTCCTTAAAATGTGAAATGTTTAAACCTAAATATAAACATCATAGCTTTATAGGTGACAAGTGTTAGCAAAGCCTTCCAAAAAATAAAAATACAAAAAAAATGTTAACCCTCTCCTGCCCCCAAAATCAACCTCCAGGCAATGGTCTCAGGGTCTCAGTCTGACTTCTACTATACCAATTATCTCCTACATCAGTCCCTAAGATCACCAGTGACTATCACAGTAAGGCAGCAATGAGAGTAGGGGCAAGTGAGGAGGCTAAACAAGGTTAATCCTCAATATACAAATCTGTACCAAGAGCTTGGGAGGAGAAAGAGTTAAAGAAAGGTTAAAATACAGTAGATCAGAACTATCTTGGAGGTCAAGGTCAGCCCATCGCCACCAATATAACATTAAAAAGGTGGAAGTGCCTCCAAGAGTTAGATCTGTGTATGGCTGATAGCAAAAAAGTATTTATAATCTCGTAATTTAGAAGATGTTCTCCTTAATTCATTGGCCATACTGCACAGTCTTTGGAAACTCAAATCAAAATAAATGGCAATTCTCCACCAATTGTATGGTTTCTCATTCACTTCATCTAGAATGATGCATCCTCCATTATTAAAGTGTTCATAGGAAATATTTTCAAACCACTGGTTATAATCTGGTTGCTTAATATCTGCAATCCTTAGGTCTTAGTCTGGCACATGAACCAAACAAATGGCTGGGGCTACAAACACTGAGGAATGTGAAATACCAAGCCAACACATATATATATGAACATAATCTTATCCATAAACTATAGCCCAAACTGCGGCCAAAAAAGAAAAAAGAAAATCATTATAGTGACAGTTCCTGTATTCTCAGTCAGGCACACTAGTTTGTAAAAACAAACTCACACCTATACCTAGAGGAGGATTCACTTAGGGAAAAAAAATCTGAGTAGCATAGAATCATGCAAAATATGGAACAGATCTCTATTTGCAGGTCAGTTTGGCAATTTCCATTAAAACAGGCAACTTTATAAAGCTATACTGTATAGCATAACATGCTATACTCTAAAGAAATCAGAAACATTACTTTCTGATTGCATATTACACCGGAAAGAAGAAAAAGACTGTCACCATAGACATCAGCCCTTCTGATTTAAAAATGAAAAATTAAAAAAAGAGGGCTGCAAGGCTTCTAAACTTGATGAATCAGTGAGTCTGATTCATCTTGGGCTGTAAAAGCTAGGAGTAAAACACACCCACAGGACATTCTCTGATGCCCACCCACACACCACAGATCTCTGCCCAGCACAAGGACTCTGATCATACCTTTTTCAGCCTCAATAGCCTCAACTGTGGCTGTACAGAAGTGAGCAGAGGCATGCAAAATGAATGAGAGAGATGAGAAGGGTCATATTGTACAGCAGAAAAGGCAATGATCACTTAAAATATCACAGTATCCCATACTACATCATCATTTAAAATTTAACATAAATAGTACCCAAATTAGAGAGCCCCATCCAAACCCCCAATTCCTGACACAGCACAGTTTACACACAGCACTATGACAACATCACTCAGAGCACAGAACACATAAACCTACTGTAAACACAGACACCTCAGCACCCATGCAAATGCACTCCAGTATTAATTACCCATCTTGAATCAGTAATTTGATGGCCTTAGAATTTTCCATTATGTTTATTATATCACATCCATCACAATCACAGGAAAATGCTCTAGGGTAAAATTATAATAGAATTGTAGCAGAAAAGCAAACAGAAAAGTCTTTTCTTTCATGTCAGTGAGAACAATACTCATTACCAGTTGGTTCCCTAAGACATAAACTAGAAGGGGTCAGCAATGCTTTACCTGTTACTTGTAATTTATAAGGCAAAACATAAGCTGCAAGAGCTGATATGACTACAGTGAAATTTAAGGGCAGTAAACTTGATGAATTACTATAAGTAGAACAGTTCTGTGGCTCTGTTCTTTGTGGGGGACCTGAAAGGACTTCTCCTGTCTACCAGTAACTTCCTTTCTATTCTAGTACTGATGTTCCAAATACCTACAGATACTAACATCTATAGCCTTAAAAAATTCCATTTATACTGACAGAGTTTATCATGAACTCAAATTTGCCTCAGAAAAAGACTACTGAGCATCTTTTCAAACTCATCTACCAATTAAAGAGACATTAAGGAAGAGAAGTGAGGTCTTACAGGCATAAATTCTAATTATTTCATGATATAGACACATAGGTCATATTATAAATAAGAAATACATTATTGGTATAGTGTGTCACTGGTCCATTTAGAGAATTTCACCATAATTAGTCAAACATTTTATAGTCAAAGATTCTTTTTTTCGCTCATTTCTGGGTTTGAACTGTATAAAGAGCTCACACTGAGGACCAGGACTCAAGATAGCACACAACAATACTGGTTTACAATATTGTCCATTCCCCTTATTACTCAGAATATTTGTAAAAGTAATGCCCTGGTCTCTCCTATTTTGCTTCTTCTGCAATAAGGCCAATTAGAATAATTATTCCTGAAGTGATCTTTTAGCAATTAACATGATTTAGAAATAATTTTATCCAAAGCAATTATTAATGTAAAAGAAACTGATGAATCTAAGGTATTAAAGTGAACTAAGTTAGAAAATGTTGATCTTAACCAGACAGTAAAGTGAATTGGGGACCCAAAAGAATTAGGACGAACACTGAATAAAGGAAGAGTTAATTTTCCTTAACTGTTAAACTACATTACAAATCGGGCAGGACATGGAAGATCATGCCTATAACCCCAGCACTCTCGGATGGCTGAGGTGGAAGGATCCCTTGAGCGTTTGAGCCCAGCCTGGGCAACACATAGAGAGACCTCATCTCCCCCCAAAAAAAGTTTAAAAAATTAGCCGGGCATGGTGGTGTGCATATGTAATCCCAGCTACTCGGGAAGCTGAAGCAGGAAGATCACTTGAGCCCAGATTGCTAATTGCAACACTCTATCTGAAAGGCACTATTTCTCCTCTATTTGTTTTCAGTTATATAGGGCATCTTGTCATGGCCTTAATAAGTTTGAGCATAGTGCTATCTCAAACTGTGTTCCTCAGTACTATGCAAGATAAATGACCAAGAGGAATTTGGTATTACTAACATAGAATTGGCCACATATATTTCCCATATAGATCCTGGTGAGGGTAGCATTACAGTGCTAGCTCCCAATCAAATTTCCCAGAAAGAAAACATACATAAAATAAAGATGAACAGAAAATCCACCTCCAATAGAGTTGTGCAGTTTGTAAAAACACTCAAGAAACATCATGTAAATTAACTTTTAAAGTTCTTGAAACGACAATTTTTATTTTCTGACAAATAGGCACGAGGTCTTAGAATTAAAATTTTTTCCTTTTGCAATACCTAACTCTCAGTTATACACACTAACATCAGGGAACATTATCTACTAAAATTTAAAATGTAGGATAACTTTTTAAAAAATAATCACAAACATGCAGCTTTTGTATGACCTTTGTTATTTGTTTCAAAGTGGATTTATCTTATGCTAGGAAAATAATTTTGACCAAATGCCCAAACCACACTATCAAGAGCTAGCAAAACTAGAAGCTATCTAGTTTAAGGGGTCCCAAATTAGACCCCTTAAACTCAATTCCTTCCAGTAACTTAGTCCATGCTGAGAATAGAGAGTCCCTCCAGCAAAGCTGCTGTCTTTCAAACCTCCCCTGCAGTTGAGGGTGGTTTCAAAGTTGAAGGAATGAGCTTCAAGCCGTGTACAAATTAAGAATAAACAGAAGTCAACAAAGCATGTAATTAGCAGGGGCTAATCGTGAAATCTGAAAGCAAGGTTTGCTGCGGATACAATATAAAAGTAATGTTATATCCAAGGATAACTGAGAGATGACTATACTGTAGATTTATTTAAGTATGATACCCTTTTGGTTTTATTTTTCTTTTCTGAACAAAGAAGAGTATAATATTTTTGAAGCTATTAAAGTTCATCCTTTTCTATTAACATTTTTACTAGTTTTATCAAATGTTTAAGATCTTGTTTTAATGTACATTCATGAAATTCTTTTTAGTTCATTTTTCTAATGTTTACAATATAATAAGAAAAATGGAGGGCAAGGAATGTAAAGCAAATCAAAGCAGGTTGTTTTTTTTTTTTAAAGAAAATCAAAAAAAGAAACCTCATTCAGAATGAAAATTTATAATTTCAAAACACAGTGTACTTTTCAGATATACCAGTGGTGGTAGTGAACAATACAATGACATTTAAAATAGAACATGTATAGGCTACAAGTAAAAATTGTTTACAGGAAAAAAATTTTTTTTATTGAAAAGCAATCATTGGCCAGGCATAGTGGCTCATGCCTATAATCCCAGCACTTTGGGAGGCTGAGGTCAGAAGATTGCTTGAGCCCAGGAGTTTGAGACCAGCCTGGGCAATACAAAAATATAAAAAAATAAAAAATAAAAAAAATAAAAAAAATTAGCTGGCTGTGGTGGCATGTGCCTATGGTCTTAGCTACTTGGGTGGCTGAAATGGAGGACTGCTTGAGCCCAGGAGGTTGAGGCTGCACTGCACTCCAGCCTGGGTGACACAGCAAGAAACCAGACCCTGTCTGTCTCTCTCACACACACACATGTACACATGCACACAAAAAAAGAAAGACAGAGAGAGAGAGAGAAAGAGAGAGAGAGAGAGAGAAAGAAAGAAAGAAAGACAGAAAGAAAGAAAGAAAGAAAGAAAGAAAGAAAGAAAGAAAGAAAAAGAAAGAGAAGAGAAGAGAGAAAAGAAAAAAAAAGAGCACTTATTATGGAACCAAGTGAAATGAAATTGTGAAGTCAAATGTAAATTCATTCAAAACGTTAAAATTGCCTATTTTTTTCCCTCTAAAAAAGTCACTAATTACAACACCAAAAAGAAACCTAATTATGACTAAGGAAAACATCAGATCTGTTGCTATTTTAATAGACAATGACCCTTAGAGGGCTGTCAAAAGTGACTACAAGAAATTCAGGCTTTTCCACATCATGTATTTTTGCTTTCCAACCACAGGAAAAGAAATCTAGACTGAATTACTGTGTATGGTCACTAATACTCACATCACTCTCTTCTATTTAATCTGTAATGGGCTTTTAAAAAGTTAACCCAGTATTTACACAAATATTTACGCCAAAAAAAGTTTTTTAAGTATAAAATATTCAATGAGCCAGATTACAGGAATGCTTTACGTATAATTCTTTTTATTTTCATGCAAAATAAAGGCACACTTAATAACACCCTTTCAATTTTGACTTACAGGATTTAAATTCAACCCCTTATAACAATGACTTAATATCTAATGTTACATTCATGTTCAGAATGCACAAAGTGCAGCAACAAATGCAGCAAACCTCAAAACAAGGTGCTACAAAGCTGCTTCTACATTGCAAGACAGACAAGTGTCTGATGGAGTAATTTAATTGAACATACTTTTACAGACATACAGCTAACCTAAAGAAAGACAGACAGATTTAGGAAAGCAGCTACATCTGCAGAGGAAGGAAACAGCATGTTACAGACAGTTAATTATACATAGAACATTTGACAAACACCACAGAAAACAAACTTTGGCATCATTTACCAGGGTACAAAACCTTGCACAAATCTTTTGGTAACTGAAGGGCATAAGTAATGTTCTGGGGCCTAAGCAGGTAGTTAACTCTAAATTAAGTAGTTTTAAATATAAGCATAGTCCAATACAATGACATAAATTTAAAAAATTAAAAAAGAAACTTGGAATTACATTTCCATTTTAGTAACAGGAATATCCCTGATTCACATTCTGAAACTGGGGCTTTTAAAAGAAAAGGGTGAATTAGACAGATGAATAAATAAATATTTCAGACATTATGATATGAGCTGCTCCCATATCATTTCATGAAAAGCTGAGGAACTGACCATTATTTTCAATTGAAAGGAATACCCATTCTATCAGTTTTCTGCCCTGATCAGGTATTAATGAGACACTAGCTAATACAGTACCCTGTCTAGGTCAGCTGCTGAGACAGGAACTAAAAAACAGAAGGAATTCCCTGCATGCATTATGTGAATTGTTAGCAAAAGAGTGAGGTGTGCCCCAGTCCATCTGAGGCACAGCAAGTTGCATAACATCATTACCACTTTGCAGGGTCTGCCGTCCTCCAGCTAACACTCCACTAGGCAACATCCCTGTGGGAGTCAGGCCCTTGAGTGTCAGCACACTTTCACTCTCCTCCCTATAGCAGAGAGATATAACAAATATCAGATACTTCCAACAAGTACTTAATTTAAAAGAAGACATAGGGTCTAGATATAGGCCATATATAAAATTCATGACATTCATTGCTATTACCATATTTTCCTCAATTTCAAGACATTAATTTTTCTATATTTTAAGTGTTTCAGGTATGAGGGTGTGCCTTACCATTGAGGCATATATTGTTTTTCCTGAAAAGCTTTATTAAATATGTGGTAAGATTCATCAAGGGGCATCATACTATTGAGAAAATATGGTATTTCATATGCTCTGAAGTTCAAATGTCTGATGTAGTCAGTTGTGCAAACAAATTTTTAAAGACTGACCTATTCATTTGTACCCTTTAACCTGGTCTTCCTGAATTAACCCCAGGGAAGGCAATTTATGGCTCCAGCACAAGGGACTTCCTATATGGATGAACAAGTTCATCAAGAATACTCTAAAAAGTATCCCCTCCTTCTTATCCTGCTCTAATTTTCAAGGTGTGAATTTAGTGTTATCACAAACGGAAAAGAGATACCAAAGATGAGCAATAACAATCACCAGAGTCAAAAATCTTAGCTTCAAAGGGACTTGTGTTCCCATCTTCAGTATACAAATATATAAACTTCTTTTTCTTTTTGAGACAAGGTCTCACTCCGTCACCCAGGCTGGAGTGCAGCGGCACAATCACGGCTCACTACTCACAACTTCCTGGGGCTCAGGTGATCCTCCCATCTCAGCCTCCCGAGTAGCTGGGACCACAGGTGCATGCCACCAGGCCCGGCTAATTTTTGTATTCTTTTTTGTGGAGATGGGGTTTCGCCATGTTTCCTAGCCTGGTCTTGAACTCCGCCCGCTTTGGCCTCCCAAAGTGTTGGGATTACAGGCGTGAGCCACTGCACCCAGCCTAAGGGCCTAAGTACCCTTTTTTTTTTTTTTTCTGAGACAGAGTCTCACTCTGTCACCCAGGCTGGAGTGCAGTGGCGTCATCTCAGATCACTGCAACCTCCACCTCCCGAGTTCAAGTGATTCTCCTGCCTCAGCCTCCCGAGTAGCTGGGACTACAGGCATGCACCACCACATCCAGTTAATTTTTCTATTTTTAGTAGAGACAGGGTTTCACCATGTTGGCCAGGATGGTCTCAATCTCTTGACCTCGTGATCCACCTGCCTTGGCCTCCCAAAGTGCTGGGATTACAGGCGTGAGCCACCACGCCTGGCCAGGCCTAAGTAACTTCTTTATAGGAAGAATGATACCCTGTTGCTTGTTGCTTTTTTTCTTTCTTTTTTTTTTTTTTTAGACAGAGCCTTGCTCAGTCGCCCAGTCTGGAGTGGCGCAGTCTCGGCTCACCGCAACTTCTGCCTCCTGGGTTCAAGCAATTCTTGTGCCTCAGCTTCCCGAGTAGCTGGGATTACAGGTGCATGCCACCACGCCCGGCTAATTTTTGTATATTTAGTAGAGATGGGGATTCACTATGTTGGCCAGGCTGGTTTCAAACTCCTGACCTCAGGTGATCCGCCCGCCTTGGCATCCCAAAATGCTGAGATTACAGGAGTGTGCCACCATACCCGGCCCCATTTTGCTTTTAGATGCGGGACAATGCTTGTAACAAGGTACAATAAACGTAATTTCTGCAAAACAAATAATCAAGAAAATATATCATTACCTGAGAACAGAGAAGACTCTTGCCATCTTGCCAATTGCTCGAATTTTGTTTCTTATGATTTCTTTCCGGGCTGCAGCTGAACCTACTTTCAATGGAATAAATAGAGAGAAAGGCTCAAGTTTAGGGCATGCATGCTTACAATATTCTATTAGCCTGTTCCACACTCATCTAAACCAGTACCAAGACCCCTGCCACCAGCTTACATGGAGGGGACTAGATGAACTCATGCTAAAAAATGTCTTGCTCTCTCAATGTTTAGCTCAGCATTGGTCTAATACTGGGGTCTGATAAATATAGAAATAAAAAGTAATCCACAAACTTTAATATTTCACTCTACTGGCTAATCAGTAAAACAGCAATGGGGAAAAAAAAACAAACAAACTTGAGCCCAACTTGCATTACAAACCAGAGGGCAAAAACTGATAATAATCCTATAGTCTCTGTTTAATTTTCATGACAGCCTATGGCATGCAGACTAACAGACAAGAATTTCTAACAGTCCTGTAGTCTTATTTAACTATCACAAAGTATTTGACATGCAGGCTGACAATATCCCATCAGACTATGACAGAATAAGCTTCTTTGCTTTGAGTTGGTCTAAAATGAATGGCATGAAGGAGCTACTGTGCAGGTAATCCTGAACTAAGGGCCATACCAGCATTTCAACAATGCACCAGGTGCCTAATGTACCAGGTGCTCCTAAGGTCATGCAAATATATACAATCTTTTACATCTCTAGGTGAGTATGACATAAGCAACAAGAAAAACATGGCTAAAGGATCACTACTGCTTCATCTCTAAAGGGTTAGCTGTGCTGTCTACAACTGATGTAGAAGAGAATAAACCAAAATAACTAAATCCTTGGCTGAAGAATGACTCAAAGGTTTTATCTTCCTTCCCTTGGCCTCCAGAAAGAACAACATCAATCTCAGTCCTGTTATTTCATATATAGCAACTAGAATCACTCTGGACCCAAAAGTGTGGTTCCTTAGAGCCGTGCTTCAACACAATGAAAACACACATGGAAGCACCATGGTTGAGGAGAAGGTTAAGGAAAGGCTAAAGACACTAATTCAAAAGGGGCCTTAGGTATACAGAGGTCTGAACAACTGTAAGTCTTCTGGGAGAGAACATCTCATTTAAAATTCAAGCAGTCCACAATTACATATAATTAAAAACTAAGATAATGACTGGATCTGACTGCAAGAAAAGAGAAAAAGAAATCCAACTTGAAAGACAGAAACAAAAGACATATTTTAGGGGAAAAAAATAGGCTCCATGACATGTTTATGATCTTCTAAAGGGTAAATATTATGAGCACTGAAGCTACAGCTTTTACAAGTCCAAAACTGTGTGGGTACCTGGGTACCACAGCACTCTAAACAGGTATTTTTAAAATACCAAAAAAAAAAACCACAAAAAAACCCCCAAAAACTAAAAATATAAGAATCATAGAATATTAGAATTTGAAGAGACAATGGAGATACTATAAAGTGCAATCTCCTCATTTTATAGACAAAGAAACTGAGGTTATTAAGTGACTTGTTCAAGGATAGAAGGTAAGTCTGATTCTCTTCTAATAAATGATTATAAACATTTTGTTTTAAAATTGACAGAATTTTAAAGTAGCTAGACTGGGGATAAGCAGTAGGGTGTTGGGGAGGATGGCTGTAATAAGTACATTCATATTTTCAGATTTAATTTCTATATCTATAAAACCAAATGACATGTAAACTATACTGATATCAAATGAAAAATTCACAGGAATATAAAAACACTGTACAAATCAGGATTTTAAATCAGTCTACAAACACATCATGCATCATATTAAAGTAAATGGTCACAGTAACATTTCTTTGGGAAATAATAGACAATCAAACAACCCTAATCATGCAGGGAAAAGTACAAAACATTACAAATAAGCAAAAGAATGAAATTTTAAAACAGGAATGAAAAGGAGGGAAAATATTTCCATGCACAGAAAGACAGATATCTTGGAATATGACTTCTAAAAATACCAAACACTAACACAGATAAAACTTAAGCTAAATTTGCACAAGGCCCAAGAGGACTCTGCATAGACATTACTCAATGAATGTGCTAACTTACATGGACATGAAGATAACTTATGAAGTCATATTTCAAAACAATGTTACTCTGTCTGGTCTGTACCTTTTTTATTGCCATATATGAGCCGTTCTTCAGATGGAGAGTCCAGAAAAAAGGAAGTGAATGATGGAGAAAAGGTGGTTGGGACAAATAAAAAGATAGAGATTTAACTTGGCAGTGGTACTGAAGAATGAATGTAGAAAGAGAGAAAAATGAAGGCCCTCATATTTGGAAATTTGAAAAATGTAGTACTGTAGAATCTGGTGAATAAAGAGGGATGCAACTAGGTAGAACTCTAAAGTAAAGATTTCTTAAAAGACATGTGCATGGAAGAAATTATGGACAGAATAACTATCATATCTGATGGAAGCAGACATAATTAGGGACAGAAAAAAACATGTGAAAACACATAAGACTGAAAAAAGACTGCTAACAAATATTGCACATTTATAGTCATACCCCTAAGGAAATGTGTCACCTGTGGAAGTATGTTAAGTAAAAGGTAATGACACAAATGAAATACAAACTTGTGTGGTTCTTCAAGGACACCAACATCTGCAAAATCTGTAGTACATTCAGAGAAATGTAGGTAACTTTATAAACTGCCTCAGTAGAAAACCTCACCCCCTCCCAACGAAGGAAAAGCTAAACCTCCCATATTCCCTAACAAGAGCACATGATTTCCTAAATCTGAATTGCAGAACTTTTGCATATACTCAGGAGCAACAGTATGTGCTTTCTGTCCCCAGTCCAATCTGGGAAATTTGGGGGACATCTTTTTGCAAAAATAGCAACAGATTGTTTCAAATCAAGTAACAGTTCTAAGAGTAGGCAGCTGGGGTGGTTTCATTTGAGCTTTCCATATCTTCCATTCTAATGCTGAGATATATTATTCCTTTATAGGAAATGTATTTATTTTAGTGAAACTGCAACACATATGGATTATGTACTTCCCTTTACCAAACTGAAGACAAAAGATAAACACCTGGAAAAAACTGCATGCAACCTAAATATCACAGAAATCAGTTTTCAAAAATTCTCTTTTATGATTAACACTTCTAAAACGGATGCTATGTGGGTTTATACATTAGTGTTAATGCAAATTTTTGTCTTAAAAATGACCCCACACATACATTAAACAATACAGAGCACCAAAGATTTACCACTTAACAACAGTCTTATGCCTTTACCTAATCTTAGCTTTTTTTTTTTTGAGACCGAGTCTCGCTCTGTCAACCAGGCTGGAGTGCAATGGGGTGATCTCGGCTCACTGCAACCTCTGCCTCCCGAGTTGAAGCAATTCTCCTGCCTCTGCCTTCAAAATAGCTGGGACTACAGGTGCGCACCACCATGCCTGGCTAATTTTTGTGTTTTTTAAGTAAAGAGGGGGTTTTGCCATGTTGGCCAGGTTGGTCTCGAACTCCTGACCTCAGGTGATCCACCCGCCTTAGCCTCCCAAAGTGCTGGGATTACAGGCCTGAGCCACCGCGCCCGGCCATCTTAGCTTTAAATATACAAAAATTACTTCTTCCTTCCTGACACTCAGAAATCTCCAATCCCGCTCTCTTTCCCCAAAGAAAAACTAAACCCTTACTCTGATTCCACAGCCATCCCATCAAGTTTTCTTTCTAAAGTCAGATATCTCCCCAGACCAGTTCCATAGAATGGTTCACCGTTGTGTAGGAAAAGAGGAAGGAGAGAACAGAAGGCACGCCATTACAGTGAAAGGAAAGGAGAAAAGATGGAGGGAGTTAGAGGGAAGAAATCAGGGAGTACAAATAAGGAAGGGAAATAAACCTATTTCCAGTAGCTCTTTCCCTACCCCACTTTAAACCTTAGTATCTATCCGAATCTCCTCCTCTGTCCTCCATTTCCTCAACATTCTTTTCTCTTTCAAACCATTCCCATTTCTCCATGCAAACTCCCAGACTCATATTCCTAAAACTTTCTTAGAGTCCCTACTCCTAATACGTGGTACTGGAAGAGTGAAAACAATGAAGAGTAATTGTACCTGCCCTGTTAGCAGTAAAGGGAGATCTATTTCTAATATTCAAAGCTGGAACTCAGTGTATTTTCCCATAGAAACATTGTCATAAATGGTGCTTAACAATTTTTAAAATTATTTAAGAGTGGGAAAGAATTTTCATCCTCTCTATTCCCTCAGTTTCTGAATAAGAAAACCTGAGAAATTAGGTGCCTTTTCTAAGATTACACAGCTAGTGAACGGTAGTGACAAGACACCTAAACCACTGATCCTTTTCATTAAACTACACTGCCTCTTTAATGATCAAATTCAATTCATCCCTGGAATGCAAGAATGATAATAACAAGTGGATAAATTATCATACTAATAGGAAAAATACTGATGATATATAAAATCTTCTCATTAGAATATAATAAAATTTTATATTTATTTCTGGTTCCATCTCAAAATATGACTCAGTATCTTTATTCATATAAATCATAGGTACCTAAAACCAAGTACTATAATTAGACTTAACAAGGAACCTTTTTTTCTTATTATTATAAGAAGAGGACTAAAGCATTATCTACCATCATGCCTATTTAACATACTATTGCAATACTCATAATAACTTTTAAAGAATAAAAGAAAGGTAAAAATACAGAAAATAAATAACAATATCAATCCCCTATAAATGACATATTTTTAAAAGTAATAGAAAACAAACTTAAAATTATCATAGAAAATAATTCTGCTGATTCAAGTTTGTTAGATATAAGATAAACCCACAAATATATAGTATATTCTTTTACACAGATAGAAAATAAGAGACACCAGTTGTAATAGTAATAAGAACATAAAATACAGATGTATTAATTTAACTTGATAATGACAAAATTTTTTCAAAGAAAAACTATATAACCTTAAATGGAGGAAATAGTAAATAATTATATAGAGCAAGAGTTCTTGGTCTTAGTTTGGAAAACTAAATACTATTTTTTAAAAAAGAAAGAAAGAGAAAGGAAGAAGGAAGGAAGGAAGGAAAAACAAAAGACTTGGCCAGGCCTGGTAGCTCATGCCTGTAATCCCAGCGCTTTTTGAGAGGCTGAGGTGGGAGGACTGCTTGAGGCCAGGAGTTCAAGACCAGCCTTGGTAACATAGGGAAACCTCACTCATCTCTTTTTTTTTTTTTTTTTTTTTGAGACGGAGTCTCCATCTGTCGCCCAGGCTGGAGTGCAGTGGTGCGATCTCGACTCACTGTAACCTCCGCCTCCTGGGTTCACTGTATTCTCCTGCCCCAGCCTCCCAAGTAGCTAGGACTACAAGCACCCACCACAACGACCGGCTAATTTTTTGTATTTTTGGTAGAGACAGGGTTTCACCATGTTAAGCCAGGATGGTCTTGATCTCCTGACCTCATGATCCACCCGCCTCAGCCTCCCAAAGTGCTGGGATTACAGGCGTGAGCCACCACACCCGGCTGGAAGCCTCATCTCTTAAAAAAAAAAATTTAAAAAACCTCCCTAGATTCAGATATAGAATTAACATAATATCAATTAAAACTCTCACTAAATATTTCACAGATTTTGAAAAATAGAAAACTTTCTAAAAAAAAGTAGGCTATGTGGCAATAATTACTTCAATTATTCATTATCTCAATACCTACAACATTATGAAGTAGGTATTACTGTCACTTCTTTGAACATGAGAGAAACTGAGACTCAGAAAGGTTAAGTAAGTCGTCTGATGCCACAGAGCCATTAGAAGGAACTAGAATCTGAGCCCAGGTCTATTCTTAAAACAGTGACAGCAGAACAGGGAAACAAAATATCTATTTGAAACTATTCAATGGCTGGGCATGGTGGCTCACGCCTGTAATCCTAACACTTTGGGAGGCAGAGGCGGGCCGATCATCTGAGGTCAGGAGTTCGAGACAAGTTTGGCCAAGATGGTGAAACCCCATCTCTACTAAAAATACAAAAATTAGCTGGGCGTGATGGTGGGCACCTGTAATCCCAGCTACTTGGGAGGCTGAGGCAGGAGAATTGCTTGAACCAGGGAGGTGGAGCTTGCAGTGAGCTGAGATCACGCCACTGCACTCTAGCCTGGGTGACAGAGCAAGACTCTGTCTCAAAAAAAAAAAAAGGAAAGAGAATTAAAATAAGGAAGAGTAATTATTATTCACTAAAGTTTACTATCCAAACTAAAAAATAACTGATAATAAATATACTATGTCAGTTATTAACAAATGTGTAAGAATAAAAGCACATCTCTGCCTACCACTAACAGATGGCAATGGTAGCGCTTGTACAGTTACCTTGTACTTTCAACAAATGGGCTTTCAAATGTTTAAGAATCAAACCTGTTTGTAAGTAAAGAAATTTCTAAATAGGCTTCATTCAGATTTTACTCGAAAAGTGATCAAATGAAATGGATAGTTTACACAGTTGGAAAAACAGTAATTTTCTTCTTAGCATCATTAGAAATCAAAGAAATGTAAACTTAAGCAACTATAATTTACTACTATATAGCCATGAAGAAAATAAGTAAAAATGACCAAAATCCAATGAGGTAGTCCTGTGGAGAAATATGTTTATGGATTCCTTGCTGGAGGCACTTCATAGTGGTCCAATCCTTCTGCAAAGCAATCTGGTAGTTCACAGCTAAAACGATGAAGCTAAAAGAATTACAGAGTTAATTCTGTAACTCTATAATTCTCTCCAATAAATTTATTCCAAGGAGGAAAATAAAAGCTATTATACAAATATGTTTATTTTACTGCTATTCATAAGGATAATTTAGAACCCAGTTGCCAAACAATGAGATTATGAAAATTAAATTTTCGTGTGTGTGTGTGTGTATATATATATTTTTTTAATACAGACAAGGAAATCTTTCCATATTGCCCAGGCTGGTCTCCAACTCCTGGGCTCAAGGGATCCTCCTGCCTTGGCCTCCCAAAGTGGTGGGATTACAGGCGTGAGCCACCACATCTAGCCAAACATTATAGTTTATCAATGGACTTAGAAATACGTAGCTATTAAATCTTACCAATATACAGACCATGTTTAATACACGGAAACATTGAAATATTGATTACAACTATAAAAAGTATACTACAACAAAGATATGAGGGGAATATGGAAGGGAATCGTTTTCAGTTTATATATTGTTTACCTTTTTATGTACTCAGGTTTTAATTAAACATTTAAATAATAAAGTTTTAAATAAAAATTTCAAAACAAAATAAAATGAATTGTTTCTATAGTATTACTTTTTACTATAAACATGCATTAGGTACATAGGCTTGTTGGCTTACGTAACAACAACCATGTATAACTTTGTTTCTGTGGAAAAAAATGCTTTCAGAATCTGAAACTAAATTAGCAAGTGGTCTTTTAGAACACAATCACACTAATTTAGAAGCAGTCTATTTTAGTGTCTAAAAGGCAGGAAAAGCAAAATTGGGAGTTCAGGTATGCTTCTGATGCACTAAGAATATTGTTCTAATAAAACAAATAGTATTTTTATCCTCTTTTCTCTAACCAGTGTCCATATTTGCCAAGAACTACATCCTTTTAACACTTCAATTTTCCTTTCCTTATCTTCTTTCTTCCAAATTTCTCCTTTCCCAAAGTTCATCTTCTTCCCCATATTACAATAAAAAAATGAAATCACTGAAATTATTTTCAAATCTTAATATCCAAAAAAAGTAACTTGTTACTTATCAAATAGCATAGTCTCTGAAAGCAATGACTATTTTTTGCAAAATAGTGTGTACTGAGGCTAGGCAGTAAAGAAATACCATTTCACAGTAAAAAAAAAAATAGTAAGATGAATAATCATACCATCAAACTGGTCTTCACCTTCAGTCATTAGTTCATCATCAGAGCAAATACTCAGAACATTTACCAACATTTCTGTCACTATTTGGGAAAAAAAAGTTACATGTTAGCTGACCATATATAACTGTCTATACATACACATAGCAACTATTTTTACAAATGGTCAAATAATGTTTAGCCCAAGAAAGCAAACACATTCTTATACCAAGATCGATGGAATTTAAAAATGCAAAGGCTTTCAAAATGAAAGAAATTCAGTGGATAACAACTCTGAGAGAAAGAGATTCTTTATGGAACAAATTTTCAGGCCTCTCAAAAAAAAAAAAAAATGAAGCCCCATAGAGATAAGAACAGAGATGAATAACAACTGAATGTATACATTTCAAATCTTCATTCATGGATATAGCATAATAAGAAAAAAAATCATGGCAGAGTTTTAGTGGTTCCAAAAAGTCTCAGGATTTAATCTTTTTTTTTTTTTGGAGATGGAGTCTTGCTCTGTTGCCCAGGCTGCAGTGCAGTGGCGTGATCTCGGCTCACTGCAACCTCTGCCTCCCAGGTTCAAGAGATTCTCCTGCCTCAGCCTCCCAAGGAGCTGGGATTACAGACACCCATCGTCATGCCCAGCTAATTTTTGTATTTTTTTTTTTTCTTTTAGTAGAGATGGGGTTTCACCATGTTGGTCAGGCTGGTCTCGAACTCCTAACCTCATGATCCACCCGCCTTGGCCTCCCAAAGTGCTGGGATTACAGGCGTAGGCCACTGCGCCTGGCCTTAATCTTTTAAAAACTGGCTCAGCAACTCTCTTGAAATTTACTTCTAAAGATTACTAATGACTATCTAACAATCTGAACCCTTGGCTCTTTCATAGGCTTAATCCTCTTTGACTATTCTGTATATTTTTTTCCTTCTCTTTTCCCTTGGTTCCCAAGATTCTGCTCTTCTGGTTTTCCCACATTTGGATCATTTTTCCCCAAAACTTTGGATATCCTCAAGATTCTCTCTGCATTATTATTCCTCCTATATGTTCAATCACTTGGAATTTCTGTCTATTATCATATTTACAGTTTCAATTATCACCTCGTTGAAGATGACTCCAAAGTCTGTATCTCCAGTGTTGACCTCTCCTTCAGGCTCTAGATGTCCTTGGCTAGTTTTATTGTCAACTGTCTTTTTTTTTGAGATGGAGTCTCGCTGTCGCCCAGGTTGGAGTGCAGTGGCGCGATCTCGGCTCACTGCAGGCTCCGCCTCCCGGGTTCACGCCATTCTCCTGCCTCAGCCTTTTGAGTAGCTGGGACTACAGGTGCCCGCCACCTCGCCCGGCTAATTTTTTGTATTTTTTTAGTAGAGATGGGGTTTCACCGTGTTAGCCAGGATGGTCTCGATCTCCTGACCTCGTGATCCGCCCACCTTGGCCTCCCAAAGTGCTGGGATTACAGGCGTGAGCCACCGCGCCCAGCCTGTCAACTGTCTTAAACCATTTGTATACTGTATGTTTCCCCTACTAGAATGAAAACTTCATGAGTGTAGGATGTTGTTTAATTCACTATTATAACTTCAGAGCCTGGCACTGTGCCCTGGCACATGACAGGTACTCAATAAATATCTAACAAATAAGTACACAAAATAAGAAAGATAAAAGCAAATTTCAATTAATAAATAAAAATGTCTATTGAATATTAGCACCTAGATGTCCTGAAGGCACCTAGAAATGAACATATCCAAAACAAAATTCAATACTTCTACAAACCACTTTTTCCTGCTAATAAATATACTAAAAGCACCCCACATGTCAAGTACTACATTAAAGCTCTAGGATTCAGATATGAAAGGCACAGTCTCTACCTTCAACAAGCTTACTAACTACTGAAGGAGACATTAAATATCAACTGCAAAAGGTTGATGGAAAACATGCTGTAAGTGTTCAAAGATATGCAAAAGACCTGCTGGGGAAGACCTGCTGGGGAAGGCAAGGCTTTTGCTAGATAACATTTGAGAGGAATCATGAACTAGGAGTTTGCCAAGTGGAGAGGGCAGATAAGGCATTCTAAACAGAAGTTAAAAAAGTGATGTAGTAGTCATTTATCACAACAGAACAGAGAGTCCAGAAAGAAAACCTGATATTTAAGGTCAATTGATTTTTGACAAGGGTGCCAAAACAATTCAGTGGCTAAAGAACAGTCATTTCAACAATGGTCAACTACAAAAGAATAAAGCTGCAAATGGTCACATGCGAAAGAATAAACTGCACTCCCCCTACTGCACATCACATGCAAAAATTAATTCAAAATGGATCAAACACCTAATGTAAGAACTAAAACTCTCAGAAAAAAACGGGCAAATCTTTATGAGCTTGGATTAGGCAATGATTTCTTAGGTATAACAACAAAAACACAAGCAACAAAGGAAAAAACAGATAAATATGACTTCACCAAAATTAAAAAACTTTTTGAAAGAAGCCAGTCACAAAATACCATATACCATATGACCTTATTTATATAAAATGTCTAGCAAAGGCAAATCTATAGAGACAGAAAGATTAGTCTTTCTGATGGTTACACAACTCTAGAAATATACTAAAACCAACTGAATTGTATGCTTTAAATAGATGAATTGCATAGTATATATATTTCAATAAAGCTGTTACGATGTATACCTTAAATATACACAATAAAATGTATTTTTTTAAAAAATTAGAAAACTTTTGTGCTTCAAAGGACAAAAAAAATCAGGCATGGAAGCATGTGCCTGTAATCCCAGCTACCTGGGAGAATGAAGAAGGAGGATCACTTGAGCCTAGTAATTTGTGTGAGACCAGCCTAGGCAACACAAAGATCCCATCTCTAAAAAAGAAAAAAAAAAAAAAAAAAAAAAAAAAAAAAGCTAGTCATGGTAGGACATGCCTGTAGTCCTACCTACTTGGAAGGCCATGCGGTAAGACTGCCTGAGTCCAGGAGTTTGAGATTGCAGTGAGTTACGATTGCACTCCAACATTCTAGCCTAGATGATGGAGTGAAAGCCTAAAGGACATTATCAAGAAAGTGAAAGTCAGCTAGGCCGGGGGTCATGCCTGTAATCCCAGCATTTCAGGAGGCTGAGCAGGTGGATCACTTGAGACCAGAAGTTTGAGATCAGCCTTACCAACATGGTGAAACCCTGTCTCTACTAAAAATACAAAAATTAGCCGGGCATGGTGGCACATGCCTGTAATCCCAGCTACTTGGGAGGGTGAAGCAGGAGAATCGCTTGAATCTGGGAGGTGGAGGTTGCAGTGAGCCAAGATGGTACCACTGCACTCCAGTCTGGGTGACACAGCAAGACCCTGTCTCAAAAAAAAAAAAAAAGAAAGAAAGAAAGAAAGTGAAAGTGGAATGGGAGAAAATTATTTGTAAATCATATACGTAAGGGACTTGCATATAGAATATCTAAAAAACACAACTCAATAATTATCTCCCATGAAACAACTGAGACAGAAAAATACTGCATGTTCTCATAAGTGGAAGCTAAATAATATATGTACATGGAGGTAGAGTGTGGAATGATAGACAAAGGAGACTTGGAAGGGTAGAGAGGTGGGAGAGGTGTGGAAGATGAAATTACTTAATAAGTACAATGTATGCTAGTCTGGTGATAGATACACTAAAAGCCTTGACTTCACCACTATGCAATATATCTATGTAACAAAATTACACTTATACTTCATAAATTTATATAGACAACAAAAAAATGTTTTGTTTTATTTTTTAGAGACGGAGTCTCACTCTGTTGTCCAGGCTGGAGTGCAGTGGTGTGATCTTGGCTCATTGCAACCTCTGTCTCCCAGGTTCAAGCAATTCTCCTGCTTCAGCCTCCTGAGTAGCTGGGATTACAGGCACGCACCACCACACTCAGCTAATTTTTGTATTTTTAGTAGAGACAGGGTTTCACCATGTTGGCCAGGCTGGTCTTGAATTCCTGACCTCAGGTAATCCACCCGCCCCGGCCTCCCAAAATGCTGGGATTACAGGTGTGAGCCACCGCACCTGGCAAAAAAATTTTTTAATAAAGAAAATTTTAAGACAAATAACCCAATTATAAAATAAGCAAAGGATTTGAAAATATATTCATCCTCGGCTGGGTGTGGTAGCTCATGCCTGTCACCCTAGCACCCTGGGAGGCCAAAGCGGGTAGACTGCTTGAGCTCAGGAGTTACCAGCCTGGGCAACATGGCGAAACCCTGTCTCTATATTAAAATATACATGTATTTTCTATATTAAAATATATTTTACATATGTAAAGTATATGTTTATATATTAAAATGTATATTTATTAAAATATATATATTTTTTCATCCAAAGAATATATACACTGCTGATGAAACTGTAAAATGGTACAGCTAAGGCCGGGCGCAGTGGCTCATGCCTGTAATCCCAGCACTTTGGGAGGATGAAGTGGGACAATCACCTGAGGTCAAGAGTTTGAGACCAGCCTGACCAACATGGAGAAACCCCGTCACTACTAAAAAATACAAAATTAGCCGGGCGTGGTGGTGCGTGCCTGTAATCCCAGCTACTCAGGAGGCTGAGGCAGGAGAATCACTTGAACCCAGGAGGCAGAGGTTGCGGTGAGCCGAGATCGCACCATTGCACCCTAGCATGGGCAACAAGAGCAAAACTCTGTCTCAAAAACAACAACAACAATAAAATGGTACAGCTGTTTTGGAAAACAGTTTGGCAGATCCTTAAAAGGTTAATCATAGAGTTACAATATGACCCAGCAATTTCACTCCCAGGTCTATACTCAAGAAAATGAAAACATAGGCCGGGCATGGTGGCTCACGCCTGTAATCCCAGCACTTTGGGAGGCCGAGGCGGGTGGATCAGGAGGTCAGGAGATTGAGATCATCCTGGCTACACAGTGAAACCCTGTCTCTACTAAAAATATAAAAATTAGCTGGGCATGGTGGCGGGCACCTGTAGTCCCAGCTACTCAGGAGGCTGAGGCAGGAGAATGGCGTGAACCCAGGAGACGGAGCTTGCAGTGAGCCAAGATCGCGCCACTGCGCTCCAGCCTGGGCGACAGAGCAAGATTCTGTCTCAAAAAGAAAATGAAAACATAAAACTTGCACATGCATATTCTTCGCAGCATTATTAGTAAGTCCAAGAGTAGAAATAAATGTCTATCAGCTGATGAATAAAACAAACAAAATGTGCTATATCCATACAATAGACTACTATTCCATCATAAAAAGGAATGTTGTACTGCTTCATGCTACACCACAGATAAACCTTGAGACCATGGAAAGAATCCAGTCACAAAAGAGCACACACTGTGTGATTCCATTTATATGAACTGTCCAGAATAGGTGAATCTATGGGGACAGCAGATTGGTGGTTACCTAGGGTTAGCAAGGGGGGTTAGGGGAAAATGAAGAGTGACTGCTAATGGGCACAGGGTTTCTTTGGAGGGGATGATGAAAATGTTCCAAAACTGTGGTAATGATTGCACAACTCTGTAGTATATAAAAAACATGGAATTGTACAATTTAAATAGGTCAACTTTATGGTATGTGAATTACATGTCAATAAAGCAGTTATAAAAAATAAAGAAAAGTATGAGGGTATAAAACTTAAAGAGCATAACACGTTCAGAAAACTGGCTTTGCTGTGTTATGGCTAGAACGAAGATAACGTGAAAGAGAAAGGCAGGAAATGAGGCTGAAGAGAAAGTAGGGAAGGTCCAAGGACTTTGTGTTGACAGGTTAAGGTTTATCTCGAAAGCTACATGGAGCCATTTAACGGATATTAAATCGTAGCTTTAAAGTATACATTTTCATCCAGAAACTTGGCTTCTGAAAGAAAGGCAAGAAAGTAATAGCAAAAAAAAAAAAAAAAAAAAAAAGTCACAGCACAGTAGTTAGAAAATGACATCAGATGAGAGAAATGTTATTTATTTAAAGATCAGATAGATTTGAATAATTTATAAAAGAACTAGTACTGAGAATGTGAAGATATAGAGGACATAAACGATAAAGCAAGTTTCCTGAAAAAGCAGAAAGGTAATAGAATCTAGAGACAAGTTAGACTGGCTTGAATGGAAGGGTCACCTCTTCAACAAGGGAAGAATTCAAGATAAGGGTACTGTATAAAGGAAGAAAACAGTAAGTAGAGAACACTCCAACTACTAATGTGTTTTCACTAGTGAGGGAAATGGATAGAAGAAAATGTTTAAGAAAAAAATATGAAAGGAACCAAGTGCTAATAGCCAAGACAATGGAAAAAAGGAAGCAGCCCATCCCATCATAGGCCTAGAGGCCTAGGAGGAAAGAATAGTTTTGGGGGTCAGGGAGGAGCCCATTGACCAGAACAGCCTCAGGACACTGCTCCCCACAGCCAGGGACTGCTCCAGCACCAGCCACCACCTGGTGTTAAACCCCTAGGCAAGTGTAAGAGTGAATGAAGCTTGGTGGTTTCCACTTAGATTTCAGAAGGTGTATGAGAAAGCCTAGGTGCCCAGGGGCAGAGCCCTCACAGAGAGACACTACTAGGGCAGTGCCAAGGGAAAATGCAGGGCTGGAGGCCCCACACAGACTCCCCACTGAGGCACTGCCTAGTGGGGCTGTGAGAAAGGGCTGCTGCCCTCCAGAATGGCAGAGCCACCGGCAGCTTGCAACCTCAGTGTGGAAAAACCACAGGGACAGAACTGCCCACTCATCGAAACAGTGTGCCCAGGATGTAGGACATGGAGTCAATGATTATTTTGGAGCTTTAAGATTTAATGACTGGCGTGATGGCTCACACCTTAATCCCAGCACTTTGGGAGGTCGAGGTGCATGGATCACTTGAGCTCAGGTGTTCAAAACCAACCTGGCCAACATAGTGAAACCCTGTCTCTACTAAAAATACAAAAATTAGCCAGGCATGGTGGGGCATGCCTGTAGTCCCAGCTATTTGGGGGTCTGAGGCAGGGTAATCACTTTAACCCAGGAGGCGGAGGGTGCAGTGAGCAAAGAACACACCACTGCATTCCAGCCTGGGCGCAACAGAGCAAGATTCTGTCTCAAAAAGAAAAAAAAAAAATTTAATGACTGCCTGCTGGGTTTCAGACTTGCATAGTGTCTGAACCCCTTTTCTTTTAGCAGATTTCTCCCTTTTGGAGCAGGAATGTTTATTTTATCCAATGCCTATATCCTCATTAGGTCTTGGAAATAATTTGTCTTTGATTTTACAGGTTCATAGGTAGAAGGAACTAGGCTTGAGTCTCAGATGAGACTTTGGAGTTGGCACTTTTCGGTTAAATTCTAGAATGAGTTAAGACTTTGGGGAACCATTGGCAGGAGATGATTATATTTTGATATATCAGAAGGACATGATATTATAGGGACCATGGGCAGAATGATATAGTTTGGATGTTGTCACCTATAAATCTCATGTTGAATTGTAATCCCCAGTGTTGGAGGTGGAGCCTGGTGAAAGGTGACTGGATCATGGGGGTGGATTTCTCATGAATAGTTTAGCACCATCCCTTTGGTGCTGTCCTCACGATAGTGAGTAAATTCTTGTGAAATTTGGCTGTTTTTTAAGTATCTGGCATCTTCCCCCTCGCTCTCTTGCTCCTGCTCTCACCACGTGAAGTGCCTGCTCCCACTTTACCTTCCACCATGAGAAGTTCCCTGAGGCCTCCCCAAAAGCCGAGGAGATGCAGGTGCTATGCTTGTACAGCCTGCAGAACCACGAGCCAATTAAACTCCTTCTTTTTTTTTTTTTTTTTTTTTTTTTTCAGATAGAGTCCCATTCTATCACCCAGGTTGGAGTGCAGTAGAGTGGAGTGATCAGCTAACTGCAGCCTGCAGCCTTGAACTCCTAGGCTCAAGCAATCCTTTCACCTTAGCCTCCCAAAGTGCTGGGATTACAGGCATGTGCCACTGTGCCTGGCCCTCTTTTCTTTATACAATTTTTTAAAAAAGGAAAATTTGGACTCTATCCTAAGCAAAATGGGAGAAAAAAGCAGACTAGGGATATAAACGGTATGAGGGTCCTACTGGGAGCTCAGCTAATGTTATAAATCAAGGGGTGGTGCCAATTCACAAGTCCGTAAAAATCTCCAGCAGCACTCTGTACTGTGGCTGTAGGAATGGAGAAAATGGATGGCTGGATTTGACTAGACCTAAGATTTATAGGACAAATGAAGTAGAAAAACAGAAAAGAAAGGAGTTTGAGGGTATGTTAATAAGGAAGAGAGGTAAAAAGGGATTTGACTAGTAAGAAAATGACTTAGTTAGGCTGGGTACAGTGGCTCACACCTGTAATCCCAGCACTTTGGGAGGTTGAGGTGGGCGGATCACTTGAGGTCAGGGGTTCAAGAGCAGCCTGGCCAACATGGCGAAACCCTGTCTCTGCGACAAACACAAAAATTAGCTAGGTGTGGTGACATGCACCTGTAATCCCAGAGACTTGGGAGGCAGAAGCATGAGAACTGCTTGAACCTGGGAAATGGAGATTGCAGTGAGCTGAGATCACACCACTGCACTCCAGCCTGGGTGACAGAGCAAGACTCTGTCTCAAAAAAAAAAAAAAAAAAAAAAAAAAAAAGGAAGAAAATGACATACTGAAAGGCCTAGAGATTCCAATGAACATGAAGAACAGCAGTAACCTGAGTAAAGGGTTGTTGTAACAAGAGTTTTCTCATTGGAGTGTGTTAATGGCACTATCTTCACCAGACTCAAAATATCCAAGTCATCTCCAACCATTCCCTACCCTTAAATATGTAATCTTGTTAAGTCTCACTGATTCTACTTCTACCATTCTTTTGGTTCTCCCCACTCTCCGTTCCTAATGCTACCAGGCCTTCATTATGTCTCTACCTGACTTCTGGTGTAACTTCATAACAGGTCTCTCAACGTCAAGTCTTCCTTCCAGTCTACTTCACCACAGTAATTTTTCTAAATGACGACCACAGTCAAATTCCATCTCAATGGCTTGCTCACCATTTATCAAAGTTCCAACTTCTCTGTGTGGTGATCAATATCCTCATGATCTAGCCCTAACCTAACTTTTCATTCTTTTTCTACTACTGTCCTTCATAGATCCTACTCACTAATCAAATTAAACCCTCAAAGAGACCTATGATTTCTTGCTTTCAGACTCAGGCTCAGGAAGTTCTCTTATCTAGAATTCTGTTGCTCATATCCACCAGCACAATTCCACCATTCTTCAAGCCCCTGTTCAAAAGCTACTTTAATCCCTCTGACAGAAATAACCTCCTTTCTCTTTTGAGACGGAGTCTCACTCTGTCACCCAGGCTGGAGTGCAGTGGCTCGATCTTGGCTCACTGCAAGCTCTGCCTCCTGGGTTCACGCCATTCTCCTGCCTCAGCCTCCTGAGTAGCTGGGATTACAGGTGCCCGCCACCTGTAATTTTTTGTATTTTTAGTAGAGACAGGGTTTCACTGCGTTAGCCAGGATGGTCTCGATCTCCTGACCTCGCGATCTGCCTGCCTCGGCCTCCCAAAGTGCTGAGATTACAGGCGTAAGCCACTGCGCCCGGCCTCTCCTCTTTTTTTGAGACAGAGTCTCGCTCTGTTGCCCAGGCTGGAGTGCAGTGGTGCAATCTCAGCTCACTGCAACCTCCACCTCCTGGGTTCAAGCAATTCTCTGCCTGAGCCTCCCGAGTAGCTGGGATTACAGGCGCCCGCCACCACACCCAGCTAATTTTTGTATTTTTAGTGGAGACAGGGTTTCACCATCGTGGCCAGGTGGGTCTTGAACTCCTAACCTGATGATCCACCCACCTCAGCCTCCCAAAGTGCTGGGATTACAGGCATGAGCCACCACGCCTGGCCCCAAGCCACCACGCCCAGCCATCTCAATTCCTATAAAACTACGCTTGTCTTGGAGCACTTACCATATTACATCTTATTATCATTATTTATATATATCACAGGTCCCACATTAATCTGCAAAGACCCATCTTACTTGTATCTGTATTTCCTTGGTACCTTGAATAAAACACTTAAAAAAAATCTAGTCAATAAATAAATCTTACATGTATGACCTTCTATGGAAGATCATATAATATTAGATCCTCTAGAACAGAGGTTCTTAAAGGAGGGCCAATAAGTGTGAAGGTTGCAAATTCATTTCAGAACTATGACCATCCTGAAAATGTTGTGAGTACATACATTTATACATGAATTTTTCTGAAGCAAAAGTCCATAACTTTTATCAGATTCTCAAAGGGATTCTATATTAAGAAATTAATAAACGTTTTTGGCAGTGGCTCACACCTGTAATCCCAGCACTTTAGGAAGTTGAGGCAAACAGAGCCCTTGAGGCCAGGAGTTTGAGACCAGCCTGGCCAACATGGTGAAACCCCGTCTCTACTAAATATACAAAAATTAGCCAGGTGTGGTACAGCATGCCTGTAATCCCACTACTCAGGAGGCTGAGGCATGAGAATCACTTAAACCCGGGGGATGGACGTTGCAGTGAGCTGAGATTGTGCCTGGGCAATAGAATGAGACTGCATTCCAGCCTGGGCAACTGAATGAGACTGTGCCTCAAAAAAAAAAAAAAAATTAATAAATGTTTTTATTTGTACTTTTAAAATGTGACTCTTTATCTTTTAGAAATATATTCTAAAGTATTTATAGATAGAAAAGAGTTGAGATTTGTTTCAAAATAATTGAGGTATGAGGTGGGGAGTACTGGATGGGGACATAAATGATACAAGATTGGCTATGATTTGATAATTGTTGAAGATGAATAATTGGTATATAGGAAATTCATATTATTCACTCTACCTTGGTGTATGTTGAAAATTTCCCAATGTAAGTTATTTTACTTCTTTAGAGACAGGGTTTTGCTATATTGTCTAGGCTGGGGTGCAGTGGCTATTCAGATGTTTGATTGTTGTACAGTGTATTCTCAAACTCCTGGGCTCAAGTGATCCTCCTGCCTTAGCCTCCCTAGCAGCTGGGACTACAGGCCAATGTAGGAATATTTTTAGTGAAACAGAAAAGGGGTTCTTGGCTAGGTGCAGTGGCTCACACCTATAATCTCAGTGCTTTACAAGCCCAAGGCAGGAGGATTACATAAGCCCAGGAGTTCAAGGCTGCTGTGGGCTATGATGGCACCACTGCACTCTAGTCTGTGTGACAGAGCGAGACTCTGTCTCTATAAAAAAAAATAGTGGGGGTTTTAGCTCCCAAAAGGGTAAGGAAACACTGCTTTCGCCTAATTTTGGGATTAAATCAGCCTTTCAGGAAGCCTCTGGCTTAGGTTAGTTCCTGCTTCTCAGGAACTAGACCCAGAGTCCAGCTGGCTTCTTCGAAGTAAAACAAATGTCACTTGCTGCTTTTCACACCAAAAGAAAATGCTCATTACCATCAAGAAGTAGTCAGGCTATCTAAACAGCCATCATGTATTAAAATAGCAAAATATGCAAAGAGTTTGAGAAGATTTTCTTACTGTGCTCAACACTGGCTAGAATTCTATTTGCATGTAATGTTAAAATCTGAGCTTTACATTTTTAGAGAGATGTGAATAATTTAGAGAAGATCTAAAGAAAAACAACAAAAATGGTCAAAAAGTTTGAATATTTCTTTGTTTATAAAAGATGATTTAGAGTGGCAATGGAAAAACTAAAGATCACTTAGTACCAGACCTCAAATACAGGAATACTGATAAAAGCCTACTGTTCTCCATCTTCACTTGTAAGGGATCCACAGAATTCATCTTAAATTATCTCATCTCTCAAAAGGAGTTGGGCTAAATGACTGTTATATCCACTTATGAGCTCTAAAACCCTATGATGCCCTGGTTTTTGACAGGTGCATTAGTTGAGAAAAACCTATTATCTCTATTTCTTTCCTTGTTTAAATACTCATAGCATAAATATTTAGATTAGATATAACGAAATATTTCCTTATGTGGGACTATCAGAGAATCAAATTAGAATCTATGAAATGTCCATTTTCCTCCTACCTTATCTTCCTGGCCCCTCCATCCTTCCCATATTACATTAAAACAGTTGAGTTGCAGTCTAGCCTGAAGGCAGGAGAGTGAGCAGGATGAATTATTTAATTCATCTGATGATGCTATGATTGAACTATTTCTCATACACCAAAGATAGAAGGTTGTAAGTGTAATGCATCCCTTGCACCTAAGCCCTTAACTGGCCCCCTTCTCAAATGCTAAAGGGTAATTCTATCTCCGTATTAACATTGGACCTACTGAGTAAATGAAGAACACCAAATGCAATCTGCAGAAAACCTGTTTAACATACACAGTTTAAGTATTAATTCTGAATTTCAGAACTACAAATTGCCTTGGCAGAAGTGACGTATCTCATACAGAAAGGAACATTTTGTAATATGGAAGAGGTGAGAAAAAATAGAGGGGGATACTGAACAAAATGTTTTATAATCATGTCTGTACTCTCATAATGTCATTTTCCACATATGGAAACTGAGGCATTTTCTTATGAAAAAAATTAACTTAAAATGGAAAAGAACATGATAGGTAACAAAATCCTAAGAATTCTATAGAACTACAAATGAAACACAGAAACAGAATTTCTTAAATAGCATTTATTTTCTCTCAAAAAGCCTATTATGTACTAACAAGTGTTCCTCTAAATTAGAAAGGCATCACTACTAAAATTTTATACATATTTTTTATATAAGAGAAGGAATATTGGGTTACAATCTGAATTTCTCTTTATGATTTCTCTTAAAGTATAGAACAGCTATTAAAATGACTAATATTGCTAAAATGAAGGCTACTAAATTTCCCCAAGAATTTCGGTGGAATGCCCAAAAATGGTGTTAAGATATGCAGAAGGGCCCATTTCAAGCAAAGCAATCTCTCCACCCCTTCATAAAAGATTTAAGCTAAAGAAAAAAAAAAAAAGAAAATCCAACAGCTGAAGACATTGGGCTATTTATAAATCTTCTCCCAGTCCCCCAGACAGCCTCACATGGGGGCTGTAAACAGCTAACTAAAATATCTTTGAGACTCTTATGTCCACACCCACTGACACAAGGAGAGCTGTAACCACAGTGAAACTAGACTTTGGTTTCCTTTAGCAAGTATGTGCCTATGATAGTAAACTGGAGTAAATGTAACAGTAATAAAACAAATTTTTTTTAAAAATAAAAATTATACCTTTTTCTCCAACAAACGGTAAAGACCACGTGAAGACATCCATAAAATTAGGCAACCAGTAAGGATGTGGAGAACAGTTAAACTGTCGAATATTCATCACATTATTTTCATACTTTAATACAGCAGCTGCAAGATAAGTTGAACATCAATAACTTAATAGATAAGTAACTATTTGTCATTAGCCTTAAAAATATAAAATACATAAAAGCAGAAAAATATTAAGAGGAAGGGAGATCGGGGGTGAGTGGAATCAGGGCTGGTAGAGGGAGGAAGGAACTAATTTTTAATAATAACATAGGTTTTGTTTTTAACACTGTTATGTAGAACTATAACTATAGTCAGGTCTTCACATTACTAATGAAATTTCCAGATTCTTTCCAGAATGTTTGTTTTACTTTATAATCCAATGATGAACATACATTTTTACTAAATCCAAAATTGTGAAAACTCAGTTTTTAGAGGAAACACAGAATGGCAATGAGCAATTTTCTAGGTTTTTAAAGTTCAAACAAATTGAGAATTTAAGATCTTTCTAGCTTCAGGCAACCTGAAAAGGATAGCTGAATGGTAATAAAGCAAACAAAAAAATCCCACCCATTTGGAACATTTTACTTATAAATGTATGAATGTATTTGTTTCATTTAATATGGAAAATCAGACAAAATTACTACAAAGAAATATTTTACTTTGTTTAGAAAAAAAATCCTACTAAAACACCAAAAGAGAATATTATAACCAAACAATCCAGAGATAACATTTTCATCTCAAATGCAGGTATCTAATGTTTCAATATGTTGATATAATTAAAATCTTAAATGACCTACATAGATTTCAGTTACTGGTTATATTACTGTATAGAACACTGGGTTAGAAGGGCTGGATTCTCATCTAAACTATAGCACATACTAGCTGTGCAATGCTTGGTAAATTATTCAACTAATGTGTTTCTCATTTATAAAACAGGACTAATATGTCTACCCTGCCTACCACAGAAGTTTAAGATCAGACAATGCATTTCACATGAAAATACATAAAAGTATAAAATGTCTTGTAGATATAATTTTATGGTTACTTTTTTTTCATTTTAATGAAAAGCACTGAAATGCAGATGTTAAATTCCAACATTTGTGATTGTGGCTAATAGAGAATCAAAAGTAATCCTGCTACATGTTACTGTTTACTAACTTAATAAGTATATGTTTGTTTCCCATATGAAATTCCCATCTGAAATAAAAGTATTTTAAATTATATGTTTTGACAATCAGTTCAAAGTGGGAAAAAAGAGTATTTTAAATTAGTCTCAAAAATTATGAGCTGATACCAAGCTTTCAGATCTTTTGTAAGGGATAAAAGAGAGAAAAATCTAGAAAATTGCCTTATGGATAGAATGAAAAATTACAAACATACCCATACAACGTAAACACTCAAACCATTAACACTATTTATGTACAGACTCAGGACTACAAAGAGACATCTGATTTTTGATAAGACAGTCAATGGTTTGAGCCTCTTTTCTAAGTGCTAAAAAAAATCCATCCCTTAACCTCCTGAGTCAAACCAACAAAGGACAATCAGTAAGGCAGTACTCAACTGGACACTGAACACTAGCTCCCTTAATATTAACAAGAGGAAGTCACAGTTGAGGAATTAGAGCACTGGTAGAAAGTTAAATTTAACACTTGGTTCTGTTTTTGAGAATGGAATCAGGGCAGGGGCGCAGTGGCTCAGGCCTATAATCGCAGCACTTTGGGAGGCTGAGGCAGGCAGATCACTTGAAGTCAGGAGTTCAAGACAAGCCTGGTGAACATGGTGAAACCTCATTCTATAAAAATATAAAAATTAGCTGGGCGAGGTGGCGGGTGCCTATGATCCCAGCTATTAGGGAGGGCTGAGGCAAGAGAATTGCTTGAACCCAGGATGCAGATGTAGCAGTCGGCCGAGACTGCACCACTGCATTCCAGCCTGGGCAACAGAGCGAGACCCTGTCTAGAGAGAGAAAGAATGGAATCAAAACTTAGATATGTTTCTTCTCAAAAATGAAGTCATATTTCATAAGATATCTATAGTGTAAGTTCTTGTAGCATATTCTGTACCCAAGTTATCCAGCATGCTACTGTTTGGTCTCAGGCAAGTGTTTTAATCTTTTAACCATCACCTCTCATCATCCAAAAAAACTTCCTCTGTTCCTCTTTTGAACTTACACCATGACCCTTATTTAGCAATGACCTCATTCTCTCTCTAAATGTCCTTTTTAAAGTCTTTAACCTTCTGTTCTTTCCTCTTGGCACATCCACTCCAGTCTGATCCTGAAGCTATGGCATAGTCAACTGAATTCCAGACATGTCAAGACAGAAGAGAAGCTGGCCTCTTAATATCATCTTCCAAAGATGTAAACTACATAAACATACCCAATCTCATCTTCAATGTCCTTGGCACACACTTAACTAGATTAAGACCCTTTGGCACTTTCTGTCAATAAACTGTATTCAAAATAAAATGAAATCCAATTACTATAGACAGGTCAAATTTTCAGGGAAGGTGGGGAAATGAAAATCTCTGGAACGGAAGGCAAAGGAAAAAAGCAGTAAAAATAAAGAGAAGAATGTATCCCTCAAATGAGATGAAACTGAATTAATTAAAAAAAAGCTCAAATACAAATCTTCATGGGGCAGTGATAAGACTGTGGAGGTAAAAGAAGGAAATAAGAAAGGGAAAGAGAACCTAGATCAGTGAACATAAAACAAGAAACATGATAAACTAAACAAGTAGACAGTGCAAATAAAATCATCAAAGCAGCAGCAGCTTTATACAAATAAGAAAACATCCTCAATAAGGGAAAAGATTTAAGAAAGGGGAGTTTGAGAAAATCATGTTTGGTTTTGCTTGATGCACTTAACTCAGAGCACGTTTTACAAAATGGCTTTTCCAAGAGACAAGTTGTGGAATGGGGTTACATATTACTTAGTTTCACATTTTGGATTTTTATTTATTGTTCTCTCCCCTCCATCTTACAGTTATTTATAAAGAAATCTGGATACTAATAGTTTCAAACAACACCCCTTTTTTATTATATTAAAAAAAGTCAATTAAAATACTAAGTTGTTTAACAATTTTTTTTATCAACAATATCTTACCTTTATTATTGTAGACATCTAAGTAATTAGGTGCCGAAAAAATTGTTATTAATGAAGGGAACCCTGTAGTTTGACTTTTTCTGTACATTCTATAGCTGCAAAACAAATAGCTTAATATGCATCGTAAAGCATCAATCATGGTTACTAAGTTTGATTTATATTTTAGGTGTTAATTTGGGTCAGGGAAACAGAATTCTTACCCTGCATCTTGAGCTTCATGAGCTCTAATAATCGATAACAAATTATTGTTTTGCAAAAATTCACACACTGCTGGATAGCTGTGGGGGAAAAAGAGTAAATTAAGTAAAATAATGGCTTTTCTGTATGAAGCATATGCTATGTTAACAACTAAAATGTGATTAATCTTGGATATTTTTCCTTACTTATAAAAATAAGAACATCCTCGAACTGTATTGTGACTAAAATGTTCCTGTGATTTTTCATTTCCAAAATCTTCAGAAGGATCGGACCATAACAAGTCACACATTGGTCCAAATGCAGGTGGCTCTTTGAATCTATCTAACTGTGAAAGAAAGAAAAGAAAGAACAGAAGTAACTCATCAAAAAGTAAGGATAAAATGTGCATAGGAAAACGATACCAACTTTGAATACAGTTCATACTATATTATTGTGAATAAACAGAAGTTATTTCCTTAAGATATCAGTATACTAATTTTTACTATTACCTAATCTTGGCAGTGAAGTGAAGTTTGAAACTTCTGCTCTACTCAACAATGTACTATAAATAGAAATCAATCTCGGAAGTAAAATATATACTTACTCTCCTAATATCATCCAGTGTGTGTATTTCTGGTGAAAGTCCACCATGAACACAAAGAAACTGTTGGTTTAAAAGTGCAGCAAGAGGCAAACTATCAAAAGCTTCCATACAAGCTTCATAGACTCTTTCCGAATACTTAATTTTACCTAGAAAAACAAAAAACTAATTGAAAATTACATTACTGGTGGTGGTGTGACCATTTTAAAAACATATATATTAGATTTTTATTTCTTGTTCTCTCCCCTCCTTTATATCTTATAGCTATTTATAATGAAATTGAGATAGTTACAGTTTCAACTGTAGTAATAGCCCAGACAGACAGACAGACAGATGGCAAGAAAATTATAGACAGTAAACAGCAAAGTGGTGGCCAGGGCTTCAGAGTGAGTGAAGGGGTGACTATAAAAAGGTAGCAAGAGAGAACTTATGGCATGATAAAACTTTTCTGTATCATGATAGTGGTAGTGGGCAACTCTATGCAGTGTCAAAAGTCACAGAAGTAAATACCACAGAGAATAAATCTTACTGCACACAATTTTTTTAAGGAAAGCATCTTCCCCTATAAGAATCAACAAAAATATGCAAAGTTATCTGTCTTATGAAGACAAAATATTTGCTCTCTCTAAAATTATTCTCGATGATGTTATGTCTTATGAAGCAAAATATTTGCTCTCTAAAATTATTTTGGATGACAGAAAAGTCATCACGTATTGTTAAAAATAAGTCAGTCAAATCTCTAAAAACAGGCCAGGCACGGTGGCTCACGCCTGTAATCCCAGCACTTTGACAGGCCAAAGCAGGCAGATCGCTTGAGGCCAGGAGTTTGAGACCAGTCTGGCCAACATGGCAGAACACTGTCTCTACTAAAAATACAAAAATTAGCCAGGCATGCTGGTGTGCACCTGTAATCCCAGAGACTCAATGGGTGAGGAACAAGAATCACTTGAACCCAGGAGGTGGAGGCTGCAGTGGGCCGAGATCGTGCCACTTGCACTCCAGCCTGGGCGACAGAGCAAGACTCTGTCTCAAAAAAAAAAAAAAAAGAAAGAAATCTCTTAAAAACAGCTCAACCCTTCACCTTTATCGGCCAAATAAGGCAAAATTAGAACTGTACTTGAGGTTAAAATCATTTTAATACTTGCTTTATTTTATTCTAAGAGTCAATGACTACTTTATTCTTATTACAGGCAAGATGACTACATCATCACAACAAAATTCAAGGTTCATCCATTTTTTCTGAAAAATAAAAGATAATAGCATGCTCATGTCAGAAAAGCTGAGGGGTTCCTCTTGCCTACAATGAATACTTTAAAATGGGCAGTGAAGCAGGAAGCCAATATAGAAACACAAGAAAGACAAAACTCTACCAAATCAAACTATCATTTACTTTTAGAGAGATATCATGCACTTTCATTTGCTCCTTTACAACTTTAAATTCCTATTTTGGTTTTGATGAGATTTTGGTAGGTGGTTTGTTATTTATCTAGGCAAAGAAAAAGAACTTAGTTCCTATTTCCTGTTTTAATACTGTAATATTCAAATATTAAAAAAACTATATATATATCCAGCAACCAGAGATTCTACACTGGCAGTCTGCTAACGACTCTGTTTTCTAGCACTGTGGTTTAATAAAAATTCTAATTTGACTGCTTTTAGGTCAAGCATGCACTTTCCAGGTCTTATCTTACTCATTTAGGTTAACTGCCTGATCCTTGAAGTTATAAGAGTATGCCACTTCTGCCACTACCCATCACTGTATTTTTCTCCTGTTGCTGCAAGTCTCTACTTAGTATGACCTTTATTGGATCATGTTTTGAGTCTCAAAACGTTGAAATTATTTCTGCTTTTAGAATTTAACTCTACTTAATACAGTCATAAATATTAACTTAAAAAGCACAAAGGCAGGCCAGATGCGGTGGTTCACACCTGTAATCCCAGCACTTTGGGAGGACGAGGCAGGTGGATTACTTGAGGTCAGGAGTTAAGAGACCAGCCTGGCCAACATGGTGAAACACCGCCTCTACCAAAAATACAAAAATTAGCAGGACGTGGTGGCGCATGCCTGTAATTTCAGCTACTTGGGAGGCTAAGGCAGGAGAATACTTGAACCCGGGAGGAGGTTGCTGTGAGCCGAGATTGTACCACTGCACTCCAGCCAGGGCGACAGAGCGAGACTGTCTCAAAAAAAAAATAAAAATAACAAAAATAATAAAAAAGCACAAAGGTTTGAGGTGTGAAAAAGGCCTAATCTTGTTCTGTAACATATGGTTACTTACAGGTATTAGATTACCATTGCTATAATAATTTGAGAGAGAAAAGGGATAAACATTGCAGGTTAAGAATTTCACCAACTGTACCTGACTAGTCTTAAAACAATGATATTTAAAAAAACAAAAAAATTTTAAGAAGAATTTCAATCATTAATAGCATGATTGAAATGATCTGCAATGGTAACAGGATAAACAATTTGTTAGGATTCCTCACAGGAATGCCTCAAGATTGAAGGACAAAAATCTCCAATGCAAAATAACATTTTTTTCTTTTGGTTTTTATTTTTTCCTGTTAGAAAAAATATATACATTTTTTTTTCCTGAGACAGAGTTTCGCTCTTGTTGCCCAGGCTGGAGTACAATGGCGCGATCTCGGCTCACTGCAACCTCCGCCTCCCAGGTTCAAGTGATTCTCCTGCCTCAGCCTCCTGAGTACCTGGGATTACAGGCACATGTCACCACGCCTGGCTAATTTTTGTATTTTTAGGAGATGGGGTTTTGCCGTGTTGGCCAGGCTGGTCTTGAACTCCTGACCTCAGGTGATCCACCCGCCTCGGCCTCCCAAAGTGCTGGGATTACAAGCGTGAGCTACCGTGCCTGGCTTAGAAAAATTAATTGTAACATTAAAACTTATATATAAAACTCTAAGTATGTTTGTAAAAGTTAAACATAATAAGAAATTCTGAAATGAAAAAAAATTTTTTTTTTTGAGACAGGGTCTGACTCTATTGCCCAGGCAATTGTCCGTGCAGTGGCATGATCTCAGCTCACTATGACCTCCGATTCCCAGGCTCAAGCGATCCTCCCACCTCAGCCTCCTGAGCAGCTGGGACTACAAGAGTGTGCCGCCACACCCAGCTAATTTTTTTTTTTTGTATTTTTGGTGGAGATGGGGTTTCACCATGTTGGCCAGGCTGGTCTCCAACTCCTGAGCTCAGGCAATCCCCCTGCCTGGGCCTCCCAAAGTGCTGGGATTACAGGCGTGAACCACCATGCCCCACCAAAAACTTCTTAATACCATTAAACACCAGAGAGTGCTCGACAACTTTCCTCAAAGCTTTATGTGTGGACATGAAATCTGTCCTTACATGTTGCACTGTAAAGTCTTCAAAACTCTTACTACCCACTTAAGTCCAAAAGAATACTGAGGAAGTGAAAACATTTCTTCTGGCAGTACTCACATTCCTGCTTAAAGGTAAAATATTCAGTAAGGTGTCTGCATTCATGGTTGCCTCTCAGAAGAAATAATGTGCTTGGGTATAGAATCTTCAGAACCCATAAATATAAGACACACTGCAAAAGAAAATTTTTCTAGTGAATTTATCTTGTACTTTTGTTTAATGAAGCTGCTTGATCTTTGCTCCTTTTCCTCTACTACCCTTACCATCCTCTATTATCTTTCTTTGTCCCTTACTAAAATATAAGCACCACAAAATCACAGATTTTGTCATCTTATTCACTTTTGATTCTCCACTCCCAGAAGAGTACCTAGCAAATAGGAGAAGAGCAATAAATATTTGTTGAATGAATGAGTCAAACAATCTATTTAATTACTTTGGATTTACAGACTGCCCAATATAAAAACAATTAGCACACTGGTCTACAGATGCGTATTAGTAAATAATACTGTCAAAATAACAGCAGCTAACATTTATTAAGTACTTACAATATGTGAAGCACTATATAATTCCCCTAATTTATTCCTCAAACAACACTATGAAGTATGTAATATCATCTTTATTTTACAAATGAGAAACTGAAGCAAAGATCTCAAGTAACTTGTCCAAAACCACAAAACTTCTAAGTGATGGAGATAGGATTCTGATCCTCTGATCTTAAGCATTATGCCATGCTGCCCATGAAGGGAAGGTCCATGTTTTATGTTTGTTTCATTGATTATGAATATTGCCTTACATATGGTAAGTGCTTATTATCTGAACTAATTCAATGCAAATGTAATTTTTCAAATAAAAATATTATTAAACATTATAGCAGATGCTATTCTCTAAATAGATTTAACATAAGAAAGAGACTCACATTTTACTTATTTGCTTAAAAAAGGAAGAAATATTTGATATGGAAATAAGCATGGTTTATATAATCATATGCAAAAAGAAAAAACAAACTTTTTTATTTTTAGAGACAAGGTCTCACTGTCACCCAGGTTGGAGTGCAATGGCACAATTACTGCTCACTGCAGCCTCGACCTTCTGGGCTCAAGAAATCCTCCTACCTCAGTCTCTTGAGCAGCTGGGACTACAGGCACATGCCACCAGGCCCAGCTAAGTTTTTTTTTTTTTTTTTGTGGAGACAGGGTTTCACCATGTTTCCCTGGCTGGTCTCGAACTCCCAGGTTCAAGCAATCTGCCTGACTTGGCCAACCTGTGCTGCGATTACAGGTGTGAGCCACCACACCCAACAAAACTTTATTGTTAATAAATTAAGGTATATCTAAACATGTAACTATTCATATCCTTCATTTTATTCAAAAGGGAAAAAAGTAATAAAATCAGGGAAATAATCTGTTCTCGATGCTTATTTTGATTCTTTGTTATTTTCCTTTTATAACAACAAAATGTATTAAAGGAGTCAGCTACATCCAGGCGCAGTGGCTCACGCCTGTAATCCCAGCACTTCGGGAGGCCGAGGCAGGCAGATCACCTGAGGCCAGGAGTTCGAGATCAGCTTGACCAACATGGCGAAACTCCATCTCTATTAAAAATACAAAAACTAGCCGGGAGTGGTGGTGGGCACCTGTAATCCCAACTACTTGGGAGGCTGAGGCAGGAGAATCTCTTGAACCTGGGAGGCAGAGGTTGCAGTGAGCCGAGATCACGCCACTACACTCCAGCCTGGGCGACAGAGTGAGAGTCCATCTCAATTAAAAAAAAAAAAAAAAAGAGTCAGCTGCAAAACAATCTTACACAAGGACATGCACACCAACTTAGTTACCAAATAAGCTTCATAAAACTGTTTATTTTATTGTTTTGGTCAAATGCCTGAAATTTTTTTGTTAAAATGGGCCATTTTCTGATTTGCCTGAAGCCCTGTGACAATTTGGGAAAAGTTGACGAGGCTAATAATCAACTATCAGCAGGAGGAAGAAGAACTCAAAATAGCAAAATTCCTAAGGGAAGCAGGACAGACAGAGTCTAGAACTTCCTTCCACTCTGAGAATCCTAGCACACCTCAGAAAAAAAGGTATATTGGAAACACTGGAGAAGGAGATATAAACAACAGTAACCAACATAAATTCACCAGGTAAGGTTTCAGTATCTACTAGGGAAGGTGGTTAAAAGCATATGCTGGGAGTCACATTGCCTGGCTATGCTGTTTACTAATAATACCTTGGGCAAGTTACTTAACCTCTCTAAGCCTCAGGTTCCTCATCTATAAAATGAATAAAACAACAGTACTTACCTCATTAATATTATTGTGAGGATTAATCGATATGTCTTCAGTGCCTAGAACATGCTTAGAACATATTAAATGTGCAACACAGGTATCTATTGGTAGAAATTTGACCCCACAATTCTACCTCTAGGAATTTGTCCTACAAAAATAATCAGGCAAGTATGTAAAGATGTATGAATAATATGACTCATTAAAGCATCATTTGTAAAGAAAAAAACTGGGAACATCTTCAGTGTCTAACACAAGGAATTAATTAATTATGGTTTGTTTATTAGATGGAAAACAATGTAGATATTAAAATGATGCTACGAGTTTATATTTACTGACTTGGAAGGATATTTGGTGTAGGCATGTATGAAAAAGCAAGTTACAGACAATATTATAATATGATCCCCTTTTCATTAAAAAAAGAAAAAATGTATATATTGGAAAATACATATTGTTCTACATTTGCTGCATTTTGTTTATATAATTTAAAAAGATGGCAGGGCAATGTGGCTCACATCTGTAATCTCAACACTTTGGGAGTCCAAGGCAGGAGGATCACTTGAGCCCAGGAGTTCAAGACCAGCCTGGGCAACATAGGAAACTCCATTGCTACAAAAAAATTAAAAATTAGTCTAGGCATGGTGGTGTGTACCTGTGGTCCCAGCTATTTGAGAGACTGGGACAGAAGGATCCCTTAAGCTCAAGAGGTCAAGGCTACATTGAGCCATGCTGGTGCCACTGTACTCCAGCATGGGCCACAGAGTAAGACCCTGTCTCAAAAAAAAAGAAAAAGAAAAGAGAAAAAGGAAGAAAAGGAACCATCTACTGTTAAGTGATAATCAAAAGGTCATTTTAATGCCTCAAGTTTTTAAAAACAAATTAATACTTTCCAAATACACAAAGATTCCATAGGATATACTTGAGTCTTAATAGCTACACAAGGAGAAACAGAAGCACTAGGGCTCAAGCAATAAAAAAATCACAATATACTTTATTTAATCAGACAGAATTCAAGTAATCTTTTTTCACATGGTTTAATGCCTTTAGGGGCAAGAGAGATAAATAGCACTAAATTTTTAAGGCCACTAGTTAACAGGGCAATAAAGACCCCTCAGTCAGCTCATAAATTCCACTGGGAAAAAAATGGCAATTATAATTATATAAACAGAGTTATACAAAGAAATTTATTTGAATTGTTTGAAAGACAGAACAGGAATAAATAGTAGCTTTTCATAAAAACTTCAGAATATGCAGAGTTATTAAAAAAACCTAACACAGGTACTTGTGAAAACTAGGATTAAGTGAAAGCATCTGTGTTAACACTTAACAGCAAATCAAATGACAGTTTATGATTATTACCTCTATACTAAAATAACCTCTGTCCACATAATCGCCAAGAAAAAGGTATCGTGTATTAGCAGGTGATCCTCCTACTTCAAAAAGTTTCATCAGATCAAAAAATTGGCCATGGATGTCACCACACACTGAAACAAGAAGATTATTAGATAAGGGAAAAAAATCTCTAAAACAACAAATTTTACTTAAGTTAAAACGTATTTTACATAAGACATAGTACAAATGCTATCAAGAAATGTCTGAGAAGGAAGTAGTCTATGAACAGTCATGATTAGGATGATGTGTAACCAAGTGTTCATGTGCTCAAGATCTAGAAAAAGATGTAACAGAAATAACGAAATTTGTGGTCAGTGACAAACTGAAATCTACATTTATAAAGATCGTCTCTAGGACTCCAAGGATGTGTTTTAAGTTTCAAGATGACAAAATTACAATGGTGGCAGTTAAAATATCCATTCTAACTCAATACTTTCTGTTGCTCTCTAAATGGTCACTTTTGGTATCTGATATGACATCAAGGTATTTGACCCTAACAATTGAAAGCAAAGTAAGTATTGATCAAATTGAAGTATGGTCAACACAATTGATGAAACCTTCACAAAAGCATATTAGACTAACTTCTACACTCAGATTATTTAGAATCATGTCTATTCACTGAAAACAGGCAATCATTTTTAAGTATGGAAAATAATTTGAAATTCAAGATAATGTCCAAGTAATATTGATTTAGCATACAGTATCATTGAAAACAGTAAGTTGTAAATCCAGGCAACTAAATAATGACATAATAAAAATAATACCCAAAACATGAATAAGCTTACCTGTGATTGGAGCTTCTACTTCTATCATGGTTTTCTCTCTCCGAAGGATGGCAGCACCCTCATTGATAATTCTAAGCGCAATTTCTTCATCTACTCGACCTTCTTTCACCAAGTGGTTCTTCAGAACATCAACCCTGGGTATCCCATCCAAATCAAATACTTCTTCAGATGTCAAGCGATGTGTTGGGGGGAAAGGGACAGCTGCAAATGTTTTTAATTAATAAAAGATAAGTCACCAAAAATACATTAACTTAAAAACTAATAATTGGATCTAGATAAGACTAAAAACTGTAAAGCAGGGATTTTTCTTTCTTCTTCATTTATTGGGTAGAAGTGTTTTTCTAAATAGTAAGCAAATTATACCACTTTTAAAGCTATTTATACTAACATGTTCTTTGTTGAGAATTATTAGAGAAATGAGTTGTCTCACAAAATTAAGTTCTTTCAGGATAACCAAAACTTTTTTGTTTAAGCCAAAACATTTTTAGGCAGAACTCTCAAAATATTGTATTATAGTATTAGATATTCTTTACCTTAAATGAAGTACAATAAATATAATTTAATGCTGGGAGTAGTGAAGCATGTCTGTAATCACGACTACTTCGTAGGCTGGGGCAGGAGGATCACTTGAGGCCAGAAATTGGAGACCAGCCTGGGCAACACAGCGAGACACCATCTCAAAAAAAACCCCACAACACTTTAATACCAAATAAGCCTAACTAGAAAGAAAACCCAAATACAAGGTGATTTACCATGTTCCTTTCTAATAAGAACATAAAAACAATGTTTTCTGACCAACTTGACTATACACTTTTAGAGATATAGACCAAACACCAGATGTTTACTTCTGAAATGCAAATTAATTTAGGAGGCTTAAAATAATAAATCATAATTTCAAAATACTGATTTTTCTCCTACCTTACTTAACGTTTCACAAAACACCTTCATTCAAAATCTTTATGCATATATTCGAAACCAGTGCATTCCTTATCATTGAAGTCACTTTCTGAGTCACCTAACACACATTCTGAAAGCAAATCATACTCATTTCCACCTAAACTGTTTGAGATACAGCACTTTTTGCATATGTGTAAAATGTTACCACTGCAAATTTATCCCTGTAATTTTTTTTTTTTTTTTTTTTTTGAGATGGAGTCTTGTTCTGTCGCCCAGGCTGGAATGCAGTGGCGTGAACTCGGCTCACTGCAACCTTCGCCTCCCGGGTTCAAGGGATTCTCCTGCCTCAGCCTCCCGAGTAGCTGGGATTACAGGCATCCGCCATCATGCCCAGCTTATTTTTGTATTTTTAGTAGAGACCGGGTTTCACCATGTTGGCCAGGCTGGTGTCGAACTCCTGACCTCAGGTGATCTGCCCGCCTTGGCTTCCCAAAGTTCTGGGATTACACGCATGAGCCACTGCACCTGGCCTATCCCTACAAATTTAACCAAAAGTTCCCATTTCATCATAGTTAAGTAGTTGGTTTTTTCACTCCGCAGTACATATTTATGATTTCTGTAAGAAATCACCAACTGTACTGTTTTTAAGTGATATTTGTTGAGTGGAATGGAAAACATGAACATCTATTTCAATGGCATCTAAGCACAATTTTGAGGTCATATACCTAGGAAAAATTACTATATAGTAAGTTTTTCTTATTCCTTTTTTACTGAATCCAACAAGTAAATCTTTATGCATTCAAAATCAGCTTGGACTGAAGCAGTTTCAGGCTCTTTACTGAATAGTACTTTGTTTTTCAAAATAAAGAAAGTGAGAGAGAAATGTACATTAGGAGTCTAATAAATATAGACTGAAATGTAAGGCAGCTCCCTCTTTCCAGATTTTTTTTTCTTTTTTTTTTTTTTTTTAGAAAAATAGGCCGGGTGCAGTGACTCACACCTGAAATCCCAGACTTGGGAGGCCAAGGCCAGTGGATCACTTGAAGTCAGGAGTTCAAGACCAGCCTGGCCAACATGGTGAAACCCCATCTCTACTAAAAACACAAAAATTAGCTGGGTGTGGTGGTGCACACCTGTAGTCCCAGCTACTCAAGAGGGTGACGCAGGAGAATCACTTAAACCCGGGGAGGCAGAAGTTGCAGTGAGCCTAGACTACACCACTGCACTCCAGCCTGGTCGACAGTGAGACTCCATCAAATATATATATATATATACATATATATATCTCTGAGCATATAGTATACAGTATTTTCCTGATGCTTTAGGGTCATCATTGTAATGATCAATTATTACAGAGAAGCTTGGAAATGTACAGAACCAACTGCTCCTTTACATTTCAACTTAAAGTAACTAAAAAAAAACAAAAAAAAAAACTAGGTTAGATTCCTATCAATTACCTAAGAAAGAATATAACCACATTCTCATACCAGGAGAAAACATTAAGGAAGAACTCAATCCTTTACAAGTGAGGTAAGAACTAAGGCAGAGAGATGCCAACCATTTCTAAAAGACTGAAATCACTAATCCCTCTTTTTTTTTTTATTTGCTATCTAGTAAAATAAAACTGGACCTTGTTTATTTTCCCTTCACAAGAAACATGTATTACCATTACTTTTTACTCATCTAGAATAAGGCATTAAAGTATATTTTACCCCCAAATATAGCATGTCAAGATTCTAATAAAATAAAAGCCTCAAAGAATGTTTTTACCAATCAAAGATTAAACAAACCATTATATATGCTATAACCAAATTTGCCCTCATGGTAGAGTAATTGTTTAAAAAATAAACATTTTTAATGAATTGATTACTAAATAAATCAAGTGTTACTTTTGGGACATTACAAAAATGAGAAGGTTAAATATCTCTTACTAATAAACACAAATTTCTGAGATCAAGATAGAATCAGTTTTTTCATCAGGTCAGAGAATTTTTTTTTTTTTTAGCACTCTACTTGGGAAAAGAAACACTATTTAAAATGCTACGTACTGGCTGGATGCAGTGGCTCACGCCTGTAATCCCAGCACTTTGGAAGGCCAAGACGGGCAGATCATGAGGTCAAGATTTTAAGACCACCCTGGTCAACACGGTGAAACCCCGTCTCTACTAAAAATACAAAAATTAGCTGGGTGTGGTGGTGCACACCTGTAGTCCTAGCTACTCGGGAGGCTGAGGCAGGAGAATGGCGTGAACCCGGAAGGCGGAGCTTGCAGTGAGCCGAGATCGCGCCACTGCACTCCAGCCTGGGCGACAGAGCGAGACTCCGTCTCAAAAAAAAAAAAAAAAAAAAAAAAGAGACTCAGTCTCTAAAAAAAAAGCTGTGTTCTACATGATGAATATTTCCTATTTATTTATTTATTTTGAGACAGAGTCTCATTCTTGTCTCCCAGGCTGGAATGCAGTGGCGAGATCTCGGCTCACTACAACATCCACCTCCTGGGTTCAAGCGATCCTCCTGCCTCAGCCTCCCAAGTAGCTCGGATTACAGGCACCCGCCACCACACCCGGCTAATCTTTGTATTTTTAGTAGAGATAGGGTTTCACCATGTTGGCCAGGCTGGTCTCAAACTCCTAACCTCAGGTGATCCGCCTGCCTTGGCCTCCCTAAGTGTTGGGATTACAAGCGTCAGCCACTGTGCCTGGCCTAGATGATATATACTTCCTAACAACCAACAACATAATTCCACTAATTGCTGAATTCTGTTCAAAACATAGAACTTCCTAAAAATCCACCTATGAGACCACTCCCTACTTCCCCCTCAGCCAGACACAAGTGGTACTGCATGTTTTCACGCACACTGTGAATGCTCTACTTCAAGTCACACTGAAGAACTATAATGTATTCACCTGAAAAAGAAAGTATAAACTGACTCCATGCCACAGTTAGTTATCTAAAGACCTGTACTTTCCTACTTATTTTTCAACTCAAGGCACACTTCTACATTTCAAAACCAGCTGGGACAGCTTTTTTAAAATGTGTACAGGTTGAGTGGTAGAAAAACGTCACCTACTCATGAGTAGAGGTAGATGAAAGCTATAGGGAATCAATGTTACCATAACACTGAAAATAAAAATAGGCAGTTTCAAATGAATATGTTTTGGCTGGGCGCAGAGGCTCACCCCTATAATCCCAACACTTTGGGAGGCTGAGGCAGGTGGATCACTTGAGGTCAGGAATTCAAGACCAGCCCGGCCAACATGGTGAAACCCCGTCTCTACTAAAAACACAAAAAATTAGCCAGGCATGGTGGCCGCATGCCTGTTGTCCCAGCTACTCAGGAGGCTGAGGCAGGAGAATCGCTTGAACCGAAGAGGTGAAGGTTGCAGTGGGCCGAGATCATGCCAGTGCATTCCAGCCTGGGAGACAGAGCAAGACTCCGTCTAAAGATAAAAAATAAAAATAAAATAAATTTTAATTTATCAGCAAATAAGAGAAAAAAGGCACGTATAGTGTTGTTTTGCAAGTGGAGAACGGAGCTTCAGCAGGAGACCTGACGGGGCAAAAGATAACTGTCCAAATAGAATTTGGCCTAAAATAAGTTGCTCAATAGAGAGTTAAAATTTTTTTTTCATCAAAAACTAATTCTCTGGCCAGGTGCGGTGGTTCATGTCTGCAGTCCCAGCACTTTGGGAGGCCAAGGCAGGCAGATCACTTGTGGTCAGGAGTTCAAGACCATCCTGGCCAACATAGTGAAACCCCATCGCTACTAAAAACACAAAAATTAGCCAGGTGTGGTGTCGCGCCTGTAGTCCCAGCTACTTTGGAGGCTGAGGCACAAGAATCGCTTGAACCTGGTGGGGTGGAGGTTGTAGTGAGCTGAGATCGTGCCACTGAACTCTAGCCTGGGCAATAGAGACTCTATCTCAAAAAAAAAAATTAATTCTCAACTACTACTTTGTTTTGCAACTCCTAAAGCATTTTAAAGCATTTCCATATAGTTTTCAGGCTTTTTAAAGGTTTTGCTTTTTTTATTTCTAATTCATCTTCAGCCAACTATTTCTACTTTTTTTTTTTGAGACGGAGTCTCGCTCTGTTGCCCAGGCTGGAGTGCAGTGGCGCAATCTCTGCTCACTGCAAGCTCCGCCCCCCGGGGTTCATGCCATTCTCCTGCCTCAGCCTCCCGAGTAGCTGGGACTACAGGCACCTGCCACCACGCCCAGCTAATGTTTTTGTATTTTTAGTAGAGATGGGGTTTCACAGTGTTCGCCAGGATGGTCTCGATCTCCTGACCTCGTGTTCTGCCCGCCTCGGCCTCCCAAAGTGCTGGGATTACAGGCGTGGAGCCACTGCGCAAGGCCTATTTCTACTTTTCCAGAGTTTTTTTTTTTGCCTCCATATATACTTTTTTCTCCTAATTTTCAGACTATGTTTCCTTACTTTTCTATATTTGCGACAGGGAAAAACCAGAAAACAAATGTATATAAATGCAATATAAATAGTCAACAACTGAAATGGCTAATAATATTTGTTGGAACAACCTAAAGAGCTACAAAATCGGCTGGGCGTGGTGGCTCACGCCTGTAATCCCAACACTTTGGGAGGTCGAGGCAGGTGGATCACCTGAGGTCAGGAGGTCAAGACCAGCCTGGCCAACATGGTGAAACCTTGTCTCTACTAAAAACCCCAAAATTAGCCCGGGCATGGTGGTGCACACCTGTAATCCCAGCTACTCAGGAGGCTGAGGCAGGAGAATTGCTTGAACCTGGGGGGCAGAGGTTGCAGTGAGCCGAGATCACACCACTGCACTCCAGCCTGGGTGACAACAAAACTCCATCTCAAAAAAATAAACCAATCAAACAAAAAAGAGAGCTACAAAATCTCCTCAAAACCTAAAAATCTTGATTTGGTAACATTCATTTTGACCAAACTGTTCTGTTGAAAATCTTCCTTTTATCCAAATTTTGACATGAAGGGCATCTCTATATAGTAACCAATAATATTCGCAAGGTATTTTCACTCACATTTAATGTATGGTGGCTAAAAAAACAAGGACTGAAAAACATTTTAATTTAGGAAGTTGGAAAAAGAAACCAAGAACACAGACTGATCAGGAATTGGGAAAAAGGGGGTGGTGGTACAGAGATCTTCTTACTGTTTCTACCACTGGGCAAGGAAACCTGAGAATTAACTGATCCTGTTCCCCAATTCTAAGCAAGGACTGCCCTCTTAGCCCTATGAGGCCTCTGACTTCAACGGGGGTACAGTCTGTGCCAAGTGAATAACTTGACTCCAAAGTATCATTCAGATGCCTAAGGTCAGTTAATCTCATCATGCTTCCCATCATTGCCATCCTTGGCAACTATCCAAAATACAGTCTCTACATCTATACTTCTAAATTTTTCTCTGTATTTCTTTCCCTCATACAATTTCCTTCTTGCTGTTCTCCCTCCATCCTTTTCATTGAGGCCTTCAGAATTCCTATTATAAGATTTTGTTTTAATCTATCCCACAAACCCTACACACAATCTCTTTTTTTGTTGTTTTCTTGGCAGAGTCTCGCATCGTCGCCGGGGCTGGAATGCAGTGGCAGGATCTCAGCTCACTGAAACCCCCACCTCCCAGGTTCAAGCAATTCTCCTGCCTCAGCCTCCCAAGTAGCTGAGACTACAGGCACACACCACCACACCTGGCTAATTGTGTGTGTGTGTGTGTGTGTGTGTGTGTGTGTGTGTGTGTGTATTTTTTTTTTTCAGATGCAGTCTTGCTCTGTTGCCCAGGCTAGAATGCAGTGGCGCAACATGAGCTCACTGCAACCTCTGCCTCCCAGGTTCAAGCGATTCTCCTGCCTCAGCCTCCTGAGCAGCTGGGATTACAGGCGTGCACCACCATGCCCGGCTAATCTTTGTATTTTTAGTAGAGACGGGGTTTCACCATGTTGGCCAGGCTGGACTCGAACCCTTAACCTCGTGATCCGCCTGCCTCGGCCTTCCAAAGTGCTGGGATTACAGGCGTGAGCCACCACGCCCAGCCAATTTTTTGTAGTTTTAGTAGAGATGGGGTTTCACTATGTTGGCCAGACTGGTTTTTTTTTTTTTTTTTTTTTTCTTCTGAGACGGAGTTTTGCTCTTGTTGCCCAGGCTGGCGTGCGATGGTGCAATCTCAGCTCACCGCAACGTCTGCCTCCCAGGTTCAAGTGATTCTCCTGCCTCAGCCTCCCAAGTAGCTGGGATTACAGGCATGCACCACCACGCCTGGCTAATTTTGTATTTTTAGTAGAGACTGGGTTTCTCCATGTTGGTCAGGCTGGTCTTGAACTCCTGACCTCAGGTGATCCACCCACCTCAGCCTCCCAAAGTGCTGGGATTACAGGCGTGAGCCACCGCGCTTGGCCTCTCTCTTCTTTAGCTCTACACAGAATACTGTCTTCATCTCTCTAGTTTAATTACATCTTGGGTCTCCTGAAGGACAACACTTATCAAATTCTTTTTTCAAAGTGGATGGTGCTCATTTTTCCGCATTCCACTAATCTCAGTGGAGGCTTCAGCATTCTCTTAGCTCCGCATTAGCACTTCCAACATCATCTCTCCACTAAGGGAAAAAAAATGCCTCCTCCTTTGAGATTCATGCCTTCTGGCTAGTTTACCCTTGTCCCTGCTATCTATTAAACTAATCATAGGCTGGGTGCCGTGGCTTAAATCTGTAATCCTAGCATTTTGGGAGGCCAAGGCGGGTGGATTACCTGAGGTCAGGAGTTTCAGACCAGCCTGGCCAACATGGTGAAACCCATCTGTACTAAAAATACAAAAATTAGCTGGGCATGGTGTCGGGCTCCTATAATCCTAACTACTGGGGAGGCTGAGGCACGAGAATTGCTTGAACCTTGGAAGCAGAGGTTGTAGTAAGCCGGGATTGGGCCACTGTACTCCCGCCTGGGCGAGAGTGAGACTTTCTCTCAAAAGAAAACTAGTCATCATAGGCTCAAGTTTCTGGCCCACAAGTCTTATCCATTCTAAGTTCCACCATTATCAAAACCTATCTAAAACTTAAGAACTGGCCAGGTGCAGTGGCTCATGCCTGTAATCCCAGTACTTTGGGAGGTCAAGGTGGGTATATCGCTTGAGGTCAGGAGTTTGAGAACAGCCTGGCCAACATGGCGAAATCCCGTCTCTACTAAAAATACAAAAATTAGCGGGGCGTGGTGGCAGATGCCTATAATCCCAGCTACTTGGGAGGCTGAGGCAGGAGAGTTGCTTGAACCTGGGAGGCAGAGGTTGCAGTGAGCCGAGATCATGCCACTGTACTCCAGCCAGGGCAACAGAGTGAGACTCCATCTCAAAAAAAAACCAAAACCAAAAAAAAAAAAAAAAAAAACAAACAGGAAAAACATAGGTATTAAGAAATGTTTACAGAATTAATGATTATAGTTTCCAAAATACTTGTTTAACGACACTAATTTATGTAGCAATGACAATATATTTATAGTGTTTTATTCATAGTTGACCAAGTACTTTCACATACATAATCCTACATGATTCCCAGGGACATCCTTTGAGTTTGGTCAGGCAAGTTTTTGTTTTTTTTTTTTCCACAGAGTCTCGCTCTGTTGCCCCAGTTGGAGTGCAATGGTGAGATCTCAGCTCATGGCAACCCCTGCCTCCCAGGTTCAAGCGATTCTCCCTACCTCAGCCTCTCGAGTAGCTGGGATTACAGGCGCCCACCATCACACCCGGCTAATTAGTATATTTTTAATAGAGACGGGGTTTCACCATGTTGGCCAGGCTGGTCTCGAACATATGACCTCAAGTGATCCGCCCGCCTCCACCTCCCAAAGTGCTGGGGTTAGGGTCAGGCAAGTTTTATCTCCCATTTCACAAATGATAGATAACAGGTTCAGAGACATTAAGTTGCTTCTCCAGGGGTTTCACTAGTAAGAAGTAGAGCCATAGTTGAAATTGAAGTCTTCAGAATGCTGCTCCTGTAGCATATGTCTTTATACCAACACAAGGACAATTTTCTTTTGACAAAAGGAGACATCAAAAGGCTGATCATGGCTGGGCGTGGTGGCTCACACCTGTAACTGCAGCACTTTGGGAGGCCAAGGCAGGACAGTCACTGGAGCCCAGGAATTTGAGACCAATCTGGGCAACATAGTGAGACCTCTGTCTCCATAAAAAATAAACAAAATTAGCCAGGCATGGTGGTGTGTGCCTGTAGTCCCAGCTACTTGGGAGGCTGAGTTGGGGGATCGCTTGAGCCCAGAAGTTTGAACCTGCAGTGAGCTATGATCATGGCGCTGCACTACAGCCTGGGTGACAGAGCAAGATCCTGTCTTGAGGGTTAAAAAAAAAAAAAAAAAAAAGCCTCATCATGAAGAATGATATAACCATTTGCTTGCCAGGAGTAGAAGTATGGATTGGCCACATGCTTTAAGGAAAGATTCAATAAATCCAACAGCATTGTCTTCAAAATTTCAAGGTATCCATTGGGTCTCTTTTAATTTGTGGTGGTTTTTAAATATACCTTTCCCTCAAAATTGGCTCCCCTTCCTGGCTTACACCTGTTAAGGTATCACCATTCTCTATCACTCACACTTAATGTCATTGTTCTCTTTCTGAACTCTAAGTCCTATTGATTCTTCAAATTCAATTTTCTTAAATCTCCACTGTTGCAATACTAGTTCAAGTTCTTATCATTTACTAGAAAAATCTCTTCTTCCTCTTTGACTGAACAAAGTAGTAAATTAACCTACTCAAAAACTTGGGGTAGTTTCTTAATGACTAAAGAATAAAGAAAAAGAAAACTTTGGATCTTATTTTCAAGGTTCTTCTCAATTTAACCATTCTCAGTCTTTTACATATCATTCCAATCTTTGCATCTAACTACAATTGCCCAATTTAATCTAGCCCTAAAGCAAAATTATTCTGATTATTGTTTCCTAAAAAACTGTTGCTCACCTATTTCACTTCCATACTCAATCACTCATCCAATATACTTACCTTCTAATATTAGTAGGAATTTGTGTCGTATCTAGTTTTTCATGCCTTGGTCATCCCTCACTTGGACTACTCCATTAATCTTCTAATTAGACAACCTGCTTTAAGCTTCTTGCCCTCCAATAATTTGTTGCACACAATATGGCCAGAATTAGCCATCAAAAAACAAGATACTGGGTCACTATTCTACTTTAAAACCTTCAATAATAATAATAATAATAATAATGGTGATGGTTACCATTGGTTGAGTACTTACCATGTGCCAGGCCAGGAACTGTGGTACCTACTTTATATGCACGGTCTCTATTAATTCTCCAAAAACCCTATAATAAGATTTTATTAGCTCTACTTTACAGATAAGAAAATTAAGGCTTGGAGATGTTAAGTATCTTGTCCATGGCAAGAAGGTTATTAAGTAGTAGAGCTAGGATTCAAACCCAGGCAGTCTGACTCCAGAGCTTGTGCTTTTAATCATCCAGGTACTATATACTGCTATACTGCTTAACAGCTTAAGTTTTAGCTCCTCAACTTGTAATACAAAAGATCTTTTCTAACTTCATTCCTGTCACTCCTTGCCAAGCACTTCACATACTTTTGCCATACATTTCATGCTTTTTTCAAACTCCATGCCTTTCTGCTTCTGTTACACCTACTCTAGCCCCACTTTCTGGTGAAATTCTACTCATCCTTCAAGGACTACCTCGAAACATTATCCTCTCAGTGACGCTTTCCCTCAAAGTAAGATAGCCAATCCCTTCTTTACAGCTCCAGTAGCGCTTTGTACCAAATTCATTACATTATTTATTTATAATAGTGTCTCCCCCACTAGAATGCCGGCACTACAAGAGAATCTATCTTACTTAATATCCTATTCACTTCTGTATCATCAATGCCTAGCACAATGCCTGGTACAAAGCTGGTACTCAATAAACACTGCACAAATAAATGGTCCCAATCCTCTATTTTAATCCTAACCATCCTTCAAGGCCCCTTTGCTTCTACACAAGCCCTTCCTAGACCATTCCAGTCCAGAGTCATCACTACCTCCTTTGAACTGACAACTTGCGGGCTCAGCAACTTACCTGGCAATTATTAACTATACCTGTCCTTATGTCATATATTGTTAATTTTTCATGAATATTTATTCATGAACCAAGTCTGTATTTTATATTTTGTACTTTTGTTGTTCTCCTACAGTTTTGTGATACAGCAGACATTTAATAAATATTTGCTATTTCACGACTGTGATGTTCCAAAATAAATTTTACATACCATACACAGACGATGCCCAATTAGCTTCAGCTTATTTCATCTCTGTGTATAAAAAACATTTTTTATGGTGAAATGAGGTCATATGATTGGCACGCTTTGTTTAATAAATCAAGGTCCTTTTACCAAACTTTTCCTTACAACTCTTGCCAATTCATTCAATAGCTCTGGAACCTGAAGCTTTTGCCTCACTACTAAGCTGTATTTCCAACTTGGCATTTTCCTTTTAAGGTAACTTGTTACCATAGTGTTCCCTCTCCCTCTCCCTCTCACCCCATCCCCTCACACTCTTTTTCTCTCTCTCTTTCTGTTCCTTTGCTTTCACTAGGACACATGGTACTGAAGATTTATTTTATTTATTTATTTTTATTTATTTGAGACGGAATATCGCTCTGTCACCCAGGCAGGGTGCAGTGGCACAATCTCGGCTCACTGCAGCCTCCACTTCTCAGGTTCAAGTGATTCTCCTGCCTCAGCCTCCCAAGTAGTTAGGATTACAGGTGCGTGCCACCACACCCTGCTAATTTTTGTTTGTTTGTTTTTATTGTTTTTTTTTTTTTTTTTTTTTTTTTTTTTTGACAGTCTTGCTCTGTCGCCCAGGCTGGAGTGCAGTGGCATGAACTCGGCTCACTGCAATCTCCGCCTCGCAGGTTCAAGCGATTCTCCTGCCTCAGCCTCCCGAGTAGCTGGGATTACAGGCGTGTACCACCACACCAGGCTAATTTTTGTATTTTTAGTAGAGACGGGGTTTCACCATGTTGGTCAGGCTGGTCTCGAACTCCTGATCTCGTGATCCACCTGCCTCAGCCTCCCAAAGTGCTGGGATTACAGGCGTGAGCCACTGTGCCCAGCCAAATTTTTGTATTTTTAGTAGAGATGGGGTTTCACCATGTTGGCCAGGCTAGTCTCAAACTCCTGACCTCAAGTGATCCCCCCGCCTCGGCCTCCCAAAGTGCTGGGATTACAGGCATGAACCACTGCTGCGCCTGGCCTGAAGATTTATTTTAGTATGGTTAACAGTAATGAGAGTGGAAAGTAAAAGAAAAATAATTTCTAGTTCTTTTTACACAGATAAGTCCACAAAATAGACTTTGTAAACAAAAATTAAAATTCAAGCTGCTTTAAAATATAATGAAATAGAACTAGCAAGAAACACTGAAGTAGCTATGTCACACCAAGGCTATATGGGTTATCTGAAAATAAGTAATCTGGCTAGGCACGGTGGCTCATGCCTATAATCCCAGCATTTTGGGAGGCCAGGGTGGGTGGATCACCTGAGGTCAGGAGATCGAGACCAGCCTGACCAACATGGAGAAATGTCGTCTCTACTAAAAATACAAAATTAGCCGGGCGTGGTGGCACATGCCTGTAATCCCAGCTACTTGGGAGGTTGAGGCAGGAGAATCGTTTGAACCCGGGAGGTGGAGGTTGCAGTGAGCCGAGATTGCGCCATTGCACTCCAGTCTAGGCAAGAAGAGCGAAACTCCATCTCAAAAATAAATAAATAAATAAATAAATAAATAAACAAAAAGTAATCCTCCTAAAGGAAAGCTACTAGAAAACACTTTAGCCAAATGACTTCAGATTTATAAGCAGGGCAACTGGCAACAGAATCCAAATGAATTCTAACGTTGTCAATCAGAAATACTTTAGCTTAAAAAAAATTAAAACACATAAATTCAGCATTTTGGTTCAATCTGAAAGTCTGATAATTTGAGGTTACTATAACCCATGAAATAAAATAATGTTAAGAAAATGACTCACATTGTAGGTGCTAAAATGAACATATGCCCAATACTGACAATGCTCTCTAAGTAAAAAGGTGAATTTTTTATTAATACTAACAGTCTTGATAATCTCAAGAGACAATCCAGCTTTACAAATCTAGAACCTGGTATACAAAGCAAAACGTACATTTTTTAAGTATCTGGGGAAAAAAGGAGGTATCTGGGCAATTCAGGTCAAGTAAACTTTGTGGGGAGGAGGGAAAGCAATATATATAAATTCAGGATTTTGTGCTTCAATTACCTATACCAGCTTTGCTGATGTGGTAAGAAAGCACACATGCAGATACGGTTAGATATTTTTCCTAATTTTTTTCCACTTTCTTATTTCCTACATAGCTAAAGAATGCTTAATAGAATATAATTAAAAGGGTATATACCATCTTGCTTAATCAGGTGGGTTAGATCAACTTTCAAACAGGGGAAGAATTTGACTTGAGCCAGCAGCTGGAGTAGGCTCAGAACTGAATTTAATCAACCAAAAACCTAATGACCCATAATCAATGACATGGAATTACCACTAATAATTTTAGTGACAAGCTCATCACATTTACTCATGAATCACCTACAGTATTCCAAGCTCCCAAACTTCACAAAAAGTGAATTTCAGGTATCTGATCTTAAACACAGAAAGACCTATACACCCTTAAAAACCTACATGACCATAAAATGTAGGCCTTATGACTACAAGCATGGAGTATAAAATTTTGACACTAAGAAGTTCCAGGGAGGCAGGCCGGGCGCGGTGGCTCACGCCTGTAATCCCAACACTTTGGGAGGCCACGGTGGGAGGATCATGAGGTCAGGAGTTTGAGACCAGCCTGGCCAACATGGTGAAACCCCGTCTCTGCTAAAAAATACAAAAAATTAACCGGGCATGGTGGCGCGCACCTATAATCCCAGCTACTCGGGAGGCTGAGGCAGGAGAATCGCTTGAACCCAGGAGGCAGAGGTTGCAGTGAGTAGAGATCGCGCCACTGCACTCCACTTGGGCAACAAGAGTGAAACTCCGTCTCAAAAAAAAAAAAAAAATTCCAGGGAGAAAAAGACTACTTGCATTCAATGCCAACAGACAGTCTCCATAATATCACTACTATGAAAATGTATCGATACAAAACTACCACCACATTGTGGACTTAAAAGAAATTTGGATTTTAACAAGTTAAACTTAAGCTGAACTCACATCATTTATCATCAGGCAACCAGTATTCTCTAATATCAGGTATCACATTATAGTATAATTACTGAATAAAAGACAAGGAAGAATCCTGAAGATGAAATTTAAAAGTGAATTTCTGGATCTGTAAGAAAGGTGAATTTCCCAGTAAATGCAGGAGACTCCATGAGCAGTGCAAATTAGTCTGTTACACACCATTTTAAAACATATAATCCATACAGGAATTCCAACTGGTTAACAAATTCCATAAAGAAATGAAAGTTGTCTCTATGAAGAGGGCACAATGAAGCACCAGAAATATGATAACCATAAGCTTTATTTAACTATAATTTTCTATATTAACAAGCTCCTTTCCTATTTATCTAAATCAAATGGCTTTTATTCCACACCAATAACCTGCAAATATGACTGCCTTGGACTCACAACTCACCCCTAAGGAATCTGCCTTATGTTTGGAATCTTATTTTCACTGCATTAAAGCAGTACAGAAAAAACATTACCATATATATGACAAGGAATAAGAAGATTCACAAACGTAAGGATAGCATAAACTCATTGTTCAGGAATGTGATTGGTTACCCCATCTAACAGTCTGGTGAAAAGTGCCCAGGGAAATGAACACACAACACAGAAATACAGTCAGAAAATGAAGAGGTAGCCAATGTCCCGTTCCCACCCCCACAAAACTCCAGGATTTCTTGATAGAATGAATGTCTGCATTACTATTTTTTTTTTAAGATTTCTCTGTATTAAGGATTCCATAAACTCGTTATTCAGCTCATTCCAATGCCTGGCCCAACTGGATATACTACTAACTTAAGCCTAGGTGCAAATCAGTGTTTTGTTTTTGTTTTTGTTTTTGTTTTTGGAGACAGGGTCTGGCTCTGTCGTCCAGGTTGGAGCACACTGGCGCAAATCTCGGCTCACTGCAACTTCTGCCTCTCGGGCTCCAGTGATTCTCGTGCCTCAGCCTCCCGATCCGCTGGGACTACAGGGGCGCGCCACCATGCCCGGCTAATTTTTATTTTTTGTATTTTTGGTAGAGAAAAGGTTTCGCCATGTTGCCCAGGCTGGTCTCCAACTCCTGAGTTCAAGCGATCCGCCTGCCTCAGCATCCGAAAGTGCTGGGATTACAGATGTGAGCCACCACGCCAGGCCAAATTAGTATTATTCTTTTAAGAACCGAAGAAGGCTCAGGTTGAAAATTTTTAATTAAAAAAAAAAAAGAAAAAAGGTTTCCTTGTTTTTAAATATTTTAATGGAAACATATGAGTCAGATTTCAAAAAGTAGGCTAACGGTGTTTAAATACTGTGCCAGTGTATTTGAGAAGCTGAATGAAAACAAAAGTACCTATATTTTAAAAATAAATACAATACAAATAAGGAAAAGTTCATTCTACGATTTCAATTTATCAATCAAGCTACATGGTAAAGAGAATCATTTCAATTGTTTTTCACCTCCACAGCAGTGTTTGAGGTTGGTAGGCTCTCCCAGGAAGCTTGGAATCTTAAGCAACTCTCAATTAGCCCTCAATTTCTCTATTTTAAATTAATCTGCTGACCTGTTGTGGGTAAACATCCATAAATTCTGCCCTGGCTGAGAAACATTTAACTTTTTCGTCTAGGATGAATGTGTGGGTGTGTGTTTGTAAGGGAGGGGTAACTCCTTTTGACCAAAGTGTTGATGGTTTTCTAAGTAAATACTTGCTATCCACAAGAATTTTTTTTTTCGTTTATGCTGCTTTTTCTCCCTTTCTGCACTATAAAGGCTGGCCTTCCAATTCCTGCCCCGACCCTTCACCGTGATCCAATCCCACAAGGTTCCCCTAATTTCTGCTCCGGGTGGCACCTGACGGCCAAAAGTGAACCCCTGCGGTTGTCGCCAGCTAGACGCGGATAGGGCGGACGACTGTCACCGGGGAGCAGGCGTGGGCCAAAGCCGAGGTGATTTCTGACTGCTCACTGGCGGGCCTCGCGTGGCTGAAGGTCTCCGAGCCCCTCGGTTCGCCCCGGCAAGCCAGAAGTGCAGCTGTCGCGGGGCAGGAAGCTAATCGCGGCCCCTGCGCCGCTTTGACAGGCCGAGTGAAGAGAAAACGGGCTCACTGCAGCTAACAGCCTCACCCCTTGGGCTAGGAAGCCACGGAAGCAAAACCTCCGCCCCGGCCTGAAAGCAACCGGGAGACCGCGGAACCACTGCCACCGACTCAGCCCTGCCCAGCAGGGGCCCGCCCAGGGGCCACTCCCCAAGGGAGGCAGCCAGTCACTCGCCCGCCCTTCCGGGCCCACTCCCGAGGGGACGGTCTCCCGCCCGCCCTCACACACAGCTAGCTCTTCAGGCCAGGCCCCCAGGGTTTCGTCCACCTCTCACCTTTGACGACGCGGTCAGCCCCGGGAGGGGGCGGCGGGGGCGGGGGTGGGGGCGGTGCAGCCCGGGCCGGCTCCGGGGCGGCCATGCTGGGCCCGGGGCTCGGCTAGGCTCTGGGCCGGGCGGGGTTGGGGGCGGGGGCGGCGGCTACCAGAGCCAAGCGGCGGCGCCGCCGGGGAACATGGCGGACCCTCTTTCCCTACAGAGGGGCTAAGACCGGCATGCACTGCGCGTGCGGGGGTGGGGGCGGGGTAGGCTCTAGGGACTTGGGCAAAATTACTGAAGCTAGGAGAGAAACAGGACGAGGCCAAGGGATCAGGTTAAAATTCTTTGCATGCAGAATGAAGAATGAGGAGGTGCTGCGATCGAACGACTGCGAGGAAACACACCCGCTCTCATGGCATTCCCAGTAAACTGAGAAGACGTGATTAAACCTCAGGATCTCCTACTAATAGAGAAATGTATAACGATTTAGCTACCAGATCTGAATACTGAAGGGTTGGTAGGGGACCAGAGAATAGAGGAAGCATTGTAGGTTCTAGAGTGGAGAAGGGACCATCCAAAATGGAGTTTGAAAGAGAATTCTGGCCTTTGTGTTTAGAGTCTGGAATTGTCAAGAGTCTGAAAGCACAGAATAAGACTGCAGCTAGAGCAATTTAGGCGCCATAGTTTGTCAAAACAGGTAAGGGGAATAAAGGGGATGACACCAAGAGATGTGCAAAGAATCTGAAGAATTCACCTGAAAAGGATACAACCTCCTCCTGGAAGGCAGAGGAGTAAATAGGGAATTGGAAATTAATTCCTTATTTCTGCACATGCACAGAATCTGGGCCCAGGTGACTTATGGAACCTTTATAGAGACCACGGTGACTGACACTCATGGGAAAGGGGGTAGAGGGGCAAGAACTGACTGTTCATCAAAAATTATTAGATGAGTGTGTCCACGACACCAGGAGATATGTTGAATCATGGACAGGGACCAGCATATCCACTAAGCTCTATATATCTTGATGGTGCAGGATCCAAGTGGGATGGAACAACCAATTCCTGCCCATCCTCCTGCTCAATAATACATGTGCTCAGAATCTGTTCATAATGCATGGTGGTAAGTAAGTAGTAGTCCGAAGGTCCAAGGAGTACCTTTCTACCTCTTCTTTGTGTCAATTTCTATCCTGAGACCCCAGGAAAAGAGGAAGGGAAAGACCCAACAATGGATTTTTTCCAAAAAGGGAACCCACAAGCTATTTTTTAGAGGGAAGAGTCTCGGGAGTGAGGCACAGGTGAAAATGGATCTTTCTGGCATGGAAGGGCCATAACACCACAGGGGAAGGGAAAGGGAGAGGCCCCCACGGAAGGAGAGGAAGGAAGGGACAGGAGGCACGTCACAAACTTATAAGATAGAGGGAAGGCACCTGGAGTACATTGATCAGGAGTGAGTCTGTAAGAAGAGCTTGAATCCCCAGAAAATCTTCCTAAGGAGGGGAGGAAGGAAGTGTATAATGTACTGAGTACTGAATGCTCTGTCAGGAAAGGGATGGGAAACATCCTAGCAGCAATACTAGAAAGGAAAGGCACCCTATTTTAGGACCCATTGATTCCCACCTTGATTGTATATCCTTCAACTCGTCTCTGGCTCCTCACTTCCACTCAGTCAAAAGCCACTTCATATATTTATCCAGACTTCCAGCCCCAATACAAAGAAAGCAAGAGCATACAAAGGGAAGAATGACAAGGAATTAAATAGAACTGTCTTATAGATTTATTAATGAAAAATACTTTACAAAAACAGTATGTTTGGCCTAAAATAGTTCAGCTGACTCTGAGGGTTTACATTGACGACTGAGCAAGTGGCAATAATGGCTGTGTTATTGAGGACAGAAGGCTGTGTTAGTGTGCCTGACTCCATCTGTTCAAAAGGGTGAATGTTATGTTGGCAGCTCCGCATTCTAGGCCTAAGGTTTGGAGGGCACAGGGAATGCTGACAGGCCATAATACCTGGGCAGGGGGGCTGCCCTGATGATGTCATCAGAACCATGACCACAGGGCTACATGTCCCCCCAAGGATGGGAGACAGGGAAGACAAAGGGTCAGGTAATAGGGATAGGTGGATAAAACAAAGAGTAGAAGTTGGGAGTATAGTAGGGAACAGAGGATGAGGGCTCAGGTGGAGGTGGGGACATAAAGCATCCAGGAATAAAATGTGACCTTAAAATCCTAAGGAATGGCTAGTATCCAGAGTAATACCATGGATTCATCTTTAAAGTGGCTCAGATAAAACCCTTAAACAGCAGCTGCTTCCTTTTGCTAGGGGGAATGGAAGTTGGAATTTCAAATATCCCCTCCCAAAGAATCACATCTTTTTAGAGGTTCCTGACACCCTTAGGAGAACCCACCAATTCTATGTTGAGATGAGAATAGCACAACCATGGCAGTGATGCAGGGTACCAACGCTGCCACAGTAGTTTATTTTGTTGTTGTTTTGTTTTGTTTTTTGAGATGGAGTCTCACTCTATTGCCAAGCTGGAGTGCAGTGGTGCGATCTCGGCTCACTGCAACCTCTGCCTCCCGGGTTCAAGCAATTCTCCTGCCTCAGCCTTCCGAGTAGTTGGGACTACAGGCACGCACCGTCACGCCTGGCTAATTTTTTGTATTTTGGTAGAGACGGGGTTTCACCATGTTGGCCAGGATGGTCTCAATCTCCTGACCTCGTGATCCACCCGCCTCAGCCTCCCAAAGTGCTGGGATTACAGGTGTGAGCCACCGCGCCCGGCCCACAGTACAGTTTTACAAAGAAAGGTGTAGCTCCAGGAAAGGAAAGGAATAACCTTTACCATTGACTGTGCTGCAGGACTCTAGCCCTGATCTGCTCTCTTCTGGGAGCATCTGATAGAACAAACAGAAACCCCTCTCCCACTGTTCTCCTGTGTCCAGAGTGGGAGGCATAACTGCTTTGCCTCCAGTCATCATCTGGGGGCATATCTACTCTTCGAGGACCAGGGGTTCGGGACCCTGGAACAGGATCTGAATTCCAAGCTGACCTCAGGGGTACATGAAGACTGCTAGATGGTGGGTACACAGGATGAACAATGGGAGGGTGGGAGGGTGAATGGAAAAGATCACTCCAGGACTGAGTGTGAGGAACCTGAAGGCCCTTGCTTCTTTCTGGTAGTGTGGCAGTGTAGGTTAGTTGAGGATTGCACCCTGGAGTAGTCAGGAATCTGGTCCCAATATGCTGGTTGGTCTCTGACCAGGGTGCCCAGGAGTTGTCTGTTCTGGAGCGATGGGGGAGGCTCTGGTAGTTCAAAGTCCTTCCTGTGTACTTGGCCCCTTGGGAAGTTTCACCCCTGTCACACATAGCCAGAAACTGCTGGACACTCCTTGAAGTTCCTGGGGAAAGAAAAGAAACCCAAAGACTGAGCATCTTCAGAAAACCATTCTCCTTCCCAGAGAGCCATGCCTAGCTGTGTAGCCCAATTCCCTACTCCTCCAAGAGCATACATACAAGGGAAAGAATGAATCAAGCTGTGCTTTTGATTCCATTTCTTAAAATTCTTAATATACATCAAAATCAAATCTCATACCTCCAACCTGGGCAAATGAAACAGTCTCATGGATGTTGCCATACCTCTACCTCCCTCCACTATAATCTCTCATCCACTATACACACACCTACAAAAGAAGGGCTCCCTAATATATAGCAATATATGGCAAACGTATACTCCCTTTGTGATGACTATACTCCTAGAGCCACCATACCAAAACCTCACGCAGCTTTTCTTTTTAAAAAAAATAGAGACGGGATCTCACTGTGTTGCCCAGGCTGGTCTCGAACTGCTGGACTCAAGTCATCCTCCCATCTTGGCCTCCCAAAGTGCTGGAATTACAGGTGTGAGACGCTGTGCCTTGCTTTTTTTTTGTTTCTCCAACTTTTCTTAAAATGTTACCTTCACTTCAGTTAAGCTGCCTTTGTTTGATCTCTGAGATCTAATGTGGAATGCCTTTTCTTATACATTTATTCAACTTTGGCACTCTTGGTATCTTGGGCTGATAATTCTTTGTTGGGGTTGGGGAGAGACTGCCCTGTGCATTGTGTGATTTATTAATGAAAAATACTTTGCAAAAACAGTATGTTTGGCCTAAAATAGTTCAGCTGACTCTGAGGGTTTACAACAACAACTGAGCAAGTGACAATAATGGCTGTGCTGTTGAGGACATCCCTGGCCTCTACCCACTAGATACCGGTGGTACATCCCCTTTATCCATTGAGAACCACTGCCTCAAGCTTGTACATCCAGTGCATGAGGGGAAAAAAGAGAACATCTCACTCGGAAGGTCAAAGAAAGCCAAAATGATATTGCCCACCTTCCCCACAATTGTCTGGGTCTGTACACATGGTGTGGGTACTCCATGTAAAGGGTCTTTCCAATTCTCCCACTCATTCCTTATCTTCCTAGACCATCCCTCAGCTGAGACTCAGAGGATAGAAGGGGAGAAAACTAGCTCAGAGGATAGAAGGAGAGATGACCATTTCTGTTCTGGGGATGTCCCAAAGACTGGGTATTAACTCCCCTTTGTCAGTTAAAAGCTTATTCTGTCATGACTGAAGCAGGTCATTTTCGTAAGTAGACAGACTCTAGGGGTGCTGGTCTAAACCCTTGGTCTAAGAATCATGGTGCCCAACAAATGATTTAATATTTATCTAGATAAATGCACGACTTTGAAGCAGTAATTCATATCTTCACACCACTCCACCTTGGGATACCCCCCTCCCCATAGGTATACTGATTTGACCCTTGGAGGCCCCTGAAAAGGTACCAAATTCTGGCATATAATATTAGATTTGGGGGAGTTACCTGGGAGTCTATTGGGCTCCCCTGCCATGGTGGGCATCAGGACATCTGGGGACAGGAACTGTGGTTGGGGAAGGTAGAGTTGGGGACCGAGGAGAAACACAGAAGGGTCATGGATGACAGGGAGGGAAGAGGAGCTGGAACAACGGTGCCCGGTTTCCAAAGGCTTCCTCACGTTTGATGAATCCTTATAATGAGACAAGACAAAAAAACATAGAGATGAGGATTAACACAAAGCAGGATGTAGTTGGGTAAACACAGTGAGGCAAGCAAAGGGAAATGGAGGGAACCAGAGCACAAACATGCCTACATGCCTTGTTCTGGAACAGGACCCAATTTACTCAGTTGCTCTCCCTGCTAGCCCTCTAAGAAACTGCAAACTTCAGATCCTTATCCCTTAACCAGTCTTCCTCATATCCCTCACCTTCCCAACCCTATCATTCAGGTCTTTAGCAAACTCCTTAATGCTAACAGTAGAATTAGAGAGATTGAGATAGAAATTTAAAAATAAAAACGAAATATGAGAAATTCAGAAAGCCTGAGAGAATGAGAAAAAAAAATCCTTCACTTATTCTAAGTACTGGGAATGAAACTATATATGTTTAAATGTAGAATCAAGAACTCTACCCCATCTTCTCTCCTGTCACTGCTACACATTCCACAGCTTCCTCTTTTGCCTGTCAAGTTTGTATTTACTGATGCTAATGTCCTGCTCTACTCCCTATTAGTTATCTACTTTTATGATAAATACCCAGAAATATTCCCCTTTAACATCTGAAACACTAACATATCCAAAATTGAACCAAAATCCTTCCAAACTCCTCCTCCTGGCACCTCATTTTCCTAAATCACCCATATTCAAACATTGGCAATGACCTTGATTTCCCACTTCCCATCCACAATTCCATTACTTGCCAAGGACTATCATTTCTACCTATGGGTTTTATATTTAAATTCACCTGGACTACTGCAACAGCCTTCAATCTGCTTTTCCTATCTCCCATCCACTCCTCCTTACTGTGGCCTACAAGGTCCTGTGTGATATGGCCCTGCTGCTCCTCACTTTATTTCCTATCATTCCTGGAGCTTTTACACTCTAACTTTAATATTCCTCAAACACACCAAGCTCATTGCTACCTCAGAGTCTTTATACTTCCTGTTTCTGTTACCAAGAATATTCTTCTGATGGCTCATACTTTCATATCACTGAGATCTCTAATCAAAAGTTACTTCCTTAGAGCTGATTTCCCTCACTACCCTACTATCAGGAATAGCCCTCAAAAAAACCACTATTACCTCTTTACTCTTTATTCTCTTGCCTTATTATTCTTTATCATACTTATCATTGTCTGGCATTATGTCATTTATTTGTTTATTGTCTTCTCCCCTATTTCTTTTTACTTCTGTATCCGCAGCACCTTGAACAGTGCCTAGAACAATGTGGGCACTTAGTAATAATACATTAAATAAAATAATCTATATGCCAGTATGTCTAATTTCCTTTACGAGACTGCAAGCTACTCAAGGGCAGAATTTGTGTTGTTTCATCAGTGTATGCTCACAGCACCTACTACAAAATGGCACAAAGTAAGCATTTATCATACTGCCTAAGGACCAGGTGCCAGTCCTCTCAGCATGTGACACAGCTAATTATTCCTTTCTTCTTTTTTTTTTTGAGACGGAGTCTCGCTCTGTCACCCAGGCTGGAGTGCAGTGGCGCAATCTCGGCTCACTCACTGCAAGCTCTGCCTCCTGGGTTCACACCATTCTCCTGCCTCAGCTTCCCAAGTAGCTGGGACTACAGGCACCCGCCACCGCGCCCAGCTAATTTTTTTGTATTTTTAGTAGAGACGGCATTTCACTGTGTTAGCCAGGATGGTCTCAATCTCCTGACCTTATGATCTGCCCGCCTCAGCCTCCCAAAGTGCTGGGATTACAGGCGTGAGCCACCGCGCCCGGCTATTCCTTTCTTCTTGAAACACTCTCCCCTTGGTGACTATGGTACCACACATCCTTGGTTTCCCTTCAGTCTCTCTAATCTTTTTTTCTCAGTCTCCTTTTAGGGTTCTTCAGAAGAACCACCTTAAATCTGATGCTCTTTAGGGATATGTCCTGGCTCCTCTTCTCTTTCTGCAAGTCTTTTCCTCTTTTTCAATGGCTATGATTCCCAGATTTCAATTTGCAGCTTATATATCTCATTCCAAAAGCCTGCCAGATACCTCCACTCAAGCTTAATATATGTAAAACTGAATGCATATCTTCCCTCAAATATATCATTATCTACCCATAAAACTTGAGTATCATCCTTTATCCCCACTCCCAACATCCAGGCAGGCACCAACTCCCACTGATGTTTACTTCCTAACTGGGTCTCAAATACATCGACTTATCTCTATCCTTCCAAACTACTTACTGTGACATACAGGGCTGTCTGTGGTCCATAATATTCTTTGTATCCTCTCTTGTCAACACTCTCCATCATCTCCCCTTGCCAGACTTTCTAATCCTGCCATACTAAATAAGCTTCTTTTAATTCAGTTAATATTTGCTCAGGTCCCTTTTACTTGCTATATTCTTTTTGCTTCCTCCAGGAAGCCTTCCATGATACCTCAAGCCTGATTTAAATATCCCTTCTATTATGTTCCCATAGGATCAAATCCTTAACACATTATAACTGTTTGTTTATTTATCCGTCCCTCACTGTAGACTGTAAGCTCCATAAAAGCAGGGACTATATCTAACTCACCATTGTAGCTCCAGCACCTAGCACAATACCTAGAACACACTCAATAAGCACTTATTTATTTGTTTATTTTTGTGCTAGGAATCTTGTACAGAATCAATAAGCATTTATTTAAAAGAATGAATCAATGAATGATACAGAAGTCAGAAGAAAGGAAGCCAACTCTCCTAGGAAAAGAACAATTTGCCATTAAATGAATTGAAAGTACATGAGAACAAATGCTAGGCAGGAGAGTCCACCTTTTCCAAAAAAGAATGGCAGCCTGATCAGAATTGCTTAGGAATTTATGAACGATAAATTGAATGAAACTTACTATAAATTCGGCTGGGTTTTTTTGTTTGTTTTGTTTTGTTTTTGAGACAGAGTCTTGCTCTGTTACCCAGGCTGGAGTGCAGTGGCTCAATCTCAGCTCACTGCAACCTCTGCCACCCGGATTCAAGCGATTCTCCTGCCTCAGCCTCCCGAGTAGCTAGGACTACAAGCACCCCCCACCATGCCTGGCTAATTTTTATATTTTTGCCATGTTGGCCAGGCTGGTCTCGAACTCCTGACCTCAGGTGATCCACCATCCTTGGCCTCCCAAAGTGCTGGGATTACAGGCATGAGCCACCACGCCTGGCCTCGGCTGATTTTTAAAAATTGGAAAAATGAGTACCTCTTAGGAGGGAAACTGAATCTGAAGGGCTGGTAGAAGACAGACTTGGTTTTCACCATATATGCTTTTATACCTTTTTATTTTTGTACCATGTATTTAAAATCTGTTTTTACATTTTTCCTGAACTGACCTAGTGGACAACCTTCAATGCACTGGTACTTTGTACCCTGACCTCTACTGTGATGAACACTCAACTTGGGCAAGGAAGTGAAATTCTCCAAAGGTATGATTACCTACAAACCTAGCCACTGATATTATTTAAGTTTGTTGATCTCTAATGGCTTGGGCTTTCCTGCCTCTTCTACTTACACATTACTGCACTAGTACCATATGAAAATTCTCAAGAAGGCTTTTTTCCTCTTCTTGCTGATACACATGCATCACTTTAGATTGAAAACACACTGAATTCTATTCAATCACATACTGGGGGTGAGAGGAAAAAGCAAACCAATACTCCATCCCATTTCTTTCCTTCTTTCTTTGATTAGTGCAGTGGGTTCTGACCCAATCAGCAGCCTTTGCTTCTCAGATTCCTCTCAAGGCTTTATGACTCTTCTCACCCCAGGAAACCCTACAACACGCACGGCCTTTCAGAACTGCTACATGGAATGGACATTCCTCTGGGCTCCAGCTGAATGTTTGTAAATAAAATAATGACTGCGTGTCCTTATTTTTGCTGAGTACACAGGGCCTTTCCTCACATTACAACCTTCACTTTCTCCCTGCTTCTTCACCTGCACTGTATTTTTGCTTAGCAAGGAGGAGGGTGCTCTGAATAGATGGACCCTGATTCTACTTACAAAACTGTGGGAAGAAACCGGAGCTTCCTCCCTCTCTGAGACAACGGTGCCACTGAGACTGCGTGAGATGCGACGTAAATTCTCTGCACTGTACTGCTCATCCTCCCCACACTCCCTGCTGAGGCCTCGGCAAGGTGTAGCCTTCAAACACACAGACACATACAGGCAGACACATAATACCAGACTTATGGTTTTCCCACAGACAGTATCCTCAGGGTATGGGAAAGAGTAGGGGAAGACTCAGTAGTAATAGACACCTGAATTAGATGTATTGGTAAGATAGTGGCCATGTAACAATCTCCTCTAATTCAAAAGAAGCCCAATCATAGACCTTATTTTCTTCTGATAGCCCCATATCACCATGCCTCTGCCTTATCATCATCCCTGTCACATCTCTCCATAATTCCTTCCCCAACACACCACCCCAGGCCCAGCACCTTAGCACCTGAGGCTGCTACCTGAGAAGTACGCACTGTTCTGGCTTCATGGAGACCATGCTCCATTTCTGCTGTTGAAGTCTTTGAGAGACCAGGATCATGGGCTGAGTGCAACCTCCTCCCCATGCCATCTGCAGAGCCTGAAGAGGAAAACACAAATACAAGTTGAGGCCATCTCTTCCCCTAGGGCCTAACCTCTAAGCCTAGCAGCACAAACTCAGGAGCTGTTGTTTCATTTAATAATAAATATGCATCCTTGAATTCAACGGAGGAACATGCTCCTGGAATTTAGAAGCAAGAGGGGCTGGGCGCGGTGGCTCACACCTGTAATCCCAGCACTTTGGGAGGCCAACACGGGCAGATCACGAGGTCAGGAGATCGAGACCACCCTGGCTAACATGGTAAAACCCTGTCTCTACTAAAAATACAAAAAATTAGCCGGGCGTGGTGGCAGGCACCTGTAATCCCAGCTACTCGGGAGGCTGAGGCAGGAGAATGGCGTGAACCCGGGAGGCGTAGCTTGCAGTGAGCGGAGATCACGCCACTGCACTCCAGCCCGGGTGACAGAGCGAGACTCCGTCTCAAAAAAAAAAAGAAACAAGAATTTTAGAATATAGATAGTTTACTGAGTGTCCCCATCTTGCTTCATTTCATTTTTGTAAACATAATCAGCTTCTGTCAGACTTAGGCTCAAGACTTATAGACAGAGGAAAGTATCTAACACAGTGAGTTTTGTTTTCTAACACAGTGATTTTCTAAAGTATCTGTGGTGACAAAGGAAATTATCTCCAGTCTAGTTCAGAATAGAAATGATCATAATAATCATCTATCAAACCTCCTCATTTTATATAACAGGAAAATGAGTTCCAGGGTCTGAGAGTTTAGTAGTTTAACCAGGATTAAAATTAAATCCTCTTGATTTTCAGTACAGTACTCTTACCATCTCACCTGGTGACCTCTTTTACTCTGAGAGCAGGAGCTCCTCAGGAATGTTTTACATATGTAATGCTCTTTTCCCCTTAGCTTCTCTCAAATCATTTAAATTTCTAAACAACCACTAAATGCTTACCTCTTTTCAAAATCTTTCTAGATTGTTCAGTTGCTCTAAACTGGATTGGTGACTCCCAAGGGGCTATCCCCAATCCAACTAATTAAGTTTTCCATTCCAAAACTGTATATGCCCCTGACCTACATTTGATACATATGTCCATGGCCAATTCATGTCTTGATTTGATGATTTGATTCTAATATATATATATATATCTGGCTGAAGCTGATATTATTCATGTAAGTATTGTAAGACCAGTTATTTTCAGTATTCCTGGGTACTTAAATGCAGTGCTTTCAATACCACCTCAGATTCATCTGGGAACTTTTAAAAATATAGCTTCCTGGATGTTACCACAGAGCTGAATCAGAAGGTTTGTGGTTGGTGCCTGGGAATTTTCATTTTTGAAAGGTTCCCAAAAAGTCTAAGAAAATATCCTTGAACATTATTGGGGGAAATGGGAAATGTTACAGTCTTCCTAAAAAACAACCTGGTAATCTCCAATAAAATAAAAAATATATTTATCCTGTTGCCCAACGATTCTAATCCTGAGAAGAAGAAGAAAAAAATACCAGTTCATAACAACATATATATGAGAATATTTTCTACTGACATAATTTATAGTAGCCAAGAACTAGAAATAAAGTAATGCCCACCTATAGAAGAATAAATACATTATGGTTTAATACCAGATATTGTCCAGCCACTTAAAAAGATTGAACTGAGTTAAACTAGATGATTTGAAGAAATTTTAATGAAACATTGTTGCATTAAAAGGAAAAAAATCTGTAAAATGATAGACAAGCATTTGTTTATGTATATGTAGGTCTACATAGGATTGTATAAACAGAAAATACAGTGTATGCACACTAGATAATTACCTGGGGAAGTAGGGACTGGCTGTGAGAGAAGAGACAGGAAAATTGTCTATAATAAAAACAGCATGTGTGTTATGTTCTTATTTCTATAAAATTATTTCTGTATTTATGTGTTTTTTGGGGTTTTCTGAGCCACTCCTCAGATGACTATAGGTAGCCAGGTTTAAGGATTACAGCTAAGGCTGGGTGCGGTGGCTTACGCCTGTAGTCCCAGCACTTTGGGAGGCCAAGGCCGGTGGATCACGAGGTCAGGAGTTCGAGACCAGCCTGTCCAACATGGTGAAAACCCCATCTCTACTAAAAATACAAAAATTAGCCAGGCGTGGTGGCGGCCGCCTGTAATCCCAGCTACTCAGGAGGCTGAGGCAGGAGAATCGCTTGAACCCGGGAGGCAGAGGCTGCAGTGAGTCAACATCACGCCACTGAACTCCAACCTGGGCAACAGAGACTCCGTCGCAAAAAAAAAAAAAAAAAAAAAAAAAATTACAGCTATGGCTGGCCGTGGTAGCTCATGCCTGTAATCCTAGCACTTTGGGAGACTGAGGCAGTAGGATCACTTGAGCCTAGGAATTCAAGACCAGCCTAGGCAACATAGTGAGACCCCATCTCTAAAAAAAGAGAAAAAAAGCATTAAAAAAATTAGCCAGGTATGGTGGTGCACACCTGCACTCGGAAGGCTGAGGCAGGAGGGTCACGTGAACCTGGAAGGTGGAAGCTGCAGTGAGCCGTGATTGTGCCACCGTACTCCAGCCTGGGTGACAGAGTAAGACTTTGTCTCAAAAAAAAGAAAAAAGATTTACAGAGTAATGTTTAGAATTGGGTGTTCCTCTAATCAAGCCAAATGTGACTCCTGGACAAGAAGGTAGCCACTGGAACCTCCTGAAGGGAGTAGAATCTGATTCCTTTAAAAGAAGGCAGGGTGCGATGGCTCATGCCTGTAATCCCAACACTTTGGGAGGCGAGGCGGGTGGATAACCTGAGGTCAGGAGTTCAAGACCACCCTGGCCAACATGGCGAAACCCTGTCTCTATTAAAAATACAGAAATCAGCTGGGTGCGGTGGTGTGCGCCTGTAGTCCCAGCTACTCGGGAGGCTGAGGCAGGAGAATCACTTAAACATGGGAGGCAGAGGTTGCAATGAGCTGATATTGTACCACTGCACTCCAGACTGGGCGATAGAGTGAGAATCCAGAAAAAAAAAAAAAAAAAGAATTTAAGCAGAGGTAGAGGTGGCCATTTGTAAGGGAATTTCTAGATTCAATAGAAGAAAGGGTTAAGATGATGTCTACCCTCTCATCAATAGAAAGACTACCAGACATTATGTATTCGCTGATATGATGTAAGAAATACAAAGAACTTCCTATTAAATATTCCTATTTTTAAAATTTGTATCTGATTTTAATTGAGCCTCTAGCTCTAAGTACTAAGTTACAGGAAAAATGTGGGCTAGAAGAACATGTTTTTTTTTTTTTTTGAGACAGAGTCTCCCTCTGTTGCCCAGGCTGGAGTGTAGTGGTGTGATCTCAGCTCACCACAACCTCCACCTCCCAGGTTCAAGGGATTCTCCTGCCTCAGCCTCCCGAGTAGCTGGGACTACAGGTGCATGCCACCATGCCCGACTAATTTTTATATTTTTAGTGGAGACGGGGTTTCACCATGTTGGCCAGGCTGGTCTTGAATTCCTGACCTCGTGATCTGCCCACCTTGGCCTCCCAAAGTGTGGGATTACAGGTGTGAGCCAGTGCACCCGGCCAGAACATGTTTTTTTTTTTTTTTTCTTAAGGACTTAGACTATAATCAGCAAAATCTACAATGTGTGAAATGTTAAAAGACAATGACCAAATTTCCTCAACAAATAAATGGAGGGGGAAAAAACATAGGGTATCATACTGGCAAAAAAAAAAAAAAAAAAAAAGACTTAAGAGCCTTATCATCAAAATGCAATATGTGTGTCTTGTTTGAATCCTGACTTGAAATAAAACAACTGTATAAAGACATTTATGGGACCACTGAGAAAACTGGAATATTGGCTAGGTATTATATTAAGAGATTATTGTTAATTTTTTAGGTATAATAATATTATTGGTTTGTCTTTTAAAAAAGAATCTGGCCAGGTGCAGTGGCTCATGCCTGTAATCCCAGCACTTTGGGAGGCCAAGGCAGGTGGATCACCTGAGGTCAGGAGTTCAAGACCAGCCTGGCCAACATAGTGAAACCCTGTCTCTACCAAAAAAAAAAAAAAAAACAACAAAAATTAGCCAGGCGTGGTGGCGCGTGCCTGTAATCCCAGCTACTCAGGAGGCTGAGGCAGGAGAATCGCATTAACCTGGGAGGCAGAGGCTGCAGTGAGTTGAGATCACGCCATTGTATTCCAGCCTGGGTGACAGAGCGAGACTCCGTCTCATTAAAAAAAAAAAAAAATCTTTATTTCTGAGAGATACATGCCAAATTATTTATGAATGAAATAATATAATATCAGAGATTCAGAGATTTGTTTTAAAATAATCTAGAGGAGGCTGGGCATCGTAGCTCATGCCTGTAATCCTAGCACTTTGGGTGGTTGAGGCGGGTAAACTACTTGAGCTCAGGAGGTAGAGACCAACCTGGGCAACATGGCAAAACCCTGTCGCTCCAAACCACACACAAAAATTGGTCGGATGTGGTGGTGTGTGCCTGTGGTCCCAGCTACTCAGGAAGCTGCAGTGGGAGGACCTCAGCAGTGGCCCTGATGACACCACTGCATTCCAGTCTGGGCAACAAAGCAAGACCTTGTCTCAAAAAATAAAATAAAATAATGTAGAGGGGAAAGGAAAGTGGGGGAGGTATAGCTAAATCAAAACTGGCCATATGTGTGGTGGCTCACGCCTGTAATCCCAGCACTTTGGGAGGCCAAGGCGGGCGGATCACGTGGTCAGGAGATGGAGACCATCCTGGATAATATGGTGAAACCCCGTCTCTACTAAAAATACAAAAATTAGCCTGGCATGGTGGCACGTGCCTGTAGTCCCAGCTACTTGGGAGGCTGAGGCAGGAGAATCACTTGAACCCGGGAGGCGGAGGTTGCAGTGAGCCGAGACTGCACCACTGCACTCCAGCCTGGGAGATAGAACGAGACCTCGTCTAAAAAATAAATAAATAAAATAAAATAAAACAAAAACTGGCCATATGTTGATAACTGTGCAAGATAATCACTATGGAAGCTGGTTATAAGTACCTGGAGGGTTATTATAACATTTATTCTTTTTTTTTTTTTTTTGAGATGGCAGTTTTGCTCTTGTTGCCCAGGCTGTAGTGCAATGGGCAGCTCACTGCAACCTCCATCTCCTGGGTTCAGGTGATTCTCCTGCCTCAGCCTCCTGAGTAGCTAGGTTTACAGGCATCCACCACCACCATGCCCAGCTAATTTTTTGTATTTTCGGTAGAGACTGGGTTTCACCATGTTGGCCAGGCTGGTCTCAAACTCCTGACCTCAAGTGATCCATCCACTTTGGCCTCCCAAAGTGCTGGGATTACAGGTGTGAGTCACTGTGCCCGGCCTACTCTTATTCTTTACTTTTGAATATATTTGAAATTTCCCATAACAAAAGTTAATTTTTTATTTTTTAGATATCTATAAGATGATGTCTGCCCAAGTTCAAAGTACAATGAAATTCAGAATATAGGTCAAGAGCAGTGTTTATATAACACTTTAGGAACTACGATTATGTCAAAATTAATCTGGTTACAAAAGACCACATACTGCATGATTCCATTTATATGAAATGTCCAGAACAGGCAAATCTCTAGAGAAAGAAAATAGATTAGTGGTTGCCTGGGGTTGGGGGAAGAAAAGGAGGAGATAAAGAGTGATTTGCCAACGGGTACAAAGTTTCTGATGAAAACACCTTTTTTTTTTTTTTTTTTTTGAGACAGGGTCTCCCTCTGTTGCCCAGGCTGAAGTGCAGCGGCACAATCTCAGCTCACTGCAACCTCTGCCTCCTGGGTTCAAACGATTCTCCCACCTCAAATGAAAACACTTTAAAACTGATTGTGGTGATGGATGGAGAACTCTGATATAATAAAACCCATTGTATTGTACACTTTAAATAGGTGAAATGTATGGCATGTAAATTACATATCAATAAAGCATTTTTTTTTTTTTAGCATTTTTTGAAAAACTAATTTGGTGGCCGGGCGTGGTGGCTCACACCTGTAATCCCAGCACTTTGGGAAGCTGAGGCAGGTGGATTGCTTGAGCTCAGAGTTTGAGACCAGCCTGGGCAACATGGTGAAACCCCGTCTCTACAAAATATACAAAAATTAGTCAGGTGTGGTGGCACATGCCTGTAATCCCAGCTACTTGGGAGGCTGAAGCACGAGAATCGCTTGAACCTGGGAGACGGAGGTTGCAGTGAGCTGAGGTTGTGCCACTGCACTCCAGCCTGGGCAACAGAGCGAGACTCTGTCTCAAAAAATAAATAAATTTTAAAAAGTAATGTAATTTGGTGCTTAATAAATGTTTTACAATAAGATAAAGAACTCTCAAATTATATTTTTTCTTTTTTTTTTTTGAGACAGTTTCACTCTTGTCACCCAGGCTGGAGTGCAGTGGCGTGATCTCGGCTCACTGCAACCTCCATCTCCTGGGTTCAAGCAATTCTCCTGCCTCAGCCTCCCGAGTAGCTGGGATTACAGGCACGTGCCACAATACCCGGCTAATTTTTTTTGTATTTTTAGTAGAGATGGGGTTTCACCACGTTGGTCAGGCTGGTCTCGAACTCCTGACCTCAGGTGATCCACCCGACTCAGCCTCCCAAAGTGCTGGGATTACAGGCGTGAGCCACCGCACCTGGCCAAATTATATTTTTTCATATGTGAATCCTAATTGGCATTTTCCTTCATCTACTTCCCAATTAATTCTATCTGATCACTTCTTTATTCTATGTCATATCACTCCTCTTTTTTTTGAGACAGGGTCTTGTTCTGTTGCTCAGGCTGGAGCGCAGTAGCATGACCACAGCTCGCCGCAGCCTCAACCTCCCAGTCTCAGTTGATCCTCCTGCTTCAGCCTCCCAAGTAGCTGGACTACTGACCCGCACCACCACACCCAGCTAATTTTCTCAGTCTTTGTAGAGATGGGGATCTTACTGTGTTGCCCAGCTGGTCTTGAACTCCTGGGCTCAAGTGATCCTCACACCTTGGCTTCTCAAAGTGCTGGTATTACAGGTGTGAGCCACTGCACCCAGCCTGTCATGTCACTTCTTAAGGACTCAGTTTTTAAACCAAGGACTCTAACAAAAATAAAGACTAGTTTGATTTTACTTTTTTTTTTTAAGAGATAGGGTCTCACTGTGTTGCCCAGGCTGGAGGAGAGTGGCTGTTCACAGGCATGTGCTCATAGCACACTACAGCCTGAAGCTCCTGGCCTCAAGTGATTTTCCTGCCTCAGTCTCCCAAGTAGCTGGGGTTACAGGCATGAGTCATCATGCTCCGCTTGATTTGATAAATATATTGAGAATAGATTGACTACTAGATAGATTTTTAAAAATTTGTTTCTTTACACTACTAGACAAAAAAATTAATGGTCAGTAAGTACTCTTTCATACTGTTTTCAGAAGTATAGTCTTCTTCAAAGCTAACTGGCCAGTATGTATCAATATTTTTTTTAAGTTTATAACATTCAAATTAGTCAGGTATGGTAGTGCATGCCTGTAGTCCCAACTACTCAAGGGGCTGAGGTGGGAGGATCTCTTGAGCCAAGAAGGTCAAGGCTACAGTGAGCTGTGATCATGTCACTGCACTCCAGCCAAGACAACAACATGAGACCCTGTCTCAAAAATGAAAAAAAAAAAGTTTATAACATTCAACTAGTTATTAGTCTTCTAAAAGGTTATTCTAAGGAGCTCATGAGAAACGTGACCACTTAAGTGCAAAGATATTCAACACAGTACTATGTTATTAAAAATTACAAGTAAGCCAGGAGCGGTGGCTCACCTTATAGTCACTTCTCACTTTATAGTCCCAGCACTTTGGGAGGCTGACGCAGGCGGATTACTTGAGGCCAGGAGTTCGAGACCAGCCTGGCCAACATGGTGAAACCCCTTCTCTACTAAAAATACAAAAAATTAGCCAGGCTTGGTGGCACACGCCTATGGTTCCAGCTACTCGGGAGGCTGAGGCAGAAGAATTGCTTGAACCCGGGAGGCGGAGGTTGCAGTGAGCCAAGGTTGTGCAACTGTACTCCAGCCTGGATGACAGAGCGAGACTGCCTCAAAAAAAAAAAAAAAATTGTAAGTAACCTAAATATTCAACAATAGTAGGATGGTTGAAGAAATAAATTACAGTACATTCATATGAAACACTTTATAACCATTAAAGGTAGTTTTTACAGCAAATGCTCACAGATATAACATGAGAAAGTCATGATACTAAACTGTATACATATAGTGTAAAGGATACTGCTTTTTGCAAAAACAAAACTATATAGTACATGTGTATAAAAATGAAAACCAAAGGTAAGCTTATGAAAACATTAAGAGTGAGATTATCAGTGATTTTTGATACTTTATGTATTTTCAAACTACCTGCAATGAAAAATGTTGCTATTTTGGGTAATACAAATTTTTTTTTGTTTTTGGTTTTGAGATAGAGTCTTGGTCTGTCGCCCAGGTTAGAATGCAGTGGCACAATCTCAGTTCACTGCAACCTCCACCTCCTGGGTTCAAGCAATTCTCCTGCCATCAGCCCCCCAAATAGCTGGGATTACAGGTGCCCGCCACCATGCCCAGCTAATTTTTTGTATTTATAATAGAGACAGGGTCTCACCATGTTGGCCAGGCTGGTCTTGAACTCCTGACCTTGGGTGATCCACCTGCCTCGGCCTCCCAAAATGCTGGGATCACAGGTGTGGGCCACCGTGCCCAGCTAATTTTTTTGTGTGTATTTTTAGTAGAGACGGGGTTTCATCATGTTAGCCAGGATGGTCTCAATCTCCTGACCTCATGATCCGCCCACCTCCGCCTCCCAAGTGCTGGGATTACAGGCATGAGCCACCATGCCTGGCCTTATTATTCTTAAAATAATTACTTGTGGCCTGGCACGGTGGCTCACGTGTATAATCCCTGCACTTTGGGAGGCCAAGGCGAGTGGATCACTTGAGGTTAGGGCTTCGAGATGAGCCTGGCCAACATGGTGAACCCCATCTCTACTAAAAATATAAAAATTAGCTGGGCGTGGTGGCACACACCTGTAATCCCAGCTACTCGGGAGGCTGAGGCAGGAGAAGTGGCCTGAACCCAGGAGGCAGAGGTTGCAGTGAGCTGAGATCACGTCACTGCACTCCAGCCTGGGCAACAGAGCGAGACTCTGTCTCAAAAAAAAAAAAAAATTATTTGTGTATTCTTGCTTCCTTAGATAGAAAGCTCACTGAGGCAGACTCCAGCTTTCCCTTATTCTTTAGATTCTTCCCATATCAACCAGTCCTATCAAAGACCACCTTAGTAAATGTTATTGTAAAATCTACATTAGGATACGGATCCTCAGAAATGTATCTTAATATCAAGTCTTAGGACAGGCACGGTGGCTCACACCTTTAATCCCAGCACTTTGGGAGGCTGAGGCGGGGGGATCACCTGAGGTCAGGAGTTCAAGACCAGCCTGGCCAACGTGGTGAAACCCTGTCTCTACTAAAAATACAAGAGTTAGCCAGGTGTGGTGGTGGACGCCTGTAATCTCAGCTACTTGGGAGGCTGAGGCAGGAGAATCACTTGAACCCGGGAGGCGGAGGTTGCAGTGAGCTGAGATCACGCCATTGCACTCCAGCCTGGGCAACAGGAGTGCAACTCTTCTCAGAAAAAAAAAAAAATGAATAAAAAATCAAATCTTATATTTATGTGGTATTCCCCTCAAAGGCTCTGGAGAACACAGTAAGTACTCAATAAACACTTACTCAACTGTAATTATATGTTGGTTGTCAGCATGCAAGGAACCTGCACCATTACAGAAACTGTCACAGCCAAGCTAAGGAAAAGTTCTCCAAGTTCAATTTCACAGAATCATACATGCCATTTTAGAGTTAGAACATATCTTTTTTTAAAAAAAAAGCCAGTTCTCTCATTTTACAGGTAAAACCTTGGCCCTGGGATATTAAGTGACTTGTCCAAATTTATACTGAGAGTTAATGTTGGAATCAGGAAAATAGTTCAGGCTTTGGAGTTAAGTGCATCAATGTAAGTTACAAACATTCTTCATGTCTTCAATTTCCAGAACTGACTATGATGTGCACTTCAGGTGCAGGCTCTACTCTTCACTCTGTATTATCTCAGTCAGTGGCTACCCTGTAGGCATATAGTACATTAAAAATTCCTTGAACACCAAACTTGACTTTTCCTAAAGGGATCAGGAAGGTCTTGATATTGCTGGTTCAGTATGATCTGGAAATGTCCACACTGAGCATATGGACATCCTACTGCAAAGCAGACCTGGAGGCTGAATCTTGGGATTCTAAGCCATAGAAGAATATATTTTCCTCTCAGCCTCCCTCCATTTCATGCTGTCATGCTGAATCACTCTCAAACACCTATGAACCATTCTTTTTTTTTTTTTTTTTTTGAAACGGAGTCTCATTCTGTTACCCAGGTTGGAGTGCAGTGGTGCGATCTCAGCTCACTGTAACCTCTGCCTCCCGAATTCAAGTGATTTCCCTGCCTCAGCCTCCCGAGTAGCTGGGACTACAGGCAAGTACCACCACGCCCGGCTAATTTTCTGTATTTTTAGTAGAGAAGGGGTTTCACTATGTTGGCCAGGATGGTCTCGATCTCCTGACCTTGTGATCTGCCCGCCTCGACCTCCCAAAGTGCTGGGATTACAGGAGTGAGCCACCGTGCCCGGCCCTGAACCATTCTTTAGCACAGCATACTGGAGAAGCCATGGGCAAATACTTAGTAATCTCTTACTTTAGAAGGAGGGAAGTTGCCTATGAGTGGTAATTCTGCCCCTTCCTCCACTCTAGCCAGAAAAATGTCTAGGTCTTGTCCTGAAGGCTTTCTGAGTAAAGTCAAAAGTTCTATTACCTCCTACTAAGCTGGGGATAGTATCTGTATAGAACACTCCCTTCTGATCTTTCCCTGCTTTCAGCTTTTATATGATCCTCCCCCCTCCCCCCAACCCCTGGTTGCATTCTTACCTGTTTGGCTAAGTGGGTGCCAGGCGGTATCCTGCTGCCCCCATCCAGAACAGCCAGCTTGAGAAGCCTGAAGACTGGCCTGATACAGAGACTCCAATTCTGAGGTCTCCTGCTCTGTGTCTTGGTTCCAATGTGGATGCAAAAGGATGTGATTTCTCTCTGGATAGGTTACACACGTATGGGAATCATGAGGGGAGGACTTCATTCCTGGCCTAGGTGCCCCATGCTTAAGCTGAGAATCACAGAACCTTGTGATATTCACCCAGGAATCCAAAGGCAAGGAAGTCCCCAAGTCAGTACTGCTGCCCAGATCCTTAGACCTAACATCTCTCACTTGGGACAGCTTCTCTTGGTATATGTCTGGCTCTGCCAACCTGGGCTGTCCTCCGCTAGAAGTTTCACCATTAGGCAGCCCAGAGTTTAAGGCAAGAGAAGAATGTTCAGTGGACTCTTCCCAGGAAAGTGGTCTATCCCCACCCTCCAGAGAGGATTGTTGCTTTGCCCATGGCCAGTGGCCTTTCTCTTGACCCTGTGAGAAAGGAGGCTTAGAATCAGAAGGGGAAGAGTTCTTCCTTAGACTACCTGACAAACTTCTATCCTTGAAACCTGTACTATCCCTCATGGAGACACCCTGCATCCTCTGGAACTGCTCAGCCAGAGAACGGACAAGCCCCTTTGTGCTGGGAAACTCTGGCCTATAGGTCTCCTCACTGCCTCTGTCCACTTTTAAAGTCAATGAAGTTTTGAGGCTTTGGCCTTGGAGGCATTGGTTAGTTTTCTGCACAGGATCAGGACAGTGAAGCACAAATGAAGAAGCAACAGGCATTATGGGGTGGCAGGTTCTATACAGGGGAAGGCTGGGCTGAGCTGATGAATTTGAAGGACTACAGCCTAGGCTGTGTTCATCACCCCTCTCAGAGGTGGCTATTCCAGGCATCACCGGGGAGGGGTTAGCAGGATCCTTCTTTTCTTGGAACAGCTGTTCTTGAGCAATGCCTCTTCCTTCTTGTGGAGGGAGCTTGCTGCAACTGCTGTTGTCACACCTAGAGCCTTGCAGCTTACCCTCTGGGGCATCCAATGGCTCCCAACTATGATGAGAATTCTTCTCAGTCCACCCTGGTGCTTTAGGTAAACCTTGCCTGTGGAATGCAGAGGGTTCAATGTTGTCTACTTCAACCGAAGTCAGAAGCTTCAAGGCAGATCTACTGGGGGAGCTGTGCTGTGGGGCAGATGACTCTGGAGATAGTGATGAGTGTGACTCATGGCAGGAAGCAGGTGAATGGAAGAAAGAACTGGCCCCAAACTCTGTATCCATGCCGGATTCCAGTTGGGCCTCTTGGCTTAACAATACTTGGAGCGGGATAGGCTGTTCACTGAAACAAATGGAGAGAGCTAGTCATAAGCTGCCTTGACTGACAGGAACACTTACAGAAAGAACTCAACATTCCATTCCCATTTCTAGCTATTCACACAGGGAATGGTAAAAATAAACAGAAAGACAAGCACAAGTAGAGTCAGTAGTTCAGAGGATCACAAAAGAAAAGGCACATGGTCAGCTCACACTCAGGTAAATAGGTAACGTTAATCCTCTTTATTAAACACCCTCACCAAAGTTGCACAGTAACATTAAGTGGAGCCCTTGCCAATATTCTTCACTACCTGTGAAGTCGCATTCCAATCACATTCTACTTGCAAATTAGGAAACAAAATCAGCTAGTCTCACATGCAGATGACATGGAAGGTAAGCAAAGCCTGAAAATCACTCATACCAAACAGCAAAAATCCAGGATGCTATACAGGGAGGCAAGTCCTACCTGGGGTCCTGAGAGGCAGCCCGGCCAAAGGAACTATGAGGCCACATTTACAAAATACAGGGTGATTTGGGCTCATGGGAATACACAGAAATTAACCATTTCAAATATGTTTTTATAATCTGGATTTTGTTCTATTAGTCACTGAGATGTTTCCCCAAAGCAATATGACTCTCTTGAGATTTAGGAGTAGGAGTAGGGATTAACTGTATTTAGTTGGTTTCTCACTAATTGTTTTGTATTTCTGACTTTAAAAACTTAATGTTACAAGGACTTAAATAAAGCCTCGATCACTCACATACATCAGGATGTATACGTTTTCTGGAAACGGTTTACCTATCTAAATTGCTTATATTCAAAACAAGCCCCTAAATTTGAATGAAAATATACTATCAACTTTTGAGGATATAGTCACCCAGTCACCCTTATAACATTATGGAGAATATGATTTACTAATATGGGAAGCCCAATCATACAAGGCAATATTACATAATGGTTAAGGACATGTGCTTTAGCATCAAATAGACCTGCAATTTTTTTTTTTTTTTTTTTTTTGAGACAAGGTCTTGCTCTGTCACCCAGGCTGGAGTGTGGCAGTGCCATCACGGCTCACTGCAGCCTTGACCTGCCGGGCTAACCGATTCTTCCACCCAAGCCTCCTAAGTAGCTGGGACCACAGGTATGCACCACCATGCCCAGCTAAATTTTTTGTGTTTTTTGTAGAGACAGGGTTTTACCGTGTTGCCCAGGCTGGTCTCAAACTCCTTGACTCAAATAATCTGCCCTCCTCGGCCTCCCAAAATTCTGGGATTACAGGCGTGAGCTACCATGCCTAGCAGTTAACTATTTTTGAACATTTGCCTTTTGAACATTGAACCCAGGAGGTTGAGGCTGCAGTAAGCTGTGATCGTGCCACTGCACTCCAGCCTGGGTGAAAAAGCAAGATCCTGTCTCCAAAAAAAAAAAAAAAAAAAAAATGTTAACTGCTTTTACTAATTTATATTTTGAAAACTACTCAGAATTATTAACGGTCCAAATTAATGTTTATTTAAATTCATCTATTCTAAGTAAAAGCCAAATTCCAGGGCTAAGATGTGAGAACTACAACAATGACTACTGGAACTTCTTTCCTAGTCCTGACCATAAAGAAGCAAAGCAAAGGGAATCTTTGTGTCTCTTCTCTATGGTGCAATCAGAGCAAGAAAGACTGCTTTCTCTGCTTCCATAAGGATAGGAAGCACTGAAATCCCAAAATAAATCACATGGTAGCTACTACAACATGAAATGTAGCCTGGATTGCCATGTCTAAGAACATAATATATACAAATATAATAATCGCGTTATTACACAAGTCCAGGGCTAAAGTTACCCATGGGAAATGTGGACAAATGGTCTTATTATGCTGTACTTTTTGCATCCTAGGAATTATTAAGATAAGGACCAGCAGTACAATGAGCTTTTCACTGTATGTCTGACCTGAAAGAAGAAAATCTTTTCAGAGGACTCCTCTCTCCCCTTCAGTCGCCAAGACAATGAGAGCTCTTGCTACAGAATACTCATGGTCATTTCTTCCCCTGGCATTCATAAACTAACATGGTTCCCAAGCACTACCTTGTTGGCTGAGAGAGAGTCCCCGCCTGTGTTGGGAGGCAGGCTGAGGGCTGCGACGGCTGCTGTGGTGATTGCTGCTGCTGCATGCGATCCTGCAGGCTCCGTGCTTTTCGAATACTGATTTGCAACTTCTTATCGACTAGGGCTCTGCTGTGCGTGCTACAGCTGGCACCATGCAGGGCAAGTCTTAGTTTAGCTAAAATGCAAAAGAAAATATAGCAGAAACAGAACACAAAACACAAATAAAAATAAAAAGAATAAAATTGAAAAAAAATGAGCAAAGATATGCAGTAAAACTCAAAATATGTAGCAGGAACGCAAGGCATGGACCATGCATATGCTGTCCAGGGCACACAGCTGCCTCTGGCTATAAGGAACATTGATGGAAGCCATGGAGGCCAAACAGGTTAATCCAAATTAAAAAAACAAAACTAAAATAAATCAAGAAGATAAACCAGTGCCTCCATCTTAGAGATTGCCACTCTTGTCCTTTGCATCTGACCTGTCTGACTCTGGTCTCCACACTCTACTCTCACCCCTCTCTTCCCAATGGCCAACAGCAGAAATAAGATCCAAACCTGCATCTGTCTTTATAGACCACAGCTTCTTGTGGGTCACATACAAGAAGCTGATACCAATTCTAAGCCTTAGTCTCTTGCTGTAAGTTTATGGTGCTGCATACTATGAAGGTAGGGGAGAATCAGAAAGAATCAAATACTGAATTAAAAAGTCACAGGCCTGGGAAGTCATAGCCAATTTATTCAGTTTTCCTTCTATAAGCTCCAACCCACTAGCCAGTGACTAGCAAAAGAGCAGACTAATTTCACATCTGAGGTCTAACTTTATCCTGAAATAAGAAGGTAGGCATGACTGGAGAAATCATCTATGGATTCCTTGCTGAGGTTATTCTGGTAAATATCCATAGGCCACAGTGCCAGTGCCAGGTACACTTAGAAATCAAAGGGCAAAAACAGCTAACGCGACTCAGTTTGGGAGAGCAAGAGTGAGGAGACACAAAAACTGTTTTTATCCTGTCTGAGTGACAACACTAATAATACCTATTGTGAAGTTAGTCAAAAGTGCCACAGCCATAGCAGTTAGAGTTACTTACAGATAGCTTCATTACAGAGAGCCAAAGCTGCAGCACAGTCTCCTTTCTGTTCCAGATGTAGTGACTCTTCAAACACTGACTCTGCCTCTTGCAGGGACCTCTCAAAGCCGTCACTCCTCCCTGAAAGGGCCAGCACTTTTCATTTTCATTACAATTCATTCCAAATTTTCCTGTGTACTGTTGTTTCCCTTCAGTACACAGAGATCCTTGCTGCTGAGCCACTGGTCTACCCTTATTCCAACTGTCTATTCCTATTAAGAATTATCTGAAAACAAGCAGGACATCCATTTTGCCTTAACCAAGATGTTACCAAGGCCATGAAAGAGAGGCATGCCATTAATGGCCACATATTCTAACACCAAGACCCTTAGGAAGTCCCTCAAGGAAGGAGCTCCAGTGGTGCAATCGGTTAGCGCGCGGTACTTATATGACAGTGCGAGCGGAGGAAGTCCCTCAAGGAAAGAACAAAGTAATAGCAGAAGGTTAGGTTCTTATGCCCGGAATTGAACTGCTCTTTCCCAGTGCAATTCTTGCCAACTAGTGTCAGAACACCCTAGATGTCAACTAAGACGTTCACTGCTATGTTATGGCAAAGGTAGCTTCATTATTCTGTGGACAGCCATTCATACCACTTATTTACTTCACCAATTCACAGTCCTCTATGCACCACCCTAAACTGGAAAATCAGTGCACTTCTTGGTCACAGATGGTCTACACTTCCTAATCCAATGTATCTGCCAGGGCAGTTGAACTGCCTTCATTCCTGGTTTGCATATACATACTTGTCATAAGCGTTGCTAAGTATTTACTTTCATCATGCTATTCCTCACCAAAACTACCCCCAAAGAAGTCACCTTCCCATACAGCAAGCAGGGAATATTCCATCCTCCTCTCAAAGTGAATGTGTGCCAAAGCAGGTGCAGAAGAGTCTAAAAACAATACCGGATGAAAAGGCTAGGAAGTACAGGCAGAAAAATTTTTGTAAAAGAACTCTCATGTTTATGTATCCCTTGCCCTCTACTTACTCATAATCATACATTGGCAGCAAGCTGTAATGTAATTTCACCTACAAATGGGATTGCCAGTGAGCCTTCACAAGGTTGCAGGGAAAAAAAAATGTCTGAGTCACTTCTCCCATAATGTCCCTCATCCTCCACTTACCTCCAGCAGGACATGGTAAGAAAGGCTCTTCCACATCCCTAACATTCACTTCCTAATTCATCATGACTTTTTGAGAGCAATGGGAAGACAATGGAAACAGCAGGTTGGTTCTGAAGAACTTGGCACTCAGGATCCACTCTATCTCTAGAGGTGTGGTTTCCCTTACTCCCCAGACCTGAAGTTCTCTCATAATATTTGTAATCAACTAAATGTATACAACCTTTATAATCAGAGGTAGGGCGTAGAGCCATTTTTTTTAAGTTCTCTACTCTATGGAGATCTAGACAAGCTATAGTTGATCAATCACTGTACTAAATTTTAATTCTTATCCTTCAGAATCTTAGCATTCCATTCCTTGCTCATGCAGGAAATGCTGAACCACAGTGTATAGAGAACTGACAATGAAATATTGCCAGTGGGATCTCCTCCTAACTTTAATCTATTGCCCAACTGGCAGAGAGAGAAAAAAAGGAGAGAAATGACAAGACCCCTTTTTTCAGAAGCAAAATAAACCTGGGACACCAATGTGATACAGCTTGAGGTCAAAAAGGGAAAAAAGACTATCCAAATATAGAGACAGCTAAGTATTAGGAATTTAAAACTAATTTGGAAACTAATACAATGTCTTGGGAAATATAAGGCAACAATTACCTTGAATCAAAAGAGAGTAGTATTAAAGGAAAAAAGCTGCCCCCAAACAGGATTACTTGGCCCAAGAAGATTCTCTAAGTGTATATAAAAAGAGAAAAGTGGTCAACAGAAAACAGCCAGCAAAGTTAAAAGCTTGCACTTACAAACTGGGACCTTCATACTGCTTTAGCACAATTTGTTGTAAGTGGGGTTTCCGAATTATAAAAACAATAAAGTCATTTTATAGGAAAAAAACTAAGATATATGGCCTATTTAAGGTAGATACTTCAGCTTGGCTGAACTATTTTGAAGGCTAGTCTCTTTTGGTACAAAGTGACATCCTAAAAAAATTCTAGGAAGAAAAAAAGTCTAACATGGGGCAGTTGTGGAAGTAAAGTCCATGCAAATTGTTTGAGGTTACAGAATCAATTGTCATGGTATCAAAAGTAAACTGGCTTTGTTCTTGCTCCTGTTTGGCAGATCCACTTCCCTGATGCTCCAGGTGGAATATTTCATGGGTATGTTTCTTCCCAGCAAGTAGAATTCCCCTCACTGTCAGTGTGGCTCACTGCCATTTTCAGCTATTTCTGACTCAAGGCTAGTTTTATTTACACCTTCAACAGATGTTCATGGGAAACATTATTCATGAACGATATACTATCTCTAATCTATAGGCTTTTAATAGATGTGCCCCAAATCAGTGCCTATCTCCAGTCAATAGTCTTGTCACATCCTACTCTAACTTGTTCTCACTGGAATGGGTGAATTAAGACTTAAAAAATTATTTTGCTAAAGAGAAGACAGGGAACTTACAAGCTTAGATGTTTTTTTCTACCCTTTCTGTCTGTCCCCATCACCCACAACCTAATGCTCACAACAATTACCCTGATTCTGCAGTTCATCCAAGTCCATGAAGCGGCTAGGATGAGGGTTAAACCCTTTCGCTGCCTCTAACTCCTTCTCCCGTTTTCTTCGAAGTTCCTGTTCCTGCGCCCTCCTGGCCACCTCTTCCTGCAATTCATCCAGTTCACTTTTAGAAGATATCTCCTCACCTGTAATATAAGCAAGGGAGAAGTCACCACATTTCCATTACCAAGACTAAGTACTTGATGAATTTATGACCACTGCAATACTTTCCTTTTGGAATTCTTGCTTTCAATTTGGAGTTTATTTATTTATTATTTATTATTATTATTATTATTATTATTATTATTATTATTATTATTTTGAGACGGAGTCTCACTGTGTTCCCAGGCTGGAGTGCAATGGCGCAATCTTGGCTCACTGCAACCTCCGCCTCCCGGGTTCAAGCGATTCTTCTGCCTCAGCTTCCTGAGTAGCTGGGACTACAGGCACATGCCACCAAGCCCAGCTAATTTTTGTGTTTTTAGTAGAGACGGGGTTTCACCATGTTGGTCAGGCTGGTCTCGAACTCCTGACCTCGTGATCCACCCACCTTGGCCTCCCAAAGTGCTGGGATTACATACAGGTGTGAGCCACTGCGCCTGGCCCAATTTGGAGCTTATATTTTGGATAATGCTTTCCATAATTAGATTCCGGATGGCACTTGGGCCAGGAATAATAATAATAATAACAACAGGCCGGGCATGGTGACTCACGCCTGTAATCCCAGCACTCTGGGAGGCCAAGGCGGGAGGATCACCTGAGGTCAGGAGTTTGAGACCAGCCTGGCCAACATGGTGAAACCCCGTCTCTACTAAAAATACAAAAATTAGCCAGGTTTGGTGGCAGGCGCCTGTTATCCCAGCTACTCGGGAGGCTGAGGCAGGAGAATCACTTTAACCCGGGAGGTGGAGGTTGCAGTGAGCCAAGATCGCGCCATTGCACTCCAGCCTGGGAGACAAGAGCAAGACTTCGTCTCAAAATAATAATAATAATAACAACAACAACAACAACATTTATGGAGTGCTTCACAACAATAGTATTACGCTGAACATTTGTTCAGCACTTACTATGTGCCAGAAACAGTTTTAAGCATGTTTACATGTATTATTTCATTTAATCATAACAACAACTTATGAGGTAGATACTATTACCCCCATTTTAGGAATGAGGAAACTGAGTCACAGGAGGATAAATAATTTGCCCAAGGTAAACCAAATGGGAAATAATGGAGCTAAATTAAAGTCAAGTAGGTTAAATTCATAATCATGCTCTAATCATTAGAGAACACTTTCTACCAGGTGCTGTCACTGACTGACTGGGGAGCTTCAAGAATGTCATTTTCTCACCCTTAATTTCCACCACCTCTTTGAATTTGTAAAATGTCCACAGCAGTATAAGTCCAATTTTATAAACCTTTCTAGATGGATCTAAATAGATCCAGAAGGATGTCCATAATAAATTAAGTGAAAAATTGAGAGAATAACATGCATAGTATGACTTCATCTTTTTAAAAATGGTGCTTACCTATATATATATGTACATAAACTTATCTATGTACTTGTGTAAGCATAGAAAAAGACAGAAAGATATATACCGCAATGGTAACACTGGCTCCTTCAATTTCAGGAGGCAAAGGGCAGATTATTGAATTACTGGACTTGATTTACCCCTGTAGTTTTTTAAAGGAGTATGCAAAGTTACCATATAAGAATGTTTGTTCTGTGTCTTAATAAAATGGTTAGATCAAATTGTGGCGCATAAATAGGGCTTATTATACAAACAGGATGGTGGGGTGATATGGTGTGTGAAGAATCTTGTCATAACTCCTTGCTAATTATCTTTTACCAGTTGAAGAACGCTGTTGGTGAATTCTATCCAACTGGTCCAGAATTGAGGACTATTCAGGAGATCATGAGACTCAGTCATTAGTGTAATTAAAAAAATGCTGGCTATCTGAAGAGAAGGGAGAATAGTCTCATGCACGATTCACAAGTTTCTTGAAACAATGTTATTCAACATGAAATAAATTAAAATGTGGGGAATAAATCAAATGTATAATTACAATGGGAAGCCCAAATGTCTTCCACGTGTCTCTAACTATAACTTACTAGAGCCCAGGATTCCAGAGATATCTGCCTCTATAGGCATTGTTCTGCTCTGCCAGATGTCCACAACCTTTAGTATACATACCTAAAAGGGTTCATGCCTTTTTACTACTGCTGCTGCAGGCCTTTCTTCCTGCTACCTCTAAGAATTGTCAGTAACTATCAAGAGAATTGGTAGTAAGACTAAGATATTTAGCCAGGGGTAAGGATAAATTTGAATTGCTTATTTCCAAGTTTTGCAAATAGCCACATGTACCCCTTTGGTATGTCAATTCATAATACTAAACAATAAGAAATCCATTTCCCAAGAGGCTGTCCCTAATCCAAGGAAAGCCCTAGGATTTATTCTTCTGAAGAATGGGGATGTTAGTAACACTGTTCACCATATTTCTGTCCCTTCTTGCTCCCACAAGGGCTCCCTCCAGGTAGAAAGAAATATTCATGCAGGCTGTGATGGAGAACAAAAAATAGATAAATCCAAAGATGGAGCAACTGAAATGACTCTACATTTACATTCTGATGGAATACTCAAACTGTAACTGTCCTCTTTTTTTTTGAAATGGAGTCTCACTCTGTCGCCCAGGCTGGAGTGCAGTGGCACGATCTTGGCTCACTGCAACCTCCGCCTCCCAGGTTCAAGCAATTCTCCTGCCTCAGCCTCCCGAGCAGCTGGGACTACAGGTGCACGCCGCTACGCTGGTTAATTTTTTGTATTTTAGTAGAGACGGGGTTTCACCATGTTGCCCAGGCTGGTCACGAACTCCTGAGCTCAGGCAATCTGCCTGCCTCGGCCTCCCAAAGTGCTGGGATTACAGGTGTGAGCCACCGCGCCCGGCCTGTAACTGTCCTCTAATTTCAAATGTGCTCAGGTAAGTCTGGTCCCCAGACAAAACTGCCGGTCAAATCCAGTCCTCAAATTCAGTGTCATTCTGCTTACCAGAGAAAGGCTGACTCTTTGTCCAGCCACCCATGGATGCTGTGGAGTCTACCTCCAGGATGCTACTGCTGTGCGACTTTGGGATATGACGCCAGGAAGGAACCAACCCAGCTGATCTCTTAGCACTTGGATCCCTTCAAAAGAGAACTCAGAGTCTAGTGAAAGCATGAAAGCAGGTTATAGCAACATTCCTAGGACTAAATCTCTCTCTCAAAAAAAAAAAATCAAACTACACAATTAGAGCTTCTGCTAAACTACTTCTGAAGAATTGAAATATCCACTCATTCTCCTATCTAACCTCATCTCACCTCATTCACAACTTGTGCATCTAGCACAGTATCTGGTACATAATACATATTCAAAATCTGTTGAATGTACTAATGAACATATTGGTTTCATATTTATTTCCTTCTTTCTTACTAAACCTTTGTAGCATCTTCTCATAAGTAAAACTCAACAGGATCCTGTGGACAGGGAAGAACATTGACAGAGTATGAACATGTGGTTATCACCTTTGTAGAAGATATAATCATGCTTTTCAAAGCAGCTCTACTATTAGAAAAATTGCCTTGGCCAGGTACAGTGGCTCATGCCTGTAATCCCAGCACTTTGGGAGGCTGAGGCAGGCGGATCATGAGATCAAGAGATCAAGACCATCCTGGCCAACATGGTGAAACCCCATCTCTACTAAAATTACAAAAATTAGCTGGGTGTGGTGGTGGGCGCCTGTAGTGCCAGCTACTAGGGAGGCTGAGGCAGGAGAATCGCTTGAACCCAGGAGGCAGAGGTTGCAGTGAGCCGAGATCGTGCCATTGCACTCCAGCCTGGTGACAGAGCGAGACACTCCATCTCAAAAAAAAAAAAAAAAAAAAGAAAACAGAAAAATTGCCTCTGTGGCAACTCAGTAAAAATAATGTATGGAGATTTGAAAGTTATAAAGCAAACTGAGCCCTATGGGCAGGGTACAATGAGTGCTAATAAACTGTCATCATTATTATGAATATTATTAGCATTATAAAACACAAAGTCCCAGTGACCCTAAAACAAATCAAAATAAAAACTATCCCACCATACTGGGTGTGGTGACTCACACCTATAATCTCAGTACTCTGGGAGGCTGAGGTGGGTAAATCACTTGAGCCCAGGAGTTCAAGACAAGCCTGGGCAAAATGATGAAACCCCATCGATACCAAAAAAAAAAAAAAAAAAAAAGCAACGACAACAAAACACTGTCCCAAAATAACATTTGGGCTTCTTCTCTGATTTTAGTATTACATAAGTTTTAATTCACTAATCCATTCTTTTTGAGATGGAGTTTCGCTCTTGTCACCCAGGCTGGAGTGCAGTGACGTGATCTTGGCTCACTGCAAACTCCGCCTCCCGGGTTCAAGTGATTCTCCTGCCTCAGCCTCCAGAGTAGCTGGGACTAGAGGTGCGCGCCACCATGCCCAGCTAATTTTTGTGTTTTTAGTAGAGACGGGGTTTCACCATGTTGGCCAAGATGTTCTCGATCTCCTGACCTTGTGATCCACCCAGCTCGGCCTCCCAAAGTGCTAGGATTACAGGCATGAGCCACCGCGCCTGGCCCACTAATACATTCTTTTTTTGTTTGTTTGTTTTTTTGAGATGGAGTTTCACTCTGTTGCCCAGACTGGAGTGCAATGGCACGATCTTGGCTCACTGCAACGTCCACCTCCTGGGTTCAAGTAATTCTCCTGCCTCAGCCTCCCAAGTAGCTGGGATTACAGGCTCCCACCACCACGCCCGGCTAATTTTTGTTTTTGTATCTTTAGTAGAGACGGGGTTTCACCATGTTGGCCAGGCTGGTCACGAACTTCTGACGTCGTGATCCACCCGCCTCGGCCTCCCAAAGTGCTGGGATTACAAGCGTGAGCTACTGCGGCAGGCCTAGTCCGTTTTTGTTTCTTTTTTTTTTTTTTGAGATGGAGCCTTGCTCTGTCGCCTAGGCTGGAGTTGCCATGGCACGAGCTCGGCTCATTACCACCTCCACCTCCTGGATTCCAGCGATTCTCCTGCCTTAGCCTCCCAAGTAATTGGGATTACAGACGCCCACCACCATGCCTCACTAATTTTTGTGCTAGCCTGGGATTACAGGCGTGAGCCAACATGCCTGACCTAATCTGTTCTTTAATACATTTTTTTACTGTGTATATTTAAGGTATACAACATGATGTTATGAGATACATAGAGACAGTAAAATGGTTACTATAATTGAAGGAAATTAATATACCCATCATCTCATATAGTTACCCATTTTTTTTGTTTTTGTGGCAAGAGGAGTTAAAATCTACTCATTTACCATGAATCTCATATGCAGTACAATTTTATTAATTGTAGTCATGTTTTACATTAGATCCCTAGACTTGTTTATCCTACATATCTGAAAAATACAGAAATCTTCACAAATTTTTGTGCCACCTTTGAGCAGGAGCCATGCTAATCTTCTCTGTATTGTTCCAATTTTAGTATATGTGCTACCAAAGCAAGCACTAAACAATTATTTCATTATCCTTAGCAAACTAAGACAGGAACAGAAAACCAAATACAGCATATTGTCACTTATAAGTGGGAGCTACATGGTGAGGACACATGAACACACAGAGGGGAACAACAGACACAGGCCTATCGGAGGGTGGAGGGTGGGAGGAAAGAAAGGATCAGGAAAAATAATTAGTGAGTACTAGCTTAATATGTGGGTAACAAAATAATCTGTACAATGAACTCCTATGACACAAGTTTATCCTAACAAACCTGCACATATGCCCCCTGAACCTAATTTTTTAAAATTATTTTATACATGATAACTGTATTTCAAATAGAAAGTTCTCTCTCCTTTCTCAAGTGCCTCTGTTCTTCCAGCAGAGGGTGCTGTTGTTATAGGAAGTTGAAAGAGCACATAGAGATAATAGCAAAGGCCATCCCTCCACTTGTCTCAGCCATGCCTGAAAGCCCCAAGTAGGTGGCTCACATTGCTGCAAGAGACAATGTTGCTGTTCAAAGGCCAAACAATACCTGTAGACATTTGAGCTCTCAGGCAGGGCTGCATCCAGGCTGACAGGGCTGCTGCTGTTCCTCTCACTGCTTTCATAGCCAGATTCCATTCGCTGGATTAGTCGGGGGTGCTGCTCTAAAAGGTGAGAGCCTGGCCGTGCTGGGCCCCAGCGCTTGTACTGGGGGCTTGGTCCACCAAATTTAATGTCGTAAGAAGGTGGCTTGCTTGGTTCATCTGGTATAAATTCTTTAGCTATCCCAATCAAAAGACAGGTATGGAAAATGAGGTAGATTTAGCATTTGCCTAAAATCAAGACCTAACTAGCTCCTCCCTCTAGCTACTTATTCACTGAACTCATATCCCTAAAACACCCGACATCAGAGTAAAAGTGCCCCTTGCCAGATGTACCAAAAAACCCAGGTTTTAAAAAGACATAAATCAACTTTATTCAAAAGCCCAATTCTTCCCTAATTATCTCCTCACCTGAATCCTCAGAAAAGGGGCTAAGCTGGGTATAGCCACAGTGCTTCCTTTTGTCCTTACTAAAGATACTGTCAATATTCAGAGATTCTCGTTTGGGTCTCCATGTGGGACGATACTTGCTGGAAGAACTGGATTTTGACTCACTGCTGGTACTCTCTATTTCCCAGTCACGAGAGTGTAAAGGCAGGGTCCTAGGAGGTTTTTTGTCAGGCTGGTCTCCTCCTCTGCCCCTGCAGTGAGAGCCTACATTGGTCTGAGAAGCCAGGGATGGTCTGTTATGGATCATATTGCTGACTGTCTCTTTAAAATCTCTCAGCCTGTTGGTGCTGCTGGATGGTTTGGAGGCATTTCTAGGAGCCTGCTTCTCTTTCAGTGTTTCTCCTAAAAACACAAAGAATGAAAGAAATATAGATGTTTAAAGTGATCATGGATACTAGACCCCAATGTCGAAAAAGCAAAGAAAAGCCCTCTGAACAGAAAGGAGAAGCCAACAGTCTGGAGCATGACAGAAGTTTGATAGAGTGAATGAAGGAGAAAGAGAAGCAGTGCAGAAGGGCTTGCCTTCACTGTGGTATCCCGAGGCCTGGGGCTCATCGCCTTTCCTCCTAACCCGACCAGAGCTCCTCTTGCGCTCTATCAGTGACCCTTTCTTGGATGTGTGTTTCTGATTACATTCACTATCAGTCAGGTGTCCTGAAAAAACAAGGAAATTGGGGTAAGCTGGTATCTGAGACTAACCTCCACCCTCCTGAGAACCTACCTAATCTCCCTTTGGGAGTGCCACAAATTTAGAGTACCCATGGAACAGAAGCTGTAGGGCATAGGCTATCTGATTTCAGTGTAGGAACCTCCCAGTAGATAAATGCAGAGAAGGGCCAGGTGCAGTGACTCACACCTATAATTGCAGCACTTTGGGAGGCTAAGGCGGGCAGATCACTTGAGGCCAGGAGTTCGAGACCAGACTGACCAACATGGCAAAACCCTGTCTCTACTAAAAATACAAAAATTAGTCCGGCATGGTGGCATGTGCCTGTAGTCCCAGCTACTGAGAGGCTAAGGCATTAGAATCACTTGAACCCAGGAGGTTGCAGTGAGCCGAGATCACGCCACTGCACTCCAGCCTGGACGACAGAGCAAGACTGTCTCAAAAAAAAAAAAAAAAGATAAATGCAGAGAAGCTGGGAGCATCCAAATTTACAATGTCTCCTGAGCAATGACCAATCTCAATCCCACTCCTAATCTTCCCCAGTGACCCAGAAGGACTAATGACATGTTTCTAGGTAACTTTTTAAAGGCAAAAGTTTTAAAGATTATATAAAAATGTCAGGTAGCCATATACTTTCACTCTCATAAATTGAAGACAGAGTTTTCCTTTTATTTATTTAGCAACACATATCAAATAAAGTCTGATTTTCAGTACATCTGGTATTATCCTGGATACTCCAGACTTTGCCCACAAGAGGTCTGATTTTATATGGCTTTAAGACCCAGTTCCAAGCTTTCCTTAATTGTGGATCATTTAAAGGGCATTTCAACTTTGATTCTCATTCCTATCCCCAACCCATCTTCACGAAACTTGGCTCCATCCAGAGATTACACTTCATAGTTCCTTAATACTAATCACTGGGAAAACCAGGAGAGCTGGGCTCTTTTATGTAACTTGCCCTGCTTCATGCCCATAGTATGCAAATACATGAGCATGATTTGATGACAGCAAAAGTCAGATTCTAAAGGATATAAGCAACTAAATTGCTAGAAGCCAGAGATGAATTAAGCAGGTAAATTAAGTTTGAAGATATGCTTAGAAAAAAAAAACCTAGGTCAAATGCATGGAGAGCTAACAAAAATTTGTTTTCACATGATAGCATATGAGAATCCTTATGCATATTCAAGTATCACCAGTGTAGTGATATGGATACATATTTTCAATCAGTTGCCCCTTGGAATCTTGTATTGCTTTTATTTGGTCGTTTGCTACCTCTGTGCCCACAAGAAAGATTTAAGAGAGGAGGAAATAACTTGGAACAACTAAGTCTTTTTTTTTTTTTGAGACGGAGTCTCGCTCTGTCACCCAGGCTGGAGTGCAGTGGTGCGATCTCAACTCACTGCAAGCTCCGCCTTCCGGGTTCACGCCATTCTCCTGCCTCAGCCTCCTGAGTAGCTGGGACTACAGACGCCTGCCACCACACCCAGCTAACTTTTTGTATTTTTTTTAGTAGAGACGGGGTTTCACCATGTTAGCCAGGATGGTCTCGATCTCCTGACCTCGTGATCCACCCACCTCGGCCTCCCAAAGTGCTGGGATTACAGGCGTGAGCCACTGTGCCCGGCCGCAACTAAGTCTTACAAATGTTAAACCAATGGGCATGTTCAAACCATTAACACAAATCTGCCTCTACTGGAAAATATGCTTAGTTTATCCTGTGGCTTGGCTTCTCTCTGGTTCACAGCTTCAAAAAGTGGGTCTAAAAAACTCACACCTGACACAATCAATGCAGTAGTCATCAAAAGAAAGCCAGCACAAGTCTGACAAAACCTCTAGGTCCAACTACCAATTTACAAGAAATATAGGACACAGAAACGTGTTAAAGTATACCATAGGAATAAAATCAGCAAAATTCAGAATGTGGGAAATCTACAGGACAAAATACCTAGTTCTAGCAATAAATTGCAAGGAAAAAAAATAGAGGAAAAAACAGTAGATTAAAAGAAATGCAAAGGACTTATCAACTCATCAGAATGCATAGACCTCATTTAGATGCTGAGTCAAACACATAAACCATGAAAATATTATGATACTTATAAGTGGATATGTGAACACTCATTGGTTACCTATCAGTTTTAAGGAATCATCATTATTATTTTTAAGTGTTACAATGCTGGGCTGGGCACGGTGGCTCACGCCTGTAATCCCAGCACTTTGGGAGGCCGAGGTGGGTGGATCACGAGGTCAGGAGATCGAGACCATCCTGGCTAACACGGTGAAACCCCGTCTCTACTAAAAATACAAAAAATTAGCCAGGCGTGGTGGCGGGCGCCTGTGGTCCCAGCTACTCGGGAGGCTGAGGCAGGAGAATGGCATGAACCTGGGAGGTGGAGATTGCAGTGAGCCAAGATCGTGCCACTGCACTCCAGCCTGGGCGACAGAGCGACTCCAACTCAAAAAAAAAAAGGTGTTATAATGCTATGTTTAAAAAGTGATTTCTTATGTTTGAGCAAACATAAGATATATTTATGGAAAATGTGATATAATGCCTGGGATGTGCTTCAAAATAATCCAGGAGTGGGTAAAGGTACAGGTAAAACTAGACTGGCCATGAGTTATAATTACTGAAACTAGGTGATGGGTACATGAATGGGCAGTACACTATTCTATACAGTTTTGAATATCTTTGAAATTCTTGATATTTAAAAAAAAAAAAAGCCCCCACAGCTTATAAACCACCAATCTCAAACAATGAGCTCACAAATTCTCACAGTCCCTAAGAATATGGACACTGTTCTATGCCTTAGGCATTCTATCTCCCAGAATAAACTTTCCATCTCAGCAGTCATTCACTGTTCTTCCCTGTATTGATTTCTTCCTCTGACATGGGCATACTCTCCTACAGATAAACAAAACAATGCAAGAATATTCTCTGCATGGAACTCACAATAACAAATAGGTATCTTTCATTCTTTTGCTTCTCTATCCTTCAGGAAGCTTAGCAAGCTGACATGCAGTTGTCCCTCACCAATCCCATAAATAGGCCCCTTCTATCAAAGCTCTTCACTTAGGACAAAGCCTGGCATGAGAACATGATGATGTGCAAGATCACAGGGGCTTAATGGGATACTACGGGAATCAAGAGTATAGGAGAAGAAAAGCACACTTCAGAATAATCACATCAATAATCACATTACAATCGTCTTTATTGACATGCTGCTATTGACAGGAGTATGTGCAATGGAGCATCACGGTTCATTCAAAACTGTGTTGCTTCTTTGTATCCCATTGAATTGCCCAAATTCTGTGCCATTGTGCCTTTGCGTAACGAACATTTCTGACTTCCCCCAGTTTCTTTCTCCTTTTTTTTTTTTTTGAGACGGAGTCTCGCTCTGTTGCCCAGGCTGGAGTGCAGTGGCACGATCCCAGCTCACTGAAAGCTTCGCCTCCTGGGTTCATGCCATTCTCCTGCCTCAGCCTCCCGAGTAGGTAGGACTACAGGTGCCTGCCACCATGCCCAACTAATTTTTTTTTTGTATTTTTAGTAGAGACGGAGTTTCACCGTGTGTTAGCCAGGATGGTCTCCATCTCCTTACCTCATGATCCACCCACCTTGGCCGCCCGCCTCGGCCTCCCAAAGTGCTGGGATTACAGGTGTGAGCCACTGCGCCTGGCCTCACAGTTTCTTTTTCTTAGGAGATCTATGCAGGAATTGATTCAGGCAAGCAGGACCCTCTGTATAAGTCCCTACCTGTGTCCCGACTGCTCTGAGACATGGAATCATTTTCCACATTATAGATGACTGTCCCCTGAGAATCAGAAGAGAAGTGACTGACCACAGACTCATGGTGGGAATGTTTGTAGGGATAGCTCTCCGTTGAGGAATCTGTTCGAGTGTCACTTGAGATGGAGGGCTCCCTCCCTGAGAGGAGGAGGAAACACATATGCAAAAAGTGAGGAAACAGAACAGTAGCAAAGAGAAGGAAAAGAGATGGACACAACAAAGCTCCATAAGGCAAGAACTTCCTAGACACAAGTGTGAGAAGGATATGCTATACCATCAAGCCATTCTTCCCAACACCCAACTTCCAGATCACCCAGACACATGTAAAATTCCTCCCATCCCTTTCCCTACCCTGCTGAAGCCCTCACTTTGCCTGCCACTGTGAAAAACTGTGAGGGTTTTATAAAACCTATCGGGGGAAAAGCAGAAGTGATGAAAAAGTTGTGAAAAGTAAGATCTATTTAGATGGAAAGTCCCAGGACAACCTGTCATACATAGTCAGTTGTTCTCCTATCCCATAATCTTTCTCCTATACTGCCAAGAATGTCACTTAAATTTTTGAATTGATACCAGATGCATTTTTAATGACTCTGAGAAATTATTGGGGCTGTTATATGACATACATTAGTATAAATTAGTTCAATCAGACTGCTTCCCTCTGAATACCTAGCTGAGATAAGCATAATAGGACAAATGGGTATTTGACTGAAGGGAGAAGAGGTAGAACAGGTCTGGGTGGGGTATGAAAGGTGGAAGAAAGCACCAGGTACCAAGCAGGAGGGAGGTACAAAGGGGAGAAAGAAAGACGTCAAAGTCAAGTATCTTCTCTTTCAAAATTATATCAAGGGCCAGTACCAGATCCAGAAGGGTAAAATAATATTTCTTCCTCCTTTTCAGTAATCAAGCCAAAACTATTAGGTTATACCTCAAATATATTATAAGATTCTGTGAGCTACCCTAGAACTTTAGCCATCAAGCTGAAAATTGTTTTTACAGAAAGTCGTTACTTAAGTTCTGAAAAATTAACTTAGAAGTGAACAACTGATTCATAAGCAGAGGAATATTACTACTGGACAAGGAATTTTTCCCCCCTCCAAGACAGAGTCTTGCTATTTTGCCCAGGCTAGGCTCGAACTCCAGGGCTCAAGTGATCCTCCCACCTCAGCCTCCCAAATAGCTAGGATAACAGGCATGCATCACCCTGCCCAGCTACACATTTGCAATTTTAAAACAAAAATATCTCATGCCAAACAAAATAACTAGCCTTGTAGTGGCTCAAATAAAACAACTCAATTAAGTCACTGGTAAATTGCTAATAAAAATCAGCCATCCTCACCAATATTAGAAGGTTAAATATTGAGCCTTGCAAACTTAATATCTCAGTCTAAATAAACATAATTTCCTTTTCACTTCTGAGTTGAGGCCAAGTGATTTAGGCAACACTGTTTTGACAACTGAAGGAAATAAAGGCTGGCCCAAGTTAGGCTTCAGCACAAATTGGCACTTCTTTCTTACCTCTAATGGATCCTCTTTCTCCAAGCTAGGTTACGAGCTAAGCACATAATTAACTATGAGTCCCAACTGTTTGATCGCATGGGGTGAGGAGAGAGGAGAGGTAAAGAGCCTGGCTGCTCACCTGAATCTTCACTGTCGTAGCATGTCCTGCTGTATGACTGGAACTCAGCTTGGGGAGGCAGGTCCTGGGTGGAAACTGGGGTACCCTGGGGATCTGCATAAAGCAGCAGCAGGGGCTGATAATGCCCCTTGATGCATTTGGTCACCACATCCTTCCATTTGGGCCCAATCTGAACCAGAAACAACCAGAAGAACATGACAATTATACTTTATACCCACAATTCACAACATATCTTTCTGTTCTGTATTTCTAAAGAAAATAAAAGAGATGAAAAGATAAGAATTGGGTAAAAAGGCAGCAAAAAAGATCTCAGACCTAACACTTTTTTAATTAAATCTTTTTTTTCTTTGCTAAGTCCTTTTAGAAAGCACTAAAATCCTATAGGAGAATAAAAGAATGAATAAAATTAATTTTATTTCTGTGAACCATCAACTCAGTTGTAAAATAGGAATAAAAGTCCTCAAAGGTGGATATGCTACGTGAGGGAACTTCAGCTGCCTTGGTGACCAATTTCTTTTCACAGACATCAAATTAAGCCCTCACTAGAAATCTGCATTTCCTTAGTTTTCTCCCAAATATTAAAATCACTTTCATGAAGCTGAAGAGCAGACAGAAACTCTTTCACAGACTGCCTTAGAACAAATGACATTCAGTTTCAGAGTTCGCAAATGGTAGGATATAAAATGTCAAACTGCTTAGAATAGACAATTGAACCTCTCGGCCTTAGCCCTGTGCTGGATTCAGCTCTGTTACCATAGTGGAAAAGAGAGAACAGCCACAGAATCAATTCAACCCAATCCTCAAACTCACACCATCTTAAGCTTGAACCAGTCACATTTCTTAGATAATGTGCTGCTCTTGGGGTTAGACAACTAGCATAGTGATATGTTCACAACAGATGTCCAGTAAACTTAAAACTGAGTTATTAATTAAAACATTTATATGCTCTTCACATATTAATATAATCATATTTACTACTTTGTAAGGGTATTTTCAAATAAAAACCCTAAATCTAAAAGAACTTAAATAAATTGCCCCAAATTACAACAACGCAAAAGAGACAAAGAAAAGAATAAGGGAATTTGACAAATACTTTACTATTTGTGGAAGACACTGCTTAAAGTCTGTGGATTGGTGTAGATTATAGTCACACCTTATCTCCTTATCTGCTAACCTTATCACAAGCAGCTTCCTAACTCATGCAGATCACATAAGCCACTTCAACCACAAACTCTGTGGTTTAGACAGTACCAACTTTCCTGCTTTGTCATTATAACCCTACATGCCTTATAACTATCCCAAAACACATGTTACTCTGTGATGGGGCACTTCAGGGAGACAACAAAGAATAATTTACAGCAGCCCCGAGACAAAGTAGTACCCACTGATAACTCCAAGATCTGAAATTCTGAACTTTGTATTAACCTTATAACCTCATTTGAGGCATTAGAGTGTTCCTACTCAAATCAATCAACACACACATTAAAAAAAAAAAAAAAAAAATTCCTCTCTGGGGTCCTAGCTTCCAAGAAGACAAAGAAAGGAAAGAACATGGCATGCCAAAAAGGGCTGTGGCTATGTGCAGCTCACTCACTGCATGAACTGTGCCTGAGGCATGCCCAAGGACAAGGCTATTAAGAAGTTTCTCATTCAAGGCCGGGCGTGGTGGCTCACATCTGTAATCCCAGCACTTTGGGAGGCCAAGGCGGGTGGATCACTTAATGTCAGGAGTTTGAGACCAGCCTGGCCAACATGGAGAAACTCCATCTCTCCTAAAAATACAAAAATCAGCCAGGCATGATGGTACGCGCCCGTAATCCCAGCTACTCGGGAGGCTGAGGCACGAGAATCACTTGGGCCCGGGAGGCAGAGGTTGCAGTGAGCTGAGATCGCGCCCCTACACCCCAACCTGGGTGACAGAGCAAGACCCTATGTCAAAAAAAAAAAAAAGTTTCTCATTCAAAACATAGTAAAGGCTGCAGCTGTCAAGGACATTTCTGAAGTAAATTTCTTTGATGCCTATGTGCTTCCTAAGCTGTAGGTAAAGCTACGTTACTACATGAATTGTGCCATTCATAGCAAGGTAGTCAGTAATCAATCTCCCCGAGCCCAAAAGGTGATAACATCCCCACCCAGATTTAGACCTTCGAGTGCTGACCCATGAGCTCCACCAAAGCCCACGTAAGGAGCTGACTTCTCAGGACTGAAGAAAAACTATTTTCTAGAAAAAAAAAAAGGAGATTATAGTTTAAAAAAACACTTTGGGCCAGGCACTGTGGCTCACGCCTGTAATCCCAACACTTTGGCAGGCTGAGGAGGGAGGATCACTTGAGCCCAGGAGTTCCAGACCAGCCTGGGTAACATCTCTAAAACAAAAAAACAAAAAATTTTAACTAGCTGGGTGTGGTGGCCACACACCTATAGTCACAGCTACTCAAAAGACTAAGGTGAGAGAATTGCTTAAACCTGGAAAATAAAGGCTGCAGTGAGCCATTATCACGCCCCTGCACTCCAGCCTGGGCAATAGAGTGAGGAAACCCTATCTCAAAAAATAAAGTAAAATGCTTTGTCACCTATAAATACAAAACTGCTGAATGCCTGGTGAGGGGATTCAGAGGATATAATAGAAGATACATTGTTCCTATCCTCGAAGAACTAGCCATCTTCAGGGGAAGACAAAATGATACCTTCATGAATTCAGTAGGCAGACAGACATAAAAATATAAAATACGCCGGGCACAGTGGCTCATGCCTATAATTCCAGCACTTTGGGAGGCTGAGGTAGGCGGATCACAAGGTCAGGAGTTCGAGACCAGCCTGGCAAACATAGTGAAACTCTGTCTCTACTAAAAATACAAAAATTAGCCAGGTGTGGTAGCATGCGCATGTACTCCCAGCTACTCAGGAGGCTGAGGTGGGAGAATCACTTGAACCCAGGAGGCAGAGATTGCAGTGAGCCAAGACCAAGCCACTGCACTCCAACCTGGGTGACAGAGTGAGACTCCATCTCAAAAAAAAAAAAAATTAAAAAAAAAAAAAATATATATATATATATGTTTTATAGAAATGTGGGGAGGTCCCATTCAAAATTATGAAAATGAAACACTAAAGACAAATGATTATTCTTTTTTTTTGTAGTCACCAAACACTTCAAAAAGGACTTGACTACTCCTACCTCCTTGACATGAGCATCATCAAAATACATCCATTTGCGAATCTTTGTTTGAAAAAAGAATGTAGAATAATGTTTGCCATAGTAACAGATCATTCCAACTAAGTACAGTTCAGATTGCTTGGCCCGGTCATCCGTCACTCTGAAAAACAGCTGAGGGGAAAGAAGAGAAAAGAAAGCACAGTCACATATTCAACCATTCCACATCATCTCTCAGCAGACTCCACCAGCATTTCTTAAGTAAGGTACTGACTTGCTTCTCTTCCCTTCAGTTTAAGATTTTTGTTAGTTTAGATTAATCATCAGAATTTAACTTCAGCACTTTGTGAGGCCAAGGTAAGAGAATTACTTGAGGACAAGAGTTCGAGAACAACCTAGACTAGATAGCAAGACCCTATCTTTAGGCCCAGTGTGGTGGCTCACGCCTGTAATTCCTACACTTTGGGAGGGTGAGGTGAACAGATCTCTTGAGGTCAGGTATTCGAGACCAGCCTGGCCAACATAGTGAAACCCCATCTCTACTAAAAATACAAAAATCAGCTGGGTGTGGTGGTGCATGTCTGTAATCCCAGCTACTTGAGACGTTGAGGCAGGAGGCAGAGATTGCAGTGAACCGAGATCATGACACTGCACTCCAGCCTGGGCGACAGAGCAAGACCCCATCTCAAAAAAAGAAAGAAAGAAAGAAAGAAATTAACCCAAAAAGACAAAAAGTAAGGAAAAGCAAGACAGATAGTGGCCAGTAAACTGGTATGGTGATGATCTTTCTTCATACCTTTCAATAATTTTCTTACCAGGGCCTATCATAAGAGGAGCCAGGAAAGTTGGATTAAAAAAAAAAAAAAACCAGCTGGGCGCGGTGGCTCACGCCTGTAATCCCAGCACTTTTGGAGGGGGAGGCAGGCAGATCACGAGGTCAGGAGATCGAGACCATCCTGGCTAACATGGTGAAACTCCGTGTCTACTAAAAATACAAAAAATTAGCCGGGCATGGTGGCAGGCACCTGTAGTCCCATCTACTGGGGAGGCTGAGGCAGGAGAATGGCATGAACCCAGGAAGCGGAGCTTGCAGTGAAGGGAGATCACACTACTGCACTCCAGCCTGGGCGACAGAGCAAGACTCCATCTCAAAAAAACAAAAAAGAAACAATTGCTTTTGTTTTTAAGAGACAGGGTCTTGCTATGCTGCCTAGGCTAGAATGTAGTGGCTATTCACAGGCAGAATCATTGCACACTACAGCCTTGAACTCCTTAAGCAATCCTCCCACCTCAGCCTCCTGAGTAGCTGGGACTACAGGTAGGCACTGGTGAAAAATGGAGATTTTATTGCTCACAGCCTACTCAGGTAAGATTCCTTAGGAAGAAAACCTAAAATAAGATCCCAGAAAGTTCATTTATTCTCAGTCATGGCTTAATGACATTAAAAAACAATAACAAAGGTTTTCTTTAGTCCCAGTATTATCCCAGACATTAGTTCCACACTGTGAATTTCATATTTTTGGGCTCAGGTCACCAACTTTTAACTTCTTCACCTACTATAGCAGTTCTAGTCAGGAATGCCCCTCTTTGGACCTTACTACCTCCCATGGTTGAACACCCTTCCCTACTTTATACTCGTATAAACTAACAATGAATAGAACATATAATAACTCTTTGAATTACTGATTTATTTTTATCAGTAGCTAAGCTCTGCCTATCCTGTCTTTCAAGGTCAAGTCATCCCATTTCTTCTTAAAAACTCTTTGCCACCTATAAAAGGAGGTATATGAGCACATACCTGCAAGCACGGGTATCTGTACACAAATAAGTTTATCTGTCCAAAACATTATAATACTTGTCATCTAGGACATACCTGTTTGTCTAGTGCTCACTGCTCCTAAGCAATACTAAGACGCAAGAACTCAAAGTGAGAGATAAAGGTAACTAACACGCACATCACCCAGCTTAAGGCAGGTTCCCAGGCTGTGGATAACATCTTCTGCTAAGTCTGAGTGGTCTGAGTCCCATACCAGCCCAATCGTGATAATCTGTGGAGCATTCATCAACACACGGCGAATCCTGATCCTCTCTCCACAGTTGCTCTGAAATACATATATAAGGCTAGTTCAACATGTTTCCCACTGGCTTTGCATCAATTCCACTGATCGATGGTTCCCTTTCCCACTCCAAACCCCACCCCTGATTTAACTCACTGGACAGTTCCGCAGATCCCCCATGGTGCTGGCATTCTGCAGCAGCTCACCAAACATGCTTGGTGAAGGTTTCTCTCGTCTTTCCAGCATACAAATAGCCTGATTGCTTCAAGATGGGGAATAGAAGGGGGATGATGGTTTGTATTTAGTTACTGCTAAATCAAACATTAATGTACATTCCTAACTCACACATTTGACTTTCTTCCTCTGCCCCCTATACCAAAGCCCCTGACCAGGCTCAGTGTCCCATAAACACAGTAAGTACCTCTACCTGTCCCCAGATCCAAAGCTCATAGAATCCCCACTCCTCCTCCCACTTTGCTGGCCAGTACTGAGCCTAAGAAAAGGGGAGGGATGGGAGAGGAAAGAAGGAGAACAAAAATTATTTTTAAATTACTGTTCTGCATTCCTACAATATAGCACAGATTCAGCAATAAGGATATAAAACTATTTGTGTTTTTATTGTTGTTGGTGGTGGTTTTTTTGAGACAGGGTCTCGCTCTGTTACCTGGCTGGAGTGCAGGGGCTCAATCTCAGCTCACAGAAACCTCCGCCTCCTGGGTTCAAGCAATTCTCATGCCTCAGCCTTCAGAATAGCTGGGATTACAGGCACGCGCAACCATGCCTGGCTAATTCTTGACATTTTTAGTAGAGACAGGGTTTTGTCATGTTGGCCAGGCTGGTCTCGAACTCTTAGCCTCAAGTGATCCGCCCACCTGGGCCTCCCAAAGTGCTAGGATTATAGGCATGAGCCACCATGCCCGGCCAAGATATAAAACTATTTGAATGTCTCCAATTAAAGTCCAATAGGCCAGGCACTGTGGCTCACGCCTGTAATCCCAGCACTTTGGGAGGCCAAGGCAGGTAGATCATTTGAGGTCACGAGTTCAAGACCAGCCTGACCAACATGATGAAACACCGTCCTGCTAAAAACACAAAAAAATTAGCGCAGTGTGTACTATTTGTAAGTAGCTGGAAGTCTCAGCTACTTGGGAGATGGAGGCAGGAGAATCGCTTGAACCCAGGAGGCGGAGGTTGCAGTAAGCCGAGATTGTGCCACTGCACTGCAGCCTGGGCAACAGAGCGAGACTCTGTCTCAAAAAAAAAAAAAAAAGTCCAATCAACTGGAGGAATGCCTAAACGCACAACAGAAAATCTTGTAAGACTCACCAAAGGGAAGTGGTGGAGATATAATGTACCATCTGGATGAAAGGCAGCGGATCAGAAGTGGCACCACAGCTAGTACATACACACTGGGCAAAAGAGAAAAAGGCAAAACCAAGCAACCATAATCAGGAACTGTTTTGGCACCCATTTAACACCCCACATCCCAGGATAAAGTGTTCTGGAAGAAATGTCTAAAAAAAGATGGAGCTAGAGTTCACCTGCTCAAACAATGTCATTGCAAATTTCTGATGGGAAATGCAGTGTTGGGCAGTACATATATCCTCTTTGGTTTCATCAGCAATGTGGAAGTGAATTCTCATCAGGAGGTTTTCCTGACAGGGAAAGAACAAAAGCAGTATACCAACAATATTTAATAGACAAATACATAAATTGGTAAGCAGCTTACCCATAGAAACAGCAACCCTTCTGGAAGGTAGGAATATTTTGATTTTTAAAAATTTTTAGTTTAAAAAAATTATAAATTCATAGCAAGTTTCAAAAATGTATAGGAGATCCCCTGTACCCTTCACCCAGCTTCCTCCAACAGTAACATCTGTGTTTTTTTTGTTTGTTTTTTTGTTTTTTGAGATGGAGTCTCGCTCTGTCACCCAGGCTGGAGTGCAGTGGCTCAATCTTGGCTCACTGCAAGCTCCACCTCCCGGGTTCACGCCATTCTCCTGCCTCAGCCTCCCGAGTAGCTGGGACTACAGGCGCCCGCCACCACGCCCGGCTAATTTTTTGTATTTTTAGTAGAGACGAGGTTTCACCGTGTTAGCCAGGATGGTCTCGATCTCCTGACCTCGTGATCCGCCCGCCCCAGGCTCCCAAAGTGCTGGGATTACAGGCGTGAGCCACCGCACCCGGCACAACTTTGATAACTGTATCAGGAAATGGACATTGATAGGATCCAGACTTTATTCAGATTTCACCAGTTTTACATGCATTCATTTGTGTGTGTGTATGTATAGCTCTATGCCATTTTATCAAGATATAGACCAGTTCCATCACAAGGCTCCCTCATGCTAACCATTTAGAGCCTTACCCGTCCAAACCTAACCCTAACCTGTGGTAATCACTAATGTCTTCTCTCATCTCCATCATTTTATTTCAAGAATGTTATATAAATGGGATCACATACCACATAACCTTTTTTTTTTTTTTGAGACACACTCTGTCTCTGTCGCCCAGGCAGGAGTACAGTAGAGCGATCTCGGCTCACTGCAACCTCTACCTCCCGGGTTCAAGAGATTCTCCTGCCTCAGCCTCCCAAGTAGCTGGGATTACAGGTATGTGCCACCACGCCTGGCTAAGTTTTGTGTTTTTAATAGAGACGGCGTTTCACCACGTTGACCAGGCTGCTCTCGAACTCCTGACCTCAAGTGATCCGCCCACCTTGGCTTCCCAAAGTGCTGGGATTACAGGAGTGAGCCCGGCCAGCATATAACCTTTTGATATTGCATTTTTCACTTTCCCTTGAGGTCTGTCCAAGTTGTGTAAATCAATAGTTTCTTTTTATTTTTATAAAAATACTTAATGCTTTGTATTGCTGCATAGTTCTTCACGGTACAGAAGTATCATCATTTGTTTAACCGTCTACTCACTGAAGGACATTTGGGTTGTTTCCAGTTTTTTACTATTATGAATAACACTTCTATGAACATTCATAAACAGGTTTTGTTTTAATATAAGTTTTCATTTCTGTGGGATACATGTCCAGGAATGTAATTGCTAGATCATACGGTAGTTTACATGTCTAGCTTTTTAAGAAACTGCCAAACTGTTTTCCAGAGTAGCTATACCATTTTACATTCCCACCAGCAATATATCAGTGATCCAGTTCCTCAGGAGCACCTCTGATTTGGGGCCACATTTTACCCTGTGATGAGATATGTATCACTCTCAAATTTTCTTTTTTTTTTCTTTTTTTCTTTTGAGACAGAGTCTCACTGTGTCACCCAGGCTGGAGTACAGTGGTGCTATCTAGGCTCACTACAACCTCCTCCTCCCAAGTTCAAGTGATTCTCTTGCCTCAGCCTCCCAAGTAGCTGGGACTATAGGCGCCCGCCACCATGCCTGGCTAATTTTTGTATTTTTAGTAGAGATGGGGTTTCGCTACGTTGGCCAGGCTAGTCTTGAACTCCTGACCTTGTGATCTGCCTGCCTTGGCCTCCCAAAGTGCTGAGATTACAGGCATGAGCCACCATGCCCGGCCTCAAATTTTCTAAATGGATTTACAGAGAGTCTTTCGAAGGTTGATGTATAGAACACAGAGTTCAGAAGAGCGAGGGGCACTGGAGGCAATGTAGCCATATAGCACATCACACTTATGCTAGGGACTCAGTTATTCCCTGATTAATTATCTTTAGAAATGGAGGAGCAGCATCAGTATTAGCATCACTTAGGAACCTGTTAGATACAGATATTCCGGGACTCCTCTGCCGGGCCTACTGTATCAGAAGCTCTGGGGGTACAATCTGTATTTTAATGAGCCTTGGATCCTCTGAAGGTGAGAGCTGATGTTTTATGCAATGACAAGCACAAAACCACCAGCCTAAAGGAAAAATAATAACACACTGCTATAACAGAGACATTTTAGATCCCTGAAAAATCAGAGAAAACTCCTAGTTCTAACTGTAGAGATAAGGGCACAGCAAATTCCACCATAAAGTAGCCAGTCCCTGATGGAGACCATCAGCAGTCCCACCCCATATCAAAGAGGGCCAGAGGCCAGCACTTACAAAGCACTCTGCAGCATCATCCATAATTCCCAGCTGGAAACGTTGTTCATCCTGGAAAGTCTTTGCCAGAGCACTGCGGAGAGTGTCAGATGGAAGCACTTTTTCACTACTACACTGAAACTGGTTAAAGATTCCCTATAGGGAAGAGGTTAGACAAGAGAAAAAGTACAATGCTGTTATTAAACTTCTATACATCCTAGTCTGTCATGCTAGCATCTCCATGATGATAGCTATGAAACCAAATGTGCTTCCCATGGGTTGACATGCTTGCAGTTAGTAATTAAAAATAAAATCAAGAGTCAGAATGAAGGGCATGATCTGTGCTAATAAAGATCCTCACTCCTTCATCTGAGTGTGATGCCAAGGACACATTAGGAGAAACCACTGTCATGAATTAATGTAATGCAGTTACCTCATTTCCTCTTCCTCTAATACAGACAGAAGTAAATGGGTTAGGTAAAAAAAGAAAAATTACACGTAAACGTTATCAACAAATTATTTTCTGGGGGTTCATCCTATGAATCTTGACCCCCTTTCTTTTAAAATTTCCAGCTAATATAAAATTACCAAAAAGTACAAAGACTAATATAACAAAAATCTGTGAGTCTAATACCCAGAAATAAACATTCTATCATGTTTACTTTCATCTACAGATAATGCTAAAGTCTTGTTTAAGACTGCCCCACTCTCTACCAGCCACTCATATCATAAATTTGTTGTATAATCTGTTTTTAATAGTTTTACATATATATCCCTAAATAATACATAGGATACTTTTGTGTATATTTGTGGGTTTTTTGTTTTTTTGTGTGTGTTCTTGTTGTTGTTTTTTTGAACAGGGTCTTGCTTTGTCACCCAGGCTGGAGTGCAGTGGCATGAACGTGGCTCACTGTAGCCTCAACCTCCTGCCTCAGCATCCTGAGTAAATGGGACTACAGGCATGCACCACCACACACCGCTAACTTTTTAATTGTTTTGTAAGAGATGGGGTCTCACCATGTTGTCCAGGCTGGTCTCAAACTCCTGGGCTCATGCAGTCCTCTCACCTTGGCCTCTAAAATTGCTGGGATTACAGACGTGAATCACTGCGCCCAGCCTTATTAGTATTTTTCATGTAAAAAGTATCACACTGAATTTTACTTGTTGTTTTTTGTTTTTTATTTAGCATCGTTTTTGAGATCTATCCATGATGATATAGATATAGACCTGGTACACCTTTTCTCTGCTGTATAGCATTTTTATCGGGTCACTAACCCACATCTATTTATCCATTTCTTTACTGACAGACATTTTGGCTGTCTCCAATTTTTTGCTATTACAAAGACACAATGCCAACTTATACTTCTACCAATATATAGTAAAAATTTCCCCATATTCTTGTCAAAAATTAATACTGTGAGACCATTTAGTTTTAATTTAGTCTTTAATTTCGTCTTTCTGGGTCCTTTGTATTACTTGTGGCAAATATATTCTCCCAATCTACTGACCTTGGTGTATTTGAATGCACATCACTTTTTAATTTTGGTGTAATTAAATGTATCTTTTCCATCTTTACCTACATCTGAACCCTGATGAATATCATGTCCAAAGAGTAGAATCAGCCAGGTGCAGTGGCACACGCCTATAATGCCAATACTTGTAATCACTTGAGCTCAGGAGAACAAGACCAGCCTGGGCAACATGGTGAAACCCCGTCTCTACTAAAAATACAAAACTTAGCCCAGCATGGTGGTGCATGCCTGTAGTCCTGCTACTCGGGAGGCTGAGGCAAGAGAATCACTTGAACCCGGGAGGCTGAGGCTGCAGTGAGCTGAGATCATGCCACTGCACTCCAGCCCGAACTACTTTAAAGTTCATATGGAACCAAAAAAGAGCCTGCATTGCCAAGACAATCCTAAGCAAAAAGAACAAAGCTGGAGGCATCACGCTATCTGACTTCAAACTATACTACAAGACTACAGTAACCAAAACAGCATGGTACTGGTACCAAAACAGAGATATAGACCAATGGAACAGAACAGAGGCCTCAGAAATAATGCCACACATCTACAACAATCTGATCTTTGACAAACCTGACAAAATCAAGAAATGGGAAAGGATTTCCTATTTAATAAATGGTGCTGGGAAAACTGGCTAGCCATATGTAGAAAGCTGAAACTGGATCCCTTCCTTACAACTTATACAACAATTAATTCAAGATGGATTAAAGACTTAAATATCAGACTAAAACCATAAAAACCCTAGAAGAAAACCTAGGCAATACCATTCAGGACATAGGCATGGGCAAGGACTTCATGACTAAAACACCAAAAGCAATGGCAATAAAAGCCAAAATACACAAATGGGATCTAATTAAACTAAAGAGCTTCTGCACAGCAAAAGAAACTACCATCAGAGTGAACAGGCAACCTACAGAACGGTAGAACATTTTTGCAATCTATCCATGTGACAAAGGGTTAATATCCAGAATCTACAAAGAACTTAAACAAATTTACAAGAAAAAAAAAATAACCCCATCAAAAGGCGGGCAAAAGATATGAACAGACACTTCTCAAAAGAAGACATTTATGCAGCCAACAGACACATGAAAAAATGCTCATCGTCACTGGTCATCAGAGAAATGCAAATCAAAACCACAATGAGATACCATCTCATGCCAGTTAGAATGGTGATCATTAAAAAGTCAGGAAACAACAGATGCTGGAGAGGATGTGGAGAAATAGGAACACTTTTACACTGTTGGTGGGAGTGTAAATTAGTTCAACACTGTGGAAGACAGCGTGGCAATTCCTCAAGGATCTAGAACTAGAAATACCATTTGACCCAGCAATCCCTTTACTGGGTATATACCCAAAGGATTATAAATCATGCTACTATAAAGACACATGCACACGTATGTTTATTGCAGCACTATTCACAATAGCAAAGACTTGGAACCAAACCAAATGTCCATCAATGACAGACTGGATTAAGAAAATGTGGCACATATACACCATGGAATACTATGCAGCCTTAAAAAAAATGAGTTCATGTCCTTTGCAGGGACATGGATGAAGCTGGAAGCCATCATTCTCAGCAAACTATCACAAGGACAGAAAACCAAACACCGTATGTTCTCACTCATAGGTGGGAATTGAAGAATGAGAACACTTGGACACAGGGCAGGGAACATCATACACCGGGGCCTGTCGGGAGGTGGGGGGCTGAGGGAGGGATAGCATTAGGAGAAATATCTAATATAAATGACGAACTGATGGGTGCAGCAAACCAACACATGTATACCTATGTAACAAACCTGCACGTTGTGCACATGTACCCTAGAACTTAAAGTATAATTTTATTAAAAAAGTAATTTATTCATATTAAAATATCCAAGTTTTATTTTTCAGACATATTACTAACAAGACCAGAAATAAGACCATTTTATAAACCTACCTATGTGATCTAAGAATAGGAGGCCCCACCAACCTTGAGTGGTCAATTCTTGGTTTTCCTCTTACTTGACCTATCAGCAGCATTTAACTCAGCTAATCTTTAAAATACTTCCTTCCCCTGGTTCCAGGGCACCCCTTCAGGTTTTCTTCCTACCTCAGTGGTCAATGGTCACTCCTTATCAGTCTCCTTTGCTGGTTCCTTTTCAATTCCAAAACTCAGGCCTTGGACCTCTTGACTTCCCTAAAGTCACTCACATTCTTAGTGGTCTCATCTAACATGGTTTTACATACACATACATTGACAATTCCCAAAATTACACTAACAGCCCAAATCTCCCTCCTGAATTCCAAATTTGTAGTTGGCAAAAACTACAACTGCTTTTGTACCAACCTAATGTATCTAACTATATATTGGACGTCTACATTTGAATATCAATGGGCATTTCAAATTTAACATTCCCCAAACTAAATGTTTTATGTTTCCTCCCAACATCCACATTTTGCCTTCTTGTCCCATCTCAGTAAACACCGCCACCATCCTTGCAGTTGTTTAGGTCGAAAACCTTGGAAACCACCTGTGACCCTTCCCTTGCTTTCACAACTCCCATCCAATCTACAGGCAAATCCCCTATTTCCACTCTCAAATATATCTAGACCCTATTCCACTCTCAAATATATCTAGACCCTACACTGTTCACCACCTCATCTGCTATCAGCCTAGTCCAAGTCATCTCACCTCTTCACTGGATAATTGCAAGTTTCCTGACTGATCCCCTTGTCTCCCTGCAGAAACACACAGCAGACAAATACAGCAATCATATGATTTTTTAAAAATATAAATCAGATCATATCATTCTTCTGCTCAAAACTCTCTAAAGGCTTCCCATGGCATACACAGTAAAAGCCAAACTGCTAAGTCCTTACGTAATCTGGCCTACGATTCCACTTCTCTTTGTTTTGTTTTGTTTTTGAGATGGAGTCTCACTCTGTCACCCATGCTGGAGTGCAATGGTGTGATCTCGGCTCACTGTAACCTCCACCTCCCAGGTTCAAGCGATTCTGCTGCCTCAGCCTCCCAAGTAGCTGGGATTACAGGTATGTGCCACTACACCCGGCTAAGTTTTGCATTTTTAGTAGAGGCCGGGTTTTGCTATGTTGGCCAGGTTGGTCTTGAATCCCTGATCTCAGATGATCCACCTGCCTCAGCCTCCCAAAGTGCTGGGATAACAGGCGTGGGCCACCACGCCCAGCCATACTATTCTACTTCTGGTTCACCCTACACCAGCTGGCCCCTCACTATGCCCCAAACCTACCATGTATATCTCTGCACTTGAGTTCTATGCCTGGATCATTCTTCCTCTAGATATGTATGGCTCAATCACTCATTTCCTGTGGATTTTTTATCCAAATACTACCTTCTCTATAATAGAGTACTTCCTGATCACCCTCTTTAAAATTGTAAGCTCCACCCTCCCTTCCCCAAACTCCCCACTCTTACATATTTTTTCTCTATAGCAATTATTACTATCTGTCATACTATATATTTTACTTGTCTGATTCCAATATTGAGAATATAAGACATAAATCTTTATCCTTTTATTCTGTGTATATTCCCAGCAACTAGGACAGTACTGGCATACAAAGTGTAACCGATAACTATTTTTAAATGAATCAATTAATCATTATGTGATGCAGGTAGATCTAAGGGGGAGATATTATTAAAATCTGTTTTTTTTTAAATAAGTAAGGAATCACCTTAAAAAGCAGAAAAACTTTCTTAAGGTAATATTACTGGTTAGGACAAAATAAGACTAAATTTAGTTCTGCTAATTTCAGGTCAAAATTGTTTTTCCGGCCAGGCGTGGTGGCTCACGCCTGCAATCCCAGCACTTTGGGAGGCCGAGGTGGGCGGATCACGAGGTCAGGAGATCGAGACCATCCTGGCTAACAAGGTGAAACCCCGTCTCTACTAAAAATACAAAAATTATCCAGGCATGGTGGCAGGTGCCCATAGTCCCAGCTACTGCGGAGGCTGAGGCAGGAGAATGGCGTGAACCCAGAAGGCAGAGCTTGCAGTGAGCCGAGATTGCATACTGCACTCCAGCCTGGGCGACAGAGCAAGACTCTGTCTCAAAAAAAATAAATTGTTTTTCCCATTCTGCCCTCTCACTAGCACCTTTCCTCCTCATACACACTGAATATCTACTGCAGCAGCTCAAGAACAGATTACTGTGTAACCTGCTATTATGTTCCTACAAATGTCTCCATATGATGTGGGAGAGGCAGTGCCAGCAATACATATTTAGTATTATTTAATAAGCTGTGAGGGAAATCTGTTATAATTACTCCACATTATTTTGGCTTAACCTAGAAATTTATACACAAGTCCACTATAAGGTCAAGGAAAGGCAGGGCAGGCCTTCCATAATTTGTTACTGGAAGGGGAAGAATGTCTATCAGTAACCTCTTAAACTAGACCAAAAGGAATGATCTAGGTCCACAGTTAAATAATTGGATATGTGTCCAGTGACCTATGGGATTTTGAACCTTTGGAGAAATAAGGAGAAACAAAGGAAAAGGAAGGGGGAAAAAGCAGTGACTGCTTTTACAAATTGCATAGTGGCCTGACGACATGATGATTTGTTGAAAGAAGGTCAACCCAGCTTGGCAAAATTTAGTGACCACTATTACATCCCAGCCTGTTGCTCTTCTCAATTGTTACTGGTAAGAAATTACTGCTGACATAGGCTCTATTACAGAACAAAGGATGGATGAGGTTTGGTCCTTTGTTCAAAATCCAAAATTGGTTCCAAAACAAACCAATAGGAAATTATTTCCAGGATAGTTCTATACAAATCTGAAATTTATAAACTCTGGCCCCTTTAGTCTTCTTCAACTGGATTTCCTCAAGAATTAAGCCCTAATACTCTAGGGCCTCAACTGTTCCTAATGAAATAGCAACTCTCCTATGCATAGCACTAGCTATATGGCATCTTGGAGAGAATTAAGAAAATAGTCACTCTAATCACTTTGTGTTCTGTGTGGTTCAGATGACCCTGTTAGAGAAAGACAGGGCTCCACTCAGAGACGGTATGGTGTAATGGTTAAGAGACTGGATTCTGGAGCTAAAATGGGTTCAAAATCCCAAGGCTGACACTTCAGCTATATGATCTCGGGTAAATTATTTAACTTCTTAAGGCTTCAGTTTCTCTTTTAAAAGAGAGTTTAATAATAGCATTTACACCAGCCTGACCAATATGGTGAAATCCCGTCTCTACTAAAAATACAAAAAGTAGCCGGGCGTTGCGGTGAGCGCCTATAGTCCCAGCTACTCGGGAGGCTGACACAGGAGAATTGCTTGAACCTAGGAGGCGGAGGTTGCAGTGAGCTGAGATCGTACCACTGCATTCCAGCCTGGGTGATAGAGTGAGGCTCCATCTCAAAAAAAAAAAAAAAAGTATTTACTACCCAGGGTTATTTGAGGATTAAATGAGTACACACACACACACACACACATATATATATAAGATATACATCAGCCGGGCGTGGTGGCCCACGCCTGTGATCCCAGCACTTTGGGAGGCTGAGTCGGGAGGATTACCTAAGGTCAGGAATTCGAGACCAGCCTGGCCAACATTGTGAAACCCCATCTCTACTAAAATTACAAAAATTAGCCAGGTGTGGTGGCAATCACCTGTAATCCCAGCTACTCAGGAGGCTGAAGCAGGAGAATTGCTTGAACCCGGGAGGTGGAGGCTGCAGTAAGCTGAGATCACACCACTGTACTCCAGCCTGGACGACAGAGTGAGACTCTGTCTCAGGAAAAAAACAAACAAAAATATAAATGTATATATCCTAGACTAATCTCTGTCAGTGTGATAAGTGCTAAATGTTAGGTATTATTACTATTATTGTATTTGGGAGTCATTTCACGTTGCTAAAGAGCCTGTCTGTCACTGTCCTATGATGAAAGAAGGGATCTGAGTCAGGTGCTTCTACCTTGAGCTACTTCCTCAGTCTCTGAGATCTGAGTAGGAAGAACTACAGTTTTTTCTCTTCTCCATTCTGTTTCTCCCACTCAAAGGAGGCATATTTCCCATGACCTAGATAACAAGGGTTTCAGTAGAGAAAGGGAAAGGTCTTAAGGTCAGAGCTCTGACTGCACCCAGAGTGGGTCTGTAACAATAGATCTGGCTCCCCAGTTCAGTGGTATCAACGTCTCCACAATATAATCTTTTCTCACCTCTTAATTACAGGCAGCCTTCCTCATACACACTGAGAATCTGAATGCATTCAGAATGGCCTCTGACTACATCTTCTTTATTCTCTTATTTTAATTATTGTTGTCAGTCTTGCTCTGCTATTGTTAGGAAGAAGCAAGTGTATTAGGGGTAAAGCTGACTGAGCCCGCCCAGCATGCATCTGTGGAGCTCTGGAAGAAGCTGTAGCACAAAGCCCCTCTGTTAGAGCAGCACACTAACCTCTGTGTGTCCCTCTCACATGAGCACAGGGACTGGAATGGGCCTCCTCCCATTCTCTTTTTCACCCTCCTCCCACCTTTCCCAGAGGGAGATCCTGTTCACACCAAAGAAAGCCAAGAACATTTAGTTCAGCAGTAAGAACAGGTGGCAGCACCAATAAGGAACAAAAACTGGTATTCTTCCAATTGCTGAGTTCTATGACAGGCAGAGAGAAAGGGCAGGAAGAACCAAAACCCAAGAATCACTTTTCCTGTGAGGTCCCTGATGGTTCCATTTCAACAAGTAGAGAAAATCCACCTTGGAGTTTCTCTCTGCTCTTCTTCACAGGGTGAAACCAAAGAGGTCTTCCTTTTCATTCTCAGGAAAAGGCAAATCACTTTTTGTCTGTTAACTAGTTTCTTGGATGCAGTACAAAAGCAACAAGATTTTAACGACTAAAAGCAGGTGCTTCCCCACCCATCTCTCTTGATTAAGCAGCAAACAATTCTATCCACATGAGCACATAATTATTTGGATTAGTAAAAACCATGTAAATAAGATAGAAGTGCCATAAAAACAGAAAGTCTTTATGCTTCGACATCTACAAATGCAGCTGTTGCTTAAGTATTTTTCCCCTAAAACAGACTCTTGTCTTTAAGTGGGGAACAGCTGTTTTTTTCTCTCTCAGGATTTCCCAGTCTTATATCTAAAAGAAGTCATGAGTAGAGAAGGTGAGGATTAAGGAGAAAGGTTGTCACTAATTTTGGTGCTTTTTGAGCTCAAGGTCTTTGGAAAGTGCTCCAGTGGGCAGCCCACTTCATCCCTGCAATACCTTCTGCAAAGGTGTGACAAACTTTACACCCTGCCATTAACTCAATTCTTAGGGTTTCTCTTCTCAACCTGGACTTCCCAATTTTGGCTCTCATAATCACTGCTTTCGCTACATCTCCTGGGAATCATAGAACTTAATTGGCCAGTCTGGCTTCTTTGTAAACACTACCCTCTGTAAGTAAGTTAAAGGAGCTAGTCCTTGAGGATCACTGACTACTGGAAAAGAGACGTTCACTTGGTTTTCTGTATTCAAAAGAATGTTGAAAGTTGTCTTTTAAGAGGGGAAAAACATTTTACCCTTTTGGCACTCAAAAATAATAACATAGGATTTTAACATTTTATTGTAAAAAATTTCAAACATACAAGAGTAGACAGAAGAGCTAAATCAACTCCCTTTATTTATCATTCAACTTCAACAATTATCAACCTGTGGCCAATCTTATTTCATCTATACCACCCATCCACTTAACTTACTCTCAGATCATTTTGAAACAAGTGCCAAACATTTTTCATTTGTAAATATTTCAAAATATATCTCTAAAAAATAATAACTTTTTCTCTGAAACATGACCATAAGGCTGGGCACTGTGGCTCATGCCTATAATCCCAGCACTTTGGGAGGATGGCTTAAAGCCAGGAGTTTGAGACCAGCCTGGGCAACAAGGCAAGACCTTGTCTCTACAAAAAAAAATTAACTGGGTACAGTGGCATATGCCTGTAGTTTCAGCTACACAGTTGGCTGAGGTGGGAAGATCATTTAAGCCCAAGAGTTCCAGGCTACAGTGAGCTATAATTGCACCACTGCACTTCAGCCTGGGTGACAGAGCAAGACCCTGTCTCAATAAATAACTAAATAAATAATAATATCATTATCACACACACCCCAAAAGTTATTAATGTCTTAATATCATCACATATGTAATTTAATACGAACTCTTGATCTAACTTTGGGGAAGGCAGAGAAGAGCTGGCTAGTTTCTCCCTTGAGATTCTCTAACCATATATCTACCTTCTGGACTCTCAATTAGAAAAGCACATACCTATCCTTTACCAGTCTCTTTAAATTAAAGTCAATTATCAATACCATATCACCTCATAACTTTAAGACTTTATTTGCATTCTGTTCATAACAATATTTTGGACTTGCAATGGTGAGGTTAAAGACAATCATAAGCTACATATCACACTCATTCCTGCTACCAGCTATGCAAAATAGAGGCAACTCACATATGCACAAAGACAAGAGACACAGATAAACAGTAACACCAAGACTTCAAGACAATGGACAGAGACAGAGATGGGCCAAATTCGCCACAGAAAGGTATTGCTTTTAATGAGAAATAATAAGCTAATGTTGAGGTTTTATAAAATACAGTAGTCAATTTACTAATTTTTGCCAAGATCAAAACTGCAAGACTCTTATAAATTACCAACAGTATTCAAATCAAATTTTGAGAATACATAACCACTTACCCCACAGGAAAAACTGAAAGGGGACACCCTTCTGGATATGCACAAGGTTTTGAGATTGTCTAAACTGTAGGATCTGCCATAAATTCTGGCAAGGAAAGAATCATGATGATTCACTACATGTTTCCTTGCAGTCGTACCCCTTCTATTTGAATATCATATACAATTCTGAACTCCAAATTTTAAAAAAAAGCTGAAGCATTCATTTTATACTATTCAAGTTTTGCCAATGGATAAATTAGTTGAGAATATTTAAACCAGTCACAGTCTAATAGGAACTTAAAACTAAGGGAAGGATGATCAAAGGACCATATAAATATGCTCATATTCATACATAGGTGATCAAAACAATGAAGTTAACTCAAGTAGATGATATTTGGATTAGACATAAGGACATACTTCCTTATGTGAGAGCTGTTTATTACCAGCTAAAATTTCTAGGGAATATACTAGAAATCTAATTTCCTGGTTTCAAGAATCAGTTCAGAATAATGAGTTTTCTCTTCTCTGATAGTGGCTGTGACTAAAGAACAATGAAGAACCTTCCATTTCTACAATCTGCAAAAGAAAGGAATGGATTAATAATGAACAATGGGTAATTTCTTTTTTTTTCTTTTTTTTTTTTTTTTGAGACAGAGTCTCCCTCTGTCACCCAGGCAACAATCATGCAGTGGCACCATTTCGGTTCACTGCAACCTCCACCTCCCAGGTTGAAGCAATTCTCTGCCTCAGCCTCCCAAGTAGCTGGGATTACAGGCACCTGCCACCACGCCCGGCTAATTTTTGTATTTTTAGTAGAGACAGGGTTTCACCATCTTGGCCAGGCTAGTCCTCAACTCCTGACCTCGTGATCCACCCGTCTCGGCCTCCCAAAGTGCTGGGATTACAGGCATGAGCCACCGCGCCCGGGCTGAGTAATTTCTTATATCATTTTATTCTCTGTGCTTATGCTTCAGTACACAACAGAGAAACAGGCATAAGGTATAACTTGAAAAATACTAGAGATTCCTTGAATTCTCACATTTCCCCCAATTAACAAGTGGACTACGAGTAAAACACATACCTTCCTGCCCCATTAGAACAGTCTAACCGCTCTCCACATATAGATATTACAGGATACCTTATATACGAAATTCTGTTTCCTCCCCACCCACCCTCTACCAGCACCATTCCCAGGCTTTTATGCCTTATACTAGCATTCTTAAAAGAAAAATCACTAATTGAGAAGATTTGTTTAATTTAATCAATCAATGCACATTCTGCTTTGCCTATAACAAAAAACACTCTGTCCTACATCCTGGCACTGCAAAGCCTCTAGTACAATCCCTGGAAGAACAAAATCTTTGTGGCACACTAAATACAGAGGACGGATTTCCTATCCTGAACAGAGATAAATAAATAAGCCAACACCAAAGTCAAGTCATACCCTGGGGGCCAGGGGTGTAAGAGTAGATTCATTGTGAATAATAAATAAGACCACTGGGCTACAGGCATAACAGTAACTTAGGTCAGAAAAAATATTTTAGTGATATGAGATAGAATAAATTTGGGGCTTTTGAGGGGACAGGGTAATTAGCACACAAACTTCTTCAATTTTTTTTTTTTTTGAGATGGAGTCTTGCTCTGTCACCCAGGCAGAAGCGCAGTGGCGCAATCTCGCTCACTGCAACCACCACCTCCCAGGTTCAAGTGATTCTCCTGCCTCAGCCTCCCAAGTAGCTGGGACTATAGGTGCCGCCCACCACACCTGGCTAATTTTTTTTTTTTTTTTTGAGACGGAGTCTCACTCTGTCGCCAGGCTGCAGTGCAGTGGCGCGATCTCAGCTCACTGCAACTTCCACCTCCCGGGTTCAAGCGATTCTCCTGCCTCAGCCTCCCGAGTAGCTGGGACTACAGGCGCATGCCACCACACCCAGCTAATTTTTGTATTTTTAGTCGAGACAAGGTTTCACCATGTTGGCCAGGCTGGTCTCAAACTCCTGACCTCAGGTGATCCACCCACCTTGGCCTCCCAAAGTGCTGGGATTACAGGCCTGAGGAAGTTTTATTCTCAAAAGGAGAATAAATGGGTTATTTATCAAATAAATGGGTTCAGTGACTAACCACATCAAGACCAGCTCAAGAAGGATTTAAAGAGCTATTATTCTTTTTTTTTTTTTTTTTTTTTTGAGATGGAGTCTTGCTCTGTTGCCCAGGCTGGAGTGCAGTGGCTCGATCTCGGCTCACTTGCAACCTCGCCTCCAGGGTTCAAGTGATTCTCCTGTCTCAGCCTCCTGAGTAGCTGGAACTACAGGTGCACACCACCACACCCAGTTGATTTTTGTATTTTAGTAGAGACGGGGTTTCACCATGTTGGCCAGGATGGTCTCGATCTCTTGACCTCATGATCCGCCCACTTCGGCCCCACAAAGTGCTGGAATTACAGGCATGAGCCACCACGCCCAATCTTCAATTTTTAAGTCAGAATTGACAGGCATCATGGTTCAAAGTAAGCAGAATGACATACTGACACAAACTATTTTCAATGAAAGGCATAATTAGTAACTTGCATGCAAGATTTTGAGGCTGAATTTGCTGTAGGGACTTAGTATCAAGTAACACAGAAAAAACCCAGTACATTTTACAGAACCAAAGGAAAGGGATCATAAATTCTATGTACAAATCAAAGTGATTATAAGTACTGGATACAATACTATACAATTGCATACAGGCATGGGATTGTATTATAGTATACATTATAGTATACAATACTATACAAATGTATAAAATTGTATACAGGCATGAACCACCGCACCTGGCCTCAGGAATATATATCTTTAAGCCAGACATGGAAAGGCAAGTCCCTCATCTAAACATCAGACTAAGGGAAAGTTGGCCAGCCTCTGATTCATCTAGAAACATGTTAGTGTTTCCTTTTGTCCTTACCAGTGGTTCCTAGAGTGAATAATTATGCTCCAAATAAAAGAAATCTGACTTTACAGAATTGGCAAGTCCTTATAAAGCTGACTCTTGAACAACTCAGTGGTTAGGGGAACTGACCCCATACAGTTGTAAATTTGTGTATAACTTTTGACACCCCAAAAACTTAACTACTAATAGTCTACTGGAAGCCTTACCAATAATATAAATACTTGATCAATATTAATACATAGACTACTATCTACATATGTTATGCATTTGTGACATAACTTTTTCTTAATTTTTTTGATATTTCTAGGCTACATGGTTTGTTTTTTCAAATTGTCACAAATCTCAAAAAATTTTATAATATATCTATTGAAAAAAATACATATAAATGGACCCACACAGTTCAAACCCGTGTTGTTCAACGGTTAACTGTATTTCAAATTGAGAAAGTTTGGAGTTTCCTGTTTTGAAAAACAAAACTACAAAACAAGAATTTTACAACCAGGCATAGTTGCTCATGCCTATAATCCCAGCACCTTGGGAGGCCAAGACAGGTGGATCACCTGAAGTTGGGAGCTCAAGACCAGCCCGGCCAACACGGTGAAACCCTGTCTCTACTAAAAATACAAAAAATTAGTAGGCTGGGCGCGGTGGCTCACACCTGTAATCCCAGCACCTTGGGAGGCCAAGGCAGGCAGATAACCTGAGGTCGGGAGTTCGAGACTAGCCTGATCAACATGGAGAAACCCTGTCTCTACTAAAAATACAAAATTAGCCAGGCATGGTGACACATGCCTGTAATCCCAGCTACTAGGGAGGCTGAGGCAGGAGAATCACTTGAACCTGGGAGGTGGAGGTTGCGATGAGCCTAGATTGCGCCATTGCACTCCAGCCTGGGCAATAAGAGCAAAACTCCACCTAAAAAAAAAAAAAAAAAAATTAGACGGGCGTGGTGGAAGGCGCCTGTAATCCCAGTTACTCTGGAGGTGGAGGCAAGAGAATCACTTGAACCTGGGAGGCGGAGGTTGCAGTGAGTCCAGATCGCACCACTGCACTACAGCCTGGGTGACAGAGCCAGACTCCATCTCAAAAAAAAAAAAAAGTATTTTACATATCAGCTTCACATTAGAGAATGCAAACAGGGCCGGGCATGGTGACTCATGCCTGGAATCCCAGCAGAGTTTGGGAGGCCAAGGAGGGCAGATAGCTTGAGGTTAGGAGTTCGAGACCAGCTTGGCCAACATCGTGAAATCACATCTCTACTAAAAATATATACAAAAATTAGCCACCACCTACTGGGGAGACAGAGGCAGGAGAATCACTTGAACCTGGGAGGCAGAGGTTGCAGTTAGCTGAGATAGTGCCACTGCACTCCAGCCTGGGTGACAAAGCGACCCCATTTCAAAAAAAAAAGAGGGAATGCAAACAGATCTTAAGGATTCAGCAAAAAGGAATTCTTATTAGCCTCATCAAACATCCCTCTAATTTTTAAATAGGAAGCAGTGAAAAAATGGGATTTAAGTATATAAAATTATACCCACACTGGAAACACCACAAGATAACATGTAACTTAACCACAGAATACCAGATAAATGCTTTGCTGACAGAATCCCAGGCCTGCTTTCTTCTTTCAGCAGGTCTTTTCCATCATCACTCTAGCCTCACCCACAATACACACATATTTCACCCTTCCCTTACCAAATGAGAAAGGCCTACTAAAAAAAGTGAGACCAGGCCGGGCATGGTGGCTCACGCCTGTAATCCCAGCACTTTGGGAGGTCGAGGCGGGCGGATCACAAGGTCAGGAGATCAAAGACCATCCTGGCTAACATGGTGAAACCCCGTCTCTACTAAAAATACAAAAAAAAAAAAAAATTAGCCGGGCATGGTGGCGGGTGCCTGTAGTCCCAGCTACTCAGGAGGCTGAGGCAGGAGAATGGCGTGAACCCGGGAGGCAGAGCTTGCAGTGAGCTGAGATCGCGCCACTGCACTCCAGCCTGGGTGACAGTGCAAAACTCCGTCTCAAAAAAAAAAAAAAAAAAAAAAAAAAGTGAGACCAAAAGTCACAGGATGAAAACCTCTTTCCATCAAATAGGACAAGAGTGAGAAAGGTCATAAAAGACAGGAAGAAAAATGGAAGGCAACTACCAAAAACTCCGTAACTATTTAATAAAATCCAAGAAGCCCGGGTACGGTGGCTCACACCTGTAATCCTAGCACTTTGGAAGGCCGAGGTGGGCAGATCACAAGGTCAGGAGTTCGAGACCAGCCTGGCCAATATGGTGAAACCCTGTCTCTACTAAAAAAATACAAAAATTAGCCGGGCGTGGTGGCAGGTGCCTGTAATCCCAGCTACTCAGGAGTCTGAAGCAGGATAATCGCTTGAACCCGGGAGGCAGAGGTTGCAGTGAGCCGAGATCATGCTATTGCACTCCAGCCTGGGCGACACAGCGAGACTCCATCTCAAAAAAAAAAAAAAAAAAAAAAAAGAAATCCAAGAACTACCAAAAGATTCTATCAACCCAGAAAACACAGAAAAGTAGAGTGTTTATAGTATGGTCCAAGCACTGTACTAGGCACTGTGAGAAATAACAAGAGAGAAGAGTTGAGCTATTTTCCCAAAAATTCATTCAGCCATGCTAAATACTATTAAGTCAAACAATCATAGTTCTAGATAGATAGCATTTCTAAAACTTCATGAAGGGCAGGGCACAGTGACTCACATCTGTAATCCTAGCAGCTTGGGAGGCCAAGGCAGGAGGATCACTTGAGGCCAGGAGTTTAAGGCCAGCCTGGACAACATAGCAAGATCCTGTCTCCATTTTTTTTAATTAAAAAATTTAAAATTTAAATAAAACTTCATGAAGAAGCTAACTTCTGAAGCAGAGTTCTGAAAAGTGAATGTGGTTTGGCAAAAGGGAGGCAAAACACTCCACGCAAAGTGAATGGCATCTGAAATGTCTAAGAGGTAGACATAGCAAGTGCATTGTTATCACAGTTGAAATGCAGAATGCCCAGGGAAGGAAAGGAAAGAAATATAAAATTAAGTTTTAAAATGTTTGTAATCATGCATTTTTAAGTGATTTAAGAAACAAGTGGGAGCCACTTCAGGATTATGAGAAGATACTAACTTCAATATAGCATTCCAGGGTATTCTTAGGTTTAAAAACAAATGAAGTAGGAAGATACTACAGATAGAGGGGCAATTTAGGGATCTGGAAAAAAGTAATCTTTTTACAAAAACAGTGGGCAAAAAGACTTACTACCAGAAATACAGACCAGACGGGAAGCATAAAAAGAAATGACAATCTGTTAGCTGGGCGTGGTGGCACACACCTGTAATCCCAGCTATTCGGGAGGCTGAGGCACGAGAATTGTTTGAACCTAGGAGGTAGAGGTTGCAGTGAGCCGAGATCATGCCACTGCACTCCAGCCTGGGTGATAGAGCAAAACTCTGTCTCATTAAAAAAAAGAGAGAGAGAGAGAAAAAAATTACAATCTCCATGCTAGAATTCAGGCAATTTTCAGCTTTCCTCTTTACACTTTAGTGTGCTTCCTAGAATGGTTGCAGTGCTTTTCTATATTTTATAATTAAAATAGTCACATAAAAAGAGAATAAACATAACATATACACATACATAGCCAAAGAATAATAAACACCCACACACCCATGTGCTCACCACCCAATTTAAGAAATAGAAAAATAAACCACGAGTTTAAACCTCTCCAACTGATTACATACTTACATGAAATCTACCCTCCACCTTCTACAGAACACAACTATCCTGAATTTTGTGAAAAGCACTTCCTTTTTCTCTACAGACTTATCACATGCATGTACCCCTGAACAATATGTTCTTCAGTTTTGCCTGGTTTTGATTTATATATAAATGGAATCATGATTCATATAGTCTTCTATGACTTGCTTTTTTCAATCAATGTGATGTTTTATGAGATTAGCCCAAGTTGCTGCATGCAGCTGCAGAATTCATTTTCATTACTATATAGTGTTTTACTATTGGAATAAACCATAATTTTTAAATCCACTCTAGTGTAGTTGGAATGTGTTATTTCCATTTTTCTACAATCTCAAAATATACTACTTTGAACATTCTCAAATATATCTTCTGGCACATTATGTATCAAGAAGTTTTCTACAATGTATTGCTAGGGGTGGAACTGCGAGGTGGTTACATGGTACAAGTTCAATTCTACTAAGTAATGATAAACTGTTTTCCTAAGTAGTGATATCAATTTATATTCTAGCTAGCAATGTATGTAAAGTTCTCATTATTCCACATTTTTGGTAACACTCAATTTTTTTTTCTTTTAGAGATAGACCCTATCTGTCACTCATGCTGGAGTGCAGCAGCATGATCAAGGCTCACTGCAGCCTCAATCTCTTGGGCTCAAGTGATCTTTCCACCTCAGCCTCCCAAGTAGCTGGGACCACAGGCACACACCGACATGCCCAGATAATTTTTAAAAATGTTTTCGTAGAGACAGGATCTCACTTTGTTGTCCATGGTGGTCTCAAACTCCTGAGCTCAGCGATCCTCCTGCCTCAGCCTCCCAAAGTGCTGGGATTACAGATGTGAGCCACCACAGCCTGGCAGTAACAATTTTATCAGATTTTTAAATGTCCACCAACCTGAAGGGTATGGCTCAATTTACATTTCTTAGATTACTAATGGGGGCAAGCATTTTTCATATGCTCAGGGGTTATTTGGGTTTCCTATCCTGAGAAAGGCCTGTTTGTAGCTTTGTCCATTTTTCTCTTGACTCATTTATCTTTTATTTATTTATTTACTTATTGATATGGAGTTTCGCTCTTGTTGCCCAGGCTGGAGTGTAATGGCACGATCTCAGCTCACCACAACCTCCACCCTCCGGGTTCAAGTGATTCTCCTGCCTCAGCCTCCCAAATAGCTGAGATTACAGGCATGCACCACCACGCCCAGCTAATTTTGTATTTTTAGTAGAGACAGGGTTTCTCTATGTTGGTCAGGCTAGTTTCAAACTCCCGACCTCAGGAGATCTGCCCGCCTCGGCCTCCCAAAGTGCTGGGATTACAGGCGTGAGCCACCGCACCCAGCCTTTTATTTATTTTTTATAGGAATTTTCTGGAGTTCTATGCTGGATACTAATCTTTTGTTACATATATATGTTGAAGATATTTTCTCCAGGTTTGTAGCCTTGTCTCTTTGCATTCTTTATGGAGTCTTTAGATGAATGAAAGTTTTTGAATTTTTGTAGTAAAATTTATCAATTTCCTAACTTTTTTTTCATGTCTTATTTAATAAGTACTTCCCTATCCCTGAGGTCATGATACTCTCTCATATGTTCTTCTAAAACTTAAAAAAAACAAAAAAAAAACACTGAGACAGAGTCTCACTCTGTCACCCAGGCTGGAGTATAGTGGCACAAACACAGCTCACTGCAGCCTCGACCTCCTGGGCTCAAGTGAACCTCCTGCCTCAGCCTCCCAAGTAGCTGGGCCGACAGGTGCGCATCACCATGCCTGGCTAATTTTTGACTTGTTGTAGAGACAGGATCTCATTTTGTTGCCTAGGCTAGTCTCAAACTCTTAGGCTCAAGCGATCCTCCCACCTTGGCCTCCCAGAGTGCTGAGGTTAGAGGTGTGAGTCACATTTTAGTCCTTAATATCTGAAATTCTTACTTTTGGTACGGTATGAAATAGGAAACTAATTTCCTTTTTTCTTTTCCCTATAGGGAGAACTAATTGTCTAAACACCATTTATTGAAAAATCCATTTTCTCCTTAGATTCACAGGGCAAGTAGCAAGTTTCCTATATGACTATTTCTGAACTACAAATTTTGTTCCATTGATTTATTTGCCATACTGTGTAGATACCACATTATCTTAATTATTAGTTTTATAATTCTTGATATCTGGTAAAGTATGCTAGTCATTAATACTGTTTGGCAAATATCTCTGGTCTTACCCCTCTCAAGGATCACCATAGGACTACAGTTCCAGGTTCCCTTGTGGGTCAATGGGACAAGATTAATTCTGTTTCAATGAGCTGTGAGCAAAAGTGAAATGACCTGCTGAGCATTTAACTGCCTGTGCAAAATCCTCCAGAGCTCTTTTTTCCCTCTGGCTTAGCAACTAATATTTTATATGGTGGTCAAGCATAGTGGCTCATGCCAGCACCTTGAGAGGCCAAGGTGGGAAGATGACTTGAGGCCAGGAATTCAAGACCAGCCTTGGGTAACATAGCAAGTCCTCATCTCTACCAAAAAAAAAAAAAAAAAAAAAAAGGAGTTGGGCATGGTGGCACACATCTATAGTCCTAGCTACTTGGGAGGCTGAGGCACAGAATTGCTTGACCCCAGGAAACTGAGGCTGCAGTGAGCTATGACTGGTACCAGTGTACTCCAGGCTGGGTGACAGAGCAAGATCCTATCTCTAAAAAATAATAATACTCAATATGATTGTAGCTTTGGTACCTAAGTGATATAATCAGTAGTATCCCTACTTATCTTTAGTGAATGAGAAATAAATCTTTGGTATATTAATCACAGGGATTTTATGGTTGTTTGTTACCACAATATAATTTAGCATACTCTGGGCCAGGAATGGTAGTTCATGCCTGTAATCCCAGCACTTTTGGAAGCCGAAGTGAAAGGACTGCTTGAGCCCAGGAGTTCAAAACCAGCCTAGGCAACATAGTGAGAACCCATCTCTACCAAAAATTTAAAAATCGCCAGACATGGTAGCACCTGCCTGTGGTCCCAGCTACTCGGGAGGCAGAGGCAAGAGGATTCCTTGAGCCCAGGAGGTTGAGGCTGCAGTGAACCATAATAGCCCCACTACACCCCAGCCTGGGCAACAGAACAAGATCCTATTTCAAATAAATAAATAAATAAATAACTTAGCCTACCTACTCTGAGGTCACTCACTCTGTTGTTACTTTTCAGCAGTGTCATATTTTTCCGTTTGTTACGTAAATTTCAGAACTGTCTTTTCTCAACTTCCAAAATAAGCCTACTGATCAGAGTATACATGAGTACCACCACACTGGAAAAGAAATGGCATTATCTAAAAAAGTTGAAGACATACATATTCTATGATCTAGCAATTCCAGTCCTGGGCATGTGTACAAAAGAAATATGTACACATAGGTAAACATGTACAAAAATGTTCTTAGTAATACTCTTCATAAAAATAAAAAACTGGAAACAATCCAAATGACTACCAACATTTGGTAGTTGGTAGTCATGTTGGTAGTCATCTGGTAGAAGAGATCACCAACAGTGATTTATTTACACAAAGAAATACCAAGGCCAGGCACAGTGGCTCATGCCTGTAATCCTAGCATTTTGGGAGGCCAAGGAGGGCAGATCACCTGAGGTCAGGAGTTCGAGACCAGCCTGGCCAACATTGAGAAACCCTGTCTCTACTAAAAATACAAAATTAGCCGGGCGTGGTGGCGCATGCCTGTAATCCCAGCTACTCGGGAGGATGAGGCAGAAGAATCACTTGAACCCGGGAGGCGGAGGTTGCAGTGAGCTGAGATCGCACCATTGCACTCCAGCCTGGGCAACAAGAGTGAAACTCCGTCTCAAAAAAGAAAAGAAAAAGAAATACCATACAGTAATGAAAATGAACTAGACCTACACACAACAATGTAGATGCTCTTATAAACACATTGCTGAGCTAAGAAACACACACAAAATTTGCATACAATGATTCCATTTACAATGAAGTCTCAAAAACAGATAATTTTAAAATTAGATTAAGAATAAATATATAGGTAGTAAAACACCAGATAAAACAAGGAAATGGGCCAGGCGCAGTGGCTCACGCCTGTAATCCCAGCACTTTGGGGGCCGAGGCGGGTGGATCACAAGGTCAAGAGTTTGAGACCAGCCTGGCCAACATGGTGAAACCCCATCTCTACTAAAAATACAAAAATTAGCCGGGCATGGTGACGTGCACCTGTAATCCCACCTACTTGGGAGGCTGAGGCAGGAGAATCACTTGAACCCAGGAGGCAGAGGTTGCAGTGAGCTGAGATCATGCCACTGCATTCCAGCCTGGGCGACACAGTGAGACTCTGTCTCAAAAAAACAAACAAAAAAACAAAACAAAAAAAACAACAACAAGGAAATGACTACCACAAACATTAGGAAGTCCCTGGGAGAAAAGAGATCTGATTGAGAAAAAAGGGAGGAGAATGTACATGGTACTGGCAACTTTCTTTTGTTTTTTTGTTTTGTTTTGTTTTGAGACAGAGTTTTGCTCTGTCACCCAGGCTGGAGTGCAGTGGCACGATCCTGGCTCACTGCAACCTCCGCTTCCCGGGTTCAAGTGATTCTCATACCTCAGCCTCCTGAGTAGCTGGGATTACAAGCATGCGCCACCACACCCAGCTAATTTTTTTGTATTTTTAGTAGAGATAGGGTTTCGCCATCTTGGCCAGGCTGGTCTTGAACTCCTTACCTCAGGTGATCCACCCGCCTCAGCCTCCCAAAGTGCTGAGATTACAGGCGTGAGCCACCACATCCTGCCGGTACTGGCAATTTTCTATTTTGACTTGAAGAGTTACTGCAAGGGTGTTGACTTTGATTACTCGTTATACTGGATTTCTGTGGTTTTACACAAATGTCTTATACCATTTTTGTAAGATTTATTCATATTTACTGCATATACTTTGTTGCTATTATAAAATGCTTTTTAAATTGCATTTTCTGTTTGTTGCCAGCTATAGAAACCGTACTGGGCTGGGTGCAGTGGCTCACACCTGTAATCCCAGCACTTTGGGAGGCCAAGGAGGGTGGATCACCTGAGGTCAGGAGTTCGGGACCAGCCTGGCCAACATGGTGAAACTCTAGCTCTACTAAAAATACAAAAAATTAGCTGGGCGTGGTAGTGGGTGCCTGTAATCCCAGCTACTCGGGAGGCTGAGGCAGGAGAATCACTTGAACCTGGGAGGCAGAGGTTGCAGTGAGCTGAGGTCGCGCCATTGCACTCCAGTCTGTGCAACAAGAGTGAAACTCCATCTCAAAGAAAAAAAGAAACAGAACTGAATGTTATGCCTTGATGCAACAACCCACTATACTCTCTCATTGCTGCTTCTGACTTATCAGTAGATTGAGTTTTTTTGTAACAGTCATATCATCTGCAAATAATGGCAACTTTGTTTGATCCTTTATAATCTTTATATCTTTCCTTTGGTTTTGTCTTATTTACAATGACTAGAATCTAGTTCAGTGATGAATTGTATTATTTTCAATAAAAGTATTTTTATTTTTTATTTTTTTAGAGACAGGATCTTGTTCTATCACCCTGGCTGGAGTGTAGTGGCACAATCATAGCTCACTTCAGTGTTGAACTCCTGGGCTCAAGTGATCCTCCCACTTCAGCCTCCAGAGTAGCTGAGTCTACAGGTATGTGCGACCATGTCCCACTAATTTTTTTTTCTTTGTAGAGATGGGGTCTTGCTATGTTGCCTAGGCTGGTCTCACACTGCTGGCTTCAAGTGATCCTCCCATCTTAGCATCCCAAAGCACTGGGATTACAGGCATAGCCACTGCTCCCAGCCCTATAAAAGTAGTTTTAAAGTGGGGAACAAAAGAGACATCGTACAGGAGGACCCAGGTGCTGATGGCTCATTTCAAGTTTACTCCTTCATATGTTTATCATCCTTTCCCTTCTCTCAGAAAATGAAGCTCTCCATCCTGGATGAGGGAATAGCTCTTGAAAACTGGCTATTCTAACAATTTAAACTTCTTAACTATTAAAATCAAGTTCAGCTCATCCACACTTCCAAATTAGTCTATCTGCATTACAAGTCTATAATTTTCAAATCAAGTATACAATAATTAAAAGAATAGAAACAACGCCATCTAAAACGTGAAGTGTGTTCAAACTAGAGCCTAATTATTTAACATCTATATAGCACTGAGGAACTGAAAAGCCCTTAGGGGAAAAAAAAATCAAATTTTAATACACTCCCAACACAACAAATGAAGCAGTGAAGGAAAATAAATCTCTTGGTTAGATCAGGCAGTGATGTAATGAGGAAAGTACCAGAATTCTAACACATCCCCAGAGTTATGAAGACCCAAAATATAGCCTTTGATAAATACATCCCCAAGCCCATTTATCTATCCACCACAAGCAACTGTCTCTCTGAAAGAGTCCCAAAATATTTCCTCAGCCCAACAAATTGACAATTTCCCTTCTGTACTTGTGTGTCTCAGAGGGTAAGTCTAGCGGTTGACTTTCTTCATCTTTCTGGCTTATATAATGATACTGATTTATACTAAGTAACAATTTGTCCCTCAGGAAAATGAAATATAACAAGAATGTGGCAGCCAGTTCTCCAGAGTCCCACCCAGATCAATGAAGAGTATAGCACAGTCCCGACTAGTCAAAGGACTATCAGAGGTCATGTAAGTGCTCTCATCCCTTCTTGGTACAGACAAGAGTTTCCAGTGTCAGACAGTTCTTCTATAGGGACTTCTCCAGGATGCACATTTCCCTAGTAAGTATCCCCAAACACGTTTTTTTGTTTTTTTCTCCCTTTCTGAATGACTTTTTTTGTTGTTGTTTTTTTCTCCCTAGCATGGCTCTAATGCCATGAATCAGACTTCCTCTGGACTTACCATGGGACTACTGTATTTCTTGTTTATCTAAAATTAGATACTTAATGTATCTTTCAGAAAATCAGATAAAATGCCCTTTGGATGGACCCCTGTCTAAATGGGCACAGTAAGAAATGTTATATTCAACTTGTAAAAGATTTGGTTTTATTAAAATTCATATTTGAACTCCCCAATAAACCAATAATTTATATTCTATATTTTGTTACAAGTTATAATGGTTCCAGCTGGGCGTGATGGCTCACGCCTGTAATCCCAGCACTTTGGGAGGCCGAGGCGGGCGTCACCTGAAGTCAGTGAGACCCTGTCTCTACTAAAAATACAAAAATTAGCTAGGGCGTGGTGGCAGGTGCCTGTAATCCCAGCTACTCGGGAGGTTGAGGAGAAGAATTGCTTGAACCAGGGAGGCAGAGGTTGCGGTGAGCCAAGACCACGCCATTGCACTCCAGCCTGGGCAACAAGAGTGAAAATCCGTCTCAAAAAAAAAAAAGAAAAAAAAAAATCTGCCTATCATGGGCTTAAAACTCCAAAGTGAGTTGGGTGTGGTGGCATGAGCCTGTAATCCCAGCCTACTCTTGAGCCCAGGAGTTCAAGACTAGCCTGGGCAACAGAGCAAGATTTCATCTCCAAAAAAAAAAAAAAAAAAAAAAAAAAAAAAAAAAAAAACACCCTCCATAGTAATACTGGTCAAAAAAAATTTTGAGTCAGTTATTGCAAATAACTAATATAACTGGGAAAATCTAAAGTTTTTGGTTACAGTTCCTATTTCAGGATGTAAAAGCAACTATTATAAATTAAACATATAACGATCACATCCAAACATCCCTGTAACAAACCAAGAATTCAGACTTTATGAGACCAAAAATGACTGTGGAAGCTTACTCAGAAATCAGACAGACTCATCCATATAATCCATTATATATCTGGACTAAGAAACTGTAGGGAAACTACATGTTGGAGAAACAGAGAAAGCAACAGAATTGGCCCTTACACATCATAGCTCTTTCTCTTTAGCAACATACCTAAAATCTCTAAGTCAGAAATCTCTCACTTTAGGCCATTTTCTTTGCTCTAAAGAAATCTCTGGTTTCATTTTATTCAGAAATGAAAAACTTGGAAACAGGTGGGGAAGTAAAAAAAAAAACAGAAATGAAAAACTTAAAACTAAACAATACATGGGGTAGAGAACTGGTATAAAAGAATCTTTTAAGTGTGGTAATGGGAAACTAGGGAATAGAAAAATTTTAGTACTGGCATTACTCTCTTTTCCTTTTTCTTTTTTTTTTTTTTTTTTGAGCCAGGGTCTCACTCTGTTGCCCAGGCTGGAGTGCAGTGGTATGATCAGAACTGCAGCTTTTAACTTCTAAGCTCAAGCAATCCTCCCACCTTGACCTCCCAAAGGCTGGGATTACAGGCATGTGCCACCTCACCCGTTGTACTGGCATTTATCAATAGGAAGAGTTTATTGCTAAATTTAGCTTTAACAAACAAAATTAATTACGTTAAAAACACCTAGTTGCATCTTCTTTCAAAATGAAAATTTAGAATTAGCTTTTCAAATAAACACTCAAAGTAGAAGCAGGCTGGGCACAATGGCTCACGCCTGTAATCCCAGTGCTTTGGGAGGCCGAGGCAGGCAGATCACCTGAAGTCAGGAGTTTGAGACCAGCCTGGCCAACATGGCGAAACCCCGTCTCTACTAAAAATACAAAAATTAACCGAGCATGGTGGCACACGCCTATAATCCCAGCTACTCGGGAGGCTGAGACAGGAGAATTGCTGGAACCCAGGAGGCGGAGGCTGCAGTGAGCTGAGGTCGCACCAGTGCACTCCAGACTGGGTGACAGAGTGAGACTTCATCCCAAAAAAAAAAAAAAAAAAAAAAAAAAGGAGAAGCATACTTGCATAGTATTCTATCACATCAAACAGAGCTGCATAAGCAAAAAAGGTTCAGTAAAAGAGACTACCCAAGCCAAGTACTAATTCTTTGAAGCAAGCAAACAAATCATATCCATTTTTGCACTAAACCACAGGTAGATAATTCAGTAACAAATTCTTTGGCATCATCCTGATTAACCAAACCACCTTGATATTGACCATTTGGCCACCCAATGGTAGTGAGAAGAAACTAATTGGAAGTACTTACCTTGAGAGCGCAAAAGATGCAGGAATCTCCCATGCACTTGTGAGTTGTAAGCTGCCTAAAGCTACGTCGGAAGATATCCAAGTGCCACAAAACCTGATGAGAAAAGGAAAATATTTCATTACTCTATAAAAAGCTACCATTTAATTTTAAAGTAAAGAGTTCAAACAAACATAGGTAATGACTGCAGAAGATGTCTTTATTCCCAAAAGAAAACTTCATTCTAGTATATTAAAACAAATGTGAAAAAAGGTGAGGTATCTAACAAGAAAAATAAATGGTCATATTCTGGGAAAGATATTAATTTGAACATAAAGTGAAGGTAATACAGTTAAAATATGACATGATATACATCAAATGTGATCCGGAAGAGGAAATTTACGGGTTAAAGCTGAAGAATAAGGATTTATATTCATTATCCACACAAGAAAAGCAAAAATATTTTAAAACTTATATTAGAAATGTGAACTGTAGAAATGTGAGCTGTAGTGTGGAATTTTATCTTTGTTAGGACTCTCAATTTTCAGACATTTCTAAGAGAAGTGTGATCTCCTTAAGTCAATAGGGTAAAAAATAATGATTTTTATACTTTTGTTGAAATGGGAAAAAAATATGATATTAACAGTGGTAAATCATGTTATAGTATATACCCTTGATGCAATGTGTTGAGAATGGCACTATACTTTTGTGGTCTTCCTCCCTAAAACCTATGACCCTAGTCTAATCATGAGAAAAGCATTAGACAAATTCCAATAGGGGAAGGGGGATATCCAAAAAAATACTTGATCAGTACTCCTCAAAACTGTCAAAGTTTATCAAAAACATAAACATTCTGAGAAAATGTCACAGCTAACAGGAGCCTAAGAAGACATGACAAGTAAATCTAAATGTGGTATCCTGGATGAAATCTTGGGCCAGGAAAGGACACCAGGTAAAAACTAAGGAAATCTGAATAAATTGCAATTTTTAGTTAAAAAAGAAATGATGTAGTATATAGCATAATGCCTTAGGAAGCTCCCCCTTGCTAGGAAAACATTTAATGTCATAATACATGAAAAAGCATAATTTCTGGAGCCCCAGATGACAGCACACCTCCGGAGCTTCTTCTTACTTATATGTCTCAAGATACACACTCTAAAAGTTCTTTGAAACTGGCTATGCTCCCAAGTAAATAACACCTTTTTATAACAAATGTAATAGGTTCAACTCATCTGTGGTAAACACAGCTTTGAAACCAAAAGTTAGAATATTAGCTCATAACAACAATTATTTTCAACATGTAACATGATTATTATAGGGACTCCAAAACCATCAATGCCTCAATCATTAAGTATGGATACAGAAATATGTATGTGTATATATATTATGTATTGTATATGGCACTGGAAATTAGAATGGGAAATCATAAATAGTATTGTTTCAACTGACAATATAAATAGACCACATAGAAAAAAACAATTACAAAAATGGGACTATGGCCAAGACACGGGTAAACAAACACATTTATATCAATGCCTTATTTTGCCTGCTTCTAAATCACAAAAGTATTATCAGGATACAAAGTAACTAAAAAAACTAATATGTGGCCAGGTGTGGTGGCTTATGCCTATAATCCCAGCACTTTGGGAGGACAACGCAGGATGATCATTTGAGCCCAGGAGTTCAAGACCAGCCTAAGCAATTATAGTGAGACCCTCTCTCCACAAACAATTAAAAAAAAAAATTAGCTGCGTGTGGTAGCATGTGTCTGTTGTCCTAGCTACCTAGGGAGGCTGAGGTGGGAGGACCGCTTGAGCCCAGGACGTTAAGGCTGCAGTGAGCTATGATTACACCAGTGTACTCTAGCCTTGGCAACAGAGTGAGACCTCTGGCTCCAAAAAAAAGAGAAAGAAATAAAGAAAGAAAACTAATATGCATCATCCAGGACAAAAACCTAACCAACTCCACCTAACTACATGAAATTTGGGTAATAATTAGGGAAAGCACTTAAATTTTTTCTATAGGCTTGCCAGCACATAATTTTTTTTTATTGTTTTCGAATAAAAACTTAAAAACTGAGAAAGAGGCTGGGCACAGTGGCTCACGCCTGTAAGCCCAGCACTTTGGGAGGCCGAGGTGGGCAGATTACCTGAGGTGAGGGGTTCAAGACCAGCCCAGCCAACATGGCGAAACCCCGTCTCTACTAAAAGTACAAAAATTAGCCCAGCGTGGTGGTGCACAGCCTGTAATCCCAGCTACTCAGGAGGCTAAGGCAGGAGAATCGCTTGAACCCAAGAGGCGGAGGTGGCAGTGAGCTGAGATCCCACCACTGCACTCCAGCCTGGGCGACAGAGTGAGACTCTGTCTGAAAAATAAATAAATAAAAACTGAGAAAGAGCATGAAACTTTTATTACCTAGATAAGCTTGGCAACATTCTTGTATTATGAATGAGGAAACTCAGACACTATTACCTGTACAAAGTCACAAGACTAGTCTACAGAATGGCTAAAACTACAACCCAGGTCTCCTCCTAATGCCCAGGACCATTGTTCTTTATACTAAATATCTTGTCTTCTCTCATAGCAACCCATTTTCTCATAACATCTGAGGAGTGAAGCTAATATTTTACCCAAGTATAATTATCTTGGGTGGCAAATTTCATTTACTTTTACACTGAAGAGCAGAAAAGAAGAGAAAGTAATTACTTGAAAGTTAGGCCAAGGGGGATGAACTTAACATGCTATGGGCGTGACTGGGCAGAGCAGACAGACAGAAAGCTTTGGGATTCTAAGATCACTCAAGTGGCAAGCAACAGTGAAAGGGAAAATGTAGGGTAGATAATCAACTTAAGGGAATTCACTTTCCCCTAGCTCTGTTCAAGTGTATCTGACTAGACACCAGTTATGAGCCAAAACAGGAGAGCTCAAAGAGAGGAGATAAGTTGGACAAAGACTAGACTCCATTCAATATGTGGGCCAAAAGCCTGAATATTAAGAGACGAGATTAACATACCTGAAAGTCTTTGACTTGTGGAAAGAATTTTGCTTCTATACTAGAGAAAAGCAACTAGGATAACACACCTTACTCCCGAAAGGAGAAACAGAAAACAGGCCAGACACCTGTAATCCCAGCACCTTGGGAGGCTGAGGCAGGCGGATCACTTGAGGCTAGGAGTTCAAGACCAGCCTGCCCAACATAGTAAAACCCTGTCTCCACTAAAAATACAAAAATTAGCCGGGTGTGGTGATGCACACCTATAATTCCACCTACTTGGGTGGCTGAGGCATGAGAATTGCTTGAACCCAAGAGGCAGAGGTTGCAGTGAGCCGAGATCGCTCATGGTCCCAGCTACTCAGGAGACTGAGGCAGTAGGATCACCTGAGCCCTGGAGGTCAAGGCTGCAGGAGCTGTGATTGGGCCACTATACTCCAGCCTGGGCAATAGAGTGAGACTGTCCAAAAAAAAAAAAAAGAAAGAAAAGAAAAGAAAAGAAAAATAGGAACCTGTAGAGACTGTTCAGGAAAAAAAGTTGATAAATAGAAAGATAGGCCAGGCACGGTGGTTCATGCCTGTAATCCCAGCACTTTGGGAGGCCAAGGCAGGTGGATCACAAGGTCAGGAGTTCGAGACCAGCCTGGCCAATATGGTGAAACCCCGTCTCTACTAAAAACACACAAATTAGCTGGGCATGGTGGTGGGCGCCTGTAGTCCCAGCTACTCGGGAGGCTGAGGCAAGAGAATCACTTGAACCTGGGAGGCGGAGGTTGCAGTGAGCCGAGATTGCGCCACTGCACTCCAGCCTGGGCGACAGAGCAAGACTCTGTCTGAAAGATCACCTGGTCCATTTACCTCCCTTTAGGCATGTAAATAATAGTAGTTACAGTTATTATTATTTCTCTTATCATTATTAATCCCTCTTTTTTACAAATGAGGTAATTGAGATTCAAAGAGATAAAGTGACTTGCCAAAGATCACACAGATAAATGTAAAAATTATCTCAGGTTACTAACCTCAAACAGAGACTATCAAACATTTTATTTAAAAAGAGTTATCAGAAATACAGCATCAGCAATTAAAAGTCAAAGTTCACCAAAAATAAAGAAATGACCCTTACCTGCAGGGCACTGTTGAGGAAGCAGCTGTTTTGCCCTGGCTCATTGCTGAGGCCTTTGCTGGGGGCTATGGAGGTTGAGCTTCGAGGTGCAAACATCCCTTGTACACTACCACGACCCCCTGAAAAATAATTTCTCTTCCAAGACATTATTGTTCACATTTAGCCTGAAAAAAAAATGGAGAAGGATTTGTGCCTTTTTGGCAGGAATTTCTGTCTGCTAAAGTTCTAAAAGGAAAGGGAATCCAGAATTTAGTGAATTTATTTTGGAAGATTTTGACTTTACCACCTTCCAAATATCATCTGTGTAGTCAAGGGACTCAGGTATCCTCCTAGATCAAGATGACAGAGCCCTCCCTCACTTGTTCCAAACAATCTCCAAAATGTAACATGGCACAGGACTAATGCAAACAGAGAAATCCTTAAGTATTGCTTCCTTCTATTTTTCTTGAACAGCCTCCATAAAGTCCTGGTGAAGTGGATGTAATTCTCAACTCCAACAGCATCCAGGATCAGGGTAAGATGTGTTCTTCAGGCTTGTTGATAATGCTTCTTATGGACTGAAGATTTTTCCAACTGGAAGGAGAGGCAGACAGAGAAGCAAGAATCCAACATGATCCTCCTCACCCTCTATTGCCTTGTCTCATCATCCTCTGAAGCAAAAACTCAAATTCTGAGCAACTGCAAAAGGTTCCACAAAGCCAAGAAGAAGCCTGTTTGAATCATCTGAGGTTTTTGTTGATGTTCTTGCTGCTTCTTTTTAATGTGCCCCAAACTTCTATTGTCCCATCCAGATCTTCAGCAAGTCTCTCCTCTTTCTTCTGGGACTAGAATAGCCAGCTGTGTCAGAGAGCTTTAACAGAAATAAAAAAAATCAAAAGCTTGCGTCACTTAATGACTCTACTGGCTTTGGACTGTTCTGCCAAGATCAACGTTGCCTCACTTCTCACTATAAACTTGAAACCTTGGCAAACAATGCCAAAAAAAAAGAAAAAAAGAAAAAAAAAAAAAAGAGAGAGACACCCAAACTAAAGAGAAGGAAAAAAAGGTATGAACAGCTTTACTTTCAGGGGAAAATTCTCTGAAATTTTCTTGAAGCAGAAGAAAGTTGATCTGGATAGAAATAAAAACAAAATACAAACTTTCCAGTATCAGGCTAACACAAAACAAATCACCAAGTAAGCACACACAAACTAGGAACTGAAAGTTCCTTTTGGACATTGTGAATAAAGCACTTTTTAAAAGGTGTTTTCCATGAATATGCTTATGAAAACGTGCTTAAAGGTGGGAAGGCCATGTTAGCAGTCTAAGATCTGTTCTGAGTAAAGATGTTCCATCCAGAGAAACACTGATGGCGAGTAAACCACATGTCCTTAACATGCAGTCCAAGAGAACTAAATCTTCTCCTGCCCTGTTTGTTTGTTTGTTTCATTTTTGCCAGAGGATCAGAGAGATAATTTGGGTTACAAATCATTTAATCTCCAGATTATATCCAAGGGCTCACAATCAGAGGCAATCCATTGACCAACTTTAGTTTTCAACTAATTAAAATGCCAGTGAGGCAACAGAGAGTAATACCAAAGCAAGTATGTTCCCTGGAAGGAAATCACCACATCTCCAGCTTTAAGTTTTCCTATAAGGCTGCCATGTCCATCTACATAAGGAAAAATTTTTAAATGTTAAGTGTTAAATTTGCCAACATCAACAATTCCTCATTCTCCCTTCCTTCTCACCATCATATGCACCATCTAAAAACACAAAAATGCTTTAACATCTTAATCATTCTCTGGGAGATCACCTAGCATTGTCTACAGCATGTCCAATGGAAAAACTGAGGTACAGGAATATTAAATGGTTGCATAAGACTGTTCTTTCCCTTCTGTAAATTCCCAGACTATTTATAATCTACATGTCCCAATTAAAGTATTTGATTATACAGCCTACTGTCACATTATTCTCTATTTTTATTACTCTCTGTTTTATATCGTATCCGTCATAATATGACTACATGAAATGAAATAGTAGCTACAGTCAGGTATGTGCTAAACACGATACTTATGTCCTTTATTTAATATTCACAACAGTCCTATCAGATAGCTATTAATAGTTCCATTTTACAGAAAAGTAAAGAGAGGCTTAAAGACATTAACTTGCCCAATTCAACACTGGTAAGTGGCAGATCTAGAAATGTTTGACTATTAAACAATGACTTAATTATATATTTTATTATTCTATTCCAAAAGCTCCTATTACAGTGCCAGTCATAAGAAGGCAGTCAATAAATACTGCCTGATGATTAACATGACACTAGAAAAGAACCCATATCTCCCACACAGACTATAAGACCCTCACCTTTCTACACACACCCTCATACACACCCCACTCAAGGCCACTAAGCAACTTCCAACAAGCCATGCAGCATTCCTTCAGCTCAACTGCTGCAAAGGAATGACAAGTACCAAGCCTCCACTTTGCTCACAGCCAAAAGGACTTGGCAGGCAGGTGGGGTTTCCAATATCCACATTAGGAGCTAACTGAAACTCAGCCTGCCCTATGACACACACTCCTGAGTACAGGGAGCAAAAGGAGAAAAACGCAGTAGCAGAGAAAAGATTCTCAGGCTCTGAATGGCAGTATTATGTAGGGTAAAGCAGTAAGTTCTCAGACCTGTTCTAGATGTGTCACCAACTAGAAGTGAGAGCATAAAGGACCAGACAAGAGAGGCAGTAACAAGTGGTCCAGAGAAATACTAACACCAAAAACATTTCACTTAAATTGTAGATATAGCATTAAACAATGTAATCCTTCTCCAATACCATTTACTGAAGATATGTGAGGAGGGGAATTATAGTTTTATCTGTATGGCTCTCACTACCTAGTTTTGTTTTTTGGGTTTTGTTTTGTTTTGTTTTGTTTTGTTTCTGAGGCAGAATCTCACTGTCACCCAGGCTGGAGTGCAGTCGCGCAATATTGGCTCACTGCAGCCTCCGCCTCTTAGGTTCAAGCAATCCTCCTGCCTCAGCCTCCCGAGTAGCTGGGATTACAGGCATGTGCCACTATGCCTGGCTAATTTTTGTATTTTTAGTAGAGACGGGATTTCACCAGGGGCTGGTCTCAAACCCCTGACTTCAGGTGATCCACCTGCCTTGACTTCCCAAATGCTGGGATTACAGGCATGAGCCACCGCACCCAGCCAGTCAATTGATTTTTGATGAAAGTACCAAGGCCATTTAATTGAGAAATGACAGTCTTTTCAACAAATGATGTTGGAACAATTGGGACACCCATATGCAAAAAACTGAACATTGAGTCATACCTTACATCTTATACAAAAATAATTCAATACATCACAGTCCTAAACAAAAAACCTAAAACTATAAATTCTAGGAGAAGACAGGAGAAAATTTTATAACCTTTGGTTGGGCAAAGATTCCTTTTTTTTTTTTTTTTTTGAGACAGTCTCCCTCTGTCGCCCAGGTTGGAGTGTAGTGGCGTGGTCTCAGCTCACTGTAACCTCCACCTCCCCGGTTCAAGTGATTCTCCTTCCTCAGCCCCATCACCCTCACCCCCACCCCCTTCCCCCAGTAGCTGGCATTACAGGCATGCACCACCATGTATTTTTAGTACAGATGGGGTTTCACCATGTTGGCCAGGCTGGACTTGAACTCCTGACCTCAAATGATCCACCATCCTCGGCCTCCCACAGCGCTGGGATTACAGGTGTGAGCCACTGCACCCGGACAAAGATTCCTTAGATACAACAAAAGCATAATGTATAAAAGGAAAAAATTATAGAATTGAACTTCATCATAAGAATGTCTGCTCTTTGGAAGACACTGTTAAGAGAATGAAAAGATTAGTCAAAGATTAAAAGAAAATATTTGCAAGTCACATAATAGATAAATGACTTAGATCTAAAATATATAGAATCCTCAAAACTTAATAAGAAAAACTATCCAATTTTGGCCAGGCGCAGTGGCTCATGCCTGTAATCCCAGCACTTTTGGAAGCTGAAGCAGGTGGATCACTTGAGGTCAGGAGTTCAAAACCAACCTGGCCAACATGGTGAAACCCCATCTCTATTAAAATTACAAAAAAATTAGCTGGGTGTGGTGGCAGACATCTGTAATCTCAGCTACTTGGGAGGCTGAGGCAGGAGAATCGCTTGAACCCGGGAGGTGGAGGTTGCAGTAAGCTGGGATTGCACCACTGCACTCCAGCCTGGATGACACGGCAAGACTCCATCTCAAAAAAACAACAACAACAACAACAAAAAAAAACTACCCAATTTTGTTTAATGGGCAAAAGATTTGAACATTTCACCAAACAAGATATACAAATGGTAAATAAGCACATGGAAAGATGTTCAACATTATTAGCCATGAGGGAAATGGAAATTAAAACTACACTATACACCTATTAGAATAGTTAAAAACAAAAACAAAAAAACTTTTTAAACCTGACAATAACAAGTGCCGATGAGGAATCAGAGCAACTGGAACTCTCCTACATTGTTTATGGAAATGCAAAACAGGCCAGGTGCAGTAGTTCACGCCTGTAATCCCAGCACTTTGGGAGGCTGAGGCGGGTGGATCACCTTGGATCAGGAGTTCAAGACCAGCCTGGCCAACATGGTGAAACCCTGTCTCTACTAAAAATACAAAAATTAGCCAATGGCAGGCACCTATAATCCCAGCTCCTAGGGGGCATTGAGGCAGGAGAATTGCTTGAAACCAGGAGGTGGACATTGCAGTGAGCCGAGATCAAGCCACTGCACTCCAACCTAGGCAACAGAGAAAGACCCCATTTCAAAAAAAAAAAAAAAAAGAAAGAAAAAGAAAAAGAAATGCAAAATGACACACTTGGCAGTTACTTCTAAACTTAAATATATAGTCATGAGCTGTATAACAATGTTTCAGTCAAGAAGAGACCGCATATACAATGGTAGTCCCATAAAATTATGGGATTATGGGACTTACCTTATTTTTACTGTAACTTTTCTATGTTTAGATATGTTTAGGTGCACATCTATTACTATTGTGTTACAATTGCTTATTTTATTTATTTATTTATTTATTTTTGAGATGGAGTTTCGCTCTTCTTGCCCAGGCTGGAGCGCAATGGTGTGATCTTGGCTCACTGCAACCTCTGCCTCCCGGGCTCAAGCGATTTTCCTGCCTCAGCCTCCCGAGTAGCTGGGATTACAGGCACGCACCATCACGCTCAGCTATTTTTTGTATTTTTGTATTTAGTAGAGATGGTGTTTCACCATGTTGACCATGCTGGTCTCCAACTCCTGACTTCAGGTGATCCTCCCGCCTCAGCCTCCCAAAGTGCTGGGATTACAGGTGTGAGCCACCGTGCCTGGCATCTATTATATTTAGTACAGTAACATCCTATACAGGTTTGTAGCATAGCAGCAGTAGGCTATATCGTATAGTCTAGGTGTGTAGTAGGCTATACCATCTAGGTTTATGCAAATACACTTAAATGATATTCACACAATGACAAAACCACCTAACACCACATTTCTCAGAACACATCCCTGTTGTTAAGCAAAACATGGCTGCACTTTTGCCATACTTTTACCTACCAATCCTACTCCTAGGTATTTTACCATAAAGAAATAAAAAATTGGGCTGGGCATGGTAGCTCATGCCTAAAATCCCAGAATGGGAGGACAAGGCTGGTGGATCACTTGAGGCCTGGAGTTCGAGGTGAGCGTGGGCAACATGGTAAACTTCTAGGAAAGTAAAAGCCAAAATTGGGATGGAAGCATGTCATCTTATTACGTATTTCCTTGTGTAACACAGTTACTAAGTTATATGTCCCACTGTTCCCAATCTGAAAACACTAGCCTCCTGTGGGTAAGCCAAAAACCTTTCCATGTATGAAATGATGGAAAACAGTGGGTCTCAACCTTTTTGCAGTGCCTCACATCCAGAGGCAGATTTACCAAGCCACTGAAACTTAAGCTTCAGGACTCTTTCTCTTGCACAGATTCTCAAGGCCCAATATCTCATTTTCTGTTTCAAAAAATATTTTCCTTAAAGGAGGCCCTCTGAATTGCATAAGCTTCAAGTGTCAGAGAATCTAAGTCTGCCCCATCCACATTACATAAATGGGGCTTTTATAGTATATGTCACTTGAGAAAATACATAATTCAAAAAGCTACTTTGAATTCAGTAATACTAATAAATTTGTATTTTATTAATCAAAGAAACATCTAATGTTATTCACTGTATAAAATTTGTTTGAACTAAATAGATCTAAATATAATATTTGGTCCACATTTGGATTTTGGATTCTTGTGCTCACAGCAAGTAACTCCACAGTCAACAGGGCTAAATTGAAAAGATCATTACAGATTAAGGTTGCCAGAATTAAAGACATACCTCTAGAAGCTGGTGACCTTTAGAAAAAAACACTTTCTCTGTATTAGTGAAATACAGAGAATGATTCTTTCACAAGTATACACAGTACAGCTTAATGTGCTACCATTTTTCTCAGGCCAAAGTAATAAACCAGGCTCCAGCTGCAGCCACCCTAATTATCCCCCACTGTATTCTTCACCAACAAAGTCAGCTTCTCTCAGCCTGTTTCGGAAAAAACCCAAAGCAGTCATTCAAAGGAACTGGCTTGTGCATAAAGGGAGATGAGGCCTGGAAGGACACTGGGCCAGGAGGAGCCTGGCGCCCTAAGAGACAGAGGGGTAAATGAGGCCCAGAGAGCTACAGGTTATTAGCATAAGAGATTCATTATGAGCAGAGCTAGAATGGAACTGAAATCAATGAAGACTAGATAGAATTTGTTCGTGCAAAGCCTGGGAACCCTTTGATAAAACCAGGTGTAAAGTGTGGGAAGTTTCTAAGGAGAAGGACTTTTTTTTTTTTTTGAGACAGAGTCTCGCTCTGTCACCCAGGCTGGAGTGCAGTGATGCGATCTTGGCTCACTGCAACAGCCACCTCCACCTCCCGGGTTCAAGCAATTCTCCTACCTCAGCCTCCCGAGTAGCTGGGATTACAGGCATGCGCCACCATGCCTGGCTATTTTTGTACTTTTAGTAGAGACAGAGTTTCGCCATGTTGGCCAGGCTGGTCTTGAACTCCTGGCCTCAAGTGATCCACCCACCTCGGCCTCCCAAAGTTGTGAACCATGCGGTGGCACAGGCGTGAACCACTGCGCCCATCCAAGGAGATGGACTCTTTAAGCTAATTGACTTCACAGTAACTAAAGTTCAATAAAGTCTTTAAGGAGACACTATTAATTGCATGTGTAGAGAACTCCATGACATTAATAAAAATGACAGTATCAAAGTATCTCCACTAAGGCATTTATTAACTACAAAGGAAAATATAGTAGTTTCACAATGGAGAAACCCAGCAGAAACTACCTTAACCAAGTGATCAAGGTCAAAATAACCAGTAATAATACATATTGACATCATGAATGCCATGATATGATGCACTGAAAAGGACACAATTATTTCTGTGGTATTCTTGCCTAAACCATAATCTCAGTCCAATCATCAGAAAAATATCAGACAAATCCAAATTAAGGAATATTTGACAAATAGCCCTCAAACTGATATTGATCAATACTCTACAAAAATGTCAAGGTTATAAAAGACAAAGAAAGACTAAGAAACTTTTACAGAATACAGAAGAGTAAGGAAGAAAAACACCTAAAATGCAATGTGAGATTCCAGATAGGATCCTGGAACAGAAAAAGAACAATGCAGCTTGTGCAAGATGGCGAAACCCTGTCTCTACAAAACAAAGAAAATTTTTTTTTGAAACAAAGTTTCTCACTTGTCACCCAGGCTGGAGTAAAATGGCGCGATCTTGGCTTACTGCAACCTCAGTCACCTGGGTTCAAGCAATCCTCCTGCCTCAGCCTCTGGAGTAGCTGGGATTACAGGCGCCTGCCACCACGCCCAGCTAATTTTTGTATTTTCAGTAAAGATGGGGTTTCACTATGTTGGCCAGGCTGGTCTCAAACTGCTGACCTCGGGTGATCCGCCCGCCTCAGCCTCCCAAAGTGCTGGGATTACAGGCGTGAGCCACTGCACCTGGCCAAAAAAAATTTTTTTTAATTAGCCAGGCTAATGCTTGCCTGTAGTCCCAGCTACTCAGAAGGGTGAGGCAGGAGGACTTTTTGAGCCTGGAAATTCAAGCCTGTAGTGAGCTATGACTGTGCCACTGCACTCCAGCCAGGGTGACAAAGCAAGACCCTGTCTTTAAAAATAAAAAAAAAATAAATTACAATTTAAAAAAACTGAAAATAAAAAAGGAAAAATAATAATGGTAGGCAAACTGGTGAAATTCAGGAAAGCTCTTTAGTTAATAGTGTTATACCAATACTATTAATTCCTGGTTCTGATAAATGTATTATGGTTATATAAGATGGTATCATTAGAGGTAACTATTTTTCCAACTTTTCTATAAATTCAAAATAAAAAACATTTTAAATTATGCAAATAATTCACTGAAGAAGATGGAACTTTGGGCCCAAAAGGGATTGAGGCATTTGGGAAATAAATATTTATATGTCTAAAGGTAGATGGACCAAGATTGATTTATAGGAAAAGAAGAGATGTGAACGGGCACAGTGGCTCACGCCTGTAATGCCAACACTTTGGGAGGCCGAGGCGGACAGATCACGAGGTCAGGAGCTCGAGACCAGTCTGGCCAACATAGTGAAACCCCATCTGTACTAAAAATACAAAAATTAGCCGGGCGTGGTGGCATGTGCCTGTAATCCCAGCTACTCGGGAGGCTGAGGCAGGAGAATTGCTTGAACCAGGGAGTCGGAGGTTGCAGTGAGCCAAGATCACGCCACTGCACTCCAGCCTGGCAATGGAGTGAGACTTTGTCTCAAAAAAAAAAGAAGAGACGTTGACGTAGTTTGTGATCCTACAATCCACTGAGGGTTATATGTGAAACCTCTTGGTTTACTGTTTAATATCACAGTATGGCAATTATTGGGTGTTTTATTAGTTCAGAAACCTGTTTCTCAGAGCTAAATGTGCGCAGAATGAATTAACAGAGAAGTTTAAAACTCAGCAACATCGGGGTAAGTAAATGTAAAATGATAGCGGTCTTGTTAGGATGATGAAATTATGGATTTTTTTCCTTTTTTCTATTTTCTAAATTAACTATAATTTATAAATAATCTATAAACTATCATTTCCTTAAAATAGGGGTTTAAACACATTTTCCCTAAAAATAGAGTGAAAGGACTTGAGACCAGAGATAACCGACCATTGAGACCCGTAATATCCTAACAATATGAAAGCTGGTTAATAATTGGTAACTATTTCCTATTTAGAAACAGAGGGCCTGGTGTGGATCTCTATTTCCTTTCATTCTATTTTCACTGCTGCTGCTACTAAGGTTCAGATCCTCACCACATCTGGACCACTGCACCACATTACTGACTCATTGCCAGTCCTCTAATCCTACATGTCACTACCACCTGACTCCTAAAACACATTCCACACCATGTCACTCCTTTTCAAAATATTTAATGGCTCCTAGAGGGAGATATTCTTTTGGCTGGAAAAGAACAATGGTATTTTTCTAATTCACAGGAAAGAAAATTAATAGATGGATTTTTCATAAGTTTCTCTACCATAATTTTTTCTTACCTACTTAGTCTACTGCTAGCACTACAGAAACTTGAACAAATAGTAGCAAAATTAAGAGGGAAAAAAATCAAAGCAGTCAATTGGAACTATTTTAACACCTTTTTTCCTAACTGACAGTGTTAAGCCATGTTTGCACTGCTATAAAGAAATACCCAAGGCTGGGTAATTTATAAAGAAAAGAAGTTAATCAGCTAATGGTTCTGCACTGTGTATGGGAAGCATGGCACCAGCATCTGCTCAGCTTCTGGCAAGGCCTCAGGGAGCTTACGATCATGACAGACCGCAAAGGGAAGCCCAGGTGTCACATGGCGAGAGAGACAAGGGAGAGGTCTCAGGCTCTCTTAAACAACCAGATCTTGTGTGAATTAACTGAGTGAGAACTCACTCATCACTGAGCTATTCATGAGGGATCCACCCCCATGATCTAATACCTTCCACTAGGCCCCAACATTGGGGATCACATTTCAGCATTAGATTTGAGGGAACAAACATCCAAATCATATCACTGAATCATGTTCATGATTGTGATTTTTATGCTGCATATTTTTGATATTCACATATTCTGCCAATAAAATTAATTCCTGGCCAGGCACAGTGGCTCACACCTGTAATCCCAGCATTTTAGGAGGCTGAGGTGGGCAGATCACGAGGTCAAGAGATCAAGATCATCCTGGCCAACATGGTGAAACCCCGTCTCTACTAAAAATACAAAAATTAGCTGGGCGTGGTGGCGCGTGCCTGTAGTCCCAGGAGGCTGAGGCAGGAGAATCTTGAACCCGGGAGGCAGAGGTTGCAGTGAGCCAAGATCGCACCACTGCACTCTAGCCTGGTGACAGAGCAAGACTCCAGCTCAAAGAAAAAAAAAATTAATTCCTAATTATAAGATAGAATTAAATATGTCTGGCACCAGCGTAAAGTTTGAGAATCACCGGACCTTACCACCATTTCCAGCTTCATCTACTCATTCACTCACTGATCAAACATTTCATTGATCATCCATTATGTGCCTCTCACTCATCCTCCACTCCAAGTACACTAGACTCCTTTCTTTATAACAAATATACCCTGTCCTTTACTTTCTCATTGTCTTGACTCTAATATTGCCTCTCTCTGGAATGCCTTTCCTCTCCATTTATTCTTGCTGAAAATCTTAACTATCCTACAAGGAAAAGCCTTCCCAGATCATTCTCTCACCCTCTCACCTTTCCAATCTCCCAATTTATTTCATCCTCCTCTGTGCTCTCAGTGCATGGTGGGGTTTGGATTACAATACTCACATTCTCCCTCATGTTACAGTTATTTGGGTACGTGGACTACATTTTGTCTTAAGGGCATCTTTCTAATTCCACACAGAGGTTGAATATAATAGGCATTGAATCACTGACAGTTTCATTGAAAGAGAAAACTTTTTGTTTGAAGGTACCTAGCCTAGAACAACCAATTCTAACATCCTGATAAATTCTGACTCTCCTTAAAGAAAAGAACTCACAAAATGGCCTTATCTAGCTTGAGATACTGCTGACAACTTTTTCTAATAGTGACTATATAAATGGAAACAATATTTGCTTCTGATTCAAGCTTGAAAATAGAAAGAGATAAGCATCTACAACCATAAAAAGGGCCAAGCTATTTGTTGATTTATGAGCTGGTTATCTTAAACTCTCCAGCGAATAGTTACTCAACTCAAACAATTTCCTGAGGGCTGGACTTTGGCAGCTTCAAACTATTACATCATGTACAACAGAAGAATTGTATGCTGATAAAGGACAAAAAGTCTTATTTTTCCTGCACAAGAACTTAGATAACTGTCATGTATAACAAATTTGTCTAAAATTTGTTAAAAAGTAGTTGGAAAGAAAACAAAAAGGCACGTTTCACTTTGTTATAATTGACAAATTATAAGAACTAAGAAATGACAGCTGCAGGCTACTTAGCCCTTCCTTATAAAGATCTAAAGTTGTATAATTTACTGACTTCTAAAGGAAGCAGCATGGTAGTAGAAAGAACATAGTGGTTAAAAGTATACCCTCTGCAGGCCGGGTGCAGTGGCTCACTCCTGTAATCCCAGCACTTTGGGAGGCTGAGGCAAGTAGATCACAAGGTCAGGAGATCGAGACCATCCTGGCTAACACGGTGAAACCCCGTCTCTACTAAAAAACACAAAAAAATTAGCCGGGTGTGGTGGCGAGCACCTGTGGTCCCAGCTACTCGGGAGGATGAGGCAGGAGAATGGCGTGAACCTGGGAGGCGGAGCTTGCAGTGAGCCGAGACTGCGCCACTGCACTCCAGCCTGGGCAACAGAGCGAGACTCCATCTCAAAAAAAACAAAAAGTGCACCCTCTGCAGGGCCAACAATATTGCAGAACCTCGGGAGGTAACATGCTTTTAGTGGAGATCCAAAGGGTCCCATTCCTAGAGAACATTATGTGAATTATACAACTTGGGGACACAGAGTTAGTGGAATAGAACAGGTCTCAGCTCCACCATCTAACAGCTGTGGCATATTGACCAAGTTATTGAACTAACTCTTAGGTACTTCATCAGAAAAAATGTGACTAATAATAACATCTATCTCATAGGATTGTTATAAGAATTAAATAAAATAATGTAGATACGTATAATTAGCCCAGTGCCTAATATGTGGTAAGTGTGGAATAAATGTTTTGATGATGATTATGGTGAGGATAATGATGATGAAGAATAAGATGAATCTACATTCCAATCCTAGCTCCATCACATTCAGGCCATTTACTACCTATAATAAATGTGATCTGCTGAAAGGATGCAACAAAATAATGTACGCAGAATACTTAGGGCCAGGTACAAAACAGGAATTCCATAAAGAGTAACTGTGATTATGATGACTGACCATCCTCTATATGCATTATCTCTCCCCCATCTCTCTTTCTCTTACAGGCAAACACACACACACATATAACTACTATAAAAATTTCAGGAGATTAAACTATAATTGATAGCATAAATCCCAAGGCCATATAAAAAATGGGGAAAAGTGTATCCTTTTTTTTTTCTTAAATGTATCCTTTGTTGTTGTTGTTTTTTGTTTTTGTTTTTGTTTTTTGAGACGGAGTCTCGCAGTCACCCAGGCTGGAGTACAGTGGCGTGATCTTGGCTCACCGCAACCTCCGCCTCGCAGACTCAAGCAATTCTCCTGTCTCAGCCTCCATCCATAGTGGCTGGGATTACAGGTGTGTGCCACCACGCCCAGCTAATTTTTGTATTTTTAGTAAAGATGGGGTTTCACCATGTTGGCCAGGCTGGTCTCAAACTCCTGACCTCAAGCGATCCGCCCACCTCAGCCTCCCAAAGTGCTGCGATTACAGGCGTGAGCCACCGCGCCCAGCCTGGGAAAAATGTATTCTAAAACCAGTGCATTCTCAATACAATTCACCCAGACTATTGCAGAAACTTTCTAACTATTCTTTCCTCTCTAATCCCATCTATACAATATTGCAAAAGCAAACTGATGAATCACAATTAGCTTAGAAAACTTCAGTGACAAAATACAGCCAAAACTCTGGCTTTGAATGGCCTTCCACAATCTTATCCCCTGCACATTTCCAACCTCATCTACCCTTAAAACATACAAAAAGATTTGTTCTGTGCACATGCCCAGTTACTTTGTTTTTTGTATTTCTCAATCAACGAATGCTCCTCCCATCTTCCCAGTCCTACCTAATACTAGCAATCTTTTCCACTGAGCAAACCTATTTGAAGAAGTCATACCACTGGCTACTTACAGTGATAGGAACTACTAATAGTCATACATCAGCAGGAAGGAGCAGTCATTTACATTAATTCATTTCCCAAATGATTGTCTTTTTAAATACCTCTCCACACCAACTGGGACTTCTCTCTCCCTCCCAGGAACATCATGAATCAATATTTAACCAGTATATCAATACTTTATTAGAATACAAGGTAGAAAGTTACATTGCCTTACACTCAACAAATGCTCATTCCTTGTTAAACAAATAAATGAAGAACTAAGTTTCATGAGACCAATCAAACTCACATTTTTCCGTTTAGAGATAACTCAGTTACAGGCATAACCAAACAGCTCTTTAGCTTGTCCCTGAATCTCCTGCCAAAATCATATCGCATCTAAATCATACCTTGCGCTTCCAAAAGGTCTACAGAAGAAAGATACTCTATTTTATGGTCAGTAGGACAAACGAAATGTTCTTTCTAAACCCTACTGCCAATAGTAGCAAACTAGTAATAGCAGTGGTTAAAGGAACAAAAATCAATAGCAATTTATTAGGCCCCTGGATAGCAAAACAATGAGTTCCAGAAAGTTACCCTATATAATAACCTTCTGATTTAATCATTTAGAACCAGAGATTTTTATCCCGAATTTTATGAATCACTAAGACTTTTTAAACACTTGATTCCATCAATGCATTATTTATTAATCATTATAAATATACCCGTACTCAAATTATTTCAGTACAAACAATAATGAAAGTATGACAGTGCTATCAACAAGAGGAAAAAAGGAGGGGAAGCAAACTGACAGCACTGGCTTGACTCATTTCTGTTGGGAGAACACTGGTACTGAATGGCACAAGCAACTCCAGTGTGAGAGAGCAAGCACATGACTGACTGGGAGGGCGACAGAGGATACCAAAGAAAGGAGAATATCTATAAAGAAGATTTCCTCTGTAGGGGCAGGAGGTGAAGGGATGAGAAGGAATGAAATCTACTCTAACAGCCTTTACAATACTCAAATGAAAACATGCTACCAGACTTCACACTTTGAGCCAGTTCACATCCTAGCTCTACCACTTACAATTGAGTGACCTTCAGCAGATTACTTATCCTCTTTCATCAGGTGTAAAATTATAATAATGGTAGCCCACTTAGTGAATACAAACTACATGTTTGGCACTGCGCTAGGCACTGGACACATGGTATATCCTCTAATTCTCACAATTAACCTGCCAAATAGTGATTATTTTTCTCACTTTGCAGGAAAGAAAACCCATGTTCTTTCTACCTATGTATAGCCGCTTTGTAGAGGGACAATACTACTACCTGGCCAGGTTGTACTGGGAATTAGAAGTAAATGCAAAGCACTTAGCAAGGACCCAGCACTTACCTCATATTAGGAGCTCAAGAAATCATTACTGTACGAATACAACCATCATTTGAATAAGTGCCTCAACTGAACAGCAATGAAATCCCAGAAACAAGTTTCCTCTCACATCATCTACCATAAAGATGACTTCTAACTAGCAGTAGTTTGGGAGAATCCAAAGCTCATCACTTATAACTGCTTGAAATACCAAAGTATCAACCATCCAGTATCCAAAAAAAAATTTTTTTTTAATACACACACAAATATTCTTAGAAGCTCAAAACACAAAACGCAAGGAAATAGCCCATTATGAAAGTGATATTTGACTCAATCTAAATATCAAATATTAAATATTTTACTTTCAAAAGGATCATAGGCCTCATGCCTCAAGGAAGCAGGTGCTAATGAACAAATTTATCTAACTTCCCAAAAATCATTCCCAGAAGCATCTGTTAACCTGAAGTACTTGGCAAACCATCTCTTAGAATTGACAACATATTGCCAAAATCTTAGTGGATTTTGCCAACACTATTCTGCTGATAGGAAAAAAGAATCATTCAGCTACTTTCCAATTTAGCCACAAAATAGGCTCTTTTTTCTTCATTACTACTTTAACCAGTATGTTAATACTGAAAATAGGTATAAAGAAATCACAAATAACCTTCTTCTGTTTGAAGGAAATTTAAAATACTAAATCCACAATTCTTGCCTTTAATTCTAAGGAACTCAAGAAAATCTATGAATTTTTTTTTTTTGGAAAAAATATGAAATCTCCAAAATCTAATAATTGTAACAGAGAGGAGGGGGAAAGAGCACAAACAACAGCTTGAAAGATGCCTCTTGAAAGTTGAGAGTCCTAAAATCTCAATTTCAAAGTTTAATCTACTGCTATTAAAAGAAATAGCTTATTAATCAGTGCTTGGGAATATTTTTTTTAAAAGAAAGAAAACTTCACAAAAACTAACCGGTTCCTGAATCTTCTATCTATCTGTTTTTACCACAACAACTACAATACTTACCAGACAGCACAGTCAACCTCCAGCAAAAGACCTCTAATCACGAGGGTATCTGTGGGGCAAGTGATACAAGAATGGGGAGGGATATGGGAATAGCTAGAGCTGTGGGGAGGGAAGGCTAGGAGGGAGGAGACGACTGTAGCTAGCAACAATGAGAAACTGTGAATCTAAACCACAAGGACTTCCCGCAGAACAGGATATCAGAGAGAAGGCAATTCTTTTTACCAACTACCAGGAACTCAGCACTGACAATTCATGACAAAGTTAAAAAGGTGGAGCTTCCAATTAAAAACAAAGTAAACTTAAGAAACTAACCAAAAGTAACTTGAAAGGACGTTATCACAAACTTCACCTGAGGCTTAAGAAAAACAATTATGAAGCTGTTTCCTGGGGCATTCCTGATGACAAAGGTCATTAAACAATAAGGTTTGCAGGGTGGCTGCTGCTTCCAAAGAAGGGCCAGTCCCCCACAAAAAAATTCCTTTGCACTGCAGTCAAAAGGAGCACGAGAAGACAACATTTTTGTAGTTGTTTACAGAATAATCAAAACAATGTTATTGTTGGAATCCCTAATTCAGAATTCCAAGACTGGGCTTAAATTAAATCAAATCATTTTAATAGGCAAAACTCCTCCAACTGTCTTAAACGAGCCACACTATTAAAGAAAATTATTATTTAAACTGAGCCATTGGAATCTACTGAGTCAATTTTAAAATGCTTGGGATCTAAGGGTTCTCAACCCCAAAGTCCACAACAGGGAAAGATCTCCACCCCTCTCTCGGGGAAGAGACCTAGTTACATCACCAAGAACAAACAGCAGGCAGAGTCCCACCCCCAAACATGTGATCAGTCAACCGAGAACTTGCATTTGCAGGCAGGGCACAAAGGCCCCAGAGGACCAACACACACCCTTCTATGTATTACCTGAGGTTATAAAACAGTTTTATTGAAAGAAGTTGTTTTATAAGCATACTGATGAAAAAAACTCATCAGCAGAATCCTTGCCAAATATGAAGGTCTGTTGTGTTTCTATAGGTTGAGAGAAAATATACGAGTTGACTAAAAAAAAGATGTAATTAAGATTTATTGGTAAAATTTAACAAACATGGGCAATGTCCAAAACTAATTAAGCTCTTACATTTTAACAATACAGTATATTAAATTGAAGTAGTCCTTTGGCCACAAGGAAAGTGCCACAAAAAAAAAAAAAAAAAAAAAGATACTGTTGCTTTTCTTGTTAACCATTAGCATTCTAACTCAGGTCTCCTAGTGGTGCTAGGTGGAGGAGGAGGTAGTAATGCCATTTCAAAGTGTGAAACACAAAATTTCTACTGATAAGTGCTGACTGCAAATAAAGACATACAAACATCAAGACCAAGCTCTTCAATCAAGTCATTAAAATATAGGTATATATTCATTGTGAAACTAATCAAATAAAACTAGAGTACTGGGACAGAGTTACAGAGCTTCAACCCTGATTACAACTAGACAACATTACTTTTCATGTCTCATCCAGGTAAGGGAAGTGATCCACAGGGAAATCTCACTCTAATAGATTGTAATCTCTCCAGAGGCCCCTCAGAAAACACCTCCCATAAAACTCTGCTATGATACTCACATTCTGCCTTGCATAAGTTATTTTCAGACATTTCTTATTCCCTCTTCAAGACTGCACAAGAGGTTCTGTGCCAAATAGAAAGAGAACCCTGTATCAACCACTGGGCTTCGCCATTCAAAATAAATTGGGTAACTACAAGTTTTTGTTAGGTGAGTGTCAAACTGCCTGTAGAAAAGGTTTTATAGGCCGGGTGCAGGGGCTCACGCCTGTAATCCCAGCATTTTGGGAGGCCATTGCGGGAGGATCATTTGAGCCCAGGAGTTCAAGACCAGCCTGGGCAACACAGGGAGGCCCCTTCTCTACAAAAAAAAAAAAGAAAGAAAGAAAGTTTTTAATTAGCCTGGTGTGGTGGCACGCACCTCTCTGGTCCCAGTTACTCCAGGCTGAGGTGGGAGGATCCCTTGAGCCCAGGAGGTCAAGGCCCCAGTGAGCAGTGATTGTGTCGCTGCACTCCAGTCTGGGCCACAGAGCAAGACCCTGTCTCAAAAAAAAAAAAAAAAAAGGAAAAATAAAAATAGAAAGAAAAGGTTTTGGGTACATGATTGCTAACTACGTCAAGAGGGAGAGTGATACATAGTGTTTCAGATTATTATTTTTTAAAATAGGGTTTTAGTTTAAATGTTCAGGTATTCTAAAGTTGGATGACTAGTTACAACAGTACTTTGTAAAACTGTGCTTCAACAAAACTTAACAAGTCATATTTTTCAAGTACTTTGCAGGGAATATGTAACACCACAATAGGTCCACCTTAGACCAGAATAGACAAAGGTCTCTGAAAAAATATAAATATTATTAGCAAGGAGAAACAATATTTAGGATTTGAGTAAATCAATCAAGAAAAATCCTTGGAGGGTAGTGGGGAGGGTAATGGAAAAGCACAGGCTGAAAAGTCCTATTTGGTCACATTCCGTAGCTTTTCATTATTGGTTTCTACTAGCAAATAGAGTAAGGTACAACAGAATGTTCAATGCATTGAAAGAACATTTTGCTTCTCTTAAAAGTCATAAAAGAGAAACAGAGGATTTCTCTAAGAAAAACCAAAATAACTCCCTCTGGAGTAACCCCAAAGTCAAACCATCATTGTCTTTTATTTCTGAGATGCTAATGATAATGCTGATGTCGGCAGTAAAGGCAGGAACTGAGTGGCTCCGCAGTAGGAACACGAGATTGGAAAATAAAAGACTCTTTTTTTTTTTGAGTCCAAGTCTTGCTCTGTCACCCAGGCTGGAGTGCAGTGACACGATCTCGGTTCACTGCAACCTCCACTTCCCAGGTTCAAGTGATTCTCCTGCTTCAGCCTCTTCAGTAGCTGGGATTACAGGTAGGTGCCACTACACCCAGCTAGTTTTTGTATTTTTAGTAGAGATGGGGCTTCACCATGTTGGCCAGACTGGTCTCGAACTCCTGACCTCAAGTGATCCACCTGACTCAGCCTCTCAAAGTGCTGGGATTACAGGTGTGAGCCACTGTGCCCAGCCAATAAAAGACTCTAGATTTTAGAATGTAGTGACAAAATTTGGGAACTTTTTAAGAGACAGGTTCTTCCTCTGTTGCCCAGGCTGGATGCAGTGGTGTGATCACAGCTCACTGAACCCTCAAATTCCTGGGTTCATGCAATCTTCTACCCTCAGCCTCCCGAGTAGCTGGGACTACAGGTGTGTACAACCAGACCCAGCTAATTTTTTAAAGATTTTTGGAGACAGGGTCTTAGTATGTTACCTAGGCTGAGACTTTTAAATAAACTGGAGGATTGGGGTGGGGAGGGGTGGGGAAGAGACTGCTTTATATCAAATGAAAGCCTTTATCATTTGATCCTGGGGAGAGGGGAAGCTTAATTCAGAGCTGTTAAACTGGAGTTCTAGCAAACAAAAATTAGAGACGGACTTGATCTTAGCTAATAAGGAACCTAAGAGAAAATATTCTAGCCTTTGACTCTAGGTTGTAAGGAAGAATATACCATGAAGTAGATGAAAAACAGGGAAAACTACATAACTAATTTGAGTCTAGTGGGTTTTTTTTTAACTTTTTTTTTTTAATCTTGGTTTTGTTTGAAGACAGAGTCTCACTCTGTCACCCAGGCTGGAGTATAGTGCCATAATCTCAGCTCACTGCAATCTCTGCCTCCCGGGTTCAAGTGATTCTCCTACCTCAGCCTCCAGAGTAGCTGGGATTACAGGTGCACACCACCACACCTGGCTAATTTTTGTATTTTGAGTAGAGATGGAGTTTCACCATGTTGGCGAGGCTGGTCTCAAACTCCTGACCTCAGGTGATCCACCCACCTCAGCCTCCCAAAGTGCTGGGATTACAGGCGTGAGCCACCAAGCCCCACTGGTGTTTTCTTTTAAAGACAGAGTCTCACTATGTTGCCCAGGCTGGAGTGCAGTGGCTAGTCACAGGTGCAATCCCTGTGCAATCAGAGGTGACTCTAGTTTTTATTCTGAGATTTATTCACAATGTTGGCAGAGCATGTGTACCTTAAAGAGCTGGTTGTTTCACTCAAGTATGCATTACTGAGAAGAGGAATATTGCAGAAAGGGTAGAGGGAAGAGAAAAAAACTGATCCAAAGAATACATTTTGGAGAAACTTTGGCTGTTAATCACAGACCTGAGCAGCAAAATCATACAAGAAATCTCTATATTTCTCATATAAATGGACTCTAAAGAAGAGAGGGAGATAGGGGCCACACATTTGGGCTTCTAATTATAGCATCATTATTGTTTAAATTCATTTATTTAACTATATCTTGCATAATTCTAAAAAGTATATCAAATAGCATTATGTCATTATGAACATTAACCACCCTGTCTATAGAACAAGGGTTTTTAAAAGTCTTGGACTGGACTTAAAGCTCCTAGAAAGCAAGAAGAGTATGAAAATCCCTCTCAAGCACACCAAAGAATTACCTAAATGCTAGTCTTACAGAAAGTAATCAGCCGGGCGCGGTGGCTCACGCCTGTAATCCCAACACTTTGAGAGGCCAAGGCAGGCGGATCTCTTGAGGTTAGGATTTTGAGACCAGCCTGGCCAACATGGTGAAAAACCCGTCTTGACTAAAAATACAACAATTAGCTGGGCATGGTGGCGTGTGCCTGTAATCCCAGCTACTCAGGAGGTTGAGGCAGGAGAATCGCTTGAACCCAGGAGGCGGAGGTTGCAGTGAGCTGAGATGGTGCCACCGCACTCCAGCCTGGGCAACAGAGCCAAGACTCCATCTCAAAAAAAAAAAACAAAACAAAAAAAACAGGCCGGGTGCAGTGGCTCACGCCTATAATCCCATCACTTTGGGAGGCCAAGGTGGACAGATCATTTGAGGTCAGGAGTTCAAGACCAGCCTGACCAACATGGTGAAACCCCATCTCTACTAAAAATACAAAAATTAGGCTGGGCACGGTGGCTCACACCTGTAATCCCAGCAGTTTGGGAGGCCGAGGCGGGCAGATCACAAGGTCAGGAGATCAAGACCATCCTGGCTAACATAGTGAAACCCTGTCTCTACTAAAAATACAAAAAAAATTAGCCAGGCGTAGTGGCGGGCGCCTGTAGTCCCAGCTACTCGGGAGGCTGAGGCAGGAGAATGGTGTGAACCCGAGAGGCGGAGCTTGCAGTGAGCCGAGATCGCACCACTGCACTCCAGCCTGGGTGACAGAGTGAGACTCTGTCTCAAAAAAAAAATCAGCCAGGCAGTAGTGGTACGCGCCTGTAATCCCAGCTACTCAGGAGGCTGGGGCAGGAGAATCACTTGAGCCTGGGAGGTGGAGGTTGCAGTGAGCTGAGATCAGGCCATCGCACTCCAGTCTGAGTTGGACAGAGTGAGATCCTGTCTCAAAAAAAAAAAAAAAAAAAAAGGAATAAAGGGTTTCTCAGTGTTTATGTTCAAGTAACTTTATTTTACTTAATAATATTCCCAAATGCAAGAGTAGTGATACTGGCAATTTAACAGGCCATAGAGAAGCCATAAGGTGCTTCCTTTAAGTGAAAAAGTGAAAGTTATCGACTTAATAAGGAAAGAAAAAGAATCATACACTAAAGCTGCTAAGGTCTACCATAAGAACAAATCCATGCATGACATTGTGAAGAAGGAAAGGAAATTCATGCTAGTTTTACTGTCACACCTCAAACTGCAAAAAGTCATGGCCATAGTTCATGGTAAGTGAAACCACCTTTGCAAAAATTATAACTGAGAAAATTATTACAGTGAAAGAGATCTGACTTACTTGACTCCCTGTTGCTTCTAACTTCCAAGCTGTCCTTGTTCATTCCTGGACATAAAGCGAACTAACTTTGGGAGGAACTTATAGTTTAACTTTGAAACAAAGACAAAAACACAGCCCTTTCCCAGAACAAACCCTCTTCTTGCCTGGGGACTAGACTGCCTTTGCAGGACTAACAAATTGCTACAAGATTAGAAATTATGCTTTAGGAATCATGCAGCTAAAGGCCCCAAGGTTCTACACCTCCCTAACTGCTCCTAGGGATAACATCACTAATGTAAAACCTAAGATTGGTGCTCAAGATATTTTTCAAACCCTGAACTCAATGGATCACCTGGCACCATCCAGATTAATAAACTGTCTCATCTGGTCTTGTGGTCCTACCCAGGAACTGACTCAGTGTAAAAGGACAGCTTTGACTCCCTGTGATTTCATTGCTGACCTAAGCAATCAACACTCCCCACTCTCTGGCCCTCTAACCACCAAAGTAGCCTTAAAAACCCCAATCCTGGAATATTCTGGGAGACTGATTTGAGTAATAATTAAACTCTGGTCTCCTGTGCGGCCAGCTCTATGTGAATTAAACTCTTTCTCCATTGCTATTCTCCTGTCTTGATAAATCAGCTGTATTGGGGCAATGGGCAGAATGAACCCATTCAGTGGTTATATAAGTGCTTAGTTAAGATGGAAAAGGCGGCCAGGTGTGGTGGCTCACTCCTGTAATCCCAACACTTTGGGAGGCCAAAGCGGGTGGATCACCTGAGGTTAGGAGTTCAAGAGCAGCCTGGCCAACTTGGTGAAACCCTGTCTCTACTAAATATATAAAATTAGCTGGGCATGGTGGTGGGGACCCGTAATCCCAGCTACTCGGGAGGCTGAGGCAGGAGAATCACCTGAATCCCCGGAGGCAGAGGTTGCAGTGAGCCGAGATCACGCCACTGCACTCCAGCCTGGGCAACAGAGCAAGACTCCATCTCAAAAAAAAGGTTGGAAAAGGCACTAAATTTGTGGGTGGAAGAAATGAACAGAATTATGTTCCAATTAACAGCTGTCAGGTTCAGTACTATTCATGGTTCCAGGCATCCACTGGAGGTCTTGCAACATATCCTTCATGGATAAGGAGAAACTACTGTAGTCTTTTAATAAATAGTGCTGGAATAATTGAATATCCCCCATATGCAAGAGAAAAAGTTGGACTCCTATCTCACACCATATGCAAAAATTAATTCAAAATGGATCAAAAACTTAAATGAATGAGCTCAAACTATAAAACTTTTAGAAGAAAACATAGACATAAATCTTCATGACCCTGGGTTAGGCAAAGACACCACACAAGTAACAAAAGAAAAAAATACATAAATTGGACTTCATCAAAATTAAAACTTTTGACCGGGCACAGTGGCTCACGCCTGTACTCCCAGCATTTTGGGAGGCCGAGAAGGCCGATCACAACAAGGTCAGGAGTTGAAGACCAGCCTGGCCAATATGGTGAAACCCAATCTCTACTAAAAATACAAAAATTGGTCAGGCACAGCGGCTCACACCTGTAATCCCAGCACTTTGGGAGGCCGAGGCGGGTGGATCACGAGGTCAGGAGATTGAGACCAGCCTGGCCAACATGGTGAAACCGCATCTCTACTAAAAATAAAAATAAAAATAAAAATTAGCTGGGCGTGGCAGCGTGCATCTGTAGTCCCAGCTACTTGGGAGGCTGAGGCAGGAGAATCGCTTGAACCCAGGAGATGGAGGTTGCAGTGAGCCAACAGAGCGCCACTGCACTCCAGCCTGGCGACAGAGAGAGACTCTGTCTCAAACAAACAAATTAGCTGGGTTTGGTGGCGCATGCCTGTAGTCCCAGCTACTTGGGAGGCTGAGGCAGGAGAATCGTTGGAACCCAGGAAGGGGAGGTTGCAGTGAGCCGAGATCACGCCACTGCATTCCAGCCTGGGCAACAGAGCAAGACTCCGTCTCAAAAAAAATAAAATAACCCATGCAGACTGACTGCCCATGGAAAAAATAAGAATAACCTACCAGGATCTTCCTGGTAAAATCAAGATGATCAGTGGATACAGTTATTCGATGTCTGACACATTCACTTAACCAATCAATGAAATTTGTATCACTACATTATCAGCCACATGAAAGACGGTGAAACTGACGGGATTTTGACTCACTATATGTAGAACAATCCCCTGATCCACAAACCTCTTAATCCTAAATAGAAGTAATGAAATTCAAAAATAGAAACAGAAGTAATTTGTTATGATCAATCAACCCATACTCTTTTTTCTCCTTAATACTGCATATCATGTTTAGTCCTTTATAATTGAATTTTCCCAAGATTTAACAATTTTACATGTCTATGGTTTTCCAACTACTTTCCTTTCCTCTTTTTGGATATAAAGACATTTGTCTCTCTCTAGTCTTTATGGTTTCTCAAAGACAGTGGCTCTGAGATCATCAGCCAGTTAATTCAGCACCCCGAAATGTAATTCATTTCAGCCTTAAGACTTAAATTCATTTAAAAATGTTCACTCTTACCATCTTAGGCTACAGTTTCCAGTTTTTAACTTGCTATATACTTTCCAGTTTGAAAACAATTATCTCTGCTGCTAATAATAATCTATATATTTATTTTTTGTAAGAGTTTTACAATTTCTCAAAAATCCTGCAAAACAGGTTAATATACCACTATCCCATTTTACAGATAAGGAAACTGAAGCACAGAGAAATTAAAATTATTTGCCCAAGGTAAAGAGCTACAATGAACCAAAATCGATTGCACTTTGGGCTTTTTTTTTTTTTTTTTTTGAGATAGAGTTTCGCTCTTTTTGCCCAGGCTGGAGTGCAATGGCGTGATCTTGGCTCACTGCAACCTCTGCCTCCTGGGTTCAAGCGATTCTCCTGTCTCAACCTCCCGAGTTGCTGGGATTACAGGCATGCACCACCACGCTCAGCTAATTTTGTATTTTTAGTAGAGACGGGGTTTCTCCATGTTTGTCAGGCTGCCTCGAACTCCTGACTTCAGGTGATCTGCCCGCCTTGGCCTCCCAAGTGCTGGGATTACACTTGTGAGCAACCGCGCCCGGCCCAAGGGCTCTTTTCATAAGGCCATGTGGATCTTTAATACAGAACTTCTCAGGATTGCACATAAAATTTTCTCTGCTAAAAATTGATTTTTTAATTAGCGGTTGACAGGAGTTAAGAAAGGTGTAGGGGTGGAAGGGAAGTGGGGGTAGCTATAAAAGGACATGGTAGATCCTGTGGTGATGAAAATATTTGGTACCTTGACTGTATCAACATCAATACCCCAGTTGTAAAATTGTACTATAATTTTGGAAGATATTGCCATTGGAGGAAATGAGGTAAATGGTACATCAGGTCAATATTATTATTTATTTTAACTCTGTATAAATCTAGAATTATCTCAAGATAAAAAGTTCCATTCAAAATAATAAACAATTGGGGCCTACTTGAGGATAGAAGGTGGAAGGAGGGTGAGAGTCAAAAAACTACCTATCAGGGGCCAGGCGCAGGGGCTCGCGCCTATAATGCCAGCACTTCGGGAGGCTGAGGCAGGCGGATCACCTGAGGTTAAGAGTTCGAGACCAGCCTGGCCAACATGGTGAAACCCCATCTCTACCAAAAATACAAAAATTAGCTGGGTGTGGTGGCGGTCACCTGTAATCCCAGCTACTCAGGAGGCCGAGGCAGGAGAATCGCTTGAACCCGGGGGGCGGAGGTTGCAGTGAGCCGGGATCGCGCCACTGCACTCCAGCCTGGGTGACAAGAGTGAAACTCTATCTCAAAAAACTACCTATCAGGTACTATGCTTATTACCTGGATGATGAAATAATTTGTACATCAAACCCCTGTAACATGCAGTTTACCTATATAGCAAACCTGCGCATGTACCCTGGAACCTAAAATAAAGGTTACAAATAAATAATAAATGATATTTCTTTTCTAAACCAATTTCATGTTTAAGAACCTTACTTAAAGTGAATAGGAAAGTTTGGGTAAATTAAAACAAAACAGGATCATGTATAGGAGCTCTGAAATCCAACACAGAAGTCTTCTAATGTGGGGTAAGTTCCATCAATAAAAGCTCCAAAACAAGTCATGAAGATCCTTGAAAATAAAAAAGGAGCTCCTGGGATTCTTATTTCCTAGAGAAATGAAACCAGTCAAGACAGTGTAGGAAACAAAATTGTTAAGTCATGGAAAGTCACCTCAAAAAGAAGCAGTAGAATAAAGTTAGAACCACCTAAGCTTTGCTTTCCTCAATACCACCATACACTTTACTGCAATCCTCAACTTAGAGAAAGACTGAATGTGTATGTCACCTTCAACCTGATACTCACACACACATTTCAAAAGCTTCCCCAAAAATGCCTTTTTTTTTTTTCCTTTTTGCTACTCACCAAGTGCCTGAAGTGTCAATCATTTCCTGCTTCTCCCAGCTGCAGGACTTGGAACTAGGAAAACATTCAGTCAGCGTCTAGAGCAGGTCTGGTTAGAAGGATGAGCTCATCCCTTTCAGATGCACACCTGATCCTCAAGAAGCTGCCCCTCCTCCAGCAAGCAGATCTTTGTATGTTTAAAGTGACACCCACAACCTGTACAACCACTTTGCCAGAGCCAAAGTAAGTCTTTCCTTATACATGCCTAGTGCCATGGAATCATTTCCTGGTCTAGCCACCTCACACAGCCACTGAACGCAGGTGGCAGTGGCAACAGCTGCTGCTGCTGCTACTATGGCTTTGTTAGAGAAGGACTTCATTTTCAGCTACAACGGAGGTCAAGTCCTTCACCACTGCCCTGGAAACACTGCACTGTTTGTTTCAACAGCCCCTTGCCCACAGTCAGATCTTACCAGAATCATGCCTTCTTTCAAAACTCACAACCATTTTTCTGAACCAACAATGTAGCACCTCAACATCTGCCTTATTCCATTTGCCCTGTCTAAAAGTTAAATTAGCCAAGGCAGCTAAATGTACTGTATGTATTTAGAGCTAAAATGTTCCCAACTCAGGTTTGCCCTCAGTTTTACTACCTCTAAGAAAACCTTTATTCTGCCATAGCAGTCTATTTATTGGTAAAGTATACAGTAATCCTAATACAGAGATATGTAAACTTCACTTCATGAAAAAATAGTATAATAGCCGGGCACGGTGGCTCATGCCTGTAATCCCAGCACTTTGGGAGGCCGAGGTGGGCAGATCACGAGGTCAGGAGATCAAGACCATTCTGGCTAACACTGTGAAACCCCATCTCTACTAAAATTATAAAAAAATTAGCCGGGCGTGGTGGCGGGCATCTGTAGTCCCAGCTACTCAGGAGGCTGAGGCAGGAGAATGGCGTGAACCCAGGAGGCAGAGCTTGCAGTAAGCTGAGATCATGCTACTGCACTCCAGCCTGGGTAACAGAGCAAGACTCTGATTCAAAAAAAAAAAATAGTATAATAGTGGCCAGGCACTGTGGCTCATGCCTATAATCCCAGAACTTTGGGAGGCCAAGGCGGGTGGATCACCTGAGGTCAGGAGTTCAAGGCCAGCCTGACCAAGGTGAAAACCTGTCTCTAATAAAAATACAAAAATTAGCCAGGCGTGGTGGTGTGCGCCTGTAGTCCCAGCTACTTGGGAGACTGAGACAGGAGAACTGCTTGAACTCAGGAGGTGGAGGTTGCAGTGAGCTGAGATCGCACCACTGCACTCCAGCCTGGGCGACAGAGCAAGACTCTGTCTCAAAAAAAAAAAAAAAAAAAAAAAAATAGTATAATAGTGGTACAAAATATCTTCAATCAGAAGTACATGGGTTCCAAATAGTTATTCAACAAACATTTCTATACACCTATTATGTGCAAGTATCTCTGATAGGGTGCTGAACTGGGCTTTTGAAAACAGCATCACAAAAATCTAAGAAAGAACTCATCCCACCCTAATTAGCCTTCCCCAGGACCTTTGCAGTATTTTTACTTCAGTCATCACAAGCTTCTAATACGCTAACAGGCTGTCTAAGGAGTATAAACTATGTCAGAGAAAAATCAAATTCATTAGTGGTTACCTTTGGTGAGGGACTTGTAATCAATAAGGGGAAACTCGGGAGCAAACCAATTTACTAATATTTAATTTGCTGGATGGCGATTATAAAGATGTTTACTGTGTTATTCTTTTAAATGTCTTAGAAAATATATAATAAAATTTTTAAAAAACAGAACTGTGAATCAAAGGAAAAGAGAAAGGACAACCCATGAGATGGGAGAAAATATTTGTAAATCATTATTCTGATAAGGGGCTAATATCCACAATATATAAAGACCTCCTGCCATGTGCAGTGGCTCACATCTGTAATGCCAGCACTTTGGGTGGCCAAGGCGGGCAGATCATTTGAGGCCAGGAGTTTGAGACCAGCTTGGCCAACATGGCGAAACCCCATCTCTACTAAACCTGTCTCTATTAAGCCCTGTCTCTACTAAAAATGCAAAAAAGTTAATCAGGCGTGGTGGCGCACACCTGTAATGCCAGCTGCTTGGGAAGCTGAGGCAGGAGAAGCACTTTAACCCGGGAGGCAGAGGTGGCAGTGAGCCGAGATCACACCACTCAACTCCAGCCTGGGTGACAGAGTGAGACCCTGTCTCAAAAACAAAAACAACAAAAAAAAAAACTACAAGTCAACAACAACAAAATACAATTAAAAAATAAAGAACTTGAACAGACATTTCTCCAAAGAAGATACACCAATGGCCAATGAACACAGGAAAAGACACTCAAGTTCACTAATCATTAGGGAAAATAAATCAAAACCACAGTGAGATATCACCTCACACTTATTAGGATGGCTACTATTAAAAAAAAAGGTGGCCAGGCACAGTGGCTCACACCTGTAATCCCAGCACTTTGGAAGGACGAAGGGGGCAGATCATGAGGTCAGGAGTTCGAGACCAGCCTGGCCAATGTGGTGAAACCCTGTCTGTACTAAAAATACAAAAATTAGCCGTGTGTGGTGGTGCACACCTGTAGTCCCAGCTACTCAGGAGGCTGAGGCAGGAGAATCGCTTGAACCCAGGAGGCAGAGGTTGCAGTGAGCCGAGATCGCACCACTGACTCCAGCCTGGGCGACAGAGCGAGAGTCCATCTCAAAAAAACAAAACAAAACCACACACAAAACAAAAAAAACAGTGTTGGCAAGAACGTGGAGAAATTGGTATCCTTGTGCACATTGGTAAGAATGTCAAATGGTATAGCCAGTATGAAAATTAGTATGATAGTTCTTCAAAATTAAAATAAAATGACATATGATCCAGCAATTCTACTTTTGGTTACATATCCAAAAGAACTGAAAGTATGCTCTCAAAGAGATAACTTGCCAGGCACATTGGCTCACACACGTAATCCCAGTATTTTGGGAGGCTGAGGCAGGATTGCTTGATCTCATGAGTTTGAGACAAGGCTGGGCAACATAGTGAGACTCCATCTCCACAAATTTTTTTTTTTTTTTTGAGACAGAGTCTCGCATTGTTGCCGAGGCTGGAGTGCAGTGGTGCAATCTTGGCTCACTGCAAGCTCCGCCTCCCTGATTCACGCCATTCTCCTGCCTCAGCCTCCCAAGCAGCTGGTGTGTCCAGAGTTGGTTCCTTCCAGTGGGTTCTTGGTCTCGCTGACTTCAAGAACGAAGCCGCAGATCTTCACGATGAGTGTTACAGCTCTTAAAGGTGGCACAGACCCAAAGAGTGAGCAGCAGCAAGATTTATTTTGAAGAGCAAAAGAACAAAGCTTCCACAGTGTGGAAGGTGACCCAAGCGGGTTGCCGCTGCTAGCTGGGGTGGACAGCTTTTATTCCCATATTTGTCCCCACCCACGTCCTGCTGATCGGTCCATTTTACAGAGTACTGATTGGTCCATTTTTACAGAGTGCTGAATGATGCATTTACAATCCTTTAGCTAGACACGGAGTGCTGATTGGTGCATTTACAATCCTTTAGCTAGACACAGAGCACTGATTGCTGTGTTTACAATCCTCTAGCTAGACAGAAAAGTTCTCCAAGTCCCCACTCGACCCAGGAGGTCCAGCTGGCTTCACCTCTCACTGGGACTACAGGCCCCCGCCACCATGCCTGGCTAATTTTTTGTATTTTTAGTAGAGACGGGGTTTTACCATGTTAGGCAGGATGGTCTCCATCTCCTGACCTCATGATCCGCCCACCTTGGCCTCCCAAAGTGCTGGGATTACAGGTGTGAGCCACTGCACCTAGCCAATTTTTTTTTTAATTAGTTGGATGTGGTGGTGTGTGCCTGTAGTCTCAGCTACTTGGGAAGCTGAGGTGAAAGGATCACTTGAGCCCAGAATATCGATACTGCAGTGAGCCATGATTGTGCCACTGCATTCCAGCCTGGGCAACAGAGCAAGACTCTGTCTCAAAAAATAAATAAAGAGATAATTGTATACCCATGTTCATAGCAACATTATTGACAATAGACAACAGGTAGGAGCCACCTAAGAGAACAGGTAAGCAAAATGTGGTACATACATAGAACTGATTCAGCCTTAAAAAGGAAGGAAAATCTGATACATGCTACAACACAGATGAACTTGAGGACATTATACTACGTGAAATAAGCCAGTCACAACAGGACAAATACCAATGACTCCATTATATGAGGCATGAAGAATAGTCAAATTCATTGAAACAGAAAGTTGGATGGTGGTGGCTAGGCACTTTGGGGAAGGAGGAATCGGGGGGTGTTTAATGGATTTGGAGTCTCAGTTTTATGAGATGAAACAGGGTGGGCAGGTGTGGTAGCGCACACCTGTAATCCCAGCACTTGTGGAGGCCAAGGCGGGTGGATCACCCAATGTCAGGAGTTCAAGACCAGCCTGGCCAACATGGTGAAACCCTGTCTTTACTAAAAATACAAAAATTAGCCAGGCGTGGTGGTACAGTCCTGTAATCCCAGCCACTCGGGAGGCTGAAGTAGGAGAATCACTTGAACCCAGGAGGCAGAGGTTGCAGTGAGCTGAGATCACCCCACTGCACTCCAGCCTGGGCGACAGAGTGAGGCTGTCTCAAAAAAAAAAAAAAAAAAAAAAAAAAAATGAGAGTGCTGAAGATTGGCTGCACAACAATGTGAATGTATGCAACACTACTGAACTGTACACTTAAAATGGTTAAGATGATAAATATTATGTGTATTTTACCACAATTTTTTAAAAAATAAAGAGAACTAATCAAAACACAAAGTGGGGTGTGATGCTGCTCACCTGTAGTCCCAGCCAATCAGGAGGCTGAGGTGGGAAGGAATTACTTGAGCCTAGGAGTTCGAGTACAGCCTGGGCAACACAGGAGAGCCCATCTCTTAGCCTGATCAGTATAAGATGTTGAGAGAGAAACACTCTAAATTCAAATTCAAATAAACAATCTGCTGCTTTTCTCATTTCAAAAAACAATTCAAGCCTTACTAGTGATATTTGTTGAAAAGGACTAATAGGCGCCGGGCGCAGTGGCTCACGCCTGTAATCCCAGCACTTTGGGAGGCCGAGGTGGGCAGATCACAAGGTCAGGAGATCGAGACCATCCTGGCTAACACGGTGAAACCCTGTCTCTACTAAAAATACAAAAAAATTAGCCAGGTGTGGTGGCGGGCACCTGCAGTCTCAGCTACTTGGGAGGCTGAGGCAGGAGAATGGTGTGAACCTGGGAGGTGGAGGTTGCAGTGAGCCAAGATCGTGCCACTGCACTCCAGCCTGGGTGACAGAGCGAGACAATATCTCAAAAAAAAAAAAAAAAAAAGAAATGGACCAATAGGCATCAAATTCATTACTCCCAACTACCTAACTGAACAGTTTCATACAACTGAAAAACCTAATATGTTCAGGGCAGCTAATATATTTCTAGAGGCAGGAATTAGAAAGTAAATATTGACCAGGCACAGAGGCTCATGCCTGTAATCCCAGCACTTTGGGAGGCCAAGGTAGGAGGATAGCTTGAGCCCAGGAGTTTGAGACCAGCCTGGGCAACATGGTGAAACCCCATCACTACAAAAAATACAAAAATTAGCCAGGTGTGGTGGCATGCACCTGTAGTCCCAACTACTCAGGAGGATCACTTGAGTCCAGGAGGTGGAGGCTGCAGTGAGCCATAATCCTGCCATTGCACTCCATCTTGCAGGACAGTGAGACCTGGTTTCCACAAAATCATTCCTAGAGTTTGCTTAAAAAAAAAAAAAAAAGAAAAAAAAAAATAAACAGAAAGAAGACTTAGCCTAAAGAACATAGTCTCCAAATACAAAGGATGGTAGCTTAGAAATAAAAGTCTTTAATTATTTGTCATATTCTATACAAAGTTTGAAGTCTGCATTAAGTTATTAAGAGCCCCATTCCTGAGGCTTATTATTCAAAAGGGTGGAAATACGAAAACTTTAATTTTAAAAACTAAGAAGTAGGCCGGGTACGGTGGCTCGCGCCTGTAATCCCAACATTTTGGGAGCCGGAGGAGGATGGAGAGCCTGAGCTCAGGAGTTCAAGATCACCCTGACCAACATGGTAAAACCCTGTATCTACTAAAAACGCAAAAAATTTCCCAGGGATGGTGGCATGCACTGTAATTCCAGCTGCTTGAGAGGCTGAGACACGAGAATTGCTTGAACCCGGGAAGCGGAGGTTGCAGTAAGCCAAGATCACGCCACTGCACCCCAGCCTGGGAGACAGAGCAAGACTCCGTCTCAAAAAAAAAAAAAAAAAGAAAACTAAGAAGTAATCCTTCAGAGGAAGAAATGTGCTTAATTGAGTAGTAAGGATTAAATGAGTTGCAGTGTGCGAAGTGTTAAGCCTAGCTCCTGCCACACGATATTACTCAACAAGTTATTCAGATTTGGCCGGGCACGGTGGCTCATGCCTATAATCCCAGCAATTTGGGAGGCCAAGGCGGGTGGATCACGAAGTCAGGAGTCCAAGACCAGCCTGGGCAATATGGTGAAACCCTGTCCCTAACAAAAATACAAAAATTAGCCGGGCATGGTAGCGCGTGCCTGTGGTCCCAGCTACTTCAGGGGATGAGACAAAAGAATTGCTTGAACCCGGGAGGCGGAGGTTGCAGTGAGCCGAGTTCATGACACCGCACTCCAGCCTGGGCAACAGAGCGAGATTCCATCTCAAAAACAAAAAAAACAAAAAAAAACAGTTATTCAGACTTTCTCTATTGTCTCATTTCCCTACGTTTCCCTCTTATACCAACATAACCAAAATGAGTTTGACTGTTTTTAACACAAACATGAACAATATTTGAAATAACTGTATACATTTACGAGTAATTTTACAATCACTATCTTTTAAAACTTAAATCAGCTCAAGGAAGGGAAAAAGAAAACTGAAATTTAGAGTCCCTATAACATTATGGCTACTGTGCTAAGAACTGACATCTATCACTTCATTTAATTTGCTCAGGTAGGTTATTATTATCCTAATCTCACAGATAAGGGAAGTGAGGTTCAAAAACATTTAATAATTTGGCCAGGCTTGGTGGCTCATGCCTGTAATTCCAACATTTTGGAAGGCCGAGGTGGGCAGATCATTTGAGCCCAGGAGTTCGAGACCAGCCTAGCCAACATGATGAAACCCAGTCTCTACTAAAAATATAAAAAATTAGCAGGGCATGCTAGCGCGTGTCTGTAGTCCCAGCTACACAGGAGGCTGAGGTGGAAGGATCACTTGAACCTGGGAGGTGGAGGTTGCAGTGAGCCAAGATCCCAAGATCACAGCACTGCACTCCAGCCAGGGGGACAGAGTGAGACTTTGTCTCAAAAAATAAGTAAAATTTATATGGAAAGGCATAGGCCCTAGGAATATGTATTATAGATATCAGTAAGTACTCCAAAACACTGAGGTGTCTAAAGCTTAATTTGGTAATTACAAAGTTTCTTATATCAAGCTGTAAAATAAGCTTGATGTTTCCTTAGACCTAGTGGGCATCAGGAAAGGTGAAAACCCAATATTAAAATGATATTGCGTCTCCCTGGTGTTCCCCTAACACTGAAGGAACACATAGAATTCCCATTTGTTCCTAAATACCCTTCTGATCTTCAATGACCATGAGTAAAGATAAACAAGGAGTTGAAAGAAATGGCAAAAAAGAACCAAAGAACTATCTTGTTTTGGCACTATACAGCTCTGACTGGGGTCAACATCCAAGACAGGATGTACCATCAAAGGAAATGGATCTGCACAGAGAAATAAAAGCTCAGCCCGGGTCAGAAATGAAACAATGGCACACAAATAAGTTTTGTTTCCACAGAGAATACATTTTTCTATATAAACTTTACCATGAGGCTGGGTGCTGTGGCTCTCGCCTGTAATCCCAGCACTTTGGGAGGCCGAGGTGGGCGAATCACTTGAGGTCAGGAGTTCAAGACCAACCTGGCCAACATGGTGAAACCCTGTCTTTACTTAAAATACAAAAATTGCCGGGCATGGTGGCTCCTGCCTGTAATCCCAGCACTTTGGGAGGCAGAGGTGGGCGGCTCATGAAGTCAGGAGATCGAGACCATGCTGGCCAACATGGTGAAACCCCATCTCTACTAAAAATACAAAAATTAGCTGGGCATGGTGGCAGGCACCTATAATCCCAGCTACTCAGGAGGCTGAGGAAGGAGAAGCGCTTGAGCCTGGGAAGCGGAGGTTGCAGTGAGCCAAGATCATGCCACTGCACTCCAGCCTGGCTACAGAGCGAGATTCCGTCACAAAAAAAAAAAAAAAAAATTAGCTGGGTGTGGTGGCGTGCGCCTGTAATCCCAGCTACTCAGGAGGCTGAGGCAGGAGAACTGCTTAAACCTGGGAGGCGGAGGTTGCAGTGAGCCAAAATCACGCCACTGCACTCCAGCCTTGGTGATAGAGCAAGACTCTGTCTCCAAAAAAAAAAAAAAAAAATTAGCCAAGTGTGGTGGCACATGCCCGTAATCCCAGCTACTTGGGAGGCTGAGGCATGAGAATCACTTGAACCTGGGAGGCGGAGGCTGCAGTGAGCTGAGATCACACCACTGCACTCCAGCCTGGGTGACAGAACAAGGCTCTGCCTCAAATTAAAAAAATAAAAATAAAAAAACTTTACTGTGAAACTACATTATCTACAAGATGTTTCTTCAGAAATTTCTTCTCAGGAGAAACTTAGAAATTTTTCTTCCAAGACTTAATAATTGTCACTGACTTCCTGCCAGCTTTATATCAGAAACTTTTGGCCAGGCACAGCGGCTCACACCTGTACTGTAATCCCAGCATTTTGGGAGGCCAAGGTGGGCGGATCACTCGAGGTCAGGAGTTTGAGACCAGCCTGGCCAACATGGTGAAACCCCAACTCTACTAAAATTACAAAAATTAGCCGGACATGGTGGCACACACACCTGTAGTCCCAGCTATCTGGGAGGCTGAAGTGGGAGAATCGCTTGAACCCAGGAGGCAGAGGTTGCAGTGAGCCGAGTTCGCACCACTGCACTGCAGCCTGGACCACTGAGCAAGAACTGACATCTATCACTTTTCTGAGACAGTTCTGTCTCAGGAAAAAGAAAAAAAAAAGAAAGAAACTTTTCAAACATCCTAGAAAAAATGAACCTACACACAGGTCACAATAAAACAAAAATGTATTTTGCAAGAATACAATATAGCCTTACCTCAGCTTCTGTTTTCATTTAAAAACTCAAATGCTATTTGAAAAAAATGTGCTTTGTAGAACATGTTTCTTGCTTTCAACATGGCACGGGAAGGTAATGCTACCACACAGTGCCAAAACACTAAAATATGGCTTTCAGAAAAGCTTGTTAGTTTCATACCAACAATAATAGGGCTAGATTTCCTATTTGCAACAAGCTATGTAATGAATATAACAGCTTTTCCTTAAAAGTCACTTATCTATAGAGAATATTTATACAGACAAACTGAAATAAGAAAAATTCTAGAAAAGCAACAGTGAGTTTTTTAAAAAACATTTTTGTACATTCTACCATCATACCTCCTTAATATACAAATATTCATATATGTGCCTGATATAAGCCATAAAAATAAAATAATTCACAAATTTATTATATGAAAGTATCCCTGAAACTAAAATAAGTAAAATTTGGATAAGCTTTTCTACCAATATACTCTCTGGGAGAAAAAGACAGAAAAGTGAGCCTTAAAGTGAATTCCATTTTTCTACTACTTCTCATTAAATATTAAAAATGTGTCCATATTTTTTAATATTGATAAACTAAATTAAAAACCTTAGTGAAGTACAAGGTATGGTAGCTCCTATCTATAAGCTCAGCTACTTGGAAGGCTAAGGTGGGAGGATGGCTTGAGTGAAGGAGTTCCAGGCCAGCCTGGGCAACATAGTGAGAACCCAGATCTAGAAAAAATAAATAAATAAAAAATAGGCTGGGCGCAGTAGCTCACACCTGTAATCCCAGCACTTTGGGAGGCCAAGGCAGGTGCATCCCTTGACATCAGGAGTTCGAGACCAGCCTGGTCGACATGGTGAAACCCCGTCTCTACTAAAAAAAAAAAAAAAAAAATTAGTTGGGCATGGTGGCAGGCACCTATAATCCCAGCTACTCAGGAGGCTGAGGCAGGAGAATCGCTTGAACCTGGGAGGCGGAGGTTGCAGTGAGTAGAGATCACGCCACTGCACTCCGTCTGGGCAACAGAGCGGGACTCCATCTCAAAAAAATAGTAATAAAAATGAAATAAAATAGGCCAGGTGCAGTGGCTCACACCTGTAAATCCCAGCAATTTGGGAGACGAGGCAGGCAGATCACTTGACCTCATGAGTTCCAGACCAGGCTGCACAACACAGTGACAACTCATCTCTACGAAAAATACAAAAAAACTAGCCAGGCACGGTGGTATGCCCCTATAGTCCCAGCTACTCGGGAGGCTGAGGCAGGAGGATCACCTGAGCCCAGGGAGGTTGAAGCTGCAGTGAGTTGAGATCCCGCCACTGCACTCCCACCTGGGAAAGAGTTCGACCCTGTCTCAAAAATAAAATAAAATAGATAGACAGAAAACCTAATTTATCCTATATGTATAATTAAATATCAGATAGTTATTATTTACATATACTATTGAGGATTTTTAATCTGATCAATTTTATTGAGCTAGCTTCTCCCCAATTTTAAATGCAACCCCTCTAACTCAGATGGCACATAACTGTAAAAAACATTAAATGAATACCAGAATTTTATAGTCAAATCACATTTGTACCCAAAAGTAGGCTTTTTCCCCCTTGTTTTAATTCATAAATTTATTCAACAGACTTGATTTTACAAATTCCAGCCATCCTAGAATTTTCCTCATGTCAAGATATTACAAGCATTATAACAGCCTATTCTAGTGTTTTACTCACTGATGGTCAAGAGATTTCCCCTAAAAGTAAACAGCAAACTAGAAAAAACATTGCCAGCTATATGATAAAGAATATACTTGATGGCCGGGTGAGGTGGCTCATGGCTGTAATCCCAGCACTTAGGGAGGCCAAGGCTGGCACATCACCTGAGATCAGGAGATCAAGACTAGCCTGGCCAACATAGCAAAACCCAGTCTCTACTAAAAATGCAAAAATAAGCTGAGCGTGGTGGTGCATGCCTGTACCCCACTTACTCAGGAAGCTGACGCAGGAAAATCCTTGAACCCACGAGGTGGAGGTTGCAATGAGCAGAGATCTTGCCAAAGCACTCCAGCCTGGGAGACAGAGTGAGACATTGTCTCAAAAAAAAAAAAAAAAAAAAAAAAGAATATATTTGGCTGGGCGTGGTGGCACACACCTGTTATCTCAGCACTTTGGGAGACCAAGATAGCAGAATCACTTGAGCTCAAGAGTTTGAGACCAGCCTTGGCAACATGGTGAGGCCCCGTCTCTCCAAGAAACACAAAAAATTAGCCAAGCATGGTGGTGCGTGCCTCTGGTCCCAGCTACTCAGGAGGCTGAGGTGGGAGGATTGCTTAAGCCCAGGAGGTCAAGGCTGTAGTGAGTGGTGACCGTGCTACTGCATTCCAGCCTCTTTTTTTTTTTTTTTTTTTGGAGATGGAGTCTCACTCTGTTACGTAGGCTGGGGTACAGTGGCGTGATCTTGGCTCACTGCAACCTCCACCTCCCGGGTTCAAGCAATCCTGCCTCAGCATCCGGAGTAGCTGGGACTACAGGTGCATGCCACCATGCCCAGCTAATTTTTGTATTTTTAGTCAAGATGGGGTTTCACCATGTTGGCCAGGCTGGTCTCGAACTCCGGACCTCAGGTGATCCACCTGCCTCGGCCTCCCCCTCCCAAAGTGCTGGGGTTACAGGCGTGAGCCACCGCACCCGGCCTACCACCATTTTTTTTTTTGAGACCCTGTCACCCCCACCAAAAAAAAGAATATTTTTACTATAAAGAGATTCAAAACGTCAAAATAAGAAAAAAATTGCATATGCCAAAACAGAGATAGGCAAAGACGTGAACAGTTAGAAATATGACTATCTTGAAAACCCAAAAGGGCTGGGCGTGGTGGCTCACACCAAAACTTTGGGAGGCTGAGGCAGGCCGACCACCTGAGGCCAGGAGTTTAAGACCACCCTGGTCAACATGGTGAAACCCCGTCTCTACTAAAAATACAAAAAATTAGCTGGGCGTGGTGGCGCGTGCCTGTAATCCCAGCTACTCAGAAGGCTGAGAGGGAAGAATCACTTGAACCCAGAAGGCGGAGGTTACAGTTGAGCCGAGATTGTGCCACTGCACTCCAGCCTAGGTGACAGAGCAAGACTCTGTCTTGAAAAGAAAAAAAAAAAACACAGAAGAAAAAATTATAGTTAGCAAAAGGATTTAGTGGCTCACACCTGTAATCCTAGCACTTTGGAAGGCCGAGGAGGACAGGTCACTTGAGGCCAGGAGTTCGAGACCAGCTAGGCCATGGAGAAACCTCATCTCTACTAAAAATACAAAAATTAGTCACACGTGGTGCCATACACATGTAGTTACAGCTACTGGGGAGGCTAAAGTGGAAGGATCATTTGAGCCCGGGAGGTCAAAGCTGCAGTGACCCAGTATCGCACCACTGCACTCCAGCCTGGGTGATACCTGTCTCAAAAAACAAACAAAAAAACTGTATGGTACTGGCCCAAGAATAAACAACTGAAAAGAACAGAAATATTCAAAAATAAACACATGCAGGCTAGGCGCAATAGCTGGTACCTGTAATCCCAGCACTTTGGGAGGCCAAGGCGGATGGATCACTTGAGGTCAGGAGTTCGAGACCAGCATGGCCAACATAGTGAAACCCCGTCTCTACTAAAATTACAGTAAATTAGCCAGGCGTAGTGGTATGCACCTGTAGTCCCAGCTACTCCAGAGGTTGAGGCAGAGAATCGCTTGAACCCCAGTGGCGGATGTTGCAGTGAGCCGAGATCACGCCACGGCACTCCAGCCTAGGCAACAAAAGTGAGACTCCGTCTCCAAAAAAAAAAAAAAAAAAAAAGGAAACACAGGCGTACATACATACATACACAAATGGTGGATATATGGCAATTGAGAACATGATGAAGATAAGATTTCATATCATTAAAGACACGATATTCAACAAATAGGCTTGGGTCAGTTGCATATTTGTGGAGAAAAAGAGTACCTCCAAAAACATATAAAGATAAATTCCAAATCAGTTAAAGAGTTAAATAAGCTAGTAAAGAGTTAGGATAAATATAAAATATTTTTATAATTTTGGGATGGAGAGAGCCTACTTAAGCAAGCCTCAAAACCCAGAAACCATTAAGAAAAAAGACAGATATGAAATTTTAGCACATCAACGGACACTACAGATGATGCAACAGATTGTAGAAAATATGTGCAATATATGTTTAAAATACAGGGATACACAGAGAGAGTTCCTATTAGTCTAAAGAGAAAAGTGGGGAGAGGTGTGGATAGTTAATGGGTACAAAAACAAATAGAAAGGCTGGGCGTGGTGGCTCACATCTGTGGTGGCTCACATCTGTAATCCCGTCACTTTAGGAGGCCAAGGCAGCAGATCAGTTGAGGCCAGGACTTTAAAACTAGCCTGGCCAATATGGTGAAACCCTGTCTCTACTAAAAAATACAAAAATTAGCCAGGCATGGTGGCATCCACCTGTAATCCCAACTGAGTATACTCAGGAGGCTGAGGGACAAGAATCGCTTGAACCCGGGAGGCAGAAGTTGCAGTGAGCCGAGATCACACCACTGCACTCCAGCCTGGGCAACAGAGCGAGACTCTTGTCTCAAAAACAAAAACAAAAACAAAAATAGAAAGAATGAGTAAGAGGGAATATTTGATAGCACAAATGGATAATTACAGTCAATAATTTAATTGTACATTTTTAAATAACTACAAGTATAATTGTTTATAACACAAATAATGAATGCTGAGAGGATGAATTCCCCATTTTACATGATTTGATTATTATGCAATGCATGCCCATATCAAAACATCTCATGTACCCAATAAATATACACACCTACTATGTATCCACAAAAAAATAAAATATTTTTTTAAAAATAAAGCTGGGCATAGTGGCTCACACCTGTAATCCCAGCACTCTGCGAAGCTGAGGCAGGCAGATCGCTTGAGGTCAGGAATTCTAGAATAGCCTGGGCAACATAGCAAAACCCTTTTTCTATAAAAAATACAAAAATTAGCTGGTCATGATGGCTCACACTGTGGTCCCAGCTACTCGGGAGGTTGAGGTGGGACGATCACCTGAGCTTGGGAAATTGAGGCTGTAGTGAGCGAAATCACTCCAGCCTGGGCAACGAAGAGATCAGTCTCAAAAAAAAAAAAAAAAAAAGGCCCAGCACAGTGGCTCACACCTGTAATCCCAGCACTTTGGGAGGCCAAGGTGAGAGGATTACTTGAGGCCAGGAGTTCAAGACCAGCCTGGCCAACATGGCAAAACTCGTCTCTACTAAAAATACAGAAATTACTTAAGCCAGGCAAGGTGGCTCACGCCTGTAATCTTTGGGAGGCCGAGGTGGGCAGATCACTTGAGATCAGGAGTTCAAGACTAGCCTGGCGAACATGGTGAAACCCTGTCTCTTCTAAAAATACAAAATTAGCCAGGGATGGTGGCAAGTGCCTGTAATGCTAGCTACTTGGGAGGCTGAGGCAGGAGAACTGCTTGAGCCCAGGAGGCAGAGGCTGCAGTGAGCCGAGATTGCGCCACTGCACTCCAGCCTAGGCGACAGCAAGACTCCATCTCAAAAAAAAAAAAAAAAAAAAAAAAAAATCAAGTTCCATTCATGTATCCTCAGCAAACTAACACAGGAACAGAAAACCAAATGCCACGTTTTCACTTATAAGTGGCAGCTGAACAATGAAAACACATGGACACAGGGAGGGGAACAACACACACTAGGGCCTGTGCGGGGGTGGGAAGAGCATCAGGATAAACAGCTAATGTATGCAGGGCTTAATACCTAGGTGATGAGTTAATAGGTACAGCAAACCACCATGGCACACATTTATGTAACACGCCTGCACATCCTGCATGTGTATCCAGGAACTTAAAATTAAATTAAATTCTAAAAAAAATACAAAAATTATCTGGGCGTGGTGGCAGGTGCCTGTAATCTTGCCTCCTCAGGAGGCTGAGGCACAAGAACCATTTAAACCTGGGAGGTGGAGACTACAGTGAGCTGAGCTCACACCACTGCACTTCAACCTTAACAACAGAGAGAGACTCTGTCTCAAAAACAAAACAAAACAAAACAAAACTTAAAAAAATGTTTTCAGAGAATAAATGTAGCTTTGATACAAAAGAAAAACTAAAATGGGATGGGAGGGGTAGAATGAGAAGAAAAAAGCCCAGTTACAAAATAAGCAAAGAATAAGCAATTCCACTGAAAGAAATACAGCCAATAAAGAAATAAAAAGATGTTAGGCTGGGCACAGTGGCTCACACCTGTAATCCCAGCACTTTGGGAGGCCAAGGCGGGCAGATCACCTAAGGTCGGGAGTTCGAGACCAGCCTGACCAACACGGAGAAACCCGTCTCTACTAAAAATACAAAATTAGCTGGGCATGGTGGCACATGCCTGTAATCCCAGCTACTCAGGTGGCTGAGGCAGGAGAATCGCTTGAAACCAGGAGGTGGAGGTTGCGGTGAGCTGAGATCGCACCATTGCACTGCAGCCTGGGCAACAAGAGCGAAACCCTGTCTCAAAAAAAAAAAATTAGCCAGGCGGTGGCGCATGCCTGTAATCCCAGTTACGTGGGAGGCTGAGGTGGGAGAATCACTTGAACCCAGGAGGCGGAGGTTGCAGTGGGCTGAGATCATGCCATTGCACTCCAGCCTGGGCAACAGAGAGAGACTCTGTCTAAAAATAATAATAATAAAAATAAAAAATAATAATAAATATGGAAAATATTCAACTTCATCTCAAATAAATGGAAATTTAAAATGAGATCACTTGGCCAGGTGCAGTGGCTCATACGTGTAATCCCAGCACTTTGGAGGGCTGAGGTGGAAAAATTCCTTGAGTTCAGGAGTTCAAGATCAGCCTGGGCAATATAGTGAGACCTCATCTCTTCAAAAAAATTAAAAATTAGACTTTCTCTTCCTGGTTCCTAGCAGAGTCAGGAAAAGCTTTGTTGAGAGGGCGGGGTGAAAAAAACTTTTTTAAAATTAGCTGGGCATGGTGGTGCACATCTGTAGTTCCAGCTACTTGGGAGGCTGAGGTGAGAGGATTGTTTGAGTCCAGGAGGCAAAAGCTGCAGTAAGCCGTGATTGCACTGCACTCCAGCCTAGGCAACAAAGACCCTGTCTTAAGAAATAAAAATAAAAATAAAAATAAAAATAAGGCAGTGGTTCACACCTGTAATCTCAGCATTCTGGGAGTGCAAGGTTGACGGATCATCTGAGGTCAGGAGTTCGAGACCAGCCTGGCCGACATGGTGAAACCCCATCTCTACTAAAAATACAAAAATTAGCCGAGCTTGGTGGCAGGTGCCTGTAATCCCAGCTACTCGAGAGGCTGAGGCAGGAAAATTGCTTGAACCCGGGAGGCGGAGGTTGCAGTGAACCGAGATTGCGCCACTGCACTCCAGCCTGGGTGACACAGCAAGACTCCATCTCAAAACATTAATAAATAAAAATAAATAAAATGAGATCACTTGTCTTCTCTTTTTAGCAGCAGGGTCTCACTCTCACTCTGACGTGTAGTCAGACTGAGGCTGGAGTGTAGTGGCATGATTTAGCTGACTGCAACCTCAAACACCTGGGCTCAAGGGATCTTCCTGCCTCAGCCTCCCAAGTAGCCAGGACTATAGGCGCATGCTGCCAGACCCAGCTAATTTTTTAAAATTTTTGGTAAAAAATTAGCTGGGGCCGGGCACAGGGGCTCACGCCTGTAATCCCAGCACTTTGGGAGGATGAGGCGGGGTGGATCACCTAAGGTCAGGAGTTCAAGACCAGCCTGGCCAACATGGTGAAACCCCCTCTCTACTAAAAGTACAAAAATTAGCTGGGCATGGGGCTCACGCCTGCAATCCCAACTACTTGGGAGGCTGAGGAAGGAGAATCGCTTGACCCAGGAGGCAGAGGTTGCAGTGAGCTGCGATTGCGCCACTGCACTCCAGCCTGGGTCACAGAGCGAGACTCCATCTCAAAAAAAAAAAAAAAAAAAAATTAGCCGGGCGTGGTAGCTGGTGCCTGTAATCTCAGCTACTCAGGAGGCTGAGGCAGGAGAATTGCTTGAACCTGGGAGCACAGGTTGCAGTGAACTGAGATTATGCCACTGCACTCTAGCCTGGGCAACAGAGCGAGACTCCATCTCAAAAAAAATTTTTTTGGTAGAGGCCAGGCAGGTGGCTTACACCTGTAATCCCTGCACTTTGGGAGACCGAGGCAGGCAGATCACCTGAGGTCAGGAGTTCGAGACCAGCCTAGCCAACGTGGTGAAACCCTGTCTCTACTAAAAATACAAAAATTAGCTAAGTATGGTGGGGCGTGCCTGTAGTCCCAGCTACTCGGGAGGCTGAAGCATGGGAATCACTTGAACCCAGGAGGTGAAGGTTGCATTCCAGCCTGGGCGATGGAGCAAGACTTGTCTCAAAAAAAGCAAAACAAAACAAACAACAAAACTGCATGTATTTCTTTTTTCTTTTTTTTGAGACAGAGTGTCTGTTAGTTACTCAGCCTGGAGCGCAGTAGTGGAATCATGGCTCACTACAGCCTCAACTTCCCAGGCTCAAGTGATCCTCTTGCCTCAGCCTCCTACGTAGCTGGGGTTACAGGTGCATGCCACCAAATCCTGGCTAAATTTTTCACTTTTTTTTGTAGAGACAGGGTTTCTACATTTTGCCATACCCAGGATGGTCTTGAACTTGTGGGCTCAAGCAATCCACCCACCTTGAGCCTTCCACTCTAGCCTGGGCGACAGAGCGAGACTCCATCTCAAAAAAAAAAAAAAAGAAAGAAAAAAGAAAGTTCTCTAGGGAGAACTGCTGGGATTATAGGCGTGAGCCACCACACCCAGCCTAATATGTATTATAACGCAGTTGTATTCCTCCACTTTTTTCTAAATCAGAGAAGCGTTTATTAAATGGCCCAGCAGTGCAACTGAAGACAAAAAAATTAAACAGTAATATAGCAAACCAAAAATAGGAAGCACCTAAATAAAACACCTGAATTACTTATCCTTAGTACAAGTAGGAAGTATAAGTACAGTTTAAGGTAAACAAGTAATCAGTTTGTATTCTGTCATCTATCAGTAAATAGCCTCTTGACAAAACTGGTTTCCCAAAATTAGCTGAGGGCATCTATAACTCTACAGTAATTATTAAATATAACTTGGCAATGTGGTAGAGTACAAGGAACAGTTAACTGGAAACCAGGACATCTGGGACATTGCAGCTGTGTGACTTTGGGTAAGTCATTTAAAAGTTCTCTAGGCTTGCCGGGCACAGTGGGTCACACCTGTAATCCCAGCACTTTGGGAGGCCAAGGTGGGCAGATCACTTGAGGTCAGGAGTTCCAGACGAGCCTGACCAATATGGTGAAACTCTGTCTCTACTGAAAATACAATAATTAGCTGGGCGTGGTGGCGGGCGCCTGTAGTCCCAGCTACTCAGGAGGCTGAGACAGGAGAATTGCTTGAACCTGGGAGGCGGAGGTTGTAGTGAGCCGAGATTGTGCCACTGCACTCTAGCCTGGGCGACAGAGCGAGACTCCATCTCAAAAAAAAAAAAGAAAGAAAGAAAAAAGAAAGTTCTCTAGGCTTTAGTTTCCTCAATATAAAATGAATAGAATGGACTGGTTGACCGCTAAGCATTCTAGTAAGTCTAGAACTGATTATCAATACTTCATTAATGGTATTTATCATTCTCACTTAGGTTTCTGGGGATTCTTTTTTTTTTTTTTTTTCTCAGTAGAAATAGGGTCTCACTCTGTTGGCCAGGCTGGTCTTGAACTCCTGGCCTCAAGCAATCCTCCTGCCTTAGCCTCCCAAAGTGCTGGGATTACAGACATAATCTCACGTAGATTTTTAAAGAAGCCATTTACAAAGATATAAAATTTGGGGGCCGGGAGTGGTGGCTCACGCCTGTAATCCCAGCACTTTGGGAGGCCAAAGCGGGTCAATCATCTGAGGTCAGGACTTCAAGACCAGCCTGCCCAACATGGTGAAACCCTGTCTCTACCAAAAATACAAAAAATTATCTGGGTGTGGTGGCGGGCACCTGTAATCCCAGCTACTCCGGAGGCTGAGGCCAAGAGCAAAACTCTGTCTCAAACAAACAGGTCGGATGCGGTGGCTCACCACTGTAATCCCAGCACTTTGGGAGGCTGAGGCGGGTGGATCGCCCAAGGTCAGGAGTTGGAGACCACCCTGGCCAACATGGCGAAACCCCGTCTCTACTAAAAATACAAAAATTAGCTGAGCTCGGTGGCACGTGCCTGTAATCCCAGCTACTCAGGAGGCTGAGGCAGGAGAATCGCTTGAACCTGGTAAGCAGAGGTTGCAATGAGCCAAGATTGTGCCACTGCACTCCGGCCTGGGTGACAGAGCAAGACTCTGTCTCAAAAAACAAACAAATAATACAAAGATGTAAAATTTGAATTTCAACCAGAAAACCGTACTTTGGACTTTGGAATATAGAGTGAAAAAAAAAACCTGAAAGCAAATATATAAAAACATGTGACACATACATACATTTTTCTCAATATAAAAAAACTACAGTATGAAGGCGGGGCACAGTGGCTCACGCCTGTAATCCCAGCACGTTGGGAGGCCGAGACGGGAAGATCACAAGGTCAGGAGATCAAGACCATCCTGGCTAATATAATGAAACCCTGTCTCTACTAAAAATACAAAAAATAGCCGGGCATGGTGGCGGGCACCTGTAATCCCAGCTACTCAGGAGGCTGAGGCAGAAGAATGGCATGAACCCAGGAGGCGGAGCTTGCAGTGAGCCAAGATTGCGCCACTGTACTCCAGCCTGGGCGACACAGGGACACTCCGTCTCAAAAAAAAAAAAAAAAAAAACTACTGTATGAAAATATGTTTGACTAAATGCCTTAAAGTCTGTTGTAATAACATTTCCCCTATATATGAATACAGATAACCATTTCCACTACTAAAATGATCACTTGCTGGAAGCTTACAAATATATAATTGCTTGCTACAACTATTTTCCCAAGCATAGCTCCCTATACAATTATACACAGCAGAAATTTGGTAATTTACTCAATTCTCTATATAACAATACAAATTTTGTATTTAGCACCATGCTAACATTCACATTAGTTCCCCATAGGTAGTGTAAATATCTGAGGGAGAAAATGTATGAGTAAAAAAACAGATACCCCTATCCATTTATACCTTCCAAGTCCCACCCAGAATTCTGGTGTCCTGGCCAGTTCCACCTGCAACCTCTCCCCACTTCCTCCATACCAAGACTCCCTCCTTCCCTACAAAAGAAAGAAATCTTTCTTAGTATATTAGAATCACATAAATTTCCCACACCAATCTCTATTCTACCATCTACTAGCTCAATAATCTTTGGTAACTTCCTGAACTTTTTAAGCCTTGGTTTTCTTTAAAGTAACTAGTACCAGCTGCAGAGCAGAGTGTTGTTATAAGATAAAATGAGATAATGTGCCTGGCACATTAATAATCACTCAATGAATGTTATCTATTATTATTATTGCCTTAAGACTGTTGTAATATTTATTTATTTATTTATTTATTTATTTATTTATTTATTTTGAGACAGAATCTTGCCTGTTGCCTAGGTTGGAGTATAGTGGCATGATTTCGGTTCACTGTAACCTCCGCTTCCTGGGTTCAAGCGATTCTCCTGCCTCAGCCTCCCGAGTGGCTGGAATTACTGGCAGGCATCACCATGCCCAGCTAATTTTTGTATTTTTAGTAGAGATGGGGTTTCACCATGTTGGCCAGGCTGATCTCAAACTCCTGACCTCAACTGATCCGCCCACCTCAGCCTCCCAAAGTGCTGTGATGACAGGCCTGAGCTACCGTGCCTGGTCCGTATTTATTTACATCTACAGTAAAGGAGTACTAAAAAAGACTAATAGGACCAGCGAGGTGGCTCACGCCTATAATCCCAGCATTTTGGGAGGCTGAGGTGGGAGGATCACTTGAGCCCAGGTGCTTGAGATCAGCATGGGCAACATAGGGAGATCCTGTCTCTAGAAAAAGTACAAAAATTAGCCAAGCACCTGTAGTCCCAGCTCCTGGAGAGGCTGAAAAGCAAGAGGATTCCTTAAACCCAGGAGACTGAGGCTGCAGTGAGCCGTGATTACTCCACTGCACTCCAGCCTGGGCAACAGACAACTCGTCTTTAAAGAAAAAAAAAAAAAAGGGCTTAAATTATGAACTGACCAGTGAATTTTCTCCTCAAACTTCCATTCTTTTATCTCTTCTGAGAAACTTACTATGTGTTTCACTAAGGCAGCACAGTTTAGTTTGGTTAACACTTTGTAATTTTGAAAACTCTTAGGCTGGGCATGGTGGCTCAAGCCTGTAATCCCAGCGCTTTGGGAAGCCAAGCTGCCAAGGCAGGAGGATTGCTGGGTAACATAGCCAGACCAGCTTAGGCAACATAGCAAGACCTCGTCTCTACAAAAAAAATTTTAATAATTAACTGCGCGTGGTTGCATGCACCTGTGGTCCTATCTACTCAGGAGGCTGAGGTGGGAGGAAAGCTTGGGCCCAGGAGGTTGAGGTGGCAGTGAGCTGTGATGACACCACTGCATTCCAGCCTGGGCAACAGAGCAAAACCCTGTCTCAAAAAAAGAGAAAAGAAAATTCTTACTTTGGGAGGCTGAGGCAGGAGTATCACTTGAGCCCAGGAGTTTGAGACCAGCCTGGCAACATAGCAAGACCCCATCTCTAAAAATAAATCAGCTGGGCATGGTGGCCCTCACCTGTAGTCTCAGCTCTGTTCAGGAGACAGAGGTACAAGGATGGCTGGAGCCCAGGAGGTTGAAGTTGCAGTGAGCCATGATCTTGCCACTGCACTCCAGCCTAAGTAACACAGTGAGACCCTGTTGCAAAACAAACAAACAAACAAATTCTTTGTCCTGTCAACTACTATATAAACTCTTCAGGGGCAGAACCTTGTCTCATACTTTCATGTTCATATATTGTGCTTATTACATTGTAAGTATTTTTTTCTCTATCAGTCTGCCCTCACAGGGTCTGAGCAATTCCAAGGCAAAGATCGAGTTCTACCTGTATTTGTATCCTGAAGGCTTAGCAATCAGACACAAAATAGGTCTCAATAAATATTAAGTGGCTAAATGAATTAATCTTTTTTCACTGCAATGCCTTACACAGTACTTTACACATAACAGGAGTTCAGTAGAGCTTGTTATTGGATTCATGCAGAAATCTTTTGGACTCAACCACCACACAAAGCTTTATCTTGCATCAGAAAAGCACTTCTACTTTAATGTTTAGCTGCTGACATTACAAATTAGGTTTTACTCTAACATATATCAAATAAATGGGTTCAGTGACTAACCACATTAAGACCAGCTGAAGAAGGATTTTTAAAAGCCATATATATATATATATATATATATATATATATATATGTATTTTTTTTTTTTTTTTTGAGACGGAGTCTCGCTCTGTCGCCCAGACTGGAGTGCAATGGTGCGATCTCGGCTTACTGCAACCTTCCCCTCCGGGGTTCAAGCGATTCTCCTGCCTCAGCTTTCCGAGTAGCTGGGATTGCAGGCGCGCGCCACCAGGCCCGGCTAATTTTTATATTTTTTTAGTAGAGACGGGGGGGGGGGGTTTCACCATGTTAGCCAGGCTGGTCTCGAACTCCTCACCTCAAGCAGTCTGCCCGCCTCGGTCTCCCAAAGTGCTGGAATTACAGGCGTGAGTCACCGCGCCCAGCCAAAAAGCCATTATTCTAATTAATGCATTTGTGAACCTCAACATAAAAAAATCCAGTTATATAATCACAAGAGAGTTATCCCTTTCAAATGTATACCTACAAAAGATAGAAAAATGATCAGAAAACTTGTATCTGTCGATTGAAATAAATTATTTTTATGCCTGACTTGAAGCCATTGTTTTCACTACAAATAACAGTTAACCAGCAAAGTGGTCCACACCTGTTTCCAGAAAACAGTCCTTAAGACTCAAAGACTAGATGTTTTCCCCTCTGTGATTTTTAACTCCTGAGAGACATCTTTTATTTCAACATTGAGACATTCAAAACATGTTCTGTCTCCTAAAATAAAATCTCATTCATTTCTTAAAAGGCAAATAGCTTGATAAGCACACTTTAGGAACACCAGGTTTTACATCCAAATAACTAAAACTATCCCTAGATTTAGTGTTCAGCCTGCTGCTGCAATTAAAAAAAAATTGTTTTTTAAGTTACATTTGCGGAAGGTTTAAGTGTCGTATTGCACATTTTTTCACCATACCATCTAACCTGACTACCTTCCAGGTATTTCATAAGCACACCGTAAAGAAATTGTACACTTGAATGAGTCTGGGAAGAAACGTAAGCTTAGCACACACCCCCTTCTTCCAACTCAATACGCTTCAGAGGAAGCAACCTTAGTGTTTTTTTCTTCTCAAGAATCGCTCTCTCCCGCCCCCCTACCCTGCGCTTTATTTTAGAGTAGCAATCATTCATTATCCTACTCGTAGTTTCTCAGCGAAAAGAACCTTCCCAACTAATACTAGTTCACCAGGACTCTCCGTTCGCATCTCAAGAGTGTCCGTGGGGTATCTCTCCGGAAAGAGGGAAAGGAGGCGGCGACGATCTGGGACGCCACCATTCCCGCCACGGCCATTTAGGACCCAGGTCCCGGCGCGCGGTCCCCGACTAGCCTCAGGCAGAGCCGGGGGATCTGTAAAGGTCTGATCCCTTCTCCTCCCTCCACCCCTCTAACCAGTGAAAAGCAAACTGGGCCCAGCGTCTGTGCTCTCATTCAACATACCCTCCTCGTCGCTGTACCCCATTTCTTCCCACTTCTTTCCCAATGTAGCCTGGTCCCTTTATCCAGTTCCGAGTCTCCGTAAACACCCTGCTCCCAACACACACACCCCTCCACGCTCCAGCCCGCGCCCCCTGAACCCCATTACACCCGGGTCCCTCCCCCTGGACCTCCCAGCAGCTCTAGTCCTCCCCGCGTGCCCTAGAGCAGACCGGCGCCGCGTCCCTGTACCCACAGGACCCAGGTCCTGCCCCACACGTCACACTCAGGTCCATTCCTCCCGCGACCTAACCTTCCCCGCACCCCCTCCCCAGGCGCTACCCCCTGCACCCCGTTACCCCCGGCCCCGCCCCCCTGAGGGTGTCGCACTCACAGCTCCTGGCGCCGCATACTTAACCGCCGCGGCTGCTATAGCTACAGGGAGCCAAGGCAACCAGCTCTCGCGACACTTTCCTTGGCCATGGCGAGAGCACACGAGAAGAGACTCTCGCAAGAAAGTAAATGAGTCAGGCTGGAAACAGCGAAGTATATCTCGCGATAGCACTGTTTAAAATGGCGGCTTCAAGGCGTTTCACGGGTGTCCCGGACAGGCGTGGAGGTGGGGCGCAGGCGAGGATGAAGCTTGAGTTGGCCAGGAGTCGGAAAACGATTGCAGGCGGGACCGCGTCCGTCGGGGCTGAGGAAACTTAGCGTGGCAGACCCTAAACTGGGATAACTTTAGGGATATGGCCTTCTTTTCCCAGTTGCCTCAAACTTAGAGCAGCGTCGTCTTTAGCCGAAGATTCATTTTCCCAGCATTTTCCTTCTCCAGGCGGAGTAGTTGGAGACAGAGGGCAAGCCAGAAACTGACCTTCCCATCTCCTCATTCCCTTCCATCAAGAACTTTTCATCGTTCTTTCCCCACCCTGGTTTGTAAATGGTATTTGGCTTCATAAAAACGTTTGTCCACAGGTGCCCTGCTCCATCAGTTCGCTCCAGCAATATAGGAAGTTACCAAAAAAAAAATTTTTTTTTATTGACCTTGGATGCAGAAAGGAACCGCGTTGGTGTGTGATTTGAATTTTGGACTTCTTGTTTCCTGCCTTGTGGCCACGTCCCCCTTACTTGGTGACTCTCAGCACTTAGTTGTGGGGCTTTTTCTCTCTGCTCTCAGACAACTATAAAAGCAGACTAATTGAACAGCATCTAGAACAGAAGGTGGATGTAAAGAACATTGGTCGGCCGGGCGCTGTGGCTCACGCCTGTAATCCCAGCACTTGAGAGGCCGAGGCGGGCAGATCACGAGGTCAGGAGATCGAGACCATCCTGACCAACATTGTGAAACCCCGTCTCTACTAAAAATACAAAAATTAGCTGGGCGTGGTGGCGTGTGCCTGTAATCCCAGCTACTCGGGAGGCTGAGGCAGGAGAATTGCTTGAACCAGGGAGTTGGAGGCTGCAGTGAGCCAAGATCACACCACTGCACTCCAGCCTGGCGACAGAGCGAGACTTCGTCTCAAAAAAGAAAAAAAAAAAATGAGCCGGGCATAGTGGCACGCGTCTGTAGTCCCAGCAACTCGGGAGGATAAAGTGGGAGAATCCCTTGAGCTGGGAGGTGGAGGTTGCAGTGAGCTATGATCACACCACTGCACTCCATCAAACAGAGCCAGACTCTGCCTCAAGAAAGAGTGTGAGAGAGATCAAAATATCATTTCAACATATAACCAATGTTATTAACAAGATAACTTACATTCTTTCTTTCGTACTAAGTTTTCAAAATTTGGTGTTTATACTTGGAGCACATCTCATTAAGGACTGGGAGCATTTAAAGAGCTCAAGAGCCACATGCAACTAGTGACGAGAGTATCGGACAGCGCAGTCCTAGACTCTAGAGTAATGAATGAGCTCTCTAGATGTCCGGGGGGTGGTATCATGGGTGTGTGGTGTATGTAAAAGAAACTCTTGAAATTGCTAACTCAAATGGCTGCAGAGGCTAGGCAAGTAACAATAAAAGATGACCTGACATAGGGACTAGGACCCACTGGAGACTACAAACTCCTATCTAAAAGAGCCACTTTTCCTGAGTTTTAAAACACAGTGATGCCAAACAAGATGTCTGTGAGTAGGACACACAGCTAACTCTGCGGCCAATATACTGCCTCAGTGAACCGTGGTATTCAAATGTATGAAACACAAGGATTTTTTGTTGTTTTTTATTTTTTTTGAGACAGGGTCTCTCTAGTCATCCATGATCTCGGCTCACTACAACTTCCACCTCTCCCACTCAAGCGATCCTCCCACCTCACCTCCCAAGTAGCAGGGACTGCAGACACCTACCACTACACCTGGCTAATTCTTGTAGAAAGGGTATTTTAACAGAAGAATAGTAACTAGGCAAAGGGATGGCAAACCTTGAAAACCTGACCACATTTCTTTCTGGGTCCTGTACAAGTGTGTGCACTTTAAGCCATCATTGCAATTTAGGATTATAATTTGACTTCTAAGTAGAGTTTCCTACTGAGGAGATAATTTTACAGCCAACCTGGGCTCCCTATAAATTAATAAGCTGATATCATGATTTTTATTATAGTTAAAATTTTAGACATTCTGAGCTTGAAAAAATTATTTCCAGGTTTTCAAAGCTGTTCACTAGCAGACTCCAGACATTTTTTTCTCCAAATTTAAGAGAAGGCATATACATATATATATATATATATATACACACACACACACACATATATATATACACACATATATATATTTTTTTGTTTTGTTTTGTTTTTTTTCTGTTTTTTGTTTTTTGTTTTTTTGAGACAAGGTCTCACTCACACCCAGGCTGGAGTTCGGTGGCATGATCTCGGCTCAATACAACCTCCACCTCTCAGTTTCAAGTGATTCTTTTGCCTCAGCCTCCAAAGTAGCTGGGATTACAGTCACGTGCCACTGTGCCCGACTAATTTTTTTGCATTTTTAGTAGAGACACGGTTTCGACATGTTGGCCAGGCTGGTCTCGAATTTCTGGCTTCAAGTGACCCGCCCACGTTGGCCTTCCAAAGTGCTGGGATTAGGAGTGTGAGCCAGCACACCTGGCCTACAAGAAGGCATTTAATTATTTTATGGTTGACTGTGAAAGCTCTTTGTCACAGGAAAGTTATTTGTCTTTGTACTGCTTTTGCCTGATACAGTACCTGGTATACAGAAGGCACATAATAAACATTTGTTAAAGGAATATAGTCCTTAAAACTTTTGAGGGGCTCACAGACTTAAAACCCGAGAATCTGATGAAGGCTAAGGCTTATTCAGATCTTAACTGTGCCCTATCCATATTCCCTCAAACTACCCCAGAGTTCACCTCAACTTTGGTAGACAGATCTTGTACAGGCCCAGAACTTCTTACCTCAAACACCTGAGTAACTCTATCTGGAAGTGCTAGCAGAGTTAACATTATGAGAGACAATCTACAATCAATGAGAGATGGGATTTGGTAGCTAAATATTCCAGTTCCTCATCCCCTTAGTGGAGCCATTCTGAAGCATATTCTACTGTAATGTTTCTCAAAATTTTCTAGCATATGATAATCACCTGGAGAGATGAATATGACACAGATTCCAGCCAGGCTCAGTGGCTTACACCTGTAATCGCAGCACTTTGGAAGGTTGAGGCGGAAGGATCACTTGAGCCCAGGAGTTCGAGACCAGCCTGGGCAATATGGTGAGACTTTGTGAGCATGGTGGCACACATCTGTGGTCCCAGCTACCTCAGAGGCTGAGGTGGGAGGATCACTTGAGCTTGGGAGGTTGAGGCTACAGTGAGCCAAGATTGCGTCACTGTGCATCAGCCTGAGTGACAGAGGAAGAGTCTGTCTCCAAAAAAAAAAAGAAAAACGATAGAGATTCTTGGGCCCAAGAGTTTGCATTCTAACCAAGCTCCTAGGAATACTGATGCTGCTGCCAATCCATGGACCACATTTTGTTTTTTTGTTTTTTTTTTTTTGTTTTTTTGTTTTTTTGAGATGGAGTTTCACTCTTCTTGCTCAGGCTGGATTGCAATGGCGCGATCTCGGGTCACTGCAACCTCCACCTCCCGGGTTCAAGTGATTCTCCTGCCTCAGCCTCCCAAGTACAAGTAGGTGGGATTATAGGCATGTGCCACCACACCCGGCTAATTTTGTACTTTTCGTAGAGATGGGGTTTCGCCATGCTGGTCAGGCTGGTCTCGAACTCCTGACCTCAGGCGATCCGCCCACCTCAGCCTCCCAAAGTTCTGGGATTACAGGCGTGAGCCACCGCACCCAGCCTAGACCACGTTTTGAGTAGCATTGTTTCTAAGACTCCCCAGTGGGATTCAGCCCCAATAGCTCAAAGGGACTTTTGGCTTTCCTCTCACTCCCTTATACTGTTTGGATTTCTTGGGATCATATCCCAAATGAACTGGTCTTGCATCCAAATCTTTCTTTCAGGGTCTGTTTAGGGTGGGTGGGAGAATACAAACTATGACAACCCTCTCCTTAGGAAAAAGTACAGAGGGGCAGGTGTGGTGGCTCACGCTTGTAAGCCCAGCGCTTTTAGGAGGCTGAGGTGGGTGGATCACAAGGTCAAGAGGTCAAGACCAGCCTGGCCAACATGGTGAAACCCCGTCTCTACTAAAAATACAAAAAATTAGATGGGCATGGTGATGGGTGCCTGCAATCCCAGCTACTCGGGAGGCTGGAGCAGGAGAATCGCTTGAACCCAGGAGGCAGAGACTGCAGTAAGCCGAGACGCGCCACTGCACTCCAGCCTGGGTGACAGAGCGAGACTCCATTTAAAAAAAAAAAAAAAAGGAAAAGGTACAAAGTTTTGTATACACGTTTAAAGGAGGTAGGCCAGGCACGGTGGCTCCGCCTGTAATCCTAGCACTTTGAGAGGCCGAGGCAGGCAGATTGCTTGAGCTCAGGAGTTCAGGACCAGCCTGGGCAACATGGCAAAACCCCATCTCTACAAAAAAATACAGAAAATTAGCCAGGCGTGGTGGCGAGCTCCTGTAGTGCCACCTACTTGGGGGTCTGAAGTGGGAGGATCACTTGCACCTGAGAGGTGGAGACCGCAGTGAGCTAAGATTGCACCACTTCACTGCACTCCAGTCTGGGCGACAGAGTGAGACCCTATCTCAAAAAAAAAAAAAAATGCTTAGAGGGGGTATGAATTCTCTGGAATTTGCTCATTAGATTATAAGTGAAGATGACCAGGGTAAATGCCATTTGACCCAAGGTGCACTAAAATATGATCCATCTAATGCAGATTCTGGCAAACTTAATCTAACCATTAGCAGCTCATGGAGTTGACTGAATTCAGCCAGCTCTCCTTAGAAGTTATTTTCTCAGATCTTATTGCCATCTTTTCATTCTTTCTGATCTGCATTAGTCTTACTTTGTGGAACATGGCAGTAGGCCTGGGACTCTTAGAGAGTCCCCATCCTTGTAATGAGCAAAAAGAATATTGTTGCGCATTCCTATCGGGCTCTTAAGATTTCTTCCCAACCATACTGCTTTCTAGGTACCACTGTAGTGCCCTTGTAACCCTTAGATCTTTTCTTGCTGTGTTCAACACAGAGCCTGGCATACTATAACTGTAGCTGGTTTCTCCCATTTCCTTCTGGATTCCACATGGCCCCCTATTCTATTTCATCCTTTTGGGAATGTGTAATCTTTGACACTTATATTCCTAAACCCACTTTGGTATAATCTGGAAACTTTATGGCATGCTCTAGTCTGTGACAATCAGGATAACCCTGATTATACCAGCTTCTAATCAACTACATAAAGCGGGTGAACACCAGGGTCACCAACACCCATTTCCCAACTGCGGTGCACAGCAGCTTTTTAGCTTTGCCAACATTTGGGCCGGCACATGTGTTTGTGCGTGATTATTTGTCTCATGTACTATTGAATAAACGTCTTTGTAAGTAACTATGAATGTGGTTTTGTGCGTATGGGTGTAGGTGTGTAAGCAACTGGAGCTCAGATCTGTCTTAAAGTTTGCATAATTAATGTTTAGTATTTGGCTTTAATTAGTCTCTGTGCATTGTTAGCCTCGGCTTTCATCTGCTCTCAAATATCAAAGGAAGAATGAGTTCATTTTCCTTGAAGTTTATTGACTGTTACTGGTGGCAGAGCAAATTCCATAAACGAGCAGGTTCCATATGGAGCAAGTAGAAGGGGAGCTCTGAGTTGGTGAGGAAGGATGCGTGGAGTGGGGACTTGGAGTAAAGGATGGAAAGGTAGATCTCTCCTTTTTCCCTCCATTCCCATAAGGATACTGGATTAACAATGGGGGCTATCTGCTCAGCATTCCCTCTCCAAATTGGAGCCAGAGAGGGGAAATGATGCAAATCAGAGGAGGAAACACCTCACAGCTCCTCTGTTTCTCCATCCAAGGGGATGCCAATATCCACGTTGTAGTCTACAGGCTCCCCAGAGCTCAGCCAGGGAATAGGGGTTCGATTGAAAGAAGGCCTGTTGGAGAGGTTTTGGTTGTAGAGGACCAGGGGTTCACTCAGCAAGGGCCCCAGGTCAAACTTGGGCATCTGGAAGGTCATGCGTTTGGAGGCCTTCTCATATCCACCATAGGGCATTGCCGTCCTGAGAAGGGGACACATTATTTAATTAAGAATCAGAATAAAAGAAACAGAGCCTTATCATGAGATGCTACCCTCTTTGAGAATAGGGAAGTCTGTGAATTCTAGTTTGGGATTGCATCTGTACTCCTTCTTCTTCCTTAGCATCCCATTTTGCCTTCCTGGTTAGCTTGTTTCCCCAAAGCTAATAATGAGAAAAGGAGTCTAGTGTGTACTAGAGACTCTTGGATAGCTGTGACCCAGACCAGCATTTCAGAGAAAGTGACCCCAAATACTATAGACCCAAGGGCCTGAGGTCACCTTACATGACAATGTAGAAAGGCCAGGTGCGGTGCGGTGGCTCACGCCTGTAATCCCAGCATTTTGGGAGGCCAAGGTGGGTGGATCACTTGAGACCAGGAGTTTGAGACTAGCCTGGTCAACGTGGTGAAACGCCATCTCTACTAAAAATACAAACACCCCCCCCCCAAAAAAAAATTAGCTGGGCATGGTGGCGCACCCCTGTCATCCCAGCTACTCAGGTGGCTGAGGTATAGGAATTGCTTGAACCCAGGAGGTGGAGGTTGCAGTGAGCCGAGACTGCACCACTGCACTTCAGCCTGGGCAACAGAGCAAGACTCTGTCTCAAAAAAAAAAAAAAAAATTGCAATATAGAGACCCCCTCTCTCCAACCCTAGTGGACAGTGGATAGCCTGGCTAAGAGTAATTATTGTTGCCTGGAAAATCCAGGCTCCTTAGGACCAAATACAAGAGTACCTTTCTAGCTCTTCCCTATCCTTTCACACAGACCTCCTCTCCATGGGCTAGAGAAGCCTAATTCCAAAAGAACAGAGACTTAGAGCCATCTAAAGCAGGGTGGCCAGGCATGGTGGCTCACGCCTGTAATCCCAGCACTTTGGGAGCCCGAGGCGGGCAGATCACCTGAGGTCAGGAGTTTGAGACCAGCCTGGTCAACATGGTGAAACCCCATCTCTACTAAAAATACAAAAATTAGCTGGGCGTGGTGGCGGGTGCCTATAATGCCAGCTACTAGGGAGGCTGAGGCAGGAAAATCACTTGAACCCAGGAGGCGGAGGTTGCAGTGAGCTGAGATCATGCCACTGCACTCCAGCCTGGGCAACAAGAGCAAAACTGAGTCAAAGAAAAAGAAGGAAAGAAAGAAAAGAAAAAAGTATAAGGAAATAGAATCATATTACAGGGAGAATAATGGCATCCTAACCTTGAATGGAAGAGAGCCTCAAGAGGCCTTCAGACATGTAAAATGTTATTCGCATTTAACATTCAAAGCAGGCCGGGCACGGTGGCTCACCCCTGTAATCCCAGGTCTCAGGTAGGCAGAGGCGGGAGGATAGCTTGAGCCCAGGAGTTCGAGACCTGCCTGGGCGATATAGCGAGACCCCATTCTCCACAAAAAGGAAGCAAAAAAAAGACAAAAAATAAATAAGTGTAACGTTCAAAGCAACCCAGGCTCAGAGGTAGAGTGATTTTCCCATGCCTACACAGCTAATAAATGACCATTGAGCTAGAATTCAAATCCTGCCTCCCAGCAAATTTTTTCCTTCATCACACTGCTATGATGAAGCTGAGATAGAGTGAAAAGAGCAGGGCCTTTGATTAGGACCCCCATATCCCTGCCATCTCTCCTTAGCCTCCTTCTGAAACATTTGAATTAGTCTCCATCCTAACTAAAGACACAGTGCCTCACACTAGAATGCATCTGGTTCCTTCCTCACCACCCCTACCTGTTGAAGGACTTATATTTGGGAAGTTCAGCTTTGGCCCCATAGGCCAGCAGGTCAATGCCAAGTTCCATTTTTTGCTGGGGGTCAACCCCCATGGCTCGCTCCCATGGGGAAATATAGGTCTTGAACACAGTGATATGTTTTCCTTCTCCGCCTGCCTGGTCTCCTGGTAGCCATGGGAGAGAAAATTCAGTCAAATAATAGCATTTAGTAGCCAATGAAAGGTAATCCCACGCCCCTACACTAGGGAAATTGCAAGAGCCAGGGACTAAAGATATAATATCCTGGTAATTGTATAAGGTTTGTGGCATAATGATAGTCTGTGGGCAGATCTGTGACTGAATCCGAAAAGCCAGGAAAGTAACTGAAAAACAAGGCTTCTGGGTAGAATAGACACATCTCTATATACTCCTGGACCCAGGTAATTCACCAAGATATTTATGATATTTAAACTGATATTATTATATTTAATATTAAGATATTTAAACTGACCTCCTCTGCTCCCCACACTCAGCGTAGACATCATTCCTGGGACAACTCTGCTCTAGGGACCAAACACATTACTCTTGGGTGAGTGTACTTGCCTGATCCTGTCTCACCAACCCCTGCTGTGCCAGCAGCTCCTCCTCTGCCAGCCTGGCCCGCGGGACCACCTGTACCCCCAGCTCCAGACCCAGAGCCCAGATGGTGCTGCTGATCAGAGCCATACTGTCCGGCAGAGCCACTGCCCCCTGCCTGGCTGCCGCCTCTGCCGTTGCTCTTGCTGTATGAGAATCCCTGACCAGCTGTGCCCAGCTGTCCCCCCACTGTTGGAAGGAACTTCTGGAAGTGATCCTGAAAAGAAGACAAAGTGAGGGGAAGGTTAGCAATGGGTATGGAAAATATACAAAAACAGAGGTATGTTTAGCAAAGGCAGAAATAGTGGCTAACCAGAAGACCCTGAATTTTCTGATATTTCCCCCTCCAGTTGATGGGTAGTACATGGGCTGACTAAGAGAATTAAACTCTTCTTTTTGTTTGTTTGATTTTTTGTGGTTTTTTTTAGACAGAGTTTCGCCCTTGTTGCCCAGGCTGGAGTGTGATGGCACGATCTCGGCTCACCGCAACCTCAGCCTTCCAGGTTCAAGCAATTCCCAGCCTCAGCCTCCCGAGTAGCTGGGATTACAGGCATGCACCATCACACCCGGCTAATTTGATATATTTTTAGTAGAGGTGGGGTTTCTGCACGTTGGTCCGGCTGGTCTCAAACTCCGACCTCAGATGATCCACCCACCTCGGCCTCCCAAAGTGCCGGGATTACAGGCGTTAGCCACCGCACCCAGCCCGAATTAAACTCTTCTTAAGAGGTAGGACTCCCTTGGCTCGTTTCCTCCAGTTATACCTAGGGTAAGGGCAGCGTGTTCTCCACACTCCCCTTTCTCATCCTTAACAAGTCAAAAAAGACCAACACGCCTGCCCAGCTTTAAAAAAAAAAAATGAAAAAAAATTCTTTTGCTTTTTGAGACAGAATCTGGCTCTGTCACCCAGGTTGGAGTGCAGTGACACAATCTCGGCTCACTGCAACCTCCACCTCCCTGGCTCAGGCAATCCTCCCACCTCAGCCTCTCAAGTAGCTGGGACTACTGGCATGCTACCACACCCAGCTAAATTTTGTATTTTTTTTTTTCCTAGAGACAGGGTTTGCCATGTGCCCAGGCTGGTCTCAAACTCCTGGGCTCAAGTGATCCATCTGCCTCAGCCTCCCAAAGTGCTGAGATAACAGGCATGAGCTGTGTCCAGCCCCAACTAAAATTTGGGAGGATGGGGTTGCCATGGAGCACCCAGTCTTAATTACAAGGACTAGAGAAATTCTGCCCCCTCCCTTCCTCAGCTTGTCCAACAGTCAGAACTCTCTTCTCTCTCCTTCTTTCTCTTCCTCTCTCCTCTTGGTGCCTGTTGGACCTCACTGGTGACAGTGACACTGTAGCAGGTGGGGGGAAGTGTGGCCAAAAGGGCAACATTAGATGCAAACCCAAAGCCTAAAAATAACCCCACCAACTTCTTCAGGAGGCTCTCCTGGCCATCCCACCATGTACACCCCAATGCTCCACCCAGTGTAACCAGACCCAGGCAGAGAAGAGTGCTTTTGGCCTCCTAAAGTTAGATATGAGCAGCTCAGCACTTTTACTCTGCTCCTATATGAGGACCAATGACAGACACTTCTGCCCCCGGCCCCATGCAGGCATCTATTTCCACTCTCCCCCAGCCACTCAGAGAGGGTGGAGGAGGAAGAAAGGAAATGGAGAAGGCCCTTCTTCCTCAGCTATACCATCCTGTGCCTGGCCCCTCTCCAGTCTCCTCTTTCTTTGGAGAAGGAGCCTGACTAGAATATATCTTGAAGGACCGTTTCAGTCTCCACACCTGGGGCTTCTTAGGGAATAGACTGACCCTTTAAATGGAAGAATGGCTCAAATGGGAGGTGGCTGTAAAAACTCAATTAACTCTTTCTAGGGTTGCCAGATTTAGCAAATCAAATATAGGATACCACTTAAATTTGAATTTCAGATGCACAACAAATTTTTATTTTTTTTTTTTAGATGGGTTCTCTGTCACCCAGGCTGGAGTGCAGTGGTGTGAACATGGCTCATGTTCATGCATCCTCTACCTTCCAGGCTCAAGCCATCCTCCCACCTCACCCTCCAGAGTAGCTGGGATTACAGGTGTGCGCCACCAGACCCAGCTAACTTTTTAATTTTTTGTAGAAACAGAGTCTTGCCATGTTGCCCAGGCTGGTCTCCAACTCCTGGACTCAAGCAGTCCTCTTGCCTTGGCATCCCAAAGTGCTGGGATTACAGGTGTGAGCTACCACACTTGACCCAAATACTTTTTTAGTATAGATATGCCTCCAAATATTGCTTGGGACTTACTTATACTAAAAAAATTATTCATTTGCATCTGAAATTCAAATTTAAGTGGACATCCTGTATTTTTATTTTAATGTCCCAAATATTGCATGGGACATATTTAAAAAAGAATTCATTGTGCATCTGAAACTCAAATTTAATTGTATATTCTGTATTTTAAAATTTCAATTTTATTCTTTGCCTTATCTTCTTCCTTTTTTCTTTTTTCTTTCTTTTTTTTTTTTTTTTGAGACAGAGTTTCACTCTTGTTGCCCAGGCTGGAGTGCAGTGGCACAATCTGGGCTCACTGCAACTCCACCTCCTGGGTTCAAGTGATTCTCCTGCCTCAGCCTCCTGAGTACCTGGGATCACAGGAACCCACGACCACGCCCAGCTAATTTTTTGTATTTTTAGTAGAGATGGGGGTTTCACCATGTTGGCCAGGCTGGTCTCAAACTCCTGACCTCAGGTGACCCACCTGCCTCGGCCTCCCAAAGTGCTGGGATTACAGGTGTGAGCCACCATGCCTGGCTGCCTTATCTTCTTTCTAAAATTTTTTTAAATTTTTATCTTTATGTCCCAAATATTGCATGGAGCATACTTCACTAAAAAATTATTCATTGTGTATCTCAACTTCAAAATACAAGACTGGACTGCCCCACTGGGCATCCTGTGTTTTATCTGGCAATCTATCTTTAACACTTACCTTTACTGGGAAGGAATTTTCTCCCTAAGGGTGTGGTATTCTCCAACCCTTCAGTGGCTCTATGATGAAAACTGGGTTTCAGAGGTGGGCTGTAACTCACCCTGGAGCTGTTGCGGGCTCAATATATCTGGGGGTTTAACAAATTTATAAATTTTCAGGGAGGGGATGTTGACTGCATTTTGGAGGTTCAGGGCCTACTAACAAGCTGTCAGAACAGGCACCAGGCTTTGAGATAGTGATAAAGTTCCAGACTCACCATTGAGCTGTCAGAGAAAACATCAGGGTGGTTCTCATAAATAAACTTCTCCACCCTCATCTGCCGCAGTTTGAACATCTTGGAGCCCCGGTTGGTAAGCAGCGACAGTTCCTCCAACATCACATCCCTTGGGACACTGATCTTTTTGCCCAGGTTCAAGCCTGAGCTCTCCTGTCCACCTTTCAGGGAGGCAAAGAAGAAGAATCAAGGGAAAGAGGAAAGTAGGGTTTTCTGGGCTCAGAATGCAGACCTCATCCACAACTAAGTGTGTATGTGTGTCCTGGCAGAGGTCATTTAGGGGAACAAATGCTGTCTAGTTTGTGAGGGATTTTGATTTCCTGGGACTTGGAGAGAATGCATGGGAACTGGGGTGCACTGTGGAGATAATGGGAATACTAGAGTGGAGAGGCCAATGGGGTAAAAGAGGTACGGGCATGGGGTACAGAGCAAAAGGAGTAAAGGAACATCATAGATGGAGGCCATTGGAGAAACCATGGCATCAGGAAAAACCCAGAGGCCAATCTTGTGTGGAGTCCAAATACAGATGCCATATATATATATATATATATATTTGTTTTTATTTTTTATTCTTTTTTTTCATTTTTTTGAGACAGAGTCCTGCTCTATCATCCAGGCTGGAGTGGAATGGCGCGATCTCAGCTCACTGCAGCCTCCGCCTCCCAGGTTCAAGCAATTCTCCTGCCTCAGCCTCCCAGGTCGCTGGGATTGCAGGCCTGCACCACCATCCCTGGCTGATTTTTATATTTTTTGGTAGGGATGGGGTTTCACCATGTTGGCCAGGCTGGTCGCAAACTCCTGAGCTCAACTGACCTACCAGCCACGGCCTCCCAAAATGCTGGGATGACAGGCGTGAGCCGTGGCGCCCAGCCTACATTTTATTTATTTATTTATTTATTTATTTATTTATTTATTTATTTATTGAGTCAGAGACTTGCTCTGTCTCCCAGGCTGAAGTGCAATGGCGCGATTGCAGCTCACTGCAACCTCCATCTCCTGGGTTCAAGTGATTCTCCTCCCTCAGTCTCCCAAGTAGCCGGGATTACAGGCACCCGGCACCATGCCCAGTTAATTTTTCTATTTTTGTAGAGACAGGGTTTCACCATGTTGGCCGGGCTGGTCTTGAACTTCTGACCTCAGATGATTGGCCCACCTCAGCCTCCCAAAGTGCTGGGATTACAGGCATGAGCCACCACGCCTGGACTTTTTTTTTTTTTTTTTTTTTAATGGAAATGAGGTCTCATTATGTTGTCCAGGCTGGTCTTGAACTCCTGGGCTCAAGTGGTCCTCTCACCTCAGCCTCCCAAAGTGCTGCGATTACAGGTATGAGACACAGCCCCAGCCCTATTTGTATTATTTATTTTGAGACAAAATAAATATATCTTAGGATGAACTCTGTCACCCAGGCTGGAGGGTAGCGTCGCAATCATGGCTCACGGCAGCCTCCACCTCCCGGGTTCAAGCGATCGTCCCACCTCAGCCTCTGGAGTAGCTGGGACTCTAGGCACATGCCACTACACCTGGCTAATTTTTGTACTTTTTGTAGAGACGAGGTTTTACCATGTGCCTAGGCCAGTCTCAAACCCCTGAGTTCAAGCGATCCACCAGCCTTGGCCTCCCAAAGTTCTGGGATTACAGGCGTGAGCCACTGCACCTGGCCCAGACTTCTGTCTTAACTACTTTCCCTTTTCTTTCCCTCAGTGAGCTCTGGCTCCAAAGAGTCTCTAGGTATTGAAGAGCTCTTCACATGCATGCACCCCTGCCCACCCCCAGGAAACATGCCTGTGCAGTTTTCCATTTTAAGTACTTACACAAGCTCCCTAGCTCTGGGGAAAGAAGTAAGGGAAATTAACCACTTATTGAGACCTGAGTCTGTGCCAGTCTCCATTATATTTTCTTCCTCAAATATACCTCACTGACTCATGGGTCCTGTGGTCCTGGACCTGTGCAGGTAACATGGCAGGGTATTGTCTCAGATTATGAAGTGAAAAGGGTAGAAGGTGTTGAATCTTTTCTCTCTTTCTCCTTACCCTTCTTAATCTTCCCTCTCCCACTCCCCATCACCCGCCTTCCCACCACTTAATTTCTCTTGTTTGTTCACCCTAAGATATATATTTCTGGGACTCTTGGTTTAGGGATGCTCTTAAGAAGTCCCACACTAGGGAGATGCAAACATGTCCTACCTCCAGTGAGTTCCATGATCAGCTTGCTGGATTTCCTCTTCTTATTAGGGGCCGGGGTTCCTGAGAGCGGCATTGTGGAGGTGGATTCAGCCTGGACAGGGTGGGAAGGAGGAGTTGGTGGATGGACAGGGACTGGGAAGAGTGAGTGTCTGTAGGAGAGCAGCACTTCTTAACCTGGGTTTAAGGGCTTGAGGGGACAAAAAAATTTTTTTTTCTTTTTTAGAGACAGGATCTCACTCTGTCGCCCAGGCTGGAGTGCAATGGCACAATCATGCCTCACTGCAGCCTCAACCTCCCTGGGCTCAGGTGATCCTCCAACTTCAGCCTCCCAAGTAGCTGGGACTATAGGTGCGCACCACCGTGCCTGGCTAATTTTTGTATTTTTTGTAGAAATGTGGTTTTGCCATGTTGCCCAGGCTGGTCTCAAACTCCTGGGCTCAAGCAGTCCTCCTGCCTCCCAAAGTGCTGAGATTACAGGGGTGAGCCACTTCACCTGACCCAGATTTTCAAAGAAGCATGTATTTCCCCAAAAGGTGAAAACTTGCGCTTTAGGGCTTCTCTTTTCTTGGGATACAGGACAGGAAGTATAGATGCACACCAGCCCCTGTTGTCTACCAACCTGTTGTGAGCTGTTTTTCATAGAGTCAGTGCAGGAATTAGGAACATAGCTAGGTGTGGGGAGTGTTTAAAAAACAATAACACAAGCAGGGCAATGCACCCAGGTTTCATTGGCTTGGCATGATTTGAAGTTTTTATTTGCACTGGGATATCAGACTGGGGCTGTGATTCCAGGCTCTGGTCTCTCCTCAGTCTTCCCCCAGTCCCCAGGAGGACAGAGAAATATTCTGCCAGGGTTGAGGAGATTCAGCCAAAAACACTCTCCATAGGAAGGAGAGGTTGTTGCTCCTTCATCAGGCCAGCTGGAACATGGCCTGGGAAGTCATGGCCCTGCTCCTGCAATCACTCCCGCCACAGACCCCAGAGTGGAGGCAGGTGTGGAACTGGGAAGGGTAGGGAGCATTCAAATCCCGACACGTCAATTCAGCAATATCATAGCAGTGGGGAATTGAGGTGGGGCAGAAACATAGTAATAGGATCTGGCAATGGAAAGGGACAAACTGGGATAAGATGGACTCCAATCCCTTCTTAAGAGAAGTTGGCACTCAGTGAAATGCTGTCCTCTTCTAAGTCCTGTCTCAAAAAATACATCTGCAACTCTACTGACTTAGTGGGGTCTCCCTTCCCATTCTTCCAGTGCCTCCCCCGACATCTCCATTCCCCCCAACCTCCTGGGCCCCTCTCCTTCCAACTCTCCTTCCCCTCTCCTTCCAACTGGACAGCTGGGAGCTGAGCATAGATGAGGAGAGGGGAGACTCCCCCAGGATCAAGAATCACAATTGTAGACACAGACACAGAAGTCAACACAGTGGGCTCCAGCCTTTCTAACGATAGAGCTGGAGACTTACCGGCTGCTCGGGCAGTGGTCAGCTCTCCCTGGGGTCCAGCAGCTTTGGAGGACTGAGCTGCTGTGACCGGAGAACACGAGCTGGGCAGGCGTGGGGGCAGCACTGGCAGTGGGGGAGGGAAGTTGGTTATTAATAGAGATGATGAGCGCAAGCAGCTCAAATGGCACAGGGGGTACTGAGACCCTGGAACCAAGATCCCTCCCTCCTTGCCCGGAGGCTCAGGAAGGAGGGAAAAGGCCTTTGGGATTCTCCCACTGAACTGTCTGAGCCAGGGATCAGTCTGCCCAGGGACTCCCCTTCACATTGCACCTAGAGCCTGAGATCCAAAGAAGCACTTAGGGAGAAACTGAAGACTGAGAGGGAGACAGGAAGTAGACAGCAAGTATTGGATAGGAATTCAGTCAGAGAGAGAGAGTCTGGGGAACATGCCCTGAGGGCCACACAGAGCCAATCCAGGGCAGAGTGGAGAGACCTGTGGGTGTATTTGGAGCAGGGAGGGCTTAAAGTGCTATATTTGGGGACAAAAAGGGAAGTCTTCACAGTGGAACTGCTCTTTTAAAGTTCCTGGATAGGTTGGTCTTTTCTCGGTAAGGGCTAGATCTTGGCAGGTTAAGGGACCAAATTAACTAAACCCAGTACCTCCTACAAAGGAATGATGTGGGGAAGACTTGACAATTATTCTGTCTGCCTCACTCCCTATTCTTTCCTCTTGAGCTCTGGCAGTTTTAATAAAAGACAAACACTTGGATCTGCATTTTTTTTTTTTTTTTTTTGAGATGGAGTTTCGCTCTTTTTGCCCAGGCTGGAGTGCAGTGGTGCGATCTCGGCTCACTGCAACCTCCACCTCCTGGGTTCAAGCAATTCTCCTGCCTCAGCCTACTGAGTAGCTGGGATTACAGGTGTCCACCACCATGCCCGGCTAATTGTTGTATTTTTAGTAGAGACGGGGTTTCACCACGTTGGCCAGGCTGGTCTCAAACTCCTGACCTCAGGTGATCCACCCACATTGGCCTCGCAAAATGTTGGAATTACAGGCGTGAGCCACCGCCAGGATCTGGTCTCTAAGGAGTTATTCTCTAGCCACCACGCCCAGCCAGGATCTGCCTTTTAACCTCCATTTGCTGTTGAGATGCTCAGTTCAACCTGCTGTGCGGGATAGACATCGATGTCTCCCTGAGAAGCACATATAGGCTCTCTGAGGTTTCTTTTCTTCTTCTTTTTTTTTTTTTTTTTTGAGACGGAGTCTCGCTCTGTTGCCCAGGCTGGAGTGCAGTGGCGCAATCTCGGCTCACTGCAAGCTCCACCTCCCAGGTTCACGCCATTCTCCTGCCTCAGCCTCCCGAGTAGCTGGGACTACAGGCGCCCACCAACACGCCCGGCTAAATTTTTTTTTGTATTTTTAGTAGAGATGGGGTTTCACCGTGTTAGCCAGGATAGTCTCGATCTCCTGACCTCGTGATCCATCCATCTCAGCCTCCCGAAGTGCTGGGATTACAGGCTCTCTGAGGTTTCTACTTGAGATTTCCTGCAAAGGGAGCACATACCACATAGGATCTGGACTGTGCCATTTGTACTGTTCCAGCGGAGTCTCTGGGCAGGGCCACAGGCTTGAAAGCCCCTTTGGGGAAAGCCTATCATTTCCCCAGGCCCTTCTTCAGTAGCTGCATGATCTTCCTCCACCTTCTGCTTAGATTCTGGAACCAGTTGCTGCAGCACTTCTGCTGCAGCCACCACAACCCTGTTGCTGCTACCTGAGGAAGTGGCTTTATTTATTTATTTATTTATTTGAGACAGGGTCTCACTCTGTTGCCTGTGCTGAAGTGCAGTGGCACAATTTTGGCTCACTGCAACCTCAGCCTCCCCAGGCTCAGGTAATCCTTCGACCTCAGCCTCCCAGGTAGCTAGGGCTGCTGGTACATGCCACCACGCCCAGCTAATTTTCATATGTTTTGTAGAGACAGGGTTTCACTATGTTTCCCAGGCTGGTCTCAAACACCTGGGCTCAAGCAATCCTCCTGTCTTAGCCTCCCAAAGTGCTAGGATTATAGGCGTGAGCCACTGTGCCTAGCTGGCTTTTTAAAAAATTATTTCTTTCTTTATTTTAGAGATGGGGGTCTCACTATGTTGCCCAGGCTGGACTTGAACACCTGGGCACAAGTGATCCTCCTACCTCAGCCTCTGAGTAGCTGGGACTACAGGCACGCACCAGGAAGTGGCTTTTGTAACTTCCTTTGTCCCCTTCTGAGCTCTTTACTCTTCCTGACCATGTCCTTTTTCCATCCTGTGGAGACCCTAAAAGGTATCCCCTCACAGTTGGCTTCTGCCCAGGCTAGTTATGCCTCCAGACCCCTCATCTTTTGTCCTCCTCCATCCCCTCCCAACCCAAGGAAGCAATTAGAAGATAAAATAGGCCGGGCGTGGTGGCTCATGCCTGTAATCACAGCACTTTGGGAGGCCGAGGTGGGTGGATCACTTGAGGTCAGGAGTTCAAGACCAGCCTGGCCAACATGGTGAAACCCAGTCTCTACTAAAAATACAAAAACTAGTCAGGCATGGCGGTGCGTGCCTGTAATCCCAGCTACTTGGGAGGCTGAGGCAGGAGAATCACTTGAACCCAGGAGGCAGAGGTTGCAGTGAGCTGAGATCGCACCACTGCACTCCAGCCTGAGCCACAGAGGGAGACTCCATCTCAAAAAAAAAGAAGAACTATAAATAGCTAAAGGTGACTTCATCATCACTACCACCCTCACCCTCAAAAACAAAAACAAACTGAAAGTTTGATCTCCTTCAACTGAGTACCCAAAACGACTGAGTGGGTGAAGACAGGCTATTTAACCTATGGTCTCTGAGATCTTTTTTTGGAATTCTAAGACAGTGCACTTGGAAGAGTCTGCGGCCTGGGTCTGATTATTGGCACAAATGTGCCCTCTGCTGGCAGAATCAGAGCAATGGCACTTTCCTTCTCTGAAGTCTAATTCTCACCTACCTCCAACGCCCTCCCTTCTTTAGTAGTCTCAATTCAGCTTTATTCTTCCCTCTCCCATCCCACCTTCCCCTCCAGCCCTCCAGCCATTGCTTTCTCTTCATTTACTTCCCAGAGACTGTTTAATATGGTTGCTTCCTCTAAGGAGCGAGGAAATGTTGATAGCAAAGGGCTCAGAGGGCCTTTCCAACTTCTCTGAGTTCTGTGAACTGAAGCCTTACCTAGAAAGTATGAGGCAAGGGAGGGAAAGGGGAGAACTTGGATGAAGACTGTGGGGAGAGGGAACCAAGAAGAGTGATGGAGGTGGCTAAATCAAAGCAGGACAGAATTTGTATAAAAGAGCAAAAGACCTGGGAACAAAGGGCAAAAGGATGAAAAATGGGAGGGCAGGAAAAGAGACAGATCAGAAATCAGATCAGGGGAATGGGTTAAAGAAGATTAAGGAGAGATCAGGATTTAGGAATAAAACTAGAAGATAACAGCAACAGAAGGTATGGGGCATAAATTTATTCTTGTGCACAAACCAAAGTATTGTGACTCACACCCAACAAGCAAAGGAAATTATCACTTTCCAGATTACACAGCAAACGTAGCTGGTGGTGGTCTTGGTGAGAAGGGAGTCCATACTAAGATTGGAGATCAGGACCTGAAGCTGAAAAGAAGCAATAGCTGGGGTTTTGAGGGATGGGGTGGGACTGAAAGGAGGTTTTGGCTCTGGGTATTTCCCTACTCTTTCCCAGGCAGTCATGGCAAGCTGCAGAAGACACACTGAAGAACAGACTCAAGGAAAATCACACAGACACCAACCGTTCTTTCAACACTCAGCACACACCCTCACACCTCCCTTCCACCATCATTCCCTTCCATTCTAACATTCTTCTCCCTCAAATTTTTTTCCAATCCCCCTCTCACACACGGTTGGTTTCTTGTTACTCAACTTTACCTTCTCCCAATATGGCATTGTCCCTCGCCACACTTCTGTCTGTGGCTCAATCACTTACACTCATTTCTGCCATGCTTCTGATTTTGGCCTCACTTGCCACACTCTGGCTCTCTTCTCCTTTCTCTCAAGCTCATGAGGCAATGAAGCCAATGATTTGTTCATTCTCGGAGGGAATTTTCTTTCTTTTTTTCATTTCCTGGGTACTGGGTTGCTCAGCACTGGCCTCTCAAGTTGCTAACTTTTTGAAATCCTGAGGTATAGAATTCTTTGTTCTATTCCTGGTCTAGCTGGTATAACTCAGCCCATGCAAACTGTCCTGGCCCTTCAGTCTTTTCATGCTCCATAACTTTCACAAGATGCTGTACACCTGCTACAGACATTGGTCTCTAAGGAGTTATTCTCTAGTGAATCTCTTTCTCCCACTCAACTCCATGTGGGGATATCTGACCCTTCTATCAGTACAACGATAAGACTCAGATTGGGTCTTTTGTTTGTTTGTTTGTTTTGAGACAGAGTCTCGCTCCGTCGCCCAGGCTGGAGTGCAGTGGCGCAATCTCAGCTCACTGCAAGCTCCGCCTTCCAGGTTCATGCCATTCTCCTGCCTCAGCCTCCCGAGTAGCTGGGACTACAGGCGCTCGCCACCACGCCCAGCTAATTTTTTGTATTTTTAGTGGAAATGGGGTTTCACCGTGTTAGCCAGGATGGTCTCGATCTCCTGACCTCGTGATCCGCCCGCCTCGGCCTCCCAAAGTGCTGGGATTACCGGCGTGAGCCACCGTGCCCGGCCTCAGATTGGGTCTTTATTTTGACCTCCCCTCTTATTCATGCCTTAGACGGAAGAGCACACACACACACACACACACACACACACACACACACACAGGCCTAGGTATATGCCAGTCAAGCTTGGGAAAGCAGAGTGGGGGGTGGGGGTGGCTTAGTGCAAACAGGGGTCAGTTCAGTCCCTTTGCTGTGTGCCTGGTGGTGAGCTTCTTGCCTGAAGTCCCAGTGGTCACTTCTGCTCTGTTTACTTCTCACTGAACATTAAAATGAGGCCCAGGGAGAAAAGCACAAATGTCAAGGAAGAGAGATCTGTGGAGGAATATGGGTGGAGAAGCCTGGAAATAAAGACAGAGATCCAGGAAAGGAAATGCAGAGACAAAGAGAGGCAAAGATACCAAAGCAGACATACTTGGTTGGAAAGCGGCAGGGAGGTAGAGAGTGAGGAGGAAGGTGGGGGAAGGGGACATCAACTTGGAAACCATCTCTGGCAGGAGGCAATTTAGCTTCCAGATGCGTGACAGGGGATGGGATAGGGTAGGAGAAGCAACTTTAGGAACTGGATGTTCCACCTCTCCTTGGTCCTGGGACCTGTGCCTGTTCACTGGTGCCCTGCCCCAGGCCTCCACACATGAGCTTGCAATCCTGTTCTGGTGGCTGAAAATCGGGGCCTGGCTACCTGGAAACCGCAGGAGCTGGGAGAAGCCCCAAGGCCCCTGGGAGCCTCTGGAGGAGGGGCTGGGCTAGGAACAGGGGCTGAGGCCAGTTCTGTTCTCCAGATGGGCTCATCCAGTGTAGTGGCTGCTCGGGGGGCAAGCACAGTGGGAGCCAGGGGTTCTGCAGTGGGCTGGGGTGCCGGAGTGGAAAACCGGCGAATCTCCTGGACTCGGGCAGTTTTGGGGGACCCTGAGGCGATAGGGCCAGGAGTCGGGGGAACCTCATCAAAACAGAACATGGCAGTTTTAAGTTGATAGGGCTGATGCCGCATAAAATCTAGAGCCTTGATGCCCTGCTTGGGTGTTGCCCGAGGCCCCTGGGATTGGGCCTTAGGGAGAGTTCGGGCCGCCTGGGGGAAAAAGGGAGAGAGCAGTGGGTTGTAAGCAATAGGAGGCGGGGCACGGATGTTGGGTGAATATTTCCAGGAAGGGGGCAGAGACGGGGTAGGAGAAGGACTTCTAGGCCGAGGGCCAAGACCAGGACCAGGTGTACCTTCCACCACATACCTGTCCGCACGGCTCTGCCGCTTAGCAAACAGCTCCCCACCCCTGCCCTGCAGCCTTGGTGGCTCAGGGATTCCAGCCGAAGAGGCTGCCCCATTCACGAGCCCATCAAGGAGCCCTCGAGATGGGGGCTTAGGAGCCACTGGGGGTGGAGTCTTAGGAGTCATAGGGGGCGGGGTCTTGGGAGCCATTGGAGGGGGGGTCTTAGGTGTCACGTGAGGCAGGGTCTTGTAACTCCTGGCCCCTACTGGCTGCATGAAGTTGCAGGCTTCAGCCCCGAGGCTCAGAGCATCTTCTTCAGGACCAGATTCTGCACCCCCGGCCCGAGGCTTTTCATCCAGGTTCTGTACCAGCGATAGCAGCTCGGGGTTGGGCGAGTTCTTCGTCTCCTCCTTTCCCGGCCGGAACATCTGCTTCCGGGTCCCCCGGCGCCGGGCCTCCTGCAGGATACCCGTGCGGGCAGCTGGCACAGAGATGCGCTGCTCGCGAGCGCTGGGGGGCTCAGGAGCCCCTGGGCCTGGGGCAGGCGCCTCTGGGCGCGCAGAGGGTCGCAAAGGCGCAGATAGGAAGATAGAAGCGGTGGAGGTCATGGCAGCTGCGCTAGGAGGAGCGGGGGGCTCTGGAGCTCCACCTGGGGTGACAGGCCGACTAGGGGCTGGGATGTACAGGGAGCTGGTGGCTGTCACAGGGCCCGAGGAGCGTGGGGTGCTGGGGGAACCAGAGACTGGCGCGTGGCTGGGAACCCCTGAAGTGAAGCTGGGCAGAGGGGTGGGCCCCTGCGAAGACAAGAAGGGGGGTGGGGCGGGGCTGAGGCCCCCCAGGCTGTCGTTCGCCCTTTTGGGGGCTAAAGGCCGGAAAATAACCGAGGTGGTAGTTGGCCGCTGCCCTTGTAGGCCCGGGGTAAAGGGCCTGGCTGACCGGTTAAAGATGCTTGGAGCTGGGGTCGGGGCTCCACCACCTGGTTGGAAGGGTCTGGGGCTGGCTACAGGCGCCGGCAAGGGGCTGGGTGGGAGCACAGCTGCCTCTGGGGGAGCACTCTGGGCCCGAGGTGGTGACTGCAGGCCTTCCCCGTTGAGCATGGCTGCTGGTTCGACCCGTGCCAGTTCCTGGGTGCTGGAGTCTGCGCGCTGGCGCTGCTGTTCAAAGAGCTGCACCCCTCGCCCAGAGACCTCACTCAGCTGCCCTCCCAGCCCAGAGCCCTGGCCCTCTGATGCTCTTGAGCCCGCCCTGGCAAGCTCCATGTCCAGATAGGGACTGTCCCAGTCAGATTGATTGGTGAGGCTGCGGGCGTCAGAGAAGGCTTCTTCGTCCAGCTCGGACTCACTCGTGGGGGGAACGCCGTCCTCCTCCTCAGCGCCTGTCCCAGCAGCAGCCCCGAAGCTCACCAGGGTGTACTTCTTGGCTCTCTGCCGCCGTTTCTTAAACATAAGTACCCCTTTGGAGTGGGGGTTGGGGGCTGCAGTGAGCAGGGATGCAATTGTCCTGCATTTGGTCTTGGCCTCTTTTATGCTCTTCTCTTGGAGGCTCTCTGCACGTTGCAGTTCTGGGGAGGCCAAGAGGTAAAATGGTCAGGGGGGCTTCCCAGCCTCTTTTAGTCCTGTTCCCCAAGGCTTTCACCCCCCATCCCAGCAAGCTCCCTCTTGCACTGACCCGACCCACAATGTCCCCTGTGACAAAGTCCTCTGACTTAGGGGCAGAGTGGAGGGTGAAAGGTGAAACCAAGGACAGTTAAAGATAAGGCAGAGTCCAGTTGGCTGCCCTGACACTGCTCTGACCACAGCTCTTCCATCCCATTTTACTGCTATTCTGCTCCTATCTTCCAAGAGATGTGCTCTTATCCACCCCACACACATTCCTCACCTGCCTCCCATTCCTGACTGGCAATGGGAGGGGGAGGAGAAGGATGTGTCACTCTCCGTGGCAGACAGGGAGATAAGCAGGTCCCAGGGAGAGGAAAGATGAGAAGGAACACTTTCCACCCATCATAGGGACCATGTTAGGAGGCTTCTCATGAAGCTTAGGACTCATCCTCTCCACTACCCCTTACCCCTATGATATGAGCACAAAGAACCCTTAGCAATGAGGATCTTCATTCACAATTCCACCCTCCTCATGCAATCCACATCATACACATTCACAGAAATAACTCCCACCACACAGCACTTCAACAAGAATATCCATCTAGTGAAAGCCAACTGTAGGCGTACTTTCTCCTATTTACTTTTCTCTCTCATTCACATATACCCCAGCTTACATACAGCTCCATTCACATACACTTATGTAAATACACATGTGTGCACATCAAAACACCATCACTCAAATACATTCACACACCTACATGCTCTAGGTGGCCCTTCTTCCCAGAGACCTCCCTGCAGAGACCCTGTTACTAACAGTTTAGACAGAAGTTAAAGTTGATCTCGGCCTTCCAACTGCCAGGGCAGTCCTCTGGGCTTCACACCCCTGCTACTCACAGTCAGGGGTAGTCTCCATCCAAGATGCAGGAAAAGTTAGAGTGTTGTTCTCCAAGGCAACACTCCAAATCTTTAGGATACCTCAAGGTCGCCAGCTAAATATATTATTTACCCCAAGCTGGGGATGGTAGTGGGGTGGGCTTCTTCAGGGGTCAGAACTGTCTCTACGTAGAGAGCTCAGGCAGCCACTGCCAGCCAGGCACACAAAGACTATGTGCTAAAGGGAACCAGGGCAGGGCTTTCCATGCCATGTGGGGCCTGGGTAGGTGGGGCCAGGAAATGGGAGGGCTACCCTGCTGCGAGGACCCCGCCTTGCACATGGATACTCTCTGGTCCATGGTCCCCAGTTCCTCCTGAAAAATTATTGAGATTCCATCTACTTTCCACTCAAGGTACCATGCTCCTTTGTAATGAGCTCCTTTGTAATGAGCTTTGTAATGAGCTCCTTTGTAATGAGCGTGGTATCTTGAGTGGAAAGTAGATGGAACTTTTTCATTTTTGTCATTCCTCTCATCCCAGTGTTTATACCACAGAATAGTGGTATGGATGAGACAACAGGCCCTAGAGTCAGAGTTCAGTTCAGGTTTTTGGTTTCTGGGATAGTTACCTCACCTCATTAAAGTTCGGTTTCCTCATCTGTAAATGAGGGTAGACAATGGCTACCTCATAGGATTGCTATAAGGATTAACTGAGATAATATAGTAAATTTAGCACTTAACACAGTGTGAAGGCCCACTATAACCATTACTATTGAAGTCTTCTTGACACTATACTTTCTTGATATATATGGATACTTTCTTGTTCACACATATCTTCTCCCATGACTCACACATACATGCCTTCATGTATTCATAATGTACTCACACACGCTCTGTTCCCATGAGTTTTCTACAGCTCTTGTGGTCAGAAACCCCTTTGACATGTGACCACAGCATCACTGAGAAAGGGGCAGTGAAACTCTCCTGAGAAAAGGAGGAAGAGGACAGCAAAAAGGAACAAGAGAGTAAGACCTTTCCCAAAGACTACCCTTCCTAAACTATTGACATCTTCCCCTCCATTCTAGACCCCAGACTCTCATAGATATGGGAGGGTAGTACCTGCATAGAACGAGTCTTGGAGCTCAGGAACTGGGTCTGGGGCTTTGTCATAGCTGGCTTGGCTGAGGGGCTCTTGGCTGATGGGCTCAAAGGTCTCCATGCTGAGAAAGGCGGTGTTGGCTGGAGCAGGACCAGCTTGAGCCACCCCCCACGCCTTTTAAAGCCCCTTTGTCTTGTCCCCAGAGCTGGCAGCTGAATGAGCTCACTGTGCTATTTTTGGAGCCTGGCCCTCTCCCTTCTCTGGGCTGCCCCACAAGTGCCGGTGTGATGGATGTGGGCACCTGCCTTCCCTTCCCCCAACCCCACCCCAGTAGACAATGAGGTCTGCTTGACTAAAAATATCTCTGAGCCAGTAGCTACAGTCTCATCCAGCATTATGGGAAGGGAGGGGGAGATAAGTGGAGAATTGAGGAAAGCATAGGATCCTAGGCACGCATCTGGAATTCCTGGGATATTGGACACTCAGGGATGTCAGACTCTCAACTCTCATGTCCTTAGCCTCCACTCCAAACTGAGAGACACAAAGTTCTATAGATCAGGAATCAAAATGGTGGAGGAGAGGGAAGAAATATAACTAGAGGGGGAATCATGAGATTTTGGAGGTAACAAGAACGGTCTCTGTGGGAAAGCACGGGAGGCATAGAGCAGGGAGAACGTTTACCCTTAGACCTTGTTCTGTAGCTCACATCAAAAATAGCAAAGCCTGAGATAAGTGGAATGGGCTTTTTCTGCCCAGGCCAACATTCTTGCCTGAGATAAGGAGCCAAAGCTCCCTCCCTCTGCCACTTCCTCGGGATCTCATGATCATCCCATAGCCTCTCAGTCCCCAGGAATCCGAACTGAACTTGCAAATGTCAAAGGTGCCTGCTATTAATACTATAAAGAATCCTTTGGCCAATGGCTCACGCCTGCAATCCCAGCACTTTGGGAGGCCGAGGCGGGTGGATCACAAGGTCAGGAGTTCGAGACCAGCCTGGCCAACATAGTGAAACGCCGTCTCTACTAAAAATACAAAAAATTAGCCAGGTGTAGTGGCGGGCACCTGTAATCCCAGCTACTCGGGAGGCTGAGGCAGGAGAATTGCTTGAACCCAGGAGGTGGAGGGTGCAGTGAACCAAGATTGCACTCCAGCCCGGGTGACAGTGCAAGACTCTATCTCAAAAAAAAAAAAAAAAAAAAAAAACCAGAAAAAAAAAAGAACCCCTGTAGCTTTGACCCACTTTTATTTATTAATTTTTATTATTTATTTATTTATTTATTTTTAAGACAGGGTCTTGGTCTGTTGCTCACGCTGGAGTGCAGTGGCGCAAACATGGCTCACTGCAGCCCAAACCTCTCAGGCTCAAGCAATCCTCTTGCCTCAGCCTCCCAAGTAGCTGGGACCATAGACATGTGCCACAGTGTTTGGCTAATTTTAAAATTTTTACTGGAGACGAAGTCTCACGATGTTGTCCAGGCTGGTCTCAAACTCCTGGCTTCTGCCGGGCATGGTGGCTCACGCCTGTAATCCCAGCACTTTGGGAGGCCGAGGTAGGCATATCACCTGAGGTCAGGAGTTCGAGACCAGCCTGACCAGTATGGTGAAACCCCATCTCTACTAAAAATACAAAAAATTAGCCAGGTGTGGTGGCGGGTGCCTATAATCCCAGCTACTCGGGAGGCAGAGGCTGGAGAATCGCTTGAACCCGGGAGGCGGAGGTTGCAATGAGCCAAGATCACGCCATTGCATTCCAGCCTAGGCACAAGAGCCAAACTCCATCTCAAAAAAACAAAAAACAAAACAAAACAAAAATCCTGCGTTCATGCTATCCTCCCACCTCAGCCTCCCAAAGTGCTTGGATTACAGGTATGAGCCACCTTGCCCCGCCTTCAACCTGCTTTTAAATACTCCCCTGTCCTGTGTCTGTACTCTGCTTTCACCCAATCATGACACACAATAACAATTATCACCACCACCAAACCCTTCATCTATTTGTGTCCCTTTCCAATTTCCCTACTTACCCTGTTCCTGGGTTGAACTGAATCACCTTACCCTTTTGCCACATTGGTTCAAACAGCAAAAATAATGGTGGCCATGAGAATAATTATGCTCCCCTTCTACTCATTACCCCTCCTGTCCCCAAGACTGTATCCAAGGGTCCCAAGGTAGGGAGAATGTACGGCTATAGAAGGCTGGATTTAAGGCTCAGATTGAAGGATCCTGGCTGGGGAAAAGGGGTTCAGGCACTCACTGGCTTGCTTGGCCTTCTGGGTGTAGGTGGTAGTAAGATCTTCTGCCACTGGGTGGGGAACAGGCCCCACCATAGGGATGAGATGAGGACCAGGTCGGAGGGGGCCATGGGGTAACAGCAGAGCCTCAGCTGGGGGTGGCTGAAGGGCTGCCCCATCCTCCCAAGACGGGGAGCTCACACGGCTGTCACCCTGGCTGGGAGGGCCAGGGATAGTAGGTGCTGGCTCTGCAGGGCTGTCAGACAGGTAGACCTCATCAGGTGGGGCACCCGGAGGGGTGGGCCTTGTGGGGCCTCGGCGGCGAGGTCGACGGGGCTTCTCCTGGGTGGCAGGGCCATCAGCATCACTGTCAGTCTCTCCGTAGTAAGCCTCACTATCAGGAGGTGAACGAAGGCTCCCAGGCTGAAGAGGCTGAGGAACTGGAGCACCAGGGGGCTCAGGACTTAGTGGAGATAAGGGTGACAGCACCTGAAGCTCATGGGGAGATGGAGATTGCACAGGACCCTCGTCTGCTAACCTGGATAGGAAAGATGACAGAGCTTGAGAGATGGGCTGGGTACTGACAGCTAGAGAGATCTGGAAGGGATGGAGGGAAGAGGTAAGGGGGAGGGAAGAGGTAAGGGAGAGAGAAGGCTGTCATACAGTTGGAATGGGTGGGCCGGGAAGAGTGGAGATATGAAGACAAACTGGGAGGCAAATGTGCTTGAAGGGCTGTGAGTGGAAATAGGCTTAGAGGAAGATGTAATGAGGAGGAAACAGGCCAGGGGTTGAAGTAGGCTCATCAGTCAAATACCCACTGACATCCCCATCCCTTAATTGCAGATACATTCAAGCCCTCTGGGAGGCAGACACAAACCATCTGCACTCCAGCAGAAACGCACGAGCAGAAATAGGTACCTGTTAGTTGCTAAAGCCAGGCCAGTGAGACATAGAGCTGAGACAGGCAATGGGAGCCCTGGATTAGGGGAAGAGAAGAGGAGAGAGGTCCATACCGCTGCACAGTGAGGACAAGCTGATTTCCTGAGGCATCGATGAGGCTCATGGCACTGGCATGGGAGAGGTTGGTGCAAGAGACCCCATTGATTGCCAAGAGCTGGTCCCTCTCTCGGAGTCCTGCTCTGCCAGCCTGGCTCCGTCTTCGAATCTGAGATGTTGAAGGAGACACTGTAGGTAAGAGGGGGCTCCAAAGGGAATAGAATGAAAGGAAAAGATGGGAAGGACCCACAGGAGGGGATTTTACTTTGCAGGGTAAGAAGGGTGGGGAGATGCATGGAAGTGGCTGCAGTTGAAGTGGCCTGTCTAGAGGGAAGAAAGTATACAGACTGGAGAAAGAAATACATCATATGGTGGGAAATAGGGTAACCATTGAATGAAAGAGGCTTGGGAAGAACTGCATGGGGTAGGTAACTAGAAATGGTGGTTATTGGCTGGGTGCAGTGGCTCACGCCTGTAAGCCCAGTGCTTTGGGAGGCCTAGGTGGGTGGATCACTTGAGATCAGGAGTTTGAGACCAGCCTGGCCAATGGGTGAAACGCTGTCTCTACTAAAAGTACAAAAATCAGCTGGCCGTGGTGGTGTGCGCCTGTAATCCCAGATACTTGGGAGGCTGAGGCAGGAGAATTGCTTGAACCCAGGAAGCAGAGGTTGCAGTGAGCCATCATGTCACTGCACTCCAGCCTGGGCAACAGAGTAAGACTCTGTCGCAAAAAAAAAGAAAAGAAAAAAAACGGAAAGAAATGGTGATTATCTCCACAAGCTTTTTCTCCAAGGGCAATATCTATATTGGCTGGTAATTCTCTACTAGGCCTTGTAACCCCAGGCGCCATTACACAGTCAAGATTTTAGAACAGTACTCCAGGTTGGAGGGAGTCCAGCGGTATTCTGGGAGATTGTGATTATTTGGGTATATGTGTGCCATGTATACACACAAATGTATATATGCCAAAGTAATAATAGTAGTAGTGGCTACCATTTATTGAGTTCTTACTAAGTGTTGGGCACTGTGCTACATGTATTATTGCATTTAATCCTTAGAATGGTTCCATGAAGTAGGTACAGGTACTATTATTACCCACATTTTACAGTTCGGAAAACTAAGCCTGTAGGGTGAAACCAAAAGGATAATGACTTCATCTGTGAGGCCAGATCTTGCCATAACCCTCCTAGCACCTAAAAAAGTCTTGCCTAGTGAGAGAAAGGATCTGACCTAGGGAAAGAGCACTGAAGGCATGGGCAGGGCAGGGTGAGGCAGGGTAGGGCTGGGCTGGGCTAGGCTGTTCGAGGCAGTTTCAGTTCATCACATATCAGTTTAGTCAGAGAGAAATTAGAACCTTCCCCGTATTTCTGGAGTTTGGAGTAGAGGCACATACCCAAGAGAACAAACACTGGATGACCAGAGCTGGGCCTCTGATACCACAGTGCTGCAGGGAACTGAAGCAGAGCCTTTCCTTTTCCTCTGCTCCCTGGAAACCGCGAATTCTCTTTTCTAATAGACCCCCACAGGAAGCCTGTGGTCAGACGCTACTCCCACTATGAGACTTGAGCATACTTCCCTGCCCACCACCCACCCCATCTTCACAGCCTCCCACCCCCCCAACCCCCGCCATATGCCACCACACATCTCTTCCCAGGATCCCTTGGGTTCCCTTTCCCTGAAGCCTCATTTCAGGGGCTCTCCCTTACCTTAGACACCTGTAACGGTTTCCTCTGCTCGGCCCCCCCATGAAGTCGGAAGCCCCAGGGGGCTCCCCCTGATAGTGTGACCAGCACCTCCTCCTCAGCACCCATCGCTCAGCTTGGCCTATGGCCCCCGGAGTTTGAACAGTGTCCCCAGGAGAGAAGTTGAGGTGCTCGAACCCCGTCTGGGCTTCCTGTCCGGCTGTCCTGCTCCTGCTGCCCCAGGCCTCCCCCCCACACCACACACCACAGGCAGGCAACTTGGCCCTGGGATCATTACAGTCCAGCACACATGTCCCGTCAATCGCAGATGTGCTCAAAATAGATGCCGCTTGTACTCCCCTCCCTCCCCCTTCTGTGTTACTCCTAGAGCTAATTATAGTACAAACTTCTGCCCTCCATGTTCCCAATTCTCCTGCATGGGCCTTTTATTCAGGACTCAGAATACAAACTCTCTGGGCTCTATAACCAATGTACACCCTTTCAGGAACTGTGCCTTCTCTAATAGGACCATGGGCTAATCTCAACTGCTTTCCTCCAAAGACCCTTTCAAAGTGGCAGCAGCAGGGGCTTCAATTCCATAGCTGGCAAAGAATGGCTGGGCTTGCTCCAAGATCCCAGGAAAGAATGCACTCTCGCTATATAAATTTATCTGTTAATTAATAAATGGTGGGCCAGGCATGGTGGCTCACGCCTGTAATCCTAGCACTTTGGGAGGCCAAGGTGGGTGGATTGCTTGAGTCCAGGAATTTGAGACCAGCCTGGGCAACATCGTGAGATGGCCCCCCATCTCTATTTTCTTATTATTAAAAAAAGTTAAAAAAAAAAACCAAAAAACTATAGGCTGGGCACGGTGGCTCACACCTGTAAACCCAGCACTTTGGGACCAAGGTGGGCGGATCACGAGGTCAGGAGATTGAGACCATCCTGGCTAACACGAGGAAACCCCGTCTCTACTACAAATACAAAAAATTAGCTGGGCTTGGTGGCAGACGCCTGTAGTCCCAGCTACTCTGGAGGCTGAGGCAGGAGAATGGCGTGAACCCGCGAGGCAGAGCTTGTGGTGAGCCGAGGTCGTGCCACTGCACTCCAGCCTGGGTGACAGAGCGAGACTCCGTCTCAAAAAAAAAAAAAAAACAAACAAACAAACAAAAAACTATAAAAAAACAAATTACCTATTGCAATACATACGTGGTCATGGAAAGGTGTGTAGGTGTGCATAAACATACCAACCCATGTTAATACAATCTCTACTTGTCTCTAGGTTTCCATTACGAGAATGTCTCTGTTACAAGGCATAACATTATGGTGCTATAACTGTGATTATCAAAGGCTACAGAGTTTCATAAAATAGCTGCCCACCTAGTGTATGCTAAATACCGTTTGCCTTGGCATATGCCTCTATGTCCTAGAAACACTTGGGCTGGGTGCAGTGGCTCATGCCTATAATCCCAGCACTTTGAGAGGCTGAGGCAGGTGGATTGCTTGAGCCCAGGAGTTCAAGACCAGCCTGGATAACATGGTGAGACCCTGTTTCTACAAAAAAATACAAAAAAATTTAGCCAGGCCTGCCTGGTCACATGCTCCTATAGTCCCAGCTACTTGGGATATTGACGTGGGAGGGTTGCTTGAGCCCTGGAGGTCGAAGCTGCAGTGAGTCGTGATCCTGCCACTGCACTGTAGCCTGGGTGACATAGTGAGACCCTGTCTCCAAAAAAAAAAAAGAAAAAGGGGAGAAAACATTGGAGGCAACAGAGGGAGACCTGATCTCCAAGAAGAAAATAGTTGGGATTTTGGGGTCAGAAGAATTGAACTTGGGTTCTTTTTTTTGAGATGGAGTCTCGCCCTGTCGCCCAGGCTGGAGTGCAATGGAGATCTTGGCTCACTGCCACCTCTGCTTCCCAGGTTCAAACAATTCTCCTGCCTCAGCCCCCTGAGTAGCTGGGGCTACAGGCATGTGCCACCACACTTAGTTAGCTTTTTGTATTTTTAGTAGAGACGGGGTTTCGCCATGTTGGCCAGGCTGGTCTCAAACTCCTGACCTCGTGATCCGCCCATCTCAGCTTCCCAAAGTGCTGGGATTACAGGTGAAAGCCACTGCACCCGGCCACCCCCTTTTTTTTTTTTAGACCGAGTTTCGCTCTTGTTGCCCAGGCTGGAGTGCAATGGCATGGTCTCAGCTTACTGCTACCTCCACCTCCCAGGTTCAAGCGATTCTCCCGTCTCAGCCTCCCAAGTAGCTGACACTACAGGCACCCGCCACCATGCCCGGCTAATTTTTGTATTTTTAGTAGAGACGGGGTTTCACCATTTTGGCCAGGCTGGTCTCGAACTCCTGACCTCAGGTGATCCGCCCACCTCGGCCTCCCAAAATGCTGGGATTACAGGCATGAGCCACCGTACCCAGCTTGAATTTGGGTTCCTCAATAACTTACTAGCTGTGTGACCTCAGGCAGGGCAGTCACTTGGCCTCACCAGTAAAAAGAGGATTTAGGCCAGGCTCGGTGGCTCACGCCTGTAATCCCAGCACATTGGGAGGCCAAGGTGGGTGGATCACCTGAGGTCAGGAGTTCAAGACCAGCCTGATCAACATGGAGAAACCCCGTCTCTATTAAAAATACAAAAATTAGCCGGGCATGGTGGCGGGTGCCTGTAGTGTCAGCTACTTGGGAGGCTGAGACGGGAGAATCGCTTGAACCTGGGAGGTGGAGGTAGCAGTAAGCTGAGATCACGCCATTGCACTCCAGCCTGGGCAACAAGAGCGAAACTCTGTCTCAAAAAAAAAAAAAAAAAAAAAGAGGATCTAAATATCTATTCATTCACTATTCAAACATTTATTGAGTGTTAGCTACATGTCAGCCATTGTGCTATACCAATGGATTTCAATTAACCCTCAGTACATATTAAAATCACCTAGAAAACGTTTACAGCTACTGAGTCCCTAAAAAAAGACAGCATATCAGCATATAGGATTAAATGATGATGCAATGAAGTTTTACACACACACACACACACACACACACACACACACACACCCAGATCTCATCCTTAGGGACAGATTTTATTGGTCTGGTACCTGGTAGTGGCATTTTAAAAAGCACCACAAGGCCGAGTGCAGTGGCTCACGCCTGTAATCCTAGCACTTTGGGAGGCTAAGGCAGGTGGATCACCTTAGGTCAGGAGTTTGAGACCAACCTGGCCAACATGGTGAAACTCCATCTCTACTCAAAATACAAAAATTAGCCAGGCGTGGTGGCGCATGCCTGTAATCCCAGCTACTTGGGAGAATCGCTTGAACGCGTGAGGGAGAGGTTGCAGTGAGCCGAGATCACACCACTGCACTCCAGCCTGGGCAACAAGAGCAAAACTCTGTCTCAAAAATAAAAATAAAAAGCGCCACAGATGATTCTAATATGCAACCGAGGTTGAGAACCACTGAGTGCAGATACAGAAACCAATAAATTGCAACACATTAGTCTCTATCCTCAAGAAACTATGGTACCGAGCTGGGCATGGTGGCTCAGGCCTGTAATCCCAGCACTTTGGGAAGCCAAGGCAGGCGTATCACTTGAGGCCAGGAGTTTGAGACCAGCCTGGCCAACATGGTAAGACCCTGTCTCTACTAAAAATACAAAAATTAGTCAGGTGTGGTGGCACACATTTGTAATCCCAGCTACTTGGGTGGCTGAGGCAGGTGAATCGCTTGAACCCAGGAGACGGAGGCTGCAGTGAGCAAAGATAGTGCCACAGCACTCCAGCCTGGGCAACCCCTGTATATGCAATATTTGTTAACCAGTCCCTTTTGGTGCCCATCTAGGTACAGGTCTCATTTTTCGAGCTAAAGTATCTATAATACACTGGAAGTAATAGATGTCACCTCCATATTGTATGCCAAACCTAATAAGCAGAGCAAAACTTTTCATCCAAGTGATTTGATTAACATTTTAGGATGTTTCTAATCTCTCAATAATACAAATATGCTACAATAGATCTGTGTGTTTATCCTTTGGGCACCTGTGTGTGCCTGTGCACACCTGGAGAATAAAGTCCTGTGAGAGGAACCGCCATCCAAAGAGGGTGTTTCAGTCTGTACTGCCACCAACAATGTGCTCGTGCCTCTGAGCTTGCGTTTGGATCAGGAGAATTTGAAAGTCATCAGGAACCAAACCAGGATACAAGGTCCAGCTGTAGCTGGAAAGTGGCAAACGTTCCAAAGCTAAGACATTGGCTATTTCTGGGCTGTTCACAAACTGTGAGGCCAATTCCAGATGAGATCCAGAGAAAGGGTGAGCAGCTCACTTATTTTTTAAGCAAAACACATTTTCTTCTCATTTCTTCTAAGAACAAATGGCTTCCAGCAAGAGAAAAAGGGGATGCAACATTTTTACAAATTATTTCTTTTTTTATTAAAAAAATTTTAAGTTAAATGCTAAAGATATGTTTAACCTCTCTGATACTGACTTGCTCATGAGAAGAAAGAGAGAGGGCCAGGCATCTTGCCCACTACTACCCACTATCAACACTTAGGCCTGACATCAGTCTCTCAATTAATATTCTGGGCCAGGTGCGGTGGCTCACGTCTGTAATCCCAGCACTTTGGGAGGCTGAGGCGGGTGGATCACGAGATCTGGAGATCGAGACCATCCTGGTGAAACCCCCTCTCTACTAAAAATACAAAAAATTAGCTGGGTGTGGTGGCAGGTGCCTGTAGTCCCAGCTACTCAGGAGGCTGAGGCAGGAGAATTGTTTGAACCCAGGAGGTGGAGGTTGCAGTGAACCGAGACCATGCCACTGCTCTCCTGCCTGGGCAACAGAGTGAGACTCCGTCTTAAAAAAAAAAAAAAAAAAGGCCGGGTGTGGTGGCTCACGCCTGTAATCCCAGTACTTTGGGAGGCTGAGGCAGGCAGATCACGAGGTCAGGAGATCAAGACCTTTCTGGCTAACACAGTTAAACCCCGTCTCTACTAAAAATACAAAAAAAATAAAAAAAATTAGCCAGGTGTGGTGGTGGGCACCTGTAGTCCCATCTACTCGGAAGGCTGAGGCAGGAGAATGGCGTAAACCTGGGAGGCAGAGCTTGCAGTGACCTGAGATCATGCCACTGCACTCCAGCCTGGGCAACAGAGCGAGACTCCATCTCAAAAAAAAAAAAAAAAAAAATCAACAGCGGCTTCTAGGATGATTGAGCAGTGACTCAGTCTCTCCTTGACCAGATTCTGTAACTGTCCAGCAGAAATGCTTATCTGATCTCTGTGAGAACAGGAAGCAGCTCAGTGGGGGCCTTCCTTGCTAAATTCTTCATCAAGCTGGTCTGTTATCTGCCCTGAGTCCTGCAAGAACATCTCAAGAAAAATACCAAAAACATGCAAGACAAATGAGGGTCCTTCTTTAGTGTGTTCTTGAAGCACTGAGGTGCCTGAAAGTTATATATAGTTTCTGGGGAAACAGTTTTTTAGGAAATGTAGCACAGATACTAACTATTCTTCCAGAAGAGCCCCTTCCTGACGTGAAAGATCTTAGTGTGAGAGAGAAGCATCTGATTCATCATGGGGACCTATCCAACCAGCAGCAGAGACCCCAGTGCCAGTGTCCACCTCAGCAGAGGAGACGCGGGGGAAATGCAAAGTGTTTCTGTTGCGAAATACTTCACCTAGGGTGACTATAGTTAGCAGCAATGTATTGTATATTTCAAAGTAGCTAGAAGGCTAGGGGCAGTATCCCATGCCTATAATCTCAGCATTTTGGGAGGCCCAGGCAGGCAGATAGATTACTTGAGGTCAGGAGTTCGAGACCAGCCTAGATAACTTGGTGAAACTCCGTCTGTACTAAAAATACGAAAAATAAAAAATAAAAAATTAGCCAGGTGTGGTGGCCTGCGCTTGTAGTCCAAGCTACTTGGGAGGCTGAGGCAGGAGAATTGCTTGAACATGGAAGGCAGAGGTTGCAGTGAACTGAGATCACGCCACTGCCCTCCAGCCTGGGTGACAGGGCAAGACTCTCTCTCAAAACAGAAACAAAAAGAAAAAACAAAGTAGCTAGAAGAGGGGACTTGAAATGTACCCAACACATAGTAATACCGAATATTCAAGGTGATGGACACCACAAACACCCTGATTGATCACCACACATTCTGTGCATGTAAGAAATGCTCAAATGTACTCCATAAATATGTAAAATGTTTTATATCAACAAGAAAATACCTTGCCTAGTGTTTCCATCCAAATGGGAATAAATCCAGGGCTTGATGTACACATTTCACCCATGAGGGCATGGGTCCCTGAAGCCCCTTGGCCCTGCCTGGCCTGGAATGGCAATGAGCAGGCCATCTTGCCAGCTGAGACATGAAGCCCAGGCTGGGCCTCTGTGCCAGGTCACACCCCTCTCAGGATGTGCTAGCGCCTGCCTCAGGTTGGTTTCCAAAGCCTCATCCAGTAAAACCAGGTCTCTCAAAGCAATTCCTCCAACAAAAGGGAATTCTCTGCCTACTTCAGAGTTTTTTAAAGTGTGGGTGGTAGCATGCTAGAACTGAAAGATTTCAGAGTCAGAAGAAACGGTTCTTATTCTAACTGTACCTTCCACCTCTTGGTTCCCTCATCTTTAGAATGGGAATCTGTTGGGGTGATGAGACCCAACACCAGGTCGCGGGGGCGGCAAGTCCAGTGGAGTCAAAGGAATGAGAAAGAGACAGTTTGAGAGAGAAAATGGGAGCGGGGCGCCATCGCGAGTGTGGAGGCTGCGAAGGCCCCGAGTTCTGGGAGCCCACGCTAGTTATTGGTGATCTAACAAAGAAACAGGTGGTGAGGATGTGGCGGTTGAAAGGAAACGGTGTATCAAGTGAATGAGAAACATATGGCTACTTGAGAGAATGGGAGTGCTAGAAGCAAGGAGCCAGCAAGTCTAGCAAGCCCTGCCTCAGCTTCTCTCCCAACACTCAGCTTTTCTCCCAACAGGAATCATACAAAACTCAGAGGCTAGTGAAATGTTAAAGCAGGTGGTCCACACCAGCTGCAGAGTCACAAACAAAATACGTGTCTGCTGCCATTTAGAAAGAGGACACAAACTCAGGCAAGACTGTTTTTCACACGATGACCCATGAGTGGCGCCTGGCTGGGCCTCCCCACACATAGCTGCTGACCTCTGAATACAACATACACTTCGGGACCAGGTGCAGTGGTTCACGCCTGTAATCCCAGCACTTTGGGAGGCCAAGAGGAATGAATCACTTGAGGTCAGGAGTTTGAGACCAGCCTGGCCAACATGGCGAAACCCCGTCTCTGCTAAAAATACAAAAATTAGTCGGGCGTGGTGGTGGGTGCCTGTAATCCCAGCCACTCAGGAGGCTGAGGCATGAGAATCACTTGAACCGAGGAGGCAGAGGTTACAGTGAGCCGAGATCGCACCACTACACTCCAGCCTGGGTGCCAGAGCAAGACTCCATTTCAAATAAAAATAAAAATAAAAATAAAAATGCTTTAGGGGACTCGGATGAAATTGAAAATGCCCTTTTTGACTTTGAACAGACTTGGTGACTTGTTAAGAAATCTTTGAAGCTTTAAAGTTATGGTAAAAATAAAAATCCATCTTCCTTTTCCTGCATAAGTTATTCAGAATAGGCTGTTTTGACAAGAAAGGCTCCCCAGATTTCCAGAGGGAAGGGTCCAAGCTGCCAGTGTTCACCCAGCACCAGGACTCATGCCCTGCCCCCAGGAGACCTCCCCAGGTCTGCACCCCTCAACTCCGTGCTGACTTGGTAGAGCAGGAGACCAGGGTTCCTGAGGGGCCAAGGCCTCCCCGCAGGTCCTCGCCTGCCTAGTAACATCCACCTCCAATGGACCCAGTCTGCCCCAGATCCCCCCAGCCCAGGTAGAAAGGAGCCCCAGGTCCTCACTGGCTCCCTCGGTGGCCTTCTCGGTGCGGTGGGCCAGGCCCTCGGCAGCCAGCTTTCCCAGGCCTCCCAACATCGTGTGGCAGCAGACAGTGGTGAACTAGGAGGCTGAGGACTGGCCCAACATGCTTTTATAGCTGCCTCTGGTGCCTATCTAGGCTCTGGGGCAACAAGCCCTCGCCCCAGCCCAGTAGGAGGCTGGACAGGTGAGTCAGCGAGGGCGGCAGCAGGAAGGGGCTGGGCGGAGCCACCCTGGCACTGGGGTGGCAGCATCCCCTGACAGCATGAAGCTTCTATAACCCTGTCCTAGGGACCCCGTGAAGGATAGGGGCAGGGAGCAGGGCTGGACAGGAGAGATCTGGACATGCCTCTTCCTTGAGGCAGAGGGCCTGAGTGCCAGCCCCCCTGAGACCAAAGCTTCCCAAGCCTGGGTACTGATATGTACCTGGAGACAAGGCCTAGGATTCCAAGCCTGCTGCTCAAGGTCCCCAGTGTGGCCTAGTAAGAGGTTTGGGGGTTCTATGGGCCTGGAGACCTAGGCAGTCCTTTGGGTCATGAACACAAGTGGAGTGAGGGTGACTGCCCTCCCCATTCCTGGAGACCCTGGCTCTGCAGAGCAGTTTGCGGCCTCCATGGGACAGCGTGGGGTGTTCAGGGTGGTGCCTTGCCCGAGTCAGAGGGGGGCACAGCACTGGGCAGAAGCGTAGTCACCAGGCGTCGCTCAGCTGATGCTCACTCACCCAAGAGTGTCTGTGAGGTCAGCGGTGCCCTCCTATCCCCTGGCAGTCCTGGAGGAGTAGACAGAGGCCTCCACCACCACTCAGGGAGATGCTTCTGGCCTTAGCTAGAATCCCCTAGAAAGCAGCTTCCCCGGCTCCTGGTGCATCGCATGAGGAGTGGCAGGGCTGCTCCCTAGTTACTCATGATGGACAGACGTGCCTCAAGCCCCCTGCCACATGCTGCTTCCCTTAGTCACCAGCCCAACCTGAGCCTCCGTTTCCTCATCTGTAAAATGGGGATAGCCTGCCTTCCTGGCTGTGTCACTAATCGTCCCTGAGACAAAGCATGCAAGCTCCTGATAAACACCTGTTCCCTCCACTCATCACTGAGGTGCCCTTTGGCAGTGAGCTCTGACCAACCGGTAGGGTGTGCCAAGGAGTGACTGGGACTTGAGGCTGCCTTGGAGCCAGAGGGCTGGGGAATGTTACTTCCACTGGCCAGGAGCCAAGGAGAGGTCTTCCCATGCTCCTACTTCTGGGGTGCAGGCCTGTGGCAGGGGTCTGAGGCTCTCTCCCCAATGCAGGCTCCTGGAGCTGCTCTCCTGGGTGTGTTGGGGCCTGATTAGTTTACTGGACTGTGGGCCCTCCCAGCCTGGGACTCGGGAGCTGAGACCCTCTTGCATTCCTGCATGGTGTTTGCGGGCTCCAGGGCTATGGCCAGTCCCCCTAGGGTGGACAGTGGGTATCGTGGGCAGCAGGACCTCTGGGTCTCAAGACTACGGCCCCACACATGCCATTGCTATCTCCTTTGGGCAGGGGTGAATTGGGGCTTAAACAATTTAGAGGGGCCCTCTTTATGAAAAAGAATACAATAATATGATTCTTGCACATTTTTCATTTATATACGTATGAACTTCTGGACCCAGAAGGGGCTGTGAAAGTCGGGGGCCTGGAGCTCAGGCGGGTCCAGGTGACCCTGTCCTACTTTTGTAACAGCCAGAGTCCAGGATGTTTTGCCCAGGGCATTGGGCTGGCACTGCAGAGGCCTGGGGGATGGGGGGACACCTGGGACATGGCTGGTGGGAATTGTTTTAGGAAACCTCAGGGATTCTCCCTGGACCTGTCAAAGCCCCTTCCCTGTTTCTTCTGAGGCTGTGTGTTCCCCACTCGCACAAGGGTCCTTTCTATGCCTGTTCCGCTGATAAATGTCATCTGCCTGCTCTAGAATGGCTTCCAGACCCCACAGACCCCCTCCTCATGAGCTCCCACCCTAGGGTACTCTCCACCAGTCCCCGCTTTCAGGAGCTCACCAGACTCAGACAGCCTGTTGTCAGAGCTCAGCCACACAGCAGGACCCTGGCCCACTGCCCAGCCCAGAGCCAGGCCCACCACAGCCTCTGGGGACAACTGCCCTTCCCCCCACCCCCTCCACATGGTCCCCTGCCCATGAGACCCTGCCCTGCTAATTTAATGCACTGCCTTGGTGTGAGCACTGATTCTAATGACAACATACCATGGCCTTCTGGGCAAGGCTGGGTCCAGACACAGATCCCAAATGCCTGCTGGGGAGAAGGCAAGAGGCCCGGGGAGGCCCAGGACCAGACATGGGTCCCAGGCCCTGGTGCCCTCCCTCTTGGCCTTCCAGCTGCTGCTGCTGTGACCAGATTCCCGTCCACCCAGCCCAGTCCATGGGCCCCAGCAAGCCATCTGTGCCCCACAGAGGGCAGACCCCTAAGAGTGGGACCCCTTTCTAGCCAAAGAACATGAGATAGCCCCAAATCCTCCTAAACATGATGGATCCTGGTCTGAGGGGCTGGGCTCAGGTGACTCCTGCAGGGAACTTCACCTGCCTGGATGAGGTCAAGTGTGAATCAGGTGGGGCCTGCCCTCCACCACCCCATCATGGAAGAGGTCCAGCCCACAGTAGGCCCAAGAGGGCCGCCCTTGGACCTAGGGACCCAAGTCAGCATATCCTGAGTCAGAAGGTCAAGTCCAGCCTCCCCTCAGGCAGGGAGAATCTGGCTTTGACAGGAGCAGATAAATTCTCAAGGTGGAATTTGCCCAACAAACTAGTTTGGCAAGGGACTAGCTGGCTGAATCATTGAGTCAAGGACAGCCAACGTTTCCAATAGTAATTTGCCAACTTAGAAATGACCAATTCTGGAAAACAACTTGTTTATTTGAAATACTTAAATACTTAGGCTGTCTCATGTCTGAAGCATGATGATGCCTTGCATGCTTTAAAGGACAGACGTCATGAATGCCAAGACTTTTGTGGCGGTCCATCCTGCCAGTGTCTTCTCCCACTTTTGCTCTGTGGATTTGAGCTCACAGTTTGTGCTGTGCCCACCACCTGCCCACCCTAACGAGACTCCTGGAGACTTGGCTGGCCAGTCACCAGAGGAAGAGGGGCCCAGCAGCATGCCAGCATTCACCCACCTGTGGGTATCAGTCAGGCTCCTGGTGGAAGCCAGAGGACATATTCGAATGGGTATTTGAGGAAAGGGGCTGTTCACAGAAGTGTGGACAGAGTTAAGAGAACCAGTAAGAGATGAGGAATGTCCTGGACCAGCAAGAGTGGGAGCTGTTATCTCCCTGGGTCTAGGAAAGGTGTCCACAGATCCCAAAGAGAGCTGTGGCTGTAGAGGAGGATCATCAGGAGCTGCAGCCATCAGTAGAAAGATGTGGCCACTGCCAAACCAGCAAGGAAGAATCTGAGCAAATAACCACCTCTCCTCTCTCTCTCCCACCTCCTATGACATCCTCCACTGTTTGAATTCCACTAGGGCCAGACAGTGAGGCACCCTGGTGATGCAGTCCAAGAGGGAGTGGGCAGAGAGGAGCCAGTGGGTATGGAGGGGAAACAGAGAAACAGAATTCCAGCTCACTCTGTGGGATTTCTGGGTCTGATAGAAACATGGCATTATTATTATTATTATTATTATTATTATTATTATTATTTTGAGATGGAGTTTTGCTCTTGTTACCCAGGCTGAAGTGCAGTAGCATGATCTCGGCTCACTGCAACTTCTGCCTCCCGCGTTCAAGAGATCCTCCTGCCTCAGCCTCCCAAGTAGCTGGGATTACCGGCACATGCCACCACGCCTTGCTAAATTTTGTATTTTTGGTAGAGGTGAGGTTTCACCATGTTGACCAGGCTGGTCTTGAACTCCTCACCTCAGGTGATCCGCCTGCCTCGGCCTCCCAAAGGGCTGGGATTACAGGCATGAGCCACTGTGCCCAGCCTGCAGCAGCTAAATTTTACAGTGTCTCTTTTCTCCTTCTGGAAACTATATGGAACAACAACAAGACTGAGGAGGAGGAGAAGGAGGAGGAGGAGGAAAAAGCCCATCATCAACACACACATCAAACTCAACTTCAGAGAAATTAGGAAGCTGGGAAGCCATGTAAACCAAAAGCAGGAGACACCAGCAGAACCAACGCAGGAAGCCAGGGAAGTGCAGAAGAACAGGGCAGGGGGCAACCCAGGGGGGAATCTTCACTGTTGCCAGCAACACACACTCCCAGCAGGAGAGGACCCTCAGAGTGAGAACGCAGAGCTGGAGAAGTGAAGAAGGAGCAGGTGGTGCCCGGGGAAGTCCAGGGGTGTGGGATCTGAGAGCACCCCTTCCCAAGAGAGGAAGGAACACTTGGGAAGGCAGGGCTGAGTCCCTGGAGGCTGTATCCGGGAAAGGAGGATGGCAGTAGAATCTTCCTGAAGCCGAGTGGGTTCTGAGAGGCAGAGGGGCAGTGGTACAGAGGTGAGGCTGACACTTCTGTGCAGGAAGGGCAGGCTCCTGAGGAAGGGAGCCCCGAATGCTCTCCACTAGATTCCCAGGGAGCCCCACTCCCTCCACAGGGACCTCGCGCTGACATCTGGGAAATGCCATTCATACTGGAACCTCCGACACACTGCCATGAATGTGAGGGTTTCGTGACTGATGGGGTAGGTTTCTCTCTTCCAACTTAATAGTATAATTTCCATTTATTCCTCCCCCAGCCTCCCTGAACATTCACCTCTTAGATAGCCACAGTACGGTGATCAGAACCAGGAAGTCCACATTCTCATATTTAACTATATTAAAATTATTTCACAAAATAACCAATTTTATTAATTTAATTAAATACATTTAAATAATGTTTAAATATATTTAAATAATGTTTAAATATATTTAAATAATGTTTAAATATATTTAAATAATTTAACTAATTTAAAATGAACATATTCGCTAAACAAAAGACCTTATTGGAGTTTCACCACTTTTTCCACTAATGTCCTTTTTCTGTTCCCAAATTCCACCCAGGATCACGCTGCATTTAGTTATTTCTTAGTCTCTCGCCATTTTGTAGGACTGCAATAACAGTTCCTCAATCTTTCCTTATCTTTCATAACCGTGACATCTTGAACCAGTACTGATCACTATTTGTCAAATGTTCCTCGATTTGGGTTTGTCTGATGTATTTCCATGATTGGACTGAAGTTACACACTTTTGGCAATTACAGCACAAAAATGATGTGGAATCCTTCCCAGTGCATTCCATCAGAGTTATGGCATTGATAGTTCTTCTTACTGATGATGTTGAACTTGTTCATTTGGTTCAGGTTTCTGCTGGGTTTCTCCATTGTAAAGTTACTATCTTTCCCCCTCATAGGGGGAAAGATCTTAGGAGAAATACTTGGAGACTATGAAAATTTTGTATTTTCTCAAACTTTAAAATTTTTTTCAGGCCAGGCGCAGTGGCTCACGCCTGTAATCCTAGCACTTTGGGAAGCCGAGGCGGGTGGATCACCTGAGGTCAGGAGTTGAAAACCAGCTTGATCAACATGGAGAAACCCCATACGTACTAAAAATACAAAATTAGCCAGGCATGGTGGTGCATGCCTGTAATCCCAGCTACTCAGGAGGCTGAGGAAAGAGAATCACTTGAACCTGGGAGGAGAGGCTGCAGTGAGCTGAGATCGTGCCATTGCGCTCCAGCCTGGATAAGAAGAGCAAAAGTCCATCACAAAAAAAAAAAAAAAAAAAAAAGGCCAGGCGCAATGGCTCATACCTGTAATCCCAGCACTTTGGGAGGCCAAGGTGGGTGGATCACCTGAGGTCAGGAGTTGGAGACCAGCCTGACCAACATGGAGAAACCCCATCTATACTAAAATAAAATACAAAATTAGCTGGGCATGGTGGTGCATGCCTGTAATCCCAGCTACTCGGGAGGCTGAGGCAGTAGAATTGCTTGAACACGGGAGGTGGAGGTTGCCGTGAGCCGAGATCCTGCCATTGCACTCCAGCCTGGCCAACAAAAGCAAACCTCCATCTCAAAAAAAAAAAAAAAACAAAAAAACAAAACACCTATTTGACAGCCGGGCATGGTGGCTCACACCTGTAATCCCAGCACTTTGGGAGGCCAAGGCAGGTGGATCACCTGAAGTCAGGAGTTCAAGACCAGCCTGGCGAACATGGTGAAACCCCGTCTCTACTAAACTTACAAAAATTAGTTGGGCATGGTGGCATGTGCCTGTAAGTTCCAGCTACTTGAGAGGCTGAGGCAGGAGAATCGCTTGAACCCAGAAGGCAGAGGTTGCAGTGAGCCGAGACGGTGCCATTGCACTCCAGCCTGGGCAGCAGAGTGAGGGATCTCAAAAAATTATAATAAAAAAATAATAATTCTATTTTGAATTGTGGTAAAATATGCATAAAATTTACTACCTTAACCACTTCTAAGTGGCAGTCGGAACAGGGGTTAAGGAGAGCCCTTGGGTTGGGTAATGTAGAGTATATTCACATTGCCATGCAACCAATCTCCAGAACTTTTTCATCTGACAAAACCAAAACTCTATATCCACTAAGCAACTTCCCATTTTCTCCCTTCCCCATGTCCCTGGCAACCCCCGTTCTACTTTCTGTTTCTATTAGTTTGCTTACTCAGTCTGGATGCTTCACATAAGTGAAAGAACACAGTATTTGTCTTTTTCTAACTGGCTTATTTCACTTAGCATAATGTCCTCAATGTTCATCCATGTTGTAGCATGTGTTAGAATTTCCTTCCTTTTTAAGGCTGAAGAATATTTTATTGTATGTATATACCACATTTTATCAATTCATCTGCCTATGGACAATTAGGCTGCATCCATCTTTTGATGAGTGTGAATACCACTGCTATAAATATCAGTGTACAAATATTTCTATGAGACCTTGCTTTCAATTATTTTGGCTATATACCCAGAAGTGATATTGCTGGATCATTTGGTAATTCTATTTTTAATTTTTTGAGAAACTGCCTGTCCTGTGCTGAGCAGGTCTATATAAACCTACCCGCAAAGGCCAAGGAACCTGAGATACCAAAGAAAGAGGCTGACAAATCCAGTTTCTCAGAAAGAAACATTTAATAGGCGTTTATGAACAGAAGCCAAGTCAGGGATGGCACCAAGATAAGATGGTGGATCCCTGTGCCATTACCCCCACCCCCCCGACCCAGGGCTTCTATAGCATAGGGGAAGGGTAATGCGGGCTTCGGCAGGGATGTGTATGGCCAGACACGGTGGCTCACGCCTGTAATCCCAGCTCTTTGGGAGGCCAAGGTGGGCGGATCACCTGAGGTCAGGAGTTCCAGACCAGCCTGGCCAACATGGTAAAACCTCATCTGTACTAAAAATACAAAAATTAGCCAGGCATGGTGGCAGGCGCCTGTAATCCCAGTTACTCGGGAAGCTGAGGCAGGAGAATCGCTTGAACCCAGGAGGTGAAGTTTGCAGTGAGCTGAGATTGTGCCACTGCAGTCCAACCTGGGAGACAGAGTGAGACTGTCTCAAAAAATAAAAAATAAAAAATAATATTTTTAAAAAGATAAAATAGAAATTGTAGATGAATTCTTGGAACTGGGATTAATCAGAATATGGCAGATTAGCCTCCAAGATGGAATTGCTTTACTCTCATTCAAGGTTTCCCTCATTCTTCACTCTCCCCATGCTGGTCACCTTGCTGTTTGTTCCTCAAACACATATGAAATGCGTTTCTGTCTTGGCAGTCATCCTGCTACCTGTAATGTCAGCACTGCTTTCTGTTGTCCCTTCAGTCAGGTCATTGTTCAAATAGCTCTCTAGACAGGCTCTTCCTTATCATTCTACTTAAAATAGCCCCCAATCACTCTGTGTCCCTTTAGCCTGCTTCCTCTTCCTGCTATTTCATACTACCTGAAAAAATACTTGAACTTCCTAGAACATAAGCTCCTAAAAGCAAGAACTGGGCTCCACCTCTCCTCTCCTCTACCCCAGCACTCAGAAGAGCAACAGAGTCAGCATCCAGTGAGTGTTCATGAATCAAGTCACTGCTTGGCAGAATTCAGCACTGGGACCACAGCCTCGCCTGTCTTCAACTCTTTCTCCTTCTGCTTTTCCTCCTCCCACTCTAGTAGCCACTCTTCTGGGGGCTTGTCCCTTAAATGATTAGTCCTTACCAACCTATTTTCTGTCCACTTTATCTGTTTTTGAGAGAGGGTCTCACTCTGTTGCCCAGGCTGGAGTGCAGTGGCATGTATATGGGTCACTGCAGCCTCCACCTCCTGGGCTCAAGTGATCTTCCTGCCTCAGCCTGCCATGCCATGTAACTGGGGCCACAGGCATGTGCCACCATGTCCAGCTAATTTCTTGATTTTTTTTTTTTTTTTTTGGTAGAAATGGGTCTCACTGGCCTGCAGAAATATGCATGTCCTCAGTGTTTGGACTGCCAGCTGCAAGGCAGAGCCAAACCCAATATGGCCCCATCATCCCTGGCTCAGCTGTGCTACCTGGCCATGCTGGAAGGGGTTTGATTTTCCAGGAATTTGCTTCACAGCTCTTTCCTGTCCCAAGATCTATGCCTGATGTGTAAATTCAGGACGCAAAAGGGCACAAAAAAGCAATAACTACTAAATATAAGGAAAACAACTCTGTATACAGCACATATAAAGAAAAGCAAGATATATTTGGGGAGATAAAAGTTGTAAAGGCATTAAGATGTGTGTTTGTTGAGAAAAAATAAATTTGTGCATTTAAGAAGTTAAAAAAAAAAAAAAAAGAAATGGGTCTCACTTTATTGCCCAGTCTGGTCTTGAACTCCTACACTCGAGCAGTCCTCTCAACTTGGCCTCCCAAAGTGCTGGGATTACAGGCATGAGATACTGTACCTGGTCTTATTTTTTTCTTTTCTTAAGATACAGGGTCTCAACATCTGGCCCAGGCTGGACTCAAACTGCTGAGCTCAAGTAATTCCCCCACCTCAGCCTCCGAAGTAGCTAGGACTAAAGGCATGAAACCACCATGCTTGGCTTGTCCAATTTCATTCTACACACTTTCTCGGTATTTAAACAGCTGCTGTTGCTCTTCATTCTGTAGCTCTACATCAGATTCATGCTCCAGTCCTGTATATCCAAATGATGACTAGAGGCTGCCGGCTCTGCTCTTTCAAAGGCACAATGAGTGTAGCCGGTCTACAAAACTCTCCCTTTTCCAATCCAGCTTTCCCTCCTGCATCACCTATCTCTCTACATCTGGAACCATCGGCAGCTGCCTTCATAAGGCACCTCGGTCTGGCATTCGGAAAACCACCCTGTCTTGCCAGAGCCGCTTGGTCTTGGGTAGCAAAAGCTGTATGCAATCTAAATCAAGCTTTCAATCATGAGAAATCACATTCCTTCTTTTCCCTTTGTAATATACTCGTGTGTTTTTTTTTTCCTTTCTCAATAAGCAAATTGTACCACCATCTTATTCTGAGATGCTCCTTTTTAAAAGCTGTAGATCACATTAATGGAAGTGTTTACTGCTGGGAATATTTTCCATGTGCAATGATCTGTAACCCTCTTTTTCTTTTCTTTTTTTTTTTTGAGACAGAGTCTCGCTCTGTTGCCCAGGCTGGAGTGCAGTGGCACAGTCTCTGCTCACTGCAAGCTTTGCCTCCTGAGTTCATGCCATTCTCCTGCCTCAGCCTCCCAAGTAGCTGGGACTACAGGTGCCCGCCACCATGCCCAGCTAATTTTTTTTTTTTTTTTGAGATGGAGTCTCGCTTGGTTGCCCAGGCTGGAGTGCAGTGGTGCAATCTCAGCTCATTGCAAGCTCCGCCTCCTGGGTTCACACCATTCTCCTGCCTCAGCCTCCCGAGTAGCTGGGACTACAGGTGCCTGCCACCACACCTGGCTAATTTTTTTTTTTTTTTTTGTATTTTTAGTAGAGACGGGGTTTCACCATGTTAGCCAGGATGGTCTTGATCTCCTGACCTCGTGATCCGCCTGCCTCGGCCTCCCAAAGTGCTGGGATTACAGGTGTGAGCCACCACGCCCGGCCATGCCCAGCTAATTTTTTGTATTTTTTAGTAGAGATGGGGTTTCATGATGTTAGCCAGGATGGTCTCAATCTCCTGACCTGGTGATCAGTCCGCCTAAGCCTCCCAAAGTGCTAGGATTACAGGTGTGAGCCACTGCGCCCAGCCGAACTGTAACCCTCTTATCTCAACTAGCTGACATTATTACTTCACATCCAGTTCAATTTATAAATTAAGAGAGGTGCCATGGGCCGGGTACGGTGGCTCACGCCCGTAATCCCAACACTTTGGGAGGCCGAGGCAGGTGGATCACGAGGTCAGGAGTTCGAGACCATCCTGGCTAACATGGTGAAACCACGTCTCTACTAAAAATACAAAAAATTAGCCAGGTGTGGTGGCAGGCACCTGTAGTCCCAGCTACCTGAGAGGCTGAGGCAGGAGAATGGTGTGAATCCGGGAGGCAGAGCTTGCAGTGAGCAGATATCATGCCACTGCACTCCAGCTGGGGCAACAGAGCAAAACATCGTCCAAAAAAAAAATAAAAATAAAAATGAAAAAGAGGTGCCATGTGTACAAAAATCAATGCATATTTATGAACTTTTTTTTCAAATATATTTTCACACATTTTATCTAAATACATAATACAGAAGCCTGTGTGACTTGGGCAATGTGGCCAGGAGGGCCTGAGACTAACACATCCACCTTGGCAAAAGGACATAAAATATGTCTTATGGTCAGAAAAATCAACATTTTGTGTATTTACTTAGTTTATGAAAAGTACTGAAAATGCTATTACTAGCTGAATTTGTGATTTCCTTTTGAAATTCTGAGTTATCCTTATTTTTCCCATTTTGTTTTTGCACCAAGGAGACTGCAGTCAAATAAAACAGATACTACACGCACTCGTCGGGGCAGCCGTACTGCAGAAGCACGTTGATGCACTCCTGGCTGGAGGCCTGCCGGGCGTAGGTCAGCGCTGTGTTCCCGTGGGCATCTCGGGCCATGACGTCCACCCCGTACCAGATCAGGAGCTGTGCCAGGACCACATTCCCCTTGCGGCAGGCCAGATGGAGCGCCGTGCAGCCGTCTCCCTCCCCACAGGTCTCGTTCACCTCCTCACGGGAGCCATGTGCCAGCAGCAGGATGGCTGTCTGCAGGTCCTCATCAGCGGTGGCCCGCAGCAGGTGCTGGCCCAGGGACAGCTCAGTGCAGGGTAGTGGGGCCAGAAAGAGCTTCTCCTCATATTTGGAACGGATCCACCGTTCCTTCTCTTCCCTCGTGGACTTTACTGAGGGTTTTGTCTGCCCCTGGCTGCTCCCTTCCCAGATGCTGTTGGCTAGGTCATTGCCAATAGATGACATAACCTTCCTGAGCTCAACTGGCCAGTCATCCAGCTCCAGAGATCGCACACGGGAAAGGCGGGTGCCAAGACTGCGGTGGATTCCTGAGCATTCAATACACATGAGGACTCCCAAGTTCAAACTGGCCCACTTAGGATTCTGGGTCTCATAGTCCACACAGTGGGCGTTCCCACGCATGTTTTGGATCGACTGCAGGGCCATGGCCTCGCTCTGGCTGGTCAGCTGGGACTTGCTTTTACTGCTCTCGCATGACTGCAGGCTGGCCAGGATCTGGCTCTGGATGGCTTGGACCCAGGCATCCCGCTCCTCATACGTCGTGGCTTCAAAGTGCCATGTTTGGCCAGTGGCAGACACAATCATAAAGTTGTTGGTGCTTTTCTTCTTTAGGTGTTTCTTTTTATTGGCATGAGGAGAGGGGGGCGGGTTGAGCTTGGGGCTGGTGGTGCTGGAGATACTGGGGCTGAAGCATATGGAGTCACCCAGCCCGGTGTCCATGTCCTTGGATAGGCCATTGCTTTTAGAGCTGGAGATGGGTGCACAGGCCGATGTGGCTAGGGATGGCCACTTTCCTGGGACTTTGATGGTAGATGTCCGAAGGTCAATCTCTTTTTTATGAATATTCTTCATATAATCACCTAAGCTTGAATAATAGGTGAGCACGCCATTGGAACACAGGGTGACGTATTTCTTTTTCCATGTCTTCAGCCATTTCCCACTTCGCTTTAAGAGCATGCCCTGTTTAATGGGGATGGCTCTGCCGCTCCCGATGGTGTCAGCATGATTCTCCGGGGCTTTCCTCTCTTTGTCTGGGTGACTCCCTTTCTCAGATGTAAACAGGTTGGACCAGCGCATGGACCGCTTGCAAACGGGGGTGGGTGTGTTGGCAGTGGGAGGAACACTGAACTGAGGGTCCTCCTGGCTGGTGCTGGGAGTCGATGGAATGGAGGAGGAATAGTTATTTAAACTCCCACCTCCATTTCTGTTCTTCGTAATGTGCACGGTGGAAACCTGTGTGGAACAGAAGGAGGAATGGCTTCAAAAATTGGGTAGTGGCTTGCAGGGTCCTATAGACAGCTTACAATTACCTTTTAAAAAGATACATTTTCTGGGCCAGGCATGGTGGCTCACACCTGTAATCACAGCACTTTGGGAGGCCAAGGTGGGTGGATCACGAGGTCAGGAGTTCAAGACCATCCTGGCCAACATGGTGAAACCCTGTCTTTACAAAAAAAAAAAAAAAAAGAAAAGAAAAAAGAAAAAAAAATTAGCTGGGCATGGTGTCACATGCCTGTAATTCCAGTTACTCGGGAGGCTGAGGCAGGAGAATTGCTTGAACAGGGACCTGGGAGGCAGAGCCTGCAGTGAGCCAAGATCGCGCGATTGCACTCCAGCCTGGGCTACAGAAAGAGAGTCCATCAAAAAAAAAAAAAGATACATTTTCTGTTGTTTGGATAGTATATTTACTCATACTAGCTCACTAACTAAACAGAGCTGCAGATCAGTTCTTACTCCAGCACATTCTTTTTACAACACTTAAGATGACTAAATGCAACATGAAATGGGGAAGATTTAAAAAAAGATGGCTTTGACTTCAGCATGAAACAGATACAAGTGTACGATGAAAATAGAACCTCAATAAAAGTGCCACTTACCGCAAATGAGTGTAACTGTTCATCAGGTATGCTCAAAGATCTATCTGCATCTCTATAAAATAAGAAAGTGCATTACTTCAAAAACTGTTAATATCTTAGTATAATATTTGTTGAGTAAAATACTTCCTCCTGTGTGCTTTGGTGTTTACTTTACCAAAGCAGTTTTTACAAATTCTTCTCCTGGATCCTGACTTGCAGAGGGTTTCCTGACTTCTTCTTTCTCAGCACATCATGGCCTGTACCGTGAAGCCTTTTATATGATAACCAGTCAGAAATGCCCATGAATATTGACTCTCCCTAACAGGCCATGGCAATAAACCAAACATATTTTCACTCTTCTAACCACACATTGAAACACAAGAATGTTCTACAAAGCAGTAGTAGTAAACTTTAATAAATGTAAATGTGATTCAGATTTCCTAGCTTCCTTTCTCTTTAGTTCTCTGTAGTATACTCTCATGATGTTTTTATGTATTTTCTGTTGTCTGAATGACAAACTCATCTGCCTTTTTAAGAGGCCAGTCTTTGAGGAACTTTAAACTTTGTAAAACTAATGCATTGTGCCTGTGTATAAACCAGTGGTTCTCCAAATGTGCTCTGTGGACCTCTCGGGATCCCGAAGACCCCTTCCAGAAGGCCTAAGAGGTCATAACTGTTCTTTTTTTTTTTTTTTTTTTTTTTTTTGAGACCAAGTTTTACTCTTGTTGCCCAGGCTGGAGTGCAATGGTGTGATCTCGGCTCATGGCAACCTTCGCCTCCCAGGTTCAAGTGATTCTCCTACCCCAGCCTCCCAAGTAGCAGGGATTACAGGCACCTGCCACCACTCCTGGCTAAGTTTTGTATTTTTAGTAGAGATGTGGTTTCACCATGTTGGCCAGGCTGGTCTTGAACTCCTAACCTCAGGCGATCCACTTGCCTCGGCCTCCAAAGTGCTGGGATTACAGGCCTGAGCTACTGTGCCTGGCCAACACTGTTCTGAATCATACTAATTAAACCTGAGAAAGCTGATGAAAAATTTTAAAAATTTGTGAAAGTAATACAAAGTCATTGCCTGCTTTTTCGTTGACACTTGCCATGATTGTATAAAAGCAAAAGTAGGTACAATGGCTGGTTTCTCAGCATAAATCAAGGCAGTGGTACCAATTACATTAGTAGTCCCTTTCACTGTCCCCTACAGGTAAAAAACATAGCCTGAATTTCTTAAGAACGTCTTTGATGAAGCAATAAAAATTAATGTTGTTAAATCTTGACATGTCTCTAATATTCTGAATAAGTGGAAAGTTAATGAGAAGTGCTTTTTTTTTTGTTTTTAAAGAATCCGTGATTTAACTGTGAACTGAAAAATCACTTTTTTCACAGAACATCATTTTTATTTAAAAGTACAACTGGGCCAGCGCAGTGGCTCACGCCTGTAAAATCCCAGCACTTTGAGAGGCCAAAGCAGGCAGATGGCCTGAGCTCCTTCAGGAGTTCGGGACCAGCCTAGGCAACGTAACGAAACTGTGTCTCTATCAAACATATAAGAAAATTAGCCTGGCGTGGTGCCACACATCTGTGGTCCCAGCTACACAGGAGCCTGAGGTGAGAGGATTGCTTGAGCTGAGATCATGCCAATGCACTCCAGCCAAGTGACAGAGTGAAACTCGGTCTAAAAAACCAGTTCAACTATCATTCTCAAAAATAAATGAAGTGAGAGGTTGTCACTTCAAGGGAAATACGTATTTGTTCCCAATGATAAAATTTAAGCTTTCCTGTGGACTTTGAAAAACTTGTTCCTTCTACTGTAGGCTTGGCAGCTTTTCAATACTTAAAGGCGTGTTAAAGTAAGATTGGTGGTTAAACTAAAAGTGATTTTTGACACAATAAAACATAAGCCAATATATTCCAAGTAACTAATGCATGATATTATAAATGCAAGTATGGAGCAAAAGATCCATTTACTGTGCAAGAAAGATCAATGAGTACTGATGGAATAAATTTATTAATATGTAAAATGCCACCGTAACTAATTTAAGAAACCACCACTTGTGAAGTTTTGATTTAGTGTTTTAACAAATACCCACAACTGTCTGAAAACTTTAAAAATACACCTTCTACCAACTACATATTTGCATGAGGTTAGGTCATCTTATTGCTTCTTTTTCTCTTTTTTTGAGACAGAGTCTCTCTCTGTCACCCAGGCTGGGGTGCAATGGCGAGATCTCGGCTCACTGCAACCTCCACCTCCCAGGCTCAAGCGATTCTCCTGCCTCAGCCTCCCAAGTAACTGGGACTACAGGCATGCACTACCATGCCCAGCCACTTTTTGTACTTTCAGTAGAGGCGGGTTTTACCATGTTGGTCGGGCTGGTCTCAAACTCCTGACCTCAAGTGATCCACCCACCTCAGCCTCCCAAAATGCTGGGATTACAGGTGTGAACCACTGCGCCCCACCAGCTTATTGCTTTTTTTGTTTGTTTGTTTAGACAGAGTCTTGCTCTGTCACCCAGGCTGCAGTGCAATGGCACAATCTCAGCTCTCTGCAACCTCCGCCTCCCAAGTTCAAGCGGTTCTCCTGCCTCAGCCTCCAGAATAGGTGGGACTACAGGTGCGTGCCACCATGCCCAGCTAAGTTTTTGTATTTTTAGTAGAGACGGGGTTTCGCCGTGTTAGCCAGAATGGTCTCGATCTCCTGACCTTGTGATCCGCCCGCCTCAGCCTCCCAAAGTGCTGGGATTACAGGCGTGAGCCACTGTGCCCAGCCTCATATTGCTTCTTTGAAGCAAATTGCAAAGAAAGCTCTAGAGAATCCATTTGTCTCCTATTAAGCTCAACATGAGAGACTTTAAATAATATAAACAAATGACACACTTTTTACTCAACTTTTTGTTGTAGAAAAGTTTTTTTTCAATGAAAAACTTCTGTTAACAATACTGTTCTCAAGGAATATTTTCTGTTTTTATAACCTGGGTCATGGGTTACTACTGACATCTAGTTGGTAGAGGCCATGAATACTGCTAAACTCTCTGCAATGCACAAGACAGTCCTTACAACAAAGCATTATCTAGCCCATAATATCAACAGTGGTAAGGCTGTGAAATCTAAACTAAAAATAGATTTTGAAAAAATTTCAATTGTATAATTCTACCACACTAAATATCAATATAATCAATATAAGCATATACTCTTTGAGATTCTCAATCATTTAAGAATTATGAGAGTCTTAAGGAACAAAGAAAATACAAATAATTTGCTTCGATATTTTAGTAGGCACAATACAGCTTATGATGTCTAGAGCTGTGACCTAACACTGAGCTTGATATCTTGCAAAGTAATTAGCTAGAATAACAAGACAGGTTTCTAAAAAGCTCACCTTTGTGTGATATGATGAGGTATCTCCAAGGTCACACTGTGGAAGGAAAAAAAATTCATAACAATAGATGTTATCATTTGTTAGGCCTGAAGACATTTTTTAAAAGGGGGGCAGAGGAAACTCTCCTAGCGGCCCTGAAATTCAAATCTTCTAGTTCAGAACAGTACCATAAGGGCACTTTGTTTTCATTTCTTTGTTTTTTACAAAAATATGAGAACCAAAATGCAAGGAAATATGCCGTTAGAAGACGCGTTTCTGTTGGTGATTACAATATATAAATAATAACAGATTTCCCTGTTATATGCTTTTCTACCGATGAAACCTTTCGTCCCATGCGATTTATTTTATGTATTTATTTATTTTTTGACCCAGAGTCTGTCTCTCTTGCTCAGACTGGACTGCAGTGGTGCCATCTTGACTCCTCACAACCTCCACCACCCAGGTTCAAGCGATTCTCACGCCTCAGCCTCCCAAGAAGCTGGGACTACAAGTTTGCGCCACTATGCCCAGATAATTTTTTTTGGGGGGGGTGGGTGGGTGGAGTTTCGCTCTTGTTGCCCAGGCTGGAGTGCAATGGTGTGATCTCGGCTCACCACAACCTCTGCCTCCCGGGTTCAAGAGATTCTCCTGCCTCAGCCTCCCAAGTGGCTGGGATTACAGGCATGTACCACCACGCCCAGCTAATTTTGTAGAGTGAGGCTCAAAACAACTGAGGGAAGGTAAATCTCAATTCTACTAATAGGTCTACACAATATTAGCACTTTTTAAAAAGCCTGTAACATTAGCATGTGAGATGGATATGTCTATAGTGCTTCAAGTAGTTTTCATCTCTGAAATAATTTTAAAATCACAGAATTTAAAGTTACATGCTGGAAAGGACCAATGACCTTATGTGACATTTAATTCAACACTCGTTTTACAGATCAGGGAAACAAACCTTAAAACTGACTTGCCCAAGGTCCCACCAAATAGGAGCAGTTTCTCGTCCTAAACTCAAATTAAGCAGTGGCTCTCAAACTTTGCTGCACATTAAAATCGCCTGAGAAGCTTTAATATCTGCCTCATCTTCCACATGAGACATTTTAATTTAATTAGTATTGGGTATGGCTTTGGGCATCAAGGTTCTTGGTAAACGTTTCCCAGGTGATTTCAATCAGCAGCAAAGTTTGGAATGATTGAGCTGGGGTGAAAATCAGAATCTTCTGGGATGCTTTTCTTCACAGAAAGATGCCTCACATCCATCCTGATTTTCCTAAAAGGCTTCTCAGTGCCTACAGATAGAGGGAAAGTGGAGATGGGAAGATACATGTATTTGCAGACTTGCATTTTGAAAAAAACCTTGCATAAGTGATCTCAGCGAGTGCCACCTATCCCACTGACAACAGTGCACTACTGATTCATGATAAAACATTTTTCAAAATATCTTCTTGAAGCCAATTTGCCCTATTAATTTGTTCAATAACTTTATTTCACCAATAGTGAATACACCAAATGATTATTTCTCAAACTTGCTGGTGGCAAATTAAAACTTACTATACTCTCAAAAGTAGACTTCTAAAAAGTAGAATAATGAGGAAAAAAGCACGAAATTAGTTTCAGCAAAATTAATCTTCAAAGCTGCTTTTGAATTATATGCTAACTTATCAAAATCTTTGGAACTCAGAAGAAGCCAGGGACTCTAGTCAAAGTAATTTTTGTGTATGTGTGCTCAAAGATTTAAGAGACTTGGCTGACTACAGACATTTAGTGATTACTCAATAGGTCCCAAAGCTCAGGACTTGAGACAGAGTTTGAGTCCAGTTTTTGTTCGAAACACAATTTCCTCTCAACTATTGTTAAAAGGGAGGGAGGAAAGTGACATTATTATGAGTGTAAACTTGCCACTTTTAATTGAAGTAAAAGTTATTGACAATTGAATTAGCTAAAAAGGCTAGTGCATCTGAAACAAAATTGTTTATAAGCTAGTTATGTTTACAGAATGAAAAGTTAAATTAAAGATAAAGACATTAATATTCTAAATTAGGACTTTCCAAACTGTGTTCTAAAAATCAAGACTAATAACCCAAGGAGATGAGAATAATGTACACTGGACGGCCCCTGTGGAGCTGGTGGTGGTGTTGGTTGTTGTTCCTTTTAAAATAAACTTCATCTCAGGGTGCTCTCAAAGCGCATCTTTGTGGCCCACGAGGTGCTCATGCACAATGGGAGAAATTCAAATGCAGATACACTGTGGTGCCAGAAGAAGAAAAGCTGTTCCTTCTTCCAAGGATAATGTCCAAAGTAGTGCACACTGATTTGGGCCTATGATGCATTGAAAAACTAAGTTTCCACAAAAAACATTCAATAAAGGGAACCTATCCTTCTCACTGTGTTCAACATTGTCTAAAGGCATAAAGGCATCAAAAAGATACACTGTTTCTGGGTTTGCTTCTTTGCTAACTGATTTTTCCTTCCACCACGACGTCTAAGATTAAAAGAGAAACTGATACTTAATATTGAGAATCTGGATATCAATATATGGTTGACTCCAATTTCTTAAGCTGATTGCTGAAGAGGACAACCAAATGGCTGAAATAATTTCCGAATAAAGGAATCTGTCCCTCGGCAGCATAGTTGTACTCACGATATTATTGTCATTGTAAGATAATGCTGGCTGGCTGTGCTGTCATCAAGGAATATTGTCGAACACGAGCTGTATTGTTGACTGAAACGCTCAGTAGATACCTGAAGGGGAAGGGAAGTGTAAGTCAAATTTATCAAAGTGTATTTTTTTCTCAGTTAAAATGTCAAATGACAAAGCACTAAGATATGTCTTACACTCCATGAACTGCCTGAGTGTGGTATCATGTGCACTCTATAGAAAACCCATTGGAGGCTCTCAACTTCCAGAGATGATGTTTAAGATATGGGTTATAAAATGCTGCCCTTAATATGGTACCTGTCATCAAACCTAACAAGGATTTTATGAATTACCGTTAAAAATAATGGGAAAAGTCGGCTTCGCCGGGCGCGGTGGCTCACACCTGTAATCCTAGCACTTTGGGAGGTGGAGGCGGGCAGATCACGAGGTCAAGAGATCGAGACCATCCTGGCTAACATGGTGAAACCCCGTCTCTACTAAAAATACAAAAAATTAGCCGGGCGTGGTAGCAGGCCCCTGTAGTCCCAGCTACTCGAGAGGCTGAAACAGGAGAATGGGGTGAACCCAGGAGGCAGAGCTTACAGTGAGCCGAGTTCGCGCCACTGCACTCCAGGCCGGGAGACAAAGTGAGACTCCGTCTCAAAAAAAAAAAAAAAAAAGAAAGAAAAGTTTAAAATGAGATTTCATATTTTTTTCTACAGCAATAAAAAGCAGCCAAGAATTTCTATTAATTAATTAATTAATTTATTTATTTATTTATTTATTTTTGAGACGGAGTCTCGCTCTGTAGCCCAGGCTGGAGTGCAGTGGCGCGATCTCGGCTCACTGCAAGCTCCGCCTCCCGGGTTCACGCCATTCTCCTGACTCAGCCTCCTGAGTAGCTGGGACTACAGGCGCCCGCCACCATGCCCGGCTAACTTTTTGTATTTTTAGTAGAGACGGGGTTTCACCGTGTTAGCCAGGATGGCCTCGATCTCCTCACCTCGCGATCTGCCTGCCTCAGCCTCCCAAAGTACTGGGATTACAGGCGTGAGCCACGGCGCCCAGCCCTTCTATTATTTATTTACTACGATAAAATGTAGTGTATTAAATAATCCTGCTACAAGAGCATTTTATTGCAGTGAATACAAGACTAATGCATTTACTAAATTACTAATCCTAAATGTATTATTTCAGGTGATATTGTTACAAAAGAAGTGCTTCAGATTCAGGGGCTCTGTGTGCCAGGGCTGCTAGGCCACCAACAAGTGAGGAAGCCATAGGTTTCTCTAGTCCTATTTTCTTATGTGGAGGATAAAAAGAGTATCACTTAAATATTCTCTCACACCCTAAAAACAAATGACAACTTAAAAAATCTAACTTTCACTTCATGTTTAAATAAGACTGCCAAGACATGACTCAAATGAGACTCTCGGAGAATACTTTGCATTCACTTCAAAACTTGATCAATTGCATTCTATAAATCATCTGACCTGCACCTAGCCATTTTCCTGCTCTACCCCTGCTCTCTGCCTAGAATACTGCTTTTCTCTTTCCTTGCTTCAGCAAGCTCGACTCCATCTACCCTCTTGGATCTCTTTGTCGGCAGCCACACCAAAAAATGTATTTTTATACACTAATTAGTTGAATTCACCACTGCTTACAAGATGCTAATTCCTGCAGAGTATTCCCCTCATGAGAAAGTATGCCTCTCCATAAGAGTAAGGGAGGGCCCTTACTCTTCCTACCTCCAGCTGCTGAGCATAGAATTTTGAGTAAATCCAAAACTTCGACAAGTGTTTGACAATTCAGTTATCATTTGGAAGGTAAGTCTTACTACATTTAATTACAGCAAAAACACTACTAACAGTTTACTCTTTATAGGTATTATTTAAGGTAGTCACAAAATAGAAACAAATAATCTAACGTCAGTCAGCATAAATGAGAGTATGAAATTTTACAATATTTAACAAGAAATGGAAGGGGTTACTTAGTAGTTTTAAGGTTTAATGACAAAAACTAGAAAATAATCGTACCTAGTAATTTAGTAAGTCAAAACCAAAGCCTTACCATCAAAGGTGCAGTACCCATTGGATGCGGATGCCCACGCACTGACTTCTGCTGTACCTGCTGCCTCTCATTTTAACCCATTAAAAATACTAAAGTTGTTTTCCTTGTAGACATCTTTCACCTCCTTGGTTAGGTCTATTCCGAAGTATTTTATTTTATTTTAGTTTATTTTTGCAGCTATCAGAAAAGGGGTTGAGTTCTTGGTTTGATTCTAAGCTTGGTCGCTTCTGGGGTATAACAGAGCTACTGATTTGTGTACATTAATTTTGTCTCCTGAAACTTTGCTGAATTCATTTATCGGTTCTAGGAGCTTTTTGGAGGAGTCTTTAGGGTTTCCTAGGTATATGATCATATCATCATCAAACAGCAACAGTTTGACTTCCTCTTTACTGATCTGCATGCCTTTTATTGTTTTCTCTTGTGTGATTGCTCTGGCTAGGCCTTCCAGTAGTATGTTGAATACAAGTGGTGAGAGTGGGCATCCTTGTCTTGTTCCAGTTCTCGGGGGGAATGCTTTCAACTTTTCCCCCTTTCAGTATTATGTTGGTTGTGGGTTTGTCATAGATGGCTTTTATTACATTGAGCTATGACCCTTGTATGCTGATTTTGCTGAGGGTTTTAATCATAAAAGGATGCTGCATTTTGTCAAATGCTTTCTCTGCATCTGTTAAGATGATCATGTGATTTTTTGTTTTTAATTCTGTTTATGTGGTGTATCACATTTATTGACTTGTGTATGTTAATCCATCCCTGCATCCCTGGTATGAAACCCATTTGATCATGGTGGATTATCTTTTTTTTTTTTTTTGAGATGGAGTCTCGCTCTGTTGCCCAGGCTGGAGTATGCAGTGTGGTGATCTTGGCTCACTGCAACCTCTGCCTCCGAGGTTCAAGCGATTCTCCTGCCTCAGCCACCAGAGTAGATGGGATTACAGGTGAGCACCACCACGCCCGGCTAACTTTTGTATTTTTAGTAGAGATGGGGTTTCACCATGTTGGCCTGGCTGGTCTCGAACTCCTGACCTCATGATCCGTCCGCCTTAGCCTCCCAAAGTGCTGGGATTACAGGTGTGAGCCACCGTGCCTGGCCAGATTATCTTTTTGATATGCCGTTGGGAACTACAAAACATTGCTGAATGAAGTCATGGACACAAACAAATGGAAAGACACCCCATGCTCATGAATGGGTAGAATGAATATTGTGAAAATGACCATACTGCCAAAAGCAATCTATAAATTCAATGCAACTCCCATCAAAATACCACCATCCTTCTTCACAGAACTAGAAAAAACAATCCTGAAATTTATATGGACCAAACAAGAACTGGCATAGCCAAAACAAAACTAAGCAAAAACAACAAATCTGGAGGCATGACATTACCTGATTTCAAACTATACTATAAGGCCATAGTCGCCAAAATAGCACGGTACTGATATAAAAATAGGCACATACACCAATGGAACAGAATAGAGAACCTAGAAATAAACTCAAATACCTATAGCCAACTGATTTTCAACAAAGCCACCTAAAACATAAAGTGAAGAAAGTAAACCCTATTCAACAAATGGTGCTGGGATAATTGGCAAGCCACATGCGGGAGAATGAAACTGGATCCTCAACTCTCATCTTACACAAAAATCAACTCAAGATGGATCAAGGACATAAATCTATGACCTGAAACCATAAAAGTTCTAGAAGATAACATTGGAAAAACCCGTCTAGACACTGGCTTAGGCAAAGACTTCATGACCAAGAACACAAAAGCAAATGCAACAGAAACAAATAGGTGAGACTCAACTAAAGAGCTTCTGCACAGGAAGAGGAACAATCAGCAGAGTATACAGACAACCACAGAGTGGGAGGAAATCTTCACAGTCTATACATCTGACAAAGGGCTATTATCCAGAATCTATGAGGAACTCAAACAAATTACAATTACAAAAATATGGAACCAGCCCAAATGCCCATCAATCAATGAGCGGATAAAGAAACTGTGATATACATACATATATATATATGAGGAATACCACCTCAGCCATAATAAGGAATAAATTAATGGCATTCCCAGCAACCTCGATGGAAGTAAGACTATTATTCTAAGTGAAATAACTCGGCATGGAAAACCAAATATCATGTTCTCTTTCAGATGTGGGAGCTAAGCTATGAGGATGCAAAGCCATAAGAATGATACAATGGACTTTGGGGACTTGGGGGAAAGGCTGGGAGGAGGGTGAGGGATAAAAGACTACAAATTGGGTTCAGCGGATACTGCTCAGGTGATGGGTGCACCTAAATCTCACAAATCATCACTAAAGAACTTAGTCATGTCACCAAATGCCACCTGTTCCCCCAGAAACCTATGGAAATAATAAATAAATAAATAAAGTACAGCATTTTTCTCAGCAAACATAAAATAAAACAAAGACTAAAGTTTATATTTTTCACTCTCCTTTTGGGCAGGACAAATTTTATATATGTTTTTAAAGAATTAGTAACTTTTTTCCTTTTTCCGAGACAGGGTCTCCCTTTGTTGCCCAGGCTGGAGTGCAGTGGTGCAATTATAGTTAACTGCAGCCTCAAACTCCTGAGCTCAAGCGATCCTCTGCCTCAGCCTCCTGAGTAGGTAATATGAAAGGCGCATACCACCAGGCCTGGCTAATTTGTTATTTAACCTTTTTGTAGACATGAGGTCTTGCTATGTTGACCAGGCTAAAAATGAACAAATCTTAATTAACTTAAATATTTCTAACACTTTGGGCATTCAGGAAAACAGCTCCATATATGTTGTGAAGTAATGGGAAGTATATGGCAGTGGATAAACTTTGAATGAAAATATTAAACAAGGCCTTAGGAGAAAAGTGTAATATGCTTATTATACATACATTAATTTAAAAAGTTCTCTGCCTTAATATCATTAATTATACTCAAATTAGACTTTGATTTAAACATAGGTCCTAAATTTGGATTAAATATAATAGATTGACCACAAATTTATTTCATCTCCCTCCGGAAACCTCATTAGTCATAAAATAAAGGTTACACCCATGACCAGCACAGAAGGTTGACAGAGATAATTTTTAATAAATGCTGAGACATAAAAGTAGATAAAGGAGTGGTAAATAACACAGAAACACAACTTTGGTGCCTACAGAAAGTGACTGGAACAGAAGCAAGCCAGTTTGTCTTGCAGAACTAAAGGCAGGTTGTGAACTTACAGGCAAATGGCACTTTGGAAAGCAGGGTAAAATGTAAAAAAAAAAAGCCAGCAAGGTCAGTTGCAAATCTCTAACTAGAGCCTCAAGTCCACCTGTCCTTCCATCTGACAAGAAACTTAGATGTGTGTTCTCTGGATATATCAAACCTGAGAATTTCTGGCTCAGAGACACCATGGCTTAAACCTGAGATATAAAGAAAACTGTACACCAAAAATGGAACTCCAACTTTCTGCGCTAACTCTGCTTTTACTTTCCAGGCCTGCTTTTACTTTCCAGGCAGAAAATTGGGAGATCCTTCTCAGAAGAAACTGAAATGTCTTCAATAAAGATCCCCAAATAATACACTGAGGTCTCCCAAATGAAAAGCTAGTCAGGCTTCTAAGGCCTCACACTGAGTGCTATCAGTTAACAGAAATCCTGCTTCCAAATAAAGCAGGCCAGGGACCACCACACATTGGAGGGAAGCCTCCAAGAAAAGAGATCAAAACAATAGAAAAAAGGAATTGATAGGACCAGTCAAAATCAGGAGCAAAACTTAAAAAAAAAACCTTAAAACACTCTCAAAAAATATAAAATTCAATAGAAATAGTAGAGGATAAAGTCACAGAATATCCCAGAACTAGAATAAAAAGACAAACTGAAAAAAATAGAAGGGGAAAAATTAAAAATCAATGCAGGTGTACTGGTCTAAGCAGCCTAGCATCTGAATAACAAGACTATCAGTAAAAAAGTAACAGAGAAAATAAAAAAAAATTCTCAAGAAGAGATAGTCTGCAGGTTTAGTAGCCTCAATAAAATGAAAAGATCCCCAACAAGCTGTTATAAAATTTCAGAACCTTAGAGAGAGAGATTCTAAAAAGCTTCCGCAGATAACTAAAACCTGGTTGTAAATAACGTATCACACACTGGCAATAGATTCAAGAACAACACTGTAATAAGAGCACAACTGCCTCTGCCTCTGCCTCCTCTGCCTCCTCTGTCTCCTCTGCCTCTGCTGCCTCTGCCTCTGCCGCCTCCGCCTCCGCCTCCGCCTCTCCCCACAGTCTCCCTCTGATGCCCAGCCGAAGCTGGACCGTACTGCTGCCATCTCGGCTCACTGCAACCTCCCTGCCTGATTCTCCTGCTTCAGCCTGCCGAGTGCCTGCGATTGCAGGCGCGCGCCGCCACGCCTGACTGGTGTTCGTATTTTTTTGGTGGAGACGGGGTTTCGCTCTGTTGGCCGGGCTGGTCTCCAGCTCCTAACTGAGAGTGATCCGCCAGCCTCGGCCTCCCGAGGTGCCGGGATTGCAGACGGAGTCTCGTTCACTCAGTGCTCAATGGTGCCCAGGCTGGAGTGCAGTGGCGTGATCTCGGCTCGCTACAACCTCCACCTTCCAGCAGCCTGCCTTGGCCTCCCAAAGTGCTGAGATTGCAGCCTCTGCCCAGCCGCCACCCCGTCTGGGAAGTGAGGAGCGTCTCTGCCTGGCCGCCCCATCGTCTGGGATGTGAGGAGCCCCTCTGCCTGGCTGCCCAGTCTGGAAAGTGAGGAGCGTCTCTGCCCGGCCGCCATCCCAACTAGGAAGTGAGGAGCGCCTCTTCCCGGCCGCCATCCCATCTAGGAAGTGAGGAGAGTCTCTGCCCGGCCACCCATCATCTGAGATGTGGGGAGCGCCTCTGCCCTGCCGCCCCGTCCAGGATGTGAGGAGCGTCTCTGCCCGGCCGCCCCGTCTGAGAAGTGAGGAGACCCTCTGCCTGGCAACCGCCCCGTCTGAGAAGTGAGGAGCCCCTCCGCCTGGCAGCGCCCCCGTCTGAGAAGTGAGGAGCCCCTCCGCCCGGCAGCCACCCTGTCTGGGAAGTGAGGAGCGTCTCCGCCTGGCAGCCACCCCATCCAGGAGGGAGGTGGGGGGGGTCAGCCCCCCGCCCGGCCAGCCGCCCCGTCCGGGAGGTGAGGGGCGCCTCTGCCCGGCCGCCCCTACTGGGAAGTGAGGAGCCCCTCTGCCCGGCCAGCCGCCCCGTCTGGGAGGGAGGTGGGGGGTCAGCCCCCCGCCTGGCCAGCCGCCCTGTCCGGGAGGTGAGGGGCCCCTCTGCCTGGCCGCCCCTACTGGGAAGTGAGGAGCCCCTCTTCCCGGCCACCACCCCGTCTGGGAGGTGTACCCATCAGCTCATTGAGAACGGGCCATGATGACAATGGCGGTTTTGTGGAATAGAAAGTGGGGAAAGGTAGGGAAAAGATTGAGAAATCGGATGGTTGCCGTGTCTGTGTAGAAAGAGGTAGACATGGGAGACTTTTCATTTTGTTCTGTACTAAGAAAAGTTCTTCTGCCTTGGGATCCTGTTGATCTGTGACCTTACCCCCAACCCTGTGCTCTCTGAAACATGTGCTGTATCCACTCAGGGTTGAATGGATTAAGGGCGGTGCCAAGATGTGCTTTGTTAAACAGATGCTTGAAGGCAGCATGCTCCTTAAGAGTCATCACCACTCCCTAATCTGAAGTACCCAGGGACACAAACACTGCGGAAGGCCGCAGGGTCCTCTGCCTAGGAAAACCAGAGACCTTTGTTCACTTGTTTATCTGCTGACCTTCCCTCCACTATTGTCCTGTGACCCTGCCAAATCCCCCTCTGCGAGAAACACCCAAGAATGATCAATTAAAAAAAAAAAAAAAAAAAGAGCACAACTGCAAAATGTCTTCAGAACCATAAAATTTAGATTCAACCTAGAGGTGTACTCTCTATCAAAGAGGAGGGATTTTAACATCTCCACCCAGGAAAATGTGTTCAAGTACAACTAGAGACCATAACAGGACAGAAGGAAACACAGAATCTAGGACACAGGCGATCCCACACAAGACAGCAGTTACGTGAGATCCCAAAAGACTTTAAGGAGTTAGCCCAGAAAAGCAGACATCAAGCATATCTAGGGAAACCCACGCTATATTGAACTAGGATGACAAAAGGCCAAAGAAAGTTGCCCCCCAAACAAACATAAAAAGCAACAGGTGTGTTTTCGCAGATGGAAAATATCTTTGAAAGGCATGTGATAAATGCTACAATACTTGGGGGAAAAACAGCTGTTAGAAAACAGGCAAATGAATATAGTCAGAAAATTAGCTTCATGCTAAAAAATAATGGATGTGAAAGCAAACAGAGCACCCAGAGGCTACTTAACGATATTTGGATAGATAAACTAACGTAGGCTAGGAAAAAAGAAGATCCAGAAGAATTGCAGAAGTGCTCAGATTTCAGAACTGTTTCAGAGACAGGATGAAGGACATGTAATGCAGAGGCACAGTGAAAACACCATATGACTTAGCAGTGAATAATATTTGCAGAGTCATAATCATGTAAATATTACTGATTTAATTAAAAAGTGTGCTACAATTGGAAGAAACACAGGGAGAAACATAAGATCATGGTGTAGCGGGGAAGGTATGCTTTTACCTGCTGTGATAGAAAGTCAATAGACAGTGCTGGCAATTAACTTAGCTATTCTATTTTTGTTCTTTCATTAAAAATAAGATTAAATATTTAAGGCACTTTTTTTTTTTTTTTTTTGAGACGGAGTTTCGCTCTGTTGCCCAGGCTGGAGTGCAATGGCGCGATCTTGGCTCACTGCAACCTCCGCCTCCTGGGTTCAAGTGATTCTCCTGCCTCAGCCTCCTGAACAGCTGAGATTACAGGCATGCACCACCACGCCCGGCTACTTTTGTATTTTTAGTAGATACAGAATTTCACCATGTTGGTCAGGGTCGTCTCAAACTCCTGACCTCAGATGATCAGCCTGCCTCGGCCTCCTAAAGTGCTGTGATTATAGACGTTAGCCACCATGCCCAGCCTTAAGGCAGATCTTTTGAACCAGACTATTGAAATTTAACTTAAATGTCAGAAATCTTTAAAAGGTGGACACGCTAAGCTAAACACTTTTCTGGATAAATTTAATACTCAGGAAAATAGAAGAGATTTAGAAAATCCACAAAAAGAGGTCCATGCTACCACCACCAGGTCCACATTGTAATTTAAAGAAATCAAGAGAGACATCCTTTTATGTCAAACTATCAATTTCTTAACTATTTGAGTGTTTACTTACATGGTTTGTACAGTTGCTTCTTCTTATTTCTACAACTAAGAATAAAAAAAAAAACTGGTCACTTCTGATACAAATACCATAAAATAAAAGTAGTTGTTAACATCTTACTGATTACTCCTATGTAAAATGAGACAAAATTCCATTTAAAAAAATAATTTTCAATAATTTATAATTTAAATTATCTGGCATGATTAATTTCATAAGTCAAATCTAAAAACTTAGTTTTTCATTTAGTTTACTTTTTGTTTCTATTACATACAAATGAAAGAATCCTCATGTACAAAAGAAAAGGGCAAAAAAATTAGGCCAGATGAAAAATTTAGCTAATAAAAAGTTTAACTGTTGCATATATGAGCCATGATCCATTAGTATTCTCTAATTCTGCATTTACACATAGCTTACTTTAATTATCAGACTCTAAGAGCTAACAACTCTAACAACTACTTCCTGACCAGACACCTATCTCTAGATGCAACATAATCCCTGTAAGCATCTTGAACCACACTTAGTGGTTATCTACTAATATGTCACTAAAAACAAAACAAAATTAAAAAACGGTCTTTACACAACTGGAAAGTAACCTATCTTAAATTTTTTTTTTTTTTTTTTTTTTTTTTTGAGATAGAGTCTCACTCTGTCACCTAGGCTCGAGTGCAGTGGCGGGATCTCAGCTCACTGCAACCTCTGCCTCCTAGGTTCAAGCAATTCTTCAGCCTTAGCCTCCTGACTAGCTGGGACTACAGGCACGTGCCACCATGCCTAGCTAATTTTTTTTTGTATTTTTAGTAGAGACAGGGTTACACTGTGTTAGCCAGGATGGTCTTGATCTCCTAACCTCGTGATCCACCCACCTCAGCCTCCCAAAGAGCTGGGATTACAGGTGTAAGCCACAGAGCCTGGCCTAAATTTTGATGTTAAAATGAGTATACAAACCTAATTGGACATGGTGTCTGCAGCACAAAAAATCATTTTTTTTCCCTAAAAAGAGGCCAGAATAATAAAAGCCCCAAGAGGGACTTGGGCCATGCTTTGTTTCCCACACTGCCTCTGCCTTTGATGCTGGAAGGGCCTTGTAGGCAAAAGTTCCTACCACTGAAGAGTGAGGGACATGGAATAGCTTTTCTTTTACTGCTTCCATGCTCTCTAGGTGTGAGAAGCCCATGGCTCCGGAAGGAACTGGGAAATACAATTCTCATATGTTTTGGATATGTTGCCCCTCCAAGTCTCATGTTAACATGTGACCCTTAATGTTGGAGATAGGGCCTAGTGGGAGGTGTTTGGGTAATGGCAGTGGATTCCTTATGAATGGCTTGGTCCCATCCCCATGGTAAAAAGCAAATTCTTATTATGGTAATTTAAAAGACTGTGGTACTGGCCAGGTGCGGTGGCTGAAGCCTGTAATGCTAGCACTTTGGGAGGCTGAAGCGGGTAGATCACTTGAGGTCAGGAGTTTCAGACCAGCCTGGCCAACATGGGTGAAACCCTGTCTCTACCAAAAATACAGAAATTAGCCAGGTGTTATTGTGCCCACCTATAGTCCCAACTACTCGGGAGGCTGAGGCAGGAGAATTGCTTGAACCTGGGAGATGGAGGTTGTAGTGAGCCAAGATCATGCCACTGCACTCCAGCCTGGGCAACAGAGTGAGACTCCATTTCAAAAAAAAAAAAAAAAAGAGTGTGGTACCTTCCCCCTTCCCCTCTCTCCTCCCTCTTTCACTGTGTGGAACCACCTGCTTCCCCTTTGCCTTTTATCATGATTGTAAGTTTGCTGAGGCCCTCACCAGAAGTAGGTGTTAAAGCCATGTTTGTACAGCCTGAAAATCTTTGAGCCAATTAAACCTCTTTTTGTTATAAATTACCCAGCCTTAGGTATCTCTTTATAGTAATGTAAAAAATGAAGACAAATTCTAACCAGAAATAACTGACTCAAGATGGGCAAAGTCTACTCAAACTATAAAAACAAAGGTTACAAACTCCCGTGTTTTACTGTGCTGCATTACTTCGCATATTATTATAGAACCCTCACTTGTATTCTTGCTGTTTAAGTCAACTGGAAAACTTGGCTGTGTATGGCTTGTTGGCAAATAAATGAGGATTTAACATAACATTAAGGGAAATAAGCAGGAGTAGGGCATGTTTAAATTTACATTACATCAAATGAAAAAGTTAATAACCTAAAACTTTTGAGTAGCATAAACTTGGATGTGGTAAATGAATGTGGTCAGAGGTCTGCGTAAGAGGAGGCCCAAATCACAGATTCAATCCCTGATGATAAACAACTATGTTTTTTAATTTGTTTAAATGAAAACCAAGCTGAAGCCTAAGTTCTATCATTCATCTTTAAAGTGTACTTTTTGGAGCAAGGGAAAAGGGATTATAAATAAAGATAAATCCATTAATTATAAATAAAGATAAATCCAAAAATTATAAAGAGAAATCCATGACTCCTCCATCACATGACAAATTAATTGTGTTGATAAAAAGATGGCAAAATGTATAAACAAAAAGGTTACACGTTTTCACTAACATCATAACAACTAAAGGAAAGTATATCACATATTAAAATAAGACAAGTGAACATGTGAAAGGGTGAAAAATTTAAACCAATATGAGTTTTTCTAAATACTTTCTATAACCTGATCAAACAAGAGCTTTTATTCTTTCTCTTGGCGGAAAAAACAATGTTGTCTCACCATCTGTTTGAGAGTTCCTCTGGAATATTGTGCTTGCCTCTGGATTGGCAGAAGGGTTAAACTCCAAAGCTATATGCATAGAGGAAGAAAAGAAAAAAAGATGTAATCATTGATAAAAATTTATCAACTCGTTTATTCAACTGCTGCATTTAGGCTATTTCACTATCTCTACTTTGATTCTTATACATTGAAATGAATGTATAGACATAAGATAGAGCCAGGCAAGATGGCACATGCTTGTAGTCCCAGCTACTCAGGAGGCTGAGATGGGAAAATCACTTGAACCCAGGTCAGGAAGTTGAGGCCAGCACGAGTAACACAATGACACCCTCCTTTATTTAAAAAAAAAAAAAAAATGAAGAGGTAAATTTTGGCTTTGAGTTGTGTAAAATCAACTTTGCATAAAATAAATCAAGATGGCAGTAAGTTTTAAAAGACAGGTCTATTTTACAGGCAAAATATAAGATGTATTCTAGAGTTTTTAAAATTTTTAAAAAGTAAATTCATCATATCTGTCACTTCCATTTCATTCTGAGGACACAGAACCTTAGTTCTCTTGAGTAGCTGTCTTCCATAGTCATGTGATATCTCTAAGTTTTCATTTCTTCATTAGCAATACATAGGGAGAACATACACAGGCCTTATTTGTATTGGAAAGGGCCAAGTGAGACTACATAAACTGTGTTGTAATCCTAAAGAATGACAATAAAGAGCCATTTTTGGGCTCTCATCCAACACTACCCATCTACTAACTGGTGTGTAACATCCATCAGGCTTTCCTAACATCACCAAGCAGAGTATAAGTTTACACAAGTACTTATGTGCTTTGTGTATAAAGGTACAATCAATTAATTCACATAATACATTTGTTTATTCTAAAGCAATCCTTAAATATCTTGAAATGTGAAGATAGTACTTCCAAGTTACAAAGTCACACTCATAATGAGTCTTAATTATCCTACCTCTTTAAAAATTAAGAGCCCAACCAAAGTTTAAATAGAAGAGCTATAAGACATTTCCTCTACAGTAATGAAATCTCTGGCATTTAAATGAAACCAATAAGCCAACTGGATTTAATATGTTTATGATGCAATGTTTTCTATTTTGAAAATTTCAGTTTTTATTCAAGAACCATATTATTACCCAGAATTACTTTTACTTAGATTCATCTCTTTGCAAAATTTTAGAGGCAAACCAACTAATTGTTTTCTCTTTTCTACCAGCTCCCATCCCCTGCCTCTGCCAGCAGTGTAGAGACTAAAAAACTCCAACTTTCTTTCCTTTTTTTTTTTTGTGAGACGGAGTCTCGCTCTGTCACCCAGGCTGGAGTGCATTGGCGTGATCTCTGCTCACTGCAACCTCCACCTCCCAGGTCCAGGCAATTCTCCTGCCTCAGCCTTGTGAGTAGGTGGAACTACAGTCATGCGCCACTACACCCAGCTAATTTTTGTATTTTTTTTTTAGTAGAGACAGCGTTTCACCATGTTGGCCAGGCTGGTCTCGAACTCCTGACCTCAGGTGATCTGCCTGCCACGGCCTCCCAAAGTGCTGGGATTACAGGCGTGAGCCACCAAGCCCAGCCAAAACTGTAACTTTCTTATCTTTGAACAAGATGCTATTGTCAGGAGGGGAAGGGACAAAGGGGGAGCCACGGCAACAAACACTCTTACAGGGAAGGTCTGACATTTTAACCTGCAATCTTTATATTACATATTAAAAGTCTACATTGACATTTCATGTCTTTTGAAAGTGTTGACCATGAACCAATCCCCACCTCTCTTTTAGAACAAGGAGGTAAATAAAGTCTGTTAAGTCACCAGCATAAATCTGGAGACACATTTTCTGTTAAAGTAAGAATTTTAAAGTAATCAGAGCCTCATAGGTAAACTCCTTTGAGAAACCCCAAACACACACACACAACCATTTTTCTGCAGCCCCGGCTGTGACATTTCACACCTTTCACAATTATTTTAAGCACTCTTTTTTCTTTTTCCTTCTGTGTTCAAATTACAGTTAGAAGAAACTAAGCAGCTTCTATCAAGGTGACTTAAAGCAGCCCATTAAGAATACCATATAGCCTCTCCCGTGGCAACCTCCATTCTGATTTTAAATAAGAAACCCCCAAATATTTGAATAGGAACTGTCCTGAGATTTGGCTACTTTAACAAAGGAAACAATTAGGCACTTACCTGGTTCCTTCACTTAGGTACCATCTGGATAGGTACAAAGAAAAAATAAGATGGGTACTGAAAAGTTGGGATATTTGAGTTTTTATTGAGAAAAGGAAGAGAATAGCTCAAAGAAGCCTAAACAAAGTCCCACAGGATAATAAACAGAGCTACAGACACTGTTGTCTCACCATCTGTTTGAGAGTTCCTCTGGAATATTGTGCTTGCCTCTGGATTGGCAGAAAGGCTAAACTCCAAAGCTATATGTATAGAGGGAGAAAAGAAAAAAGATGTAATCATTTATAAAAATTTATCAACTCATTTATTCAACTGCTGCTTATTTGACAAGAGCCATAAATAAATGGTCCCATGCCAGCCTGGGAGAATGAGATGAGAGAGCAAGAACTGGGCGATTGGGAGGGGAGGCGAAAAGAAACTGACTGGACTCGGTGAGGAAAGACTAAGGGGTGGGAATTCAAGGCAGAGCCAGCTTTTGTTCCTGGCCAGCCCCCGGGAAAGCTGGCTACAAGCAGAAAGGAGCTCAAAGTGGGGGATGCCGTAAAGGGAACCTTGGGGACAGCAGCAGCCAGAGGCAAACCGAGGGTAGATGGCACCTATCACCTCCTTACCTTCAGGCATCTCCTGGTCACGAATGTGGTGCATGTGGAGGTCCTCACCAACTTCAACGGTCACCTCAGCAGGCTGCACAGCAGCAGCCATGGGCGCTCCTGCCATCCTGTCCCCAGCTCCTGCCTCATAGATCTCAGATTCAGAGGGACACACCGACCCCTGTTGCTGGTCAAACTCGAGGCTGACGCTAGGGTGCACACAACAGGTCAGTATGTTCCCCATGGGGCGCCTCTACTGTCTGCCACCACCTGTGCCTCTGCTCACAGCTTTGGCCACACACTCCCACTGTCCTAGGCCGAGGCTATGCTGCACTTGCAGAGATGGTCTTCCCGCTCCTCGCCTGCCCACCTCACAGCGCGGCCCCGGGCACCATCCCTGGCCCCGGCCCCGGCCCCGGCTAGGGCTGCGGGTCAAGGCCCACACCCTGCTGCCTCCCCTGAGTTGACTTGTCTGGGAGGGTGAAGACCAGCTGGCTTATTTAATAGGTTGTGAACCCAACAAGCGCTGAGAGACACAACAACTGCCTGAAGAGAGAACAGACGGAGCTCCTCCTCCTTCTGTAGTCACCTACAGACTGAAGCCCACTGGCCCCAGGTGGGAGCCCAGGCATGTGGCACAGAATGCCCCACCCCACACTTCACAATGCCCTCCCCGACACCTCACAGTGCCCCACCCTGCCTGCCACCCCTCCCCAACAGCTCAGAATGCCCCTGCCTTGGCTGCCCCACCCTGTGGCTTATGATGCTGCTGCTCTCCTGGCCCCTCGTGCAGTGCCAGTGGGACTAAGGTTTTCATTCATCACCAACTTCCTGAGATTTTAGTCCTAAGAAAAGCACAGGGTAGTTCATTGCTTGAAGCCATCTTCCTCTATGAGTTCTATACAAAGCCTCAGTAGAGTGGGTCCCATTAGCAACCAAGTTGAACAACTTTTATTTGCTGACTGAATATAGATACACCTGAATTGTTGACTGCTTTTGTAACTAAACACTCCTCTCCTGTCTTCCAACGAGTGGTCATTTTTGTCCGCAACGTGACCACAGCAATCCCTGCGGCCCTAGCTCTACTCTCAATAAAGAGTTATGGCTGTGTGTTTTGAATGACACCTTAGGACCCATCCTGCCTCCACCTCCTTCTCCATAAAATAGAAACCTAACTTGTCCCTCCAAGCTCTGAAATGCTGAAACTTACCAACTCCCTTTTCTCCCCGCTATTTCTTCCTTCCATGGCAGGGACTTTCAGATTTTCTTTCTTTTACTAACAAGGCACTAAGCATGATTTTCTCATACAGAATCGAGAGCCATAAAGTGGCTTACCACAGTCCTATTTCAATAAAGATGAATACTTGACATCTGGCAAGTAGTGTGTGCCTGACAGTGTCCCCACTGTGCTATGCTCATTTAACCCTCAGAAACAATCTCATGTTACAGATTTTACAGAAGTTGTTGAGACGGAGAAGGTAAGTAACCTCCCCAAGGTCACATGACTGCTAAGGGTGGGGCCCTGGTTTGATCCCAGGTAGTCTGAATTCCCCAATTGCTTAAGCATGATTATCAGAAAGTATAGCAATCTGTTTTCACACTGATATAAAGAAATACCTGAGGTTGGGTAATTTTTAAAGGGAAGAGGTTTAATTGACTCAGTTTCACATGGCTGGGGAGGCCTCAGGAAACTTACAATCATGGCAGAAGGGCAGGTCCGACTTACATGGTGGCCGCACAGAGAGTGGCAACATGTGAAGGAGCAACTGTCAAACATGTATAAAACCATCAGATCTCAGCTGGGCATGGTGGCTCACACTTGTAACCCTAGTACTTTGGGAGGCCAAGGCAGGTGGATCAACTGAGGTCAGGAGTTTGAGACCAGCCTAGCTAATGTAGTGAAATCCTGTCTCTACTAAAAATACAAAAATTAGCTGGGTGTGGTGGTGCATGCCTGTAATCCCAGCTACTCAGGAGGCTGAGGCAGGAGAATTACTGGAACTCAAGAGGCAGAGACTGCAGTGAGCCAAGATCGTGCCATGGCACTCCTGCCTGGACAACAGAGCAAGACTCCATCCTAAAAAACAAAACAAAACAAAACCCTATAAGATCTCATGAGGACTTACTGAATATCACAAGAACAGCATGAGGATAACTGCCCCCGTGATCTGATCACCTCCCCCTAGGCCCCTCCCTCAACACATCAGGATTATGGGGATTATAATTCATGATGAGATTTGGGTGGGGACATGGCAAAACCACATCAGAAAGTAAAGGTAGAAGTCAAGCTTGGATGGGAAATGACATTGTAGATTATTATTATTATTATTATTATTTTGAGATGAAGTTTTGCTCTTGTTGCCCAGTGAAATTGTTTCTCTAATTTCATTTTCAGATTGTGTCTTGTAGATGTATAGAAATACAATTGATAAATGATTCTGGCTATTAACGTTTTATGCTTCAACCTTGCTGAACACTATTTTTTTTTTTTTTTTTTTTGAGACGGAGTTTCGCTCCTGTTGCCCAGGCTGGAGTGCAATGGCGTGATCTTGGCTCACTGCAACCTCCGCCTCCCGGGCTCAAGCGATTCTCCTGCGTCAGCCTCCCAAGTAGCTGGGATTGCAGGCATGCGTCACCATGCCCGGCTAATTTTGTATTTTTAGTAGAGACGGGGTTTCTCCATGTTGGTCATGGCCTGCCTCAGCCTCCCAAAGTGCTAGGACTACAGGCATGAGCCACCGTGCCCAGCCAGATTCGTATATTTTTAAAAGAATTTTTTTTACTTTTTTTTTTTTTTTTTTGAGACAGAGTCTCACTCTGTTGCCCAGGCAGTGGCACAATCATTGCCCACTGCAACCTCCACCTCCTGGGTCCAAGTGATTCTCATTCAAGTGCCTAAGCCTCCCAAGTAGCTGAGATTACAGGATCCCGCCCCCATGCTCAGCTAATGTTTGTATTTTTAGTAGAGATGGGGTTTCACCATGTTGCTCAGGTTGATCTCGAACTCCTGACCTCAGGTGATCCACCTGCCTTGGCCTCCCAAAGTGCTGGGATTGCAGGCATGAGCCACCACTCCCGAACAGAACAACATTTTTTTGATGTGGATTTTAAAATGCCTCCCCTTCTTTCAACATTGATTAAGTCCCTTCTACATGCCAGGCACTGTATGTGTGAAATAGTCCCAACTCTCAATGAGTGTAGGCAGATACACAAACAAAGGCTTAAGGAGGTCAGTTTTCTGAGACCATACTGCTGGATAGTATATGAACCTGGGATACAAATCCACCTCTATTTGACCTCAAATTTGATGCTGGGGTGGTTTTAATTTTATTCTGGGAATTTCAGTCATTGAACCATAAAAAGGTGAAAAGTCTCTGTCAGATGTGTGTGTAGTGGTCTGTATAATAAGGACTGAAGGAAGCAACCAAACCAATTAAGAGACTTTCTCTAAAGGCAGAGTAATGCTAAGGGCAGTGGCAGTGACAAAAGTGGAGGAAAAAATCTGTGATCATTTGGGAGACAGAATAGGAAGTGCTTGGTCATGAGATGTGAAAGAAGAGGGGAAGTAGAAGGAAAACAGAGCTGCTCAGGCTCTGCTGGGGAAGACTGGGTATGTAGCAGTGCCTTCCTCCTGGCCGAGAATGTAGGAAGAGAAATAGGTAAGGAGGAAAAGATAGTTTTTTACTCTCAGTGTCACATTAAAATGGAACTCTCTGGTCAAAAGTTGAATATAAATCTCTGTAGGCTAAGTCCATTTGTGACATCCCAACATATGTTTTCAAAAATAACATACTAAATCAAGCCATTAAGTGTAACTGGGGAAATTTCCTAAAATTTACATGCTAAAAAATCACCATTTTTCATTTATTAGTTTCATGGAGCAACTTTGAATCTATGGTTACAGCAAGTGAGACACCTTGTATAAAATAAAACTAATACATGAAAAAAAAACATTTAAAATTCTATTGTTCTCAGAGAATGGAGAAAGCAATTGAAGCCATGGGCGTGGAGGTGACTGCCTTGAGAAGTTGTGTATAGTAAGGAGAACTGGGAAGAAAGAAGACCTGGAGAATAGGGTGATTTACACGGCATTAAGTGAAGCTTGCAAAAGTGAGCACTGAGAATCAAGAGACCTGCGTATGAATCAGGAATGGCTGCTCCTATGAGTTGTTAGAAAGGAGATGATGCCTTCTTTTCATATCTATAACAGCAGCACCTAGCACAGTGCCTGTTCAAAGTAGTGAACTGGAGGTGAGAAAACAATCACACAAACTCAGGGCTTGTCTTCCCAAGTATTTGGCTGAGAAGAGAGATGTAGTATTAAAGGGAGATATGTGGTAAAGGAAGACTTTTATTCCAAGATTCAACAAAAGCGTGAGTATACTTCTATGTTAAAGGGAAAGAGCCAACAGAGAAAACACATTTTTGAGGTTAGAAGAGAAGGAAGAACTAATGCAGAAGGGCCCCAAAAGGCACAGGTGCATGCAATCCGGATCAGGGACAGATTAGCTTTGGACTCCTACAAAAGCAAGAAGGGAGAAAGGACCATGTGACTCTAGAGATATTTCTGGTAAAGGAAAGGTTTAGGAAAAGATCTTTTGATGACCTTTATTTTAACAGACTTTTTTTTTTTTTTTTTTTTTGAGATGGAGTCTTGCTCTGTCACCCAGGCTGGAGTGCAGTGGCACGATCTCGGCTCACTGCAACCTCTGCCTCCTGAGTTCATGTCATTCTCCTGCCTCAGCCTCCTGATTAGCTGGGACTACAGGCACCCGTTACCATGTCCGGCTAATTTTTTGTATTTTTAGTAGAGACGGGGTTTCACTGTGTTAGCCAGGATGTTCTCGGTCTCTTGACTTCGTGATCTGCCCACCTCGGCCTCCCAAAGTCTGGGATTACAGGCGTGAGCCACTGCACCCGGCTAGACTTTAAAAAAAAAAAAACTACTGTGGGAAAAAGGATATTATGTATAGAAAAGTCTACACTTCTTGATACAACTAACTAAAAAAAGCCTGATACACTAAACAAAACCCAAATAATGTCTTCCCTAAAAGTGGGTAACTTGAAAAGCAATTCAAGCAAAAATCAAGGAGTTCAATTATAAATATCAACAAAGTGAAAGATGGGTTTAATTTTTCCCACAAAAAGTTAAAAGAAATAACAGCAGCTTTAGAGGAAGAGGAAAAAATGAGAAAATTATATGCAGTTGCAAAATGTGTGAATATTTACAAACTCTAACATATAACTACAAAACGGACCAGAAGAATCATTATCATAGGAAGCAAAGGGTCATTTCAAAAATCAGAGGAGGGATGATTCATATTTAATTTAATTCTGTGGAAAAAATTTAAGTAACGTTTGAGGACAAAAATAGGTGATGTGTTGAAATGCGGGAAACCACAGTGGAAGGAAAAAGAATTCAAGAAAGCTCAGTTTCAGTAACCAGTATCCAGTAAAAATCCTCAGGACCTAGAGGCTACAATCTACATTAATAGTGTCTGAAGACCTAGAAATGTCATTAAATACCATTTTGGATAATTCTTGTAGACTTGAGATGATGTCTATTTAAAGTTACAAAATAGTGCCCATATTTCTGTATTCATTACAGAAAACAATTGGATATGGAAAAGAAACTAACATGCTATGCCACAATCTCTAAAGAAAGATTAGGGAAGTTTCAGCTTAAAGCAAGAATAATCACAATAAAGTTTTACAACCCTTTGCAAGCATATATGAAAAACATACAAAAAGTTTGTAATGATCTTTTCTTAAGCTAAGAGAACAGAAAAAATGAGAAAAATTAAATTATAAAATGAAACTTTGGTTTAGAGGTAAGAAACATTTGATGACAGTCAAGAGATCAGGGTTGTACAGTGTATTATGTGAATGTTGTGACTCATTGGTTTCATCTTGGATATCATAACTTGACATTTTGTAAAAGTGATTTTTCATGGGAGTTTTTTCAGGTGCCCTATAAAGTCCTGTCCCATGAGAAGCGAATAATAGTCTTCCACATTCTTGAGATATCTTAATGAATAGCATCTTCTACAGTCTTCCATTGTTTTGACCTTGGAGAGACACTCATTAGTGACTGTTAAGGTACCTGAGTTATTAGGTGCCTGTAGACTATGCCCAGTGATATGTGCATTAGGTACATGCTCCCTAGCTGTGCTGACACTGACTGAAGCTGTGAGGTTTCACAATGACATGTCAGCCAAATACATATGCTCAGATTTACCATTTATCAAGAGGTGTTCACACTATCAATTGTGCAATTATCATTCTACACACAGGAGTGATAAACGGAGTAAAAAACCACAGCCATGGATCGGGAGACCAAGGTACCTCCAGAGGAGTCCAGTGGGTCCAGAAGCCCTTTGGATGTTGGTCAGAGGCTCCTCTTGGGCAGAGATCACAGCAGCAGCCAACAGGTCTGGAGAAGTCCTTAGAGTTCTCATGGACAAAGTTTGTGAAGGCATCTTAGACAAGATCTTGTCTTTGCTGGTTTTATGATCCTCTGCAGATGGGTCTATTCTCATTATCTCAGCCACCTTTCACTTCCTATCAGTTCAGTTCAGGTCTCTCATGATCCCAGGCAGCAGTAGTTGTTATCATGTGAGTTCATTCATATATGTTTATCTCTTTGGGGATGGGGGGACAACTTCACTGTGGACTTAATTCTACTGGAGATGAGTGACCCCATTTTAAGACAATAGGATCACAAATTATTATCACATATCATCAGGGCAGACAATAGCTACAACCTGGGGCTGAAAGCAGGTAACTCCATTTATTCTGCAAACATTCTGTCTTGATTATGGTGCCAGTTGCTGTGAGGGATTTCCTTTCCACCACCTGTTTTTCACAAGGTTTGAGTCTGAACTGTTAACATTCTACTGATTTCTGGGTGAAGGGACTGACTGCACCATCCTAGCCTGTCAGAGCACTTGCCCCAATACTTCCACTTTAAGAGTTTTCCACCTTGTCCAGAACTACAGTCCATTAATCCCCTCATTTTCTCTCTTAAGAGAATAAACAGGCCAGGTGCGGTGGCTCACGCCTGTAATCCCAGCACTTTGGGAGGCTGAGGCGGGTGGATCATCTGAGGTCAGGAGTTCGAGACCAGCTTTGCCTACATAGTGAAACCTCGTCTCTACTAAAAAAAAAATCACAAAAATTAGCAGGGCGTGGTGGCAGGCACCTGTAACCCCAGCTACTTGGGAGGCTGAGGCAGGAGAATCCCTTGAACCCGGCAGGCGGAGGTTGCAGTGAGCCAAGACTGTGCCACAGAACTCCAGCCTGGGTGACAGAGTGAGACTCCCTCTCAAAAAAAAAAAAAAAAAAAAGAGAGAGAGAGAACAACCCATGTCAAGTACACACCCACATCCCTCTTATCCCAAATACCAAACACACAAAAATCCAATCTGTCTCCTTCTACCTAAGCAATTGTAGATAGTCACTTTCCCATAATTACCTTAAGCTCCCTGACTTGCTGCTCGTCCTTTCTCTGGCAAAATCTCATCCTTGGATGAGCCCGACTTCGTGTTTGCTCAATGACACCACTCACCTGAACCAGAAAAAAATATCAAAAAGTGGTCAGAGATATCATCATAAATTCAAATTATTTACATAAAAAATTGGCCCTAAATGTTTCCAGAAATCAATAAAAGTTTTGTTTCTCCAAAGACATCATTTCTTCAGAAACCCAACGTGTATAACCTATTTTTTCTATGTTCTTCTAACATTTATTCAACTTCTCTCATCTGATATCTTGCCAAATCATTCAAAGAGAAAATATATCCCATTAGGCAAGAGCCGACCATATTCCCATCACCTGAGAAAATCATATGCACAGGATGCGCCCACCTCACCTTTCTCTGCCTCATCATGTCAGAAAAAGTACCCCTCCATTTGTCACAAGGCAAATCTGAGATAAAAGATTTAGATGGCCTGTAATTCCAGCACTTGGGGAGGCCAATGCAGGCAGATTATTTGAGTCTAAGAGTTCAAAAGAAGCCTAAGCAACTTAGGGAAACTGCATCTCTCAAAAAAATACAAACCATTAGCCTAGCATGGTGGTGTGCTGGCACATGCTTGTAGTCCCAGCTACTCAGGGTGGGGAGCACTGAGGTGGGAGGATCACCTGAGCTGGAAGGTTGTGGCTGCAGTGAGCCATGATCACGTCACTGCACTCCAGCCAGGGCAACAGATATTTTTAAAAGGCTCTTCTCTTTTAAAAATAATCAAATAAACAGGTGGCCATGAGGCTGAGGTGGCTGCAGTGCACTCAATTCCTCCTTAAATAAACCAAAACTTGACTCAGTGTAAATAATAAAAGGAAACTTAAGCTTAACCAGTCAGAAACCACCAACTAATATCTAACTAGAGACTTTCCACTGTAATGTTCCAAATGAGGCCACTGCTCCACTTTACCCAATCAAGTATTTTTTCTTCCACATTCACCATATAAAATTCTTCCCCCACCCTCCCTAAGCCTCTCTGTTGGAACTCTGAGCTGCTTGCAGTCTGGAGCTGCCTAGTTTATACATTTCTGAATGCTCAAATATATTTTCTAATGTTTCAAAGTGGCTCTGGTGTAGGAGGTTGTTGGTGGAGTGACCTGAGAGTGTACAGGAATCGAGGCCATATGAGATCTCTGGACTCTGCACTCCATTTTGCTGTGCACTCAAAACTACTCTAAAATAATAATATATCTTTAAAAATCTATAACTATCACGTAGCCCTTTTCAAGTCTCCAACTGGTTGGAGCCAGTTCGATTAAAGCTCAGAAAAAACTGGTTAATAAGCTAGTTCTGACCCAACTGGCAAGAAGCGTTAGGAAAGACCAAGGCCAGGGGAGTATATTGCACATGCATGCACCAGGAAACTGGAGGAAGCTTGGAGGCCCTTCAGCCTGGTCCTGAGCCCGCTGAAACTGCAGTTACAGGCACAGATGCCTGGGGCACCAATCTGAATCTGCCAACATCCAAGGCCACATGAACACAAATGCGCAGAGTCTCCTCTGCGATCAGTAGCTAAGGATGTTAGGCCATGATTGGACTAGGATGGGAGATGAACTGAGAACTATAGATTCTGTAGGCTTTTGTTGTCTCTTCCCACCCCCAAGCAACAAGTGATGAACACACACACACACACACACACACACACACACACCCACACACACACCCTGTAGTGACTAACAGGATCTCCCTCCAGGGAATTTGCAGAAAGGGGAGCAGAAAACATCCCAGGGGCCTTTCACAGCTACTTCCTTGAGCCCCCTTTCAGACAGTGCTGTCTAGACCTGTCTCAGCCCAAGCATCACCACCCTGATATGCAGAAGCTGGCATCCTTACCTGAAGTTCAACATCAAGAAATGATCTCTTCTACTCAACACTGATAGAAATACCTCTAAGCAACATCCTCATTGGCAGGGGTGGAGTGGGGGAGTTTGTTAAGAAGTGAGGCCTCTGTCTACCACCTAGACAACCTGGAAATTTCCATCTATGCCACAAAGTCCAAATCACTGGCCACTGCCCCAGTGTATGGCAGATTAGAACATCTCTCCATCGGATCTGGGTTTCTATTCCATTGAGTGAAATGGCTTTTCTATTACAGGAACAGAATAAGGGATCAAAAGGGTCTTACAACTGAACTCCAGTGTACAGTCTGCACAGACACTAGGCTTGTGCAAATATGACGCAGCGAGGCCCCAGGACCCTTAAGCCAGCTGAATGTACTGAGTTTCAGGAAACAGTGAGATACATTCAGCAAAACAGTGGGCTTCATGCTGAAAGAAGTCAATCCAAGTAAACACACATCACACACACACACACACACACACACACACACACAGACACCCTAGTGGCCAATAGGTCCTCTCACCAAAAACCTGCGATCAGGAGAGCAGAAAGCCTCCCAGGGCTCCACCACTGCCCTTTCTGGAGCCCCTTATCAGACGGCCAGCCTCAGGACAGCACTGTCTGATCCTGGTCCAGCCCAAACCGCCATCACCCTGTGATGTGGGAGCAGGCCACTTCACCAGAACCTCTGTGGCAGAAAATTTCTCTTCCTTTTAAAATGATGAGGGGGAACCTTCAGACAGTGTCCTGATTAGGGTGGGTGGAGAGGGGGGTTTCCCAGAAAGTCAGGCAGGGCAGGGCAGAAGCCCTCTGGGTTAACTGTGTGCTTTTGATATGAAGGCAGGTAAGACTGGACAGGTGGGTGTGTTAGTGAGGGGATGGACTAGGGTGTGCTGAAGAACTCCACTTGGGCTCTGCACACCAGGGAAAAGGACCACAAAACATCCCATCTTCACTGCTCAGAGAAGGCTAGATCTGCTGTGAGCTAGAAAGCCATGTGGGGGCAGCTGATGAGTCATCAAATGGGAGAAATCTGAGAGCCATGTGTTCCACAGGCCTCTGGTCCTTGTTCAGGCAGCAGGGCACTGTGAGATGTGGCTCCTTGGCCCTTTCCAGCCACCACCTTGATTGCCTGCTGCAAGGAAAGAGACTGAAGCCCAAGAATGGGGTCTTGCTCACCATAGGATGATGGCTCAGTGTGCAGAGCTGAGCTATGGCCCAAGAGGCAGAAGGTGGGGATGACCCAGGCTGAGCTGGGGGATCCAACTGAACATGCACTTGCTAAGAAGCTGTGGGCTATCATGCCTTGGGACCCCAGTCTGGGTCTAGAATTGTAGCAAAACAGGCTACTGGGAAAAGTTCTTGGGAAGCCAACTCACTTTTGCTTTCATCCATGGGCAAACAAACCAACCCCCACCACTTCCCACTCCCTCTGAAAGCCACTTGGCCCTCTGATCGACCACACCACAATGGTGTCACTCTGTAAGGCACAGGTAGACAAGGCATCCAGCCATGCACACTCCAGGGCCCACACATGTCCAGAATACACTGGTTCTTGTTGAGACTCCACTCTTCCAGCTCAGACAGAAGCTCCCCAATCTCCTCAGCCACTCCCAACAACTGGAGGCCTGAAAACTTTCATGCATGCCGCTATGGTCTAAAGCACTTGTGGTGGTTTTGATTTTCATTTTCCTGATAATCAGTGATGCTGAGCACCTTTCCATATGCCTTTTCACCAACTGGATGTCTTCTTTGGCTAAATGTCTATTCAAATCCATTGCCCATTTACAAATCTGCTTTTTTGTGGGCTTCTTGACGTTTTTCTCTTTTTTTTTTCCTATTTATTTATACAAGTTCCTTAGGTATTTTGGATATTTTTAAAAATGATTTTCAATTCCACTGCCCAGTTATAAATCTTTTTTTTTTTTTTTTTTTTTTTGAGACAGAGTTTTGCTGTTGTTGCCCAGGCTGGAGTGCAATGGTGCAATCTTGGTTCACAGCAACCTCCACCTCCCAGAGTCAAGCAATTCTCCTGCCTCAGCCTCCTGAGAAGCTGGGATTACAGGCATGTGCCACCATGCCAGGCTAATTTTTGCATTTTTAGTAGAGGCAGGGTTTCTCCATGTTGGTCAGGCTGGTCTTGAACTCCTGGTCTCAGGTGATCTGTCCACCTTGGCCTCCCAAAGTGCTGGGATTACAGGCGTGAGCCACTGTGCCCGGCCAATTATCCCTTTCTGTGTTTTTTTTTTTTTTTTGGGGGTGGGGGGAAGAACAGAGTCTCGCTCTGTCACCCAGGCTGGAGTGCACTGGTGTGATCTCGGCTCACTGCAGCCTCCGCCTCCCAGGTTCCAGCAATTCTCCTGACTCAGTTTCCCGGGTAGCTAAGATTACGGGCGTGCAACACATGCCCAGCTAATTTTTGTATTTTTAGTAGAGACGGGGTTTCACCATGTTGGCCAAGCTGGTCTCAAACTCCTGACCTCAGGTGATCCACCCACCTCGATCTCCCAAAGTGTTGGGATTACAGGCGGGAGCCACCACTCCCGGCCCCATTTTGTGTTTTAACATCAGTCAACACTCGTATTTTAAAATAATAACAATGAATGGCGGTACCTTAGAACAAGGGAATTATACATCTTTCTCTTGTCCTAGTGCAGACATTTTGTCTATAAAATGTTATTCACAGATGAATTCATGAGAACTTTACTGTGAATTTTAAATCCATATACAAGTGTATGCTCGTTCATGAATATTTCAATAAAATAAAACTAACAGCAAAAAAGAATTCCAGAGTTGAAGCAGTTTCAGGAAAAAGGAGTTGGCAGTATAAAGTAAAATAGCAAAAAATGGGTTTTTTTTTAAATGGGTATATTTGTGTCTACAACTTTTTTTTAATTATAGCATTAGACAATGTGTATATATATATATACATATATAAAGCAATGGAAGTGGCATTGTTTTCATACTAGTCTAGAATATTAAAATATATGTAATATGTGATCAGCAAAATAACGGCCCCCCCCAAAGATGTCCACAGATTCCTAGAACCTTACATGAAAATGGTACATCATGCATGTGACTCAGGTAAAGACCTTCACATGAGGAGACTACCCTGGTGCTATGGAATGAACGTTGTGTTCCGTCAATGTTCATGTGTTAAAATCCTAACCCTCAAGGTGATGTATTAGGAGGTTAAGCCTTACATGAGACTCTGCCCTCATGACTGGGATTAGCACCTTATTAAAGGCACAAGGGAGCTTGTTTGTTCCTCTCCCCATGTGAAGACACAGCAAGAAGGAAGCCTCTATGAGAAAGCAGGCCTTCACCAGACACCAAGACTGCCGGCACCTTGATCTTGCACTTCTCAGCCTCCAGGACTGTGAGAAACAAAGTTCTATTGTTTATAAGCTACCTGGTCTAATGCATTTCCTTGTAGCAGCCTGTATGGATTACGACAGTGGGCTATGTGGATGATGACGGTGTCTCCATTCAGGACTAAGTAAGCACATGAGTCCTTAACAGTGGAAGAGAAGGGGGAAGGAAAGAGCCACAGAGACATGTGGCCATAGAAGACAGGTCCATGGGATGCAAGGTTGCTAATGGTGACAGTGGAGAAGAGCCCAAAGCCAAAAAATGCAGGCAGACTCCAGAATGTGGAAAAGGCGAGAAAAAAGATCCCCTAGAACCTCTAGAGATGAAGGTAGCCTTTCCACCACCTAGATTTTAGCCCAGTGAGATCCACATCATACTCTGACCTACAGGAGTGTAATAAATTTGTTTTATGCCCTGACATAGTGGTAGTTTGTTGTAGCAGCAATGGACTAGGAATATATAAATATATATACACACACACACAAACACTACCCCCCCACCACACACACACACACACACACACACACACATAACTATATATATCCTACCCTTCAAAATTGAAGCAGATAAACTACACATTAGCATTAACTTAGCTGGGTGTAGTGGCACATGCCTGTAGTCCCAGCTACTCAGGAGGCTGAGAGGGAGGATCATGTGAGCCCAGGAGTTTAAGATCAGCCTGGGCAAACACACTGAGGCCACATTTCGAAAACAAACAAACAAAAAAACACAACAAATCTTTGATTAAGTTCATTTCCCAAATTTGAAGAGGAGACAATTATTAGATAAAGAGGAGAAAAGAGAAAGGTAGAGCTGCTGACTTCTGTGGTGGAAGCAGAGGCACAGGCCCAAACATACTCCTGTCCTCCTGGCTTTCCTGTCCCTTCTCATAAGGGACACATGAACCTCTCAAACTGAACCATGGATCACAGACCCATACGCAGAACTCAATACAGTTTTGTTCTATGATTTTTTACATGTCTGTGTCCTTGTTTCTGCCTCCCATTCCCAACTCCCTTACTCTAGTTAGAAAAAAATGGCTATTACCAAATATGAGTACATCCTCATATACTAATGCCAACTGATCACCAGCTGGTTTTCTTCTTTTACAAAGTCATAAATCTTTAGACTTTAACACATCTTCCAAGAATAGAATGTTATTTTCCAGTTCATTAACACAAATTCTATATTTAAAATGAAGACTTCACAAGTTGATTTAAATAACATATTAACCAAAATAGACTGGCCATGGTTCAAACTGACATTTTAATTAAATGTGATGATAGGTTGAGTAACCTAGCAGTACTCTAAAATGACTTTTGGTTATGGCTTTTTCCATATTATGTTTAGGCTGAGGCATCCCTAAATGATTCAATTGTAATTCCTCTTCTTAAACATGAGATTTATCTTTACAAAATAATTTATTTTCTTAAAATTACAAGTTAATTCTATAGTTCATGCATACATAATCTCAGCAGATATTAGCTGTATGTGTACACACAAACATATAGGTATTTGTATATACACACATTACATAATTTTTTAAAAAACTTATTAGTAGGGTAGAACCACGAAGACAAAGAGGCTTTGTGTAATGTGATGGAAACACAATTGCAGGACGAACAACAGGCTGCTGTGAGGGCTGCATTTACCCTTTCTGCTGTAAGACTCGGAAAAACACGGATAGTGGATATTTAATCCGCATAACAGAAATTTCAGGGTGCAGAAAACTTCCCACAATTTTTATAGACAATGTCAATAGAAAGGCATTCAATGCAGGGAATACACAGTGTGACAGTATACAAAAATAAGCAGGTTGATGGTTTAGATTTATGAGACAAGAGAAAGAAATAGTAGATGATGCCATAATTCTCCTTTTATGGAGTTATGAAAATTGTTCATTTTATATAAGGTCAGGTGCTTTCAAATGTCAATGAGAAAAATATTCAAAGGAAGAATCAAATCTAAGACATGGAGAGATCTTTATAAAAATGACCTTCAGGCCAGGCACGGTGGCTCACACCTGTAATCCCAACACTTTGGGAGGCCAAGGTGGATGGATCACAAGGTCGGGGGATCGAGACCATCCTGGCCAACATGGTAAAACCCCATCTCTACTAAAACACAAAAAATTAGCCGGGAGTGGTGGTGTGTGCCTGTAGTCCCAGCTACTTGGGAGGCTGAGGCAGGAGAATTGCTTGAACCCGGGAGGCAGAGGTTGCAGTGAGCTGAGAGCACCACTGCACTCCAGCCTGGCAACAGAGCAAGACTCCATCTCAAAAAAAAAAAAAGAAAAAAAATTACCTTCATTCTGAGAAGGTATAATCATCAACACATTCTTGAGCACAACTATGCACATACGCACTTCCAAATTCACAAACCATGCTTGTGCACACACTGATGTCTCTAGATTCCTTTTTTGAAGAGAGGGCAACTTGGTGTGTCACCCAGGCTGGAGAGCAGTGTTAGGATCATAGCTCACTGCAGCCTCAAACTACTGGGGTCACATGATCCTCCTACATCAGGCTCCTCAGTAGCCTGAACTATAGGAATGAGCCACCATGCCCAGCCAATGTTTTCATTTTTTTGTAGAGATGAAATCTTGCTATATTGCCCAGACTGGTCTTGAACTCCTGGCCTCAAGGAATCCTCCTGCCTTGCCCTCCAAACGTGCTGAGATTACAGGTGTGAACCATTGTGCCCAGCAACCGGATTCTTTATTAAGAAGAAAATTTGTTTCCTGACATGTAGGCAATGAATTGATAAATAATAGTTCACAAATTACTAATTTACAAGTCAATATAAATGAGGTGAGTAAACACAAAAATAACAGCATAAATTAACAGTTCATGACTTCACGTTTCTTTTTCTCCTTTAAAATGTAGCTCTGACAGAGACTACTACTTGTCCATTCCATGGAAAAGTCAGAGGTGGTTAAAATGTCAGAGGTACACTTACTAATACTTTGCTGCCTTTTGTGTAGCTTCCTCTCAGTACTTCACCAGTTGGGATTGACACACCTCTACAGCTGGGTTCAGGAGCCAGACAGCAGCACACAGAACGGGGAATCCAAAGCCATCTCTGACACTAAAAGCAATGAAAACAAAAATAACCAAACATATTATCAAGAAATGAACAAGAGATTGATATCAAGTAAAGCAAGAAGAGAAGAAAGCATTTAATCTGCCAGGCTTTCATTCTGACAAAATAATTTACAACATGTATGTCTCTATCTGACATGAGTGAATAGAAAAAGAACCCAAATACCCAGTTGAATTGCAAGATGAAAATGAAAAAGAACTCTTGCTTATTTGCCAGGGTACAATCTAATCTGGGCTACTAAAACACTTTCATGCACTGATTCTATGTAACACATGCTTTATTGCCATTTGGAAATGGGATTTCTTGCTTTGATTTAAATATACTTCCTTGGATTTCTGCTTTAAGTATACTTTCTTAAACATATTCACAGTTACATTCTCAGTACAAATTTTCAGGTGTAAGTAACTACTTCTGCTTTTGATAGACAGTATAATTGGTGAAATAAGCTATACTTCCATGTAAATGTGAGAGTACAAGGTAAGATTCCAGCGTCAAGTAAAACATAACAGTCAAGAAAATAAAAAGGTGAGAGTAACTGGGCAGTGGGGAAATCTTGTGTGTGGAAAGAATGAATCTGTAAAACTGTTCTTTCCTAAGAGAGTTCAGCAGGATTTGGATGATAGAGAGCTTTGTGTACAAGGGTTCCAGTTCCACATAGTTTAGGTCTAATTTCAAAGGCAAATTCTAGTGCAACCTGTGACTCACGCTGTCCTAAAGTGCTGTATGTAAAGGGTCTGGAGATAACCCACAAGCAGCACTGTGAACCCCTGACAGCAAGCCTTTCCAGATAAATACCAGGTCAGTGTCTACAGCTGATGACAGAGCAGAATATCTGAAAAATAATACTTCTTCGGCCAATGGACTGCCAGTCACTATTATTTAGTGTAAAATACTGTATTACATATGTGTAATTTTTTAAATTGCAGTGTTTCACATCGAAGCAATTAAATATAAAAACCAAATGTTTATTCAGCTTAAAGGCAACTTAGAAATACTGATCCCAGATAGAAAGATGCTTTAGTCCCAAGTCCGCTGTTCTAAAATGCCACAACTAAACCAACAAAGGGATCTTGAAGCATAATAAGTGTTCATACCTTTTCAACTATACCTCTGCTTGTCTTGAATATAAAAACCTAAGCTGCAGTTATGCCACAGCACAGAATGTGTTATATTTTACATCACTGAGCCTTAGTTTTACAAATGGTAAAAAATAGGGAAGGTAAACTGAGGTTTTCTTAAGGAGCTGTTACATCCAACAGACTCATGAAAATCTTTGCCAAATGTCCCCGGTACATAGCTCCTCCCCACTGATGGGCTCAACGGGGAGAAGCTATGCACATGTCTCAATTTGCATATGCTCAATGGCAATACAGGATTCCCAGGATAAAGTAAGGGATATAAATGACACAGCACACTGAAAAGACTGTAATGTTACTTCAGAACGTTGCAAAATAAAGATCACAGATGAAAGTTTTAGTTCACTGAAGCATGTAGTCATGTATATTTTTCATTTGTGTGTTTTAAAGTCTTATACTGCTTACATTCTTCTTTTTTGTTTGTTTTAAAATAATTATATTTGGCTACAAAGATCAATAACAAGGATGATGTCAGTCCAGGTTGGACAGGCAGTTCTGGGGCAGATGTTCTTGCAGTGTTCTTTTTTTTTTTTTTTTTTTTTTTTTAGTATTTATTGATCATTCTTGGGTGTTTCTCGGAGAGGGGGATTTGGCAGGGTCATAGGACAATAGTGGAGGGAAGGTCAGCAGATAAACATGTGAACAAGGGTCTCTGGTTTTCCTAGGCAGAGGACCCTGCGGCCTTCCGCAGTTTTTGTGTCCCTGGGTATTTGAGATTAGGGAGTGGTGATGACTCTCAAGGAGCATGCTGCCTTCAAGCATCTGTTTAACAAAGCACATCTTGCACCGCCCTTAATCCACTTAACCCTGAGTGGACACAGCACGTTTCAGAGAGCAAGGGGTTGGGGGTAAGGCCATAGATTAACAGCATCCCAAGGCAGAAGAATTTTTCTTAGTACAGAACAAAATGGAGTCTCCCATGTCTACTTCTTTCTACACAGACACAGCAACAATCTGATTTCTTTTTCCTTTCCCCACACTTCCCCTCCTTCCACTCGACAAAACCGCCATCGTCATCATGGCCCGTTCTCAATGAGCTGCTGGGTACACCTCCCAGACGGGGTGGCGGCCGGGCAGAGGGGCCCCCCCCACATCCCAGACGGGGCAGCCGGGCAGAGGCGCCCCCCACCTCCCTCCTGGAAGGGGCGGCTGGCCAGGTGGGGGCTGCCCCCCGCCTCCCTCCCGGACGGGGCATTATACTGCTTACATTCTTATGTGGGAAAATATATCTTGTTTGGGCTTTCTGGATGAAATATGAACAGGCAAAACTAAAAATAATTTTACAACCCAAATCACCAGATGTTAATGGCTGGTAATTCAACCAGAAATCTGAAAGACAACATCTATTTCACTGTGATATCAGTGACAAGGAAGATTTTATTTGTGGTATTTAAGTGTAGTCCTCTGGAACAAATGACTTGGTTCACAGGCAGCACGCCCACTGCTGAACTGCCATGGCCTGACAGCCTGTCTTATTTGCCAAACTGTTCATTAGGTTTGGCAATCTTCACCTGTGCCTCCAGCTTATATTTCAGCAAATAATACATATCAGTCTGCTTTTGTCATCTTCTGCAGTGAGCTTCCAACACTCCTTTAGCATATGGTGCCCCTGCATCTGCAATCCTTCAAACATACCTTGTATACATGTCATTATTTTTCAACTGTCAATTCAGCTTCCAGCTTGGAGGCTAGCCTAGCTTAAATAAAGCAAAAATACAAGACAGAGAATACGCAAAGTAAGTCCTGCATTGTAAATATTAAGTGGGCTGACCAATCATTTAATTAACATTAAAAAAGAATACATTCACCATACAAATTTAATATTTAAATATTGATTTCAGAGCATATTTTGGAGTGAGGCACAGGTGACAATAGAGCAGAGGATTCCTCTCCCAATTGTCTCTGACCTATCCAACCTTTGTTACAGGTCAGAGAGTTCTCCAACTTATAAATAAACAACAGAGATAATGTGGCAACAAGGACACAGAGACGTACTGAGAGTACTGCTCAGCTCTCTGCCTAGGCCTGATTCTGCTGATCCCTGACAATGAGTGCTGTGAAATTTACAGCAGATCAATACACATACACACAAACACACAAAAGAGATACTTCATGGGCAAAAAGCACCAAAGATATACAATAAAATGTCTGAAAGACCATAAAACAACTTCTGATGAAATGCTGTTTTCATTTTGCAGAAGTAAAATATTCACCACCAACCCTGTAATTAGCTTAAAAATTACACTAAGTACAGTAATTTTGGATCCCATCTCCAATTCATACCTTATCGGCATGTAATAATCACACTGCATCTACAACAAAGCTGGAATAGACTTTATATGCTGAATACAACTTGTACAGTAAGAAGGTAATTTTTTGAAATACTGAGAATACAACATTTGTATGCCACACTCTACTGCACAAGTTAAAAGAAAATACAATCATTTCTATTCTCAAGTGTATTGAAATAAAATACAGAAAAGAGTATTCTAATACCAGTTAACATTAAGAGAATATATCTCTAAACCAAAGATCTTGGATCTTCCAGAAAGACAAAATCAACCTGTATATACTTGGGTAAGAAAAAAAAAATTAAGAGATCAAGAAAGGAGAGAGGATGTTAGCATAGAATCATCTCCAAAAATGGCTTTCCGATGCATTCGACCAGTTTTCAAGTCCATTTGTTTTTCCTCCTTTAGCATCAACAGCCTATATTACCAAGGAAATGCAAAATAATCCAATTTGTACATTAACCAGCTAATCTAGAAATGGCAATACAGTCAATGAAAATACAAAGAAATATAAAAATGTCAAGGAATTGTTTAAGATGTTTAAGATGATACAGCACAGGGAAAAAATGATCTGATAAACACTGGAAGAGTTAAACTCAGGCATGGTTTCCTAACACCACACTTCAAATGAACTTATAGAAAGAATAAAGGAATAATCCTCTAAAAAAAATCTAATTTTAGAAAAAAATTGCTCAAAAGGAAAGTTAGCATTTTGTACATCTTTTGGAAAGCTGATTAATTTCTAAGCTAAATGATGCTTAAGATAATCCTTAAGAGAAATGGCTGAGTCCAGGCCCAAGGCAGAAAGAGGGCAACATAAGCCTGGATACTTTTGTTCTGTGAGAAAGTAAGAAATGCTCAAAGATTAATAGAGACAGTTGAAAGGACACAGGACACAGGCTGAAGGCTCCCACGGTCGAATCTGGGACAGCATAGGCATCAGAAAGAACAATGACAGTGATGGAAAATAACCCATGGAATAAAATGCAAGTGCATTAGTCAGCAGAGATACCGAAATAAAAAGGAGAAGTGAAAGCTCTTTGTTAAAAATGCCAGCTAACAAACGTCGGAGGAATGACAGAGGAAGAACATCCATTTTAAGTCACCAGTGCCATAACTGATAAAGAAGATCATCAAGAGGCTAAAATCACTGCATAAAAGAAAACTATATGAAGCTATTTAACATAGCACGATATATAAAAGTATGAAAACATAAATTAGAAAAAATGAAAAATCGTACCATAGGAGATGAATAAGTTAGAATACAGCAATAATAGGCCAGCCGTAGTGGCTTACACCTGTAATCCCAGGACTTTGGGAGGCCAACGCAGGAGGATTGCTTGAGCCCAGGAGTTCGAGGCCAGCCTGGGCAACATAGTGAGAACTCGTCCCTAGAATAACAACAAAAAAATATTAGATGGGGGTGGTGGTGCACTCCTGTAGTCCCAGCTACTTGCGGGGCTGAAGAGGGAGGATCCACTTGAGCCTGGGAGTTCAAGGCTGCAGTGAGCCAAGATCACGCCACTGCACTCCAGCCTGGGAGACAAAGTGAGATCTTATCTCAAAACAAAACAAAAAAACCACAGTAACAAAAAAAAACACCAGGAACAACAAAATGACAACTACATAAAGACTGTATAGAAAACAAAACGCTCAGAATATAGAAATAAATTATGTATTTTACCTGTAACTATATTAGAAGAGAGTATTCTTGTAGACAAGGATGACCAGAAGGATATGCAAAAATGAAAATAGCTAATAACACTCATTATGTCAGGAACTTTAGTACGTAGTTTGTGCACATTGTAACAAATTACATACTAGATTATCTCAAAATTTTCAGATAAATTTTACTGGGAGTCATAAACTAATACAACAAAACCAATGTTTTGCAAACATCCACTAAGCATAAAGGTATACAAATTCCCAAGAAAGGCTGAAAAATAATTCACATAAGCCACACATCAGTGGAAACCTACCCATAGGAGATAATACAACATAATCTAAATAAAACTTTCAGAGACAAGGCATGTGGCTTCTGGACAGCCACAAACTCCCTGTTTCTGCTCTAGTGTTTTGGCCACCAAAAGAAAGCCAAGTGGCCTCAGGTCTCTTAAAAAACAAAAAAGCAACCTATGGAAGATGGCGTGGTATTTGAGGAATATTTGGGGTCTCTTGAAAAATGCATCCTGTATTTTATTTCAAGAAAAGACTCCCTCATAATGTCAGGTAAGTGAAGAGCCCTCAGAGACACATGCACACACAAAGAAAAACAAAACAACATAGAATGAATCCCACCAAAATGTGTTATGATGGCAGAATTATGGGTGATATGATCTTCTGTAATATATATTTTTATTAAAAATAGAAAAAAAGCAGACTTACCCTTGATTATCTATAGCCTCTGACCCAAGTGGCTTGGAATCAGAAAACAACATCACTCGACTTGAAGCCATCTTGGCATCAATGGTGGAGTGGGTGGAGATGAGACTCTGGACCAGCTCATGGGTGGGCCCCACCTCGTCCTGTCAAGACCACCAAGAAAGGGCACGTGAGGAAAGCACAAAGATCCTGGAGAGACACTGGTTTCACTCAGTTCTCAAAATTATCTTAGACACATTTCCTGAGAACCTTTCTTAATGCCTCAAAAACCAGAGAAGAAAATCCTTATAACAAAGCTTGAAATGGATCCCCATCTCCATTAAACTTTTCCAAACCTCAGTGAGTATACAACCTGATAACCTAAACACCTCGCTAGAAAAATCTCAGTTCCAATCCTACAACAATGCTAGCTTTTCTAACATTTTAAAATAACCCTGATTTTAACCCAATAAAATTCCACTTCAGAACTAAAAATACTGGAAATCCACTTTAAAATAAAGAATGAGGAGACCATTGTGAATGAGAAAAAGAAAAAGACCAATGAGAGCTGGAAAGCACACTGATTTTGTAGAAACGGAGATAAGCCGGGCAGGTGCCACACTGGCAGCAGTGCCCATGCTGGGGCCATGGATCAAGGAGGCATGGAGGACAGGACTCTTCTGCTTGGTACAATGAAAAAATGGTATTCTTTTTATTCTACATATTGACAATATGCATTTGGGCCTCTATTATAAGTACGAGAGAAAAATCTTCAATAAATAAAAGCTGAGTATATTACTTTTTTTAATTAAAAAATAGATTCGGAAAGAATAATGAGAGTTCAGAGCAATGACTCCTGCCTCACTGATGCCTGAAAACCGTGGCTGCCACCAAGGTCAACATAGACAGCGTCTTTGTCATACAGCACACCCCCAACTCCAAAAACAGGCGCATAAACCAGCTGCTCCTTCTTATTTAAACAGCACTTCTTTTGTTGTTCAGTAAGAGCACAAGGGTCTGGGAAGAAACTGATGTCACTCATGGCAAAATCTTCTACCCCTGGAAGACAGGACCCAAAAAGCCAGCTTCAACTGACAAGAAGTCAGTAAGTATCTACTGTTGACTGGGGGGTTAAAAACGATGCACACTCCAAGGGCTTAAACCATGACCCTAAAGAAGGGCATTGTGCCACACTGGAACAGTGGCCCTCTAGCTACAAGACAAGAGGTCAGAGAAGAGGCATTCGGTAACACCTTTGCAGGCCTACACATAGCTGGCTTACTTTTAAAACCTCCACCAAGGCCATCTTCCCTTGTTTGGTCATTTTTCAGTTTTCCTGAGAAATGAAGCCATCCCAAGAATCCTATGTGTGATTCTAGTATGTTCTACAACAAGAGAATACCTGGCATGTGAATTTGGCTTTTATTTTTCAAGTGCGCTCCTCTTAAATAACCGTAAAGTAACATCTGCTGGTCACATCTGATGTTTGTTTGGATATCCTCTGGGTTTGTCAAATCTTCCACCCTAGAAAAATAAACTCAATCATACAGCAGAAATGAATGCCAAAAGTTCCTATACCTCCTTTCATGTGTCAGTGACTCATCACACTCTTGTCCACTAAGCACATTGTTTAGAAAACTAGAAAATACAGAAATAAGGAAGCACCAGAGGAAAAGGGGCAGGCACACAACTGTGTCTCTAGGCTGAAAGTGACATTCATTCCGTAAGACACCAGACAGGGAGATGACGTCCACCTGGGGTCAGAGAAGAGTAAAGAACATATTCAGAAAATCCCTTTCTGGAAGAGGGTGAGCCTGTGCTCTGGGATTTGTACTGTGGCTTGGATTCTGGCAGGTGGAAAAAGGGTATTCCAGGCTGAGAAAACCACAGCACAAAGGAAGGAAACTGAAGGCACACACAAAGGACTCAAGCACCCAGGCACGAAGGCAGCATCACTGAAATCTGAGGCTGAACATAGGATGGGGCCACATCCTGTGGCCTTAAATGCTTCCAAGTCCTCCCACTTTCCTAAACATCTCATAGTTAATTTACTCCCAAAGGCACAGCATCTTTGAGCAATGATATCAGTAGACATTTTCCATCCACTACACTTCTACCCCCACTATTCAAATAGGCACAAAATAAATCCTGTCACTGTTCTTTTTCTAGCCTTTTTAGCTTTGAAATATATGGTCCAGGAATTAAAAGTTTACAATCACTTTTTACCTGTCTGCCAGGATATAAGGATGAGAAGTCTGCCATGTGAGAGGCCTAAACTTCATAACTGTAATAAAATGGCCCAGATTGTGCATTTCTTGGTTTTGATATTCTCCATGCACCATTCCAGAAAGGCAGAACAGCTTGGCAACCTAAACATTAAAGGAAAATTAAAAATTAAATTTCAACTAAATTCTTGTCAATACTGCAACAAAATAAAAGCTCTAAACAAGAAGCAATCCTAAGAAGGGAGACTTCCAGCAAAGCCACTGTCCTGAGGCTTGCAGAGCCTTGCTGGCTTCTTTCAGGACTTATTAGAACCACACAGAGGCAGACTGCTCTGCAGCCGAGCAGGGGCATCCATCTAAGTATGGTGAGGAGAGGGAGGTGAGGCCTCTGAGCACAGAAACGATTCTGTGGCTGATGGACCAGAGCAGTATGGAAAGGAAGGGGCAGTGCCTGGTCCTGTAACTGGGAGAAACTTCTGACGTACTCCATTAAGTCCCAACCCCCAAACACCCAGACACTGCCTGGTGCAGCAGGTACAGAGACAAATGAGATACACCAAGAGGCCCAGAATAACCACTCTTGAGGGAAACCTTCCAGAGACTGGGAACACATACGCAAAGGGAATTCAGGAGGCAAATCCTAGACAGACGTTTAGTAATGTCTCTTCAGTCTGTTTGTTTGTTTGTTTGAGACGGAGTCTCACTCTGTCACCCAGGCTGAAGTGCAGTGGTGCAATCTCAGCTCACTGCACCCTCTGCCTCCCAGCTTCAAGCAATTCTCACGTCTCAGCCTCCAGAGTAGCTGGGATTACAGGTGCGCGCCACCACATATGACTAATTTTTGCATCTTTAGTAGAGACGGGGTTTAGCCACATTGCCCTGAGCTCGAAACTCCTGGCCTCAAGCGATCCACCCACCTCTACCTCCCAAAGTGCTGGGATTACAGGCATGAGCCACTGTGCCCAGCCTCTTCAGTCTATTTTAAAAGGATTATACTGTTAGCATCTAACAATTATTTCTCTTCCTACCAGGTAAACTTCTGTCCAGAACCTGTGTTTTAATCGCTTCTTTGTCTTCTTCAGTTGCTTATTGTGTTTGAAGAAGTCGAGGTGGGTGAGAACTCCCATAATTTTAGGAAAGCCATGTACTTGACAGATGTTTAGAAACTCAAACGTTTCCATTTCAAACCCAAAGCTGGCATCTATAAGCATCAGTACCTACAAGCAGAACACATTATTTCTCAAAGAAACTACCAAAACAGACCACCTACACTAGGGGTTGGCAACTGGCCCATCGACCCAATCCAGCCCATCACCTGTGTTTGTAACTAAAGTTTTATTGGAACATAGCCACATTAATTCATTTACATATCGTCTATGGCCGCCTGTGCACTACAACTGCAGAGCTAAGTAGCTGCAAAAGATATGATCCACAAAGCTGAAAATATCTACTATCTGGCCCTCGACAGAAAAGTCCCACTCCAGACTAAATCAAATGACTACACAGGCATCACCCAGAGAAACCACCACCCTCTGACTTGCTCTAAAAGGCAACCATAAGACAAGGCCACTAGGATATAAACATCCATTTTAAGAATTCTAATGCATGAGAAGTAACTCAGAAAAGGCTGGATCTAACCAGGCCCGTACCTAAGAAATCCTAATTTAAAGAAATGAAGTTTTCTATAATGTATTTTTAAGCCAAATAACAGGTCTCTGACATCCAAAGAATGGGAAGAAAGTGATAATCAATGAAATATATTTAATATGTACAGAAAACCAACCTCTTCTTTCAATGTCCTCACAAAAAAAAAACTTTTTTTGCTGGGAAGTATGCAGTGTATACCTCTATCTTGTATGTTAATTTGTATAACTCAATTGCTCAGGAATTTCTTTAAATAGCTACCAGTTTAGAATTAAGTCAAAAAACAGTAAGATTACGATGAATGGTAGTCTATAAGAAAATATAAGCAGATAAGACCAATTTTTAAAATTAAGACACTTCAAAGATGCAAATTTCAGAATTGATTCCTGGAAACTTCTAGTTTTAATATTAAAGATAGTTCTGTTTTTATCTTTCCATGGATAACTAAAACTAACAAAAAATGGAAACAGAAATGCCCATCTTTGATTAAACTAGGAAACATTCAAAACCCGAAACCACAGAATATATGAAGTTGGGCTTGTAGGAAAGCACAGATGCCTCTGGAAACCGAGGCAGCAAGCAGAGCTCTCCAGCAACAGTGGACCAGCTCAAAGAATAAGTGGAATATCCTCACACCACATCTGATGCCACAGAGTGCCAAGGGGCAAGCAGCTGGTTGTAGGATCAGGAAGAACAGGGAGCAAACAGTCCCTCAGCTGCCAATCTTTGTCATCTAAGCCAGTGTTACTCCCATAATCCACACACACACACACGTACACACCCAAATCCACATATCGTTTGTGCCTTTGCTGTACTCAGGAGGCTTTGAAAACCCAGAGCAGAGCAATCAACATAAGCTAAGCTAAATAAATTATGGTGCGTCCACAGAATGGAATATTATATTAAAAAGAAGGAGGCAGAGCTACAGTACTTACTGATTATATACCTCCAAGATATATTACATGAAAAAAGCAAAGCATAGAACAGCGTGTAAAATAAGCTACCATTTGTGTTTTTAAAGGGTGGCATGTGTGTTTATATGTATCTGGAAGGATACTGCTCTGCAGGGACCTGAGAGACCAGCCTTAGAGCAAGGAAAAAGAAAATGTGCATTGTGTATACCCTGCATTACAGTTAGAGTGCTTTACCAAATGTGTGTGCTCCTTTTGAAAATCTTAAAAAGATTTACATAGGCATCTCTCTCAATGATGGTTAAGAGACTGGGAAGGGGAGCAGGGAGGGAGGGAAAAAGAGGGAAAGGTTAACAGGTACAAAAATACAGTTAGAATAAATTCTAGTGTCCAACAGCACAATAGGGTGACTATAATTTATTATATAATTCAGAACTAAAAGAATGAAATTGAAATGTTCCCAACACAAAAAAATGATAAATGTTTGAAGTGACGGACATCTGAATTACCTTGATTTGATCATCACACATTGTATGCTTCTATCAAAATACTACATGTACCCCATAAATATGTACAACTATTATGTATCCATAATAACTAAAAATAAAAAAAAGTAAAGGCATCTCTTAATATGTCTTTAAAATTAGAAACTTGCTACATCTTAAATAAAAGAGAAACAAATGACTTCTATGAACTATTCAATCATTTCAAGTATACAAGATTTAGTAATCCTTACACAACTTTACATTAATAACACTTATTTTTACTAATAGTAGCATTACATGTTCAAAATTTGAATGTTATTTAGTTTTCTGACATTACAGACATTACAATGGCACGACTTTAAAATCTGTATTACCTTTTACTTTATATTTTAGGAGTCTTCCTGGGCCAAAGTATGAAATCTGTAGCTCTAGAAAAAACTAAATAAAAATGAAAAAACCAAGGTATCTGTCATCCCACACTTCCTAATCAATATGGCTTATTTTTTGCTTTTTTTTTTTTTTTTTTTTGAGATGGAATTTCGCTCTTGTTGCCCAGGCTGGAGTGCAATGGCGGGATCTCGACTCACCACAACCTCCGCCTCCCGGGTTGAAGCAATTCTCCTGTCTCAGCCTCCTAAGTAGCTGAGGTTATAGGCATGAGCCACCTCACCCAGCTAATTTTGCATTTTTAGTAGAGACGGGGTTTCTGCATGTTGGTCAGGCTGGTCTCAAACTCCCAACCTCAGGTGATCTGCCCACTTCAGCCTCCTAAAGTGCTGGGATTACAGGCATGAGCCACTGCGTCTGGCCTTTTTCTTTCTTTCTTTTTTTTTTTTGGTAATTTGTATTTTATTTTAGTTAATTTAAAAGATAGTTTAAAAAAAAGATAGTTAATAGAATATCAGAAATAGTGAACATTATCATTTCCATAAATGCAAGAGCGTGTACATTTTTCCACACACTGAGTACTATCTAGATTTTCTATGATAAACTCTGACCACTTCTTCAGGCAATTCATGTACTTACTTATTATCACTAAGGATAAAGGTTCTAGAACCATTAGGAACAAGGGTCCCATCTTCACACAAGTTACTTAACTGCTGGGAGGCTCTATTTCATCTTATGTAAACTACAGATAATACCTACTCACCTCAAGGGTGTATCAAGGGTTTATGTAAGCTAAATTTGTAGAAAGCAGTTAGCACAGTGCCAGGAAGGGTCCAAGAAGAAATGGTACTTACTATGATATATTTGTAGGTATATATGTATGCATGTTAATGAGTTCTTATTAGCTGTGTTCATTAAAGGTTTTCTCTATCCTGTGATTTGCTTTTAGATTTTGGAATACATTTTATTGTACACATTCCATTTGTATTATTAATATAACAACATTTATTACTATTATTATTATCATCAATTCAATCACATCTATTGTATCCTTGATGATGACCATGATTCCTTTAATAATCATAAAACTCTATTCCCTTCATCACGGGGTAAATAACCTATCACAATGCTGTAAGTCTCCATCAGCACCCCAGGCTGCCCCTGCTCACTTACCAGATCTGCTACTTCAGCCAGATCAATCATCATGTTAATGTCACACCCACATTCAATAATGGTGAGTCGGAGCTTTTTACCTATAAGTGAAAAGATGAAAATTTTACTTTAAAAAGACCCTGAAAAAACTCTAAGCATCAACTCTAACTTTCATTTTTTACCTGTATCCAGTAAAACACCATATACGTTTACAGGAGTGTACGAGAAGTTCACATTTACCGGTAAAATAAAATAAATTCCATCCTGTTTTTCTTGCTGTGTTCTAAATTTAAATAATATCCAAAGTCTACCCAGATGAATACAAGTGCTTAAACAGGGAAAATTCTGACTGGACAGGCTCCATGATAACCATGATCCTGCTGTTCAGCTGTAGGCCAATGTCTTTGCCTCTATCAAAACTTCCCATATTCCCACTATCACTAAAAACATCCTCAAACATTATCCAACAGAATATTCATAACGATAATCATTTCTAAATTAAGGTAAAAAGAAAACAGTCAAGAAAATATGGGCAGGGCACAGTGGCTCACGCCTGTAGTCCCAGCACCTTGGGAGGCCAAGGCAGGTGGATCCCTTGAGCCCAGGAGTTTTGAGACCAGCCTGGCCACATGGGGAAACCCCATCTCTACAAAAACAAAAAAGAAAGGAAAAAAAAAAGAAAAATTAGCCAGGCGTGGTGGCATCCACTACTCAGGAGGCTAAAGTAGGCGGATTGCTTGAGCCTGGGTGGTTGAGGCTACAGTGAGCTGTAATCACGCCAGTGCATTCCAGCCTGTGCCACAGAGTAAGACTGTCTCAAAAAAGAAAATATGGATGCTCCAAAGATAAAGAAAAGCCTCAATCCAACTATATTATTGCAATAACAAGAGACTTGAGTGTACATTGGCATTCTACCACTGGAAGTTTGTTTCATCTTTCCTCAAACTTGGAAAGGTCACCATCTCCCAAAGCAGACAAATTCTCACAGGAAAAAGAGAAAACGCGCACTTCCACTAGCATGTGGCTTCATAAGGGCAAGGATGTGCATGCACCTGGCACATAGGAGGTACGTGCTGTCTGTTAAATGATATGTTCACAGTGACCAGGCCTGCTACCCTCTTCCAAGGAACATGCTTGGCAAAGCCATAGAGCACTCAGGATAAGATATGTATCACATCCTTATCTCTGGGAACTTACCCTTTTCTGAAGTTATAGCTAACTTAGTAAAGTATAAGAGAGGTAACATGATATGACAAAATTTAACATGTTCCACTCAAGAAAGCAACAAACACATGCATGTCCCTCAGATGACAATAGCCACGCCAACTCTGTGTCTGTGGCAGCATCTCCTACCTGACACGATCATCACAGGGCCTCTGATCTCGGTCAACTTCTGCCGGGTGAAGTTCCGAATGAGGCATTGTATCAAAGTGCTCTTTCCAACTTTGGAGGCCCCATCACCACTACCACTATTGGTGGGGGCTCTAGTGGAGTTCGATCAACCACTGGAATATGATGCTTTTTTGTCTTCAAATCCTGAGTCCTATTCATTAAAAAAAAGAAAAAAGTAAACTCACTTTCAAAATAGAGAAAAAGGTATCAACCTTATAAGTAGAATTTTCTTAGTATACTTATAGATATGAGTACTTTAGTATATTTTATAGAGTACAACAGACAATATATAAATATAATGAACTTGTCAATTATTAACTTAACTTCTCACCCCCATCCAAATAATTGCTGTTGGATAAAGATGTAACAAGACGACTTCAATAGTATATAGAGTTGAAAACTGAACACACCTTAAATCTGACTGTTTTATGGGTGATTTGAATAGTTTTTTAAAAACCAAAAGGTAAATACCAAGGCAGTGCATCATAATGGATAAGAGCAGAGGCTCTGGAGTTAAATTTGGCTCTCCTACTTACTGGTTATATTATTGGAGGTAACTTGTTTTCTTGACCTCAGTTTTCTTGTCCATAAAATGAGGGCAAGAATGATTCCTACTCTGGTAAGGCTGCTGGAAGGATTTAGTTGAATAACGTTTAAAGTACACTGCTAAGAATATCACAAGGACTCACTAAATAAAGCTATGTTAGTAATAAATATTGTAATTTTTGTATTTTATATTACAACTTTGTAAAACGTATCCAGAGGGAAAAAGCACACTTATCACCATAGAAACAGTTTAAAGTTTAGGAGGAAACAAATTCTATAAATTCTTGTATCTTGGGCAAGAAACACCAACCAGTGTGCAGATGCTGGAGGCAAGGCAGCTTCTATAGCAAAGCCTCTCATGTTTTGGTAAAAGCCACACAGCATGCATCTCCATGTCCTTTGGAGCTGGACTAGACTTGTGAATCCAAATGTCACCTGTGAGAGGCTCCTACTATTTAAAAAGAATCAATGGAAGAAGCATCAGACTGTAGCTAAACATACCTGTGAAAGGATCGAGCCATCCACACAGCAGACTGAAATGCAAAAGCTTTGGGATTTCTCTTCCAGGCATCTTCTTCGTCTCCTAGCTGGAGATCCTGCAGATGCCGCTTCTTTTTCTTTGCAGCTTTGGGTCCACTATTTTTCTTTCTTTGTTTCTTCTGGTCCTTAGTCTCCATAGTGGCTATTTACCAATAACAAGTAATTCTAATCTACAAGGAAGAAGGTTGGGGTAAGGAGGTGGGAGAAGCATTTTACAATCCAGGCAATACCCAGGGCAAAAACATTAAATTTTATTTATTTCTTTATGAAGAGATGATATATTTGTTCACTGAACAAGGGTAGAAACTGCTTAACCCTCCCCAATTTCATTTATCTCTGTTATGCTATAAATTAGATGAGTTACCTCTGCTAAGGGTACATTTTATGGTTAAGTTACTTTTTATTCATCTTAAGTGTCAACATCAGCAGTATCCATTTCTGCAAGGATGGAAACATTCTATATCTGTACTTTTCAGCCATTTAGCCATTAGCCACATGTGGTTACTTAAAATGTACTTAGAGAAACTGAAAAAATGAATTTTTAATTAATTTTATTCCAACTCTAAATAGTCACATGTGGCTACCATACTGGACAGCTCAGACCTAGATATCAACTGGACTAATGAAGTGGTTTCCTAACTTAAACTAAAACTTAAATTTTAATAAAAAATTTAAAATGCTTTTATGAACTTCCAACATGATCACAGTATTACTTTTAGTACCTGTTGACTCTGCAAAACTCCTAAATTACAACTCTTCTACATACATTTGAAAAATAGCAATATCTAGAGGCCGGGCACGGTGGCTCACGCCTGTAATCCCAGCACTTTGGGAGGCCGAGGCGGGTGGATCACGAGGTCAGGAGATCGAGACCATCCTGGCTAACACGGTGAAACCCCGTCTCTACTAAAAATATAAAAAAAAAATTAGCTGGGCGTAGTGGCGGGCGCCTGTAGTCCCAGCTACTCGGGAGGCTGAGGCAGGAGACTGGCGTGAACCCCGGAGGCGGAGCTTGCAGCGAGCCAAGATTGCGCCACTGCATTCCAGCCTGGGCGACAGAGCGAGACTCCGTCTCAAAAAAAAAAAAAAAAAAAAAAAAAAAAAAAAAAAAAAAAAGAAAGAAAAATAGCAATATCTGTATGTGTGAGACATGACTAGTTCTAGATGATGCCTGGAGACCCCATGGACTTACAGAGACCCTTCCAGTGATTTCTGAGGTACCTGGGAATCTGTGGCCAATAAATTGGTAATCACTGAATTAGTGAGTTTTTTAAGGATATCCAGCTGCATAAAATCTGACAGCTTGATTGGAAAAAAGCGGGGCAGGGTGCCATTTCATTCAATTAAGGTCCTGTATTCATTCCGTTTAGTAAATGTTTGTGTCTGTCTATGATGTGCTAGCCACTGTGCCAGTAAATGGATATAGCTATGATCTGACTTGCAGAGGAAATCCAAACTAGTATCTTCCGTGCCATGCAATAAGGGCTACATTGCAAGGCTGCACAGGGTGCTACTGGGGCACAGAAGTGAGTCAGAGGCTTCCCACAGACACACACACGAGCGGAAACAGAAAGTCTTTATATATCACCATATGTCAAGGAACACTGGCCGGGAGTTAGGAGAGCTGGGCACTAGGAACGCTTTGAAACCGAACAGCTGTGTGATTTCCGAGGTTATGTTGCTTCTCTACTATATTTTAGTTCCGAACTTGTACTAATGTTTCTCTCCCTTTTCTTCTTGGTGGGAAAAGCACAATTTGGGGTCAACAGATTCGGCTCAGGTCTAAGTCGCCGGCCGGGACCACGTCGCCAGGAAACGACGTCTCCCCGACACCTTCCCTCCCCGTCCGGGCTCTCTGCAGCAATTCATCCCGTCACTCTCCCAACGACCCCGGGCACACCTCCGGCAGATGCGAAATATGCTGCTCCTCAGGAGGAAAGATGACCCGGAGGACCGCGGGAGGACCTTCCCACTCGCGATCTTCCCAGTGCCCCAAAGCCAGGGACCCCACTGCCGCCTACCCCAGCCCGCGGCACCGAACTTGCTCACAACTGTGACTCCTCAGGTCGGATTGGACACCACCGGAAACGGAAATTCACCGTCGCGCCGACTCTCCGGAGGGAAACAAAAAGGCAGAAAAAAGAGACCGGCGCCTGGACGACTTTCAGGGGAGAGCTGGAAGAAAGACTGTCAACAGCTGAGTGCGGGCGCCGGCGCCGTCTACGCAGTGCGTTCCACCGGGTCCGTATCCCTCCCGATTCCGCCCCACCCCGCCCTCGGAACTCGCTGCCTCAACTCCTGCGGTGGGACTCCGGAGCAGCGTACACCGCCCTTGCCTTAGTCCTCCCCAAGGCCAGGGCAGCTGTGCGGCCTGGCGCGGGTTACTTGGTGTGGTGCAAAAAGCCAGAAGGAGACACATTTGGTCCTGGCCACCCCGGAGTCACCCAAACCAAAAGGTAAAAGGAACATAAAAAAGCCTTCTGGAAAGTGTAAAAAAATTCATTGCACAGTGATTTTTGTCTTGTGAAATCATAGTTACTGTTATTAGCAGTTTTTTAAACGTTTTATATTCATTTTTTATGGTGTTCTGACATATGAGCTGCTTCAAGTGTTTTTGGACATAGCTTGGGTGTAAAATGTAAAAAGTGGATATTTTCAATTTGTAGCTTTCTTTTTTGAAACTTACTGAAGTTTGTTCTAAATATATCCCCTTCTTTCTCACCTACCCCAACACATTTTTAAAAAAAACACCACCAAATATCCATTACAGCATTGATGTGAGTGTAGATGAAGTAAAAACTTTGGCTTCCCTGATGACATACAAGTGTGCAGTGGTTGGTAAGTGATCGCCTTTCTTGCTACCTAATGAGAACTCTGGGGAAATATGTTTACTCACATGGTTACTGTTAAGATGCTATAGAAATATACCTTATCAGAACTGATTTTTTTTAAGTTGTCCTCTTTAAGACCTGCATCATTTTTCAATTAGTCTAAATTAATATATAGCCTTTTTTTATGTGAGGGATTTTTTTTATAGGAGCTTATTGAATTTTAAGTCTAGATCTTTGTTTTCAATTCCTCAACATATTCTATAAATAAGACCAAATTATAGTAGAAGGATAGTAAATAAGCTATTATCTTTTAGAAGTTGTAAAGAGCACTGATTAACTCTATATTAGAGACCCCGCCCCTGCCTTGGCTGCGCGGGCCCCCGCCAAAGGGCCCATGGTCGGCGCAGCCGAGCTGGCGAGGGCAGCGCGGGTCCCCCGGAACGCCCCCCGAGGCGAGCGCTAACGAGGTCCGGCACCATGTGCTAGGTCACTCCCAGTGCAAGGCCACACTTGGGCCATCCGAGCAACCCCTCCTCACGTCAGGGGTCACCCTCCCCACCACCCATTGCCCCACCATGGCCGGAGACCGGCTCCCGAGGAAGATGATGGACGCCAAGAAGCTGGCCAGCCTGCTGCGGGGCGGGCCTAGGGTGCCTGGTCATCTACAGCCGCTCCTTCCTGGAGTACAACAGCTGGCATGTGCTCAGCTCCGTCAACATCTGCTGCTCCAAGCTGGTGAAGTGCCGGCTGCAGAAGGGCAAGGTGACCATTGCAGAGTTCATCTGGCTGGCCACACGCAGCCAAATGGAGGCCACTGAGCCACAGGATATGGTGGTCTATGACCAGAGCACACGGGACGCCAGTGTGCTGGCCGCAGACCGCTTCCTCTCCATCCTGCTGAGCAAGCTGGACAGCTGCTTCGACAGCGTGGCCATCCTCACGGGGGGCTTCGCCACCTTCTCCTCCTGCTTCCCCAGCCTCTGCCAGGGCAAGCCTGCTGCCCTGCTACCCATGAGCCTCTCCCAGCCCTGCCTGCCCGTGCCTAGCGTGAGCCTGACCCTCATCCTGCCTCACCTCTACCTGGGCTCGCAGAAAGACGTTCTGAACAAGGATCTGACGACACAGAATGGAATAAGCTACGTCCTCAATGCCAGCAACTCCTGCCCCAAGCCTGACTTCATCTGCGAGAGCCGCTTCATGCGGGTCCCCATCAACGACAACTACTGTGAAAAGCTGCTGCCCTGGCTGGACAAGTCTATGGAGTTCATCTGTAAAGGCAAGCTGTCCAGCTGCCAAGTCATCGTCCACTGTCTGGTCGGTATCTCCCACTCTGCCACCATCGCCATCGCCTACATCATGAAGACCATGGGCATATCCTCCGACGACACCTACAGGTTCATGAAGGATAGGCGCCAGTCCATCTCGCCCAACTTCAACTTCCTGGGCCAGCTGCTGGAGTAGGAGCGCAGCCTGAAGCTGCTGGCCACCGTGCAGGGGGATGCGGGCACCCCCTCAGGGACGCCGGAGCCTCCGCCCAGCCCTGCGGCTGGGGCCCGGCTGCCATGGCTGCCACCACCTACCTCAGAAAGCGCTGCCACCGGGAGTGCAGCTGCCAGGGAGGGCGGCCTGAGCGCGGGCGGGGAGCCCCCACTGCCCCCCACGCCCCCAGACACCTGCGCGCTGCAGCAGGGCTGCGCGGCCTGTACTCTCCTCTGACCGCCTGCAGGACACCAACCGCCTCAAGCGCTCCTTCTCGCTGTACATCAAATCAGCGAACACCCCCGGCCGGCGGCCCAACGGCCCCGGGTCACCCGACCCCGGCGAGGTCCCAAAGCTCTGCAAGCTGCACGGCCCGTCGGAGCCACGCTGAGCCTACCTTCGCCCAGCCCCGACAGCCCGGATGCCGCGCGCCCACGGCCCTGCGGGCGGCCCAGGCCCCCAGCCGGCTCCCCGCTCCCCCGCGCACAGCCTCGGCCTCTCGGCCCTGTCGGCGCCCAGGCTGCCCGGCCCTGGCCAGCCGGCCCCGGAGTCTGGGCGCCACCGCTTGACTCCCCGGGCACGCCGTCGCCCGACGGGCCCTAGTGCTTCAGCCCCGAGGGCGCGCAGGGGGCGGGCGGGGTGCTGTTCGCGCCCTTTGGCCAGGCGGGCGCCCCGAGACGGGGCGGCGGCAGCGACCTGCGGCGGCCGGAGGCAGCAAGGGCTGAGCCCCGGGACGCGCGGACCAACTGGCCCGACGAGCCGCCCCGGAGACGGAGACGCAGATCAAGCGCTGCAGCTGCCAGATGGAGTTCGAGGAGGGCATCCTGGAGGGGCGCACTCGCGGCGAGGAGCTGGCCGCCATGGGCAAGCAGGCGAGCTTCTCGGGCAGCGTGGAGGTCATCGAGATGTCCTGACCCCTCCGCTGCCCTTAGCTCCGCTGCCCACAGCCAGACCCGTTATAAATATATATTATATATAATGCAAAGAAAGGTAAATGGTTTTACTTTTATTTTTATTGAGAAGTAAATATTTCTATTTTTTATTTATTTAAGCTATTCATTCTGGCAATGATTTGGCAACAGTGCAGGTGGTCCTCGAGCTCTATTTTTACTGTCTGGTATTTAAACTGAAACATACCTTTCTAAGCAATACGAGGCCACCTTCAGTCGCAAGGTGGGTGCCAGGCCTGGTGCCCCTCCCAGTTCCCCCACCCCAGGAAACACTGCTGACACTTGCAAAGGCTGCCGAGCTTTTGTGCACTTTTTACATAAGAAAAAGGATTAAAAAAGGAAAAAAAAAAAGCTTATTTGCCACAAACAGCCGCGGACCCCCCCCCCCACCTTCTTCCTCCCTTCAGGCTCTGCCCCAAAGCCATAGGTTGGGGGAGCAGGAGCTGGTGTGCCAGAGAGATGCGGCCAGCCCTCCACCAGCTCCAGGCACCAAATCTTGGTGGCAGGGAGGGCACCCCGCTGCCCGTTGCCCCAGAGCTGTTCCTTCTCAAGGGAGGACAGGCATTGGGCCCCATGGTGCCAGGACGTTGAGAGGGGCTGAGGAATAGAACAGAGTGTGTAGGGGCTTGGGGCAGGGGGTTCTGGAGCGTCAGATGAGGTGGAGCCCAGGGGAGGATGGGGGTGTTGTTAATGTCCCCAACTCCTGCCAGAGCCCCAGTCCAGCCACTGGTGGCTCAGAAAGGCCATTCCCAGAGGGCTGCGGCCCTCCCTTCTCCTTTGACCCTGCCCCCAGAACTACCTGCCAGGCAGGACGGCACCAGTGCAGGAGAGGAGCTTGGCCTCCGGGGGTGACGCAGGAGTGGGGCCTGGCTAGCCTGTGCTGGCTCCACTGGGCGGGGAGCCCTGGACCGCCAGGTATGCGGAGGGGGTGGGCTTAGGGTCCTGTTCCAGGTCCGTCCCCCACCTAGCAAGTCCCCAGGCAGGACTTGGAAACCAGGTGTGCACCAGCAGGCTAAGGGGCTCCAAGAGCAGGTGCTGCTTCGCACAGGAAGTTCAGGCGCCAGCCAAGTCCCTGTGCTTCTGGGGTAGGCCTGCTTCACTTAGGGAGCGCTGCCCTCAAGGCAGATAAAGCCCTCTCCTTTGCCCCGACCTGCATGGGGGCTTCTCAGGAGAGAAACTCCCGTGTGCCCCTTTCCCAGGGCACTCTCTCTAGACAGCATGCCGGCCCCCAAACACAGGTGGCTTTTGGGCCCAGGTGGGTCAGCCTGCTGCCCCTGGCCCATACCCTCTCAGGCCATTGGGACCCCTGCCCTTCAGATGTTCTAGGGTCTAGGAGTGGACCAGTCACCCTGGGAAGAGGCCAGGGCCTTGGCAGGAGGGGTGGCCCAGGCAGGACCCAGTCCTGAGTCCTGGAGCAAGGCCAGGGAGGCGCCCACCCCACCCCGGCCAGCTGCCCTCTCTGCTGTTTGTTCTATTTGTTCTTCTTTTCACCCATAGCCTTGTGTTCCTGTCATCCCTCCTTTCAGCAAAAGTCCTTTTCCCATTCCCTCTGTCCCCACCAACTGCTGTTCCCCAAGAAAATAAGCTATCATTGTATTTGCAATCTATGGATTAGAGGTTGAAGTATTTATTATTATTGGTTAATTATTATTAATTATATAAAATATATATATTAGAACTTGGCTAGCCAATTTTATTGAACAATTTCTGTTCAATAAAATGTTGTTTAAAGTACAGTTTAGAAAACTATGGTAGGTTTATTTCTTGAACTTTCAGAAATTCAAGCTTAAAGCATCACACGTTTTTCTAATATTGTGTGGCATTTTCTGTCATTTTACTTTTTTAACCTTTATATGGAATAACAACCATCAGCCTTGTCTTTCAGATGTGCCATTTGGGGGTGCTAAAGCTGGTGTTAAGATCAATCCCAAGAACTATACTGTAAATATGAGAGTGATACTTGTTTTTTTTTGTTGTTGTTTTTGTTTTTCTGAGACAGAGTCTTGCTCTGTCGCCCAGGCTGGAGTGCAATGGTGCAATCTCGGCTCACTGCAACTTCCGTCTCCCGGATTCAAGCGATTCTCCTTGATTCAGTAACTAGGATTACAGGTGCATGCCACCATGCCCAACTAATTTTTGTATTTTTAGTAGGGGAGGCGGTATCAGCATGTTGGCCAGGCTGGTCTTGAACTCCTGACCTCAGGTGATCTGCCCGCCTTGGCCTCCCAGAGTGCTGGGATTACAGGCATGAGCCACCGCACCCGGCCTCAAAGTGATATTTGTGCACACAGTGCATTTATGAAGGACTTGAAATTACTGGGCTTCTCTGTATCCCCCATATCAGTGAGATCAATGGTCCCCATTGCTTTTCAAATGGAATGAAAAAAGTAAAGAATTAACTCATTGAGTGTTTTGCCATATAAAGGTCACCTACTTAATATCTATATCCTTTATCATTTTGTTTTGTTTGGTTTTGTTTTTATGAGTCTTGTATTATTTTTTTGCTTTTTGTATTATTATGTTCTTACTTATTAAAAAGGTAATTAATATTTTCATATTGTTAGACACTTAAACCCATATTTAAGAATTACTGTGATCTAATTAATCAGGCGTAGTGGTGCGCACCTGTAATCCCAGCTACTTGGGAGGCTCAGGCATGAGAATTGCTTGAACTCAGGAGGCAGAGGTTGCAGTGAGCCGAGATTTCACTGCTGTACTCCACCCTCGGCAACAGAGAAAGACTCTGTCTCAAAAAGAAAAAAAGTATTACTGTGATCTGAAGTTTTTAAGTCAGGATTTCATTCTAGACAAATATCTTAACTAAGCCTATAAAAACCTTACTTTTTATCCTGTCAGTTCCAAGCAAATTCAAACTGGTTGTCACAATGCTTTACATAATACTAAATTATCTGTATACAAACATAAACGCGTATGATTTTTATTCTCTTTAAAATTCACCATTTACATGGAATATAATTATATTTCAATTAATCTTAATTAAGATTTAGTAGGCCAGGCGTGGTGGCTCACGCCTGTAATCCCAGCACTTTGGGAGGCCAAGGCGGGCAGATCACGAGGTCAGGAGATCGAGACCATCCTGGCTAACATGGTGAAACCCCGTCTGTACTAAAAAATACAAAAAAAAAAAAGTACCTGGGTGTGGTGGCGGGCACCTGTAGTCCCAGCTGCTCGGGAGGCTGAGGCAAGAGAATGGCGTGAACCCGGGAGGCGGAGCTTGCAGTGAGCCGAGATCGCGCCACTGCACTCCAGCCTGGGCGAGAGAGCAAGACTCCATCTCAAAAAAAAAAAAAAAAAAAAAGACTTAGTATATTTTTCAGTGGGGAATTAATAGAATGGGAATTTGAGTCCTAGTTCTACTATCCTGTTTTTATAATCTACTTTTTTGATCCCTTATTTCCTCACCTTTAAAATGGCAATGCCTACTTTATGAGTTGTTCTAAGGATTACAAGAGAAGACATATGAGAATGTACTATAAATAGAAAATAAGATGCTAGCTATAATCTCAAGCGATTTTTATATCTTATTTTTATTGTTTTCTTATTTTACAGGATAATGAATTGGAAAAGATCACAAGGAGGTTCACCATGGAGCTAGCAAAGAAGGGCTTTATTGTGTGGCCACATAGATTTTGGTATAAAGTGGGAACATCTAAAAAAATCTTTTTTTTTTTTTTTTGAGACAGAGTCTTGCTCTGTCGCCAAGATTGGAGTGTAGTGGTGCGATCTCCTCCACCTCCCGGGTTCAAGCAATTCTCTTGTCTAAGCCTCCCGAGTAGCTGAGACTATAGGCATGTGCCACCATGCCCAGCTAATTTTCGTATTTTTATAGAGATGGGGTTTTGCCATGTTGATCAGGCTGGTCTTGAACTCTTGACCTCAGGTGATCCACCCATCTCAGAATCCCAAAGTGCTGGGATTACAGGCGTGAGCCACTATGCCCGGCCTCCTACTATTTGTAATAGGAGATAGGGTCAGATAAGGGAATAAAAGCAGGCTGCCCCAGCCAGGGGCAGCAACCAGCTCAGGTCCCCTTCCACACTGTGGAGGCTTTGTTTTTTTGCGCTTTGCAATAAATCTTGCTGCTGCTCACTCTTTGGGTCCGCACTGCCTTTATGAGCTCTAACACTCATCGCGAAGGTCTGCAGCTTCATTCTTGAAGTCAGTGAGACGAAGAACCCACCAATTCCGGACACAGAAGTGTCTTCATTTAAAAAAATTTTTTAAGTGCACTGAAAAAGCATCACATATTCTAGCCTCGTAATAATGCTCCCTTTTTGGAGATCCCAGGAATCAGTGTGGGCTCTGCCCAGAGCTCAGAGATCTAGTAAAAAGACAGATAGTTCCTATATAAATAAAATTGGTCTCCTCATATAATCCTATGATAGATTTTTTTTTTTTTTTTTTTTTGGAGACAGAGTTTTCGCTCTTGCTGCCCAGGCTGGGTGATCTTGGCTCACTGCAACCTGCACCTCCCGGGTTCAAGTGATTCTCCTGCCTTAGTCTCCTGAGTAGCTAGGACTACAGGCACCCACCACTGCACCAGGCTAATTTTTGTATTTTTAGTAGAGACGGGGTTTCACCATGTTGGGCAGGATGGTCTTGATCTCCTGACCTCATAATCTGCCTGCCTCAGCCTCTCAAAGTGCTGGGATTTGGGATTACAGGCATGAGCCACCGTGCCTGGCTATCCTATGATAGATTTCTAAAATGTTATGTTTGATTTGGCATCCTTTTTTTTGTGTTTTTTTTTTTTTTTTTGAGATGGAGACACACTCTGTCACTCAGCCTGGAGTGCAGTGGCACAATCTCGGCTCACTGAAACCTCTGCCTCCCAGGTTCAAGCAATTCTCTCACCTCAGCCTCCCAAATAGCCAGAATTACAGACATGTGCCACCACACCTGGCTAACTTTTGTATTTTTAGTAGAAAAGGGTTTTCACCATGTTGGCCAGGCTGGTTTTGAACTTCTGACCTCAGGTGATCCACCTGCTTCCACCTTCTAAAGTGCTGGGATTACAAGTTTGAGCCACTGCGCCTGGTGTGGTATGTGGTTTTACTGCATGTGACTAGTTTACATGCAACTAGCCATGCAAGTTCAGTAACCCAAGGCGGTCTATACCCTGTTCAACAAGAACCATCTACTGATGACACTTCTGGAAGTCTGGGCAATATCAACTTGCTGTAAGAGTTCCCAAATGCTCTCAATTATCAGGTGATAACAAAGTTTTCAAACCAGTAAATTTTGAGTAGCCCTTTACTAGGAATAATCTTGAATAAGTTAGTATTGCCCTCCACAACCACAATTTAAAAAATATCCGTATTGGTTTTCTCTTCAATTCAAGCATCATGTAAATATGTAATGTAGAAAATGAGGATTTCCCATATTCCCATAGAATCACAAAGATGATCACTGGTAATATGTGTGCTACATATATGATACCAGGTTTATTCTTTTTTTTTTTTTTGTCTTTTTTTTTTTTTCTGTCACCCAGGCTAACATCCAGTGGCACGAACTTGGCTCATTGTATCCTCTGCCTCCCGGGTTCAAACAATTCTCCCACCTCAGCCTCCCAAGTACCTGGAATTACAGGCACCTGCCACCATGCCCACCCAGCTAAATTTTTTTGTATTTTCAGTAGAGACGAAGTTTCACTAAGTTGACCAAGTTGGTCTCGAACTCCTGACCTCTGGTGATTCACCCACCTTGGCCTCCAAAAATGCTGGGATTAAAAGCATGAGCCACTATGCCTGGCCATTTTTTTGTACTCTTATACAATTATATACTTGCTTTATAAAAATGAACTTATTCTACATATATATGTTATTACATTATTAGGACATGTTCCCTAATGACATATTACATTTTCATCACTTTTTTAAAATATTTTTTTCCTGAGACAGCATCTCACTCTGTTGCCCAGACGGGAGTGCAGTGGCCTAATGACAGGTCACTGCAGCCTCAAGCTCCTCGGTTCAAGGGATCCTCCCATCTTGGCCTCCTGACTAACCCAGCTAAGTTTAAAAAAAATTTTTTTTTTTGGCCTGGCGCAGCAGCTCACACCTATAATCTCAGCACTTTGGAAGGCCAAGGCAGGCAGATCACTTGGGGTCAGGAGTTTGAGACCATCCTGGCCAACATGGTAAAACTCCGTCTCTACTAAAAATACAAAAATTAGCTGGGCATGATGGCAGGTGCCTGTAATCCCAGTTACTTGAGAGGCTGAGGCAGGAGAATCACTTGAGCCCAAGAGGTGGAGGGTGCAGTGAGTCAAGATCATGCCACTGAAATCCAGCCTGGGTGACAGAGCAAGACCCTGACTCAAAAATAAATAAATAATAACTATAACTTTTTTTTTTCTTTTTTGGAGAAACAAGTCTCATTATGTTTTTGAACTCCTGGACTCAAGCAATCCTCCCATCTCAGTTCCCAAAGTGCTGGGATTACAGGTGTGAGGCACTATGCCCAGACATTTTCATCATTCTTTCTTTTTGAGATGGAGTTTTGCACTTGTTGCCCAGGCTAGGGTGTTACGTCACGATCCCGGCTCACTGCAACATCCGCCTCCCAGGTTCACGTGACTCTCCTGCCTCAGCCTCCTGAGTAGCTGGGATTACAGGCATGAGCCACCACGCTCGGCTAATTTTGTATTTTTAGAAGACATGGGGTTTCTCCATGTTGGTCAGGCTGGTCTCAAACTCCCGACCTCAGGTTATCTGCCCACCTCGGCCTACCAAAGTGCTGGGATTACAGGCGTGAGCCACCGTGCCCAACCCATTTTCATCATTCCTAGTAGCCATGGAGCATTCCCTTTAATCAACTGTACATGAAATTTTTTTTTCTGGGGGCAAGGGGCTCATATTCACACAGATGGGAGTCCAGTTGGTGAGAAGGTGGCAGGCGGCACAGCCACCTTATACAGCATGCCATACTGGTCCACTGTCAGACCGGTGATGGCCACAGCTCCATCACCCCGAGGCGGACTCTGGCTCTGCCCAGCCACCACAACCCCTGGGGACCATTCAGAGGCATCACTGGAGGGTGTGTGGTTAGTGGAGCAGCTGGTTGTGGGGAGGTCTCGTTTCTTTGGTGGAAGGCATTCCTGACTCCTCTCATGAACAGGTTTCATATTGCTTTGTGGTGTTCCTGGAGCCTGGAAGGAGTTGGCTTGCTCCCTGGGGCATCAGGAGGGGCTTCTCGGTAGTTTCCCTGTACCCCTCTAGGTTTCTGGCTGGGGCGCCCACATCTGAGCTTCCAGCAGTGCTTCTGAGCAGCTGTAGTAAGCGTCCTCCCGGCTGGCTCGGGAGCTCACAGCGCTTCCCGGGATCCACTTGCTCGTCCTGGAGCTGCCGCAACTGTGGCCGTCCCATCCCTGGCCCTGGAGCCGCCCCATACCCCTTTTGAGAGTGAGACTCTCAAAAAACAAAAAAAAGAAAGAAACTATGAACTATGGTCCGGGCATGGTGGCTTATGCCTGTAATCCCAGCACTTTGGAAGGCCAAGGCGGGCAGATTGCTTGAGCCCAGGAGTTTGAGACCAGCCTGGGTAACATGGTGAAACCCCATCTCTACAAAAATACAAAACTTAGTTAGCTAAGAGTGGTGGCACATGCCTGTAGTCCCAGCTACTAGGGAGGCTGAGTGGGGAGGATCACTTGAGCCTGGGAGGCAGAGGGTGAAGTGAGCCAAGATCATGCTACTGCACTCCAGCCTGGGTGACAGAGACCTTGTCTCAAATAGAAAAAAAAAAAGGTGGGGGGAGGGGGAAGAAAGAAACTGAATCTAGGATCTACCACTTATCAGGGGTGCAACCTTTTTTTTAAGATGGAGTGTTGCCCTGTGTCCCAGGCTGGAGTGCAGTGGTGCAATCTTGGTTCACTGCAACCTCCGTCCCCTGGGTTCAAGCGATTCTCCTTCCTCAGCCTCCTGAGTAGTTGGGATTACAGGCATGTGCCACGACATCCAGCTAATTTTTGTATTTTTAGCAGAGACAGGGTTGGCCAGGCTGCTCTCAAACTCCTGACTTCAGGTGATCCGCCTGTCTCGGCCTCCCAAAGTGCTAGGATTACAGGCATGAGCCACCATGCCCGGCCCTAGTGGGTGCAACCTTAAGCAAGACAGAGGATATTTACTTTCCTATATCGATATGAGTCAAGTGGGATGAATCATGTGAAAATGCTTAGCAGAGGACCAGTTTAGGTCAGGTGCTCAACATATCTTAGTTGAATTTGGCAAATTATTCATCTAGACTAGTGGTTCTCAATCAGCAATGGAATCACCTGGAGGGCCTTAAACCATAGCTTGCTGGGCCCCACCTCCAGAATTTCTGGCTCTTATCTATGTAAAGCGGGTCTGAAATTTGCATTTCAAGCAAGTTTCCAGGTGTTACTGATACTGCTGATCTGAGGATCACACTTAACCACTGACTATAAACTGATAGGTCAGGTGTGGTGGCTTCACACCTGTAATCTCAGCAATTTGGAAGGCTAAGGTGGGAGGAATTTGAGACCACCCTGGGCAACACAGGGAGACCTCACCTCTACAAAAAATTAGCCAGATGTGGGGGCACATACCTGTAGCCCTAGCTACTCAACTACCCAGCTACTCCTACTGAGGTAGGAGGACCACTTGAGCCCAGCCTGAGCAACATAGCAAAATCGTCTCTAAAACAAAACAGGCTGGGCGCAGTGGCTCACACCTGTAATCCCAGCACTTTGGGAGGCCAAGGGGGGCGGATCACAACGTCAGGAGATCAAGACCATCCTGGCCAATATAGTGAAACCCTGTCTATACCAAACATACAAAGATTAGCTGGGGTGGTGGCGCATGCCTGTAATCCCAGCTACTCGGGAGTCTGAGGCATAAGAATCGCTTGAAACCAGGAGGCGGAAGTTGCAGTGAGCCAAGATTGGGCCACTGCACTCCGGCCTGGAGACAGAGCAAGACTGTCACAAAACAAAACAGAGGACAAGAACAATCTGCTTGTTTAGTAAAGCATGCTCAATGCCTAATATATAGTTTCCAGCACAGCCTAAAGTGCAAATTTTTCAGTGAATAAACCACTCTGTGCCTCAGAATAACTGATATTTACTGTCAATAATATGAGAACAAACACTTTTGTTCACTGCTCTATTTCCAGACCCAAGAACATGGCTTGGCACACAATGTCAGCGCTCAGTGGGTTCACCCTGCCTGCTGCCTTGACAAAGCTGATTTATCAAGACCAGGGAATTGCAATGGAGAAAGAGTAATTCACGCAGAGCCAGCTGTGTGGGAGACCAGAGTTTTATTATTACACAAATTAGTCTCCCTGAGCATTTGAGGATCAGAGTTCTTAAAGATAATTTGGCGAGTAGGAGCTTGGGAAGCGGGGAGTGCTGATTGGTCAGGTTGAAGACGGAATCACAGGGAGTCAAAGTGAGGTTTTCTTGCTGTTTTCTGTTCCTGGGTGGAATGGCAGAACTGATTGAGCCAGGTTACTGGTCTAGGTAGTCAGCTGATCCAATGAGTGCAGGGTCTGCAAAACATCTCAAGCACTAATCTTAGGTTTTACAATAGTTATGTTATTCCTAAAAGCAATTTGGGGAGGTTCAGACTCTTGGAGCGAGAGGCTGCATGTCCCCTAAACTGTAATTTGTAATCTTGTAGCTAATTTGTTAGTCCTGTAAAGACAGACTGGTCCCCAGGCAAGAAGGGGGTCTTTTCGGGAAGGGGCTATTATCAATTTTGTTTCAAACCATAAACTGAATTCCTCCCCAAAGTTAGTTCCACCTACACCCAGGAATGAATAAGGACAGCTTAAAGGTTAGAAGCAAGATGGAGTCGGTTAAGTCTGATTTCTTCCACTATCATAATTTCCTCAGTTGTAATTTTGCAAAGGCAGTTTCAACAGCAGTGCTCGAAAAATTATGAAATCAACAAATAGTACTGAAAAGTTCAAATGAAGTCATATATGAAAAAGAAATCCTAGCACTGTTAGCTATAATTACTTAGCCATTAAATGGGGTACTAATAATTACTGCAGGAACTATCTTTTCCAACAGAGCGCAGAGATCTTTTGGCTCTGATAAAGCTCTGCACCTAAACAAAGGCGCTGTATAAAAATGGTTAATAACAATTGACCTTTACTGAGTGCTTACTATGATGCCAAGCGGCCTATGTGGCCTAATTTCATCCTCTGGGCATTATTATTTCCATTTTACAAGCTGTAGAGCCAGACCTCAGACCCCCACATGCAGGTTGACAACAGTTGGTGCCCTTTACCACCACCACACGTTCCGCAAATCTCATAACCAGCAAACGCCATGGGTGAGAGCAACCTAGCGGACGGAAATCAACGGGGTCAGGGGTCACCAGGAAGTGACTACAAGACTCTAGCTCAGAGGTCACTAATACGTCACAGGCAGAGTGAAGGGGCATTATTAAAGATAGTTTGACAAATTCTTTTTAATCTCATTTCTGTTGGTGAGGCCATAAAGTGACTGGAACATCTGAAAAAAAATGTCAGGAGGGAAATACATACGACTCAGCAGAGGCGCACAGGCGGCGGCCATGATGGGAAGATGAAAGAGGCGCATGCGCGGCATCCGGGTCCCCGAAATGCAGACGTGGCAGAAGAAGTGGCCCGGCCCTAAAGCGTGGAGGAGGAACTTCCGGGGGTGACGGGACGGCCCCCTCGGAACCGGAAGTGGAGCCTGGGAGCCTTGACGTTAGGAACGAAGTCTAACCTGGATCTGGAGCCGGGTGAGGAGTGGCATCGGGAGGTTGGCGGGTAGGAAAGCAAAGGAGAGGTCAGGGTATTACTGGCCAGATTGGGGTCCGGTTTCAGAAAGAAGGGAGGAGCCTGGGGGCGGGGCCTGGGTAGAGACCCTCACCTCACGCATCCACCATCCAGGAGCAGGTCCTAGACCATCCCTTCGTCTCCCGGCCCAGATTCCGGCTCCTGCTTCCTGCCCCGAGCCTGTTAAAAGGTGCAAGACGTTTGGTCTCTGTGCTTAACAGAGCAGCCCCCTCTCTTAACGTGGCCCTAGAAGCCGACTTGGCTTCTCGGTTTTGATCCTCGGCTCTCCGAGGCTCCATGGCTTGACTACTTTCAGAGTTCTAGGAAGCTTGCCCCGCCCCCTTGGGTTGTCACCCTCGACTATCCACCCAGAATGGAGTCGAGACTTCAGTCTGACTCCAAGCTCTTGAATGTGTTTGAGGGGATTATTTTCTGGAGAAGAAGCTCCTTTCTTTACCCCTCCCCCCGGCTTTGGAAACATAAAGGGAGAGGACATATTTTAAACTTAGTGTCAGTGACCTACCTCTGTAAGGTTTAGGGTTTGGAAGAACAGCTATTGAGATAACTTTGAGTTTAAAGAGTTTTAGACCAGGATCAGCTCCTTTTCTATAGTCAAGGTGGCCCTTCTAGCAAAGGGGGAGAGGTCCATTGTTCCCTTTGCAGCAACTCTGAGTGCTCCTGCTTTCTGGGCCCCTTCTGTCTACAGGATAATTGGAATGATACAGCTGTTGAAAGTAGATGTGATGAGATAGTTTTCTTGGAAGGACCCTGTTTAGAAAAGGCCCTCTAATTCATCCCTGTGTTGATGAGCAAGATTGTAATAATTTTGATGGTGGCTGAGATTCATAACAATCGTAAGGGGAGCAGAAACAGGAGAGTTGGAGAAGTGCATTGGAATTTAGAATATTCATAGTCTTCTGCTTGAGGGATGAGGTGAATGATTTTTTTCCATGAAATCTAACTCTAACTTTGCCCCTGATTCTTGAACTGTTTCCTCAGATTATGTGAAGAAGTTTTGGTGCCTGTTCTGCACTTGGTTTTAATCTGTTACCTTGCTAGAGTTTTCAGGTGTCCTTTATTTTTTATTTTTTTGAAAGGGCGTCTTGCTCTATTGCTCAGGCTGGAGTGCAGTGGCACGATCTCGGCTTATTGCAATCTCCGCCTCCCGGGTTCAAGCGATTTCTCCTGCCTCAGCCTCCCAAGTAGCTGGGATTACAGGCGTGTGCCACCATGCCCGGCTAGTTTTTGTATTTTTAGTAGAGACTGGGTTTCACCGTGTTGGCCAGGCTGGTCATGAACTCCTGACCTCAAGTGATCTGCCCGACTTGGCCTTCCAAAGTGCTGGGATTACAGGCATGAGCCACTGTGCCTGGCCAACTTTTATTGATTTTAATGCTTCGGTTTTGGCCGGGCGTGGTGGCTCACACCTGTGATCCCAGCACTTTGGGAGGCCAAGGTGGGTGGATCACGAGGTCAGGAGATCGAGACCAGCCTGGCTAACAGGGTGAAAACCTGTCTCTACTAAAAATACAAAAACTAGCTGGGTGTGGTGGCACGCGCCTGTAATCCCAGCTACTCGGGAGGCTGAGGCAGGAGAATCGTTTGAACCCAGGAGGTGAAGGTTGCAGTGAGCCGAGATCGCGCCACTGCACTCCAGCCTGGCAACAGAGTGAGACTCCGTCTCAAAAAAAAAAAAAAAAAAAAAAAACCTTCAGTTTTAAGGTCCATACACTCTTTTGGTGGAAAGACTTGGGTTGGAGTATCATTTGTATTATGGCAGTTTAGCTAAAGAATGTCATTTCTGTAACTCAGCCTAAATTTTGTCATTGAGGGGGAAGGATTTTAGCAGATCTGTTTTAGATTTTTAGCCTGATTGATTTTAAATCAATTGTTCAGCACACTAGAGGGTACTCGATGTTTGCTGAATGAATGGATGCTAGAGTGAATGAATGGAAAGTGGGAACATTGTTTCTTTCACCTGTAACATCAAGGTAGTTCATCAGCCACAAGACTGTGTGACTAGACACTAGAAATCATACCACTGGGGAATGGAGGCTGCTGCTCCATTTCAGTGGATCTGTCTGAAGTTGAAATTTATACTATTTAGACAGTGACAAAGGGTGGATGGTCAGAATAACAAAATCCTTGCTTTTAGGAGATAATCTGAATGCTGGCTGGGGCAGAAAATTACTAAGATCCTGTGGAAGTGTGAGGATTATTAAACTGATCACTGTCTGATAAGGTCAATTTCTTTTTATCTCTACTTCCTGCCCTGAATAGTTGCTCTCTTTAGAAAGTTCATTTTGACTAATTTCTCCTCTCTCTCACAGGTGAGATCAAATTGGGAATGCTTTCATAATGAACGTCAACCAGTCAGTTCCACCTGTGCCACCATTTGGGCAGCCCCAGCCCATCTACCCAGGGTATCATCAGTCCAGCTATGGTGGGCAATCAGGGTCCACAGCCCCCGCCATTCCCTATGGAGCCTACAATGGCCCAGTACCAGGCTATCAGCAAACACCTCCCCAAGGTATGTTTCTGTTTCTGTTTCCTTTGAGCTAGGGAGGGAAATCAGCAGAGTCTTCAGGTTGGGTTGTATTGCTCTAGCTAAGCTACCTGAGAAGTTTGGATAACTGGGATTGAGGAACATAAATCTGGCCCTGTGTAGCTGAGAGCCCCGTGGGCGCCCTTCCCTTCCCTTTTTTTATTATTATTTTAATTTTTTTTTGAGACAGTTTTGCTCTGTCACTCATGCTGGATTACAGTGGCATGATCTCAACTCATTGCAACCTCTGCCTCCTGGGCTTAAGCACTTCTCCTGCCTCAGCCTCCCCAGTAGCTGGGATTACAGGCATGCACCACCACGTCCAGCTAATTTTTGTATTTTTTTAATTTATTTTGAGATAGAGTCTCTCTCTGTCGCCCAGGCTGGAGTGCAGTGGCACCCTCTTGGCTGCAACCTCCACCTTCCAGGTTCAAGCAGTTCTCTGCCTCAGCCTCCTGAGTAGCTAGGATTACAGGCATCCACCACCACACCAGCTAATTTTTTTGTCTTTTTAGTAGAGATGGGGGTTTCACCATCTTGGCCAGGCTGGTCTTGAACTCCTGACCTTGTGATCTGCCCGCCTCAGCCTCCCAAAGTGCTGGGATTATAGGCGTGAGCTACCGTGCCTGGCCTGTATTTTTTTTTTTTTTTTTTTTTGAGACAGAGTTTTACTCTTGTTGCCCAGGCTGTAGTGCAGTGGCACGATCTCGGCTCACCACAACCTCCATCTCCTGGGTTCAAGTGATTCTCCTGCCTCAGCCTCCCGAATAACTGGGATTACAGGCATGCACCACCATACCCTGCTAATTTTGTATCTTTAGTAGAGATGGGGTTTCTCCATGTTGGTCAGGCTGGTCTTGAACTCCCAACCTCAAGTGATCCACCCACCTCGGACTCCCAAAATGCTGAGATTACAGGCGTGAGCCACCACACCTGGCCACTGTTTGTATTTTTAGTAGAGATGGGGTTTTACCAGTGGCCAGGAAGGTCTTGAAGAACTGCTGACCTCAAATGATCCACCAGCCTTGGCCTCCCAAAATGCTGGGATTACAGGCTTCAGCCACCACGCCCGGCCCCTTCCCTGTTTTTTTATTTTATTTTACTTATTTTATTATTTATTTATTTATTTATTTTTTGAGACAGTCTCGCTCTGTTGCCCAGGCTGGAGTGCAGTGGCACAATCTCGGCTCACTGCAACCTCCGCCTCCCAGATTCAAGCAATTCTCCTGCCTCAGCCTCCAGAGTAGCTGTGATTACAGGCTCCCGCCACCATGCCCGGCATTTTTTGTATTTTTAGTAGAGACAGTGTTACACCATGTTGGCCAGGCTGGTCTCGAACTCCTGACCTCAAATGATTCACCCATCTCGGCTTCCCAAAGTGCTGACATTACAGGCATGAGCCACCACCTCTGGCCTTATTTTTAATATTTTTTGAGATGGAATTTTGCTCTTGTTACCCAGGCTGGAGTGCAATGGCACAATCTCAGCTTACTGTAACCTCCGCCTCCCAGGTTCAAGTGATTCTCCTGCCTCAGCCTCCCAAGTAGCTGGGATTACAGGCATGTGCCACCACACCCGGCTAATGTTTTGTATTTTTATTAGAGATGGGGTTTCACCATGTTGGCCAGGCTGGTCTCAAACTCCTGGCCTCAGGTGATCCACCCGCCTCAGCCTCCCAAATGCTGGGATTACAGGTGTGAGCCACCGTACCTGGCCTTATTTTTTTTCTTTTTTATTTTTGAGCTGGAGTTTGGCTCTTGTTACCCAGGCTGGAGTGCAATGGCACAATCTCAGCTCACTGCAACCTCTGCCTCCCAGGTTCAAGTGATTCTCGTGCCTCAGCCTCCTGAGTAGCTGGGATACAGGCACCCACCACCACACCTGGCTAATTTTTTGTATTTTTAGTAGAGATGGGATTTTGCCATGTTGGCCAGGCTGGTCTCGAACTCCTGACCTCAGGTGATCCACTTGCCTCGGCCTCTCAAAGTGCTAGGATTACAAACGTAAGCCACCACGCCCAGCTGTCTTCCCTGTTTTTAGATAAGGTACTGTGTTTCTGCCTTAAGCCATCTAGTGGGAACACATCTCCCAGGTTCACTGACTGTTCACTTCCTGTGGGTATCACCTTGTGCAGCCTTACCTGGTCACATTGTTCAGAGCTAAATGGAAGGGTTGTGGTCCACACCCCTCTAGATCCTGTGACCAGGACCGAATATTTCCTGTTGACTTGTAGTCTCCTTGAAATAATTTATTCGTCATATATGTTGAGAAAGCCTCTTGTTGGACTGATGATTCTTATGTATGAATGACCCTGGGACAGTGTAGTTTATGGGGGTGAAAAGTGTGATATTTGTGTGCCTGACTTTTGGTGCGTCTCATGTCTTCTGATATCCATCCTTTTCCTTTGCTTGAGTTTCCTCTGCTTCTTAGATGCTCTGTAATGTCATGGTAATAAGATAATACTAATCTGATGCTGTTCTAGGTTCAGTGTTTGGCTTTTAACCTTACCTTTTCTTTTTCTTTTTTTTTTTTTTTCTTTTTGGAGACAGAGTCTTACTCTGTCACCCAGGCTGGAGTGCAGTGGCACGATCTTGGCTCATTGTAACCTCTGTCTCCCGGGTTCAAGCAGTTCTCCTGTCTCAGCCTCCCGAATAGCTGGGATTACAGGCACATGCCACCACGCCCGGCTAATTTTTATATTTTTAGTAGAGACAGGGTTTCACCATGTTGGCCAGGCTGGTCTCGAACTCCTGACTTCGTGATCCACCTGCCTTGGCCTCCCAAAGTGCTGGGATTACAGGCGTGAGCCACCACGTCCAGCCTTACCTTACTTTCTCAAGAAGAGCAGCTAGTACTCTACCGATTCTCCAGAGGGGCTTTTTGGAAATAGTTAACAGTAGATCTTTGCTTAGGCTAGCCGATGATTTAGGGTATGCCAAACTCTATGCTTTCATAAAGAGATATGGAAAAAAGAAGGCATCAAGGAGGTACTGGTAAGATTTGGGAAATAATGAAGTATGATGATTTTAACTGTGGGGAAAAAATATTGTGATGAGATTAGGCCCCAGGTCTTTGGAAGAACCTTAATTCTAAGCTGAGACTTTGGCTGGACAGAGTCCACCTCTGCTTTGTCAAGTGCTCGAGTTTGGCATTCTCTCATGAGAAAGCTTTGTTAGAGGAAAACATATCTGATTCTGTCATGGTTGGTGAGCAAGTTTAGGCTAATCATGTTCCTGTAGGCAGGTTCTATAATGTCTAATCTCTACTGAGGGCAGAGCAAAAGAAAAGCATTCTTTGAACAGAGGTCATCCACATTTCAAAAGTGATGTGCCAAGTAACTAATTGCTTTCTCCCTGAACTTCATATGTGAAGAATGGCTAAGGGTAGTGTAAGTAGCTTTGGTGGTGGTTCTAAGGAATAGGAAGGATGGAGTACAGCTTTTGTGAGGACATAGGTGGCAATGCTGATGGGAGGACAGGCCAGCTGTCCTTACTGAACTGTTGGGCAGAAACAAGGTCTCCGATCTATAGGAACACGTTCCTGAATCGTGCTGTTTCATGTTTTCACACTTAGAAGTGGATGAAAGGATATAGTTAGTGTAAGCAGAATGAATGAAGAAGAAGGTGGCAGAATAATCTCCCCAAGAGATGCCTTTCTTTGCAGCCTAGTTCCGTATATTACTTGGTCATCTTCTGAGTCTCCTTTTTCATATATGCTCCAAGTTTCTGAGTTCTGGAGTAAGATCTTTTCCTTAAAAGGGTTGGCTTGTTGTCTAGGGTAAGAATATCAGGCAGTCTTGGATTGACTGAGAGTATGGTGATCAAAGGAAGGCCCTACATTCTTGTGCCTCTGGCTACAGCTTCACCCCTAGTATGCTTGTCTAGGGGAGTGTAGGCCCCTTGTTGGGAATCTGTGTTTAGAATACTGCTGTAGCTACAGTTGTATGCTGGTAGTGTCCTTTTCACTGCCTAAACTGTGGTATTGGGCCAGTGAAGGTCTGAGTTTATTGATCCTTGCTTTGCATTCCTGGCTCAGGGTGGAGGAGAAAGTTATTTCCCAATCACTTAGTTTCTGTCCTTTACCCTCAGGTATGTCAAGAGCCCCACCTTCCTCGGGGGCACCTCCAGCCTCAACAGCACAGGCTCCTTGTGGCCAGGCTGCATATGGCCAGTTTGGCCAAGGAGATGTACAGAATGGGCCAAGCTCCACTGTTCAGATGCAAAGGTAGGTACTTGGTCAATCTAAAATTGGTCTGATGAGGCTGAGTGCAGTGGCTCATGCCTGTAATCCCAGCACTTTGGGAGGCTGAGGTGGGTGGATCACCTGAGGTCAGGAGTTTGAGACCAGCCTGGCCAACATGGCAAAACCCCATCTCTTTTCTCAAATAAAAAATTAGCCAGGTGTGGTGGTGTGCACTTGAAATCCCAGACTTGGGAGGCTGAGGCAGAAGAATCATGAGGCAGAGGTTGCCGTGAGCCGAGATCGTGCCATTGCACTCCAGCCTGGGCGATAGAGTGAGACTCCGTCTCATAAATAAATAAATAAATAAATAAATAAAATTGATCTGATGAAAGTAGAAAGGTTAGGAATGTATGGGGGTTTGTGTTTTGTTTTGTTTTTTTTCTCTCCTTTGCCTTTCTTGTAGATCACTTTTTCTCTTCCCTCTACCCTTTTGTACTTTGTCTTCTTTTTTCCAGGTTACAGGTACTGCTGACGTCCAGCCCTGTGGATTATTGACCCATCTTAGTACCTGGGTTCCTTTGCATATTCTTCATTTTCTGTGAACTTGAGTTTCTTGCTTTACTAGACATACATCTTCAATAATGGTTGCAGTCCTGTTGAGACTACCCTAAGGGAGAAATGGGAAGAGGAAACTTCAGGATTATTTGCATCTCTTTTGACTTGCCCCTTTCCTCTAGAACAGGCACTTAGTAGGACTGATTGGTTAAGTTTGGGCATGGCCAGTTATGAACTGAAAGATACTAAAAGGGAAACCACATAAATGGTGAAAACTTCAGTGGTACAGTGACCCAATAAACCCATCTTAGCATGAAAGTCCATTAAAGGAGGGCAGTCATCTCTATTAGAGTGCTTTTTAAAATTTTTTAATTTTTTTTTTTGAGACAGGGTCTCACTCCGTGGCCCAAGCTAGAGTGCAGTGGCAGGATCACAACTCCCTGGAGCCTGGATGTCTCAGGCTCAGGTGACCCTCCCACCTCAGTTTCCCAGGTAGCTGGGACTACAGGCATGCGCCACCACACCCAGCTAATTTTTTGTATTTTTAGTAGAGATGGGGTTTCGCTGTGTTGCCCAGGCTGATCTCAAAACTCCTGAGCTCAAGCAATCTGCCCACCTTGGCCTCCCAAAGTGCTAGGATTACAGGAGTGAGCCACTGCACCTGGTCAGGAGTGTTGTTTGTGTTTGGTAAATAAAGAGTAAAATATAACTGTGGGAAAGGGGTATGATAATAGAAAAGTCACTTTCTGACACTTTAACTGGGTGTCCAGAACACACATTTTAAGCATTGAATGTAAGCCTGGGTAAGTCAAACAAGTGGGGTACATAGAAGATAACAAGTACACAAATGTACATAAAGTTATAAAACAGGGTGAGGATATAGTGAGGGGGTAGGGAGCTGTTTTAAATACATTGGTCCGTGCTGGGTGCAGTGGCTGACTCCTTTAATACCAGCACTTGGGGAGGCTGAGGTGGGAGGATTGCTTGAGCTCACAAGTTGAAGGCTGCAGTGAGCCATGATTGTACTGCTGCACTCCAGTCTAGGTGACAAAGCAAGACCCTGTCACAAAAAAACAAAACAAAACAAAAAACCCATACGAAACAAGCATATGCCTTAGTAAATTATTATATAGCAAACTCCTTTGTAACTACAACTACGACCCAGATGAAGAAATAGAACTTTGCCACTCACCCCAAAAGCCTTTTCCATGTGCCCCAATTCAAACATTATTCTCTCCCTCCCCTCATAAATAACAACTATCCTGCATTATCCTGACTCTTACAGTAATTACTTTCTTTTTCTTTTTTTTTGAGACAGAGTCCTGCCCTGTTGCCCATGCTAGAATGCAGTGGTGTGATCTCGGTTCACTACACTCTCCAGCTCCTGGGTTCAGGCGATTCTCCAGCCTCAGCCTCCCGAGTAGCTGGGATTGCAGGCGCCTGCCATCAGGCATGGCTAATTTTTTTATATTTTTAGTAGAGACAGGGTTTCGCCATGTTGGACAGGCTGGTCTCGAACTCCTGACCTCAAGTGATCCACCCGCCTCAGCCTTCCAAAGTGCTGGGATTACAGGTGTGAGCCACCACGCCCAGCTGACTTTCTTGTGGTTTTTTAAAAATAGTTTACACTTGGCTGGGTGAGGTGGCTCATGCCTATAATCCCAGCACTTTGGGAGGCCAAGGTGAGAAGATTGCTTCAGCCCAGATTTTTGAGACCAGCCTGTGCAATATAGGGAGACCCCAATCTCTACAAAAAATAAAATGTTAGCTGGGCATGGTGGCAAGCTTGTTGTCCTAGCTACTTTGGGAGGCTGAAGTGGAGGTATCGTTTGGGCCCAAAAGGTCGAGGCTACACTGAGTGTGATCTCGCCACTGCACTCCAGAGCTTGAGAAACAGCGAGACTGTGTCTCACAAAGAAAAAGTTTACACTCAAATGTACAACCCCACGTACCACAATTTAGTTTTACCCACAGGAAAAACACTTGGTGTGTCTTAAGTCTATAAGCTCCACCTCTGTCTTCTTTTTCTTAGTATTTATCTGTTGAAGAAAACAGTTAACCCAAAGAATTTCCCACAGTTTGGACTCTTTACATAACATTTACATCACACTTGTCCAACTTGTGGCCCACAGTCTGCGTGCCCCAGGACGGCTTTGAATGTGGTCCAACACAAATTCATAAACTTCCTTAAAACATTATGAGGTTTTTTTTTTTAAGTTCATTACCTGTCATTAGTGTAGTGTTAGTGTATTTTATGTGTGGCCCAAGACACTTCTTCCAGTATAGCCCAGGGAAGCCAAAAGATTGGACACCCCTGATTTACATTGTATTAGGTATTATAAGTAATCTAGAGATGATTTAAAGTACATGGGAGGAGGCTGGGTGTGGTGGCTTATACCTGTAATTCCAGCACTTTGGGAGGCCAAGGTGGGTGGATCACCTGAGGTAAGGAGTTTGAGACCAGCCTGGCTAACATGGTGAAACCCCATCTCTACTAAAAATACAAAAATTAGCTGGGTGTGGTGGCGGGCACCTATAATCTCAGCTACTTGGGAGGCTGAGGCAGGAGAATCGCTTGAACCCAGGAGGCAGAGGTTGCAGTGAGCCAAGATTGTGCCACTGCACTCCATCCTGGGCGACAGAGTGAGACTTCGTCTCAGGAAAAAAAAAGTATATGGGAGGTTATATGCAAATATGATGCCGTATAACCCACATCCAATTCTATTGATTCCACCTTCAAGATGTATCCCAAATCTCACTACAGTCATTCCTCAGTATCCATGGGGGAATGGTTCCAGGACCTCCCCTGACCAACAGATACCAAAATCCACAAAGGCTCAAGTCCCTCATATAAACTCTATTCAAGTAGAGATGTTAGGTAGGCAGGTGCATATACAAATCTGCAGCTCAAGACTGATGCTAGGACTGGAGATAAAAATTTGGGAGTCCTCAGTCTATAGATATTTAAAGCCGTGGGACTAGATGAAATCATTTAAAAAGTGAGTATTGAGATTAAAGAATGGAATTGAGGACTGAGACTTGGAGCTTAGCAACATTTAAAAGTAAAGAGGAGCCGCCATTAAAAGACAATGAGGGGCCAGGTGCAGTGCCTCACTCCTGTAATCCCAGCACTTTGGGAGGCTGAGGCAGGCAGATTGCTTGAGCTCAGGAGTTCGAGACAAGCCTGGGCAACATGGTGAAACCCTGTCTCTACCAAAATACTAAAATTAGCCGGGTGTGGTGGCACATGCCTGTGGTCCCAGCTTCTTGGGAGGCTGAGGTGGGAGGATGGCTTGAAACCAAGAGGCGGAGGTTGCAGTGAGCCGAAATCGCACCGCTGCACTCCAACCTGAATGACAGAGTAAGACCCCATCTCAAACAAACAAAAAAAAAACAAAAGACAATGAGAAAGAGCAGTAGTGAGGTGGGAGATAAGCCGGGAGAGTGTGGTGTCCTGAAGTCAGGTGAAGAGAGTATTTCAAGAAGGTGAGAGAGTAATCAGTTGTGTCAGATGCTGCCAAATTGTAAGATGAAGATGGAGAATTGACCATTGAATTTGGCAAGGTTGGCGTCATTGGTAAAGGCAGTTTCAGTGTAGAGATAAAGAAAACTACCCAGTTGGAGTGAGTCAGAGTTTCAGGCCAGGCGCGGTGGCTCATGCCTGTAATTCCAGCACTTTGGGAGGCCGAGGCGGGTGGATTACAAGGTCAGGAGATCGAGACCATCCTGGCTAACACGGTGAAACCCCGTCTCTACTAAAAATACAAAAAATTAGCTGGGCGCGGTGGCAGGCTCCTATAGTCACAGCTACTTGGGGGGCTGAGGCAGGAGAATGGCGTGAACCCAGGAGGCAGAGCTTGCAGTGAGCCGAGATCTTGCCACTGCACTCCAGCCTGGGCGACAGACAGCGAGACTCCGTCTCAGGAAAAAAAAAAAGTTTCAACCGGGTGGTAGATTGACATAATCTGAAAACCCTCTGCTACCAAAGTCTAGAAAGGAGAGAGAAAATAGAAACAAAAAAAATTTTTAAGTGCAAAGTTAAGCTTGAAAGAAAATGTGAAATTCTTAAGTTTTAGAGACCAAGTGAGGACTGAAAATCTTTTTTTTTTTTTAAATACAGAGTCTTGCTCTGTCGCCCAGGCTGGAGTGCAGTGGCACGATCTCTGCTCACTGCAACCTCTACCTCCCAGGTTCAAGCGATTCCCCTGCCTCAGCCTCCCAAGTAGCTGGGACTACAGATGTGGGCCACCATGCCCGGCTAATTTTTGTATTTTTAGTAGAGATGAGGTTTCACCGTGTTGGCCAGGCTGGTCTCAAACTCCTCGCCTCAGGTGAACCGCCCACCTTGGCCTCCCAAAGTGGTGGGATTACAGGCATGGGCCACTGTGCCTGGCCATCAAGTGAGGACTGAAAATCAGAGTGGTAAATTGACTCTGGAGCTGCCTGTAGATTGGGTGGATTCATCATCTTGAGAAGCCAGGGCCTTAAATTTAAGCAGGTACTGGGGAAGGCAGATGAGTCCTTGGGCTTTCCTGAGAGTAGTTTTGGAACTGAGACATTGTTTATAAAGTCTGGACCTGGGCTGCACCTTCATTGAACAAGCTGACTAGGGGAAAAAAGTCTGCACGCTGGAAAGGGGAGATAAGGAGTGCTGTTTCTCTCAGGCTGGCTGTGGATGGGTGAAAAAAAAAGTTCTTGGGACTGCAAATGGACATGACATCTTTTTGGAATGATGAAAATGTTTTAAAATTTGATTCTGGTGATGGTTGCATAACTAAATTTACTAAAAATCATTGAATTGTTCACTTGAAGTGAATTTAATGGTATGGAAATTACATCTCAGTAATATTTTTTTTTTTTTGAGACAGAGTTTTGGTCTTATTGCCCAGGTTGGAGTGCAATAGCACGATCTCAGCTCACTGCAGCCTCTGCCTCCTGGGTTCAAGTGATTCTCCTGCCTCAGCCTCCCAAGTAGCTGGGATTCCAGGCATGACCACCATGCCAGGCTAATTTTTTGTATTTTTAGTAGAGACAGGGTTTCACCATGTTGGCCAGGCTGGTCTTGAACTGACCTCAAGTGATTCACCTGTGTTGGCCTCCCAAAGTTCTGGGATTACAGGTGTGAGTCACTGTTCCTGGCCAATTTTTTTTTTTTTTTTTTTTTTTTTTTTTGAGATGAAGTCTCGCTCTGTCACCCAGGCTGGAGTGAAGTGGTGTGACCTTGGCTCACTGCAACCTCCACCTCCCAGGTTCAAGTGAATCTCCTGTCTGAACCTCTTGAGTAGCTGGGATTACAGGTGTGCACTACCACGCCTGGGCTAATTTTTGTATTTTTTTAGTAGAGATGGAGTTTCACCATGTTGGTCAGGCTGGTCTTGAACTCCTGACCTCAAATGATCCATCTGTCTCGGCCTCCCAAAGTACTGGGATTACAGGCATGAGCCACTGCACCTGGCCTAATTTTTTTTTTTTTTAAATTAGAGGCCAGGTGCAGTGGCTCATGCCTGTAGTAATCTCAACACCTTGGGAGGCTGAGACAGGAGGATCACTTGAGGCCAGAAGTTTTAGACCAGCCTGGGCAACATAGGGAGATCCTGTCGCTATAAAAAAAAAAAAATAGCTGAGCATTGTTGGTGTGCCTGGGAAGCAGAGGTGGAGGCAGGAGGATTGCTAGAGCCCTGGAGGTTGAGGCTACAGTGAGCCATGATGGCTTCGCTGCACTGTGGCCTGGGTGCCAGAGTGAGACCCTGTCTCAAAAACTAAAAAAAAAAAAAAATCAATCTAGGGTGACACTGTCATTATTGGAGTACCTTCTGGAAACAAATGTAGAACAACCACACCTCAGTCCGGGCTGGAAGGGATTATCGGAGAAAGGCACTTTGATTAGAGTTGGGCCAGGCACAGTGCTCATGTTTGTAATCCCAGCACTTTGTGAAGCCGGGGTAGGAGTTCAAGACTATCCTGGGCAGCATAGCAAGACCCTGTCTCTACAAAAAATAAAAAAAATTAGCTAGGTGTGGTGGTGTGTGCCTGTGGTCTCAGATACTTGGGAGGGGAGGCTTAGGGGGAGGATTGCTTGAGCCCAGGAGGTCAAGGCTGCAGTGAGCCACAGATAGTGAGTGCCATTGTACTCCAGCCTGGGTGACAGAGCGAGACCCTGTCTCAAAAAAAAAAAAAAAAAAAAAAAAAAAACGTAAGGCTGGGCACGGTGGCTCACGCCTGTAATCCCAGCACTTTGGGAGGTTGAGGCGGGCGAATCACGAGGTCAGGAGTTCCGAGACCAGCCCGGCCAACATAGTGAAACCCCGTCTCTACTAAAAATACAAAAATTAGCCAGGCATGATGGTGGGCACCTGTAGTCCCAGCTACTCGGGAGGCTAAGGCAGGAGAATTGCTTGAACCCAGGAGGTGGAGGTTGTGATGGGCCAAGATCGCACCACTGCACTCCAGCCTGGGCGACAGAGTGAGACTCTGTCTCAAAAGAAAAGAAAAGAAAAAAAAAAGTAGAGACAGAGTATAGACCTATTCTTTTGTAATGTTTAGCTAAAAGGGGAGCAAAAGTTTGAGGGGGCTGTGAGGTAATTTGGTTGGATTTTTAAAAAGTTTTTTGAGATATAATTCATATACTGTGCAATTCGTCTGTTTAAAGTGTTTTTGTATATTTAGTGGTTTTTAATATATTGACAGATATGTGCTGTCACAATTTAGTATATTGACAGATATCACTACAGTCAGTTTTAGAACATTTTCATCATCTGAAGAAGAAATACTGCATTCTTTAACTACCCCTGTTTAGCTATTCCCCCATTCCCCTATTCTTCCAACCTTAAGCAACTCCTGATCTACTTTCTGTCTCTAAAGATTTCCCTATTCTGGACTTTTCATTAGAATAGAATCATATACTATGTGATATTTTATAACTGACTTCTTTAATTTAGCATAATATTTTCAAAGTTCAACTATGTTGTAGTGTATATTAGTACTCCATTCCTTTTTGTGGTTAAGTGGTTTTTCATTGTGTAGCTACATGCCACATTTTGTTTATCCATTCTTCTGCTGATAGACATTTGGGATGTTTCCACTATAGTTGGTTTTTGTGTGTGTGTGTGTGTGTGTGAGATGTTTGTATGTTTTTGTGCTGATGGGAATAATCAGAGAGGGAGACACTGAATGGAAAGTATATTGGAAAGACACTGTGGTAGACTGAGGCGGGCAGATTCGTTGAGCTCAGGAGTTTGAGACCAGCCTAGGCAACATGGCGAGACTCCGTATCTATAAAAAATGCGAAAACTAGCCACGCATGGTGGCGTGTGACTTTCGTTTCAGCTACTTGAGAGGCTGAGGTGGGAAGATCAGCTGAGCCTGGAAAGTTGAGGCTGCAATGAGCTGTGATCACACCACTGCACTTCAGCCTGGGTGGCAGAGTGAGACCCTGTCTCAAAAAAAAAAAAAAGCTGGACAATCAATCTGCATTTGTTTGATTTCATATTTATTAAGGTTCATGCATGCTTATGCGTGCCTTCCCTTTCAGTGCTTTCAGGGCTTCAGATTACAAAACTGAAGAGGTTTGTCAAAGAATTGAAGCAGAGGAAGCAGTAATTTAGTTAGCAGAGTAAATAGTACTTGACCTGAAGGTGCTTGGTTTATGTTTGTGGAGTGAGCTTAATGGAAAACAAGATTTGCCATGAATAATCAGGAATATAATTTACCCACAAATATACAAAAGTATGAAGCCATAAAAGAACTCAGGGTGTGAGAGTAAGATGTCACAAAACAATGTAGCTTCCTGTATGATGTGACACTTCTGTAGACTTCAAAGGGTGTCCTGGCCCCACTAGTCACCTCTGCTTGCTTTCTTTTCACAGGCTGCCTGGGTCTCAGCCATTTGGGTCCCCATTGGCCCCTGTGGGCAACCAGCCACCTGTGCTTCAGCCCTATGGCCCTCCCCCGACAAGTGCACAGGTGGCTACGCAGCTGTCTGGAATGCAGATCAGCGGTGCTGTGGCCCCAGCCCCTCCTTCTTCAGGGCTGGGCTTTGGTGAGTGGCTGTGAACACAGGAATGTTACTGTCCCCTGTTCAGAGGCATCAGACTCTGGGGTTATACCTGAATCTCTTTTATTTCCCTTGTATTTCCTGTGCCTCTGAGCCTCAGAAGATGGGACAGTCATATTTGCCCCTCTTGTGTGGAAAGGGAAGTGATATACCGAACAAGGAGGCAGAATGACTGGGCTTTTGACTCTACCTTTATTCTACTTCTCAGGCCCACCAACATCGCTGGCTTCAGCCTCAGGAAGTTTCCCTAACTCTGGTCTGTATGGCTCCTATCCTCAGGGCCAGGCTCCTCCCCTTAGCCAGGCCCAAGGTCATCCTGGGATCCAGACTCCCCAGCGATCTGCCCCATCACAGGCCTCCAGCTTCACACCCCCAGCTTCAGGGGGTCCTCGGCTGCCTTCGATGACTGGTCCACTCCTGCCTGGACAGAGTTTTGGAGGGCCCTCAGTGAGCCAGCCCAACCATGTGTCTTCACCTCCTCAAGCTCTGCCCCCTGGCACCCAGATGACTGGGCCCCTGGGACCACTGCCACCTATGCACTCCCCGCAGCAGCCAGGCTATCAGCCCCAACAAAATGGTGAGTCTTTCCCAAGGTCTGTCTTAGAAGCTAGAGGCTTCAGCTACTCAGGTGGTTTTTGATGTTTTTTATTTGTTTGTTTTTAGTATTACTTGCTAAGTGGTGAATTAGATGGGTAGCTTCAGGGTATTATTCCTAGGATATGGGGTTTGTAAGACATTATTTTTTCTTGTCGTTCTGATAACATGGTATTTTTCTGAATGTCTTTGCCAGGCATTAGTGTGCCTCATAATTCTATGTTTTTAGGAGTCTAGTCATTTTCCTGAGGCCTTAAGAAGAGATAGGGATGGGATTTTGAGTTCATCAACCTTGTGTCCTTGTCTCAGGTTCCTTCGGACCAGCCCGGGGCCCTCAGTCTAATTATGGAGGCCCCTACCCAGCAGCACCCACCTTTGGCAGTCAGCCTGGGCCTCCTCAGCCACTGCCTCCTAAGCGCCTGGACCCTGATGCCATCCCAAGCCCTGTAAGTAGAAACTTTCATGGTCCTGAGGAAGGGTTTGTGTCTGCCAGATAGGCAGGTCAATCTAGATGAAATGTTTGCCTAGCATTTTCTGATAATTTTCCCTTTTTGTTCATCTTCTTGGAGAACTTACATATAATTTGATTCTGAACTGGAACTTGAGGTTCTAGGAGTCTTTTGGGGGGCTGTTTTACTCTATAGCTGGGCAGAGAAGGAAGGGAAACCAAGAGTGAGCAGCAGCACCAGTAGATGTCTGAGGGCTGCACTCTGTCACTACTGTACATACATAGTATAGTAGCCTTTGTCCTTCTGTGGAGCAGTGACTGGGTCTTGTCCCCTTAGATCTAGAAGGATGGCATTCTTCCTAATGGGTAGAGCAGGTGGGAATTCTCTGATGTTAGATGTTAAGAGAAGGAAAGCCTCACTGGTTTCTCTGCTCTTACTTGGACAGTTTTAGGAGGAAGTCCCCAGTACTTTTGTTTGGTAGGCTTCTGCTGTGTGGATGGGGAAGAGTGAACGACAGTTTATGAGGGCAGTGTGTATGTAAAGTCCCACTGGAGAGCTGCTTTTTTCAGGAAGAGGGTGAATTGCACCCTTGGAGCCATCAGAATCCTCAGGCCCTCCTTATCAGACTCAGAATAGAGACTAGGACTGTACTGCCAAGTAGGGGCCACTTTATAGTTCCACCTGTAACATTTGCTATGTCAGTTACCTTGCCATGCTTAGCCATTGTCATATTCCATTCTGTTCTCGTCCCTCTTCCTCCTTTGGGTAACCAACACAGTGAGGGAGCCTGTTGGCCAAGGAGAACTCAAGAGGATTAAGCAGCCTCTCCTTCCTTCCCCCTCCTTCAGTGAGAAGGAGAGTCTGGTTGGACATGAAGGGAGGCTTCTTTCAGCATAAGATAGTCCTTAGAATGGGAGGTTTGGCCTTTTAGGGGGAACACTCCTCTTCTTCTTCCTTAAGGTTTCTTCCATTCAGCCTCAGCCCCTCCCTGTGTAACTCCTGCTTGCCTCCTGTTTGCCCCTTTCCTTATCTTTCTACATCATAGTCTGAGCCATTAAAGCCTCTGTGTTGGGCCAGAAAGACTTGGAATTTCATATCTAGAGGGGGCTTGATTTCAGCAATATGAGCTGGGCTCCAGCTGTTCATGTCTAACTCAACAGGGTTGAGAGAAGTAACATCTGCCTCTTGTTCTTTTGTCTCCCTCCTTGTATTCCCCTGCTGCATTTATTATTAAAACACTAAAAGCAACTCAGTGAGCTGCCTCCTCAGCAGAAAACCAGGCACAGAATAGACCCCGATGCCATTCCTAGTCCAGTAAGTGCAGGGGGTGGGTGTTTGTGCATGTCATTCCTGTGTTAGTGCCATCCATGCATGCCTGTGACCTCATCTTCACCTCATCTACCATGTCCATTCCTCCCCATTCTCTTCCTTTAGCCTAGCCCTTCTAGATACTCACTTATACAAGATAAAAGGATATGCATGCCTCAAGTCACCAGGTAATGAAGAGGTAGCAAGCTGTTTGCCTTGAGTATGGGGTGGTGGAAGGTCAGGCTCTAAGGGTGGGGTCAGGTGGCATGTCAAGCTTTGGCTTTAGTTCTGCTGGCACCTCCAGGAGCCTGCAGGTGATGTATGATGGAAGAGGACAAAGTTGAACGGTAGATCATTCCACTTTGGATTTGATTTGTCTGTAGCCTGTTGTGGAGAAATATTGGAGTAGGAATGTACAGATTCATAGTATCCCAAACTGGCATTTCTTACAGGAGAAGGGACTGCTGGTTTGGGAAAGTGTGGGTGCTTTCTCATCTGAAGAGTCTTTTTGACTCTGATATATTTCTAAGCTTCAACCTTTCTGCTATGGGATAGAGTCTTATTTGCCCTTTGCTTTTTCTGGTTTTCCAAACCCATCTTGAAGTAACTGACCAAAGGTCATTAGCCTGCATAAAGGTCTGAATACCAGCTTTGCAGGTCCTTTATTTTCCTTTGCTGAGTCTGTCAAAATGTGGAGGACTGAGGATTGAGCTATAAGGATTGGGTACTTCTCCTCTCCTCCTATATATACACATTGATGCTTACCTGAAAGTAAGGCAGCATCTGCTTCCTCACCTTACTTGATCATTTCTGGCTGTTTAAATCTCTCCTCACCCTGTCCCTTGTAATTTCATTGAGTGTAGAGTCATTCCAGGTAGATTCATTTTTACGTGGTTACTGTTGTCTGTTTTCCTGCTCTGACTCAGAATGTGTCTTGGGGAGAGGATCGGGGAAGGCATGATGGGGGAGGGGAATGGAATCTAATCATGTTTGAAGGTTTGTGATCAGAGCTGGGGCTTTTCCTGGAATGGGAGGAATGAGAGGGTGTTCACCATTGATGGGGGGTAGGGGGCAATTCATAAAGAAGCCCATTCTCATGTTGCCTGCCCAGCAGGCTGCTGGGAGTGAAAGATTGGCTGCTGTAGAGTGTAAGATTGGCATTACAGCATTTTATATGATCTCCAGAAGGAGAACAGGCCTGGTGTATGAGGTGTTCCTTGGCAAATTTTTAGTTTTTGTGTTACAGCTCTAGCCTTTTTCACTCTTGGCACTCTGGGACCTCACACTTCCTTTTTCTTCTGTCACCTCATTCATTGCACTTCTCTGCAGATTCAGGTCATTGAAGATGACAGGAACAACCGGGGTACAGAGCCATTTGTTACTGGAGTACGGGGCCAGGTGCCACCCTTAGTCACTACCAACTTCCTGGTGAAAGACCAAGGTGAGAATGGAATTAGCTCCTCCCACAGGGGCTTTTTCTTCAAGATTATCAGCTTATGGTTGGGGCTTTTTTTTTTTTTTTTTTTTTTTTTTTTTTTTAGTTTTTAACCAGAGACAAGTTCCCTCTAGTCCCTCTGGGGGAAAAAGCCACCATCACCTCTAGCTTTGTGGAGTTGATGGTGTGGATCACCAATGGAGAGCTGGTGTCTGGAAGGATTCTGTGATCTGACTCGGGTCTTCTGCCTCCTTCTTCAGGGAATGCAAGTCCCCGATACATCCGATGTACATCCTATAATATCCCTTGCACATCTGACATGGCTAAGCAGGCTCAGGTGCCCCTGGCAGCAGTCATCAAACCGCTGGCAAGGCTGCCCCCAGAGGAGGTGAGTCAGGGAAGGGGCTAGAGTGTAATGAAAGGGAGGGAGGTAGAGAGGGGTCTAAAGCGTCTTCCTGGATGTGATTCCAGCTTCACAATGGAAGATATTTTAGTTAGGCAGGAGAGGAGACTGTCTTTAGTGGCTTTCTATCCCAGGGCCCATGCCTGGAGAGGGGATGGTAGGGATGAGAGCAAAAGCCCAAGACATTGCTGAGAAGGAACAGAGTCTCTAGAGGAAACAAGCAGGATGAAAAGAGGTAGGGCCAGGCCAGGCGCAGTGGCTCACGCCTGTAATCCCAGCACTTTGGGAGGCTGAGGCGGGTGGATCACGAGGACAGGAGATCAAGACCATCCTGGCTAACACGGTGAAACCCCGTCTCTATGAAAAATACAAAAAATTAGCCGGGCGTGGTGGCGGGCGCCTGTAGTCCCAGCTACTTGGGAGACTGAGGCAGGAGAATGGCGTGAACCCGGGAGGCAGAGCTTGCAGTGAGGCGAGATTGCACCACTGCACTCCAGCCTGGGCAACAGAGCGAGACTCTGTCTCAAAAAAAAAAAAAAAAACAAGAGGTAGGGCCAAATTGTAGGGGAGAAGACAGCTGAATGTAGGAACCTCTCGTATCATGGTCATCTCCAGATGATGAGAAGGACATCATTCCATGTTTTCCTGACTGTCCTGTCATCCCAGGTTAGTGCTGTTAGAACAGCATATAAGAGAAAAGGTAGATTAGGATCCAGTGATCCTTCTGTCACCTGTTTTGGGACCTGATCTGTCACCCCAGTACCTGATACCAGCATGAAGAGAGCGAGCCAGGCAGCTGCTCCACCAGGCCTTGGTAGGATACTCATATTCAGCCTTGCTTATCTTACGATAGGGTTCTCTGTTACTAGAAGCCAAAGGCTCAGTTTATATTCTGCTTATCTCTCCGTCTTTCTCTGTGTGTTTGTCTATTTCTATCTGGGTCCCATTGGGGATAGTTGGGCACTGGTCTCTTATGTGTAGGGTGACATTTGCCTGGGGCATCAGTAACTGGCACAGAATCCCAGGGATACGGGAGGAGGTGTTACAGATATTTGGTTAGGGAAGGAGCTGGAATCAAGATTCTTAGAGCAAGAGTGAAGGGCATTAGAGATGGGGCCAGAAAGGAGAATCCTAGATAATCTTGGCTTTCTCCCTCATATGCCCATGGCAGCCCCTAGTCTGATATGGCCGGTTTTGCATTTCCTCTTCTCTTTCAGTGAGAAATGCAGCTCTGGGGGTGGGATGTAGGAAGAGGGAACTATATAATTTTTACTCATAGGGACATTTTCCTGTGATTTGTCTTTACTCCCTTTCATCATTGTGCTCCCTACTCCCTCTGCAGACAGAATATCTGCGCCATGCGCCTTCTTCCTCCGGTTGTTCTTCCTCATCTCCTGGCTGAACCTACTGTGGTTTTCCTTTATGTCTGATCCCTTCCCCTTTGCGCCTTAGGCTTCACCGTATGTTGTGGACCATGGGGAATCTGGCCCTTTGCGCTGCAACCGCTGCAAAGCATACATGTGTCCCTTCATGCAGTTCATTGAAGGAGGGAGGCGTTTCCAGTGCTGTTTTTGCAGCTGTATCAATGATGGTATGTTCATGGAAGCTGGGATTTGGGGGAAGGTCTTGATTGTATCTTCCTTGTTCTCTATTAAATAGTTAGAGAGATGAGGGTCCATCTTTCAGGAGCTGGGGAAGTAGGGCACATGGGAATGAGGGATAGTGGTGTGAGCTCAGCTAGGGCCAGAATACTAAGATTGAAACTGGATCTTCGAGTAACACACTGCCATGCTTCCCACAGTTCCCCCCCAGTATTTTCAGCACCTGGATCATACCGGCAAACGTGTGGATGCTTATGACCGCCCTGAGCTATCCCTGGGCTCTTATGAATTCTTGGCCACTGTAGATTACTGCAAGGTGAGGGAAGGTAGCATGGGAGGAGCAGTGAGTGGAGGATAATGAGACAGCTGAGAATGGCTGTTATCATTTCCCTCACCCCTTTTTTGTCCCTTTTTGATGCTGACTTCTCTATAGTCAACTGGCCTGCTTACCATTCCCCCTCTCCCCAACATTTTCTTCCTCTGCAGAACAATAAGTTCCCCAGCCCTCCTGCCTTTATCTTCATGATTGACGTCTCCTACAATGCCATCAGGACTGGTCTTGTTAGGCTCCTCTGTGAGGAGCTCAAGTCACTGTTAGACTTTCTACCTAGGTGAGAGTTACAGAACTGAGGTGTTTCCTGAGGTTAATGATAGGGTGTCTGGGTTGACTGAAGAAATGTAGCTTGGTGTCATGAAGTTGTGGGTGGTGGAAAAGGTGGCAAGTCTAGGTAACAATGTCACCTTCTACAGGGAGGGTGGGGCAGAAGAGTCAGCAATCCGCGTTGGCTTTGTCACCTACAATAAGGTGCTCCACTTCTATAATGTGAAGAGCTCATTGGCCCAGCCACAGATGATGGTTGTGTCTGATGTGGCTGACATGTTTGTGCCACTGCTGGATGGCTTCCTGGTCAACGTCAATGAGTCTCGGGCAGTTATCACCAGGTAAGAGCCAGATTGTGGAGGTAAAGGTTGGGGGTGGCATGGGTACCACCATAGAAGGTCATGGAGTTGAACAGAGGTATTGGACAGTAGATGGAAAGGGGTTGTGGCCCAGGAGTTGTCAGATTCTAGAGGCTTGATGACTCTTCAGGGAATCGAGAACTGAGGTATCTGGAATCTGTATAGCAATTTTGGTTGTTTTCCGTCACCTATCTCTTTAGCTTATTGGATCAGATTCCAGAAATGTTTGCAGACACAAGGGAAACAGAGACAGTATTTGTACCAGTTATCCAGGCTGGAATGGAGGCTCTGAAGGTAAGGCTGGAGTATCGGGCAACCTCCTCTAACTCCATTTTCCTCTGACCATCTTATCCCCTGGGATACAACCTCTCTTTCTTCAGTAGTGGGTGACTGTCCAGTGTGTTAGACTGTCTGACATAGCTGGTGCTTAATAAATGACAAGGGAAGAGATGGATGAATAAAGAATAAACAAGTAGTCCTCTCTTTTTTCCTAGGCTGCTGAGTGTGCAGGGAAGCTCTTTCTATTCCATACATCCCTGCCCATTGCAGAGGCCCCAGGGAAACTGAAGAACAGAGATGACAGGAAGCTGATCAATACAGACAAGGAGAAGGTGTGGGACTGGAAAATGGGGGAGGGGAAGGATTTTTCATTACAGAGGAAGTGGGGACTCTACTTTCTTGATGGTGGCTAGGACCAGACACTCCACCCTTTCAAATACCATATCTGTGACTGCCAACCTCCACTGCTGCCATACTTCTCTACTCCATCTGATGCCAAAGCTGTTGGTAGACTCTTGTATTTATTTATTTTTTAAAGAAGAACTTTTGGCCGGGCATGATGGCTCATGCCTGTAATCCGAGCGCTTTGGGAGGCCAAGGCGGGCAGATTTTTGAGGCCAGAAGTTTGAGACCAGCCTGACTAACATGGCAAAACCCCGTCTCTACTAAAAATACAAAAATTAGCCAGGTGTGGTGGCACACACCTGTAATCCCAGCTACTTGGGAGTCTGAGGCAGGAGAATCGCTTGAACCTGGGAGGCAGAGGTTGCAGTGAGCTGAGATCATGCCACTCTATGCCAGCCTGGGTGACAGAGTGAGACCCTGTCTCAAAAAAATAAAAATAATATAAAAGAAAATTTTTTACTATTGGAAAATCCTTGGAAGTAGATCTGAAGTCTTCCATGAATTTGAATATCCCATGCTAGATATACAGTTTTCAAATAGGGCGGAGCTGAGATATTTGAACATTTTCTTCTCCCCATTTTCTTTCCCCCTAGACTCTGTTCCAGCCTCAGACAGGTGCCTATCAGACCCTGGCCAAAGAGTGTGTGGCCCAAGGCTGCTGTGTAGATCTCTTTCTCTTCCCTAACCAGTATGTGGATGTGGCCACACTCTCTGTTGTGCCCCAGCTCACTGGTGGCTCTGTCTACAAATATGCTTCCTTTCAGGTATGGTGTGGGATTTGGGGCAGCAGGTGGCAGCAGGGCTGGGAATATCTGCTTATATATGCAGTGGCTGACTCATTAATAGAAATAGTGTTGGGGCCAGGCACGGTGCCTCACACCTGTAATCCTAGCACTTTGGGAGGCTGAGGCAGGCAGATCACCTGAGGTCAGGAGTTCAAGACCAGCCTGGCCAACATGGCAAAACCCCATCTCTACGAAAAATACAAAAATTAGTCGGGTGTGGTGGCGGGCGCCTGTAATCCCAGCTACTCAGGAAGCTAAGAATCCCTTGAACCCGGGAGGTGGAGGTTGTGGTGAGCCGAGATTGCGCCACTGCACTCCAGCCAGAGCGACAGAGTAAGACTCCGTCTCCAAAAAAGAAGAAATAGTGTTGGAAGAGAAGACTGCATAGTCTGAAGAAGTGAGCCCGAGAATGTGGCAGTTAGGAACATGGGCCTTGGAATCAGTCCTGCATTGATATTCTGGCCCCACCACTTACTAGCTACATGACCTAGGATAAATTTCTTAAGTACTTCCTCTTTTGTTCCTTCATCTGCAAAATGGTGTTAAAATACTTAAGTAGGATTTGTCAACAGAATTAAATAATTATATGTAAAGCACTCTGTGTGGTACCTGGCATGCAGTCTAAGTGTTTAAAAGCTATTATTGTCATCATCATTATCATCCTCACTGTTATGATGATGATAATTAGGTGGCCTTGTAGAGTGGAAGGGGTACAGGGAGATTGTCTGCACGATGAGCTATGTCTAGTCAGTGACATGACTCTGGACCTGGGGGCCTGCAGGTGGAGAACGACCAGGAGCGGTTCCTGAGTGACCTGCGTCGTGATGTCCAGAAGGTTGTTGGCTTTGATGCTGTGATGCGGGTCCGGACAAGCACTGGTCAGTCCTGATTGAAGAGCAGGTTGGGGGGCTAAATATGGAAGGGAGGCATGTGGCACTTGTCATACTTTTTGCCCTGACCCTGTCCATGTGGCCTCAGGTATCCGTGCTGTAGATTTCTTTGGAGCTTTCTACATGAGCAACACGACAGATGTGGAGCTGGCTGGGCTAGATGGGGACAAAACAGTGACTGTGGAGTTCAAGCATGACGATCGGCTCAATGAAGAGAGCGGAGCTCTCCTGCAGGTGGCAGGCGGGAGGCGGGGCTGGGCAGGAAGTGTTTCATTCGCTTGGTATAGAAGAGGGTGAGGAATGGGTAGAGAGCACTAAAAGAAGAGACAGGGCACGGGAGTGGCTCATTTCTCTCTTCCAGTTTAATAGTGTAGCAAAGGGCCTTTGTGAGGGAGGGGTGTGAGTTCCCCCTTTCTCCTTTCCCCTAGTGTGCCCTGCTTTACACCAGCTGTGCAGGGCAGCGTCGGCTCCGCATCCATAATCTGGCCCTGAACTGCTGCACCCAGCTGGCTGATCTATATCGAAACTGTGAGACTGACACGCTCATCAACTACATGGCCAAGTTTGGTGAGGGTAGAAGCAGGGCAGGGTGGGATTGGGGCTGAGAGGTCCAGGATGGTGAGTGGGTAGTTGTGATGGTGGGAATGCACACATGATGGGCAGCTGACCAGTGACTATCTTTGCTTTCCCATCCAGCATATCGGGGAGTCCTGAATAGCCCTGTGAAGGCTGTTCGTGACACGCTCATCACCCAGTGTGCCCAGATCCTGGCCTGTTACAGAAAGAACTGTGCTAGCCCCTCCTCTGCAGGACAGGTGGGGCAAGTATATTAGTGGGAGGTGGGGTTGTTGGGACAAATGTTTGCATTTGGGAGGGATTTCTCATGATCATTGACTTTATTTTGATAATCCCCTCAGTTGATCCTTCCTGAGTGCATGAAGCTACTCCCAGTTTACCTGAACTGTGTGTTGAAGAGTGATGTCCTGCAGCCTGGAGCTGAAGTCACTACTGATGACCGTGCCTATGTCCGACAGCTAGTTACCTCCATGGATGTGACTGAGACCAATGTCTTCTTCTACCCTCGGCTCTTACCTTTGGTGCGATTGAGGGTTGGAGTATGAGATCTTGCACGGAGCAAAGGGCCTCTTAGGAGGAGGAAAGGATAGGCTAGTATCAGTCAGACACTAGTGGAATTTGTTTTTATGTATTTTAGCTGATGTAATTTTCACACTGAGAGAGTTACTGAGACCCCAGAAGGGGTGGTGTCTGAGGACTTAGCTTTCAAAATTTTGTGTGTGGTGCGGGGGGGCAGACTTGTCTTATGGTCCTTGGTAACCTTTTGCTCCCTTCCTTTTGTCTAGACAAAGTCTCCCGTTGAGAGTACTACCGAACCACCAGCAGTTCGAGCCTCTGAAGAGCGTCTAAGCAATGGGGATATATATTTACTGGAGAATGGGCTCAACCTCTTCCTCTGGGTGGGAGCAAGCGTCCAACAGGGTGTTGTCCAGAGCCTTTTCAGCGTCTCCTCCTTCAGTCAGATCACCAGTGGTTTGGTGAGGGCAGGGAGTCAAGGAGAATATGGGTGTGGAAGTATACTTTGTGAAACAATTGGGAGCCAATATAGTTAGTGTGCTAGTACCCTCAAATATCAGGGAACACTTGGGGACAAGGGCAGTTGCTGTCATTCTTCCCAGGTTTGCCTGTTTCAGATGATGCATACATGTATGCTGCCCCACCTTGACTGAACTCAGAGTGCCTTACCATAAGGATAAATGAATTTTGTGTTCTAGAGTGTTCTGCCAGTTCTGGATAATCCACTGTCCAAGAAGGTTCGAGGCCTCATTGATAGCTTACGGGCACAGAGATCCCGGTACATGAAGGTAACACTGATCTGAACCCTGGATTTCTTACCTTGTCAAGTCCTCACCTAGAAGTGGGGGTTGGGTGGGGAATGAGTAAGTGACTGCCTAATGAGATTTCTGGGCATGTTTAATTTCCTTTGGCCTTGCCTTATGAACCCTGAATTCTGGCCGTAGCTTACCGTGGTGAAACAGGAAGACAAGATGGAGATGCTGTTCAAGCACTTCCTGGTGGAAGACAAGAGTCTGAGTGGGGGAGCATCTTATGTGGACTTTCTCTGTCATATGCACAAGGAGATTCGGCAGCTACTGAGCTAAAGCAAGTGGGTAAATGGCATAGGGCCCAGGCTAGCTTCCAGAAAGCACCCCAGGATGTCAGAGAAATTGGGACAGTAACATATCTTATGTAAGCTGACCTCAGTCTCTCTGGGGGGAGGGGGAGATATAAGGAGACACCTTCTTTCTGGGCTCAAGTATCCTGCCACTCTGTCATGTCCTGCTGATGGAAGGTGCCCCTGTTCCCTCATTCTACCCTCTTTTTCCTGCTAATCCTGTCATAATGAATGTAGCTTCTCAGTTCACTGTATATGATTCGGTATTGGGGGTTTGGAGGCACCCAGACCCTGGCAATATTATGTGTCCCTTTGGACCAGTCTCCCAAGAGGAGAGGGGCAGGCAGGAAAGAGTGGGGATCCTAAGGTTACTACAGGGGGCTCAGTGTCATCCACAACTTCCTATATTAGGGATAAAACATATAGGTGCACAAGAGCTGGGGTATAGCCCATAGGTGGTGGAGAGAAAAGTGGTCAGTCCTTCTTGGGCCTGGAGGTTAGCAGTCAAGTTTCTCTGCTTTCACTGCTCGCTCGCTCTCTCCTGCAATGATTGATGATCACTCCGTGGATAGAGAGGCACACTGTCAGAGGTGACCGGAGAACTGAGTTGCAAAATATATTAAGATCTGGTAGAGGTACCAGCTTCCTTTCCAGCTGGAGAGGCCCCAACACTGGATGGTTCTGTAGGGAGCCTAGGGAGCCTGGTCATCAACTTGCAATACCTCACAGAGCCAGTTCACATCCCACTCTGAGCTCCCACGAGAAACACTGCTTCTCCAGGCCCGGGGTTGTTGGGGAGAGAGGCAGAGGCAGCTGGAGCGCCGTTCTCTCCTGCTGGGACACCGCTTGGGCTTTGGTATTGACTGAGTGGCTGACAGTTATCTTCCAACCCCAACTGGCTTGGGGGCAGGACAAGGGCTAGGCTTGATGGTGGCCAGGCTTGCCTGCTCCCCACCTGGGATGCCCCTGCTCTGGACCTCTCATTTCTCTTCATTGGTTTATTTTTCAATGCATCTTTAATTTGTAAAGAAATAAAATAAATTAAGATGTAACCATTAGCCTCATCTTTACTCCCGAAAGCTCACTTTGCTTTTAGTCCTGGCCGTCGGCTGAGCGAGCTGCGCATGCGCCACGTGCCCCCGTGGCGTAGGGCCTCGTCCGGTCACGACTATCCGCTGGGCGGGGTCGGTGCTGGCCGAGGGGGCGCCGGCTGCCGGAGTGGACATGGCGGCCGGCCCCATTAGGGTGGTGTTGGTCCTTCTAGGGGTGCTCAGTGTCTGTGCAGCCAGCGGCCATGGGTCCGTAGCGGAGAGGGAGGCCGGCGGGGAGGCGGAGTGGGCGGAACCGTGGGATGGCGCGGTTTTCCGGCCGCCCTCGGCGCTGGGCGCAGTGGGGGTGACGCGCAGCTCTGGGACGCCGCGGCCAGGGAGGGAGGAGGCGGGGGACTTGCCGGTACTGCTGTGGTGGAGCCCAGGGCTATTCCCCCACTTCCCGGGAGACTCGGAGCGCATCGAGTGTGCGCGCGGCGCGTGCGTGGCGTCCCGGAACCGCCGAGCGCTGAGGGACTCGCGGACGCGCGCGCTGCTCTTCTACGGCACAGACTTCCGCGCGTCGGCCGCCCCGCTGCCGCGCCTGGCGCACCAGAGCTGGGCGCTCCTCCACGAGGAGTCGCCCCTCAACAACTTCTTGCTGAGCCACGGCCCGGGCATCCGCCTCTTCAATCTTACCTCCACCTTCAGTCGCCACTCGGATTACCCGCTGTCGCTGCAGTGGCTGCCCGGGACCGCCTATCTGCGCCGCCCGGTGCCTCCGCCCATGGAACGCGCGGAGTGGCGCCGCCGCGGCTACGCGCCGCTGCTCTATCTGCAGTCACACTGCGACGTGCCAGCGGACCGGGACCGCTACGTGCGCGAGCTCATGCGCCACATCCCGGTGAGTGAGGGCGGGCCGGAGGGAAGGAAAAGGAGAGGGCGGGTTGAGGCCAGGACTCCAGGTGTCCAGGACTCCAGGTGTCCAGGACTCCAGGTGTCCAGGCCTCCAGGGCCGCACCCTCATGACAGCCTTACTGTACCCGGTCTAGGTAGACTCCTACGGGAAATGCCTGCAGAATCGGGAGCTGCCTACCGCGCGGCTACAGGACACAGCCACGGCCACCACCGAGGATCCAGAGCTCTTGGCTTTCTTGTCCCGCTATAAGTTCCACTTGGCCCTGGAAAATGCCATCTGTAACGACTACATGACAGAAAAACTGTGGCGTCCCATGCACCTGGGCGCTGTGCCCGTGTACCGCGGTTCTCCCTCTGTGAGGGACTGGATGCCGAACAATCACTCCGTCATCCTGATTGATGATTTTGAGTCTCCTCAGAAGCTGGCAGAGTTTATTGACTTTCTGGACAAGAATGATGAGGAGTATATGAAATACCTGGCATACAAGCAACCTGGGGGCATCACCAACCAATTTCTTCTGGATAGTCTGAAGCATCGGGAGTGGGGAGTGAATGATCCTTTGCTGCCTAACTACCTCAACGGCTTCGAGTGTTTCGTCTGTGACTACGAACTGGCTCGGCTGGATGCCGAGAAAGCCCACGCGGCCTCTCCCGGGGACAGCCCCGTCTTTGAGCCCCACATTGCCCAGCCCTCACACATGGACTGCCCAGTGCCCACACCTGGCTTTGGCAATGTGGAAGAGATTCCTGAGAATGACAGGTAAGAGTGCTGGGGTCCCCTGCAGCTATCAAATCATTTACTTACTTGCTTACTGTGGGCAATTAAGTAGCACTAGGTGCTGAGCAGGTGCAGGAGGAAATTATCACATGGGCTCATTCTGTATTTAAGGTGTCAACAGTCTAGTTGGGGGGATAAGACAAGCTGAAAAAGCTGAATAGATGTAAAATATAATTCAAGGCAACGTATGAAAATCAGCTTATGTGAACAATGTTTCCAGTAGTGGTTCAAAAAGATTGAACCAGAGTACAGGGCCTGTGCAGACAGGGGAGAGAGAAAATGGGGCAAATAAATAGGGACAAGGCTATAAATATCATTAATACCAGGTTCAGGAGTTTGCACTGCACTAAAAATCAACTCAGCTATTTGAGCACCTTTTATAGAGTGGAAATGGGGTTGGGCAGTAGAGAAGAGCACTTTTAGAGAGGCTTTTCTGCAGTAGTCAGGGGTTACACCTGTTAACCAGCCATAATTTTTTTTTTTAAGCGGCTGTGCTGAGGATGAGCCCCATGTAGTTGGTGCAGGTGGGGACACACTGCCTGTGTAACTAGAAAAACTAGGCATGGCCGGGCACGGTGGCTCACACCTGTAATCCCAGCACTTTGGGAGGTCAAGGGGGGAGGAACACTTGAGGCCAGAGACAATATAATATATAATATAATATATTGACCAGCCTGGACAATATAATAAGAGCCTCTCTGTACAATTTAAAAACTAAAAGCCTGGGGTGGTGGCACATACCTGTAGTCCTGGCTACTTGGGAGGCTGTGGCAGGTGGATTGCTTGAACCTAGGAGTTCAATGCTGTAGTGAGCTAGGATCGTGCCACTGCATTCCAGCCTGGGTTGGAGTAAGACCCTGTCACACACACACACACACACAAAACAATGCACAATGCGCATCAGAAGGGAAGCGAATAGGCTACTGTAGTAGGTGGCAAAAGGTGGTGGTACTGGGAAACAAGGCCAGCGTGTGGTGTGGGGTGGGAAAATGTTGAAACCACTTGTAGCAAGCCACACCTATTGGGGGAGAGGTGATAAGATTATTAAGCTGAAGTAAGGCTGCTAGAATGGCCTATAGAAACCGACTTGGACAGTGGATGGCAGCAGAAGGCCATTTATTAACAGATGCTGCTGGCAGTTTTGTCCTGATGGTTGGAATCCTTCACCAAGTAATTTGTATCTAATTACAAATTGTTTGTATCTGAACATAATATGATTTACTAGAGGAAAAGTATGAAAAAATATGAAACATTAAGAAAATAAATATTCAGGTTATGTCTTTTCTAGATACTGGATGCTACTTCATTTTGATGCACCTTCATTTTGATTATTGGCATAAAGGTGAAACTTAAAAGATAATCATCTAAAGACCCCTGCCCCCTTGCTTTCCTTATGGAGACTGCCACTTCCAGTCTGGCCTCTGCTTTGCCTGCCTCTGAACCCCCTCCACATTTGGGAGCCAGAAGCAGGCAAGTCAGGAATCGTAATTGATTGGGTAGTCTGTGTGATGTCTTTGTGTTTGTGACTTACTGCCTGTCGCTTGGGCTTATATTGGATTTACTTCACTTTGTCTTCCTTTCACAGCAGTCTTGTCCAAGTTAGAGACCACTGTATCTGCTTAAGATTTCTTTGGCCCCACTCGGAAAAAGGCAGGACTCATAACTATGCTGCAGTTCCATAATCCAACCCCCATTTTGATATTTCAGTTGGAAAGAGATGTGGCTGCAAGATTATTGGCAAGGTCTGGACCAGGGGGAAGCTCTCACTGCCATGATCCACAACAATGAAACAGAGCAGACGAAATTTTGGGATTACCTACATGAAATCTTCATGAAGAGGCAACATCTCTAAGTGCCCTTGCAAGAGCCTTTAACTTGGCGGAGCTAAGGAGATCTTATTCTACCATGGGACATAAGGAGCATCCACTGCACAAACCCTTAATGAACACTGTCTTTTCATGGATTCAAGGAATTCCAGTTTTATCTATTAAGATTTTATCTTAATGATGAGTAGCCAAGGTCTAACATAGGGCCTCTCCTCAAGGAGAGATGGAGGGATACAATTCTTGGTTCAGTGGGAAACAGAACCCTAAAACATCCATTTGATTCAAGGTGCTGGTCCAACAGAGTTTTTAAACTACTCACTTCTTTATTTCATCCTTTCGACTGTACTTGATTACCAGTGAAGTAAGATGGGTCAGGTTACGACTTACAACTTTTGTTCTATTCCCCAGACTCCTCATTATTCAGTACATTTCCCAATAATCTCTTTTTCTCATCTCTTGCTTTATAAATTGTTACGTTGGTGGAGAAGCAAAACATTTGGTGAGTTGTATTCTGGTTTTCCGGAGTTGGATTTTTTTATATTATATACTTTCATGTCAAACTTCTATTTTACTTATTTATTTATTTTTTTAAAATATTTTTTGTAGAGATGAGGTTTTGCCACATTGCCCAGGTTGGTCTCCAACTCCTGGATCAAGCAATCCATCCGCCTTGACCTCCCAGAGTGCTGGGTTTACAGGCATCAGCCACCTCACCCAGCCCTAATTTTTTTTTTTTTTTTGGCTTTTTCTGGCCAGGCGTAGTGGCTTATGCCTGTAATCCCAACACTTTGGGAGGCCGAGGAGAGGCGACTGCTTGAAGCCAGGAGTTTGAGACCATCCTAGCAAGACCTTGTCTCTAAAAAATAAAAGAATTAGCAGGGCATGGTGGTGCACACCTGTAGCCCTAGATACTTGGGAGGTTGAGGCAGGAGGATCACTTGAGTCCAGGAATTTAAGGCTGCAATGAGCTATGATCATGATCACTGCACTCCAGCCTGGGTGACAGAGCGAGACACCGTCTCAAATTATATATATATATTAAGATGGAGTCTTGCTTTGTCACCAGCTGGAGTGCAGTGGCATGATCTCGGGTCACTGCAACCTCCACCTCCCTGGTTCAAGCGATTCTCCTGCCTCAGCCTCCTGAGTAGCTGGGACTACAGGCATGCACCACCACGCCCAGCTAATTTTTTGTATTTCTAGTAGAGACAGGGTTTCGCCATGTTGGCAAGGATAGTCTCGATTTCTTGACTTCGTGATCCGCCCGCCTTGGCCTCCCAAAGTGCTGGGATTACAGGTGTCAGCCACCGCACCCGGCCTCAAATACATTTTTTTAATGGCCTTGTCTTTCCTGGTTTTAGGCCCTTTTCCACAATTTCTGATGGAAATACAGAAACCTTGCCATCATTCTTACTGCTGGTTTGCATCTCATTTATGGTGTATCTGGGATTTCTTCTCATGAACAGAAAGATTCAGTGGCTGTTATATGCCTTGTCAATTTAATGTATTGCCCTATCCTCTTTTTGATCAAAGATAGAGACTAAGACTGGGAATTATGACAGAAAAAGTCATATTTTTCTTTAAATGATTTTGAAATGTTAAAATAGGCCAATATGAGTCAAAGTGCAAATTTTTTGGTGAGTAGGTTGACAAAAAAAAAAAAAAATCCAGGAAAAAAAGTGCAAATTTTTATAGGTCCTAATTCTTTTGTTTGCCTAATGAAGTGTTCCCTCTATTTTATTGTTTTTATATGCTACAAAGTCCCATCTTCTGCAGTTATGGAAACAGTGTGGCTGTATGTTTTAGTAATTATTTCATAATCTGTAGCACTTTTCACTTTAAGTGCAATGAATAGTCCAGCTTCATTCACTGTATTACTAATACGCTTCCCTATGACTTTTTTTTTTTTTTTGAGATGGAGTTTCGCTCTTGTTGCCCAGGCTGGAGTGCAGTGGCGCGATCTCAGCTTACTAGAATCTCTGCATTCCCAGTTCAAGTGATTCTCCTGCCTCAGCCTCCCTAGTAGTGGGGATTACAGGCGCCCGTCACCACATCTAGCTAATTTTTGTATTTTTAGTAGAGATGGGGTTTCACCATGTTGGCCAGTCTGGTGTCGAACTCCTGAGCTCAGGTGATTCACTTGCCTTGGCCTCCCAAAGTCCTGGGATTACAGGCGTGAGCCACCGTGCCCAGGTGCCCCCACCTTTTTTTTTTTTTTGAGGCAGAGTCTCACTCCATCACCAAGGCTAGAGTGCAGTGGCGTGATTTTGGCTCACTGCAGCCTCTGCCTCCCAGGTTCAAGCAATTCTCGTGTCTCAGCCTCCAGAGTGGTGGGATTACAGGCACGCACTACCATGCCTGGCTAATTTTTTTGTATTTGTTTTAGTAGAAACAGGGTTTTGCCATGTTGGCCAGGCTGGTCTCGGACTCCTGACCTCAAGTGACCCACCCGCCTCGGCCTCCCAAAGTGCTGGGATTACAGGAGTGAGCCCCGTGCCCAGCCTGAGACTACTTTTTGATGGAGCCCACTCAAGGGGATGAGGAGGTTTAAGCCACAAGTGGCTGGCTAAATAAAAGCTTAGTCAGAGCTGGGCACGGTGGCTCACACCTGTAATCCCAGCTACTTGGGAGGCTGAGGCAGGAGAATTGCTTGAACCTGGGAGGCAGAGGTTGCAGTGAGCTGAGATCGCACCATTGCACTCCAGCCTGGGTGACGAGCGAAACTCCATCCCAAAAAAAAAAAAAAAAAAAAAGCTTAGTCAGATTTGGGGATGCAGCCAAACCCTTCTGTTGCTGTGGTTTGAACATACAGTCTAATGAGCAGGGAGACCATTAGCTCTTTCTGGGGCAGTGGGACAGGAAAGAATACCTTGGACCTTAGGGCTACTCTAGTTGTAATGTATTAGTGAGTTATCACTAGAGAAGTTCCACAGTTTAATATTATCTATACCTATATCTATATATCTACCTATATAGATAGATATATGTTAGATGCTTCAACAACTAGGGTCTACACTTAATATACTGACATCTAAGGATGCGGCCAAGAAAAGCTGTAATTAGGCTGAATTTTATTGCCAAAGTTGTTCTTTTTTCATTTAGTCCTTTAATAAAAGATGATCTTCATAAATTACAGAAAGTTTGCTTACCCTGTTTGACCTTTTGCAGAAAAGAACAAGAGGGAAGACAGACCTTCAGGCTGGGTGCAGTGGCTCATGCCTGTGATCCCAGCACTTTGGGAGGCCAAGGTAGGAGGATCGCTTGAGCCCAGGGATTCAAGACCAGCTTGGGTAACATGGTAAAACCCCATCTCTACAAAAAACAGAAAAAATTAGCTGGGCATGGTGTGTGTGCCTTGTAGATCCAGCTACTTGGGAGGCTGAAGTGGGAGGATCGCCACTGCACTCCAGAAACTAAAAAAAAAAAAAAAAAAAACCTTCAAAAATATATCTAAGCCAGATGTGATGGCATGGGTCTGCAGTCCCAGCTACTCAGAAGGCTAAGGCAGGAAGATCGCTTGAGCCCAAGAGTTTGAGGCTGTAGTATGCTGTGAGTGCGCCTATGAGTGCCAACTGGGCAACACAGTGAGACCTCTGTCTAAAAAAAAAAAAAAAATCTGTTGGGCTGGGTGAGCTGGCTCACGCCTGTAATCCCAGCACTCTGGGAGGCCAAGGCAGGCAGACCACCTGAAGTCGGGAGTTCAAGACCAGCCTGACCAACATGGAGAAACCTCATCTCTACTAAAAATACAAAATTAGCTGGGCGTGGTGGCGCATGACTATAATCCCAGCTACTCAGGAGGCTGAGGCAGAAGAATCGCTTGAACCCAGGAGGCGGAGGTGGTGGTGAACCAAGATCACGCCATTGCACTCCAGCCTGGACAACAAGAGCAAAACTCCATTTCAAAAAAAAAAAAAAAATCTGTTAAAATTTGATATAGTAGGCACTGACAAAAGAGGTCAAATGCAGGACTGATTTCTAAGCTTGCAATCTATCTAAATGCAGATGCTAATTTAGAGTGCATAATTATTACACAAGTACAGACCTAGGTTAGGGCTTAAATTTCATTATGTGCAATAAAAAGGTTAAGTGATGGTTAAGCAAGGTGTAGATTATCCTTACCTCTCCTAATGACATGGGCTCACATTGGCATTCCTTTCATACTTTTACGTATAAAGTGGGCAGTTGTTTCTGAATGACTGTTGCTGGAGCCTCAGGCCTGCTTTGTGCTTGGTGCTTTCCAGACTTTCTCCTTTATTCCTATCACCATATACGTACTCACAAAAGAGCAGTGTAAACCAGGTATTACATTTCCACAAGGGAAAGTAGAACCAGGAATAGCCACATGATACTTACCGAAAGCTTCACTTTCCCTATAGAGAAAGCAAGCAACATGAATCTTCTGATTTGGGGCCCAGCCTGCTGCTGTATACAGAGGTTGGCATTATTGGTGATAGAAATGTCTGATAGGAGTCTTTTAATTATACTCTGGAGTGTGGAGGTGGAGTGCAAGGCTGCTTCCTTTATTACTGCAAGTGTTATTTTCTATTATCTCAGGTTTCGTTTTGTGTAATAAACTGCTTCTTGTTAAACAATGTCTTCTGCTTCATTATTTTTTTGGGGGTGGGTGTAATAAAGTTGGAGATTTGTAAAAAAGTTTCAGGTTGGGTGTGGTGGCTCATGCCTGTAATCCCTGCACTTTGGGAGGCCAAGGAGGGAAGCTCACGTGAGCCCAGGAGTTCAAGAGTAGTCTGCGCAACATACTGAGACCCCATCTCTACAAAAAATAAAACCAAGCCAGCCGGGTTTGGTGGTGTGAGCCTGTGGTCGCAGCTACTCCAGCAGCTGAGGCAGGAGGATCACTGGAGTGAGGCCAAGGCTGCAGTGAGCTAATATTCCACTGCACTCCAACCTGGGTGACAGAACAAGACCCCAAATCCAAAAATAAATAAATAAATAAAACATTTGCTCATTTAACAAGTATTTATTGGTACTATTCTAGGCACTGGGGATTCAGCAATGAACAAGATAGACAACGTTCCTTCTTTCATGCTTACATTTTTAAATGGGTGTTAGGGATAGGTAAGGCCATAATAAGACAATTCAGACTGTGATAGGTGCTATGGAGAAAACAGGTTGATGGTGGTGAGGTGTGAGAGGTCAGGGAAGCCCTCTGTGACATGAACTGAGACTTAAGGGAAGAAAAATAAGCAGCCATGCAGAAATCAGTGGGAAGATTCCAAACATCTGTGATAAGTGATTTTTTTAACACACTAAATTTACAAATCCAAATGTTCTTCCTCCAAAGTAGTCATGAGCTACAGGCTTGTTTTCTGCTTCCATTACCAAAAACATTTCTTGGAGCTTATTTGGAAATGCTTTGAGAATATGCTGCACATCTTTGGAATGAGTTGTGAAAATGGCCAGAAGAAGTCACTTGAGAAACAAGTCTGGCTGGGCGCGGAGGCTCAGTCATGTAAAGCACTTTGGGAGGGCGAGGCAGGAAGATCGCTTGAACCCAGGAGTTCGAGACCAGCCCGGGCAACATGACAAAACCCCGTCTCTACAAAAAATAATTAGCTGGGCGTGGTGTCTTGCACCTGTGTTCTCAGCTACTCAGGAGGCAGAGGCGGGAGGATCGTTTGAGTTCAGGAGTTTAAAGCTGCAGTGAGCTATGAACGTGCCACTTGCACTCCAGTCTGGGCAACCAAGAGAGACCCTATCTCAAAAAAAATTCTGATTAAGCATCACAACTGAAGGTCCAAGTCTGTAAGACTGGCGAGAGGACTGAAAAAGACGATGAATGCCAAGTGTTTAAGCTTCATCCTACCAACTGAGATTGTTATAAATGAGCAAACGGTATCTAACTAGTAGCAGTAGTAGCAGTTGTTGTTGTTATAAAATGAAACAAGTCTAATTTTTCTTTGCGGCTTTGTAGTGGTCCTATAGGCAGTGAAAAACGACAGTTCTTTCAGGTTTATTAAAGTAAAACACGAATCTTTCCCAACCCAACATCTTAAAGTCTCAAATTTTGATTCGCCACCCCCCCCCCCAACCCCGCCCTATGCCAATCGCCCCTAGACCAAGCCGGCTACCACCAGAACAGTGTCCACTTACCAGGGCCCTTTCCTGCATGTCCCCGGCCCCGTACTGCCCCCAGACTTCGGGGCCCGGAGCCCATCAAGGAGAAGCCTCAGTCGGCGTACGAACCCAGAGTCTCCTCCTAATCTGCTGACAAGTATGAACCCGCCGCTGTTCGAACCCAGCGTCGCCGCAGCCCCGGCCAAGTAAAAGAAAGAGGTGGCTGCCAGCAAGCCAACGAGCCTTCCCCGAGCTCCGCGCCGATTCGTCCAGCCCGTAGGGGTCACGCGAGGTCACGCACGGAACCGCAAAGCCTGCCGGGAGCTTGGTGCGCTATGGCGACACCCAGCCTGCGGGGTCGTCTGGCGCGGTTTGGGAACCCGCGGAAGCCTGTGCTGAAGCCCAATAAACCTCTCATTCTAGCTAACCGCGTCGGGGAGCGGCGCCGGGAGAAGGGCGGTGAGCAGTCGGAGTCAGGACGGCCCCGGAGCGGAAGCCGGAGCATGAGCAGGGGCGGGTGGGTAGGAGGGCAGGAAGGTGGGTCTTCTTGTGACTGAAGGTCCCCCGGATCTGCCCCTCCAGAGGCGACTTGCATCACGGAGATGTCGGTGATGATGGCTTGCTGGAAGCAGAATGAATTCCGCGACGATGCGTGCAGAAAAGAGATCCAGGGCTTCCTCGATTGTGCCGCGAGGGCTCAGGTGACCGATGGCTCCTGGGGTGCTTTCTCAGGAAAAGAATGGGGGAGATAGAAGTAATGATTCTCCCTGCCTTTTGCTAGGAAAGGCCCTTTCATTCATTTGGGAGGTATATTATTCACGCCAAAGTGGGAAAGGTTACAGTTTTGAAGGCTGTGTGATCTTGACGGATTTATTCATTGCTCTGAACTTTCGAGTTACTGTACGTAAAATGAGGCTAACCAATACCACCTTAAAGAATGTTGTGAGTGTCAGATGAAGTAATGAATGGGAAAATCATTTTGAAAAATGTAAATTGCTGCTCAAGTAGACATTATTGTGTGAAATAGAACTAAAGAGACTAAAACTAAATAATGACAATAGTTTGGTTTCCTGTCTAGGCTTAATTGTTAGCTGAGATAGTAGCTTCTGAACATAGTCTCATTTGTAGGTCCCAACGCCCTTTTGTTGAAAAGAGGCTGACATAGATCTCTCCAGGCTGGTTAACATCTTCATGTGCTTTAGGGCATTGTGAGAACTATGGGCCTACATCAGGACAAACTTGATTGATTGATTGGTTTTTTGGGTCAGATCTTAAAAGTCTGGACTAGACAAACTGTAGAGCTGTCATTCTTGTATTTGTTTTGTGTTTTCAGGAAGCCCGAAAGATGAGATCAATACAGGAAACCCTGGGAGAGTCTGGGAGTTTACTTCCAAATAAATTGAATAAGTTGTTACAGAGGTTTCCTAACAAACCTTACCTCAGCTGAAAATGGACAAGTATTTTCAATGACTGAAATATAGCTTCTGACAACTATGCAGAGGCATTTTAGAGACATTGGCATTGCCATGCCCTCTTTGGAGGGTAGAAGAGGCAAAACACTTTTTTCACCCTTTGGAATCATAGTATGGGTAGAAGTTATGATTTATCTTGAAATAAAATCCTCTGAACAGAACTTGGCCTTTTGTTGTGAATTAGGTACTCTCTTCATTCTTGAGCCTCCCCTAGACCCTGGAAATTCTTTCCTTCCTGATTTGCCCTAGGAGCAGGACAAATACCGTTGTATTGTCTTTCCCTGCATTTGAAGTCTTTTACACCATTTAGTGCCCTTGCTTTTGGATGCAATAAGGAAGTTGAAGTTGCCTTCGTCTGTAAATACTTAGTGATTGCCTATTTTGTGCGTAGTCCCTGCAAGGTGCTCTCTGAATAATAAAGTTAACAAACTGGTGACCTAGAGGTTCTGCAGATATGTTTTATTTGATCCACGCAGTTAAAAAAAGTTTTAAAATTAGCTGGTCACGTTCAAAAATAGGAAAAAAAGTCATTAAAATTTCACATTTTAGCTGTATTTATTTATTTGTTTAAGACGCAGTCTCGCTCTGTTGCCCAGGCTGGAGTGCAATGGCACTATCTCAGCTCACTGCAACCTCCGCCTCCAAGGTTCAAGTGATTCTCCTGCCTCAGCTTTCTGAGTAGCTGGGATTACAGGCACCCACCATCATGACGGGCTAATTTTTCTATTTTCAGTAGAGACGGGGTTTCACCATGTTGGCCAGGCTGGTCTCGAACTCCTGACCTCAAGTGGACCACCCGCCTTGGCCTCCCAAAGTGCTGGGATTACAGGCATGAGCCACTGTGCCCAGCCACTTATTTTTTTTAATAAAAAAAATTAAAAGCTCTGGCAGCCTTATTTTCTTATTTCCACCTGGCAGTAATTAGGTAGAGCTGATTATCATTTGTCTGCATTCTCCAGTGACCTCACCACTGGACTCTACAAAATGGTGAAACAGAATTAACAAATGTCTACTTTGTTTATTACCTGTTTCCTTCTCTCAAGTTAGCTGCCTAGTTGCTGAAGGCATTCGCTTTTGTGATTCCCCTGATACTAGGAAAAATTGCATAGCATTTTATGTATACTCTGCCCTTTCAGGCATAATTCAGTTAGCTTTTTTTTTTTTTTTGAGATGGAGTCTCGCTCTGTCGCCCGCGCTAGTGCAGTGGCACGATCTTGGCTCACTGCAAGCTCCGTTTCCCGGGTTCACGCCATTCTCCTGCCTCAGCCTCCCGAGTAGCTGGGACTACAGGCGCCCACCACCACGCCTGGCTAATTCTTTGCATTTTCAGTAGAGACGGGGTTTCACCGTGTTAGCCAGGATGGTCTCGATCTCCTGACCTCGTGATTTGCCCGCCTCAGCCTCCCAAAGTGCTAGGATTACAGGCGTAAGCCACCGCGCCTGGCCTTAGGAGTTCTTAACCTAGGTCAATAGACTCCAGTTAAGACGTCTGTGAACTTGGGGGATAATTTATATTTTTAACTCCAACTGAAATTTAGCATTTCAGTCAGGGCTATGGAAAACAAACCACAGTAACATTATCAAAACCTATATGAAATCATGGTATTTTCATACCATGTTACAGTTGGTTACAAATATCTCAAAAAGCATTTATACTCATCACTAGCTTCAAAATTATGATAGTTACTACGCTTCCTCCTAGATCTTGTCATTTAATGTGTAAATAAAGGAGCACTATTACGTTACAGATTTGTTCTATTAATAGTTTAATAATTGTATTTAAACAACTGGTTTCCTTTGTAATTCTTGGTATTTTGTGCATTTGTAAACGATCTGAGAAGGGGGTCCAGAAACCTACCTAGACTGCTAAAGGGTCCATGGCACAAAAAAAGGTTGAGTTACTAGATCCAAAGGCCGTATGGACAAACAGTACAACCATTTCCTGAAATCAAATGCATTCTTTTCTGATGTTTCCCCAGTTAGACCCTATAAAAAGGTCGGCTGGATTGCAGACTTCTGGACTACGATTCCCAGAAGGTGGTGCGGCCCTGGGGCCTATCCAGAGTTAAGACAATAACTCCATCCAATAGTTGCTGTCCTCTCCTGACAGCCTACAATTCCCAACATGCATGGCGGCTGTTTATGCCTTGGGGACATTATGGACTCCGAGTTGTTGCTGGGATCTGTAGTTGCTTCGTATAACGTTGGGAGTTGGCTTCCTCTTATGATGTCTGAGGGTGGGCTCGAGGGAAAAAAAGCAAATGCAGCCATTAAATAAAAATGTCCCCTACATCCGCCCGTACCCGATCCGGATCCCGAGCGCGCGAGGGCGGAAGTGGTGGTGGCCCGCGCGGCCGGAAGTCCAGATCAGCTGATGGGGGAGGCGGCTCCGCAGCCGCCTAGAGGCCCCAGCCGCCGAGCGCTTCGTCCCGGCCCTAAGTCTCGGAGACTGGCCAAGATCACCGCTTGCACCGCGCTGTTGGGCGAGGCCCGGTCCCGTCTCTTTCCCAGGCCTGAGATTCTCGCCCGGCACGGCCGCCCTGAGCGCCCCGGCCACCCCCAGCCCCGGCTCGCCCCTCAGGCCCCGGGCCTCCCCTCAACCCCCGGCCGGCGGCCCAGGCCCCGGATCCGCGGGGGGGGACCCGGCCCCGGGGGGTGCGGGCCCCATGGAGCTGATGTTTGCAGAGTGGGAGGACGGAGAGCGCTTCTCATTCGAGGATTCGGACCGTTTTGAGGAGGATTCACTCTGTTCCTTCATCTCCGAGGCCGAGAGCCTCTGCCAGAACTGGCGGGGATGGCGCAAACAGTCAGCGGGGCCCAATTCCCCCACTGGCGGCGGTGGCGGAGGTGGCAGTGGCGGTACCAGAATGCGAGGTGAGAGTGAGCTGGGGGGAAGAGGAGCGGCAGGCCCTGCTTGGGCCTCGCTCGGGAGCTGTCCGGGACCAGGAGCTGTCCCCGACCAAGAGCTCTCTTCAACCAGGGGAAGAAAGGGGAGCTGTCCCCGGCCGGGAGCTGTCCCCGACTGGGAGCTGTCCCAAGCTTAGAACAGACTTCAGAACTCGCTTTTCCGGCCTTCCTGGGGTGGGCTGGCTTCTCCACACCTGTGTGTGTGTGGGTGTGTGTGTGTGTGTGTGCGCGCGCGCGCGTGCGCGCGCTGTGACAGGGAGATCCTGTGGACAGAAAGTAAATCTTTCGTCACTCCTTTGCCTTAGAGAGGGGATAAGGGAGAAGAATCTTGTCTTTGACTTGGGAATACTTAAGTGAGTTCAGTCTGAGGCATACCGGAAAGTAGAGGAAGAGAATGTGGGTAGGGGGCTGATTGTGAAGAAGTGACCACTTGTGGCTTGTCACCGCATTGCAAAGTGCATTGGGAGCTTCTTGCTTCGGGGTGATGATCTCTGATCCCAGAAGCACCAAGAAGGGATCCTACCCAGAGGAAAATAGAGGTGAACTGGCCTGCCAGAGAGTCCATAGTTCATAGGTTTAGATCATAGACTTTGCTTCTGGCCATGTCAAATATCTGTCAGAAGCCAAGGCTGGGACTTGCCTGCTGTGCCTTCCTCATGGCACAGTTTTTGTCCTGGTCCTCAGTGGAAGCTGGCTTTTTTCAGCAGTTGAGATGTTTAATTTGTGTGATTCTACTCAGGCCTTTCCAAGAGTCCTGTTTTCCAAACTGGCTTGTGGAGATTTCTGGTGCTCCTTTGGGACAGAGAGAAATTTACATATATCACTTTTTTTTTTTTTTTTTGAGACGGAGTTTTGCTCTTGTTGCCCAGGCTGGAGTGCAATGGCACGATCTCGGCTCACCGCAACCTCCGCCTCCCCAGTTCAAGCGATTCTCCTGCCTCAGCCTCCTGAGTAGCTGGGATTACAGGCATGTGTCACCATGCCCGGCTAATTTTTGTATTTTTAGTGGAGACCGGGTTTCTCCATGTTGGTCAGGCTGGTCTTGAACTCCCGACCTTAGGTGATCTGCGCGCCTCGGCCTCCCGAAGTGCTGGGATTACAGGCGTGAGCCACCGCTCCCGGCATATATATCACTTTTTAGGAGTGGCGGACTGGTGGCATTCAGCTTCAGTTGGAGAGAGGATATGGCCTGTGTACACACACACAAACACACACAGATCATAGGCAGTTTTACCGTGGGTCTTCTGTGGCCTTCTGGCTTCTTTCATATTTGAGTATGTGGGTGGTCTTGGGGCTTAGTGCTCCCTCACTTTGAGGGAAGTAACTGAAGTCATAGCGATGAAGATTGTTAACATATTGGTATCTTCCTGGTCAGGTTAAAATCTGGGAAAACATGCCATATTACCCCAGTCCCCCGACTTCAGTCACTGACTTGTAAAATAAAGGGGTTGGCCAGGTGCGGTGGCTCGTGCCTGTAATCCCAGTACTTTGGGAGGCCGAGTCGGGTGGATCACTTGTGGTCAGGAGTTTGAGACCAGCTTGGCCAACATGGTGAAACCCCATCTCTACTAAAAATACAAAAGATTCGCTGGGTGTGTTGGCACCCGCTTGTAATCTCAGCTACTTGGGAGGCTGAGGTGGGAGGTAAGTTTGAACCCAGGAGGGAGAGGTTGTGGTGAGCCAAGATGGCACCATTGCACTCCAGCCTGGGTGACAGAGTGAGACTTCATCTCAAAATAAATAAATAAAAATCAAAAAAATAAAATAAAGGGGTTAACTCTTCTAAAAAGGTTCTTTTTAATTCTATGATTTTCTGATCTATTAATGTGACTAGCAATTTTGTGAGATGTAGTTTGTCATGTTATCACTACTTTTTGGTTAAAACACTGTGGAAAACCTTGAGTGGTAACTTTATCTTAGTCCAGGTGATTCCAGTTGCAGCAGTAGCTAGGTGCCCTGCGATAACTCTCTCCCCTTGAGGGTTTCCAGTGTGGGAAGTTGTCATTTAGGCGCGCCAAAAGTGGTCTGGCCTCTCGTGCTTCTTGAGATCCCTTCCGGGCTCTGGTCTATCTTGTCTCCTTAGCTGGGGGCCTACAGTCATCTAGAGTAAAAGGGATGGTTAAAAAAAAAAAAAAAAGGCAATCGGAGACAAGAATGCCAGAGGAGAGACATTAACCATGTAATTTGAATTTAAAATGCTCATGGAATATGGGAAATTCAGTGCTGAGCCATGTGAGCAGGGTTACTTGCTAGGGTCCTGGAACGCACCTGTCTGGCCAGGAGTTTCTTAAGATATCTCTGGTATCTTCTGTTCTAGACCTTAGGTGTAGCCGGCTGTGGGCTGGGGATTATCCAGCTCCCCTTTCCCATATGGAGCCTTAAGGGTTAGTGTATCCTGATAGGGGGATCCCTAGGACTTTCATCCAGGTCTCTTCTTTCTTTCATAGTGAAGATGAGGCCCAGGATGTTGTACTGGCATGAGTGCCAAGAGACCATGGCCCTTTTCATTTCCTATTCTCTTTCCCCTGATCCCAACCATTGTTTGCAAAGATGGACTGGTGATCCCATTGGTGGAGCTGTCAGCAAAGCAGGTGGCATTTCATATCCCATTTGAAGTGGTGGAGAAAGTTTACCCACCAGTGCCTGAGCAGCTACAGCTCCGAATTGCTTTTTGGAGCTTCCCTGAGAATGAAGAGGACATTCGGTGAGGCCAAAGGACTGATGGTGGGGAGCGGGGTCCTGATACTCCACACTGTCTGCTGGGTTTCCCATAGAACAAAGGAGACATTGTATTTGGGGCAGTGGTAAGAGGAAGACAAGGGAGGGATTGCCTGGGATTCCACTCCCTCCCCCCCACCCCCCGCCCTGGGGAAGGAATGAGGCTAGGGAGAGAGTGCCTAGGGCATTGTGGTCTCTGACAGGGTCTGCCAAAGGTTATTTGCTGAGTTGTGGCTGTGTCCTCTTCTTCACCCCCAGGCTGTATTCGTGCCTGGCCAATGGCAGTGCGGATGAGTTTCAGCGAGGGGATCAGCTCTTCCGCATGCGGGCTGTGAAGGACCCATTGCAGATAGGTGAGTGGGCCATCATGCCATGTGGCACATCCTGCTCCTCCCATCCCCTGGCTTATGAAGTAAGAACACACCGCAAGAAGCTGGAGCATGTTGTCTGAATAACTGCAGGGCCAGGGTCAAGGGCAGAGACCCAGGTCCTGACAGCACTCCCTGACCATGCCCCCATTTCTCCCCAGGGTTCCACCTGAGTGCTACAGTGGTGCCACCTCAGATGGTCCCTCCTAAAGGGGCCTACAACGTGGCTGTGATGTTTGACCGCTGCCGGGTCACTTCCTGCAGCTGTACCTGTGGGGCTGGGGCCAAATGGTGCACCCACGTCGTGGCACTCTGTCTCTTCCGCATCCACAACGTGAGGCCCTCCCAATTTATCCCGGCCCTATCCTACACTCCATCCCCCCCTTCTCTGCTGCATGCCTGGCTACAATGTGAGCCCCCTCGCCTCGCCTACTCTGCCTCTCTGTCCCCCAGCTCCAGCTCCAGCAAACCTGTTCTCAGATTGTTCCATTTTTCTCTGTGTCCCCTTCAGGCTTCTGCAGTCTGCCTGCGAGCCCCAGTCTCAGAGTCCCTGTCCCGGCTACAGAGGGACCAGCTGCAAAAGTTTGCTCAGTACCTCATCAGTGAGCTCCCTCAGCAGGTGGGTGAGGTCGGCACCCCCTCCTGCAATTAGCTCCGGGCCAGGCCGCATAACAGCCTTCCTGTTAGGCCCAGGCCTCCATGGGTTCACCTAGGCCGTGTTCTGCCTGCCTCCGTCTCTTTCTCCCTCAGATCCTCCCCACAGCTCAGCGTCTCCTGGACGAACTCCTGTCTTCCCAGTCAACAGCCATCAATACAGTGTGTGGAGCTCCGGGTGAGTGTGGTGAGAAAGATTGGCAGTAGGAAGAAAGCCAGCTTGTAGTACAGAGCGCCATTTACTCAAGGCTTGCTGTTGTCAGGCAAATCCAGGCCCCTATCTCTAGATGACTGACTGCCTGTCATCCTCAGACCCCACAGCAGGGCCCTCAGCATCGGACCAGAGTACTTGGTATCTGGATGAATCGACACTCACTGACAACATCAAAAAGACACTGCACAAGTTCTGTGGCCCCTCCCCTGTGGTCTTCAGGTAAATCGGATCTCTGCATACCTGTGTCTGTGGTGGAGGGGGAGCGTCCCTCAGGCTGATGACAGATCCTTTCTTCTATTCATGCCTGTGACCCCTACCTTTTATTCCCTGAACTGGCACAGTGCCTGGCACACAGTTGTCACTAACGAATTGATGGAAGATGATGACCTTGTACAGTCACAGAGTGGTCTGCTCTTACCTAGCAAGAGTTCCTTTTCTTCTTTTGATAGATCAGGAAATGGAAACAGAGAAAGATTTTTTAAAGAGTTTTTGTGGCTGGGGGCGGTGGCTCATACCTATAATCCCAGCATTTTGGGAGGCTGACGTGGGCAGATCACCTGAGATCAGGAGTTCGAGACCAGCCTGGCCAACATGGCGAATCTCCATCTCTACTAAAAAAACAAAAATTAGCCAGGCGTGGTGGCGGGCGCCTGTAATCTCAGCTACTTGGGAGGCTGAGGCAGGAGAATTGCTTGAACCCGGGAGGTGGAGGTTGCAGTGAGGTGAGATCGCGCCATTGCACTCAAGCCTGGGCGACAGAGCAAGACTTGGTCTCAAAAAAAAAAATTTTGTTACAGATGTCTTTTTCCCTCTATCTTCTGTATTTTGGGGCCGGAAGCCCTTTTAGGTTTCATTCAGCCCCGTCTTACTGTCATGGTTTTCTGTTCCTCTGCTTTTACAGTGATGTGAACTCCATGTATCTGTCTTCCACGGAGCCGCCAGCCGCTGCTGAATGGGCATGTCTGCTGCGCCCTCTGAGGGGCCGTGAGCCAGAGGGCGTCTGGAACCTGCTAAGCATTGTGCGGGAGATGTTCAAGCGGAGGGACAGCAATGCTGCCCCCTTGTTGGAAATCCTCACTGACCAGTGCCTCACCTATGAACAGGTAATCACTCAGCGTTGGGGAGCCCCGTGGTAGCTCATTCTTTCCCTCCCCCTGCCTCATCCTCCTCTTGCTGAAATGGACTCTGGGAGGGCTACTCTGCCTTTCTCTGAGCTCTCAGGTGCAGCTCACAGCCTTCTTTGTCTCCAGATAACAGGTTGGTGGTATAGCGTACGTACCTCAGCCTCACACAGCAGTGCCAGTGGGCACACGGGCCGTAGCAACGGGCAGTCAGAGGTGGCAGCCCATGCCTGTGCCAGCATGTGTGACGAGATGGTCACACTGTGGAGGCTGGCCGTGCTGGACCCTGCACTCAGCCCCCAGCGGTGAGTCTCCCCTGAGGCTCACCACAGAACTGAGCCTGGGCCAGCTCAGGACAGACTGAGCCTTCATCTCCTTGTTTGCAGAGACATACCATGATTTTAGTCCTCGGGAAACGGGAGGTGCTGAGCACTGGTGTTAGCAGTGATTTACGAGTCCTTTTTCTGAGAGGCTTTCATCCTTCCTTCCCCTAAATAACACCCACTTTTCAAAATTCTCCAGTGTTTCAGTGATGCTTATGGGGCTGGGTCAAGAAGTACTTTCCTGTATCCTTTCCCCATGCCTCTCTTTGGGGTGTACACCTACTCCATGCCCATCCTTTCCCAGTAGCCCCTCAGCAGCCTCCTGCCCCTTGTTCCCACAGGCGCCGGGAACTGTGTACGCAGCTGCGGCAGTGGCAACTGAAGGTGATTGAGAACGTCAAGCGGGGCCAACACAAGAAGACGCTGGAGCGGCTCTTCCCCGGCTTCCGGCCAGCGGTGGAGGCCTGCTACTTCAACTGGGAAGAGGCCTACCCACTTCCTGGTGTCACCTACAGCGGCACTGACAGGAAGCTGGCACTGTGCTGGGCCCGGGCCCTGCCCTCTCGGCCAGGTGCCTCCCGCTCTGGGGGCCTGGAGGAATCCCGGGACCGGCCCCGACCCCTTCCTACTGAGCCAGCTGTGCGGCCCAAGGAGCCTGGGACCAAGCGAAAGGGCTTGGGTGAGGGGGTCCCCTCATCACAGCGGGGTCCCCGCCGCCTCTCAGCTGAAGGGGGAGATAAAGCTCTACATAAGATGGGTCCAGGTGGGGGCAAAGCCAAGGCACTGGGTGGGGCTGGCAGTGGGAGCAAGGGCTCAGCAGGTGGCGGAAGCAAGCGACGGCTGAGCAGCGAAGACAGCTCCCTGGAGCCAGACCTGGCCGAGATGAGCCTGGATGACAGCAGCCTGGCCCTGGGCGCAGAGGCCAGCACCTTCGGGGGATTCCCTGAGAGCCCTCCACCCTGTCCTCTCCACGGTGGCTCCCGAGGCCCTTCCACTTTCCTTCCTGAGCCCCCAGATACTTATGAAGAAGATGGTGGTGTGTACTTCTCGGAAGGGCCTGAGCCTCCCACAGCCTCTGTTGGCCCCCCTGGCCTACTGCCTGGGGATGTCTGTACCCAGGACGACCTCCCTTCTACAGATGAGAGTGGCAATGGGCTTCCCAAAACCAAAGAGGCAGCCCCTGCAGTTGGAGAGGAGGATGATGACTACCAGGCGTACTATCTGAATGCCCAGGATGGGGCTGGGGGCGAGGAAGAGAAGGCCGAGGGCGGGGCTGGGGAGGAGCACGACCTGTTTGCTGGGCTGAAGCCACTGGAACAGGAGAGTCGCATGGAGGTGAGGGGATGGAAGGAGGGAGGGCTGGGTGCTCCTTAGCCACAACTGGGAGGGGCTATCTAGCTCTAGTTGGGAGTGTCAGGACCATCAGCAGGATTGTGAGAACCCTGTTGCAGGCGCCGAACTGGTCTCCCTGCTTTCAGTCTACTCACTTTTCTGCTTCCACGAGATTTTCCTGAAATGTGATGGTGTCACTCTGCTGCTTAAAACCCTTCAATGGGTTCCTGTTGCCCTTATGATAAAATGAAAGTGGTTGGCATGACCTGTGAGGGTCCACTTGATCTGGTCTTTGCCTGCTTTGCCAGCCTCACTTGGCTGCTCTGTCCTTTGCACTCCAGTCAGCTGAATCACTCATGTATCTGCCATGCTCTCTCTCTTGCCTCCAGGATTTTGGACAGATTGACCTTTCTGCCTGGAATGCTCTTCCCCATTAGCCCGTGTTTCTCCTTCAGGTCTCAGGGATCTTAAAGATCACTTCCTCTAGGGAGTCTCTCTGATACTGTCCCTGTGCCCCAAGATATCCCACCTGCTTCCCCTTGACCTTTCCCTGTAATAGCTGGCATCACGGTGGCATGTGTGTTTATGTGTCTGTCTTTCTAACCAGAGCTCCTATGGAGCGGCACAGGGCCTGGCATGTAGCAAGTGTTCAAGGAATGTTGGCTGCATGAGTGAGCATGATGTCCTGCTCCTGGAAGTTGGGACTTTAACCTGTCTGGTCCCATGTCCTCCTTCCAGGTACTGTTTGCCTGTGCTGAGGCCCTGCATGCGCATGGCTATAGCAGTGAGGCCTCCCGTCTCACTGTGGAGCTTGCCCAGGATCTGCTAGCCAACCCACCCGACCTCAAGGTAGAGCCGCCCCCTGCCAAGGTGAGAGACCCCCTTCCTCTACCTTCCCCTCCCCCACTTACCCCCAACCTGCTCCCATGCCCCACCCCAAGTGAGAGCATCCTTCTACCTCCACCAAGGTAAGTCAGAATCATCTGCCTGTCTCCTGTGTTTCTTCCCTTTCTAGGGCAAGAAGAACAAGGTATCCACGAGCCGTCAGACCTGGGTGGCTACCAACACCCTGAGCAAGGCGGCCTTCCTGTTGACAGTGCTAAGTGAGCGTCCAGAGCACCACAACCTGGCCTTCCGAGTTGGCATGTTTGCCTTGGAGCTACAGAGGCCTCCAGCTTCTACCAAGGCCTTGGAGGTCAGAGGCTCCATCTCAGCCTTGTATTTCAGTCTCTTTAGAGCCTTGCACCTTGATCTCTATTGACACACCAGAGGTCTGAGCTCCTTCCTGTGCCCTCAGGTGAAGCTGGCATACCAGGAGTCTGAGGTGGCTGCCCTGCTCAAGAAGATCCCTCTGGGTCCAAGTGAGATGAGTACCATGCGGTGCCGGGCAGAGGAACTTCGGGAGGGGACACTCTGTGACTATCGGCCTGTGTTGCCTCTCATGCTGGCCAGTTTCATCTTTGACGTTCTCTGTGCTCCAGGTATGATGCCTGACCCTACAGTAAGTGGGGAACTGGGGTAGGGGTAGCTTTCTCTAAGAAAGACCAAGAGCCCCAAGTTTCTGAATCACCTTTAGGACCCATCAGGCAGCTTCATGGGTAGGTCTGTGATGATGAGGATTTTGGGTTCCCCTGTATTTTTTCCCATGCATGATACTTCTGTCTGCCTGACTTACCCCAACTTTTATACAGTGGTTTCTCCCACAGGTTCCCGGCCCCCAAGTCGCAACTGGAACAGCGAGACACCTGGGGATGAGGAGCTTGGATTTGAAGCAGCAGTTGCTGCCTTGGGTGAGTCTTGAGCATATCAACGAGCTAAGCCTGGTTCAGGTCTTGAAGGACATGAGACCTGTGCCTTGTTGTGAAGGGCTGTATGGTAATGGGAAGGTCAGGATGACATGTGTGAGCCAACTAGTGCCTGTAAGACAGGAATTCAGGGCAAAAATGTGTGCTATATGGCTGGGCGTGGTGGCCCATGCTTGTAATCGCAGCGCTTTGGGAGGCTGAAGCAGGAGGATTGTTTGAGCTCAGGAGTTCATGACCAGCCTGGGCAACCTAGCAAGACCTCATCTCTACTTAAAAAAAAAAAAAAAAAAAAAAAAAAAATTAGCCAGGTGTGGTGGCACATGCCTTGTGCTGCCAGCTACTCCAGAGGCTGAAGTGGGAGAATTGCTTTAGCCTGGAGATTGAGGCTGCAGTGAACTGTGATTGCACCACTGCCCTCTAGCCTGGGCAACAGAGTGAAACCTTGTCTCAAACAAAGAAAAAAAAAATTGTGTGCTATGGGTATTGGGTATTGTAAGGGCAGCAAAACAAAAATCTAGAGAAAGGCCTAAGGGAAGTGGTAGAATATGGAATGTGGGTTAAAAGATCAGTAGGTCCTAAACCAGCGAACACCATGAGTAAATACACAACGCAATCAAGTTTTCATGAGAATGAGGAGGCCAGCTTCCCTAAAATGATAAGTACATGCTGGGTAAGCAGATTGGACCTGGTTATGAAGGTTTTGAAAAGCACACCAGAGCTTAGGCTGGATATAATAGTCAACGAAGACTTCTATAGGTGATGTGGGTTGGACCAAGGGAACCCCTTACTTCATATGCTGATGGCTTGGGAACCCTGGCCTCTTACCTTTGCTGTCTTGGGAATTATGACTACTCTCAATCCCCATAAGGTCCTCTTTCTCGCAGGCATGAAGACAACAGTGAGCGAGGCAGAACATCCCCTCTTATGTGAAGGCACACGTCGGGAGAAGGGTGACCTGGCATTAGCACTAATGATCACTTACAAGGACGACCAGGCCAAGCTTAAGAAGGTAAGAGACTGGGGCTGGGTGCGGTGGCTCATGCCTGTAATCCCAGCAGTTTGGGAGGCAGAGGCGGGCAGATGGCTTGAGCCCAGGAGTTTGAGACAAGCCTGGGCAACATGGCGAAACCCCGTCTCTACCAAAAAATACAAAAAATTAGCAGCTGGGTGTGGTGGCACATGCCTGTAGTCCCAGCTACTCGGGAGGCTGAGGTGGGAGGATTGCTTGAACCCAGTAGGCAGAGGTTGCAATGAGCTGGGTTCACGCCACTGCACTCCAGCCTGGGTGACAGAGCAAGACCCTGTTTCAAAAAAAAAAAAAAAAAAAAAAGGCAAGGTACTGGGGCCTTTGACAGGCAGAGAAAGAGAGCACATTTTACTACCTTTCTCAGGGAGTTTCCAGTACAATGAGAAAAGTGCTATTTTAGGCTGGGTGCAGTGGCTCATGCCTGTAATCTCAGCACTTTGGGAAGCAGAGGCGGGAGGATCGTTTGAGACCAACCTGGCCAACATAGTGAGACCCTGTCTCTACAAAAAATTAGAAAATTAGCCGGGCATGGTGGCGCGCGCCTGTAGTCCCAGCTACTCGGGAGGCTGAGGTGGGAGAATTGCTTGAGCCCAGGAGTTTGAGGCTACAGTGAGCTATAATCATACCACTGCACTCCAGCCTGGGCAACAGAGCGAGACCCTGTCTCTTAAAAAAAAAAGAAGAAGAAGAAAAAAAGAAAAGTGCTCTTCTGCCCATAGGAGGTAAGTAGGGAATCTTGGGGACATCTCATAAAGAATAAGAGAAGACCAATGGTTCTTATAGGAGTGCTTGGGCATGGGGTGGAAGAAGAGAAGCAGAGGGCATAAAGTCATTCATTCACTTATTTCAGTATTTATTGACTATCAGTATATTCTGCCCTGTGGTGTTAATGGAGGATACCAAGATATGTTGGGGTTAAATAAGTTACAAAAAGACATGTAAACCAGGAGGTCATCCTGTGGTTGTAAGTGGGGAAGGCTCCCTGAGGATGTAGCAATTGGCTGTTTCAAGGAGAAAGGAAGGTAATAGAAGTCAGGAGCTAAAGGGCATCCTGTCACTGCTTCTCTGGAGGTCACTGCTTCTGTCTTCCAGATCTTAGACAAACTCTTGGACCGAGAGAGCCAGACACATAAGCCACAGACGCTGAGTTCTTTCTACTCATCTAGCCGCCCAACCACAGCCAGCCAGAGGTCTCCTTCAAAGCACGGGGGCCCATCTGCCCCAGGGGCCCTGCAACCACTGACCTCAGGCTCTGCAGGGCCTGCTCAACCAGGGAGTGTGGCAGGGGCTGGGCCAGGCCCCACTGAGGGCTTCACAGAGAAGAATGTGCCTGGTGAGGTGGGGGCACTGGGCAGGGGGGATGAATGGTGTGGACCTATGTTGAGGTCCCCTTTCCTGGGCTCATCCCAGCGTCCTGTTTTCCTCACCTAGAGAGTTCCCCACATTCCCCCTGTGAGGGTCTTCCATCTGAGGCAGCTTTGACCCCAAGGCCAGAAGGGAAGGTTCCTAGCCGCTTGGCACTTGGCAGTCGTGGAGGCTATAATGGACGGGGATGGGGGTCCCCAGGACGGCCTAAGAAGAAGCACACAGGTAGGATAGCCTGTGGGCTAGCATAGAGGGAAGGATAATCCTGAAGGTTGGAGTCTTAACATCTGGGACTCCTGACTTCTGAGACTGACTTCTCTTGGGGGTTAGGCATGGCCAGCATTGACAGCAGTGCCCCTGAAACAACATCGGATAGTTCCCCCACCTTAAGCCGGAGACCACTTCGAGGGGGCTGGGCCCCCACCTCCTGGGGTCGAGGTCAGGACAGTGACAGCATTAGCAGCTCTTCTTCGGACTCCCTGGGCTCCTCATCCTCCAGTGGAAGTCGCCGGGCCAGTGCCAGTGGAGGAGCCCGGGCGAAGACTGTTGAAGTTGGCAGGTCAGTGGGAAGAACTCCCCATCTTCCCTGATCTGGCCCACCCTCAGAGCCACACCCCTAGTGCAATCCAACCATTGTCTCCCAGCATCCTCACTTTCCCTGGTCCTTCCCAACCTACCCGGATGCCCATTTCAAAGAAACCCCAACCCCCGTCCCTACCCCATTGCCCCTTCAGGTACAAGGGCCGCCGCCCCGAGAGTCATGCCCCTCATGTACCCAATCAGCCATCAGAGGCAGCTGCACACTTCTACTTCGAGCTGGCGAAGACAGTGCTGATCAAGGCAGGGGGCAACAGCAGCACTTCCATTTTCACACATCCATCTTCCTCAGGGGGCCACCAGGGTCCTCACCGCAACCTGCACCTTTGCGCCTTCGAGATTGGGCTTTATGCCCTTGGCCTGCACAACTTTGTTTCTCCCAACTGGCTCTCACGTACTTATTCTTCCCACGTTTCCTGGATTACAGGTAAATCATTTGACCTGACTTGGGTATGGGAGGGGGATTAATTGGTGGGGATAAGACCCTTATCTTTGTGGGGTTACTGATCTGATAAAAAGACATTATTCTCACACCCCAGTGGTGCCCACACTAACCCAACTCTGCCCTTCTCTCCTTTCCCCTAAGGCCAGGCCATGGAGATAGGCAGCGCAGCCCTGACTATACTGGTAGAATGCTGGGATGGGCACCTGACACCCCCTGAGGTTGCATCCCTGGCTGACAGGGCATCACGGGCAAGAGACTCCAATATGGTGAGGGCGGCAGCAGAGCTGGCCCTGAGCTGCCTGCCTCACGCCCATGCATTGAACCCTAATGAGATCCAGCGGGCCCTGGTGCAGTGCAAGGAACAGGTATTTCTACGGGCAATCTGGGAACCTCTTCTGGGGCATCTGGGCAGGGAGGTTGGGCATGGGAAAGCTAAGGGCCCAGCTCTTGATTCCCGTATCCTGGAGTTTACAGATGATTGTTGGTCCTCTCATGGCAACATTTTACCCATTAATGTGCTTTCACACCCATCTTTCCTTTACCTTACAACTCAAAGGTTAGGTTTATTTCTATTTTACAGATAAGGAAATGGAGGCCTACGGTTTAGGGACCAAGATGATCACTCAGGATAGAAAACTTAGGGAAGGCCTCATACATCTAAGACTTGAATGGGAGGGGGCTGTTAAATTAGTTTGGAACTGGGACTATAACCTGGGTCTTGACTCATTTTGGTCAGTATTTACTCAGTGTGTGAAGCACTCACTGCTCTGATAATGGACTCTAAGCATTGACACTGACCTCTGATGATTCCCTGGGAATGAGACAGCTCTGAGGGAGACATTGGAATCTCATCTAACACCTTCCATGTGGTAAAGGCCTTTCCCCCTTAACACTCTGTGCCCCTCTCTTCCAGGACAACCTGATGTTGGAGAAGGCCTGCATGGCAGTGGAAGAGGCAGCTAAGGGTGGGGGCGTGTACCCTGAAGTGTTGTTTGAGGTTGCTCACCAGTGGTTCTGGCTGTATGAGCAAACTGCAGGTGGCTCATCCACAGCCCGTGAAGGGGCTACAAGCTGTAGTGCCAGTGGGATCAGGGCAGGTGGGGAAGCTGGGCGGGGTATGCCTGAGGGTAGAGGGGGCCCAGGGACTGAGCCGGTTACAGTGGCAGCGGCAGCAGTGACAGCAGCAGCCACAGTGGTGCCCGTCATATCGGTGGGGTCTAGTTTATACCCGGGTCCAGGACTGGGGCATGGCCACTCCCCTGGCCTGCACCCCTACACTGCTCTACAGCCCCACCTGCCCTGTAGCCCTCAGTATCTCACTCACCCAGCTCACCCTGCCCACCCCATGCCTCACATGCCCCGGCCTGCCGTCTTCCCTGTGCCCAGCTCTGCATACCCACAGGTGAGACCAGTGTTCTGCTGGGGGGTAAGGCATGGGAAAATACTGGGAATTCATAGGGGGTTGGAGTGGGTACTCTGGGAGTATAATTGGTCAGTCGGAGAGTCCTGGTGAGGTGGTGGGAGTCTGGGGGACCCAGCCCAACTAAAATAAGAAATGACGGCCGGGCATGGTGGCTCATGCCTGTAATCCCAGCACTTTGAGAGGCCGATGTGGGTGGATCACTTGAGGTCAGGAGTTCGAGACCAGCCTGGCCAACATGGGGAAACCCCGTCTCTACTAAAAATTAGCTGAGTGCACGCCTGTAATCCCAGCTTCTTGGGAGGCTGAGATGGGAATCACTTGAACCTGGGAGGCAGAGGTTGCAGTGAGCCGATATCGTGCCACTGCACTCCAGCCTGGAGGACAGAGCGAGACTCTATCTCAAAAAAAACATGTCAGGATAGCAGCTTGTGGGGGTGAAGCACGACAGCAACATCCTAATCAAGTTTGGCATCTTCCCCTTTCTTCTCCCTGCCCCTAGGGTGTGCATCCTGCATTCCTAGGGGCTCAGTACCCTTATTCAGTGACTCCTCCCTCACTTGCTGCCACTGCTGTGTCTTTCCCCGTTCCTTCCATGGCACCCATCACAGTACATCCCTACCACACAGAGCCAGGGCTTCCACTGCCCACCAGTGTGGCCTGTGAGTTGTGGGGCCAGGGAACAGGTGAATGGAGGGGAGGCACACTGGGCAGGGGAGGTGGGGAGGGAATGTTCTTTGTCTCTCTTTGGGCTCTGAGTTCCTCACATGGCTCTCACCCCACTTAGTGAGCAGTGTCCATCCAGCATCCACGTTTCCAGCCATCCAAGGTGCCTCACTGCCTGCCCTGACCACACAGCCCAGCCCTCTGGTGAGCGGAGGTTTTCCACCGCCCGAGGAGGAGACACACAGTCAGCCAGTCAATCCCCACAGCCTGCACCACCTGCATGCTGCCTACCGTGTCGGTGAGAGGACATCCCTTTCTGTGCTCCTACCTGCAGTTGTGCCAGTGGCTCTTCAGAGGACCCTTCCTCTAGCTCTTCATTTGTTTACTGTGGGGTCAGGTGACAGGTTGGGGTAAAGGGTGAAGAGGATACACCGTACCATGTGCCCACCCTTATCTATCTCCCAGGAATGCTGGCACTGGAGATGCTGGGTCGCCGGGCACACAACGATCACCCCAACAACTTCTCCCGCTCCCCCCCCTACACTGATGATGTCAAATGGTTGCTGGGGCTGGCAGCAAAGCTGGGTAACACCTCCCCTCCCTAGGACCATTGCCCCCCCCCCACCTGCTCTCCCCACCTTCCTTATCCCAGACCTCCTTCCTAGCTCTTGCTCAGAGTTGAGGCCTTGGTCGGGTATGTGTGCGTGCGCGGGGGGCGGAGGGTTACCTCAGCTCCTGGGGTGGAGGGAGGCTCTCTGCCAGGCCAGAGCTGAGATCTGTAAGTTGGGTCCCTAGGGCAGAGGTGGCCACCCCCGTCTCATGCCCCTCCCCCTGCCCCCCAGGAGTGAACTACGTGCACCAGTTCTGTGTGGGGGCAGCCAAGGGGGTGCTGAGCCCGTTTGTGCTGCAGGAGATCGTCATGGAGACGCTGCAGCGGCTGAGTCCCGCTCATGCCCACAACCACCTGCGTGCCCCGGCCTTCCACCAACTGGTGCAGCGCTGCCAGCAGGCATACATGCAGGTGACAACCTAGAATTATGGAGCAGGGTGGAGCACTTCCTGGGTGGTCTTGGACCAGAGGGAGGCAGGGCCTGTTTCTGTGCTTTGTACTAAGGCTCATCCTGCACACATCCTCCTCCAGTACATCCACCACCGCTTGATTCACCTGACTCCTGCGGACTACGACGACTTTGTGAATGCGATCCGGAGTGCCCGCAGCGCCTTCTGCCTGACGCCCATGGGCATGATGCAGTTCAACGACATCCTACAGAACCTCAAGCGCAGCAAACAGACCAAGGAGCTGTGGCAGCGGGTCTCACTCGAGATGGCCACCTTCTCCCCCTGAGTCTTTCACCCTTAGGGTCCTATACAGGGACCCAGGCCTGTGGCTATGGGGGCCCCTCACACAGGGGGAGTGAAACTTGGCTGGACAGATCATCCTCACTCAGTTCCCTGGTAGCACAGACTGACAGCTGCTCTTGGGCTATAGCTTGGGGCCAAGATGTCTCACACCCTAGAAGCCTAGGGCTGGGGGAGACAGCCCTGTCTGGGAGGGGGCGTTGGGTGGCCTCTGGTATTTATTTGGCATTTATAAATATATAAACTCCTTTTTTACTCTAGTCGACCTGGGCCTTTCCCTTCTTTCCAAATTCCATGTGCAGATGAACCTTCAACTGGGGAGGAAACTTCTGACACTTGCTTTAGTCTAGGTTTTTCCCACTCCAGGGAGGCAGACAAAACAGAAAAATAAGGATGTTTATTAAGGACATTTCTAGCCCACAGCTAGGGCTCATACTCGGCTCTATGAGCCACTGTCCGACCTCATCCCCATTCAATGTGAATGACATTAGGGAGGCCGGGCCACAGGTAGATCCCACTGCCTGGCTAAAGGGGCCATAGCAAGGGGTCCCTCCCATGCAAGGGGTCTCTCCCATAGCCAGGTATAGAATAGATACACTGCTGCGGATGAAGAGGGAAATCTCATTGGACTAATACATTCCCCTACACCCTGCCTGGACCCTCTCATTCCTCCCCACCTCCCAAGATGATGGGTCAAAGGTACCTAGCACTATTATGTGGGGTACCAAAGGAAGCCCCTTTATTTGTCCCAGAACTGTGGGAAAAGGATACCCTTCCCTTCTCAGCCATCTCAGGCCTGGGGGCTACTGAGGTAGAGGGGGAGGGGCCAGGCCACTCTAATCCCCCTTGTGGGCCCTGCTCTGGACCTGCCCCTTAGGGAAGCAGGGGGCATTTTGCTGGTATGGGAGGCTGGGACATCAGCCCAGACTGGAATGCTGCAGTTCTTCCCGAAGCCACGAGGGCACTGGCTGTCCAAGCCGGCTCAGCAGCTTCGACAACTCCAAATTATGGTTCCGGAAAAAATCCGTAAGGAAAAGACGGGACTGACAGGAGAAAATGAAGGCAGAAATGGTAAGAAGTGGGACACAGAATCAGATCCTGGAAGTGGAGAGGGATTCCCCTGCCCCTGGCTTTACTTACCTCAGTGTCCATATCTGGATACCTCCGGCCTTTGCTCCGGCCTAGACAGCGAGTCTTACCACCTTCAAGTCCCTGGCACCAAAATCCCTTATCATCATCAAACCTGCTCAACAGGAAGAGGCCATGAGGTGGCAGGGAAAAGAGAAACTCAAGTTCCATAAATGCACAATGCCCTTCCCTGCCCACAGGGACATGTCTCTCCTTGTGAGACAGAGTAAATCTATGTCTCTAACAGACATGGTCAACCTGCTTCCCCATTTCCCATACAGTACTCCTCCCCTGGGTCATGCTCTCCCACCTGAGGGTCCGTGTGTAGTTCAGAAAGGGTGTGATACCCAGGAACTTCTGGATGCTCTCCATTGAGGCTGCTGGGTTGGTACGCAGCTCTTGCCCATCCACAATCAGCAACTAAAAGGACAGGGATGTGGTTCCCTCTATATTCCTAAGAAGCCTCTGGGCTGAAGGGAAGAAGAGGGGAAGGGGAACCCCACTGAGGGCTCTTGTGGGGATTATACCTGTCCAGAGGGGTAGTAAGTCAGCCAGCGTTGTAGATGGGTAGAATAGTAGCCAGGGACAAGACAGCGGTTCTGCAGGGAGCGTAGTGCCAGAGGGGTCTGGGAGGAGGCTGAAATCACCTGATAGAAGGTATAGTTCAGAGCAACTGGGTCTCCATGGGCTCGCTGATGCTGAAGGACAAAGAGAAGGAAGGTGAAGGACTGGTGATTTGACAGTATTCTGCCCTTACGCTTGGTCTGGAGACAGACAGCACAGCACGGGTACCCGTCCCCAAGGCACTAGTTAAGTTTCTCAAACCTCACTCCTTTCTCCCTCTCTAGCAGTCACTGTCCCCTCCCCCCTCCCCCCAACCTTTAGCCTGTGTGTCCCTAGCTTCAGGCAGACCTGGTACCAGGAGTAGGCCCTGTCAGCAGGGTTGGTGAGCACTGTGATGATCTTGGCTCGTGGCAGGAGGGCAGCCCCCCGCCGTGGTACAACTTCAGAGTCAAAGTAGGTGGCACTTTTTTCAAATAGGAAATCAGTGCTGGCATTGGAAGGAACAGGGAAGAAATCCATGTACCTAGGAAGTAGCACAGAAGAGAGAGAAGCAGAAAAATATGCAGAGTGAAGTGGCCAGAAGTCTGTGCTGAGGGAAGCTGGAATGGGGTATTTTGGGGGAAGGGAGTGTTCCTCTGAGAAACATTCAAATGGGGCCCAGTCTCACCAGTCAATACCCTTGTGGTAATTAGGGCTGTTGAAGAACTGAATCTCCTCAAATGTGCTGGGGCTAGGGAAGCTGCTAGTTACAGCTGGGTGCAGGCTCAGGAAGAAGTGAATAGCTGTAGTCCCTAAATGGGAGAGAAAGACCAGCTTCAGGCAGCCATTGTGGGAGGGAAGCCAGCTCAACAGCATAAGCTTGAAGGAAGTGAAAAAATAACCACTCTGGGTAGGAAAATCCCCTATGGCCAAACTACAATGATAGGAGGCAAGTCTGAGAGAGGCCCAGGGAAGGGCTAAAACAGTGGTTCTCTGCTTTAACTGTGCACCAGAATGACTTGTGATCTTGTAAAAACACCACAGATGATTCTGATATACAACCAGGGTTAGGAATCACTGCCTCAAGAGACTGGATCAATGAGGGGTGGGTATAAAAGGAGTTCCTTTTTTTCTCTCTTAAAAATTCAAATTAAGGCCGGGTGCGGTGGCTCATGCCTGTAATCCCAGCACTTTGGGAGGCCAAGGCAGGCGGATCACTTGAGGTCAAGAGTTCGAGACCAGCCTGGCCAACATGGTGAAACCCCGTCTCTACTAAAAATACAAAAATTAGCCAGGTGTGGTGGCACCTGCCTGTAATCCCAGCTACTAGGGAAGCTGAGCAGAATTGCCTGAACCTGGGAGGTGGAGGTTGTAGTGAGCTGAGATCGTGCCACTGCGCTCCAGCCTGGGCAAAGAAGTGAGACTCTTATCTCAAAAAAAAAAAAATTATTAAAATTAAAAATACTTTTTTCACTCCTGTGATTACCTGGAGAGAGAAGAGAGTTCCTTGACAAAAGGATCCTTTGGGTTTAAGGCAGGGCAAGAGAAGTTAGCTAAGGATACTTCACCTGTTTTCTGGGGTCCCACAATGAGGAACTTCGGGAGACGATCACAGGTTTTCTCCTTGGACCAGATATCTTTGTGCCTCTTGTCATCACAGGGATTCTGAAGCCAGGGCCAATAATCAGATAAGGCCTATTTTTTTTTTTTTTTTGAGACGGAGTTTCGTTCTTGTTGCCCAGGCTGGAGTGCAATGCATGATCTCGGCTCACTGCAACCTCCGCCTCCTGGGTTCAAGCAATTCTCTTGCCTCAGCCTTCTGAGTAGCTGGGATTATAGGCAATGTGCCACCATGTCCGGCTAATTTTGTGTTTTTAGTAGAGACAGGGTTTCTCCAAGTTGGTCAGGTTAGTCTCAGACTCCTGACCTCAGGTGATCTGCCTGCCTCGGCCTCCCAAAGTGCTGGGATTACAGGCATGAGCCACCGTGCCCGGCCTGGCCTAGTCTTCTCTTAAACCCCCACCCCGGCTGGGCGCAGTGGCTTACATATGTAATCCCAGCACTTTGGGAGGCTGAGGCGGGCGGATCACCTGCAGTCAGGAGTTCGAGACCAGCCTGACCAACATGGTGAAACCCCGTCTCTACTAAAAATACAAAAAATTAGCCGGGCGTGGTGGCGGGTGCGTGTAATCCCAGCTACTAGGGAGGCTGAGGCAGGAGAATCGCTTGAACCTGGGAGGTGGAGGTTGCAATGAGCAGAGATTGTGCCATTGTACTCTAGCCTGGGTGACAGAGCGAGATTCTGTCTCAAAACAACAACAACAACAACAAAAAACACCCCACCCCTATCATGTCTCTCATCAGACTGAGCTCCACCTTTACCTGCCAAAGGGGGCTTCGCTCCTGAGGGAAAAGTTCAAAGTACTTCTGTGCAAGTGGGACAGGAGGAAGGGTCTGTAGGCGCAGCCGTGTCCAACACTGGAGGAAGCGCACCAAGCTCTCAAAGGTGTATAGGCCCAGCCGGTCATTTCCATAATTGGACAGATGGGTCATAAAGATGCTGATCTGTAAGGGGTACCTGCATGTCAGATTTGGAGAGCCTACCCCACCTCTGAATTAGCCTTGGTGAATAAAGGTCCCAGCCTGCAAACACCTTGGCTCTCCAATCTTCTAGCCGTTCCTCTCAGCACCTTACCGGATTAAGCAGCACTGTCAGAAAGAGCTCTCCACCTCGGATGCTCCGGTCTAGTTCACGAGAGCCTCCAGGATACTCATTATAGAAGATTGTGTGAGTGAAGAGGCCACATGTCTGCCGGGGCAGCACCTGGAGGGAAAAGAAAAAACAGATGAGATTTGAAAGATAGAATGAGAAGTAGATGGAGGACACTGGGATTTATAGAGGACTGAGTCTGAAGTTATAGCAATAAAGCTCTTACTGAGGGTGTTAAAATTTTTTCACCTTTCTACCCCCAATTATGTACCCCCATACTTGGACTGGCAGTTGATAGAGAACATAGGTCAATGCATGTTGAAAGCTGTCTAAATGTTAGAGTTTGATTCAAGCCTGTATTGGGAGTCCCTCACCATAATGCCATTGTGAATGAAGCCACGGCGGTAGCGGGCAGGGCGGAGATGGGGATACTCCTCAGTGCTGGTCACCTGGATGCCCCACACGGATTTCCAGGCCTCATAGAGCTGCGTGTGGATGGGGTACACACCCGAGTGGTGGGGGGCCACAGCATACCCCAGGTCCGTGGGAATCCCATGCTCCTGGGAATGGCATAGACTCTCACCAGGACCTGGTGAGGTTTGGGGAGTAGAGGGTAAAGAGGGTGGGGAAGCCTCCAAATAAAGAAAAACGCAAAGGATAGGAAAAGGGTAGCCCATTAGGGGAAGGTAGAAAAGGAAGCATGGCTGGGAGAAATTATGGGGAAGAGATCCAAGGGTCTCACCAGAGCAAACTGTTTGTTGAGCCTCATCTGGTCAGCCAGCACGGAGCGATTGTGGAACAGGTGTGGCTGCATGTGGCTCCACATGTGGGGGAACCACCAGAACTCTTTGCGGTGCTTCAGCAGCATGTCGTCCCCTGCATCCTCCTCCTCTGTCCCTATGACCACACGCTGACCACTGACCACAGCCAGTCAGCCCCTGTTCCCTCCTTTATTTTGTAACAACACTGACCACCTTCCATCCCTGATCCTTGCCTAAGACTTTCTATTTGCCCCACTGCCAACTTGCCATCCAGCCACCCATGCGAACCTAAATTCATGCCCACCACTAGCTCCTCACAGCAGTCTGACCCCAAACCTTGACCCTTTTCTTCAACTTGTCTGCCCAGGGAGGTGGACAGTGAAGGGACAGGTCAAACTATGATATGCCAAAGGAGTAGGGGTATAAGCTCACCAGTATGATAGAACTTGCCCGAGAAGCCCAAGTTGAAGGTGAAGTTGGGAACTAAGGTCCTGAGTTTGTTCTGGGTGGTCAACAGAGCCTGGGAAGAGTAGCAGGGACAAGAGAAATCAGGAGAGCAGACTGAACAGGAAATACATGAGAAGTAGCATTCTTCCTGCCTGGAAAGGCAGGGAGTGTACCTATGACAAGCTCAGAATCAAGGAAGGGAGTCTGACAGGCCAGAGTGTGAATAGCTTCTAAGAAAAAAATTTAAGTAACAAGACTGACCTCAACATCAGCCACCTTCATGCGGGTCCCTTCCTTGCCCACAAAGATGTCATCGATGTCTACCAAGATGTAGCGGTCAAGGTCCAGGCAGAGGCGCTTGCCAGTGAGGTATGCAACAGCATCAACGAAGATAAGTTTGTGGAGCCAGAAGGAAAGGCCATGTCCAAAGAGCACCCGCTGGATGCCATCATGAAGCCCCAGGTCCTGTACCACAGTGGGAAGCCGGGCCCGACGAAGAACTGGTCCTGGCACTGCGGGCTCAGCTGGCCGAAGGCTGGCAAGAAGCACTGGTTCATATGTACTATGATTGGATTGGAAGATGGTCCAGTCATCACCAGGCAGTGGCCCTGGTTCTAGGCGGCTGGGGCGTGTGAGATGCAGTAGCGGGGCAGAAGGATTCACTTGGTAGTCCCGGAGCCCCAAGTTTGAGTGTAAAAAAAGGGGAAAGCCCTTGAGCTGGGCGCTCAGTAGGCTGTGCTCGTGGGCTCGGAAAAAGCCAATGATGCCCACACCATACTCCACGCAGTACCGGTCTAGCAGTTCCCGACTCCAGGCATCCAGGTTGACATACTTGAGCAGGTTCTCATAAATGACCAAGACATAGCGGCCATGGGTATTATCAGTCAATGTGGGCATGTCCCCTCGGCCAGGTGCCAACTCAGTGCTATAACGAAAACGACTAGACTCCAGGATGGCCACAATTTCCTGCCCCAGCTGTGAGTATGCACTCTCCACAAACACAAGGACCACGGGTTCAGTTCGAGCTGTCTCTGGAGGCCTGGGGGGCCGAGGTGGAACTGGAGGCCGTGCAGGGCCAGGACCAGCTGCCCCACCGCTGCTGCAGTCTCCCAAGGGCAGGGGCAAGGGTTCCTTGGCCTTAGGGCTGGTGGACACATAATAAGCCAGGAAGCCCATGGAGCCCAGGCTGAAAGCGATCAGCAGCAGTATGAGGCGGTGCAGTTCCAGCTGCCGAGCTGGGCGTACCACCTTCCACAACTGGAGCATGGCGGGGGGAGGAAGGGAGGGAGGAATGGGGACCACCTCAGGGGATGGGAGGTAGGAGTTCTATAGGCTAGGACTGTCTTGGAAGGGTAGAAGGATAGGAAAATAGGGGACAGGGATTCCCTTGGGGAGTTTCCTTTACGAGGTGGAGACGAGTCCCCTTAGCATAGGGTAGGGGAGGTAGAAGGGGAAGCAGGGGGCAACTATACAGAGTCCACTTGTCTCAGGTCACCATGGCCCCCTGGCCCATGGCTTCAGGCTGCAAATCTTGCCAGGCTCTCCCCTTGGCCCTGGCTGAGCGCCTCACATCAAAGGTCAGCAAAGTTCAATCTCTTCCCCTCTACCTGTAAGACAGAGAAATCAGTGGGTTACTCCTCCCTCTGAAATTGTCATTAATCCATTCTCCTCCCCATCCCATCTCTCTTACCTCCTGCTTACTGGATAATCTGTTCTCAAAAAAAAAAAAAAAAAAGTTTCCTCTAGGAGAATCTACAAGCTGAGTCCTATACCTTAGCTTCACAGCTTGTTCCCTTTCCCTTTCTTAGAATACCCAAATGAATGTCCAAATTCTCCTCTCTAAGCAAAGCTCAGAGATGGAGCAGTATATGCAAATGATAGGAACAAATCTCCCATCAACAAGAGGCTAAATATCCTAGAAGGCTAAAAACAGGCCTGCTCTGAAAGGAGTTCCTAGCCCATGACCGAGCAGCTGGCAGCCAGCAACAGCTCTGATCTTTCTGTGAGGAAGGGACGGAAAGCCCCGGAAGTCTTCAGAAGTCCCATGCTCCAACAAAATATCAGATAAGGAACTCATGAGTCTGTTAATCTTCTCATCAATCAAACCCAATATCACAGCCAACAGCTTTAACGAACTTGCAGTCAGGTGGACACTATGGTGGGGGAGTTCAAAAGGAAAGAGCAATCCTCATGATAGGTAATCATTCTACCAGTTTCCAAACCCAGAAATTAGGGACTCCCTTACCCGTTGCTTGTGAAACATTACCTGCCCCTGACCTTCACCTCAACTTTGCCAGTCAGGAGATAAAAATGTAACCCCTGAGCAGGCCACACACTGGGTGCTGAGAAAAGCCATACAGCTGAGTCCACTCTACTTCTCCTTCCTAACTTAGCCTAAGTAGTTCTACAACCCTATTCCTAAACAGCTCAGAAGAGTCCCTGAGCTAGTCTGGAGAGACATGAGGTATTGAGTCCAGTTACACAAACAGAACAACTTGAGTAAGGACTGGATGACAGAGAGCAACAGGAGCTTAAGTCACATCCAACCAATGACAGAAGGAAAAAGGACAGTGTGATCAGAAAACAGTTTTAAGGAGGTCTAATTTTGGGGATCTCTTTTATTATTTTTAGATGGAGTCTTGCTCTGTCACCCAGGATACAGTGTGCTAGTGTGATCATAGCCTACTGCAGCTTCAAACTCCTGGGCTCAAGTGATCCTCCCACCTCAGCCTCCCATGTAGCTGGGACTACAGCTTTGCACCACCACACCCTACTAATTTTTAATTTTTTTTAGAGATGGGGGTCTTGTTACGTTGCCCAGGCTGGTCTTGAACTCCTGGGGTCAGACAGACAATCCTCCGGCCTCAGCCTCCTGAGTCTGTTCTTTTTCTTAAATCGACTGCTTCTGTAAGCTTTATTGTCACTATCCCCACTCAGCCTCCTTGTAAGGCTGGCAATCCCTCTCTACCACCCACCCCCAAACACACATCTCAGGGGTGATAAGGCAGAGCTGAGGTCCTTCAGAATTGACAGAGATGATTTAAAAACAGTTCAGGACAGGCGTGGTGCCTCACGCCTGTAATTCCAGCACTGTGAAAGGCCGAAGCGGGTGATCACTTGAGGTCAGGAGTTCGAGACCAGCCTGGCCAACATGGTGAAGCCCCGTCTCTACTAAAAATACAAAAATTAGATGGGCATGGTGGTGGGCGCCTGTAGTCCCAGCTACTCAGGAGGCTGAGGCAGGAGAATCACTTGAACGTGGGAGGCGGAAATTGCAGTGAGCTGAGATTGTGCCACTGTACTCCAGCCTGGGTGACAGAGCTAGACTCCAGCTCAAAAAAAAATAAAAATAAAAATAAAAATAAAACAGTTCAGCTTTGGCCTAGGTAAAACGACACGAGAAGACAGCTGGGGGAGAGGATCAAAATGGTGACGGGAAGGGGTGAATGCTAAGAATGTGATGCAACTTTAGAGAAAACATTGTAGTGAGGAGGTCACTGACGGGAAGTTGATACTCAGGGTGTATCATCCCGTATTTGAGAAATTACAACTTGCCAGCCATTCTTCTAAGAGCTTCACATATATTTAATCTTCACACCAGCCCTAAGAGGTAGGGAAAAGGTACATGCTCCATTATCCCCATTTCACATATGAGTAACTCAGAGAAGCTTAGAACCTTGCCCAGGATCACACAGCTCAGTTGGTGGGAGGGCTGGGATTCGACGTCAGGCCTGTCAAGCTCCAGAGCCGCGTTCTTAGCCGCTGCATTTTAGCTTCATACCTGGAAGAAGCAGCAAGGTTTAGGGAAGGGGCGCCGGGAGCGCCGCAGGCCGGGCCAGTGAACACTGAGGGCCAGCAGGGCTGGGCGGGGTGGGTGTGTGCGGGAGATCTCTGAGGACGGCGAAGCCAGACGGGGGCCGGGGCCGGGCCCGGGCTTGGGGAGGCCGGGACGGCCGGAGCAGCGGCGCGGAGGCTGCGGGCGCCGAGGGGGCCCGGGGCTGGCGGGTGGAGGGGCCCCGCCGAGAGGAGACGGGGGCACAGGTGGATGCGAAGAGCGCACCGGATGTGGGACACCAAAGGGGAAGGGGCCACAGGCGCGCGGCGGCGACTCCGGGGTGACATCGAGACAGCCTCTGGGCTGGGAGAGCCCTGCGGGAAGAAGGGAGCCCGCCCGGTCCGGAGGGGAGCGAGGCGGTTCTGAGGGAGGCCGGCGGAAAGGACCCGGGGCGCGGCGCACGCTGGGCCGCCCGGGACGACCCTGCGGGTGGTGATGGTGGCAACATCCAAGGGAGTCTGTTGGGGGGGCCTGAGCGCGACCGTGGGCGGGGGGGTCTCCTCAGGGGCGGCTCACCCGGAGGACTGGGCGGCGTCCCCGCTGTCCCCGGGCTCCGCCGCGTCCCGGGGCTGCCCGGCTTCCCTGCTTTCGGGGCCACGGGCCGCGTCGCGGCTGCTCCGCCATCTCCGAGCGAACGCTCTGCCGCAGCCTGGCCCAACCACCGCTCCCACCGGGGGAGGCGGCGCGCCGCCGCTGGTGGCACCCGCTCGGATCCACCGGCTCCGGCCCTAGCAGCCGCGCGACCTGGGTTCCGGGAAATCAAGCGGCCCTCCGCAGTGCCGGGCCGAGCCGCGGCCTCCGAGACGGCGGGCTCCGCGCCCCGCCCGCGGAAGCGCACCCCCTCCTCTCCGCGCGATGGCACTGCCGGCCGAGCGTCGGGGACCACGACTTCGGAGCAGGGGCGGGCTCAGGCCTGGGCTCATCCACTCAGCCCCGCGGAGGGGGAGCCGGGCCGGCCCACTCGGGGGAGGGGAGGAGTAAGAGGCGGAGCGGCCTAACCGGAGGCGGGACCAGGGGCGGGGCGAGGCCCTCAGCCGGCTCCCAGGGCACTCACCCTCCCTCCCCGCCCCGCGTCGCCTGCGCAGCACCGAGCGCTGTTTGGAGGCTGTTTATGAGAAGTTTTTTTTTTTTTTTTTTTTTTTTTTTTTTTTTTTTGAGACGGAGTCTCACTCTGTCGCCTGGGCTGGAGTGCAGTGGCGCGACCTCGGCTCACTGCAACCTCCCCCTCCCAGGTTCAAGCGATTCTCCTGCCTCAGCCTTCCGAGCAGCTGGGATTACAGGCGCCCGCCACTATGCCCAGCTAAATTTTTTGTATTTTTTAGTAGAGACGGGGTTTCACCATATTAGCCAGGCTGGTCTCGAACTCCTGACCTCGTGATTCGCCCGCGTCGGCCTCCCAAAGTACTGGGATTACAGGCATGAGGAAGTTTTATTCTCAAAAGTACCCAAAGGGAGTAGGAGGAGGTACTCTCTCCAACCTGGTAAGCCAGGCTGCTAAAATCTACGCCTCTGGCCGTAAACCTCCAACAGCAGTAACACAATGGACTGTTTAAAGGTTATTTTATTAAATATTTTCAGTTCAAGGTTTCATTGTAACAAAGCTATGAAGGGTCTACCAACATTCAGAACAAACACTATTTTTAAATTATTTCTATGTTGTCATGCAAAAATTCTGCATCAAATGCCTTCCGTTTCTTGTTTAAAAGGTGATTTTTTAATAGTCTATTGTCTATAGATGCTGACATTAGCCCCAGAAGAGGAGTAAGAATGCTAAGAAGTGGGGCTGGAGCAGCCATATGAAGCTATGGGTCTCAATGAATTCTAAGACCATTTGTCTTCAAGCCAGCAAAACGAAACCCTGTGGTGAAGGGATTTGCGTGCTGGCACTGCAGACTGCAGGGCAGGAAAGGGCTAGGGCCCAGGGGCTGGGACATGCATGAGGTGCTCGGAGGAGCCTGGCTAAATCCAAGCACCAGCACCTGTGAGTCTGCTCTCTTCTCAGCTGGCTCCCAAGTAAACCTGTAGCTTTGCCTCTTCTCCCAGCTCTCGTGCCTCCTGAAGGTAGTCCAGGGAACTGGAATCTACCCACCTTTCCCCCAAAAGTGGAGATGTTTGTGCAGATAAATCTGCAGCGTTGTTTTGAGGGAAACCAAGGCCATGACCAATTGCTCCTCCATTATCTTCTTTGCTATCTGCTTAGGGTATAGATCTCTTCCTCCTGGAATGGAACTCCTTGAGCACAGAGAGGGACAATGAAGGTAGAAGCCTTGGCTCTGGACACCTCTTTTGGGTTACATGCGGGGAGGGGTGATGCCCATGCAGATTGTCCAGCAGTAAGTCTATACTTCAGTTGGTCAGTAAAGAGGCCTCTGTAAGGACACCTCTTCTTCTTGCCAGAGCAGTCAGGTCAATCTCAAAGACAGGAAAAGAGATGGACGTGCAGCAAGGAAGAATAAGAAGGGAGGCAGCCCCAAAGGCAGCCTGAATGCATAGAAACGACCACCACCTCTTCTCCCACTGCCTCACTCCTCCCATCCCACAGGGGCACTTGGCAGAGGGCCCAGGCCCAGATGAGGGTCAGCATGGGGACCACTACCGTGAAAAGGCAAGACAAAGATGGTCCAGATCAGCACAGAAACAGAACCGCCAAAGGCGGCACGGGAGCCCTGACCAGGGCCTGGCTCTCTCCTTGCCAGGTTAGAAGAAAACACGAAGCAAAGCAGCAACAACCCCTCCCCCTCCTAGCTGCAGGGATAAGGCCTCAATATTAGGGCCCACATGCATTGTGCATCCTATAGAAATGGATGAGTGAGTGCATGTCAGACTAACACGAGGTTTCTCATCGGCTTCATGGCGGGTACACTTCTGCAGCACCAATTCTCTTCCCTTCTACACTAAACAAGACAGTACAGCAACGTCCGGGCTCTCAGTCCTGAGGCCACCACTTCTCAGCTGCCTCCACAGCAGGCTGGGAGCTCTGCGTTCTCTCCCAAGTAGGTCTGATGGTCACGATGTTCTCATCAGCCCCATTCTAGGCGCCTATGCAAGTTCCAAAGAAGTTCATTCCTAGACCTGGGGTAAGCAGGCCACCTCAGGAGCTGCAATCACATCACGGCCCCCAAAGCTCTGTCAGAGTTCTTGCCTGGTCCCCCTAAGTCCATGGGGACCAGAGAGGCCAAGCTCACCTCTTCAAGGCCGGTGGGTGAGCCACTGCTCATGCCAGGATGGACCTCATACATACTCCTGCCTTCTTGCCAACCCAAGGGCTGTCGGTGGTTTTAAAACGCATCATGGTATGGATTCCTTTTTTTTTTAAACAATCTTTTTTTCTTTTTTTTTTTTCTTAAATGTAAAAAACACCTCGGTACAGCAGAGACAGACACGAAGGGCGGGCGGGAGGGCTGCATGCAGGGGCGTGCATTGGCTGCTGCCGCTTTTGTAATTGAATTGTTTTAAACCTCAAACAAACAGGACTGCCGCTGTCACTCAGGCCCTCCAGAGCCACTGGCTGCGAAGGTTGGACCTCCGGCTGGAATCTCCTAAAGCCCCTGTCAAACAGGACAGAATGTGGTAACAGAACAGAGGACAATGAGCACACAGATGAGTTCCAGCGACTTTAGCACGCTAAACACATGGCCAAGTCGGCCTGAGAAGGTGGGGAAAGTGGGTGAAGCTAATGCTTAAATACAAAACTGCCTCCCATTTGCTAAGCACTAACTAAGTGCTTTACTTATAGTATCTTACTTAATCCTCACAATGATTAAATGAGGTAGGCACCACTCTCTGCCTTTCTTTGACAGCTAAGGAAACAGTTTAGGGAGGGGAAGTAACCTGTCTGAGGTCATCCAATTTGGAGTCACGGAGCCAGACCCTAGTCTGTCTGATTTCCAAGCATAACTTATTGCAACCATTCTGCCAGGCTTTGCCAGTCCTCTGGGACGGCCCACACCTCCTCTCCCAGGACCACCTCCCAGCCTTCTCTTCTTCCTCTGACCCCACCTATCCCAGGCCCTTCCAGCCCCTCTCCCCCGTCAACCAGGTGCACCTGTGGCTGAGCTCACTGCAGCGGTGCGGCAGGGGCCCCTGAGCAGTGATAGTGGACATTGAGCCACTTGCCATCCCGACGGTGCCAGACCCGGGTCTCTTCTGACTGGCTGGTGCGAGGCCGACCCTGCCCGTCGATGTACTGGGTGAGGCGGATGTAGGCGATGCACGCTGCGTCCTCCCCAATCACGTGGACGTGTGGGTTTAGGATGGTGGTATGGATAGGCTTGCTGTTCTTGGACAGGACTGCAGGGCAGGGTGGGGTAGGTAAGAGGACATCAGGCCTGGGCACCTGCATTTTCCTCCCAGCCTGCACTTCCAAGTCTTACCATCTCCCAAGCAACCACTCCCAGAATCTCCAAGTACCGCCCCCCCCCACCCCCGAACCCCTGAACGCCCTCCAGAGGCCAGGATGCCACATTACATTAGTCTCCTTTATCCAAAAGGAACAGAAAGATGGGTAACAGTGACAGTACCTGCTGCGCTTTTAATCAGGCATTGTGCTGGGGTTTTACATGCCCGAGCTGTATTTCTTGGTGGATAATATTTTCTTCATTATAAGATGAGGAAATAGGCTCAAGGAATAATTTGCTCAAATCACACACCTGAACTCAGGACCATGTGACTCTTAACTAAAGCCTATAGATTTTCTATTCTGTTAGGCTGAGTTTAGATTTCATAAGGCTTGGCTCACCCCTAGCTAGGGCTGCAGAACAAAATCATGAACTTAAACCATTCAAAATTGATTTGTAATTTTTTTTAAGGCACCAAAGCTGAAATAGAATCATCAAAGCACCAAGCTCAGGATATTCCCAGGATTCTCTGGGGAAAAGGCAAAAGAAGTTGGATTGCCATTATCAGCATATGCTGTGAAAACTGTGTTGCTTTTATTGAGATTCACATTTTAGTTCAATTCAAATGTTAGACAGGGGCTACATGACACCTTCCTAGTACTAATATAAACTCTGGAATTGCTTCTGGCTAATAGAATTACTTAGATAACAGAGAGTTTATATATGTAGCTGAGATGTGATAAGGGTGGGAGCCAGCGGAGAAGTTAGTGACTAACTATAACTCAGGGCAGGATAGGGAAGGCCCAGCATAAAGTGGGAAGAGATAAAAATAAGGAAGGGGAGGGTCTCATAGAGCAGAGAGAAAGATGGGAGGGGGTGATGATTCAGCTTCTTATCCCCTTATTTTCCATGAACTGTCCAGAATGTACACCCCACCCCCTATACAAGACGTCTGCCTTCCTCCATAGTCAGGAAGATTCTAGCCACAACTTCCGATCTCGCAAATCACCAACAGTGCCCTGGTTTGCACATTCTTATCCTGGTTTTAATTTCCTCTATTGTGAAACCTGCAGACACAGAGCTTAGTTCTTATGTGCTGAGATCATCTCAACCTAATCTCAAAGGGTTTCCTTCCAATCCGTCTTGGAAAGAGGTGAGGCTTAAATAATTTTTTCTTTTTTTTTGAGATGGAGTCTTGCTCTGTTGCCCAGGCTGGAGTGCAGTGGCCTGATCTTGGCTCACTGCAAGCTCTGCCTCCCAGGTTCACATCATTCTCCTGCCTCAGCCACCCGAGTAGCTGGGACTACAGGCACCGCCACCACGCCCGGCTAATTTTTTGTATTTTTAGTAGAGATGGGGTTTCACCGTGTTAGCCAGGATGGCCTCGATCTCCTGACCTCGTGATCCGCCAGCCTCAGCCTCCCAAAGTGTTGGGATTACAGGCGTAAGCCACCGCGCCCGGCAAGAAATAAGTGAGCTTGATTGTGGTGACTGGCACTGCCACAAAGCAGCTGCAGAATGAATGGCACTTGGAGCTCAGGAGCAGGGCCTTCAAAGGTGCCTGTCTACAACCATCGGGGCACAAGGGGACAAGCATACAGAGTAGGAGTGCAGCACGAAGGTCAAATAAGGGAAAAGTGGGCAACTGGGATGAGAAGGTGAGCAGGAGACAGAGACAAAGGGGTAAAGGGGCAGGCAGGAGTATATCAGCAGCACGAACCCACTCACGATTCTCAAAGTAAAACTTATGGAAATCCATCCCCTCCACGAGGTTACCAAGGGCCTCAGGCTCAAAGGAAGTGAGGCCTGGATCACAAATCTTCCTACAGGGAGAAAAAAAAAAGCAGCCTATCAGGCTTCTATGGAGTGACTTGTCTTCCTTCCTTATCAGCGGTGTCTATCCAGTAGCAGCAGGCTACCTGTGGCCATGCCAGACAAGACAGCAAAGATCTTCCAGGCCTGCCTGCTGAGCCACTCAGCCCTGTGCTTTCGGCCCACTGCCAGGATACCATGGGTGAGCTCAGGGAATCTACCTGGAAGGGCTCCCAGTTTAGGAGAGGGCTTAACTCAGATACTTTGCCCAAGGTCCAACCTCCCTTTCCCCAGGGTCCTAATTGTTGTCTGGAAGCAGGGAAGGCCTTGGGAGATGACTTAGGTCACAAAAAAAAATGGGTCTCTACTTACGTGTAGGCCTCAAAGTCCCCATTGTTGATGGCTTCAATCAGCTGTTCTGTAATCTTAATGATCTCCTGTTTTCGCACTGTGGGGGAGAAAAATCCATCAATTTACCTACTGGGGAACCTCCCAAGTTACAGAGAGCCCTCCCCAGTCCTCAGGAGTCCCCTGTGATCGCTTATGACAAAGACATCCCTCTTCTCTGTCTCTAGGGCCCTTGGCAGGAAGAGCGAACACACCTTCCCTCCCGTCTCCCTCTCTGCAGTCTGCAGAGACAATGACCACTTTCTCCTGAAGCCCAGCCATTAGTTATGGTTCTTTGGCCTTTGCCTCCCTTTCCATCAACAACCAGGTTGCAGAAAACACGCTTGCCTTTAACAGGTGAGGAGCCTGGTACATCGTGAATGCTGTGAGCCCCTCCCCTGTATGAGCAGCCTCTCTCACAAGCATCTCCCAATAAGGCCGCTTCCACCCCCAATTTACTTCTCTCACCTGAAGGGGCTCAGTCAGGTCTCAATCACCACCCCCACTCGTAGCCCTCATTCAGTGGCCAGGACCCAGCCCTGGGTGACAGGTAGCCTGACAGCAGAATCCAGCTAGGGCTGGGGTGCCAAAGGACCATCAGAACCCTAGGATGGATGCTTCCCACTGCTCAACTCCACAGGGCTTTTCTGGGAGAAATGATCCCAGAACTGTAAAAACTTGGGACAGCCTGTACCAGAGAGGCTGCTCCATTTACCTCTCGAGGCTTGGGAAAGCTGCACATTTCACACCAGCTCTCATTGCCAGGACGTGTTCCTCAGGAAAACCAGACAGGGCTCAGACTGACAGGCAGGCAGAGGTGGTGCCCTCCAGAGGCCTCCTCCCCAACCCATCCAAAGCCAAGGGACAGCTGGTGATGTCCTGCCGGCATGGGCTTCTCTTATAGGGAATGCCACTACCAGCAGGGGCTGCCACCAGGGTAAGGGAGAGCTTGGGTTGAGCTTGGGCTCATCCTAACCCGAGCCCTGGGCGGGGCCAGGCCACAACCCTTTCCTCACAGGAGCAAAAGGCTGCAAGACAACTGCAAGCGTTAGAACAGCACCACCACGGCCCAGCCGGGCCAGCACAGCCAAGCAGCACAGTTGGGACAGGGCAGCGCAGCCAAAGGCACATCCAGGAGGGGGCCCCACAGCCGTCAGCCCCGCTAGGCCACAGCTCCAGGTGAGCAAGCAGCAGGTTAAGGGAAGCAAGGAGTTCGATCGGCTTCCAAAAGCAGCAGGCAGGTGTGCACCCACAACACACACACCCTCTCCAACCCCACCAGACCCATCTGGATGACCTGACTGGGGCCCCACGGGCGAAGAGGGTTGTGCTTAGAAACTCTGCAAGGATAGATGGTGGGAGGAAAAGCAGCAGACAAAGGCATCCTCCAGCACAGACGTAACTAGAAATATGAGGATGAGCTACTGATAACCCATCGAGGCACCGTATCAAGACTTCCTACTGCCTTGTCTTTTATCTAACAAGGCTCTGAGGTGCGTGCCATTTTATTTCCACATTACAGATAAGGAACCTGCAGCTCTGGGAGGTTAAACTTCACACTCTTGAAGGCAGTGTAGCTGGGATTTAAACTCAGATCTATCTTGCCTCTGACCCCATGCTCTTAATACTGTTATGCTGAGACTCAGGAAGCACTACATCCCCAACACAGTTCCTCGCTGTCACGATTTCCCCATCATCCCACTCCCACCCCCACAGACCTGACTTCCGACTCTGCCCTTCTTCCTGGCTCAGCGCTGAGGCAAGGCCCACTGCACATCCTGGGGGCTTTCTACTCCCCTCATCCCAGGCCATGTTTTTCCACCCACACTTCTCATATTTCTTTGGGCCCCAGACTCAGGGGCCCCTGCCTGGTCTCAACAGCACCTCCAGTCTACCCCCCACCCCCAGCAGAGGCCATGCTCCCAGAGCTTACTACCACGGGCAGGTGGGTGGGACTGACAGCTGTGGTGGGGGTCCCTGAGGGGCTTCAGGACGAGCCAGGGAGACGGAAGCCAGAATGTGCCTCCCTCACACTTACTGGCTGAGGAGCAGAGAGAAGGCTGGGGCTGCATGCCTGCAGAGGGGGCTGTTCTGTCCCGGGAGCTCCGTCCTTCAGGCACCGAGCTGCCATTCCCAGTGCGGAGCGGGGCAGCTAGCCAGCCAGGGCAGGGCAGGGCAGGGCAAGGCAGAGCAGCCAAAACAAACAGAACAAGGCAGGTGAGCGAGCAAGCCAGACAGGCCCCGAGCCCATGGCGCTGCAGAGCCGGGGCAAGGGGACGCCTCGCCTCAGGCTGCTGTGGACACTGGACGACATCCCACGCCGCCGCCTCTGCCAGAGAGGCCTCCCAGCTGAGGGCACCAGGCAGGTGCCCAGACCTGGGCTGTGGCTTCCAGACGAGCCTTACAACAGCCTGTCCAAGGACCCCTGATCCCGGGGAAGATGTTCCAGGGGGCCAGGCCACAGGGTCCAGAGCCCAGCAGTGACAGCGCCTCCTATGTTGCCAGCAGTGCCGGAATCAAAACTGATCTGACCTCACTCACAGGGGCCTGGAGCTACTATGATTCACTTCCTCGCAGCTTTCTGCTATTTTTTTTGGTTCCAAAAGGTTTGGTGCCCCCTTGCCACCCAGGGCATGCTCTCCCAGCTCTGTCCTAGAGTGTTCCTCTGTCTTTTCTGATGTCCTGGCCCAAGGTCACTTACTGAATTCAGGCAAAGGGAGCAATTCCAGGAGGCCCAATCAAAGAGCAGGACAGAGATTCCCGGGGGTCCAGCCTGCCATGCCCTCCCACCGCCCTGGCACTCTAGCCAGGCCCAAGCTTAGGCTAGTGGTCCTTACGGGCCCACCAGGACATGACCAAATGTGGCCTCACGGTTGTCAGATTAGTTCCAACTCCATCATTCAGGCCAAAATCTTAGGACTAGAGTGACCAACTCATCCCAGTGTTCCCAGGACTATCTGGGTTTTATATTTATATATATATATATATATATATATATATTTTTTTTTTTTTTTTTTTCTTGAGACAGAGTCTCGCTCTGTCACCCAGGCTGGAGTGCAGTGGTGCAATCTCAGCTCACTGCAACCTCCACCTCCCGGGTTCAAGCCATTTTCATGCCTCAGTCTCCCGAGTAGCTGGGATTACAGGACCCCGCCACCACACCCGGCTAATTTTTTTTTTTTTTTTTTTTTTTTTTGAGAAGAAGTTTCGCTCTTGTTGCCCAGGCTGGAGTGCAATGGGGTGATCTCGGCTCACTGCAACCTCCACCTCCCAGGTTCAAGCGATTCTCCCACCTCCGCCTCCCGAGTAGCTACGATTACAGGCACCTGCCACCACACCTGGCTAATTTTTTATATTTTTAGTAGAGATGGAGTTTCACCATGTTGGCCAGGCTGGTCTTGAACTTCTGACCTTCAGGTGATCCACCCACCTTGGCCTCCCAAAGTGTTGGGATTACAGGCGTGAGCCACTACGCCCGGCCTTTTTTTGTATTTTTAGTAGAGACGGGGTTTCATCATGTTGGCCAGGCTGGTTTTGAACTCCTGACCTCAAGTGATCCACTTGCCTCGGCCTCCCAAAGTGTGGGGATTACAGGTGTGAGTCACCGCACCTGGCCTATTTATTTGTTCCTAATTTTTTTTTTTTAATAGAGACAAGGTCTTGCTATGTTGCCCAAGCTTGTCTCAAACTCCTGGTCTCAAGCAATCCTTCTGCCCTGGCCCTCCCAAAGTTCTGGGTATTACAGGTGTGAGCCAGCACTCCTGGCCCATCACAGTCTTAAAACCAAAAGTTCTGTGTCCGAGGAAAACCAGGAGTGATTGGTCACTCTATTTATGACTCATAGCACTTACAGGCTACTTCGGCAGGGACTTGGGGTACCCCTGTTCTTGGATGGCACATCATTATCAGCAACAGGAACAGTTCTCTGAGCCCTGGCCCCTGGAGAATCTCTAGCTTAGCTATTTTAGACTTGGGGTCAAAGAAGAGAAGCCTCTTGCCCAACTCAGCAACACCAGACAGGGGCCTCATATCTTGGCTCGTGGAAAGTAGCTTTTATACCAAGCCCTCTCCTAGGGGCATAGGAGCCAGCATTCCCAGTTCTGGGGACAGAAAAGGCAGGTGCCCCATTGGAGCCCAGGTACCTGGGTCACTGCTGGAGTCCTTCCCCCTCCAAGGGCCAGCACCTACCTTTGAGGTCCTCATCTTCTGTGGTGGTGTTGCAGCTCTCTGTGGAGCCCTGTAGGCCAAAAAGAACATGTTTCTATATGCTCCATCCCTTGGAAGCCAGAGGAGCAAAGCAGAACAAAAGCAGAGTTTCTGCTCCTACAAGAGGTGCAAGGAGGAATTGTGGAAGGTTCTGCTTCCACCCTGGCTGTCTGACTCTTCCCAAATCCCCTCCCTAGTCTTCCCCCAGTTGGTAAATGCCACCATCTACCCAGTTACTCAGGCTAAAACCTGGAGTCATCCTCAATCCTTCTCTTTCTCTTTTTCCCTTATATTCAGATCGCCCAATCTAAAATAAAATCTTCTGGTTCTGCCTCCAAAGTAAACCCCATGTCTTACCTCTTCACTTCCAATGCACAGCTACAACCTGACTCCAGGCCACCAGCATCTCACACCTGAACCATGATAACAGCTTCATGGTCTCCCTAACTTCCACACTTACCTCCTCCCTAGAGTTTTTCTTTTTTGAAACAGAGTTTTGCTCTTGTTGCACAGGCTGGAGTGCAATGGCATGATCTCGGCTCACTGCAACCTCTGCCTCCCGGGTTCAAGTGATTCTCCTGTCTCAGCCTCCTGAGTAGCTGGGATTACAGGTGCCTGCCACCATGCCTGGCTAATTTTTGTATTTTTATTAGAGATGGGGTTTCATCATGTTGGCCAGGCTGGTCTCGAGCTCCTGACCTTTGCTGATCCACTCGCCTCGGCCTTCCAAAGTGCAGGGATTACGGGCGTGAGCCACCACGCCCGGGCCTCCCTAGAGTTCTTGATCATGAGGCCAGAGTGGTGTTTTAAAGTGTCAACTAGATTCTGTTACTCCTGCTAAGAACTCCCAATAGCTTCTCCTTGCTGCTGGAAGAAAATGCAAACTCCTACAAGGGCCTCTGTAGCAGGCCCTGCTGCTTCTCCAACCTCATCACTCTCCTATGGTTCTCCCCGTCTCACTTTGCTCTTCCCTCTGCTTGATTACAAAGGCCACATCTGAGCTTCAGTTCCTTCTGCTTAGGGCACTCAGCCTCAGAGCTGGCCTGGCTGCCTCCTTCCCACCCACCATTCAGTTTCTAGCTCAGATATCACCTCCTGAAAGAAGCCCTCTCCTGACTACTTAATTCAAGGCCCTGTTCTCTCTGTCTAGTTTGGTGAGGTTTTTCTGTTTTTCATTTTTTAGATGGAGTCTTGCTCTGTCGCCCAGGCTGAAGTGCAGTGGCACGATTTCAGCTCACTGCAACCTCCGCCTCCCAGGTTCAAGCGATTCTCCTGCCTCAGCCTCCCAGGTAGCTGGGATTACAGGCATGTGCCACCATCCCCAGGTAATTTCTGTATCTTTAGTAGAGATGGGGTTTTGCCATGTTGGCCAGGCTGGTTTTGAACTCCTGACCTCAAGTGATCCGCCCGCCTTGGCCTCCCAAAGTGCTAGGATTACAGGCATGAGCCACCGCACCTGGCCCTCTCTCTACTTTCTGCCATTTTCTTCAGATTACCTATTGACATTAGATTTTATCTTATTTATTTTTTTTGAGAGATTAAGTCTCACTGCGTAGCCCAAGCTGGAGTGCAGTGGCGTGATCTCAGCTCACTGCAACCTCCACCTCCCAGGCTCAAGCAATTATCGTGCCTCAGCCTCCCAAGTAGCTGGGACTACAGGCACGCGCCACCACACCTGCCTACTTTTTTGTATTTTAGTAGAGACAGGGTTTCACCATGTTGCCCAAGGTGGTCTCTAACTCCTGAGCTCAGGCGATCTGCGCACCTTGGCCTCCCAAAGTGTGAGGATTACAGGTGTGAGCCACGGTGCCCAGCTTATCTTATCTGTTTGCTTATTGGTTTTTTATCTGCCTCCCATCCCACCCACCGTTTGAACAGATAATTTGTCTTGTCACCTCTGTAAGCCAGAGCCATGGATGGTATCTGGGCTTAACAGATGTTCAGGAATGCTGGTGAAAACATCAAGGGCACAAAGGGGTCAGGCCATGGAGAACGCTCCAGGGTCTGGAGATACTCTTGCCTATTTTTTCAGTGAACGTTTACTCTCATTTAAACTTCCGACATATGGAGGAAGATTCTATTATTATCATCCCCAATTTGCAGATAAAGGATACTAAGGTGCAGGGCCAGGATTCAGACCAGGTCTGTCTGACTGCAAAGCCTGAGCTCTGTAAGGTATAATGCCCTTCCTCAGCATGGAGCAACTGTGGGCACAGGCTACCTTCAGCTGAGCCTCTGCAAACACCTTGGCCTCAGGGTGCAGCCTGTAGACCCCTGGGACCCAGCCCACCTGTCTCCTGCTGACCTGGAAAGCAGGAGGCAGGCTCAGGAGCCACTCACCTTGATCCCATCTGTAGCGTTGTGTACCACAGTGGTTTGTGGCTCCTGTGAGAGAAGATGAAGATTACCCTTCCGACTTGGGGACAGACTATGGCTCTTCCCTGAGGAGCCCCACCTGCACCCCAGGACCCCCGCAGACCCTATGATGACCACTGAGGCCTGCCCACCAGCCATCTCCAGAAGACAAAATATCCCGGCTCAACTGGGGTCCCGGGCAGCTGGGATAGCCCTGGATTTTGGCAGCAGCACTGGGCTGGTAAGAAAGAGAGGCCTGGCAGGTGCAGGTGCCCAGGAGGCTGACAGCAAGGGCCTCTGTCCCTGATTCCTGTCAGTTCTGAGGGCTCTTTCCACATGGGGTTCCCACGGGGCAGGTACACTAGAGGAGCTGTGGGACTGAGGGCACAGGCCGGGCCCCGCCCACAGCGTTCATCACGGGGAATGTGTGAGGCAGGAACATGGGCAGAAGAATGAGGTCTCCCAGAAAGAGCCAGGACAGGAGGCCCCCTCAGCAAGCTGAGCCCAGAGAGCTGCCCACTGCGCCCGCCTTCTGCCTTCCCTAGTTCCTGGCCCCACGCCGCCACGTCATGTGGTATGAGGGTCCGCAAGGAGGGGAGTAGCAGGCAACATCACCTCTCCCTCTTTCCCAGTCACCCCCCTGCTGACTCTCTAGTTAGCCACCACTAGCAGAGGGACCTCCAAGAGCACACAGAACCCCTGGAGGAGCCCAGAGAGAACTTAGCCAGCATGAGGCACTCCAGGAGCCTGGAGACCTCAGCACCATCCAGAGGTGGGGACCCCAGCCCTCTTTCCTGTTTCTGGCTTTGCAAAGGAGAGGCTGAGGCAGGTTTTACAAGGGGGCCTCCAAGAACTGATGTTCAGGTCCCAAGAAAGCTCCTACCCTCTCCTTTCCTAAGCAACTCACCTTCCCAGCCCCCACAGCAGACCCACTAGGGGTCCTGGGCTGGGCCTGGGAGGTTCAGCTGAGAGCCCTGATCACTCTTCCCCCCACCAGCGAAAGGAGCAGGAGCAGGAGCAGCACTTCTGCCATGCGGGATGGAGCGCGGCCAGGCGGGACAATGAAGGGGAAGGGGCATACAGGGCGGCACACAAAGCAGTCAGTTCTATGGGGACCAAGAAAGGAACAGGCCAGGAGGCCAGGGAGGGGGCACAAGAGGAGGAAGAGGGAAGGGGCAGGAGGCAGCCAGGGTCAGAGGCGGAGAAGCTGTAGTCAGGAGGTACCATGGCCGTCTGCAAGGGCGCGGGCTCTTGGGCTGGGCTTACGAGACTGTTTTTGTTGTTGCTCTGTGGCTGAGACAAGAAAACAGATGGTTTAGTTCCTCCAGAGTCCCCAAGGCCACTCAGGTTCAACTCCCAGACCTCCCTTGCCCCCTGGTCTGGCCTGGAGGAGGTAGGCCTGAGGTGGCCTCCATAACGCTGTGTAGATGGGAGCGATGGCTAGAGAGATGATCAGAGGAAGTATTTGTGGGGCCCAGAGACCTAGCTCTGGGGGCACCCTCAAGGTGGGACCAGCCCAAAGCCTTGTTTTAAAGCATCCCTCCAGAAATCTCTGCTTATGCCAGGTGCCAGGTCATTGCAAAATCCACACCTGACCCAAAGAAGTTCAAGATCTTCTTCCCACTGTACAGGAAAAAGGGGGGTAGTTTATAAGAAAGCAGAACAAAATTCAGAAACTCTGGTCCCCTATCTGTGGGCAGTCTCCTGCTGCACTTTCAACCCAGCACCTGTATTTCCTTCTTACAACACCAGCTCGAAGCCTGAAACAAAGAGGAAGGAGAAAAGAAAAGTATGCCTGGCCTAAGAGATGGTGTCCAGAGGATGGGGGTGGAAGTCCCTTTCAGACACAAAATGCATTCACTGACCTCAGGGAGCAGAGTCAGGACTGTGCTGTTCACCTTTTTGTCTGACAAATCTTAGGCCTGATCAGCTAGAAGGGCAGTGTTCCGGGGAGGGGCAGGTGAAACCCAGCGGGGCTGTAGCTGTAGTCCCAGAATCCAGCCCCCAGGACAGAGTAGGCCACACACAGGCCAACATTCCCAACAGCACCATGACCACCAGGGATATCTCCTTGCCTTTCAAAACTACATGGTGGTGGGTGGGCACGGTGGCTCACACCTGTAATCTCAGCACTTTGGGAGGCCAAGGCGGGTGGATCACCTGAGGTCAGGAGTTCAAGACCAGCCTGGCCAACATGGTGAAACCCCGTCTCTACTAAAAATACAAAAATTAGCCGGGCATGGTGGCACATGCCTGTAATCCCAGCTACTCGGGAGGCTGAGACAAGAGAATTGCTTGAACCTGGGAGGCAGAGATTGCAGTGAGCCAAGATTGCACCACTGCACTCCAGCCTGGGCAACAGAGCAAGACTCCATCTCAAAAAACCAAAAGCAAACGAACAAACAAAAACATTACACGGAGGGGCACAGCAAGGGAGGGGCAAGGGGAAGATGGAAGAAAGGAAGAAGGCTGATCTCCAGGGCAGGGAGCCATATCCATGTGATGTTCTTTGCCTCTGATAGTTCCCTAACCAGCGTACTCCATCTCACTGAGTTCCAGTGGGGTTGGGGGCCACTGAGGAGCAGCCTGATGCCTGCAAGTTCTTCAATAGGCAGTGAGACAAATGTGTGGCTACCATCCCTGCACAGGGCACAGATGATACATCGACAGCTAGAATGTGTGTCTTCTCTCCTAGGACATACACAGAAAGCATCCTGACTGTCCTACTTCTTGCCTGGAGGCCTCTTGGACCAGACCTGAAGCCGTCCACCGCCAGCTTGCTGTCAATGGCTCAGACATCCCCAAACCCAGGGCTAGGCATGGAACCTCAAGCCAGGCACCAAGTGACTCCACTGAACAAGACTCCACAGACTGCGACAGGCTAGAGAAGAGGGGGCCCAGGAGTAGTGAGACGGTGGGTCTAAACTCACGGGAGCTCTGCTGTCTCTCATTCCCACCAAGAAGCAAAGCCCACCTAGCTCAGTGAATGATGCTGACCTGTTCGGGGTTGGTTAGAGAGGGCTGCCCTACCTGTAAATCCCAGCTGAGGCCAAGACCCTCACAGGGGGCAAGGACTCCAGGGTGCCCACAAAACCTGCAGAGGGCTGGGATGTCACCCAAGTGGCCCCACCTCTGGTTTATTTATTTTTTGAGACGGAGTCTAGCTCTGTCGCCCAGGCTGGAGCGCAGTGGCGCGATCTCGGCTCACTGCAAGCTCCGCCTCCTGGGTTCACGCCATTCTCCTGCCTCAGCCTCCTGAGTAGCTGGGACTACAGGCGCCCACCACCACACCTGGCTAATTTTTTGCATTTTTAGTAGAGACAGGGTTTCACCGTGTTATGGTCTTGATCTCCTGACCTTGTGATCCACCCGCCTCGGCCTCCCAAAGTGCTAGGATTACAGGCGTGAGCCATCGCGCCCGGCCCCCACCTCTGGTTTTAATGGATGGTTTCATAATGACTCAGGCTGCTGTGTTGCCCTTGGTGCCCAGTGTCCCGTGAGAAAGATGAGTTAGCTGTCCCCCGAGGGCTGGGTGGGCAGAATAAACCACTGGGCACAGCTAGAGAGAATGGGATTTGCACGGGGGCAGAGCCAGGAGAGCGAGACTCACAAGTGGGAGCCTGCAACCAGCTCCTCTGCCCACCACACAGTTGCCCTCCAGCTGCCAGTCTGTAGGAAGCAGCTCCTCATGCCTGGGAAGCAGGGCCTCTCCTTCTGGGTGACAAGAGAGTGAGGGTCTCTCCCTTGCTTGCCCCAAGTCCCTACCAGCTTCACATCCTACCCTGGGTCGCTGGGGTCTGTCCAAGCTCCACAGCAGGGGGTGCCGTACCACCCCTTCCAATGTCCACTTTTTAGGCTACTGGGTGACCTTGGGCAATGGCCCCCGCCTGGCAGGACAGGCCACACCTGCCCACACAGCACAGACATGCAGTGAGGATGAGTGAGGCACACGCACGTGGCAGAACAGGTTTGCGTGGCTGGCAGGCGGGCACAGGCAGCATGGAGTGGGCGATGGGTGGGCAGGCAAGGCTCACCATTAGGTGCACGCTGGAACTCGACTTCCTTTTCTGGACACACCACAGCAAGAGGGAAAGAGAAGGGGAAAGAGGAGGTAAGAAGAGAAGCACAGAGACGCTGCAGGTTAGCGCACCAGTGTGGGCTCTGCATCAGGGAGAAAAGAGCGGAGGGAGACCCGGAGTCCAGCACCAGAGGGTTAAACAGCACACGGACCGACAGGCACTCACACCCTCCAGACCCTGGGAGGGAAGAACTCTTTTGTGGTCAGGTTCATAGACACAGATTTAGTATCTTCTGAGATGTCTCAGCCTTGCTCAAAAAAAGCCTCTTAAGGAGATTAAGACACAAGTCTGTGAGGTTAAGTATCATTTTGCTACAAATTTACAGGTCTGGGTTCATAGGGTTAGCTCACCCTGTAATGTTATTTATTTTCTCTCATTACTAGAACTGTCTGAAATTCAAGTGAGCAGCCACCAGGGAAAAAGCAAAAGCTACTACAGGCTCTCCTCAGCTCTAATAAAATTTGACTTCTGACTTCGCTGCATCCCTACTATGCTTTTTACATAAAGATGCTGAGCTTTTGAAAATCACCTAGCAGTTAAATGTTGGCCTTCCTTTGTCAGTATAGCCATGCTTGTTTACAATATTTGAATTTTTTATTGCATTTTGCAATTCGTGGAAAATAGAAACACAGGAGTGCCAGTGATTAAAACTACAGTGATCATAAAAATGCAGGGATGTAAGCCACAGGGAATGTTGAAAGCAGTGATTCCTCAGCCTCAACTAGATGCTCACGAACTTTACGTTCACATGTGAAACAGACGCATCAAGATGAAGACCACGTGGAACACTGAAAATATATCCCAGAAGACTGTGTCTAAAAAATGAAGGGTAATTATCAATGTCATCATTAGCTCACTGGGGGTAAGGTCCCCCTGTAATATGTCCGTCTGTCGTTCAACTTTTGCACATTCATTTAACAATGCCCAGCAAACACTGAGGGCTGTTTCAGGTAAACACAGCTGATAAACTGCTCCTGCCCTCAAGCGGCCAGCATTCTTTAGAAGGCATTTTCAGGGATTATTATTATAATCAACGAAAGAGGCTACAAATATTGACAATGGTCCATAATTTAGAATTAGATTTAAAGGAAAAGAAAAACCTAAATATAGTTAGGCCTCTTTTACATTGGCCTTTTATTTATTTATTTATTTATTTATTTATTTATTTATTTATTTATTTTTAGGGAGTCTCACTCTGTTGCCCAGGCTGGAGTGCAGTGGCACCATCTCGGCTCACTGCAACCTCCGCCTCCCTGGTTCAAGCAATTCTCCTGCCTTAGCCTCCTGAGTGGCTGGGATTACAGGCGCCCGCCACCACGCCCCACTGATTTTTTTTTGTATTTTTAGTAGAGAGACTGGTTTCGCCATGTTGGCCAGGCTGGTCTCGAATTCCTGACCTCAGGTGATCCACCTACCTCGGCCTCCCAAAGTGCTGGGATTACAAGCGTGAGCCACCGCACACAGCCTTACAGTGGCCTTTTAAATATGCTCAAATATGATATTTTACTTCGAAAATCATCCCTCAAAAAGAAGGAGTTCCCTTATATTCATATATATAAGTAGTGGGGTGTGTGTGTGTGTGTGTGTGTGTGTGTGTGTGTATATCTCCTTATCCCTTTACCCAACTAAAGTGTTACTGCTTTCAGGAAGGTTCCTATCTTATGTGTCTTTACAATTTCCACAGTACCTAGCAACATGCCTTATAGTTAGCATACAGGCGACGAAAGTTTGCTGAGTTGAGCTGGGTTTGCTGACTTTGGTTTTTCCCCAGGCTAAAGAAGAGCACAGGTTTCTAACTTGCACTGAATCACGGCAGCAAGAACTCTGCGTAGGCACTCACTCACCAGGCCCAGTCTTTGTTCTGCTGATTTTCAGGGGCTTGTTGTGAAAGGCCATTGCAGGATCTTGACTTAAAGCAGATTTTTGACTAATGGGGAATAAGTTCTCAGCCTTCTCCTGGCTTGCTCTCTTTTTCCTAAATTGTCCTGCATGAGAACCTGAGATCACCCTTTTCCAAAGACTGTTTCTCAGGTTAGTCAACATTTTTCAATTTCCTTCTCCATTCAGGGATTTGCCCTTAGCCATGCATAGCTGGGCTCCTTCTGAACCAGCACACTACCACATTGTCTAAATGTGAGGTCTTTTTATTATTTTTTTAGAGATAAGGTCTTGCTCTATTGCCCGGGCTGAAGTACTGGCATGATCATGGCTCACTGCAGCCTCAACCTCCTGGGCTCAAGGGATCTTCCTGCCTCAGCCACCTGAGTAGCTAGGACTACAGGTGCACACCACCATGCCTGGCTAAATGCCAGATGATTTCTAAAGAATCATATCTCACTTTTACTTAAAAACTGTATATTTATTTTAAATTTTAAGCTGGAAAAGCGTTCAAACCTCTTTCTCATACTTAATTTAACAAAATAATTCAAATAGTACTTAGGGAAATAACTATAACCTTTCGTTTTTCTTGCTTGCTTTCTTTTTTAAAGATAGGATGGCCATTCTGGCCTGGGACTAGCAGAAGGCACAAGTTGTCCTACACTCTCAGGATCTGAGAGTTTGTGGCCTCTTCAGTCATCCTCACAAGTGGCTCTTACTCTTCCATAGACCCTGGGTCACTGGCATCCAGCTTCAAAGAAATCTAAATAGAAGCTAAGTCCCCCAAATCAAGAACACAAGACAGACTAGCTGCTCAAACCAATGCTAGTATTTTGAACATCTTGCAGAAAGCTTCTGAACAGTGAAAAAGAAATCGCCCTATGGACACTTAAGCAGTAGGAATTGAGGAAGGGGGAGTTGGGAAGGGAAGATGGGATCTAAAAGAAGAATCCATGATGCTGAAAGCTCAAGACCATCTGAGCTACTTCACAGGCCTCCCTCATAACATTGATCAAAACCTTGACTTTGAGAGAGCCTGGAAAGGTCGAACTCTGCACATCTTGCTTTGTCCTCTCCTTTTCGTTTCTCACCCCTTTGATGCAGCCACAACATAAGTTGTTATTTACCTGTTTCATATTATAAAAGGACTGCAGCCACAATACAAGCAATTTGGAAAACAGAGAAGGGGCATGGGAAAACCACTAATACTCCTAGCAATCTTCCAGTCTTTTTAAAAAATGCAATTGGCCGGGCACGGTGGTTCATGCCTGTAATCCCAGCACTTTGGGAGGCTGAGGCGGGTGGATCACAAGGTCAGGAGATCGAGACCAGCCTGGCCAACATAGCAAAACCCCGTCTCTACTAAAAATATAAAAATTAGCTGGGTGTGGTGGCACGCGCCTGTAGTCCCAGCTACTTGGGAGGCTGAGGTTGGAGAATTGTTTGAACCCGGGAGGCGGAGGTTGCAGTGAGCCAAGACCATGCCATTGCACTCCAGCCTGGGTGAGAGTGAGACTCCGTCTAAAAAAAAAAAAAAAAAAAAAAAAAGAAAGCAATCTTTTAAGATATCATTATAGGCCAGGCGTGGTGGCTCATGCCTGTAACCCCCGCACTTCAGGAGGTTGAGGCGGGCAGATCACCTGAGCTCAGGAGTTCAAGACTAGCCTGGGCAACCCCGTCTCTACTAAAAATACAAAAATCAGCCGGGCGTGGTGGCACATGCCCGTATTCCCAGCTACTCAGGAGGCTGAGGTGGAAGAATCACTTGAGCCCGGGAGGCGGAGGTTGCAGTGAGCCAAGATCACACCACTACACTCCAGCCAGGGGGACAGAGTGAGACCCTGTCTCAAAAAACAAAAAAAAAGATATCATTATAAGATATAATAATACAAGCACATGTCTTACCTCTTTTCTTTTTTTTTTAATTGAGATGGAGTCTTGCTTATGTTGCCCAGGCTGAACCTCCTGGGCTCAAGCAATCCTCCCACCTCAGCCTCCCAAGTAGCTGGGATTACCAGGCATGAGTTGCCACACCTGGTATTATGCTTTACTTTAAAAAAAAAATAGTATTTAAAAAAAATTCTGATAACAGTAGTGCACAATCTAGATGAAAAATATAGAATACAGAAAAATGTGTAAGAAAAAAAGTTTCTCAAATTCCCATCACCTGGTGAAGTTACTGTTGACACTTCAGTGGGCTTTCTTCCAGTCCCTTTTTTATCCACATATTATATACTGAATAAATATCTACAAACACGTTTCTTCAAACCAAATTTAGAATGATAGTGTATGTACTCCTTTTTTTTTTTATTTTTTGAGACAGAATCTTGCTCTGTCACCAGGCTGGAGTGCAGTGGCGCACTTGGCTCACCGCAACCTCCGACTCCCTAGTTCAAACGATTCTCCTGCCTCAGCCTTCCAAGTGGCTGGGATTACAGGCACGCACCACCACGCCCAGCTAATTTTTGTATTTTTAGTAAAGACGGGGTTTCACCATGTTGGCCAGGCTGGTCTCGATCTCCTGACCTCGTGATCTGTCTGCCTCGGGCTCCCAAAGTGCTGGGATTACAGGCGTGAGCCACCGTGCCTGGCTTGTCTGTACTCCTTTATATACCACTTCCTTCACTTAATATAAAACATTTCTGCACTTTATTTTTCACTTAAAATATCCCTACGGTCATGAAAATTAATAACTTTTGAATAGTTTATTAAGTAGATTTCCCATAATTATTTAGTCATTTACTGGCTTTTAAAAAATCTTTTTATTTTTAAATTTAAAAACATTTTTAAGAGTTGGGGGTCTCACTATGTTGCCCAGCTGGCCTCGAATTCCTGGGCTCAAGCAATTCTGTCCTGCGACAGCCTCCTGAGTAGCTGGGACTATAGGTACGCACCACTGTGTCTGGCTCCTTACTGGCTTTTCAAATTGTCTCCAATCTTTTTTTTCTTCTCTCTCTTTTTTTTTTTTTTTTAAACAGAGCCTCACTCTGTCACCCAGGCTGGAGCGCAGTGGTGTGATCCTGGCTGTAACCTCAGCCTCCTGGGCTCAAGCAATCCTCCCACCTCAGCCTCCCAAGTAGCTGGGACTACAGGCACGTTCCACCACACTCAGCTAATTTTTTTTTTTTTTTTTAAGAGATGGGGTCTCACTACGTTTCCCAGGCTGGTCTCAAGCTCTTGGGTTCAAGCAATCCTCCCAACTTGGCCTCACAAAGTGCTGAGATTACAAGCATAAGCCACTGTGCCCAGCCTCCAATCTTTCCACAGCTATAAATAATGTCATGTTCAACATTTTTCTGCTTTTAGCTTTTTCCTATTTTGAATTATTTCTTTAGGAAAAACTCTCAGAAGTAGAATTAACAGGGTAAAAAGAGGTAGAAGCATTTTTATGGTTTTGACACACAGGCTGTTTTAGAAAGGACCATTCTGGTTTTCACTACCATCACTAACTAGAGTCCAAAAATGGCACCTTGTTTCAATTTGCATTTCTCTGATACTAGTGAGGCTAGAAATTTTTCCACATTTGTTATCCAGTTCTACTTCCTTGTTTTCAGGTTGTCAGTTTATTTTCTTTGATCATCTATCTTCCTTTTTTTTTTTTTGAGACAGAGTCTTGCTCTGTCCCCCAGGCTGGAGTGCAGTGGTGTAATCCCAGCTCACGGCAACCTCTGCCCCCCGCAAGGTTCAAGTGATTCTCCTATCTCAGCCTCCCGAGTAGCTGGGACTACAGGCGTGCACCACCACTACTGGCTACTTTTTGTATTTTTAGTAGAGAGGGGGTTTCACCATGTTGGCCAGGCTGGTCTCGAACTCCTGGCCTCAAGTGATCAGCCCACCTCAGCATCCCAAAGTGCTGGGATTACAGATGTGAGCCACCACACCTAGCCTATCTACTGGGTTTTTTTTTTTTTTTTTTTTTTTTTTTGAGACGGAGTCTTGCTCTGTCACCCAGGATGGAGTGCAGTGGCACAATCTCAGCTCACTGCAAGCTCCGCCTCCCGGGTTCACGCCATTCTCCTGCCTCAACCTCCCAAGTAGCTGGGACTACAGGCGCCTGCCACCACGCCCGGCTAATTTTTTGTATTTTCAGTAGAGATGGGGTTTCACCGTGTTAGCCAGGATGGTCTCGATCTCCTGACCTCGTGATCCACCCGCCTCGGCCTCCCAAAGTGCTGGGATTACAGGCGTGAGCCACCACGCCCAGCTTCTACTGGGTTTTAAGAGGGATTATTTGTCACAGAAACTCTTTCAATAAAAATATTAACCCCTCCCATCACAACGGCTGCGAATACGCGGTTGGCCTTTTAATTTTGGGTGATCATTGGCCTCTGGTTCCCACCATGATATTGAAGCTCTTTTCTCAAAAGAATGTGGCATAAAACTCATTTACTGAGCACATATCAGGGTCAGACACACAACACATTGCAGGGCTAGGTTCCCCACGCACGTCCTCATTTAAAGCCTTTACCTAATGATGTGTCTGCCCAGCCCTCATCCTCAGGGTTCCTGGAAGAGCTGCAGCTGCTGCACATTTCTCTTTTCCCCCTACCTCTCTGTCCTTCCTCTGTTTCCTTTGCCGACTCTTGTTCCAGCCCTTTCTTAACACATAACCCCAAAATTTTGCCTTTACCAGACTCTTAAACCTTCATGTGCTTTGGATTCATGAAAGTGTTTTTAAAATTCACAGATTCTGCCTCCCAGCCAAGGCCTCCAGAACATGAATTCCAAGCTGGGCCCTGGATGTGCATGGTTTGAGCTGGCTCCTTGGGCTAATCTTACATGGCTGCACATGACCTTCATCTTTGACACCAGTAGTATCTAGAAAGTTTGGCTAGAAACCTGTTCTGTAATGGTGCCTTTTCCATCCTCTCCCCTCCACCTCAACAGTCACTGCTTTATTTCAGGTCTCATTTTATGCAATTGCTCTTCCCTTCAGCCATAAAGAAGATACTGAAGTTCCCAGAATCATCATGCTGTTTCAACCTCGTGTATCTTCACATGCGCTCTTCCCTCTGCCTGGAATATCCCTCCCCTCCTGTCTCCTCCTTAACCCAGCAAAATCCAGCTACTCCCTCAAGCTCAATTCCTGGCCATCTCCTTCCAGAAGATTCCTGTCCTGGTTTGGATGTTTATCTGTCTGCTCCCCCAGCACCTGCCAGGTGCACACCTCCCTGAGACCTTAGCAGACTCCATAGAAACAGTAGCTGCCTTGTGTCTCTCCCACTGTAAACACCTTAAAAGGTAGATTAAGTTTTGCCTTCCCAACTTCTAGGGGCACAGCAGGTATCTTTTTTTTTTTTTTGAGGCAGGGTTTCACTGTCACCCAGGCTGGAGAGTGCAGTGGCTTGATCTTGGCTCACCTCAGGCTCAAACTCCCTGGGCTTAGGCAATTCTCTTACCTCAGCCTCCCAAGTAGCTGTGACTACAGATGCACACCACTATGCCCAGTTAATTTTTTTTTTTTTTTTTCACAGACAAGGTTTTGCCCAGGCTGGTCTCAAACTCCTGGACTCAAGCAATCTTCTTGCCTCAGCATCCCAAAATGCTGGGATTACAGGAGTGAAGCCACCGCACCCGGCTTGCCAAATCATTTCTATCAGCACTCTCACCATAGCTTCCCTGCTCAATGGCCTATGGTATTTCCCATGGTCTGACACAGAAACTTCCAATTCTGCCTGATAAGACTGATCCAACCATATTTTTGACATCAATCTACCACACACCCTGTGTTCTCACTGGGCAGAGAACATCAATATGTATAAGAGAACCCATACAAATATAATTTGTTGTTTTTAAGTTATAGAAATGTCATGTTGTTTTCTTTTCTCTTTTCTTTATTTTCAGACGGAGTCTTGCTCTGTCGCCCAGGCTGGAGTGCAATGGCGCAATCTTGGCTCACTGCAACCTCCGCCTCCCAGGTTCAAGCCATTCTCCTGCCTCAGACTCCCGAGTGGCTGGGATTACAGGCACCGGTCATTATGACTGGCTAATTTTTGTATTTTTGTAGAGACGGAGTTTCACCAGGTTGGCCAGGCTGGTCTTGAATTCCTGACCCCAGGTGATCCACCCGCCTTAGCCTCCCAAAGTGCTGGGATTACAGGAGTGAGCCACCAAGCCTGACCCATATTTTCAATTTAAAGAAAACATATAGCAGAAAGTAAAACTGCAAAGTGAGTCTCACCTATGTCCCTGCAGCTTTCTCCAGTACGCTCTCTCCTATGAGCTTCCTGGACTAAACCATCTCGCGTGGGTCCACTAGCAGCGCTCAGCTGACTCCAGGTGCGGCCCCCTTCCTATGGCGACTGAAAGCCACACCCCCTCTTACACCTCTGTTGTGTACCCCTCAGAACAGAATGCTGCGTGGACATCTGACTGACAGGTACTTATTAAACACTCTCTCCAACTAAACCTGCCCCTTTTCCTCACCTGGCTCCATCCATGTAGCTCAGGGGCAGAGCTTGGGGACCGCACGATGCCCCCAGCTCCATGTCAGAGGGTGTGCGCGGAGCCCAGGCTCCCCTGCGAGGGGCGGAAGAACACAGAAGCAGGCATGCAGAGAATGAGGGAAAGAGGAGGGAGTGGGGAGGGAACGGGGAGGGAACGGGGCTTGTGTGTGTATCTCAGCTGTTGACACAAGATCTTGGGAAAAGGCCCAGTGAAAATCTAGTCTAGAGTGTAAGCTGGGAGGCTTCAAGATAGCATGAGCTCCTACCCAATGCCCTAGCCCCAGGATCCTTTCTGCCCCCAAAGCATCTACAGAATGTCTTGGGCCCTGTGGGTAGCCCCAGTCACCTCTCCTCTACCTTGGCCAAGCAGCCATTCCCAGCAGGGCTCCTGGTGGGTCCCAGGTCCCTCCTCTTGCCCCAGTCCCATGGGAAAAGCTCCCTCACCCAGTGGGAACAAGCCGTGATCCACCATGGCCTTTGCCTTTTTCTGAGGAGCCTATGCGTCAAGAAAGCTCGAGGCTGTTGCACTCAGTGGGATCTGAAAGTGTTGTAGAGAGAAGGAAAAAGACCAAAAGGAGAGTGGTTTCAGGTTCCAAGCCCTATACCCTGCCTGAATCACTCAGGCAAATTTGGCTTTCATTTGATTAAAAGGATTTGTGCTCTAAAAAGGAAAAAAAGAAAGATAACCAAATGACCTAAAAAACCCAGAGTCAAGCCCTGGAGATGAAGCATCCGTGTAGAAGTCAGGTTCCGGATTCAGCTCTGGTATAAACTATGATTTGGATCACTTCCCCTGAGTCATTCCCATCCAGCTAGGGCCAGGAAAAATACCTCCCTACTTCCCTCTCAGGCCAGCAGAACCTTCTGTTCTGAGCACAAAGGCATCTGGTTTAAAGCAGACTAGCAAGGATAGGAAGATTCCCTGGGAAAGGGGGAACCAGGTGCCAAGAATTCCCATAGTGACTGCGGGGAGAAAGAGGCCAGTCTGTTCAGAGGCTGGAGACACTTACCTTGACACCGCCATCCGACTTCTTGTTCAATAGGCTTTTGGCAGCTGTGAAAACAAAGAGGAATATCAAGTCTCCTGCATTGTACCCTCTCCCCAACCTGAAGTCCGGCAGCCAGATCCACAAGAGAGTGCTGTGTCTGACAAGGGGGCCAAGGGTCTCCCGAAACCCCCAAAAGAGGCACTTCCTATAGCCTCTCAGCAAGAAGGGGATCTTGAGTGGCGTCAGAGCCCTCAGGGTGGCACCTCAGGATCTCCTCTGCGTGGAGGAGGGCATGGATGCACGACACTTAGAGGAGAAACCATGCTCAGTACTGGAGCCGCCTGGGGCACTGGGGACTCTGCCTTTGACAGCTTCCACCCAGGCCTGGAAGCAGAGTGCCAGGGTGAAAGAGTGAGGGCTCCATCCCTAGGTGCCATGGAAGTTCTCTGGATGGCCAAACTGCAAGGATGCAAGACATCTCCTGAGTGTTCTCAAGAAGCAGAGTGTCACAGTTCACACAGGAGACCAGAGGACAGACAGACACAGACACAGAAACCAGGACCACCTACAGGAGGGTTTTGCCAGGGGGTTGAAGCCTTCACTGAGCAGGTCCTCACCAGGTTCACTGGGTCCTAGCTGCCACCCTTTCCCCAGTGTCCACTCTCTGGACCTGTGAGCAGGAAGGACTCGGCAGAATAATGAGCTGTCAAACAGATTCTAGCCAGGCATAGGGTGACGCTCCAGGCTGATGAGCTCTGTGCCAGAAGGCTGGTGACACCAGCTGGCCACAAAAGGCCACAGGAAGGTAGCAGACAGTGGGGAGGAGAGTCTGGGAGGCACAGGGAGATGGAATCAGCCCAACTGTCTGATACACCTGGACTGCCTGCCCTGGGTCTGTATCTTGGTTCCACCACTTGCCAGCTGTGTGACCTTTGGTGAGTTACTTAACCTCTCTGAGCCTCAATTTCTTTATCTATAAAATGGGATAAAGTAGGGCTGACATCACAAAACAGTGGTGGGAATCCAGTGGGATTATGCATGAAAAGCACTTAGAGTGCCTGGCATATAGCAAGTACTGAGTAAGTGTCCACCATCGTTGTCACTATTGCTGCCACCCTCCTGCCCTTTGGGTAGCCATTCCTCCCCAAGCTGTGTTCCATCTCTCTCCAGTGAGAACAGGGGTCCTTCCATTACGAGAATTCTGACTCCAGAAAAAGACCTTTGATCTTATCTTGTCGTGCTGGGTTTGAATGTTGTTTTTTAAATGTGCTGACTCCTGTGCCTGACCGCCTACTGTCTAAGTGCTTTCCATTCACCAGCCAGCTCTCAACGCTGGTTGCCCACTAGGATCACCTGGGAGCTTAAAAAAAGCGTACTACCTATCTTATCCCTAAGGGTCTGATTTTATTGTCTGGGGTGGGGTCCTGGCATTAGGACTTCTTACGAGCTCCCAGGTAACAGCTGTACTGCACAGGCAGGGCTGAGAGCCTTCGACAGGGTGATCTTAAGCACCACCATGTTATTTATCATCCCCATTGGAGAGGTGAGGAATTAAGGCTGGGAGAGCTGGTGTGACTCGCTCAGGGTGTGGCAGGGCTAGGATGTGAACCCAGAAACAGCTGGCTCTGAGGCTTCTGCACTCTGGAGCCTTTCAGACCTGGAGGCCAGCAAGCGCCAGACTTCACAATTTTGAGGAGCGCGGCTCCTCTGTGGGGTCTTAAACAGTGCTGCGGAAATCTAGTCCTAGCACCGGGCAGCTCAGGGCAATGCCCAGCACTGTCTCTGAGGGCCCACTGTTGGCTGCAGCCCTCCCAGGGCATCGGGCTCTTGGCAAGGCTCCCGCTGCCCAGCTCCATGCCCCCAGGCTACTGCCCCCTGAAAGTTGGCAAGCGCCCAGCATGCATGGCTGGTTAGGGGGCTCCATAACAACGATGCGCTTGCAGATGCCAAGTTAGGTAGTCTGTCTGGCATGCCCATCTCAGCCCGCAAGCATGGGACTCGCCTCCCTGGTGAGTGGGCCCGGCATGCTGGCCCTCCTGGTGGGGTGGCAGGGGGCCGAGGCAGGCGGTCGGGGAGGACTCATGCCACGTACCTTGCCCGGCCAGGCCGGCGGCGCTCGCGGCAGGCGAGGCGGGGGCGGAGCTCTGCCTGCCAACTGAGGGGATACAGTCTCTCAGTGCACAGAGCCCCGCAAAGCCACGGGGCCGTCAGCAGCGAGCATGCCCCAGCGCGAGGCGCAGCCCAGGCGGCGTGGCCAAGCCAGCCGAGCTGGGGGAGCGGAGCGCCAGGGGCAGGCTGAGGAGGTAGGCGCAGCCAGCCCTGCAGCAGTCTGGGGGCCTGGGAAGACCGGGCTGGGCCAGGGCATAGGGAACACTGCGTCCCCACCAGATGGAGAGGGCTGCAGTGCCTGTCTCATGACCCCCTCCGGAGGAGGGTCCACAGCGAAATGCCTGAGCCGGTGAGAGGCAGGTGCCCCTTCTGAGGTAGCCCGGCCCTAGCTTAAGGCTGTGATGAAACGCCCTCCCTTCTAGTCCTTCCCTCCCTAGAAGCTAAATGAGCCCACGATGAGAGTGCCGGGGGCGCAGAGCAGCCCTCTCCCCTCTCTACATCCCACACACTAGAGGGACTGGCGTGGGGGTCCCAGGGAGGGTCTGTGGCCCTTGTGCAGCTAAGTTTACTGGTGGGCCCCAGCTCCATGCCCCCCAACCCCTCAGAGACACAGGTCCCTGTCTTAAGGGAGGTAGCCGAGAGAGGCAGCATTCTCAGTCTGTGTGTCACAGTGTGCTGAGGTGAAAGGTGCCCAAGAAATAAACCCTGAGAAAGAAAACAAAGGCTGCTGAAGCAATACACTCTGGAGGCCCCGATTCGCTGTTAGCCAAACTGCTAGAGTCCAGGATAAGCCACATCTCCTATTGGAGGTCAACTCAAAAAACAGCCCTAGAGAAACACACAGGTGCCCTTCCTTCTTGATTGCATCCATAGACACCTCTTTCTGCAGAAGCTTCCGGACAGACTCTGTCCTCACCTGTCCCAGAGTCAGGGCAGAAGAGGCCATCCTGGAATGCTTGCAACATTGTTTGTCTCCTCTGACCCAAGGCAAAGTGAGCTCAAAGGCCAGTCTAGGTCTGGCCAATAAGAACAGGAGGCTCTACAGGGATGAATAAAATGCTTTGTCCTAACACCCGATTTCCTGAAACCAGGATGCCAGTTTCCTGAAATGGAGGGGGAGGCTGATGTGGAGGCCCGGGGCTGCAAGACAGGGCCCTTGCTATTGACTGGCTGGGCTAAAAGAGAAGCAGCAGACTGTCTTCACATTTCTTCAACTCAGAGGGGAGAGAGGACAGAGCTTCGCTCTAGGGGCAACACCGAAACGCCCTTCAATGTCCTCTGGAAAGGCTCGTAGACCCAAAAAGTAGAAGCTGCGTCATTAAAGCACAAGAAGCAAGTGTGGGACTACAGTTGCAACTCCACCGGAGGCAGCCAGCCACGCTTCCCTGTTCCCATCTGCGAGAGGTGGAGCCACACCACAGTATGCCCGTCGTGGGTACCCATGACACAAGATCAAGCCCCAAACCAGGGTCAAAGGAGAAGGCCTAGGGCAGGGCACCACCAGCCCCGGGCTCACTATCCAGCCCTGGCCTTCCGGAGCTCCATGGCTCTCAGGCTACACCACGAAGCCCTAGGCTCCCTGCCTGCAGCATCCTCACAGCCAAGGCCCTGGCGTTACCTGGAGCCAGCGCAGGCGAGCCCAGCAGGACGGGTATTCAGAAGTGGCTCCCACTGAGTGGTGGCTTAGGCTCCCACACAACCCCCTTTCCATGGTGGTGCAGAGGGGAAGCAAGGGAGGGAGTCTTATTATGGGAAGGAGAAGGGGGGGTCTTGAACCAAAACAGTGAGGCAAGGGGTTAGAGGGAGGGAGGACCGGGGGAGATGGCAAGCTGGGCAGAGCCCTCTCTGTCTTCAGTCTCGACATTAATCTTTTCCTCACAAAAAAGCCACTGTGCTTCCCAATTGAAGGCAAACAATAATAGGGGTTGGGGTGAGGGTGGGGGCAAGAGGGGAGTGGAGTGTCTTGCATCTTAAAAATAAATGTCAAGTATGATTTACAAATTATTGGTCCCACCTCTCCCAATTCTTTATGCAAATTTAAGCAAGTTCCTTTCCCTCTCTCCTGCTGGTCTTTATTTCTTCACTGTTATAGCTAGTATCTCAGGGACTATTTTAAGCACAAGTCGCCACAAAAGGTTTAAACATCTGGAATAATTTCTATTAGTCATCTCCACTTGGACAAAATGAAGTAAGAGATCGTCCCAGCAGGCAAATGAATGGTGGCAATTTGGCAATTGAGAAGACTCACTGTACCTCATCTCTCTTTTCTTCCCCCAGCACATCCTCCAAGATCCTAGAATGGCTAAAATCTGTAAAGTGCTGAGAGTCTTCAGAGAGTTAAATAAGAATCCAGAGAAACAAGGTACATAGCAAGTTGGGCAGGCTACTCCTTGGGAAGTTCTAGGAAACAATTCACAAATGTGAGTCCAGCCCCCTGAATCTCAGGAGCAGGACTCAGCAGCAGCAGCAGCCCCTCAAAACAGGATCCTCACTCGCCCTGGTCAAGGTGTGGCCCAGGACGCCGAGGAAACCCAGCGGTGCCCGGGATGGCAACAGCCCATTCCTGATCCACTCACCTCGGCATAATCAAAGTACACAGCTGGGAAAACATACCTGAGAAGTTCCTGGAGACAAGCATGGTCGTGAGGATGGCACCCTGGGGAAAGAGGAAGGTCCTGTGAATTCACTGAGACCCTAGAAAAGGGCAGGCTGGTCTCAGGCAAAGGCAGGTCCTGGCTAGAGCCTGAAGACATCAGGCCTCTGGGCCCCCTCCCCTGTGACATGTACAACCTTCAGAGCCCAGCTCCAGCCAGGAGGGGAGCTTCCTTCTGAAATGGGGCAGGAGCCACACTGGTGCAAGGCATGATGTCAAGGAGGCTGGCAGCCTAGAAACGACACTCACCTTCAGTTTTCTCCGGGCATTGAACTTGCGCAAACACTCCACAGTCTCCTGACGATGCATCATGGATGCCACCGTGGATCGTTGCTAGAAACCAAACAGACAGGCTATGAGCCCCAGCCCAGATCCTCTGCGCCTCCCACAGTCCTGGCACCGATACCATGCCCAGGACAGGGTCATGCACTCAGCCACCCCAGAGTTGCTCTGAAGATGAAATGAGGTCACAGATGTGAAAACGCTTTTAGAATAAAAGCACTACCCGAAACTCAAGGTTACATAAGGACAACATGAACGTGAGAACACCATAACGGATGCTAGACGGGCTGCTGAGAGACCGTCCTATTCTTCCTTGGGAAACAGAGGCTACCGAACAGGAGAGTACCCTGGGGGCTGTGATCCTCATTCAGTCACTCCTTAGGCAGCTGTTTACTGAGCACCTACTGCGTTCCAGATGCTCAGCAGCGAGAGAACGGCAGGGTTCCTGCTCTCTACAGAGGACATTCCTTCCTTCCAAGAGCCCCTCTCCACACACCCCCAGCAAGGTCCTGAATGAAGCCATGATCCCAGAAGCTAAGGATCGTCACCTTGAAGCATCAATTCTTTTCATCATTCTGGATGTAATTTTTTTTTTTTTTTGCAATGGAGTCTCGCTTTGTCAGTCAGGCTGGAGTGCAGTGGTGCAATCTCGGCTCACCGTAGCCTCCGCCTCTCAGGTTCTCCTGTCTTGGCCTCCCGAGTAGCTGGGACTACAGGCACATCCCACCACACCCAGCTAATTTTTGTATTTTTAGTAGAGACAGGGTTGGCCATGTTGGCCAGGCTGGTGGTCTCGAACTCCTGACCTCAAGTGATCTGCTCACTTCGGCCTCCCAGAGTCCTGGGATAACAGGTGTGAGCCACTGTGCCCCGCCTTTTTTGGATGGAAATTTGTCTTCAATGTATTTACTGCTAACTTCCTGGCCTCCTTAAACAGAGTCCATGGGACACAGTCTACACTTCCTCAATGACTCAGCTGTCAATACCAGCATCATTATGTAATTTCAGAATATAGTGATGTCCTCAGGGGCTCGAGACACACGGGACTGCAGAGGGTAGGGCCTGCAAAAATGACCCCAGAACAGAATATTTCCCCCATTCTTGGGTGCCTGTTTCAGGTTGCTTGCCCTCTCCCCTTGCTGTTGCTGTCTTCACCAGCCTGTCAGAAAAACAAATCCTGGCACCTGCAGCCAGGTGCCCACCAACACTACGGGGCCTCCTCGCATCCTTTCCCTCACCCTTGGCCCACTCTTTCCAGGTCCGGAGGCAACTCTCCCCACCTTCTCTACCTTCCCCAAGTCTCTCATTTTACCTCCTCCTCGGTGTAAATTTCTCCAAAAGCAAAATGAGAGGTCATCAGCAAGAACCCCTTTCAGCTCAGACTTCCACTCACAAGCCGATCTTCACCTGCCTCCACACTAATAGAAGTCTCAGGGGGATCATGGTCATCCCCGGGATGGACCCCCTGCCCTTGGCTCAGGAGCCCCCTCTCTTTTTCTGCTGTCCAAACCTTTGCTTCCTCAATTAGCAAGGATCTTCAACTCTTTCCTCTGGACTAGATTCTTCTCTATAGATTATAGTTAAGCCTCTCCTTAAACAAAAAAATTTTTTTTTTTTTTTGAAACAGCATCTCACTCTGTTGCCCAGGCTGGAGTGCAGTAGCACAATAATGGCTTACTGCAACCTCCACCTCTCTAGGCTCAGGTGATCCTCTCATCTCAGCCTCCCAAGTAGCTAAGGCACGTTACCACAACCAGCTAATTTTTAAAGTTTTTTTTTTTGTAGAGATGGGGTTTTGCCATGTTGCCCAGGCTGGTCTCAAACTTCCGGGCTCAAGTGATCTACCTACCCTGGTCTCCCAAAGTGCTGGGACTACAGGTGTGAGCCACCGCTCCTGACCAATATAATCTTTAAAAAGAAATTTTTTCTTCTTTAGAGGCAGAGTCTCCCTCTGTCACCCAGGCTGGAATGCAGTGTCATTATCTTGGCTCACTGCAACCTCCACCTCCTGGGTTCTAGTGATTCTCATGCCTCAGCCTCCCAAGTAGCTGGGATTATAGGTGTGTACCAACATACCCAGCTAATTTTTTGTATTTTTAGTAGAGATGGAGTTTCACTATGTTGGCCAGGCTGGTCTTGAACTCGTGGCCTCAAGTGATCGCCTGCCTTGGTCTCCCAAAGTGCTGGGATTACAGGTGTGAGCCTTACATTAAAAGCTCCCCTGGCCCATCTTAATCTAAGTATCACCATTTATTTCCCACCTCAATGCCTAGCTCCCCATGCCCCTCCTCACCCTCACTCCCTCTTCGTCTCACTGAAAACAGGGTTTCATCTTTCTCTCCACTGTCTCAGTGAAATGATGAAACAATGGCATCTAATGGTCAGAGCCAGGGGATTCTTCCCCAACTTAATCAGGGACTCTTCTGCATCTGATTCCTGACGCTCCCTTACTGAGACCCCCTGTTTCTTAGCTTCTGGGTCTTCTGGAAGGTCTCACTCTCAGTGCTCTTTGCTGGGCCCCCTAACTCTCCCTATCATTAAATGCTGGTGTGTAGTGGCCGTCTCTTCTCTACTACAGCCAATAGAAGCTCACCGTAAGAACTCAACCAGCATAGGAACAGGCCCATCTACAGCATAGGAAGAGGCTATTTCTACAGCCTCACTACCAACTACACAGAAATGACTACAATGTGGATTTCCAATTTTTAGCTTCTTTTCTAATCTCTAGGACCATATTTCTAACCACCCACTGAATGTGTCTGGCTGGAGGTTGCCAGACTCAGCAGGCACAAAATGAAAACCATCATCTTGGCCGGGCGCAGTGGCTCATGCCTGTAATCTCAGCACTTTGGGAAGCCGAGGCGGGTGGATCATGAGATCAGGAGATCGAAACCATCCTGACTAACACGGTGAAACCCCATCTCTACTAAAAATACAAAAAATTAGCCGGGCGTGGTGGCGGGCACCTGTAGTCCCAGCTACTCGGGAGGCTGAGGCAGGAGAATGGCATGAACCCGGGAGGCAGAGCTTGCAGTGAGACCGCGCCACTGCACTCCAGCCTGGGCGACAGAGCGAGACTCCATCTCAAAAAAAAAAAAAAAAAGAGAAAACCATCGTCTTGTCTCACAAACAAGCTCCTCCTCTGGTTTTCTTCTGGGTCAGTGAGGGTACAACTCTCCGCTCAACTTGAAACCTGGCCTCTCTCTTCTTTGCTCCCCCCAAATCCAACTGGAGAGAATTAAATCCTTTAGGTTCTCTCAAATATCTCTTGAATTTCAACACACTGCACATTCCCCCATCCTTACCCTCTGCTGAGACCTCACCTGGTCTTGCTTAGACTATTCCAACTATTAAAAAAGCTTCCTGAGCTCTCTGTCTCCAGCCCTTTTCTTTTAAAAATTTTCAATTCCCTTCTTTTTTTTTTTTTTTTTTTAAAGAGGTGGGGTCTGACCATCTTTCCCAGGCTGGAGTACAATGACTATTCACAGGTGCAATCATAGCTCGCTGCAGCCTCAAACTCCTGGGCTTATGATCCTCCTGCCTCAGCATCCCCAGCAGCTGAGACTACAGGCACATGCCACCATGCCTGGCAATTCATTTCCTCACAACTTCCAAAGTGTTCTTAAATGCAAATTTCATTCTTCTTTAAAACCCTTAAATGATTCCCTATGTTTTCAGAATAAAATCCAAACTCCTGAGGCAGAAACTTGTATGTCAGGGAATCTTTTGCCCCATTCTCTTGCATTCTGATATTTGCAGCCTCATCGACAACCAAACAACTCAACATTCCTTCAACTCACCATAGTTTCCCATAACCTCTCACTGTGCTAAACTCTGTCTGCAGGTTAACGTTCTGAGGACCTCGTTATTTGCCAAGAACAAGCACAGGGGTGTCACCTCCTCCGTGCAGCCTTCAGTAACCCCACCACCCACCAGGAACAGTAGGAGCTCCTGTACTCTCATTAGATTCTTGTACCTACTTGTCACATTGTAACATGACTGCCTGTTTGAGTGCCTGTCTCCCTAGATGATCTTTTGGGGCAGGGACCATGCCTCATTCATCTTTGTATCTCCAGCACCCAGACGGTAACCAGCACCAAAGAGGTATTTAATAAACACAGAATGGACAGATAAATAATGCCTCGTGGTTGTCAAGATGCCTAACTCTACCAAATCCTCTTCTTTGTCTGAAAGTTGATATTTCAGCTTGAAAGAATTGTGTATAAAAACAGAGTACGTCAACCCACACTGATAGCCTAGAGGACTCTCCTAGGACTTTAGCGCAGAAGCTTTATGCCTCAGCTTTTATGCTTTTAATGACTCAGAAACCCCTTCTGTTGATTTGTTGGATCTTGGTCACCACTCCAGTGGAGTTGAGATCTGAGTATGAACCCCAGCTTGGGAATTCACTTTGGGTTTTGCCAGCTGCTTTCTATCACCGGCTACCTGGAGTCCACAAGGGTCAACCTGAGCCCTCATCCAAGAACAGAACCAATCCCAGCCTGACAGCCATGAGTGGGGGAGAGAGGAGCAGTGGCCCACCAGCCCCATCAGCCTCCCGAGTCTCCCTGGTGACATTTATTGACCCTGGCCCTCAACAGTCCTCTGCCCGCCTGCTCAGTTATTGCTTGGGGCCCAGAATGAATCTCTGCTGGTAAGAAGGAGGGGGTGGTGCCGAGGGCACACAGAAGGCTGACACCCCTGAGCTCCTTGGCCACTAGCAAAGACACTTACACAGACCCACGGGTGCTTGAGAGCCTGGTCAGCCGTGATGCGCTTTGCTGGGTTTATGGTCAGCATCTGGTTGATCAAGTTCTTGGCTTCAGGAGTTACCGTGTCCCATTCTGGTGATGGGAACTAAGGAGCAGGAATAGGGAGAAGAATGTGGTATTGGTGAGCTTCATACCCTGCAACACTGGTTCTGTCTTCAACTCAACTCCTGTAATTGGGATACTCTGTGGTACCTAAAGCTGTGACTGGCAGAGTTGGAGAAGCCCTGCGGCTATTCCAGAACCTGTGTCAACTTAAAGACTTGGAAAGACAGACAGAACAGTCATGTTTAGAATGCCAGAACATCAGATTAGAGCGGGAAGGGGACTCCAACATTCTCTGGTTTAAGCCCAGCTCTATACTTAGGAGGGAACAGAGGCTCAGCAATGTGTCCAAGGTGCCACTGCAGTGGAGGGAGTCTCCAGGCCTTTTGTCCCTGTGTTACACAGCACACCAATGAGGCCGCTCCATTCTTTGCAAGTAAAGATCAAAGGACTTCAGTGGACTCCTCAATTTTAGTTATGAAGAAGGCTGTGCAAAAGAAAGTTGCTCCCTGGGACATAGAGTGGCAAGAATTGGGCCCTGGATGCCCATTCCTGGGTCCTCAAAGTCCCCTGACACCCCCGTATCACGTGACACACTAAACAAGCCTGCTCCCTTGGACAGAGCCCGAGGAGCAAGGACATCTGCCCTTCCTGGCCTGGCTGCCCGGCTCTCTGGTCCTTACATCATAGGCTCCAGCCTTGATCTGCTGATACAGCTTGTGCTGATCCTCATCCCAGAAGGGAGGATAGCCCACCAGGAGGATATACAGGATGACCCCTACGAGACAGAACACACAGGTCATGGGGGTCAGTCGCCTACTTCCCTGAGGAACCAAGAAAAACCATGCAGGGCTCAGAGCCACCTAGAAAGGCAGGGGCCATACCAGAGTCAGAAGTGGATGCCAGCCGATAATGCTATGCTACCAGCCCCTCCTGCTATGCCTCACACTTCACGTCACCAAGTCACACCAGGGATTTCTTTAGGCACAACCCATCCTCTAAGGCGTGGGCAAATCCCTCTCCAAGAAGGATACAATGTCATCCCAGAAGTACGCAGGGAGGAGGGTGTGATGGGAACAGCCATCCCAGGGGCAAACACCATAATTTCACATACACCAGGCACGTGTGTGACCTGCAAGGAATAGCGATGCCTCTTTCTTGCCATCATCGGAAGTTGAGGGCCCTTAACAGCGAAAAGCTGAGAGCGTGGAATGGGCTTACCGCAGGCCCAGATATCCACAGGTTTTCCATAGGGATCTTTCCTCAAGACCTCAGGGGACAAGTAACCTGGGGTGCCAGCAAAACCTGTAGCAAAAGAGAGGGCAGAGGCATACTGAACCCACTTTCTCTCTCGTTAAATCCACACCAGCCATTTCCCCCAAGTCCCATCTTATTCCTGCTGCTTTTGCTACATAAACTCTCAGCACATGGGCAGCAAGAGCTGACAGGCTGGGCTTCTTGTAGCGCCTGGAATCTGAACCAGACGGCAAAGCCGTATGCCTACCAGGAACTCCAGCTCCTTCCCACAGGCAGCAAGAAAGCAGTGCTGACAACAGCTAGACTTACTGTACTGAGTCGCGTACGGCCAAGAGAGATCTCGGAGGCCAGGACCATTAAGGGTCTGGCTTCTAGTTCTAATAGAGGAAGGCAGATCAGGAAGAGGAGGAAGGGCGGGGGCTGCATTCCGGGAAGACAGGATCACCCTTACCAAACCAAGCCTGCTGCTCTCCCTGTACTTCGATGGCTAGGCCAAAATCAGCCAGCTTGACGGCGGCACCCTTGCATTTACTCGCCAGCAGCAGGTTCTCAGGCTGCAGAAGAAACACAGAGAACCTTGTGAGCACCCACCCTGCAGCCCAGAGGAAGCCTAGTTTGGGCCTACGCAGTACCACTATCTGGCACCAGGTGGCGCCAACACTTCATGAGCAGAGGCACGGAGGGGAGCCTGGGTAGTACCTTCAGGTCCCTGTGGACGATGTCATGCTGGTGGATGTGGTTAACACTCTCCAGAATCTGATGTATACAGTGGCTAAAAAAGCAGAAGGAAAAGAAATGTTAGCGCAGGGTTAAACCACCTCATCCACATCCACAACCACATGCTGCAGACTAAGGCATGTGACAAGGGGCCACGGATTCACAGAGAATCACTTAACGGCCACTGGAACCTTAGACTCTGCACATCATCTTGTTCAACCTATTTAAAGAAAGAGGAAACCGAGGCCCAGGCAGATGCAATGGTTTTTCTAGGATCACCGCTAGAACGGGTTCCTCTCACCCCCTTTTGACTGGAAAGGTCTAACACAACCAACTCATTTCCAAGAGATCAGGAGACAGCCCAGAATCCTGAGGAAGAAGAGAGCATCCAATCCCTTCCTTCTTTCTCTTTCTCCATACAGTAACTTTGTTCTTGGAGAAGAAGCTTGTGCTGGCAACTTAGGAAGGAGAGTCCAACTAAACAACCTAAGCTACTTTGGCGGTGGGTGCACTCATTCATTTCCCTAAATGTTTATTGAGTGCCTAGGATAATGAAGATGGACAAGACCCAATAGCTGCCCTGAGGTCTGGCATCCAGTAAGGCAGCTAAAACAAGTACAAAGATACCTTTAAGAAACAATGTACTTAAGAGCTTCCAAACAGGGCATTTAAGGAGCACTTCTGATGATTTTGCGTAGAGAAAAAAACCCAAAGTTATTTTATTATTTTATTTTTGAGACAGGGTCTCACTCTGTTGCCTGGGTTAGAGTGCAATGTCGTGAACACAGCTCACCGCAGCCTTGACCTCCTGGGCTCAAGCAATCCTCCCACTTCAGCCTCCCCAGTAGCTGGGACCACAAGCATGAGCCACCGTGCCCAGCTAATTTTTGTATTTTTTTGTGGAGACAAGGTCTCACCATGTTGCCCAGGCTGGTCTTGAACTCCTGAGCTCAAGTGATCCACCCACCTTGGCCTCTCAGTGTTGGGATTACAGGCGTGAGCCACTGCGCCCAGCCACAGTCACACACGTAAATCAGACTGTCCACATAGCAAACCATCCTGCCATCCCTGTCATCAAACTCCTGACAGGGAGCGGGGGCAGTCTAGAGCAGTGGTTTTCAACTGGGAATGAATTTGCCGCCCGCCCCCCCCCACCGCAGGGGACATTTGGCAATGCCTAGAGAAATTTCTGGTTGTCACAACTGGAGGAGGGGTGCTCCCAGCATTTGGTGGGCAGAGGCCAAGGATGCTTCTAAATGTCTGCCACAATGCACAGGAGAGGCCTCACAACAAGGAAGTACCTGGCCTAAAACGTTAGTAGCACCAAGGCTGAGGAACTTGGCCTAGAATATAGACCCCCGTCATCAGGCACTATCTGGTATATTAAGCACATCTGCAGAGCATCCCAGTGTATGGGGCTGGGTGGCCTGGACTTACTATTCCTAAAATCTGATGCTGGGGATGCCACAAGAACCAAGGGGTCGTACTGGGTCCCTGGGGGCTGAAACTCGGGCCTCCCCATAGGACACAGCCCAAGAGTGGGCCACAGAAACTTTAAGACTGAGCTATAGAGGCGAGTCTCCACAGAGATGTATAATTAGAACAGAGCCGGGCTAGCAGGGAGCGCCTTCTGGCCAAAAATGGCAAAAGTGCGAAGTGTCCCAGCAGAGCCAGGCCAAGCCCACTGGTACAGTCACCCCCCCTCAGGGCCCCCTCCCTATAGCTCTCCCTCCTCCCCGCAGGCTCCCTGAGCCATCACTGCCTCCTCCGTCCCAGAGCCTCGTCCTCCCCTGCTGGCACTGGAATTCATCTCCCCACTTGAGAATTCTTCCCGAGGCTGAAGCATCTGAAGTTGATCAGCAAACATTGGCCTCTCAAGGTTGAGAAATTCGTGAGGAAGCTGCACTCCCCCACTCTCCAGAAGCAGCCAGAGCTGCCACATAAGCCAGATAAGCTGCAGGCAGGATGATCAAAACCAGGTTGTAGGGACATCACCCTCGAGAAAAGCAAGGCTGGGGGAAGAGCCAAGGCGGGAAAGGCAGGCTGAACAGGCGCCTGAGAGCGTGGGTGAGGGAGGCACCAGGGATTCCAGGGAGGGCAGAGGCTGAGGCATGTGGCCGGGGAACGGTCCTCAAGTTGGAGGAGCCCCACGGCAAGGCTGGTCATGGTGGTCTAGGGACAAGGTGACAGAGGCTGAAAGCTCCCGGGGCTCTATGGTTGGATTATCAGCCCAGAACTCTCCACTCCCTCAGGACAGAAACCATGTCTTCTGCACCTCTGGATCATGCCAGAGCCTCAGCACAGTGGCTTGAGCACACCAGAATTTGTCAAAGGAAAGAAAAGGGCAGAGGGGGACATTGGGCATGGTGGCGAGTACATGGTAGTGCAAAAAAAAAGTATTTCTGGGGTCACAGGGTAAAGGAGACTTGGAAAAGCTTTGTAAAACATTCATTTGGAAGTGATTTTTTTTGTGGGGGGGGGGAGGGGGACATAGTCTCGCTCTGTTACGCAGGCTGGAGTGCAGTGGCATGATCTTGGCTCACTGCAACCTTCGCTTACAGGTTTAAGTGATTCTCCTGCCTCAGCCGCCTAAGTAGCTGGGATTACAGGCACACACCACCACACCCGGCTAATTTTTTTGTATTTTTAGTAGAGACAGGGTTTCACTATGTTGGCCAGGCTGGGCTCCAACTTCTGACCTCAGGTGATCCAACTGCCTCAGCCTCCCAAAGTGCTGGGATTACAGGCATGAGCCACTGCGCCTGGTTAGGAAGTGCTGAATTTTTAACTTCTAATATCACCCACAGTATGCAAGCCCTAGCCCAGCTCAACAGAATCTTTCTCCAGACAAGAGCTATTCTGATCTTCCCCAAAGACTATTCAAACAGGTACAATGCTGGACCCCGAAGGTGGCCAAGACTTCCTTCAGTCCTAAACTCCAGAGCTACATTTGAACTCTCGGGCCCTCATCCTACCTGGCATCTGCTTCACTGTAGTACTCTCTGGCCACAATGTCTTCAAACAGCTCCCCGCCGGTAACACTGCAACCAACGGGAAGAAGAGGGTCAGAGGCAGAAAGGGTCCTTTGTCCAACCCCAATGTCCAAGAAGAAACAGGGTCACCCTGTAGAATGGCTTTCAGAGAAATCCCAACTCCCCATGCATTTCATCTGAGAGCTCAGAACACACTCGATCCTTCAGTGACACCCGGATTCTCCTTGAGGTATCATGGGCCGTCCCTTCCTTCCGGACATTTCTTTTTCCAAAATGCACAGATTCACTAATAGTCAGGCAGAGATGAAGATACAGGGATCTAAGAGAAAACAGTCAACCTACCCCAAAAGTCACAGCTTTGAGACCAACATAAACACTAAAATATCGCTGCCCAGGAAGGACAGAGCTACTACTGAAGTTGAAGAGTAATGAGACCAATGACACAGAGACCCAACCCTGAGAATCCTGGAGAGGAGTGTCCAGGAGGTAAGAGCCACTTTTAAGACATTAAACCACAACCAACGTGGAGGAGAGACCCAATCCAATGGAGCCTGGTTTCCGACTAATGAAAGCTACCTCTGATTTCTCAGGATTTTTAAGGTCATGCAAAGAGCTGTCTTTTATTTCTTCACTAAGGACAGCACACTGAGAAACAAGACAAAGGCATCTGTGCAAGGCGTGCTGCTGAACAGAAGTGCGAGAGGAATGCTGTCCTGGGGTTCAGAGCCCTGGGGGGACGCTGGGGGAACATGGAGACCCCCTTGGTGGGGGCAGCAATCTGCCCCAGTCAAATCCTTTCCCTCGGACAAAGGAGGGGGCCCTGGGCGGAGGCTGGAGAGCCTGTTTAGGCCTCTTCCTGAGCCTTCATTTTGAGTCAGCTAGAGGGAAAGGCCCCCACACCCTCAGAAAGTGGCACTTACAGGTCAAACACGAGGTAGTGAAACCCTTCTTCAGAAATACTGTCATGGAGGCGCACTGCAAGAGAGGAGATGGGGACAGAGATTAACAGAGAGAAAACTTGGAAATCCTAGGCTTCTCCTCAGCAGCCCCACCCCTGCCCCATCCTGTCGGGCTCACAGGGCTCTCCAGAAGGAGCAGTGGGGGGAAGTGGCGACGTGCCCAGTGCCCCCCAGTGCAAGGCTATGCAGCCTGGGAGCCAGAGCCTGGCGCTCTGGTTGCCACCTCAGACTCAGGCAAGAGAGAAAAGCTTCATGGCTAAGAAGTCAAGATGGAGAAAAGCCGGAACCTTCCCAGAGGGCTGGTCTCCGAGAAGGTGGTCCTGGGATATGATGCACGATGGTGAGATGCAGCGTGAGCAGCACCTAGCAATGTTGACGGCAGGGGACAACAATGACCAGATGGGAAAGCCAGAGAGCTCTTCCAGAGCAGTAAATGGGAGCAGAACTAAGGGGTGGGGAAGAAGGTGGAAAGGCAGAGCTCAGCAGGAAGGCACGTGGTGCAGGATAATGGATGGTGAGCCTGGAAGGCCACGCACACATTCAGGCAATGACAACAATAACAGCTTATTAAGTGCTTACTATGCCAGGCCTTGTGCTAGGCTCTTGCATACATTACTGATTCTGCAAGCATTTATCAAGCACCTACTATGTGCTGGACCCCACGCTAGGCAGCGGGATTCAGGAGGAACAGACAGAGTGCCTGCCTTTGAGGAGTTTATTATTCCTTTCGACCACCTGAGATGAATGTTATTCCCATTCTACAGATGAGGGCACCAGAGGCTCAGGGACACAAAGTCTCTTAACAAAGGCCAAAGAGCTTCTAAGTGGTGGGTCAAGATGTGAATCCAGTGCTACCTGACTCCAAAGACTGTGGTCTACACCACTGCTTCCCTTAAGAAATGTGGGGCAGCCCCCATATTCAGGCAACAAAGCCCTGGCATCCAAAAGAAAGACCACTTACAAATGTCCCTAAAGCAGCATCGCAGACAGGTCCGGGAGGGTGCCACTGGAAGAAGACTCGGGCGATGCACCAGCTGCGAGAAAAAGCTGGCAGGCGGAATCCCTCCCTGCTCCCCGCCTCCAAAGCTCTTGGGTAAAAAACCAACCTGAAGTCTTCTGAGGTCTCCTCTTCAAGTTTCTGCCCACAAAGCCACCTCTGGGTTAAATGCCAACCCCTGAGCATCATTCTAATGCAGAAACGACTCCGCTTTGGCTGACTGTCCTGTCCCTCCCCTCACGTGAACTCTCTTGATGGGGAACTTCTGTTCCAAAGGCCTCCCTCGGTTTGACCTTTGCTCCAAGCCTTGGCAGTTACAGGTGCACCTCATGGAGCACTTCAGGAATGGCCTGACACCAAACTAACCAGTTCAGTGCTAGGAGACAAAGAAATGGCCATGTCTCTTCCTGGGTGGGCCCTGGCTGCTTCCATTTCCAGTGTCACACGTTTCCTCAGGGCTGAGGTGCTTCCCTATGTCCCCTCCCCACGAAGCAAGATCATTCAGAAAGCAAAGTATACAACCCAGCCGGCACAGTCCCGAGGCACTGAACCACCACTATAGCCCCCTTGTTCTCCTCCCTTGATGACTGAGGACTCCGAAGCCTGCCAGGGCCGGAGCCAGGGCCTCAAGACTGTTTCCGCATCCCATTACCTACACTATTTGATCTAATCTAGTGACTCAACCCCAAAAATCCCATCCCAATCTCAGTATTTCTGGGAACGGGATCAAAGGCAGGTGATACTTCCAATATCCCTCCCATTATTGGATATAATGTATATATCCAATATACATTCTCTCCTGGGCAAAGAAGATGCTTCCCTAGGCCTGCAGATGACAGAGGGGGCTTTTAGGACAGGAGGAAGGAGCCAGCGCCAGGCCCCTGCCTTCCTCCCATAAAAATTAGCCTGGGCACACTCCATATACACTCAATCAAGTCCTCTCGAAGTCCTGCCATTGCCTCCGCCCCACTCACTTGCGCACCTCTGGTCTAAGTCGGTGCCTCACGCTGAGTCTTGCTGCAGCTGCTGCTCCCTCGCTTCCAAAAGGACTTTCCATTTAATTAAAAATTTGCTATTAAAAAGCATTAAAGTGTGTAATACAAATAATCCCCTGGAAATCAGCTGTCCCAGAAGCTACAGACCAGCTCCATTAGGGAGGTGACTAACAGCAGCAGCATGGGGAATTAACGGGACAGCAGCAGGTATGATGCTGACAACCATCTCAGAGAAGTGGAGCCACTCAGCTCTGCCTGGGCCTGGCACTGAGCCCTGCCTCAGCCAGAACCCCACCCCATGCCCAACACCACCCCATGCCCCACACCACCCTGCCCCCGCCCAGCACAGCAAGGCCAAGAACAGGGCAAGAAGTGCAGGCACCCAGGCCTCTGCCTAGACATGGAGTCATTGGCGTCTGCCCTTCTCCAGGAAGGCCACACACAGAGCCCAGGTGGGAGGAAGCCGGGGAAGGGAATTAGAAGAAAGGAGCAGCAAAGGAAGACTAATCCTTCTAGGCCACCCAGCAGAGAGAACAGCTTTGATGTGTGCCCCAGAGCAAGGCACCTGCCAAGACAAGGAGGGATGGAGGAAGCTGTATCTGAATAAGACTGCTATCGACATTTTTTTAATTTGTAAAGAAATTAACAGGACACTGAAGACAAGAGGAGAAATGACTGTGCCATTCTAAGTGCCTATTTAGCAACAGCAGATTCATTATTTCTTTTTTTTTTTAAGAGACAGGGTCTCACTATGTTGCCCAGGCTGGGCTGGAGATCCTGGTCTTGAGCCATCTCCTGTCTCAGCCTCCTGAGAGGCTGGGACCACAGCTGTGAGCCACCGCACCCCATCAGATTCTGATAATAACAATCTAAATCTAACAACTAACACTTAGTTGAGCTGTCCGTGTGCCGGCATCGTTCCATGGGCTCCACGTGCATTACTGTATTGAACCCTCACACCAGCTCTGCAGGGTAGCTACTTACATATAAATAACCCCATCTGACAGGAGAGGAAACTGAGGCTCCATAAGAAACCTGCCCAAAATCACACTAAGTGGCAGAACCGGGACTTGAAGCCAAGACAAACCAACATCAAGATTCCTGATATTGCAGAGTTGCTTGGGAGTCACCTTCTCAAATTCTTAGGCAAAGGAGCTCCAATCTGTCCCCACTACCTGTGGCCATTCTGACTGGCTCGACAATGTCCACTGGGCAGCTACCCCGGAGCAGGCGAGGCTGTACATGCCATGGATGTGGCTGTGAAGAAGAGGAGCCGGCCCTGCCACCTGGAGCTGCCAGGCGAAGAGGGAAGACAGGCTTTAAACCAGCAATTACACAAATGCGTTAACTAAGCACAACTGTGTCATGCTGTGAGGCAGGAGCAGAGGGACTATGGATGCGTGGAATAAAATAATCTGACACCCAGCCCATTCCAGAGTAAAGACAGGGCATGAAGGCCAACAAGGGCCAGGCCATGTCCATAGACAGGAAGATCTGGGGAAAGGAGTATAAAGCATTTACTGCATTTCAGCAACAAACCTAATTGCTGTTCTTTAAAAACCGTGGAAGACAGAACAGGCCAAAACACCTACAAACCTTTACTTGATATTTCATGTCTTCAAGGACTGAGATAGCCACAACCCAAATGTTGTGGCTATTTCCAATTCTTTAAAAACCACCCAACAATATGCCACATTTTAACTAACAAATCTTTCTCCAAAAAGCACTGAAAAAGTGTTGCTGTTAAAAATATCTGCAGCAATAACACAGTGGGAAGGAGGTCCTGTTGCCATGGGGGCTTGTGGGGGACTGAGCTGCCCCCCAAGAGCTTACTGTGGCAGGGCTCCCCCCACCCCCACCATGGGGGCAGGGATGTAGGAACTGCTCAGTCATGATTCAATGTTTCTTTTTATTTGCAACCGTTTCTTTGCTACACTTACTGTTAGCTGAATGGGTACTGGGCTCAAGGGTAAATGGTCAGGCTTGAATAACTTGTGAACTGAGTCGAGGCTGGGGGTCTTGAAGAGATCACTTCTAGGGGCTGGAATCTCCATTTTCATCATCTCCCTCCTAGCCCCCTTTCCTGGCTGAACCCTTTCATAACAACTCCACGAAGGGACCCAGATAACAAAACAGAGGCAGGCATAGAGGAGTTAAATAACTTGCCAGAGGTCACAGTTACTAATTAGCAAATCCCAGATTCAAACCCCAAATCTGGATGCGACTCCGAAGCCGCAAAACTTGGCTTCTCCAAGTATTGACAGGCATGCGGACCAGTAGCATGAGCATCAGCTGGAGACTCAGGTCCTACCCCAGACCCCCTGAATCAGAATCTGAATTTTAACATGATCCCTGCGTGAGTCATAAGCACATAAAAGTTTGAGAAGTGCTGCTCTAAACCACAATGCTAGACTATGATCGAAACTGCTGGGGCAGCTCAGCACGAAGGAAGACAGAGTCTATTCATTAGAGGACTTGAGAGCAGGGAGCAGGCAGATCACAGGTAGAACGGACTTCATTCAGACCTCAGACCTCACACCAGCGTCTCCTCCTCTCAACTCCCCACCACTGGCCACACTCCCAGCGCTGTTTGGAGTTCGGCAGTGTGCCTTACACCCAAACAGGCATTTTGTTGTTTGTTTGTTTGTTTTTAATTAATAAACTTTATTTTCAGAGCAGTTTTAGGTTCACACCAAAATTGAGCGGAAAGTACAGGGTGTTCCCAAATACCCGAGAACATTCCCAAATACCCCACGTCCCCCACATGCACAGTCTCCTCCACCATCAACATCTCCCACTAGAGTGGTGGATTTGTTACCGTCTATGAACCCACATTGACTCATCATCATTACCCAAAGTCCAGAGTTTATATCAGGGTTCACTCTTCCAACAGGCTTTTAACTCCTGGGACAGAATATCTAGCTATTAAGGGGAAACTGGGCATGACTGGCCCCTAGCACCAAATGCTCCATCTGAATTCAGTGCCTCCGAGTCTGACCACAGGCAGGGCTGACCACATGCTCTTTGCTCTAGCTTCCTCGACTGTGCACTGTTCTTGGGCTGGCCCGTTTGTTTCCCTTTGGGATGGAGTTCAAGAGGCCAGAGCCAAAAGGGTCACAGTTCTGAAGGACAGCGCAGTGGAGAGAGAAGAGGAATAGTGAATTAGGGGCACAAAATTGCCTCCTCTCCTGCCACAAGCCAGGTCCAGATCCATGGCAACCACAGCCGCCTGGACCTGCAGCTCCGCCACATCTCCAACAGCCCTGGTTCCCACCGGATGCTGGAGCTCCCAGGACACAGTCTTGACTCCCCCTTCCCTCTGCCCACCCTCAACCCCAGAATCGGTCCTCGGACCAACCTCCTTAGGACCTGGGAGCAGTCATGAAATGGAAGCACAGTTCTAGGAAATCAGAGGCCAAAAGAGTGACTGTGCCCCACCTGGCCTCTGAGCAGACGGCCAGGATATATGGTCCCTCCGCCTGCCTCCATTCTGAGCCGAGGGCAGATGGTAAAAGTAAAGGGCTACCAAACAGAGTGAAGTCTATGGGGTAAAAAAGTATGTATTTAATTCTAGAAATAAATAAAAAGACACCTAGGGCTTTTTTCACCTAGAATTCTATTTTTGTCCTTCCTGCTCATTTCTCAATTGTCTTCATTATACCCTGACCCGTCCGTGGCCAACCCATCCGTGGTCAACCCGCCCATGGTCAACCCGCCCGCATCGCGGGTGATGTGGACATGGTTCTGCTTCCTGCATCACTGACCCCTAGCTGCTGTTCTCCTGCCTACATGAGGACAAATTATCACTGCTGTACCAGTTGGTCACAAGGAGCATAAAGGAAAGGAAGTTACCCTCCTCAGATATTGAGACCCGGGTCTGGAACATCAAAATGCTTCTGTGCTTATGGGTGGCTTTAGTCACGCACATGTTTTTTCTTCCTGTTCTGGAACTTCTAGGTTAGAGGTCACAAGCTTGCAAGGCCTACAGGGGCCCAGGTGGGTAATGCAAATGTGAGCTCATAGTGGGTGACAAGGACAGTGGCCAGCGGGCTGCAGGGGCAGCCACCGCTCCTCACAGCTCCTTCTGGCCATGCAAGGTGGGGGCTCAGCAGAGCCAAGCCTTCTGACTGGAAAGGCGGGGGAATAGATTTTTTCTTTTTTCAAAATGTGAAATCTCATTTTTAAATATTGGCAAATAATAAAAATATTTTTAGACCACTGAGTCAGCCAAGCAAAACATGCCTAATCTGTGACTGCTGTTCTAGGTGTTTCCCTCTGTGGGCCCTCTCCTACCAAAGGCAACATGTCAGTCCCCACTGCGCTGTTTTCAGGTGAAGGCCTAACCTCAGAAACCACCTAGGAGCTCCAGTAGTTCTGCGGCCAGGAACCCACCAGCTGAGAGGTGCTGGCTCTGCAGAACACACTGCATCAGGCAAAGCCGATCACCACTGGCCACACCAATCTGCTTCGGGTGTAATCCAAGCTGCTGATTGCCATCTAGAAAGCCCTGCACAGCTGACGTTCTGACTACCTCAGAGCTGCTCCTCTCCCAGAGGGCTAGAGCAGGACCTCAGCCCTTCCATGACAGAGCTCACTTTGACTGTTCTAGCCCGAGACCTGGGAAGCCAGGGGCTGGGTAGCTCTGAAGGAAGCATTAGGCTTCAGCAAGTCACCTCACAGCCCTGGCCGCCAACAGAGCAGAGCAGGCGACCTCTGGGGCACGGTGGGAGCCCTGAGATTTAGGCCATGCCTGAGGAGCACAGAACACGTGTTGTCTTTTGTGATGACTCAGGGCTTTCAGGGAAAACCTAGGAGATGCTCCTTGCTCTGCCTCAAGTCAACACTGGGGCTTCTGCTCAGACACTGCAGCCAGCCCAGTTTCTGTCCCTTCTGCAAGGAGCACCAAATCAGGGCCAACGCTTTTGGCAAAGACCATTTCAGCTGAACAAAGTAAAACTGAGCCAGAGTGGGTTGAGGCAGGCAAACCTCCTCAGGCTTTAGCACAACCAACAATGTGCTCTTGTCCCCCCAGTCAGGGTGGGAGCAGGGAGAAATCCTCTTTTTTCTCCTTCCCCATCTGAGTGGTTCCTGCCATCCCTTCTCCAGAGGAGCCAGGCAGGGGGGCAGCTTGCTTTCCTGGCTCTGGGGAATACAAATGGGAGCACCATGGAAACCCCCAGAGTGTGCAGGACACCGCAGCAGGAACAAAACTCTTTCAGGTCCACAAACAAAATCCTGACCCTTGCATGAGGGCTGTGGATGGCCCCTGGTGAGGGACGCTGGCAGGCTAGGAGCCCGGAACCTCACACGCTGAGGACCCTGGACCTCAGCCCAAAGACAGAAGGAGAAAGGGAAGAAATAGCATCTGAAACCTATTCTGATGCCTCACACCCCAGCCCTGAGAAGGTGCCGCAGTGATGCAGATACTCAGGTCTCTAAACTAGAATGCCCCAGAATTCTGAGACACAGTTGCTATCCTGCTCATGTAAAAACAGACACCAGGTGAAGGTCCACAGACAGAGGTGATCCCACACACAAAAGCAGTGGATATCTGTTATCCCTGCTTCTACAAAATACCCACAAAATGCTCCATGCCCAGGCACTCACCGATGTTTGGATGTTTCAGAAGTCGACATATCCGAGCCTCACGTTCTAGTTTCTGGTGATCTAAAAGCAGAAGAGAAAAAACAAAAGCCATCAACCATCCATTCTCCTTGTGGTCACCTTGTTATTCATATTCCTTCAGTTCAGGTACTAACTATGCATTTGTGATGATTTGCTGAAGTAATGCAGCAAGTCATGGCAATCCTGGAGACAACTTGTTTTCCTTTCATTTTAGGGTCTCACTTTGTCCCTCAGGCAGGAGTGCAGTGGCATGATCGCAGCCTCAAACTCCTGGGCTCAAGCAATCCTCCCACCTCAGCCTCCTGAATAGCTGGAACTATAGGCACCAGCCACCAGGCCTGGGCCAGATAGATAGTTATGACCACCTTTTCCAGATGAGGAAATGACTTGAGGGTTTGCACACTTCGAGCCAGTGAGCAGCAGAGCTGGGATTTGAATCCAGGTATTCAACTAAAACTCTGGTGCTCTTTCCACCACAACAGGGTTTCAGTGGTCCAGGGTGTCCAGAATCTCTTTTTTTCTTTCTGAGACGGAGTCTCGTTCTGTTGCCCAGGCTGGGGTGCAGTGGTGTGATCTCAGCTCACTGCAACCTTCGCCTCCTGGGTTCAAGCAATTCTCCTGCCTCAGCCTCCCGAGTAGCTGGGATTACAGGCACACACCACCACGCCTGGCTAATTTTTGTATTTTTAGTAGAGACGGGGTTTCACCACGTTGGCCAGGTTGGTCTCGAACTCCTGACCTCAGGTGATCCACCCGCCTCGGCCTCCCAAAATGCTGGGATTATAGGCGTGAGCCACCGCGCCTGGCCCAGAATCTCTTTCTTGTTAGGAACACTAATAATAGCTAAGTTATACTGAGCACCTAATATATACTCGGCACTGGCTAGGGGTTTTGCATATATTCTCTACATAGTCCTGATGGCAAGCCTGAAACATAATGATGCTGATAATAAAGAGGTTGATGATCAAGATAATGATGACTTAAAATAATAATAGCTAACATTTATTGAGAGCTTACTTCTACACCAGGCAGCTGCCTCTTTTAATTTATCCTCATAACAACTCTAGGAGGTTGGCATTAGTATGATGCCCATTTTATAGAAAGAGAAACCAGGACACAAATCCTGCTTCTCCCCGGAGTCCTCTTGGCCACCATGGCTGTAAGCTTTGACCTCTTCAAATTCAGACTCCAGGATTACTTGGTTTTGGTGGAATAACCAGAAATCCACAAGTCCCCAGATCCAAGTGAGCTGCGTGGGTCAATTCCTTCCACAGGAAGGCAGAGCTCCAGTACGTGGGAAGAGAGGATGCTACTCACAGCACGGAGGCCTCACAGCCCTCCCCCACTGTCCTTCCCTCTTTCTACTTGCTGAAATCCTGCCAAAAGTCACCTCCTTCATGAAGTCTTCCCTGCTCCTCTCGGTAGACTGTGACTTCTCCCTCCTACTCCACCCCCCCCCCCCCCGATTTCCCAATGCACTTCTCACGATTCTCACATCATATATTACATCAGTTATCTTTCAGTTGCAAGCTCTTCGAAGGGCGGGGGTACCTTTCCAGGTAGTGCTTTCTAGAGTTCTTTCTGTAAACAGGGGCTTAATAAGGGTTTACTAATAACAGTAGTCGCCATAACAATCGCTTACTATGCACTGACTACATGTCAGGCAGAGGCATGGATTACCATATTTCATACCTACAGAAACTCTGTGAAGTAGGGATCTGATTAGCTCTATTATATTACCGAGGAAACAGGTTTAAAAAGATAGAGTAATCTGCCTAAGGTAACACGAACAGGCAGTGATGCAGGTGGTCTGAGCCTAGAGCCCTCTTTCTCCACCCCTGTGCTATTATGGCCAGATAAAGAATGGTGAGAGTTGAGTTAAGACTCTAGGCTTTGGAGGGGGTGCAAAAGGAAGAGAGTCCAGTTCACCCTGAATTATCCAGGCCCGGGCAGGGGCCTTCACATCCATAGCTGCCAAGCTATTCCTGTCTCCCTGCCTCTACCCTAAACAGCAAAAAGCTTCTGTAAATCTTCCCACAGCCCTCACAATGATCCCATTAGGTAAATGCTATGATTGTCCACATTTCCAGATGATGGAAGAAACGGAGGCCCAGGGAAGTTAAGTAACTTGCCCAAGATCCCACAGCAGGAAAGGGATAAAAGGGGGATTCAAACTCAGGACTGTCAGTGTGAGATAATGTAGGGATTATGGACTAGAAGAAATTCACATTTATTGTTTCACTAACCAAACCCAGCTTTGTCCTAAACTTTCCCTCTAGCAACAGCTCTACTTTGTGGAAGGAGGTGGGGACAGACAGAGATTAGTTCCTGCTGCCCAGCTAATCCGTCCCAGCTGCCCAAAGATCTGGGTCAGGCCTTCCTTCCTGTGCCTGGGTTCAGCATGACCACCGACCAGGATGCAGCCAGGAGAACCCCAAGTAACTCCCAACTCCCAGATCACCTGGCATCCCTTGGTCCCAGGCACAGGGATGTGGCCAGTGACCTCCAGAAGCGAGGCACTCAAGGAGGCTGTAACAGCCTTGCCTGGTGGCTGGGGGGCTTGCTTCTTCCAGATCTGGCAGGATGTTGACATGACCCCACCTTCCTTCCATCCCTGGACTTGAGATGGAGGTACCAAGCCAGCCAGCCCCAAAGCTACAGACCCACGGCCCTCTCTCTGGGCACAAACCTCACCACCCTCCAGCCCATAACTCTCAGGCTTGGTTGCCTGGGCAGGTGCAGGAGAACAGCATCTTGCAATGCGGAGGTGGCAGCTGAGGGAAGGCCCAGAAGATTAATGTTTATCTCCTTCCTTAAGTCTCTTACTAGCTAATGGTTACAGTCCCACAACAGCAACAGCACTAAAAATAAGGGCACTCTGCTTTACCAGTGACTTTGAGTGGAGAGAAGATACACAGACTCAGGCTCCCAGCTCCTCAAAGGAGCTGCCCAGCATCCAGAGGGTCCTTGTTAGCCTCTTAGTTCAGCCTTAACTCCAAGGAGCTGAGCCCTGTGTTCCCGGCAAGGCCCAGGTCTTCTCTGAACCCCAGGACTATACCTTGATCCTCATTCTGATTCTAAGCTGTGGAGTATGGCAATTAACAACACATCGGTTTTGAAGTCAGACAGCCCTGGATTGAGCCCAACACTGCCACATCCAGCAAGCTATTAAACCCACCCGAGCTTCATTCATTCCTTCAAGAAATATTTATCGTGGCTGGGCGCGGTGGGTCACGCCTGTAATCCCAGTCCAGTACTTTGGGAGGCCAAGGTGGGTGGATCACTTGAGGTCAGGAGTTCAAGACCAGCCTGGCCAACATGGCAAAACCCCATCTCTACTAAAAATACAAAATTTAGCCAAATGTGCTCACTAGAACCCAGGAGGTGGAGGCTGCAGTGAGCCAAGATTGGGCCACTACACTCCAGCTTGGGGTGACAGAGCAAGTCAAAAAAAAAAAAGAAATATTTACTGAGGCCTACTATGTGACAGACAGTATTCAAGATGCTAGGAAGACAGTGGCGAACAAAACAGACAAAAATCCCTGCCCTCATGGAGCTGACACTCTAGTGGGTTGTGTATGGGGGAGGGATGGACAGTAAGAAAACTCAACAGCACGTTAGATGTCACGGCAAGTGCTGCGTAGAAAAAGCAGAGAAAGTGGGGAGTGCAGATTTGAGTAGGGCAGTCCAAGAAAGCCTCAGTAAGGAGGTGACATTTGATTAGGACCCAAAGTAGGTGAGACAGTGAGCCAGGCACATTATCTTGGGAAAGAGGTTCCTCACTTCTTTTGTTTGTTTTTTTTGCTTTTTTTTGAGATGGAGTCTTACTCTGTTGCCCAGGCTGGAGTGCAGTGGCATGATCTCGGCTCACTGCAAGCTCCGCCTCCCAGGTTCACGCCCTTCTCCTGCCTCAGCCTCCCGAGTAGCTGGGACTGCAGGCGCCCATCACCATGCCCGGCTAATTTTTTTGTATTTTTCAGTAGAGACGGGGTTTCACTGTGTTAGCCAGGATGGTCTCGATCTCCTGACCTTATGATCCGCCTGCCTCGGCCTCCCAAAGTGCTGGGATTACAGGCGTGAGCCACGGCACCCGGCCAAGAGGTTCCTCACTTCTAAAATAGAGACAGCAAGATCTGAGGTTTAACTGAGGTGGTACAGGTCAAGAGTTTTGCATAAGGTCTGGCATATAGCTCCTTTCCAAGGGCCCAGTGAGAAGCTTGACAGGGTCTCCTGGGCTGGGCTTGTGGCCACAGCTATCACCAGAGACACTGTGAATGGGACCCACTGTCCCCTCAGCCCAGGCAGATGCAGGGTCTGCAACACAGCAACTAAGCCCTCCTGCCTGGCTTCTGGGCTCCCCACATGGTCCTCCATTGCAGTCCTGGAGGTGGAGTGTCCCTCCCTGTTTTGGCGGGGCCCACCTGTGTCTACAGTCTGCAGGTGATGGGCAGCAACAGGGGCTCCTCAGAGAGAGGGGAACGCCGCAGGAAGTGCCACTGTCCGCTTCCCTCCTCTTCCTCGCAGCCGTGGCACCCTGCCATCCACAAGCTCTCCTCAATGAACAGAGCAGTTTCTACCTGCCCCGCTCTCCCCGTTCCTGCTGCCACATACTGCCCGGCCACCACCCAGCCTCTCCAGCTGTTGTCTCCTGTCTCTTCCCCTGACACTTCCTGTCCTGTAGTCACATCCAGGGCTGGCCCACGGCTGCAAAAAAGCAGAGGGTCCATCCCAGCAGCAGTGGCAGCAGAGGGGTTCCAGGATGGAGTAGTGGTTTCTAGAGCATCTTTCCCAAAAGCAAGGGCATCCCAGCTGGACGCAGCATCTCCAACCCCAAAAAGGGCGAGGCCACTGAATGGGCTTGGTCCACAGTGGGAGGGCCCTGGCTCGGCATCTCAAGGTGCTGCAAAGGTGTCTCCCCTTGAGACACCCCTCCTTCCAGTAACCACTAGGGAGAGGCTCAGACCTTCCAAGGTGGACCCTCCTCCACGCACCTTTCTACCAGGCTCATCCCCGCCCCTCCCACAGCCCAGCCCCCCCCTTCCTGTTTGACAACTGCCACTTCCCGCTTTTGCACAGGGCCACTTCCTGCCTGCCTGTGTGCTACTGCCATGGAGAGACCCACCCCTGCCGGCCTTCAGCCCAGCTCCAACCACAGCCCTCTGCAGGTTTTCCCCATCATTAGCAGAGGTGGCAACAGGAGCAGAAAGCAGAAGCAGCTCCAGCCTTTCCCCAGCAGCCTGCCTAGACCAGAGTGGTCTGAGCCCAGGCCAGAGCCAGGCCCTGGGAAACAAGGATCCTAGAAACCCAACCTCTCCCGCCTTCTGCCCAAGTGCTTCAGGACTTGGTCCAAGGTGCCACGATTTCACAGGAAGGGCAGCAAGAAGTGACCAGATGCACCAGGGGAGGCAGAAAAGAGGAAGCAGATAGGGAGGTGATAGCTTGCAGCCAAGGGGTGCACCAAGCCTGCCCCTGAACCACCTCCCCCTCTGGCCTGAAGACAGAAGCCTACTCCAATGCCCTTTCCTTCCTCTGCCAGGTCAGGGGGCCAGGGAGGGCTGGCCACAGATTCTCCATGGCCCTCTCAGGGATGGGCCTGCTTGACTTAGTGACATTTTCCTAAAAAAAAAACACAAATGCCAGCACTAGCTTCAAATAAGATCCTGCTGCCACGTAAACATACAATCCTCTGTACGTGGGAAAGGATGCACATTCCTACTCTGACTGAGGACTCTCCCAAGTTCCAATCTCAAAGACATTCTTAACTTTGTAAAGGGTATTTTGCAGGTCTGTGCCTATGACCCTAAACATGGATGTGAGAAACTTCCTGCAACCCCACTGATTTCAGGGCTCCATGGGAGGCGGCCTCACTTGCTGCCCTCCTGAGTGCCTTTCATCTTCTTCCCAAGCAGCAGAGGCCGCCGTCTGGTCCCCTTGGCACTCTGAGGAGCAGAAACAAGGACATCGCAGGGATTTGATGTCATAATCCACCTTCCCCAGCTGCTTATGCACAGCCCTGGGCCTGGGACACTGACCAGTGGGAATCCCAAGCCACGATCCCACCGACCTCACCCTGACACTGTGATGCCACATCCCTTCCTCTTTGAATCTCACTCTAAAGATGCAAAGAGTCTCCAATTAAAAGCAAAGTCCATCCGACACACAAGAGCAGGACCATGGTTTCTAATGCCCTCACACATGTACACCTGGTGACTAGCTGGGGGCTGTGATACAGAGGGACGGGGCCTGAAATGGTCCCATGTGAACCCCCAAGGCTCTGTGCATGTACCCAGCATCCTCCCCTTATCTTCAACCCTCACTCAAGCAGTTTTAACTTGGTGACACAAAGACCTGAGCCCCACTTTGGCCTCTGGATCTCAAGGCAAGGGAAGCGAGAGGCTCCAAGAAATGCCCTATAGCGAAAAGGCCCTCAATCAGCTTTGACAGAGAAAATCCCCAAGGGGTCACTAGCAAGCCCCAAGAAGGCAAGGCTCTGCCTGGGGGCACTCTGGCTGCTCTCAAGGGCCAGAAAAGGGTCAGCCGTCTGTTCTCCATGCCCCCCGGCAGGGCTCCCGGTGCCTGCAGCCTTTGCCCACTGTTTTGGTGACATTTCCTTCATGGTAACCAGCCCCAAGTAAAACATCCCAGGAAGCAGCCCCTAAAAATAGCTCCTCCCAGGGCAGCAGCAAGCAGGGGGGAAGGGAAAGAAAGGGAGGAGAAAAGAGGGGAGCAGATGGGAAGCTGCGGCTGCTGCTGATAGGGCCCAGGAAGCGGAGATGGTGTTGGGGAGGAGTGGCTGGAAATCTCCCCACCGCACAGCCCAGAGAGGTGGGTACAGACGGGAATGGGGCCTCAGCCAGCAACGAGGAGGGATTTGCTCCACCAGGCTTGGAGCTTGGGGCCTAGATGGAGAGGTGTGAGGTGATATGCCAAGATTCATCACAGGAACAAAGTATCCAGAACCTGTGTTTTAAAGAAAGGCGCCAAGGAGTGGGTGGAGGCCACACGGCCTGAGGACGCTGGGTCTGAGCCCTGGCAAAGTCATGGGCACCTGCAGCACAAAACCAAAAAAGAAAAAAAAGACCCCAGACAAAGCTTTTGTGCTTTGATTTCCCCAGCGGTCCTGCGGCAGATCTGTCTGGCCATGGGTAGGTGACAAAGGGGCTCTGCAGAGAGGCATTCAAGAGGTGCAAAGTGCCCATCTCCTCCTGTCACCACCCTTTTGGCACCCATGGGATCAGGCCCTTGTTGGTCTGCCAAAGCTGTTCAGAGAGCAGCAAGCATACAGATGGGAGCAGGAATGGTCACACCCAGCCTCCCCTTCCCTATCTCCAGTCTCAGCAGAGAATGGGGTCAGCCACTCACCTCTAGGGTTTCAGCACAGCTTCGAACAAGGGTATGGTGACAAGGGACCAGAGGAAGCAGCAGGAAGAAGGCAGGGGCCTCCCTGACAGGACAGGGCAACCTTCCCACCTCCATCCCCACACCATGATGCAGCACCCCAAGTCACTCTAGGAAGACAGGTGGGAGGGGAGGGGGACAGGCCAGTGTTGTGTGTGCTAAGGCCCACAGCTCAACGTGACCGCGTGACAAAAGCCGCCTGGCAGAAGCCTTTGCACAGAGGGACCTGCAGTCGGCTTCCATCCCTTCAGGAGAGAAAGTAGAGGCGCTCCATCACTGATATGCAGGATGCCCATTTCTCTGTTTACAGAAATTGGCCTGTTTTATCCTCAGGAGGAAAGCATGGTTTCGCACACAGCCTCCTTAAATGCTTCCTCGAGGCCTGTGTTCCAGTGCTGTGTGGATTTCTCTTCCTTCTCCCACTCCCTGCATTACTGCTTCCCCCTCCCTTCTCTTTCCCTCACTTCACCCAGATCCTTAACAGGAAAGTCTCACTTGGAGATACCACAGGGGACACAAATGTCATGGGGGCTACTCAGGCCAACACTAAGGGGGCGGGGACTCTCAGCTGGCACCATCCAGGGGATCCCATTTCAGTCCCCAGGGCCAGCTGGACCCAGAAAGGGACAGCCTTTACCCTTCTGGTGGCCAACATGCCACAACCCGAGCCACCCAGCTTGCCGCAGCCTCAGACACAGACACCCCAATCCCGAGGCCCAGAACGAGGCCCCTAATCACAGAACAGCCCATGTGCACAGATGGCCACATAGTGGCAGACACACAATCTGGAGAAGGATGGGCCAAGGTGTGTCTGTTGAATTCCAGAGGGCATGGCAAGAGCAACTGTTGTTGCAGATTTTAGGTGGCATCTCTTAAAGAGTGGCTCATGCCTCACCTGCATGAAATTCACTGGAGCATGTGTTAAAAATGCAGATTCTGCAGCTCCACCCTAGACCTCCTAAAGCAGAATCTCTGTGGCTAAAGCCCAGAAGTCTGTATTTTTTAAACTAGTACTCAGGGTGATCCTTACGCACACTAAAATTGAAAATCACTACCTGGAAGAGATCCCAACAGTGGCCCTATAGTGCCATTTAGTGACAGGGAAGGAGGAATCATCAGCTAAATGTCTGCCTACATCTCCCACTCTGCCTTATGCCCCAAGCACAGGTCTTTATCCTCATCTGTCCTCTCTTCCAGCAGCCGTATCAGGTCTGCAGCTTGGCTCCCTGGATCAGAAAGGGAGGACCCAAGTCTGTAGCAGGGTACAAGGGCTCTGGCAACTTGACTCTGAGTTTCCTAGGAGCCAAAGCCAAAAGGCAACCATGATTGGTTACATAGTCCTCTTGACCCATTCATTTAATGTGTATGTGGCTGGCATACGTCAGGCACTTCGCTAGGGCCTGCCCATGCAGAAGTATAGAAACACATAAGGACCCTTCCCTCACCTCTCAGGTCCTCACAAAGAGGAAAGCTTTTGCTTACATTTAGCTTCAAAAGAAATTTCTTCACACGGAATGTACAGATTAAATAAATATGTTAAAGTATTATAACAGATTTCAAAACACTGTTTCCGGTAGCATCTCTTAGTAAGGCCAAGGGCATTACCCCAGTATCTATCTTGGTAAAAGCAACTGGAATCCAGATAAATGGTACATATACAGAAGTTTCTTGTGATGCTGATTGTTTTAGGGATAAATCCTAAACGACGTAGAAGAAAGGACCATTTGCCCTTCAACTGTAGTAATATGGGGGAAATGCTTTGGATATAAGCAAAGAGAGCAGGATATAAAATGTTATGCTCCACGAGGTGAAAATCTGTATGCATATGAATAAAGATAAGAAGGGAATATGAAGATTTAAAAATAAAAAAAGACATAAGGGCTCAGGCTCCTTGAGGGGGGTGCTCTTAAATCTTAAAATAACGACTTATCATTGCCATCACCTGGCCCACTAGCTCCTGCATCCAAGCCTATTTTAAATGCCTCCTTCGGCCTAGTGGAGCTAAGCTTGGAACCATGGGCTCCCTTAAGAGCCCAGCTCCACTCCTATCACGGTTCTGAAGCAAACGGAGTGACGTTATGTGACTTTCAGTGACTTTATGTAGACAGGCCCGCAGACAAAGACAGTGCTCAACGCATATCCGCATGAACTCCCCACCTTGCAACCTAGCCGCCAATGTGGGCCTCTGAGGCCACAGTGACAAGACACAACAGCCCAAAAGAAGGCTTCCTGTCTCGATTGGACCCCCCCAGAAGAACAGGTGATCCCTCTCCCTGACTCCTAGCCACCTCACCAGGGATGCCAAGGAGAAACAGCTCTATACCCTCTTTTTATCTTTTCAGTTTGTAGCCCAGAGAATCACAAACAAGAAAGACAGGAGGCAGGAAGACCCAGTGAACACAGCAAGCCCCTTCAGACCTTCACAGATGACCCTGGTGGGCCCACGACATTCCCAGACACAGAAATCCAACACCTGCGGAGACCTAGGCAGACAGCGATGAGTGAAACCCAGCTCCAGTGGCTGCACCTTTATAAAATATATAGTGTAAACTGAGAGTCTGCAGGGAAGCCATGGCCCTCACTCCCTAACCCCATGGGAACCAGCCCATGGCTACCCTGGCCCAGATCTCTCCAGGAGTTCACATCTCCCATGCCCACACCTATAGTCCAGCCCCACCTTGTTCCCTCCATCTCCAAGACAGCCCCTTTCCACTTTCCCACCTCCACACAGTACTGGCTGGCACTTACACATTCTGACCCCTCTGGCTGGCATCTGTGCCTATCATCTGTGCCTCTGTCCCAAAGTCAACCTGGCACATGAGGCCACACAACAGAGCCCAGTCTTGGCATATCCATCTTGGGAGAGGGGGAGTTGCTGTCTGAAGCATATACTTTTACACAAGAATCCTCTTCTTGAGGGGAAAAAAAAAAAAATCAACGAGAAATCAAGTCTCATCCAGTTTGGCCAGGGAAAGATATCCATTGGGAAAGATGGGACAAGGTTAAAAGGAGGTGAGGAAGGGAAAGGGAGGCTATCACACAGGTCATGGAAATTTACGCAGGTAGGGAAGGAGTAGGAAATGAAAGCCCCAGTCAGGCAGCTGCAGGAAGTCACCACATCACCTATCCTCACATCCCAGAATTCGGCTCCCAGCCATCTCTCCTTCTCTTACCCATGGGTCAGAGGACACTGGTGAGATGAAGAGAGCAAAGCATTGCATCATCAACTGGAGACACCAGATGCCAGCCCTGTTTCTGATGCACCAGGGCTCTGCTGTGTGGGCAAGAGAGGTATCCAGCCTCAAGCCATTGTTCCTGCCTGCACCTTCCATCCTTGGCCAGAGGATGTCTGCCAGAGAGCCCAGCCCCTGTTGTCCCCCCCACCCCCACTCCAGGGTATCTGACTGCCCACATATCTCTATGGCAACCATCCTCAGACTCAAGGTACCCAGAGAGAAAGAAAACAAACAAGTCCAACTTTATAGGCAATGTACACGAACAGCAAGAGATGGAGCTGGATGGGAGTCAGCAATTAGTGCCCTACTAGAGGGATGGAGAGAGAGTCCCCAGTCAGGGAGTGGACACGGCCCTGCTAAACAGGTCCCAGAACAACTGCCAACACGACAGAAGCCCGTGGAATTGTAGAGCTTCTCTAAGCATTTGGGACATCTATTATGTCTCTTATCCCAGAGAAACCCGTGTCATTATTGGCCAAAGCCCATGTCTTCCCCAGGGCATGTGTCCTGGCTCCTAATATATTTATGGCATCCTACTGCCCAGCCCTAATTCCTTTCTCTGAGTTTCACAACCTTTGTCCCCCAGCTGCACCCTGCAGCCCTCCGAGATCTGACCTCTGTACTCACCAGACCTGTTCCCAGAGCACTTCACACATTGCTGGGTCTACACCTATCAGATGAGGTGAGTTTGGCAAGTACCCAATAGGAAGTTCAGAGAGTGTAGGTTCAAGGTGTGAAAGACAGGCCCTGACCCTCCAAGCCTCAGGTACTTGGGAGGATCTCGCAAGTGAGGCCCCAAGGCCTTGGCCTTTATGCTCCTCAGACTCGGAGGCAGTGCAGTTCCTGCCCAAACCGGGCCTTTGGGATTTCTAGACCATGAGGCATCACCCTCCACCCAGGACAGACTACATCTGCTGCTGCACCACCAACTTTGTAATTTGATCAAAAAAGCAATCAAGTTCATCTGGCAGAATTTGTTCCTGAGAAGCCCTCGCCAGTAGCAGCCTCCCCTGATGTTTACAGATTCCCTTCCCTTGGGAGTCTGTTCTGCCGCCTGGTGGGCAGGGGAGGCTGGCTTTGTCAGAGCTGCTCACTTACTGCATTTCCATCCTAAGTCACCACTGGGGCACAGGGACCAGGAAAGGCCTGCAGTAGCCACCACTGCCCCAAAGGGAGAGGCTCCAAATGCCCCAAATTAAGAGCTCCCCATTCTGTACCACCCACTACCCCCATATCCTCCACCTCCCTGAAGACCGAACTCCCTTGAGCCTTTGGGGGCCACTGCAGCTACTTGCATCTCTTCCTTCATTCTTTTGTACCTGGGCGCTTCCAGTCCCCCATGCAACTCCTTTTCTGGCTTCAGCCTGACACAAAGTCCAACCAGTCTGAAATTCCAACTCCTCTCCAAGTGCTAAAACGCACAACCCCCAATTCCTGGGGCTTCCTCAAAAGAAACCATGGCCCCTGGAGGCACCCTCAGGAAGAGGTCAAGACAGGGAACACTCACCCCGGGCAGACAACTTCTTGGTATTGATGATTTTTGCTGCGTACTCCTGCGTGGAGGTTTTCTTCACACACCTGCGGACCACAGAGAAAGCACCCCTGGAGGGAGAAGGGGAAAAGAACTGGGACACGGAGCAGGGCAGAGTGACACAGACACACTTCAAGTCTGGGGACGATGATGCTCCCACCACCAGACCTCTAGTCACACTCACGTACATGCACACACACCGGCGCTGTGACCACCACCATCCAACATGAGGCAAAAGGACGCGGCCACCGCAGGACACTGAACAGATGTGGGTGGCGTGCCGCGCTCCCACCCCCTCATCCAGTCCCTGGGCAAGGCAACAGCCTCCACCTCAGGCTGCACATCAGGAGCGGGTGGGCGATGCTGAAAACACACACCTGCTGCATCTCAGACAGCCCTGCGGTCCCGGCCAAGAGAACCAGGGCAGAAGGGAGCAGAGAGACCCTGCCCTTCTCTCAGCAGGAACAGTTGAAGGTCGGGGAAGGAAAGATTAAAAAGAGGGTATCATCCCCTGAAAGAGAAATCTCCCTCAACCATGGGGCAAAGTGAGGCTCAAACCCCCCCACAGCCGGTTTCATCTCACTGCATCCCGGCTCAACTGACAGCAAGGGAAGAGAGGACACAGTCAGACATCAAGAACTCCCCTTCCCATGCTATTTTCCTTGACGTCCCCGTCAAACGGGAGCTCGCACTCTGAGCTCTGGAAACGTCTGGGGGGGCGGGCGGGGCGGGGGCTGCAGTGGCCGGGCTCGGCGCCGCGGGTGGGGGTGGGGGGCCGGGGCTGCTGCAGCGGCCAGCTCAGTGCGGAGGGGAGGGGGATGCTGAGGCTGCGGCGCGGCTCCCGGGACCACTGCAGGGGTGGGGGGAGGGGACGGGGGTGCCGCAGCACTGCCCAGCCGCGGGGCTGGGAGCCTGGAGCGGCACCCGCGGGGGGCGGGGCCGGGCGCCAAACAGCCCCCCCACGCCCGGGCTCCGCAGCAGAGCTAGGGCTGCAGGGCTGGGGAGGGTCCTGAGTGCGAGGCGCGTGGGACCTGGGTTCAGGGTGCGGAGTGAGCAACCGGGCAGCGTTGGGAGGTGGTCGGGAGGGGGGCGCCTGAAGGGTGCGGAGGGGCGGGGCTGGAGGGCACCCGGGAGCGGTCCGGGGTCTGCGGTGTCCGCGGCGGCGCGTGGGGAGCAGCGGCCCCGCCAGTTGCTGCAGGGCGCGGAGGGGGATGCGGGGCAGTGCGCGGGGGGCGCGGGGACCGAAGGCGGCGGGCGGGAAAGGCGGGGGTGGGGCGGCCGAGGGGGAGCCGCAGCGGCCGGTGCAGGGCCGGGGGGCGGGGCGAGAAGCCGCATAGCTCCCGGGCGGCAGGGCAGGCAGGGGACCGCGGCGGGCGGGCCGTACTTGCCAAGCTCCTCGAAGAGCTGGTAGTCGTCGGTGAAACGGGTGCAGGTGGCGGTGGTGGCCATGCTGGCGGGCGGGCGGACGCGGCGGTGCAGCCCGCGCCGACGTCGGTGCACAGTCACCGCCGCCCGGCCGAGGGAGCAAGAGGAGGAGACGGGGCTGAGCCCGGCAGCACCGCGAGACTTTACCGGGGAGAGCGAGGGAGGGAGGGACACCCCCGCGCCGCCCGCCCCGCCCCGCCCCCAGGCCCCGCCAGTCCCCCCCCCCGCCCGGCCCCCGGCCCGCCCCCGGGGAGGGGCCTCCCGCCGCCGGCCCCGCCCCGCCCCGGAGCCGCCCTCGCTGGGCCAGGCGCGCGGGGCAGCCGAGGGGAGGGGGTCCCCGCTCCGGGCCACCTGTCTGGGCAGACGGAGCTGGAAGGTTCGCGACTTATGGGCTTGTCCCGGGGCGGACCCCGCGCGGGCTCGGGAACGTGCATGCGAGGGTGCATGTGTTAGGAGTGTAGGAGTCTGGACCACTGACCTCTCTGGACGGGTCCTACACGCGGGTCCCGAGCCCCCAACCGGGCTCCTAGCACGTGGGGAGAGAGCCAAGGTCAAGGAGCCTGTGCCAGGCTGCACGCCCGGGAGGCGCCCCCAGCCTGCGCAGAGCCAGCTGCCAGCCGCCTTCCCTCTGGGAGCTGACAGTCTAGACTTGCGCAAGCACCAGGGCCATTATTAGAAAGAAACCCTTCAGGCGCGGGTTGATCAGGGAGACCAGGCCAGGGGCAAGGATACAGGTAGGACTCTGCCTTCCTGCACCATAACTGCAGAGATGAAAGAGTATTCTCTATCCGGCCAGAAATGAAAGGGGTGAAGTAGGAAGACTTGAAAAGGCTTTGTGCAGTGGGGGCTAGAAGAGAAAGTGGAAGAAAGGGGAAATCCCCATTTTCTTGCAAGGCACCCTCGTACTTTTATTTTCTGGCACCTACCACATTTTGTAGTGATGCATTGACTGGTATAAGGGGCAGTAGAGCTATCTCATAGCTGTCTAAGCGTGAACTTGCATCAAACTGCCTGGATTGGATTTCTAGGCAACTCACTGATCAGCTCTGTGACCTGGGGTAAGTCACTGAATCTTTTTTTTGAGACGGAGTCTTGCGCTGTTGCCCGGGCTGGAGTGCAGTGGTGCGATCTTGGCTCACTGCAGCCTCCACCTCCTGGGTTCAAGCGATTCTCCTGCCTCAGCCTCCCGAGTAGCTGGGATTATGGGCGCGCGCCACCACGCTCGGCTAATTTTTTTGTATTTTTAGTACAGACGGGGCTTCATTATGTTGTAGTAATGAAGTATGTATGTAGTACATACATGAAGTAATGAAGTATGTATGTAGTACAGAGGTGGCTTCATGAGCCACCTCGCCCGGCTGGGAACAATAATATTACCTACCTCATAGGCCTGTCAGCATTAAATGGTCTAAGGCACTTAGAATAGTACTTGGTGCCTAATTAGAACTACATTTGCTGGGCCGGGCGTGGTGGCTCATACCTGTAATCCCAGCACTTTGGGAGGCTGAGGCGGGTGGATCATGAGGTCAGGAGTTCGAGACCAGCCTGGCCAACATGGTGAAATCCTGTCTCTACTAAAAATACAAAAACTAGCTTCCCGCTGAATTGTAGGCTCCAATAAAGCGGGGCCTCTGCACCTTTTGTTCACCATTGTACACTCAGCCCCTGACCCTCAGTAAATATTTGTGGGATGGCAGAGGGAGATACCATCCCTTCTCCTGTCCCCACCATCACAAGTTGGTGGGACAGAGGCACATAACTGTCTTGATGGGGGACAAACAGGCTGGGCAGGTTCCTGACCTGCCTGGGCAGCTGTCCCCTGAGGCTGAGGCCAGCCCCAACTGGGCAGGGTGGAGCTCAGCCAGAGGCTGCCACTCAGTCTTGATTACAGCAGGACGCCCACTGGGAGTCGGGTCTCCCTCGCCAGCAGGCTCGCTCTGCCAGAGGAGGGGGCTGAGAGGTGTCCCAGCCTCCCAAGCTGCCTCCCTGAGGGGTGGGTGGGGCAGAGCTCTCCAGGAGTGCTCCCCTCCTGTCCTGACCCAACAGCCCTGAGAGCTGCTTTGGGAACCAGACTGCCCAGTAGGGGTGATTAGGGAATGGGAGGGCATGAAGCCCTAAAGGAAAAGCATTAGCAGTTCTCTTGGGAGAAGGGTAGAGAGGGCCAAGGGAAAGGGTAGCAGTGCCAGAGCACCATGCCCTACCCCTCCCCAGGGCAACAGGAGGTAAAGTGGAGAGTAAGGCCACTTCCTATCTCAAAGCACCTGGGTGAGAGCCAGGTCCCAAGTCCCAGTGTGGGGTAGGGCAATGAGATTGCATACATGGGGATGCCAGTAAGTGTTGAGTTTCTGTCATCCATCTCCAAAGCAGAAGCAACTTTGAATATCAGTTGATCATCAATGTGCCCTTCCTAAGTGCTCAAGGCAACTTGCTTCCTGACCTCCAGGCTGATACTTGAAACTTTCTATTCATGAATGGAAGGTGGAGTGGAGGAGACCCTGAGAGGTCAGAACAAGCACAGAGGAGGGCTGCCATGGAGTCCCCTAGGAGTATCCTGGGGCAAATGTAAAACAGGACTACAACCCTGACCAGTCTCATGTGCCTGCTGTGAGAGGAACATCATCCCGACTGAGGGGAGGGTTCAACACTAGGTGTTTTGGGGTAACCACGTAAAGCATTTTGCATTGTGTCTCTAGGTAAAAGGAAGAGTGATGAGAAAAATATTGGAGTGAAGCCTCAGGGGTGACTCATAGTACTATATAAGTGGAGCTAGCTGCCTTTCAACAAATATGACTCCCTACCATAGGTTTGTCACTGCCTTTTACTTTTTGAAACATTCAAATAAAGTAGAAAATTAGAATTCACACAATTAGAAGAAAACTCAATCCATCGTCTTTTTTTTTTAACCCCTCAGACAGGGTCTCGCTCTGTCCCCCAGGCTGGAGTACAGTGGTGCTGTCACGGCTCACTGCAGCTTCACCCTCCCAAGTAGCTAGGACTACAGGCATGTGCCACCACACTCAGCTAGTTTTACATTTTTTTATAGAGATGAGGTCTCACAATTTTGACCAGGCTGGTCTCAAACTCGTAGACTCAAGCAATCATCCTGTCTTGGCCTCCAAAAGTGCTAGGATTACAGGCATGAGCCACCTTGTCCAGCCTCCTTTTTCCTTTGTATCTCTACTTCACTTTTCCCTTCCTCCCTCACTACTTCTCTCAACAGCGCAGCCTCTGACGCATCCACGGTGGTGGTTTGGAGCCTATAGACACTTCTGTGTGCACACACAAACACACACCCTCGCACATACACCCTCCTCTATCCCCACTGCTGTAGCGCCCACACAACCTCCAGCTACCCTACAGCAATTAGAGGGAAGATACACACAAATAATAACAAGCTCACCAGCTCCCTCCACTTCAGTGTCTATGGCAACCTCCTGGGGTCTTTGGGCTGGGTTGCTCTGGTTGCAGCCAGTCCCCTGGGCAGCACCAGCACTCAGGCTGTGCTCAGAGCTCAGAGAACAGGGAATGACAAAGATATCAGTACCCTGATAAGCACCAGAGGCACCCCACTGGGTGGGACCATCTTTCTCTTTGAAGCCTGCAAAGTCTCACGTCCATGAGGGGTTTTCAATCCATATTCTAAGCAGAATCCATGGGGTTACGAGGCCAGGCCGCAACAGCTAGTCAACATATATATATTGACGTTCCACATAAGATTTGGTTGCAGTTAAGAGTCCCTGACTAAAAAGAAGTTTGGAACCCATTGGACTTCTGGGTCCTTTCCAACTCTGAGATTCTATGATTAGTTTTGGAGAATTAGGAGTGATGAGATCATGACCTCTCTCCAAGGAACTCTGAGAGAATTATTAATGGTGCGGCATTTAAAACTGGAGAGAAGATGTGATCATGGAGATAGGAAAGAGTGAGAAAGCAAATACAACATTTGTTTTGTTTTGAGACAGTGTCTCACTCTGTCACCCAGGCTGTGGTGCAGTGGTGTGATCCTAACTTACTGCAGCCTCTAACTCCTGGGCTCAAGCCATTCTCCTGCCTCAGCCTCCTGAATGGCTGGGACTATAGGTCCATGCCACTATACCGAGCTTAATTAAATTTTTTTTGGTAGAAATGAGGGTCTTGCTATGTTGCCCAGGCTGGTCTTGAACTCCTGGCCTCAGGCTGTCCTCCTGCTTTGGCCTCTCAAAGTGCTGTGATTACAGGCATGAGCCACTGTAAACACAGTATTTAAATAAGCAATCCTCACACTGGGAGGGAGTGAAGGATGCCCCTCTTTGCCCTGGAAGGTACATCAGAAAAAGCCTACCAGTGGGCTTCTCCAAATCACTACTTTTTCCCATCCTTCCTGAGTCTAAAAGCTGGAAAAAAAAAAAAAAAAAAAGACTGAAACCACAGATTATGTCAATGAGTGCAGCATTTTTTTTTTTCTTTTCTTTTTTTTTTTAAGATAAAGTCTCACCATGTCGCCTAGACTGTTCAGTGGCATGATCCTAGCTCACTGCAGCTTCTATCTCCTGGGCTCAAGTGATCCTCCCACCTCAGTCTCCTGAGTAGCTGGGACTACAGGCACAAGCCACCATGTCCTACTAATTTCTTTTTTTATTTTTAGTAGAGACGAGGTCTTGCTGTGTTGCCTGGGCTGGTCTTGAACTCCTGAACTCAAGCAGTCCTCCTGCCTCAGCCTCCCTAAGTGCTGGGGTTACAGACATGAGCCACAGCACTTGGCCTGACTGCAGTATTTCTTAGAGGAGGGGCTGAGATATTTGAGGTGAGTGGCTGAGCTCCTAAAGTTTGGGACGTAGGAGATTTTGGAATGAGAGTTTGGGGCGAGGGCTGCAGCATCTGGTGTAAGGAACTGAGGTGTCTGGAATAGAGTTTGAGGCACTAGGGATGAAGAGCTGAGCTGAGAAATTCAGGTAAGTGTAGAAATATGTAACGTGAGGAGCTGAGGGCCTGATAGGGGGGAACTTCCTTACATTTTCCAGCCAGCGGGTTAGTTCCAAAGAGCAATGTGATCCTGGCCTTCTCATCCATCAAGTCCAGGGCATGGCCCCCTCTGCCTCTTGACCCCTCTGCCATCCTCCTATAGACTGTGAGCTTCTTGAAGGCAGGGCATTGCTGATCTTTCTCTTTGTATCCCCAACACCTACCATTGAAGCCTGGCACATAGTAGGTGCTGTCATTTATGGAATGAATGAAGTATTGGGTGCAAGGGGCTGAGATATTTGCAGTGAAGAGGCAGAACCAGTGGACAAATCTGTCATCAGAGACAGTGACAGAGCTGTCATCAGAGGCACAAGGGAGGTACTGATGTGACGACAGGCGGGCGGCATGCGTCAGCGTGGACGACCTGGGCAGGAAGAGCGGCATGTGGGGCCCCCTGGTGGGCAAACGTGAGGGGCACAGGGAGGTACAGGAAGGGGAGCGTCAAAAAAAAATGACAAAGGGAGGTGTGGTGAGGATGACAAAACTCACCAGCGTAGCTAACGTCTAGAGAAAGCTTGCTACTTACAAGGCACATGCACTAAGCACTCTAAATAAGCTACTCTATTTAACCCTCACCATCACCCTGCAAGTGTGGGAGTTTTACAGAGGAGGAAACTGAAGTTTAGAAAGGTGAAGTAGCATGTCCCAGGGCAAATAGCTAACACAATTTATGGTGGAGCTGCGAGAATATGATTGAAGGGCAGTGAATAGAAAGAGATAGGGGGGTCAGTAAATTGTATGGGGAGCAATCCAGATAGGCTGACACCACCAATACCATCTAGATTGGAATCTTAAACTCAGTGTGGATTTATCTCAATCTAGTCCCAGCCTCCTGAATCCAGGCATGTACCCACAGGGGACATTTGTTCATTCATTCATTCATTCATTTATTTTACTGAGTAGCTCCTCTGTTACAGTCATTTAGGAAACAGAAGAGGAGAATCCAGCAAAACTCTGCCTCTTGTAGCTTACATCCCTGTAGGCAGGCAGTGTAACTGGAAAGAGGTCATTTTGGACTGGAGTTAGGTCCTACTACAGAGAAAGTAAAATCAAGTAATGGGGATAGAGAGTGACGGGGTAGGGAACATAGAGGGCGCCTTTAACCGAGGTGCTCAGACCTGGGGGCTCTCTGAACGCAACTTTTAAGGGAGACATTTAGGAATAACATTTAGAAATGATGATAAGGAGGTAGTTGTTTGAAGATCCAAACAAGAGCATTCCTGGTGGAAGGGGCAGTGACAAAGTCCTGAGATAAAAAATGGTCATGGTCCCAGCTACTCGGGAGGCTGAGGCCTGAGGATCACTTAAGCCTGGGAGGCAGAGGATGCAGTAAGCCGTGATCATGCCACTGCACTCCAGCCTGTACAACAAAGTGAGACCCTGTCTCAAAAAAAAAAAAAAAAAGGTCATGGCATATTTGAGGGGTGGAAAGAAGACTGGTGTGGCCAGAGTGGGCCAGGGGGCAGCAGGAGGAGAATAGGGCCCAGAGGTCGTAATAAACCCCACATCCTGGTACAACCACCCTGATGTTCCTTCTGTGGCCCCAAACTCTGTAACTCGCAGGGAGCCCACAAGGACAGGCTACCTCCATGCTCACAAACAAAGGAGACCTGAAATCCCAGCTCAGTGCAAGAAGACACCTTCATCAAGGACAGACATAAATCTGGGTCTGGAGCTAGAAGTGATGCTGTTCCTTGGCCCCTGGCCACCACAAAGAAGGGTGGTAGAGATGGCCACAGGATGACCTGTCTGCACTCCAGGGACTCTGGGGGTGATGCACTGGGGGTCTCTGCAGAAACAGGCAGTTTCCCCTTAGTCCATTCAAACAACTGTCTCCCTGCCCTGGGCAAGCTTTATTCTTAACCCCTCCAGCGGACAGCAACAGGCCAGAAATAGGCCCTGCCTTAAAGAGCTTTACTCACTGGGGACAAGAAGATAAACATGATAATAAAACAAGGATACAAGCCCCAAGATTAATACCACAGGCAGCCTCTGGATCTTTGCACAAGTGGCTGCCTGACTCACTCTTCCCTTCCCTCTTTGCCTGTCTGTCCTCCAGGTCTCTGCCCAAGCAGCATTTTCTCAGGGTAACTTTCCCTGGCCTCTTGATCAGATCAAATTTGTATCTTGACAGCCCCAAAACTACCACCTGCCACTTCTTCAAAGCACTCGTCCCAAGTGTATACAGGTGTTTCTATGACTACAGGCATAATGAGGGTAGGGTCTATTCCTGTTTATGTTCATCCTGGCATCCCCAGGATCTAAAGTGCCTCGGCTGTAGTAGGTACTCAATAAATGCTTGGAAAGTAAAAGCAAAGTATGATGTAAATGGGAGTAATGGAATCAGTTGGAACCATCAGAAGTGACTTAACAGAGAGGAAGGAGAGGAAGGATGTTGGTGGATAGAGGTGGAGTTGAGGTGGCAATGCCAGTGGAAAACACAGTGTTGAGGTGCTGAGGGCTTGGCAGGTGTTTGGGACATGGGGTGGTCAGGAGAAATGGAGGGGAGGGGGTGAAGAGGGGAGAAACAGGCCATAAAGCTGGGACCAGCCATGTGGAAATCGTGCCTGGCTGTGGGTGGGCTAACAGGCCAGGCAGGGACTTGCCTCAGGAAGGACCCATGTCAGGCCGGGCATGGTGGCTCACGCCTGTAATCCCAGCACTTTGGGAGGCCCAGGCAAGAGGATCACCTGAGAGGTCAGGAGTTCGAGACCAGCCTGGCCAATATGGCGAAACCCTGTCTGTACTAAAAATACAAAAATTAGCCAGGTGTGCGGGTGTTCGCCTGTAATCCCAGCTATTTGGGAGGCTGAGACAGGAGAATCACTTGAACCTGGAAGGCGGAGGTTGCAGTGGGCCAAGATCGTGCCAGTGCCCTTTAGCCTGGGTGACAGAGCGAGACTCCATCTCAAAAGAAAAAAAAAAAAAAAAAAGAAAGACCCATGTCCAACTCTCTGGACTCCAGGCAAGGTCCAGAGGCTGCTAGGTCCCAGACCTGAGCTACAAATGATCCCCTTCCAGACATTCCCACTTGAATGTCCCACTATCCACCCAAATTCAACATGATCCCCATCCAAATTAACCACATTGAGAAGCTGGATAACATGGTGGTTAAGAACACACTAGCCATGGGAGCCTGTGAGCATTTCTTTTGTTTTTTGTTTTTGAGACATGGTCTCGTTCTGTTGCCCAGGCTGGAGTGTAGTGGTGCAATCACAGCTCACTGCAGCCTAGACTTCCCAAGCTCAATCTATCCACCTACCTCGGCCTCCTGAGTAACTGGTTCTACAGGTGTGTGCCACCATACCCAGCTATTTTCTTTTTGTATTTTTTGTAGAGACGGGGTTTCACCATGTTGCCCAGGCTGGTCTCAAACTCCTGACCTCAGTGATCTGTCCGCCTTGGCCTCCCAAAGTGCTGGGATTACAGGCATGAACCACTGTGCCTGGCCTGTGTTTTATGACTTGTCTGCGCCTCAGTTTTCTTACTGGCAAAATAGGAATAGTAGTACTCACTTCATAGACTTTTTTTTTTAATTAGCATCTAATTTATTTTCACTGGCAAAAAAATGTATATATTTATCATATACAACATGTTGTTTTGAAATATGTATACATTATGGAATGGCTAAATGCAGCTGATTAACATATGCATACCTCACATACTGTTTTTTGTATTGAGAACACTTTAGAATCGACTTTCTTAGTTATTTTCAAGAATACAGTACATTGTTATTAACTATAGTCACCATGCTAACTTATTTTTTTTTGAGACAAGGTCTCGCTCTGTCGCCCAGGCTGGGGTGCAGCAGCATGATCCTGGCTCACTGCAACCTCTGCCTCCCATGCTTAAGTTGGTATTACAGGTACGTGCCACCAGACTCAGCTAATTTTTATTTATTTATTTATTTATTTATTTATTTATTTATTTATTTATTGTAATTTTAGTGGAGACAGAGTTTTGCCATGTTGGCCAGGCTGGTCTCAAACTCCTGACCTCAAGTGATCCACCCACCCCAGCCTCCCAAAGTGCTGGGATTACAGGCCACTGCACCCAGCCAATCACTGTGCTGTATCTCCTGATAGATCTCTTGAACTTATTCCTCCTATCTATTGATAGGATTTTATGAGGAATAAATTATCAGTATAAGTGAAGGGCAAAACAGTGCCTGGAATAGTCAGGGCTCAATAAATATTAGCCATTGTAACTATACCCCTTGCCAACCTTGACCAGTTTTCTTCTCAGGTTCCCTTGGCTCTGACAGTGACGTGACTAGTTGCTGATGACCTAGGTTCAGAATCTTGGAGTCAATCTTGACTCATCCCTTATCTCGCTTAGAGGGCAGAGCTGGGTTTGAATTCTGGGACTGCTGCTTACTATTAATACTTGTGCGACCTGGGCAAGGTAACTAAGCTCCCTGAGCTTCATGTTCCTCATTGGTAAAATAAAGATGTTGTAACTTTCACTGTAGGGTTGTTATAATAATTTAATGATAGTATTTGTAGGTGAATGGTTCGATGCCTGATGCTAAATAAATGGTACTTGTTATCATTATCATCCTGTATATCATTAGGAACTGACACCTATATATTTTTCCCTTTACATGTCCTTGTATCCATCTCTTCTTTTTTATTTCCCTCCCACCATCCTGGACTAGGCCTTCCTCAGCCTCCCGAGTTTCTGCAGTAGCCCTCCTTCTAACTTTGCTGACCCATTTTATTCATTTTCCTCTTTCTTTTTCTCTTTCTTTCTCTACCTTTTTTTTATTTCCTCCCTCCCTCCCTCCTTTCCTTCCTTTCCTTCCTTTCTTTCCCTTTCTTCCCTTCCTTCCCTCCCTTCCTTCCTTCCCTATCTCTTTTTCTTCCTTTTTAAGAAATATTGGCCAAGTGCAGTGGCTCACACCTGTAATCCCAGCACTTTGAGAGGCCGAGGTGGGTGGATCACCTGAGGTCGGGAGTTCAAGACCAGCCTGACCAACACGGAGAAAACCTATGTCTACTAAAAATACAAAATTAGCCGGGCATGGTAGTGCATGCCTGTAATCCCAGTTACTCAGGAGGCTGAGGCAGGAGAATTGCTTGAACGCGGGAGGCGGAGGTTGCAGTGAGTCGAGATTGCGCCATTGCATTCCAGCTTGGGCAAGAAGAGCAAAACTCCGTCTTAAAAAAAAAAAAAGAAATATTAATGGGACATTGTCTCAGTGCTGGGGATATAGTAGTGAACAAGGCTGGTCGCGGTGGCTCACGCCTGTAATTCCAGCACTTTAGGAGGCTGAGGCAGGTGGATCACCTGAGGTCAGGAGTTCGAGACCACCCTGACCAATATGGTGAAACCCCGTCTCTATTAAAAATACAAAAATTAGCCGGGTATGGTGGCGTGCGCCTGCAGTCTTAGCTATTTGACTGAGACAGGAGAATTGATTGAACCCAGGAGGTGGAGGTTGCAGTGAGCAGAGATCACGCCAGTGCACTCCAGCCTGGGTGACAAAGCAATACTCTGTCTCAAAAAAAAAAAGGAGTGAACAAAAGAGGTGATGTCCCTGCCCTCAGGAAGCCACTTTGGGAGGCACTTGAGGTCCCAGCACTTGAGGTCAGGAGTTTGAGAGCAGCCTTGCCAACATGGTGAAACCCCATCTCTACTAAAGATACGAAAATTAGCAGCTGGGCACAGTGGCTTACGCCTATAATCCCAGCACTTTGGGAGGCCAAGGTGGAAGGATCACGAGGCCAAGAGATCGAGACCATCCTGGCCAACATGGTGAAACCTCATCTCTACTAAAAATACAAAAATTAGCCGGGCATGGTAGCGCATGCCTGTAATCCCAGTTACTTAGGAGGCTGAGGCAGGAGAATCACTTGAACCCGAGAGGCGGAGGTTGCAGTGAGCCGAGATTGCAACAATGCACTCCAGCCTGGGCAACAGAGCCAGACTCCGTCCCAAAAAACAACAACAACAAACACAAACAAACAAACACAAATAATAAATTTCTTCTTTTTTTTTTTTTTGAGACGGAGTCTCACTCTGTCGCCCAGGCTGGAGTGCAGCGGCGTGATCTCGGCTCACTGCAAGCTCTGCCTCCCGGGTTCATGCCATTTTCCTGCCTCAGCCTCCTGAGTAGCTGGGACTGCAGGCGCCCACCACCACGCCCGGCTAATTTTTTTGTATTTTTAGTAGAGATGGGGTTTCACTGTGTTAGCCAGAATGGTCTCTATCTCCTGACCTCTTGATCGCCCCACCTCGGCCTCCCAAAGTGCTGGGATTACAGGCGTGAGCCACTGCGCCCGGCCACAAATAATAAATTTCTTATGTTGAACATAGATTGCTTGAACAACAACAACAATAATGCCATATTTTCTCCCTACTATCTCATTTTAATCATCATAACAACCCTAAGGGTAAGTTTTGGTATTCTCATTTTACAGATGAGATTGCGCTGATTCTCTGAACTCACCCCTTGAAATGGTTGGCACCTAATTATGGGCTTGCTGTTTGCTTTCTTAAAATTTTGGTTTTAACTTCTCATTTAGATCATAGGTCCCTTAAAAGCAGAGCCCTAGTCTTCTCCTCCTTATATCTCCTTCTCCTCATATCTTGTGGCCAAGCACTGTGTGCTATACACAGTGAGTGCTTTTTAACGGGTCTGTCCGTTGGATGGATCCTGTTCTGATATGGGCCGCTTATATTGGTGGTGGTGCCATCTTGAATGCTTTCCACTCTGGGCCCAAGGATGGAGAACCTGGAGATGGTGCGGGCCACAGAAGTGAGGAGGCTAGGTCTCCACCCCAAACGGGCAGTGATTCTGCTTGTCCACTAGAGGCCGCCTTAGACCCAGTTTTAGAGAGCCGGAGAGCTACCAGATTACTCAGCCCACTCCACCCCAGGGGTCATTTCCAGCACCAAGTCTGTCTTAGAACCCAAGGCCCCACAGTCCATTATTGGTGCCTCCAGCTATGGTTTCTTCCAGTAGATCACTAGATCTCAGACATGGAATGAGCTCCAGAATAAAAGTTGCTGATGCCAGCTAGATAACAGGAGTGTTCTGGCAGGTTCCAGGTGCCCCTCAATGAGCCAAATCAACAAATGTATATGGGGCACCCAACTGAGCACCTTCTGTGTACTAGGCAGGGTGCTATACTCTGGGACTAGTTTGGTGAACAAGACCTCCCTTCTCTACTCTCCCAGCTCTTATGATCTAATGAGGTACACAGACAAATCTAAAATCAATGCATTGTGTGATAAACTGCTGACATGATTTCTCCTCCAGGGTTAGTTCTCTCTATGTCTCATTTCACTGTGAATTATCCCATGAGACACCTACTTGCTTTAGGGCAAGGAAGTAAGGCCAGAAGCAGAGAAAAGAAAATCATCCACATTTGGAGAATCACTGCAGAACCCCTCCTTTCAGGAGGTATAAGGATCTCCAGTGTCTTCTGGTAGATCTGAGGGCATCTGGGGCTGGAGTGGGTGCTGGGGACAAGGAAGTACCAGGCCACCTCGACACAGCCTTCCTGCTCTTCCTTCTCCAGGTGGCCTGGGAGCTTTGCTTGGGAAGTGAAGCAGATTCCCCAGACTTTGGGTTGTGATCTGCCTGCTTACTTTCTCACTGATTTATCTTTGCCTCTTTTTGTTTATTTATTTCTTCCTTTTTCTCAGATTATCTGTCAGTCAACATGTTTGTCAAATGAATGTGATATTCAGGGCACTCTTTTTCACTCAGAAGCATGAGGTCAAGGAAGTCACAACAGAGTTGGGGAGATAAGATACAGAGGGATAGAGACAGACTCCCGTGCAGTGCCGCATTTTTCTAAGTGCAAGTTGTGGCTGCCCGTGGCCATTTCCAGGGATAGATCCCTGGGGTCTGAGGGAGTCCGGGAAGGCTTCCTTCCTGGAGGAGCTCTCAGCCTGCCCAGTGGTGAGTTTCTGTGTGCGGGTGTTTTCAGAAAAGACAGAGAAGAGTGAAACATCCCCTCCACCCAGTTGTTCATTCCGCTGTGCCTGGACAAGGGTCTCAGAGGCCCCAGTGCTCCACATTCCTGAGAAGCAGCTTCTGAGTCAGAGCCCCAGAAACAGCTGAGGCGGCTTCAGGCTGGAGTCTTGGCTCTGTTTTCCTCCATTCTGTCCAAAAGCAACTCCCTCCGTAGCTATTTGGATGTGACCAGAAACCCAAGCAGGGCCCTGGGGTGGGAGCCTGGCTCAGCCAAAGTCTATAAAATGGATTTGTTCCCTGCATTCCCTCCAGGGCTGCAGCCGTCAGGTAAAGGTGGGTGCCCAGTGACACCTGTGCCAGAAAGCCCAAGGGGCAGGGGAGACTCACCCTGTGCCTACAAGTTACAGCCCCCAATGCAGCTATTATTGGGTTGCCTCCGGGAAGGGGGTCGTAATTAGGATTTGGCTTAAGTTAAGACAGCAGCATTCCCTGGGCAATCTGCCAGCACCTCCTCACTGCCTGGGCGTGGGGCCCAGGACATGCCAGGGCAATGCCAGAGAGCTGACTCAGGGGGCGGCATTAGGGGAACAGAAAAACCCTTCCCACCCGCCAGCCAAGAGAGGAGATGAAGCTGCCTGGGGGCCCGCTGTGATGGCCCTGCATGCCCAGACCACTAGCAGGCTGTGTATGGGGTCACTTCTCAGGCCACAGAGCCATGAAGCCCCATATTTCCTGGGGCCATCAGCAGAAGGCCAGGGCTCCCCATTCATTCTCTGAGTTCCTTTCTTCCTGCAAAGACCTCTAGCTATGCAGGTCTAGGTTCCCCAAACCCCTTTCTACATTGATGCAGGCCCTGCCATTGCCACTTTCTTAAGACTGTGACCTTGGGCAAGTCACTTACCTGGGTGAGACTTAGATTCCTTATATTTAAGATGCGATGAAGAATATCTGCTTGCCTCATAGGGCTGCAGTAAGGATCAAATGAGATAATGTCTATGAAGGTATCTTGTATATTATAAAGCACATTTATAATAAGGGTATTATTGTTGTCATCATTATTCCTGAGACAGAAATTATAGCCTCTGGCTCCTGAAGCTCAAAGTCCTCCTCTTTGCCTCCTTTATTCTGACAAGTTGCTCTGAAACCCAATGCCATAATCTTAAACCAGTCTTGAGCCTCGGAAGCATTGACACCCGCTCTTCTGCCTGGTGCTATGGTGCCAGCTCCGGGAAGCAACCCCCATCACCCTAGCTCTGTTAAACCGGTTCTTTCTCTTCTAATCAGACTCCTCCAGTCCAGTTTGCCTGCAATGATGACAAAGAAACCTAAAATAGCACAGGCTCTGCAAACACTGCTAGAAACTGAGCTTGGGGCATAAGGTGCTGTCTGTCACCCATGGGCCCGTCTGGGCATCCCAGCCAGGTGCAGCCCTCTGCCCTCCAGGGTCTGGCCTATCTTCCTTTATGCAGCCCCAGGATGACAGTTCCTCCTGTCAGCACTTTGTGTGGCTGAATTGGATGACTACCTAGAAAGCTGGCTTGGCTAGAGGTGCCAGAGGAGGGGGCTTACTGCTCCCTCGACCAGGTCCTCACCCCTGCGCTCTTGGGAACTTCCCTCGTGCCAAGAGGCCAGGTGAGCTGAGCTAATATCACAGGGAACAGCAGCTGCAACTGTGGCCCCAGGGAAGGTTGTGGACTGGGTACCGGAAAACCCTGATTCTGAGGACCCTGTGACGAGCAGGCCCTGGCTTGTCATTGTGACTACAGAACCAGTTTAGTGTGCAGCTGCTGGAGTGCCTGCCTGTGGGCCACTGGGCCTAGCTAGGCTCTGGGATTTCCCATGGGGCCTTCATATGACTTACCCTGGTGGGTGTGGTGGCTGCCAAGGCCTGATTCAAATGAGGAAGCTTGCAGCAGGGAGCCACGGGCATTTCTTGCCGCTCTAGCAGAACACTCATCATTGCCTAGTCCTTCTCTAATTGACCCGATGTTAAGTCGCCATTTGCATGTGGCACGAGTCTCTACCTTTAGAACTTTCTCATCCAGCTCTTTTGTTTTCTTTTCTTTCCTTCTTTCTTTCTCTTTTTCTTTTCTTTTCCTTTCCTTCCCTTCCCTTCCCTCCCCTTCCCTTCCCCTCCCCTCCCCTCCCTTCTCCTCCCCTTCCCTCCCTTCTCCTCCCCTTCCCTTCCCTTCCCTTCCCTTCCCTTTTCTTTGTCTCATCATCTCCCTCTGTCGCCCCAACTGGAATGCAGTGGCGTGATCTTGGCTCACTGCAACCTCCACTTCCCAGGCCCAAGTGATTCTTGTGATTCTCCTCAGCCTCCTGAGGAGCTGGGATTACAGGCACACGCCACCATGCCTGACTAATTTTTTGTATTTTTAGTAGAGACAGGGTTTCACCATGTTGGCCAGGCTGGTCTTGAACTCCTGACCTCAAATGATCCTCCTGCTTTGTCCTCCCAAAGTGCTGGGATTACAGATGTGAGCCACCACGCCTGGCCTCATCCAGCTCTTTCTTTTTTTTTTTTTTTTTTTTGAGACAGAGTCTCACTCTGTTGCCCAGGCTGGAGTGCAGTGGCCTGATGATCTTGGCTCACTGCAATCTCCTTCTCCCAGGCTCAAGCGATTCTCATGCTTCAGCCTCTTGAGTAGCTAGGACTACAGGTGCCTACCACCACACCCAGCTAATATTTGTATTTTTTGGTAAAAGCGGCCAGGCTGGTCTTGAACTCCTGACCTCAGATGATCCACCCACCTCGGGCTCCCAAATTGCTGGGATTACTGGTGTGAGCCACCGCACCTGGCCATCCTCCAGCTTTTTCTAAAACACCTTCTTTAGTACGTGTGTTCCTTTGCTGGGTGGTTACTATAAGAAAGACAGATGAAGTATTAGCTTATGTCAGAATCCCAAACTGATGGTCTGTTGGTCAAATGTAGACCCCAGACCTGATTTTGTTAACATGTACTGTTTTAATTGGGAAAATTTAACATTAAAAAATCCAGGTTTCAGCTGGGCATAGTGGCTCATACCTGCACTTCCAGCACTTTGGGAGGCCGAGGCAGAAATATCGCTTGAGGTGAGGAGTTCAAGACCAGCCTGGGCAACATAGCAAGACCCCACCTCTACCAAAAAAAAAAAAATTAGCCAAGTGCAGTAGTGCGTGCCTATAATTCTAGCTACTTGGGAGGAGCATCCCTTGAGCCAGGAAGTCGAGGCTGCAGTGAGCTGTGATTGTGCCACTACACTCCAGCCTTCGTGACAGAATGAGACCCTGTCTCTAACAAAACCAAAATCAAAACAAAACAAACCCAGATTTCAAATATCTTAACATTTGGTGTCCTTAGGTTGATTTTTCTCAGAAGCAGACCCTGCTACAAGGCTTCAGTACCAAGTAGTTTATTTGGGAGGGGGGTTCAGTACCAAGTAGTTTATTTGGGAGTTAATTCCAGGAAACTGCAGTAAGGGAGTGGGGAAGTGAGACAGAGAAAGAAAGTGGGAGCTGGGTGCAGAGGTTCATGCCTGTAATTCGAGCACTTTGAGAGGCCAAGGCAGGAGGCTCGCTTGAGCCCAGAAGTTTGAGACAAGCTGGGCAACATAGTGAGACCCTGTCTCTACAAAAACATTTAAAAATTAGCTGGGCGTGGTAGCACATGCTTGTAGTTCCAGCTACTTGGGAGGCTGAGGTAGGAGAATTGCTTGAGCCTGGGAGCTGTGATTGCACCACTGCACTCCAGCCTGGGCAACAGAGTGAGAATGTGCCTCAAAAAAAAAAAAAAAAAAAAAAGGCCAAGTGCAGTGGCTCACTCCTGTAATCCCAGCACTTTGGGAGACCAAGGTGGGCAGATCATTTGAGGTCAGGAGTTTGAGAGCAGCCCGGCCAACATGGCAAAACACTGTGTCTACAAAAAATACAAAAATTAGCCAGGCCTGGTGACGGGCACCTGTAATCCCAGCTACTTCGGAGGCTGAGACAGGAGAATCGCTCGAATCTGGGAGACGGAGGTGGCAGCGAGCTGAGATCACGCCACTGCACTCCAGTCTGGATGACAGAGCAAGACTCCGTCTGAAGAAAAAAAAAATTACAGAAAGGAATTGAGACAGTCAATAAGGGTGAGGTTTCAAGGAAGGAGTATATGGGCAGCTGGAGCTTAATTTTCCTGGAGAACTCTGGGAAAAGTGTCCAACATGTATCTCAAAGTTTTCTCACCTGAGAGGCAAGGGCATTAGGGTATTTATCCACCAAACTCATCAGTCACTGGTTGGGCGCTGATGTGGTGTAGGGGAGGAAGGGTAATGGCAGTGGTAACTCCTGGGGAACTTCCAGCCTACTGTGCAGGAGGGAAGAGTGGGCTCCAGAGGCCAGAGGAAGCTGGCACTGACAGGATCTGCTACAATACAGAAGACCTAGCAAAACTGGTCTTCAGCTCCCACGTGGCAATAATCAGTGAAAGCTGAGCAGCAGTTGCTCCTTTAGGAAAGTCAAGAACTGCACTCAGCCTGCTTCCCTCTTTATATTACCTGTACAGCTTCGTGGGTGCTCACGTTCACGACTCCTGGTTTATGTCTGTGTGTAGTCTACTCCACTACAGCTCTGAATCCCACTGTCTCTGTTTCCAATAGTTTGTTTCCTATTCTTCTATGCATTACATGATACAGCTAGCCCAGTGATTCCAAAATATGTTGACTTGCTGGGCACAGTGGCTCATGCCTATAATCCCAGCACTTTGGGAGGCTAATTCGGAGGATTGCTTGAGTCCAGAAGTTCAAGACCAGCCTGCGCAATGTGGTGAAACCATCTCTTCAAAAAGAAGAAGAAGAAAAGAGTACAAAACTAGCCAGTCATAGTGGTGCGTTCCTGTAGTCCCAGCTACTCTGGAGGCTGAAGTGGGAGGATCACCCGTCTGGGAGGTCGAGGCTGCAGTGAGCTGAGATTATACTCTAGCCTGGGTGACACAGTGAGACCCTGTCTCCAGAAAAAAAAAAAAGAAAAAAAGAAAAAATGTTGACTGATTATTTTTGTTTCTCTAGCCCTGCAACTGAATTATTTAGCTCCCTGAATCTCAGACTGCCTTCCCTCTATGCAGTTAAGTGCACTGTGTCAGAGCATGTGAAATAGAGCCTCACTTTGAGGACTGATGAGAGGAGGCCCTTCGTTATCTCTTTGACGTCTTGTACCTGACTGGCTTTCAGTTCCTACAGTGCTCTGAGTTCCTTTCTGCCTCATGTCAACTCCTCTGCCTGGGAAGTTCTTTTTCCCCTTACGACAGGCTCCCTCGTGGCCATTCTTCAGGATTCAGTGTCAATGTCACCTCCTCAGTGGGATATTCCACTTCATCCGCTCCTCCGCCCCTCACCAGGTTATGTCCCTCTGCTGTACATTCGCACAGGCCATTGTATTCCTTCTTAGCATATTCACTATCATTCCTTACATATTGGTTGAATTTGTATTTACACTGTGGTTGCATCATGAATGCAGTTTACTTACTCAAACCCGACCACACACTCAGCTGAAAAAGCCCAAAACAAAGAAATTCCTTTATTTAGAGTCACATGCCACCGTTAAAGCCAGATCTTGACAGCTACTGCCCCAGGGTCACAACCAAAGTACAAAGAGAAATAGATGTTATTTCTCGGCTTTTGTGCTTCTGAATGCCTAGGTCCTGGTAATGTAAGGGATTTGCAGGAATAAGTTGGCTATCTTTATGTCCCAGACTGATTTTAGAATCTGCCACTATTCCCATAAATGCAGAAGGTGGAAATCCATTGTATTATCTGGCTCCCCTCTGAATTGAAGCTCCACGAGGACAGGTTATGGGCTTGCCTTTATCATTGCTGGATCCCCAGAGTCTAGCACAGTGCTGGACACATAGTAAGTACTCAGTACATCTTGGGTTGATGGATAAATGATGCTAGGTGGATGACGGATAATGGATGATGGATGGAAGAGGGATGGTCAGAGCCATGAGGACCAGCACAGTGCAGGATGTCCCTGGAGATAGGCTAATACTTGATCCGACTTAACTACTGGGGGTGGGGAAGAAGGATGAAGGAAATGAGATGGTTGCACTACTCCAATGGAACGGACTTGCCAAAGGCCTGTACTTTTGCAGATCTCCAAGGATTTTTTAAATCCCACGCTCTACTTTCCCCCAAACTAAGATCATCGGATTAGAGCCTTAACCAAGGCAGTGTAGCCGCCGCTGAGTCACTACACAGTCCTACTGTACCCCCTCGGGGCTCAGACAGTGGGCACCTCCCAGTTTGGATTCCTATCCTGACCCAAAAACCCCACCCAACTCCCTGCTGTGACCTTGCTCCTTATACTTTCCCTGTCCTCGCCCAAAGCTTTGTTTGACCCCAGTGCCAACCCTGATCTTGATCACAATTGCTTTTACAGCCCTGGTGCCGATCCCAGCAATCCCAACCTTGATTCCCATATATACATATTTTAAAAAAATGTTTGGAGACTGGATCTTGCTATGTTGCCCAGGCCAGTTTCAAACTCCTGTCCTCAAGTGATCCTCCTGCCTCAACCTCCTGAGTAGCTGGGACTACAGATGTGCCACCATGCCTGGCTTTGATTCCCATCTTGACCCTAACCTTGGCCCAGGTATGTCTTTGCTTCTGATCCTGAGTACCTTGTACATCTGTGCATCTATGCCTTTTTTTATTATTAGTTTTGGCTATTTATAAAGCTTTTGCACACATTATTTCATTTGACATTTACAACTTTACATAATCATCCTATCTTACACACGAGAAAACTGAGACTTGTGAAAAATGCCTAAGGCCACACAGCTAGTAAATGGGGGAAACTAGATCAGATTCAGGTCTTCCAGCTTTAAATCCAGCACTACAGGAGCCTGGGTGGCTGAAGCTCCCCATATAGGTCTCCGTTGCCCTTGTGAAGCCATGAGTTCAAAACCAGCATGGGTAACAGAGTGAGCAAAACAAAGGATCTCGGGGTTCTAATAGTAGTGGTGATAACAATAACCTTAGCTTACTGGGGAATTCCCTCATGACAAGCAGAGTGCCAAGAAGCTCTTCATGCACCAGCTATCTTATCCCCACAGCAATGCTATGGAGCTTGATAGCCCCATCTCACAGAGGAAACCATGGCTTATGGAGGTTAACGGCTTATGTGTTTAAGGTAGCACAGCTAACAAGAGTTTGAGCCAGAGTTTCAACCCAAGTCTCTCTGACTTTAATTGCAGTTCACTCCAATCTTTATAAAGAAATGAGATGGGGCAACAGGAAGCAGCTGGAGCCCAGTCTTCTAACCATGGGCCCGCCATACCTTTTGAGCTGTAGTGCCAAATTCCAGGGTATTGTGTTTGATCACCAAAACTGGGTTAAAAATGAGTCAAGCCTTGGCAGAACTGACTCACTGTGGTGTCTGTCAGCTCTAAAAGGAGACAGGAAGCCTCAGAGGGCAACTGCGGACTGACCAGTGGCCAGTGGAAGAAGGTCTCAGAAGCATCCTACCGCAAACCCTGTGGGTGATAAACACAGAAATCCATGTGCCTGCCAAAGAAAAAAAGACTCAGACTCAAAGTTCATTTTTAAAATTAGACCTGCCAGTCCCCATTTCTTTCTCCATACTCAATGTTAAATTGTATTAGATGTGATATTATTGTGGTTATTTATGAGAAAATTTTTGTTCTTAACAGATATAAACTGAAGTGTTTGGGGTGAAGTGTCTCAATGTCTTGCTTTCAAATTGCTAAAGAAAAAATAATTAAAATGAGGTGCATACACATGGCCACCCCGTGTGGAGGGGGCAGGAGACAGAGAAGGCAATTATGAAGAAAGGTGAAAATTGTCAGCCCTATCCGTAGCAGAACTCCATTTGAGTCAACTTCTCTTTCTTTCTTTTTTTTTTTTTTTGAGACGGAGTCTCACTCTGTCCCCCAGACTGGAATGCAGTGGTGCAATCTCGGCTCACTGCAAGCTCCACCTCCCGGGTTCACGCCATTCTCCTGGCTCAGCCTCCCAAGTAGCTGGGACTACAGGCGCCCGCCACCACGCCCGGCTAATATTTTGCATTTTTAGTAGAGACAGGGTTTCACCGTGTTAGCCAGGATAGTCTCGATCTCCTGACCTCGTGATCCACCCGCCTTGGCCTCCCAAAGTGCTAGGATTACAGGTGTGAGCCATAGTGCCCAGCTGGGTCAACTTCTCTTTCATCTCTAACACTCACACTTGATCCTTGTCCCTTGCCAGCAGGTTCTTTATCTCCATCCCAGTCCCCACCCCCATCTCAGTTCACATCACTGAATGTCGTTGCTGCTGTCTTCTCACGTCTCTGAGTCTCAGTCTCAGAGTCTGCTAGATCCTTCTGTTGTGGGATCCTTTTGTTTTGGGTAACTTTTTTTGTAGCAAAATATATCAACATAAAATTTACCATTTTATTTTATTTTATTTTATTTTTATTTTTTGAGATGAAGTCTCAGGCACTGTTGCCCAGGCTGGAGCATAGTGGCACCATCTTGACTCACTGCAACGTCTGCCTCCCAGGTTCAAGAGATTCTCCTGCCTCAGCCTCCCAAGTAGCTGGAATTACAGGCATCCACCACCATGCTTGGCTAATTTTTGTATTTTTAGTAGATACAGGGTTTTCACCATGTTGGCCAGGCTAGTCTTGAACTCCTGACCTTAGGTGATCCACCCACCTCGGCCTCCCAAAGTGCTGGGATTACAGGCATGAGCCACTGTACCCAGCCAAAATTTACCATTTTAAAAATTATTATTTATTTTATTGTGGTAAATTATACATAACATAAAATTTACTTTTTTTTGAGACAGATTCTCACTCTGTCACCCAGGCTGGAGTGCAATGGCATGATCATGGCTCACTGAAGCCTCAACCTCTGGGGGTCAAGTGATCCTCCCACTTCTGTCTCCTGGGTAGCTGGGACCACAGGTATGTGCCACCATGCCTGGCTAATTTTTTGTAGAAATGGAGTTTCACTATGTTGCCCAGGCTGGTCTCGAGCTCCTGGGCTCAAGCAACCCACCTACCTCAGCCTCCCAAAGTGCTGGGATTACAGGGGTGAGCCACCGTGCCTGCCACCTACCCTGCCCTACTTTTTATTTATTTATTATTATTTATTATTATTATTATTTTTTAGACAGAGTCTCACTCTGTTGCCTAGGCTGGAATGCAGTGGCGCAATCAAGCCTCAAACTCCTGGGCTTGGCCGGGCACAGTGGCTCACACCTGTAATCCCAGCACTTTGGGAGGCCAAGGTGGGTGGATCGCCTGAGCACAGGAGTTCGAGACCACCCTGGGCAACATGGTGAAACATGTATTTCTCTACTAAAATACAAAAAATTAGCTGGGCATGGTGGCATGCGTCTGTAGTCCCAGCTACTCGGGAGGCTGAGGCATAAGAATTGCTTGAGCCCAGGAGGTGGACATTGCAGTGAGACGAGATCGTGCCACTGCAGTCCAGCTTGGGCTACAGAATGAGACTCTGTCTCAAAAACAGAAACAAAACAAAACAAAACAAAAACCAACCAAACAAACAAACAAAGAAAACTCCCAGGCTCAAACAATCCTCCACATCTGGCTAATTTTTTAAATTTTTTGTAAAGACAGGGTTTTGCTCACTATGTTGCCCAGGCTGGTTTTGAGCTCCTGGCCTCAAGCAATCCTCCCACCTCAGCCTCCCAAAGTGCTGGGATTACATGTGTAAGCCACCACACCTAGCCAAAATTTACCTTTTTAACTATTTTAAAATGTATATTTCAGTGACATTAAATACATTCACATTGTTGTGTAAAAATCACTGATACACATTCCAGAACTTTTTCATTATCCCAGACAGAACCTCCACCTGTAAATAATAACTTCCATTCCCCTTCATCCTCACCCCCTCTAACCACCATTCTATTTTCTGTCTCTATAAATTTGCCTATGTTAAGTACCTCATGTAAGTGGAATTATACAATATGTGGCCTTCTGTGTCTGGCTTATTGCACTTAGCATAATGTTTTCAAGGGTCATCCATGTTGTAGCAGGTATCAGAATTTCCTGGTTTTTTTTTTTTTTTTTTTTTTTTTTGAGACAGAGTCTTGCTCTGTCACCCAGACTGAAGTGCCGTGGCGTGATCTTGGCTCACTGCAACTTCTGCCTCCCAGGTTCAAGCCGTTCTCCTGCCTCAGCCTCCTGAGTAGCTGGGATTACAGGTGTGTACCACCATGGCCAGCTAATTTTTGTATTTTTAGTAGAGACAGGGTTTTACCATGTTGGCCAGGCTGGTCTTGAATTCCTGACCTCAAGTGATCCGCCTGCCTTGGCTTCCCAAAGTGCTGGGATTACAGGCATGAAGCACTGTGCCCAGCCCAGAATTTCCTTCCTTTTTAAGACTAAATAATATGTCATATATGTATATGCCAAGCTTTGTTTATCCATTCATCCATTGATGGACACTTGGGTTGCTTCCACCTTTTGGCTGTTGTGAATAATGCTGCTATGAACATGGGTATAAAAATATCTGTTTGAGTTCCTGCTTTCAATTCTTTTGGGTAGATACCTAGGAGCAGAATTGCTTGATCATATGGTAATTCTATGTTTAACTTTTTTAGGAACTACCAAAATGTTTTCAACAGTGGCTGCATCATTTTACATTCCCACCAGCAATGCACAAGAGTTCCAATTTCTCCATATTCCCACCAGTGCCCTTTTTTTTTTTTTTTTTTTTGAGACGGGGTCTTACTCTGTCACCCAAGCCAGAGTGCAGTGGCATGATCATAGTTCACCGCAGCTTCAAACTCCTAGGCTCAAGTGATCCTCCCACCTTGGCCTCCTCAAGTACTGGGATTGAGGCCAGGCACGGTGGCGCACACCTGTAATCCCAGCACTTTGGGAGACCAAGGTGGGCGGATCACTTGAGGTCAGGAGCTCAAGACCAGCCTGGCCAACATGGTGAAACCCCGTCTCTATTAAAAATCCAAAAATTAGCTGGGTGTGGTGGTGTGCATCTGTAATCCCAGCTACTTGGGAGGCTGAGGCATGAGAATCAATTGAACCTGGGAGGTGGAGGTTCCGATTAGCTGAGATTTTGTCACTGCACTCCAGCCTCGGTGACACAGCGAGACTCCATCTCAAAAAGAAAATAAAGTACTGGGATTACAGGTGTGAGCCACTAAGCCCGACCACCAACACTTTTTCTTTTCTTTTTACTTTTGATAATAGCCATCCTAATGGGTGAGAGGTCATAGGTGAGATCGTTTTTGAACACAATACTCCAGATGCCTGAGTGTTTCAGGCTCCAGGGTCTGCTTCTCCCCCTGAGACCCCACCTCTCCCAGCTCTGAGAGCTGGTGTTTCCCTGTGGTGGCAAAATCACCCTTGCAGCTGAGCAGCCAACATGGTTCTTTCTCCTGCACCCTCTGGTTTCTTCCAAGCTCTGAAGAGCTGGCTATCTCTCTGCCTTCCACTTATGTAGGGTTGGACTGAGAAATAATACAGGCTCTAGGGAGAATACTGACTCTATTTCTGAGCCCACACTCTTCTGAACTTCTTTTTCCACATAGTCTTCCAGACCAGAGGCTACTGTGCTGACTCCATGGAGGCCAGCTATGGCTTTGACCTGCCACTGACCTCAGAACTAGAACAGCATCCAAAGTCTTGGGCAAAACTGTTTCTTGGTCCCATAAGGACCCAGGGGAACATCTTATATTGCTCTGGCTACAACCCCCATGCTATTTGAATCAGCCCCTTCCTTTGCTGAAGTTCATATCTGGGTTTAGGTCTCCAAGACAGACACTGGGTGTGGTGATTCACCCTGTCTAATCCTCATGACTCCTCAAGGGGAACTTGGAGACCTGGAATTTTGGTCAGGAGTCCCTGTTCATATTCCCAGAACCCAGGCTCTCTGGGGTAACATTTGTTTATGTTGTTTAATAGTTACATCCTCTCCATGGCCTTCTGATGTCAAGAGCAGGCCACGTCAAACCTGGCCCCCATGTTCATGTCAAAGCTGGCCCCTATGGGCTACAGACGTCCCAGGCTTTGCTTCAGCCCAGGCCTCACCCCCTTTGCTTACAAGTACCTGATGAAAATTTCTTTTTCTTTTAGCTGATTCTGTCTTCTGTGAAAGCAGGTGGAAAAGACGTTCTGCTGCATTCCACAGAAGGGAAAACAGGCATATGGAGGGAAGTGACTCAGCCAGGTTCATGGATGGAGTCAGCCACCAAGCCAGGAATGGAGCTCTATCCTCTGACTCTGAAACCACAGCCTTCACCACGGCAGTCACTCCTTTCCTCAAGAGGAAGCTTCAGCTCATGCTCGCAGATATGGCCTTTGGACTCAACAGGTGCTACTGGCATTGGGCAGTGGGGCTTTCTACCCCCGGTTCTTCCCACTCCAATCCAGGAGACTACTGGCCTTCAAATATGGATTTCATGGTACAGCACTTTAAAGGAACTTTCTAAGACTTCCTTTTTTTTTTTTTTTTTTTTTTTTTAGACACAGTTTTGCTGTTTCCCAGGCTGAAGTGCAGTGGCACCATCTCAGCTCACTGCAACCTCTGCCTCCCCGTTTCAAGTGATTCTCATGTCTCAGCCTCCCAAGTAGCTGGGAATACAGCCACCTGCCACCACGGCCGGCTAATTTTTTGTATTTTTAGTAGAGATGGGGTTTCACCATGTTGGTCAGGCTGGTCTCGAGCTCCTGACCTCAGGTGATCTGCCTGCCTTGGCCTCCCACAGTGCTGGGATTATAGGCGTGAGCCACCGTGCCAGGCCTCGAAGACTCTTTCTAAAGCAAAGCACATGACTTTCCAAGTTTGGAAAATCAAAAGCCCCTAAAGATAGGAAAGATGACAGCTGTACAAGTCCTCATGCCTTCCGTTGCACTCTCACTTCCTCTCTCGGAGTCCTCTCATTTCAATTCCCAATTCCATTACTGCACCAAGATTCTGGGGTTCATGCTCCCCACAGCCCAAGCACAGACAAATTTCAAATCACTGTCTTTTGCTTCCTATATTTCAACTGAGATTGATGGAGATTTTCAGTTTTACTAAACTTAAGCACACCCTTGCTCAAGAACCTGCAGTACCTTTCTGGAGTCTATGGAATCAAGTGCACACTTCTAGCTGCAGTAAGATCTTTTATAATCTGACCTCACTCTAGTTGAACTTAGCTCTCATGCAATGTAAACCTTCCCTAATCAAGCCAGACTTCTCACTGCTTGTGCATACATCTACACACACACACACACACACACAGAGAGAGACTTAAATACATACAGGTTTATTCTCCACAACACGTAAAAATGTTTATTCCTAGCTCCTGTCTCTTTCCAGGGGTCTTACCTGGAATTCTTGTTTCCTGCCCTCTGCCAATCCCAACCTCACCCATCTTTTAAGATTTGTTCATGGGTGAGCGCGGTGGCTCACACCTGTAATCCCAGCACTTTGGGAGGCTGAGGTGGGTGGATTACTTGAGGTCAGGAGTTTGAGACCAGCCTGGCCAACATGGTGAATCCCGTCTCTACTAAAAATACAAAAAGTGGCTGGATGTGGTGGTGTAAGCCTGTAATTCTAGCTACTCAGGAGGCTGAGGCAGGAGAAATGCTTGAACCTGGAGATGGAGGCTGAGGCAGGAGAAATGCTTGAACCTGGAGATGGAGGCTGCAGTGAGCTGAGATCATGCTACTGCACTCCAGCCTGGGTGACAGAGCAAGACTCTGTCTCAAAAAAAAAAAAAAAAAAAGATTTGTTCAGGAAGCCAGGCATGGTGGTTCATGCCTGTAATCCCAGCACTTTGAGAGGCCAAGGTGGGCAGATTGCTTGAGCTCAGGAGTTCAAGACCAGCTTGGGCAACATGGTGAAACCCCTTGTTCTCTACCAAAAATAGAAAAACTAGCCAGGTGTGGTGGCGGGTGCCTGTAGTCCCAGCTACTCAAGAGGCTAAGCAGGAGAATTGCTTGATCCTGGGAGGCAGAGGTTGCAATGAGCCAAGACAGCGCCATTGCACACCAACCTGGGTGACAGTGTGAGACCCTGTTCCCCTCCCCGCCCAAAAAAAAGATTAGTCCGGGAAATCTCTAACTTTAGTGTCTCCAGTCTCTGAACTTCTGCTGCGTTTGTGGCTGATAGGCTGCTTAATGATTAACAACTTTTACAAAAATCTTGGTAAAAATTACATAATATTTACCATCTTTATAATTTTTTATGTGTGCAGTTCAGTAGTGTTTAGTACATTTCGCTTGTTGTGCAACCAATCTCCAGAACCTTTTTTTTTCAAGACGGGGTCTCACTCTGCCTCCCAAAGTGCTGGGATTACAGGCATGAGCCACCGCGTCTGGTCCAGAACTTTTACATTTTGTAAAACTGAAGCTGTATACCCACCCATTGAACAATAACTCATCATTTCCCCCTTCCTCAGCCTCTGGCAACCACCATTCTACTTTCTGTTTGTATGAATTTGACTATTATATAAAATATAAGTAGATTTAAGTGGAATTATACAGTATTTGCCTTTTTGTGACCAGCTTATTTCACTTACTATGCTGTCTTCAGGGTTTATTGAAGTTTTAGCATGTGATGGGATTTCGTTCCTTTTTAAGACTAATATTCCATGTGTAGATATGCTGCATTTTGTTTATCCATTTATCTGCGTGGACATTTGGGTTGCTTCCCCCTCTTGGCTATTGTGAACAGTGCTGCTATGAACAAAGGTATGCAAATCTCTCATCAAGACCCTGCTTTTACTTCTATATCTAGAAGTGGAGTTGCTGGATCATCTGGTAGTTCTGATTTTTTGAGGAACTGCCATATATCAGCTGCACAATTTTACAATCCCACCAACAGTGCACAAGGATTCCACTCTCTCCACATGATCACCAACACTTGTTATTTTCTGTTTATTTTTTCTTTATAGTTGCCATCCTGTTTAAAGACTTTTTCATTGTTTCATGTAAATTCATTTTGTCTTCCTAACAGATTTCATGTGTCTTCAGGGCAGGAATCTTGCCCTGTTCTCCTGTGTACCCTCAGTGCCTAGCACCGCATGAGGCATGTCCTTAGGTGTCTGAAGGTCCTTTTTGGTTGATTGGATGAAATGAACAGTTTGAGTTGAGCTTAGTCCTTTTGAGAACTTAGGGTAGAATTCCCTTTACAAACAGAACAAGCTGACTGCTATGATACAGACTGAATGAATCTTCAGGACACTGCTGCACTGTGGAGCAAAGTCTGCATGGGGACAGTGTCACTGTCGCTTCCTCTTTGACTGAAGATGCAATATTGTGGTCATCACACAAGCTGCTGGGTCTACTCTCCCTGCAAAGCATAATGCTCTGGAAACCCAATTCTATGCAGGTAGAATCAGAAGACCTTAGAAATAAAAACAAAACCAAAAACTGACCTTGAGAAGCTCAGAGGAGGGCCAGTACGGGAACTGAGAGGAAACATCACAGATAGACAGGTACTAGTAGGTACAGCTATTCTCAACTCTGCTTTGTTCTAACCGCTACTTAATTTCCCTTCATTTTCCTGAGGTCTTGGGGAGCCAATTTTTTATTCACTGCTATGACTTTGAGGGTTCCTCTGGGTCTCCAAGCTCTTTTTTTTTTTTTTTTTTGGAGACAGAGTCTCACTATGTCACCCAGGCTAGAGTGCAGTGGCATGCTCTTGGCTCACTGCAACCTCTGCCTCCCGGGTTCAAGCAATTCTTGTGCCTCAGCCTCCTGAGTAGCTGGGACCACAGACGCATGCTACCATGTCCAGCTGATTTTTTTTTTTTTTAAATTTTAGTAGAGACAGGGTTTCACCATGTTGCCCAGGCGGTCTTGAACTCCTGAGCTCATGCAATCCACCTGCCTTGGCCTCCCAAAGTGCTAGGATTACAGTTGAGCCACTGCACCTGGCCTCCAAGCTCTTTTAGTCTATATGGAAAAGTCCCTCCACTTAGCCATTTGTTTGGCATTTAAAAAATAAAACTATCACTAGGAATCTAAAAAAAGAACAAGTACAAAAGTGCTGAAGCAATTAACTTTCTGAGAACAGATTCTCTAGAAAAGTCGCCTCGAGGTGGTTTGGTTGGCACAAGGCTCTCAGGTATACATCCCTTTCCTTGATTCATCCCTGTCTGGGGAATGCTGCCCAAAGACCTGCCTTGTAGTCCCGGGCCATCCCCACCTCTGTGTTCTCCTCCGGCCCCCATCTCAAAGGATGGGGTTGAAGTAGAAGCCCCAGTAGATAGATAGTTTGTAGTTTAGTTGGGTGAAAAAAATAAAACAACACTCCCTAGATATATGATGCATTGGCTGACATTTTCCCCACTTGTTTGGTGATGAGAATCCTCTGGGTCACCTATTAAGGTTCCTTCAGATTCCCTCCTATCAGATTCCTTCACTTGAGGCCAGGAGTTCAAGACCAGCCTGGACAACATAGAGAGACCTCATCTCTACAAAAATTAAAAAAATAACAGGGCATAATGGTGCATACCTGTGGTCCCAGCTACTAGGGAGGCTGAGGTAGGAGGACTGCTTGAGCCAAGGGGTTTAAGGCTGCAGTAAGGTATGATTGCATCACTGCACTCTAGTCTGGGTAACAGACTGACACGCTGTCTCTCTTTAAAAAAAATCAGATTTCTAGGCCCCATCTAAAGAATCAGAATTTACAAATGGGTAACCTGAAAATCTGTACTTCTTCAACTTTCAAGCCAAGTGACTCTTATCATCAGACAAGTGTGGCAAAGATAACATTACTGAATATTTATTATTTCAGATACCTGGGCATCTACTCAACAGGGCTTTTTTTCGTCTTTTTTTTTTTCCCCCTTCAGGGAAGGATAAAGAGACAATGCCATCTTAGTGATGATTATCAACACAGGCTTGGGAGCAGGAAACCTGGGTTTGATTTGCCAGGTATTGGCTGTGTGATCTTGGACAAGTTATTTAACCTCTCAGTGCCTCAGTTTCTTTATCCATAAAGTGGGGATGATATTGCATCTCCTTCACTGAGGATCAAATGAAATAATGCATACAGAACTGTTAGTCCAGTGCCTGCTAAATAAAAGCCATTGTCAATAAATAGATGCTATTGTTATTTCCCCATAGAAGAACCCTAGAGTATCCCCATCATATAAATATGGGTGAATAGTTGTGGAAAAGGAAGACTGGCTATGGGTGGTTCCAGGAGTCCACACAGATATATAAGCACAGCCAGAAGGCCCAGTGATCACTTCTCTGACTAGACCCAGCAGACACAACTGTGGCTGGCTACATTAGACAAATGGAAGAACACTTTAATCAGTCTGGTTCAAGGTGGGCAGGCAGGAATCAAGGCAGACATGACTTGGATGGACAGCTGGAGCTATCCTGGGATGTCACCATGGGTTAGAAGTAGGAAGATTCCCAGTTAGAAGGACAAGCACCTCCACTAGCCTGATTGAATTTGATACTGCCTCAGAGATAGTTCTCCAAACCTGGAGTCAACCAGGTCTGCATGTGAGTCTTGGTGCTTCCATTTCCCTGGAGTTTAACCTTGTGGAAATTGCTTAAGCCCAGTGAACCTTCATTTTCTCATCCATAAAATGGTGACATTAATAGTACCTTCCTTAAAGGTGTTAAGATGTAAAAAGAAAATGAATGTAATGCAAATAAAAGTTGGTTATTATTATTATTATCTATCTTTAACAAGGGATAAATTGTAAGATTGTATTGTCCCCTTGGAGACAACAGACTTCTTTTTTATTTTTATTTTTTGAGACAGAGTCTCATTGCCCAGGCTGGAGTGCAGTGGTGTGATCAAGGTTCATCGCCACCTCAACCTCCCAAGCTCAAGCAATCCTCCCACCTCAGCCTCCTGAGTAGTTGGGACCACAGGTGTGTGCCACCACTTCTGGCTAATTTTTAAAAAATATATTATAGAGACGAGGTCTCACTATGTTGCCCAAACTGGTCTGATACTCCTGGGCTCAAGCCATCCTCCTGCCTCGGCCTCCCAAAATGTTGGGATTACAGGTGTGAGCCACTGCATCTGGCACTCTTCCTTTTCTTTAGTCCCTGCCACATTCCCCACCATCACTGTCTCCAGAGTAAACAAAGAACGCCCATGTAGATTACCCACATACTGTTCCTCCCATTCACTCTGCACACACACCTGCCTCCAGGGATCCCTGCTCCCTCTTCCCACAGATATTCATACATTTAGTCCTCTAGCAGCCTTCTCAAAGGAGACTGTCCCCTCTGCAGGACGTGGCTGCCTCCAAACCCTCCTCAGAGGCTCAGCAAACCAGAGAAAAGAAGCACCTTCTGCAGGAGGGTGGGCAAGATAGATTGAGGATGGGGATGGATGGTGATCGGGAAAAGGGAGGAGCTGAGGATTCAGAATAAGAAAGGAGAGGGTGGAAATGTGTCATGAAGTTCCTCAAAATCTGTGAATCCTGAATCTCATCATTTTTAGTGAATGAACTCAGATGATTCACTTCCCTTCATTAGCCTCTATTTTCCTCTCTGTGTAATGGAAGGGGAAGTGCTTGCTTTGAAGACAGAGATGCATATAGAATCCAGCACATAGAATCCAGCTTGGGAGAGCCATGAGCATGTGGAATTAGACATCATATGGGTTATGAATATTATGTTAGTTTTCTTCTGAATAGGATTTTTTCAGTATTTCAGCTTCTGGCTGAACATATATCCCTAAATATTATTGATTTTTTGGCAGTCTTCAGCAAGCCCACCATTTGCTGGTTAGTCATCCCAGTCCTTTGTTCCTGGGCATGCCCCTTTGCTTCTAGTTAAGCATCTATTGCCACCCAACATGGTAACCAGAACTCTGAGCAGAAGTTTTAGGACCAGGGCCTAACTTTGGTTCCTGGTGAGGGGCTCAGAATCCAGAAGGTCTGGTAAGCCATGACCAACACTACTTTTTTTTTTTTTTTAATGGAGTCTCGCTTTGTCACCCAGGCTGGAGTGCAGTGGCCCGATCTCGGCTCACTGCACCCTCTGCCTCCCGGGTTCAAGCGAGTCTTCTGCCTCAGCCTCCTGAGGAGCTGGGATTACAGGCGTGTGACACCACACTGGCTAATGTTTGTATTTTTAGTAGAGACGGGGTTTCACCATGTTGGCCAGGCCAGTCTCGAACTCCTGACCTCAAGTGATCCAGCCGCCTCAGCATCCCAAAGTGCTGGGATTACAGGCGTGAGCCACCACACCTGGCAAACTACTTTAAAGCAGTAAGTTCCTGACTTAGGTAATAACTGGGTTTGGGTCAGGGAGGGACAAAGAAAAATTTGGCCAAGACTCATGACATACATGCAGAAGTCTGAGCTGAGTGGCCTGGGTAGGCCTAGGAAGCAGGCCAGAGCTGGTAAGGCAGAAAAAGAGTGAGGAAGGTTAGGGGGGTCATAGCCTGATGCTGGAGGGACCAGCTTTAGTTCCCCTTTCATGGTGCTACTGACGACAGTGTAACCTCAGGGTTCAGCCCCTGGGCTCTTTGCTTTCCATGAGTAAGGAAGCAAGAATGCTGCCTCCCTCCACCCCTTCCACAGCCTGCTGGGGGCCTGCAGCTCCAGCAATCCCCCTATCATGTTACATGCCCAGAAGCGGCTTTCAGTGCCTGCCGTTGCCAGCTGGCTTCACCCTTCACACTAGACACTCAGGAAGAAGGGGTCCTTAGACTCAAGGAAGCTATGTGACCAGCATTCCGTACCTCCTTCCCAGAACTGTTGAAGAGTCCGTCTGCCCCATGTGTAGGAGGGAAAGAGGCGCTTCAGGCCACACAGGGACACAGACAAGAGGGAGAGGGAGTAAGCATAGGCAATGTGGGAGTGAACAGCACATGCAGCTGTGGGTCCAGCTGCCTGATTGCTGGGAACTGCTGGCCAAGGATACAGCATCCCCATTGGCCTGGAATCCTGGAATGGACTCCAGCCTGACTTGGTCTTCTGAGTCAATCCAGCCACAGTCAAAAAGGGGAGGCAGGCACTCGATGTAGGAATTACAGTTTACACAGTTCCTCTTCCTATCTCTAGCATCCAGAACTGCGCCCAGCACACAGTAGGTCCATGATAAATATGGAATGAATGAATACTTTTACATGCAAGCATGATCTCAGCCAATCTGCAGAGTGAGGCACAGGCTGGACAGGTGGATCACCTGAGGTCAGGGGTTCAAGACCAGCCTGGACAACATGGTGAAACCCCATCTCTACTAAAAATATAAAATTAGACCGGCATGGTGGCAGACACCTGTAATCCCAGCTACTTGGGAGGCTGAGGCAGGAGAATTGCTTGAACCCAGAAGGTGGAGGGTGCAGAGAGCCAAGATTGTACCATTGCACTCCAGCCTGGGTGACAAGAGCGAGACTCCACGTCAAAAAAAAAAAAAAAAAAAAAAAGAGTTAAGCAACTTGCCTAAGATCATTCAACTTTGATGTAGCAGACTGAAGGCTAGGCACTGTGGTCTTTCTATAGTGCCATGCTGAGCATTCTTCATATACAACACAGAATTGCATCCTATGACTCCATGGGAACTTCCTTTTGGGTCAGAAAATAGTCCTTAGGGGCTGAGTTTCCTGGACTTAGTCTCAGGGCCAGGTTTGGATACCCTGCCCCTCCCTGCGCATCTGGCATCTGCCTTCCCTTTTATGAGAATCTCCTGGAAAGGGCTTCTCCAGCAGTCTGTGTTGCCACATCTGACTCAGGAGCTCTGTACCCTTGAGACACAGAGGCAGGGGTTGGTGGCTTCACCCTAGGAGTCAGGAAAAGAATGAAATCATACACATTCAGTTCCTTATTCTCTTACCCTCAACAGAAATTTCAGACAGCCTAGACCACAGAGACAGTTCTTGGAATTCAGGCAAACAACTAATTTGTATTACAGCGGGTGCAACTTAAGAGCTCAGAGTCCATAGTCCGAGCAGTCTTTCTGGAAGGAGGTCTCCAAAGTCAGGAGGAGGGCTCCCCTGAGCTGGATCATCTTAGCTCACTGGCCCCTCCCTTCACAGCGTTCTGTCTTTTATGGAGACAGTGAGGTATAGCGCATAGGAACAAGGATCAGAAGACGCTGGGTTTTAGTGCTGGCTTTGCTGCTCATCAACTGTGTATCTTCTCTCCACTTCATTTTCCATATCTGCAAAATGGGAACAACAATACCAGTCTATATCATAAGGCAGTTATGAGTTTAAAGAGAAATGGTTTACATTAATGTGCCTTGAAGCACAAGACAGAAATACAATATAAAAAATATGGCTGGGGCCGGGCACGGTGGCTCACGCCTGTAATCCCAGCACTTTGGGAGGCCGAGGTGGGCGGATCACAAGGTCAGGAGATCGAGACCATCCTGGCTAACACGGTGAAACCCCATCTCTACTAAAAATACAAAAAATTAGCCGGGTGTGGTGGCAGGCGCCTGTAGTCCCAGCTAGTCGGTAGGCTGAGGCAGGAGAATGGCGTGAACCCGGGAGGCGGAGCTTGCAGTGAGCCGAGATTGTGCCACTGCACTCCAGCCTGGGTGACAGACCGAGACTCCGTCTCAAAAAAAAAAAAAAAAAAATATGGCTGGGCGTGGTGGCTCATGCCTGTAATCCCAGCACTTTGGAAGGATGAGGTGGGAGGACCCCTTGAACCCAGAAGCCCAGCAAAACCTTGTCTTTAAAAAAAAAAAAGAACTGTGCACAAAGATTTCAGAGAGTGCTAAAGATTAGCGCATGGATAAGGAAGTTCTGTGAAGAGTTGAAGTGCTAGGTGAAGAGGTGGCACGGGGGAGGAGGGGGCGGAAGGGGAGAAAGGGTGTCACGCTTCATAACGGTCTCCAAACCTCTTTGTCCAGGAGGAAATGAAGTCATCTGCTCTCAGCAATCAGCATGACAGCCTCCAGCCAAGTAATCTGGAGTCATGAGAGCTGCTAGGGGAGCAACATGAATCATGACGGTCCCTGGGAATTTCCTGATAACTAACCTGGGAGTTTCGGGGTAAGTCCTCAGGCTGCAGCATCTCTGTTTATGTTCTGGTCACGTTTATTTACAATTAATGGGTTCTCAAATCCAAACAAAACTGACCACAGTCTTCTAGAGGAAGTAGCAAGGTTGGCTCTGAAGCCTATAGCATCGCTGACTCAGTCTGTCCCCTGGAAGGCTGGCAGCTCAGCAAGCACAGAAGTCTCTCCAGAAGACAGTGGGTCACCTGCCTCCCAAAAGCTGAAAGGCTAACTTGTACTTTCCCCAGCAGGCAGCTGGCACCCTGAGCCCTCGGCTGGGGCAGAGCAAAGGAGCCTTCCTCCTTCCTACCTTCCTGGCACTCTCCCTGCCTTCCTTCTGTCACTCTCAGGTGGACCCAGACCCAAGGTCCAGATTTGCAAGGCAGGAAAATGCTGCAGGCCTAGGCTGGGAAAGGGCCCAAAGCCGCTAGTGGATTGCTGGGACTCAGCCTCCTCCTTCCCACTAAGAGAGCGAGTCCTACTGGGTTCAAAATGACCCCAAGCCCTGGTTCCTGACACTAGGGGAAAGAGATGGGGGTGACAGAATCACAGAATCCCTGCTATGTTCCTCCAAGTGTGCCCAGAGATGCGTGTGTGTGTGTGTGTGTATACACAAATGTCTGCTTATCCTCAGGCAGGAAGGGTGGATGCAGTCATTTACACATGGTCTGTTTTTCTGGAGGACAATTTTATTTGATAAACAATTGTTTCTATCTGAATAGAATAAACAAGGCTCTATGATGAAGTAAAACACTAAATACACATGCATTAAAAAATGCATAATTATCTTTTTGGAATGGGCTATACAGAGATGTGCTTTTTAAAATGTTAAGAGTGTAAAAGGACAAACAGTGAAAAATAAATCTTCCTCTTATTTTGTCCTCCAGTCTCCCAATTCCTCTACTCAGAGGTGAGAACAGAACTTCCACACCCTCCAGAACCTCCACAGTTAGAACTGTCTACATGTTTCCATTGTCTTTACTTTTATTCTTGCCTGCACAAATAAATGAATTGCTCATTATGGAAACTTCCCAAAAGACCCGTTAACACTTCAATAGGAAGCACCAACAGTTTATGCCCTAGGACTTTGTTCCCACAATCCTGTAACATCATATCACGACACCTAACCCAATCCTTATCAAGCCCTGTCAAAAACGGACTTTAAACCAAGCTGCAAATTTTCAGTAATCTGGCCTTGCCTTTCCCCCTCTGATAGCACCATCAAACAAACCCCCTTACTGCCGAAAGCAATAAGCCCGGCTTTGTTCCATCCACTGGTTGTGTTGGTGATATCTGGGGACTGCCACTGAACAGACGCACAGAGGGAGCCCCTACAGGCAGGGGTTTTTCTGTCTGTGCTTCTGGGAGAGTATGTCTCGTACATTTGTCGCGTTGATGAAGACTTCACAGCTCCATCAGCTGCGGGCAAGGGGGTCTGAGGCAGTCTTAGGCAAGTTGGGGCCCAGCGGGGAGAAGTTGCAGAAGAACTGATTAGAGGACCCCAGGAGGCTTCAGAGCTGGGCGAGGTAGAGAGTCTCCTGTGCGCCTTCTCTCCTCTCTGCAATTCGGGGACTCCTTGCACTGGGGCAGGCCCCCGGCCAGGTGCATGGGAGGAAGCACGGAGAATTTACAAGCCTCTCGATTCCTCAGTCCAGACGCTGTTGGGTCCCCTCCGCTGGAGATCGCGCTTCCCCCAAATCTTTGTGAGCGTTGCGGAAGCACGCGGGGTCCGGGTCGCTGAGCGCTGCAAGACAGGGGAGGGAGCCGGGCGGGAGAGGGAGGGGCGGCGCCGGGGCGGGCCCTGATATAGAGCAGGCGCCGCGGGTCGCAGCACAGTGCGGAGACCGCAGCCCCGGAGCCCGGGCCAGGGTCCACCTGTCCCCGCAGCGCCGGCTCGCGCCCTCCTGCCGCAGCCACCGGTGAGTGCCGCGGTCCTGAGATCCCCGGGCCGGATGCGCGGCGGCCCCAGCTCCCGAGCGTCTGCCTCCCCCGCCCTGGGCTGCCCGGGCTCCCTGGGCTCCCCGGCGGCTGCACGGAGTCAAGGCGCCCCGTCCCGGGCGTCCCCCGCGGGTGCCGATCCAGGCTGCCCGGAGTCCGGAGCCCAGAGAGGAGAGAGACAGCTGGGGAGCCTGGTCACCGCGGGCATCTCCCCTGCGCTGCAGTCGCCCGCCTGGCCTGCCTTCCCGTTCCTCCGCCTCTTGCCCTGACTTCTCCTTCCTTTGCAGAGCCGCCGTCTAGCGCCCCGACCTCGCCACCATGAGAGCCCTGCTGGCGCGCCTGCTTCTCTGCGTCCTGGTCGTGAGCGACTCCAAAGTGAGTGCGCTCTTGCTTTGACTGATGCTGCCCAAGGACCTCTGATCAGCACCAGGGGAGAGGAGGGGCTGCTCAGGGAGCTGGGGTCCTCCGGATTCCATCCACAGCAGGGCCAGACTCTCCCCAGGAAATGGGACAGGGTGGCAGCGGAGGCTTGAGAACCACGGGGGTTGGCACTGGCTGGCAAGGGAGGAAGAGGCCGCCGGGACTGCCCCAGCCTGCGGGCATCTGGTAGATGAAGCTTGCTTGGGTCAATCCATTTCTCCTGGCTGGAAACCCATGGTCTTCCATTTGAGAACTAGATACGAACAGGGTGAGGCGAGAGGGAGAGGGAAGAGTGGGTTTTGGGATTGGGGCCAGTTTACCCTCACCCTGGAGTCCCTGGAGCATGGGACCTTTGATGAAGCCTCCTCCCGAATCTCTTCCAGGGCAGCAATGAACTTCATCAAGTTCCATGTGAGTATCCACCCCTACAACAGTTGGCTGCACAGACAAGTTGGGAAGGCTTCAGGGGACATCCCCTCCCTGCCCTCTGCTGCAGGGCTGCGCCACCCCTTACCACTTCCACTCCCCCTCGCTTACCCCACCTTTGTTCTCTCCAGCGAACTGTGACTGTCTAAATGGAGGAACATGTGTGTCCAACAAGTACTTCTCCAACATTCACTGGTGCAACTGCCCAAAGAAATTCGGAGGGCAGCACTGTGAAATAGGTATGGGGATCTCCACTGCAACTGGGAGAGAAATTTGGGGACAGGGAGGGATGGGTGGGAGGCAAGAGCAGGCAGGAGTTAGGAGCTGGAGGTAGGGTGGGTGACATCTTCATCCCTATGTGACAAGCATAAACACACACACACGCTCACGAAACAGTGGCCACACAAATGTGAGGTGGGGTTGGAAGGAGACCCTGTCCAGTCTTCTGGCAGGTCTGAAACGACATCTTTAAAATGTCCGTTGGCAGCCGGGCATGGTGGCTCACGCTTGTAATCCCAGCATTTTGAGAGGTCAAGGTGAGTGGATCATTTGAGGTCAGGAGTTCAAGACCAGCCTGGACAACATGGTGTAACCCTGCCTCTACTAAAAATGCAAAAATCAGCCTGGCATGGTAGTGGATGCCTGTAGTCCCAGCTACTTGGGAGGCTGAGGCAGGAGAATTGCTTGAACCTGGGAGGCAGAGATCTCAGTGAGCTGAGATCACACCACTGCACTCCAACTGGGCGACAGAGCAAGACTCCATCTCAAAAAAAAAAAATAAAAGTTAGTTGGAATGTTCTTCTCTTTCTCATATTCTCTCATCCTCCTGTCCCCTTGTAGATAAGTCAAAAACCTGCTATGAGGGGAATGGTCACTTTTACCGAGGAAAGGCCAGCACTGACACCATGGGCCGGCCCTGCCTGCCCTGGAACTCTGCCACTGTCCTTCAGCAAACGTACCATGCCCACAGATCTGATGCTCTTCAGCTGGGCCTGGGGAAACATAATTACTGCAGGTGAGGTGGGGGCAACAAGGACCAAAAGCCCTCCCTACAGCTTCCCAGAAACCTTGTTACCATCCCCTTCTCCCAGAGGGCTGGCCATAGCACAAGAGAAGTGCGGCCTCTGGTTGAGTCTTCCCTGAGGGGAGGAGGCAGGGAAGGCCCTCTGGGTTGGAATGACATCCCCTATCTTTCTGTGTTGCCAGGAACCCAGACAACCGGAGGCGACCCTGGTGCTATGTGCAGGTGGGCCTAAAGCTGCTTGTCCAAGAGTGCATGGTGCATGACTGCGCAGATGGTGAGCATCACTGACCTGCTGATGACAGTGGGGTGGAAGGGGACAAACTTACATGTCCCCTTATTCCATCACAGGAGGACTGAGGAGGTGGGGGGTGCCCGAGAGGGATGCTTTCTCCTACCTGCCTCCCTAAGACATCCCTCTGTTTGTCCTCCAGGAAAAAAGCCCTCCTCTCCTCCAGAAGAATTAAAATTTCAGTGTGGCCAAAAGACTCTGAGGCCCCGCTTTAAGATTATTGGGGGAGAATTCACCACCATCGAGAACCAGCCCTGGTTTGCGGCCATCTACAGGAGGCACCGGGGGGGCTCTGTCACCTACGTGTGTGGAGGCAGCCTCATCAGCCCTTGCTGGGTGATCAGCGCCACACACTGCTTCATGTACGGCCCTGGGTTTCTCCTCTTCGACTCTTCTGCCCCACCCCAAGCACATCCCTTTCTCCTTCCCAGCAAAGTGTTCCGCCTCATTTCTCCCTCATCTGCCCCTGTCCATGCAGCCCATGGCCTTGGGGACAAGTCGTGCTTTGAGGCCTCTAGGGAGGGAAGGAAGAAGTGGCAGATTTCATGGGACTAAGCTGTTTGATGGGTATCTTCTCCCACAGTGATTACCCAAAGAAGGAGGACTACATCGTCTACCTGGGTCGCTCAAGGCTTAACTCCAACACGCAAGGGGAGATGAAGTTTGAGGTGGAAAACCTCATCCTACACAAGGACTACAGCGCTGACACGCTTGCTCACCACAACGACATTGGTGAGGGGGAACCCCGCGACTACTGTGGCCATAATGGCTTGGGGAGAGTGGGACCCAGGGAGAGACTGGAGCTGAGGTTGAAGCTGCCCGGTGGGGCAGGGGTGGGGCGAGGGACCTTGAAGCCTCGATATACATGACAAAGGGAGTGGCAGGGAAGAGTTCCATGAAGTCTGAGGGGCCTGGTGCTCCTCTGGAGAGACCCTGAATTTCCCCAACAAGTAGCCTCTTGCGAGTGGAAACAGCCCTGTGGGTATATGGCTTGGGCTGGGAAGGCCCTGTTTATATGAATTAGAAAAAGACACACCTTCCTTTGTGGGATGCAGCCTCTGTCTGTGCTAGGATATAGAACTTGGAGAATGGAGCCTTGGGATGGATTCCAGCCTAACTACCTCAGCTGGGAGTTTTTGCAGAAACGACCTGTACAGCTGTATGCAGTGGCTCTGGCCATCCAAGCCTTTTTCAACACCTGGAACAAAGCCCTTGGGGCATGGGGCAGGGGAGGTTTCCAGGTGATAAGCGACCAGCAGACCTCCCTGGATGACTGACCTAGGGATAGGCATAGCTACTTCCTCGGCACTTGGAGGGGACAGATGGGGACCGCCTAACCAGTAGTGATCTTTCTCCTCTGACCCTCTGTCCTCCCCCAGCCTTGCTGAAGATCCGTTCCAAGGAGGGCAGGTGTGCGCAGCCATCCCGGACTATACAGACCATCTGCCTGCCCTCGATGTATAACGATCCCCAGTTTGGCACAAGCTGTGAGATCACTGGCTTTGGAAAAGAGAATTCTAGTAAGTGACAATTGCGACTGACTTAGAAGGTCCTGAGGAGTGTTTTGACCTGAAAATGAGCCCAGCGTGATCAAGGGAAGACTGCAGAGTTAGAGGTGGGAGCACTGAGGCGGTGGCAGATGGGTCCAGGGATGGATGAAGAGTGTTGTTTAGGGAGCGATGGGCTGCAAAGGTAAATAGATGGTAGGGGCTATAGGTGGAGTAAAGGCTCAGATTTGCATGGAAGAGAATAAGGGCCTTCCCTGGTAGAGATACTTTATGGTTCCCCTCTCTGGCAGACTCCCAGTGGACAGATAAATCTTGATGCAAACGCCTCCCTGTTTTCTCCACCTAGCCGACTATCTCTATCCGGAGCAGCTGAAAATGACTGTTGTGAAGCTGATTTCCCACCGGGAGTGTCAGCAGCCCCACTACTACGGCTCTGAAGTCACCACCAAAATGCTGTGTGCTGCTGACCCACAGTGGAAAACAGATTCCTGCCAGGTGAGTGTTCCAAGCATCTCTCTCCACCTCTTCCATATCTCCCCAGAGCTCCTGGGCTTGTTCCAGCCAGCTTAAGGGTGTCTCTCTCTAGCCAAAGCCCTAAGTAGCCAGAATCAGGAGCTCAGGTCTTTGAGGGTTTAAACCAGTCCTTATGTGTTTGCCAGACATTACCAAAAAAATCCCAGCTCTGCGCTAGTCACTTCAGACTGGGGGCACGAGATCCTAGAAAGAGGAAACAGTAAAAGACAATGTAACTCAGTGCCCAGGGTGTGTTGTGAACTATAAATGATCAGGTGTTCAGGAGAGGGAGGTGAGTGCCAACCTGAGGGTCAGGGAGGGGAGGCTTTAAAGGAAATGTGACTTGATAGGCATTTGAAGAGGCAGAGGGAAGAAAGGAAGGTGTTTCAGTTGAAAGATACAAAACTGAGAAGGAGGCTGGCATATTCCGGGTGGGGAGGAGAACTAGGGTCTGGGAGTGTGGATGGAATAGTGGCAGATGACAGGGCTTTTAAAGCCAAGCAGGGGATTTTAAACTTGATGTGGTAGAAAATGGGGCTGCGTCAGGCACAGTGGCTCATGCCTGTAATCCCAGCACTTTGGGAGGCCGAGGTGGATGGATCACTTGAGGCCAGGAGTTTGAGACCGGCCTGGCCAACATGGTGAAACCCTGTGTCTACTAAAAATGCAAAAAAAAATTAGCCAGGTGTGGTGGTGCCTGCCTGTAATCCCAGCTAATCAGGAGGCTGAGACATGGGAATCGCTTGAGCACAGGAGGCAAGTTTGCAGTGAGCTGAGATCACGTCATTGCACGCCAGCCTGGGCGACAGAGCGAGATTCTGTCCTCCCCCCGAAAAAAAGAAAGAAAATGGGAAGTCGCTAAGGACTTTGACTGGGAAACTCTTCCCTCTCTCTGGTATGGTTGGGTGATGGGATCAGAAATCCCCTCCTCACTTCTCTAGGGCTCATCTTTTGTATCTTTGGCGTCACAGGGAGACTCAGGGGGACCCCTCGTCTGTTCCCTCCAAGGCCGCATGACTTTGACTGGAATTGTGAGCTGGGGCCGTGGATGTGCCCTGAAGGACAAGCCAGGCGTCTACACGAGAGTCTCACACTTCTTACCCTGGATCCGCAGTCACACCAAGGAAGAGAATGGCCTGGCCCTCTGAGGGTCCCCAGGGAGGAAACGGGCACCACCCGCTTTCTTGCTGGTTGTCATTTTTGCAGTAGAGTCATCTCCATCAGCTGTAAGAAGAGACTGGGAAGATAGGCTCTGCACAGATGGATTTGCCTGTGCCACCCACCAGGGCGAACGACAATAGCTTTACCCTCAGGCATAGGCCTGGGTGCTGGCTGCCCAGACCCCTCTGGCCAGGATGGAGGGGTGGTCCTGACTCAACATGTTACTGACCAGCAACTTGTCTTTTTCTGGACTGAAGCCTGCAGGAGTTAAAAAGGGCAGGGCATCTCCTGTGCATGGGTGAAGGGAGAGCCAGCTCCCCCGACGGTGGGCATTTGTGAGGCCCATGGTTGAGAAATGAATAATTTCCCAATTAGGAAGTGTAACAGCTGAGGTCTCTTGAGGGAGCTTAGCCAATGTGGGAGCAGCGGTTTGGGGAGCAGAGACACTAACGACTTCAGGGCAGGGCTCTGATATTCCATGAATGTATCAGGAAATATATATGTGTGTGTATGTTTGCACACTTGTGTGTGGGCTGTGAGTGTAAGTGTGAGTAAGAGCTGGTGTCTGATTGTTAAGTCTAAATATTTCCTTAAACTGTGTGGACTGTGATGCCACACAGAGTGGTCTTTCTGGAGAGGTTATAGGTCACTCCTGGGGCCTCTTGGGTCCCCCACGTGACAGTGCCTGGGAATGTATTATTCTGCAGCATGACCTGTGACCAGCACTGTCTCAGTTTCACTTTCACATAGATGTCCCTTTCTTGGCCAGTTATCCCTTCCTTTTAGCCTAGTTCATCCAATCCTCACTGGGTGGGGTGAGGACCACTCCTGTACACTGAATATTTATATTTCACTATTTTTATTTATATTTTTGTAATTTTAAATAAAAGTGATCAATAAAATGTGATTTTTCTGATGACAAATCTCCCTGGTGCTTGTATGGGAAGGAGTTGGAGTACATAAAAAGGAGAAAATAACAAAGGTGGACTGCACCCTAGAGTTTCTTATGGGACTGCATCTCTGGACTTAATGGAGCTTTGGGAGGTAGAGGTTAGGAGAGCTGTAGGGCAGGGCCACCACAGCACTTAATGTATACAAAGTTTCCCCAAACCACAATCCCATGGCTGTGTAAGTAGTGTACAGGCTTAGTGTCAGCTCCCAATTGCCTCCTTAACCTGATGCCTTTGTGCAGTGCACATCTTGTACAGCTGTACATGGTGGTCTTCTTTAGGGTTAACTCCACAACAGTCTCTTCACTCTGCCCCCAACAATCCTTGAGCTGACCTCAACCAAGAAGAACACCTGTGGCCAGGTGTAGTGGCTCATGCCTGTAATCCTAACATTTTGAGAGGCTGAGGTGGGAGAATCGCTTGAGCCCAGGAGTTTGAGACCAGCCTGGGAAACTTAGTGAGACCCTGTCTCTGCAAAAAATAAAAAAATTAGCCAGGTGTGGTAGCACATGTCTGTAGTCCTAGCTACTTGGGAGGCTGAGGCAGGAGGATCCTAAGCCAAGGAGTTCAAGTTTACAGTCAGCTGATTGTGCCACTGCACTCCAGCCTAGGTGACAGAGCAAGACCCTGTCTCAAAAAAAAAAAAAAAAAAAAAAGAAGAAGAAGACCTGTAAGTGAAAATTGCTGGCCAGGCTCAGTGGCTCACGCCTGTAATCCAGCACTTTGGGAAGCCGAGGTGTGTGGATCACCTGAGGTCAGGAGTTTGAGACCAGCCTGACCAACATAGTGAAACCCCATCTCTACTAAAAATACAAAAAAATTAGCCGGGTGTGGGGGTGGGTGCCTGTAATCCCAGCTACTCGGGAGGCTGAGGCAGGAGAATCATTTGAACCCGGGAGGCAGAGGTTGCAGTGAGCCGAGATCGCACCACTGCACTCCAGCCTGGGCGACAGAGGGAAGACTTCGCCTCAAATAAATAAAAAAATAAATAAAGAAAGAAAATTGCTTATCCAGAATGCCAGCTTGACTCTGTGGCATTCAGGAAACAAAAAACATAATTTCCCATCATCTGTGTGTGGGACTGATGCTGGAATTTTCTCAGTGTGTTAACAGAGCTTGTGACCAGCCATTGCTATGCCTATGATTAGGGGGCCCAGAATCTCAAAGCTGGATGATGTCCTAATGGGGGTGACTATATATTTTGAACAAAACATCAAGTTCTGAAAAGCTGGGGTGTAGAAGGCAGGTTGGGAGATAATTGGGTATCAAAAATTAGAATTGCCAAGCTGTGTTAATGGGTTGGGGCAGTGTTTCTTAATCGAGTCATCTGAGGACCTTTTAAAATATGCACACCTACACTCCACCTGTAGAGATTGTGATTCAGGTCAGGGCTGGCTCCAGGTCTCGTGGTTTTAGAAAAGCTCCCTCGGTGTTACTAACATGCACCACTGATTGACAGCCTTTGGGGACAATTGGTCAGAATATATGAAGTGCCCAGAAAAATTCAAGATATGGTCAGCATGAGTTCTCTGCATGAACAGCCAGTTTTCTGAGTGGGGTTTGGTGGCACAAGGTCTCCTGGATTTCCTGGTTAAAGGCTTTCTGGACCGTGCTTCCCTAGAGGGCAAGAACTCCAAGTATTTGGCTTTTTCTTTTTTTTGAGGCAGGGTCTCACTCTGTCACCCAGGCTGGAGTGCAGTGGCGCAATCTTAGCTCACTGCAGCTTCTGCCTCCCAGGTTCAAGCGATTCTCCTGCCTCAGCCTCCCAAGTAGCTGGGATTACAAGCATGCACTACCACTACCCGGCTCATTTTTGTGTTTTTGGTAGAGATGGGGTTTCACCCTGTTGGCCAGGCTGGTCTCGAACTCCCGACCTCAGGTGATCTGCCTCCCTTGGTCTCCCAAAGTACTGGGATTAGTATTCGGCTTTTGATCCCCATCATCTAGTGTGCTGTTTTACACAGGTTGATGCAGTGGTTTAGAGCATGGATTTTCGAGTCCGGTGGCCTGAACTAGAATCTAACACCAGCTGTGTGACTTGAGAAAGGTTATTAGCCTCTCTGCACCTCAGTTTCCTCATCTGTACAAAAGAGATGATACAATCTACCTCCCTGGGTTGTTATAAGGATTCATGAAGGCCAGACACAGTGGCTCAGCCTGTAATCCCAGTGCTTCGGGAGGCCAAGGTGGGCGGATCACCTGAGGCCAGGAATTCGAGACCAGCCTGACCAACAAGGTGAAACCCTGTCTCCACTAAAAAAAAAAAAATACAAAAATTAGCCAGGCGTGGTGGCATATGCCTGTAATCCCAGCTACTCGGGAGTCTGAGGCACGAGAATTGCTTGAAACTGGGAGGTGGAATTTGCAGTGAGCCGAGATCACACCACTGCACTCTATCCTGGGCAACAGAGAGCAAGACTTCGTCTCAACAACAACAACAACAACAGAAAGGATTCATGAGTTCATAAGTCCTTTAGCATAATACTGGCACCTAATAAAAGCATAAAAACGGTGGTTATTATTACAAAGCTAAGTAAATTATTGTAGCATCAGATCAGATGGGAACCCTCTGCCCTCTCCCACCTCAGAACTGCACTATTTTGCGGGAGTGGAAACCTGCTAGGAAGCTGCCCAAGCCGAGTGGCTGTTCAGTTTCTGCCTTCCCCTCAGGGGCCAAGAAAGATCTTGTTCAAACTTGAGCAGCTCCAGCATCAGGGCTCAGAGACACTGAAAACAGGAAGTATGAGCCCTACTGGCAGGGTTAAGCCAGGAGGCTGTTAACAATTTTCAGGCCATTTCCCAGCCAACACCCTGACCCCCAGCCAGCTGCTGTCTCTTTGCCTAATATTAGATCTCACCCCAGGCTAGCAGGCATCAGCCGCTTCTCCAGCAACCAGTTTCACAGTTCCAGATTCTCACTCCAGAGACTGCCTCCTATTAGTGCCTCCACGATCAAGCACTGTGCTTTTTCTGTTTTTGCTTTTGTTTTTTTTTTTTTTGAGATGGAGTATCGCTCTGTCGCCCAGGCTGGAGTGCAGTGGTGTGATCTCGGCTCACTGCAACCTCCGCCTCCCAGGTTCAAGCGATTCTCCTGCCTCAGCCTCCCGAGTAGCTGGGATTACAGGCGCCCACCACCACGCCCGGCTACTTTTTGTATTGTTTTTAGTAGAGATGGGGTTTCACCATGTTGGCCAGGATGGTCTTGATTTCCTGACTTCGTGATCCGCCTGCCTCGGCCTCCCAGAATGTTGGGATTACAGGCGTGAGCCACCGTGCCCGGCCTTTTTTTTTTTTGTTTGAGATGGAGTCTTGCTCTGTCCCCCAGTTTGGAGTGTAGTGGCTCAATCTCAGCTCACTGTGCAACCTTTGCCTCCCGGGTTCAAGCAGTTCTCCTGCCTCAGCCTCCCGAGTAGCTGAGATTACAGGCGCCCGCCACTACGCCTGGCTAATTTTTTGTACTTTCAATAGAGATGGGGTTTCACCATGTTGGCCGGGTTGGTCTCAAACTCCTAACCTCAAGTGATCAACCCGCCTCAGCCTCCCAAAGTGCTGGGATTACAAGCATGAGCCACCATGCCAGACCAACACTGTGCTAAATTATTCATGTGTTGTCTGAGTTAATCCTCCCAAGAATCCTATGAGGAAGGTAGTATCACTAGCCCCATTTAACAGTAGAGAAAATGGAGGCACAGACAGATTGAGTGACTTGCACGAGGCAATGCAGCTCCAAATGCAAAGAGTCAGGGTTCGAACCCAGGCAGCCATCTCCAGAGTCCTCATGCGCGGTACTAGGATTTATCACCTCTCAGGAGAGTCCAACTAGGGCAAAAGGAGAGCAGCCCCCCTTTCAAGCTTTCTACTTTATGGTTGCTGGGTTTCTAGGCAACAGCTATCAGAATTTTTTTTTTTTTTTTGAGACGGAGTCTCACTCTGTTGCCAGGCTGGAGTGCAGTGGCGTAATCCTGGCTCACTGCAACCTCCGCCTCCCGGGTTCAAGTGATCCTCCTGCCTCAGCCTCCTGAGTAGCTGAGATTACAGGCACATGCCACCACGCCCGGCTAATTTTTGTATTTTTAGTAGAGACGGGGTTTCACCATGTTGGCCAGGATGGTCTCGGTCTCTTGACCTTGTGATCCACCCGCTTTGGGCTCCCAAAGTGCTGGGATTACAGTTGTAAGCCACCCGCCCAGCCCAGAATTTTTTTTTTTTTTTCCATACACAGTCTTGCTCTGTCGCCCAGGTTGGAGTGCAGTGGCCCATCTCGGCTCACTGCAACCTCTGCTTCCCAGGTTCAAGCTATTATCCTGCCTCAGCCTCCTGAGTAGCTGGGATTACAGGCGTGCACCACCACACCCGGCTAATTTTTGTATTTTTAGTAGAGACGGGGGTTTCACCATGTTGGCCAGGCTGGTCTCAAACTCCTGACCTCGTGGTTCACCCACCTCGGCCTCCCAAAGTGCTGGGATTACAGGCGTGAGCCACTGCGCCCAGCCTCATCTATCAGAATTTTAATCCTCTCCTAGATAACAATTCTTTCCTCCTAGAAGATTCCCAGGCCAGATGAGGAGACCACACTCAGCCATTGGTTTCAAAGTAAAACTTCACTGTTCTCACAGTAACCTCAGCCTTTCTGCTGCAATCTGGTTTCATTGAAGTGGTTTCCGTTTTCACCAGAACCCCTCTTTCTGAAGTATTCTCAGCCCATTATATTAACAGCACTCAGCCTGCTTTCCACGTATGCCCTATCTTTCCCAAGCTGACCACAGCAGCACCCCTGCCTATACCCCTCCATACTCACTCCCATTGGGTCCACCTTCCTTCCAAGAAGGAAACATTTAAGCCCTCCCTTTGAATTAGATGAAGTAAGAGGAGTTGCTGAGGTGTTTTTTAAAAATCAATTCTGGGCTAGGTGCAATGGCTCACACCTGTAATCCTAATACTGTGGGAGGCCTAGACGGGAGGATTGCTTGAGCCCAGGAGCTCGAGGCTGCAGTGAGCTATGATTGCACTACTGCACTCCAGCCTGGGTGACAGAGCAAGACCCTGTCTCTAAAGAAAAAAAATCAGTTTTATTGAGATATAATTCATATATCATACAACTTACCCATTTATTCTTTCTCTTTTCTAGAGACAGGGTCTTGCTCTGTCACCCAGGCTGATCTCAAACTCCTAGGCCAGAGTGATCCTCCCACCTCAGCCTCCTGAGTGGCTGGAATTACAGGCTCATACCACCACGTCTGGCACCATTTGAAGTGTACAATGCAATGGTTTTTAGTAGATTCACAGAATTGTGAGACATCACAATCAATTTTAGAACACTTCATCACCTCACAAAGAAATCCTGTACCCACTCACAATCACTCCGTTTTTCTCCCCAACCCCCTCAGCCCTAGGCAATCACTAATTTACTACTTTCTGTCCTCTCTGTGGGTTTGCCAATTCTGGGCATTTCATATCAATAGAATCCTATAATATGTGGTTCTTTGTGACTGGCCTCTTTCACTCTTAACATGATGTTTTCAAGTTTTATCCATGGCATAGCATGTGTCAGTGAGGTTGCTGAGTTTTAATAACAAATTGAGGGAAAAGATGGTCTAGGCGAGGTGCAGTGGCTCACATCTGTAAATTCCAGCACTTTGGGATACCAAAGTGGGAGGATCCCTTGAGTTCAGGAGTTCCAGAACAGCCTGGGCAACATAAAGAGGCCCCATCTCAAAAAAAAAAAAAAAAAAAAAAGGATGTTCTAGGTCTCTTTTTGAGGTTTCAGTCACATTGAGATTCATTCAACAATCTTTGTCATTTCTTTCTTTCTTTCTTTTTTTTTTTGAGATGGAATCTCGCTCTGTCGCCCAGGCTGGAGTGCAGTGGCGCAATCTCGGCTTACTGCAATCTCTGCCTCCCAGGTTCAAGCAATTCTCTGCCTCAGCCTCCCGAGTAGCTGGGATTACAGGTGCCTGCCACCATGCCCCACTAATTTTTTTCTATTTTTAGTAGAGACGAGGTTTCACCGTCTTGGCCAGGCCGATCTTAAATTCCTGACCTCATGATCCACCTGCTTCGGCCTCCCAAAGTGCTGGGATTACAGGCATGAGCCACTGCGCCCGGCCCTTTGTCATTTTTTTAAAGTACCCATACACAGGACATTATTTTAGATACAAATGAGGCAGTCCTAGTCCTCAAGGAGCTCACCACTTTGCAAAGTGCTATACTAAGTCTGCATAAAATGCATGGAAAAATAATGAAGAAGCAATTGATTCTGCCTGGTGAAGTCAATGACGACTTTACAGAAGAGGTGATATTTTACCTGGACATTCAAATACACACAGAAATTTGCCAAACTAGAAGAAAGGCATTGTAGGCGTAGGGAAGTTCATGGAGGCATGAAAAGGTGAGGTGTTCTAAGGAAATGAGGAATAGTCCATTGTGGTGGAGAACTCTGGGGGGCAATGAGTAGGTGGAGATGGTGGGGAAGGATCTGGTGGGATCCAGCTGGTGATGACCCTGCTGCAGGACTGATTCTCAGCAGCAGGCACTGGTTCTGCTCAGTGACTAAACAGATGCTGTCCTGAGATCCTCTCCGCGTGGCCCCTGCCATCAGCCTCTCTCCACTTCTTCATGATCCAGCAACCACAGGGTTAATGCCTGTGGCACAGCAAAGGCCTCTGAGATCCTCCCTCCTCCAGCTGGCTCAGGCGAAAGTGTCCTACTGGGGTATCTTGATAGTTAAATATTTTGACTATCACCTCTTGCCCTCAGGCACTATTTTTCAAAATCCAGAAAGTGAATTAAGTTCTAGAAGCCATAAAAAAATTGGCTTTTTAAACTAAACATTTTTATTCAATTGTAAAAGTAGCTACAAATGTAAAATACTTTCATAGCATTCCACAGCCATTGTTAACATCTCTGGCTTCTTGGGTTCCTTTGTAATCTCAACCTCTTTTACTCGGTCTTAAATGTTAGGATTCCTAAAGCCTGATCTTAAACTTCCTATTCCCACCCTAAGCTTTCTCCCTTAGGATCTTGTTAGCACCCAGGCTTAAATGACCACCAATAAACAGATGGCTTACAAAGCTGATCTCTAGCCAGACCTCTCTTCTGCACTCCAGACTCTTATTTTCTGTTGTCTACTTGACACCCCTTTTGGTTGTCACTCACAGGGGACCTCAAAGTCAACCTGCCCCAAACTGGCCGAGTCTTCATGCCCCAGTGTGGAGACATCTCCCATCACTTTCTGTCTCAGATGATAGCACCACATCCATTCAATTATGAAAGCCAGAAACCTGGGGCCATCCTGATGCTTCTCTCCTGGTTTCCTTCATCCCCTCCATCACCAAATCCTGGGGATTTGACTGATATCTCTTGAAGTCGTCCATTTCTCTCCCTCCCCACCATCACCATTAGTTGAGCCCAGTCTACCCTACAATAGCTTCCCAGTTTGGTGCCACTGCACTACAGCCTGGGCGACAAGAGCAAAACTCAGTCTCAGAAAAAAAAAAAAAAAAAGGACCAAAGGACCACTAAAAGAAGAGCACTCTTTTTTTCTTTTTTGAAGCAGGGTCTTGCTCTGTTGCCCAGGCTGGAGTGCAGTGGCACAATCCTAGTTCACTGCAGCCTTGACCTCCTGGGTTTAAATGATCCTCCTGCCTCAGCCTTCCAAGTAACTGGAACCACAGGTATGTGCCACCACACCTGGCTAATTTTTTTTTTTAATTCTTTTGTAGAGACAGGGTCTTACCATGTTGCCCAGGCTGGCTGGTCTCAAACTCCTGGGCTCAAGTGATCCTCCTGCCTTGGCCTTCCAGTGTGCTGAGATTATAGGCATAAGCCACCATGGCTGGCCTAAGAAGGGCATTCTTAGCACAGGTTGGTGAGGATTAGGGGCTAGAAGAGAACCCAAAAGTTTCATTTATTCACTGATTCATCCTTCACTCATTAATATAGCAAACACTTATTGGGAGTCGGCCATGGGCCTGGCATTGTGCTGTGTATTGGGTATAAAGATGAGAGCCCCAGTCTCAACCCCAGTGAGATAAGGGTCAAGTTGGGGAAGAGACACATTGCAAATGAATAGAGTACAGGGTGAGGAAGATTTACAAGATGGGCAGGGATGGCTAAGACAGCAAGGTGGAGGAGGTGACCTTGGGGAGAATCTTGAAGGGCAAATACAGGAGGAAGAAATGCTTCTCTGAGCAGAGGAAACAGCACATGCAAACGTGAAGAGGAGGGAGGAAGCCCAGGGCACCGGAGGGACTGCAGGTGGTTCCAGCCGCTGGGGTAGGGGCTGGCATTGAAGTGATTTGACTGGAGGGATTGGCAAGAGCTGGAACCTACGGGCCTAGAGGACTCTGCCTGACACATGAAGGACTTTGAACTTTCTTGTGATGTGGAATTGTTAAAGATTTTGGAGCAGTGTGAAAAATTGATCAAAGGAAGATTCTTGGGCCTGGGTGAGACTACCAGCAGGGAAAACCAGTTTGGAGACTATTGCAATCAGCGAGGTAGGAGCTGAAAAGTGTCTGAGCCAGGGCTATGGCAATGGGATGTGAGCAGAGGATACAAATATGGGAGATTGGTGGGGATAGAATAGACTTGGTGCCTGGCTGGGGGCGGGAAGAAAAGGAGATATCACTTGGTTTAGTCTCCTGCCTTCGGGTAGATAAGGCAACAGCATAATTTTACAGGTGAGAAACTGAGGCTGTAAGTGATTTATAGTAGGTAGCTGACCAAGCTAGAGTTACCACTTGTAGAACCTTGGGGATCAATACCTCAGGGCAGCTAGTTCTGCTAATTACCTCCTTAACTCTGTCCACCCAACTGGAGAACTTCCCTATCACCATAATCACCACGCAGTGCTGATATCCAAGCCTGCATAGGGTGATGCTTGTTTCTGAAATACCCCAGGCCTGTTCAGCCCTGTGACTGTGGTTCTAACACCTGGAATTTCTCCTGAACCTGCTGGTCATGTGATGCACTGGCAATGAGTTAGTGGATAGGTCGGTGGCATGTATAAGGAAATCAGCAGATGCTGGATCTAGCCGTCTGCCTTCTGACTTCCTAAAAATGTGACTTCTGGTGTTTCAACAGATCACATGCCCTTAGCACATCACCAAGTTCTGGCACGAGGTTGTGGAGATGGAGCAGATTTTGTAAGGACTCCAGCTGGTGGGCTTCCTAGCCCAGTCTCTCCTTCCCTCTTTTTGGTGGTTCTCCAGTTGCCCTTAATTTCTCATTCTCTTTTCATATAAAGGGAAGAAAATGACTTTCTCCCTCACCTGGCTCTTCCCATCCTCACCCTACTGTCTTTTTAGCTCTCTCTCCAGAGTATTGTACAAGCTGGGGTTAATGCCATTGGAGGGAGGACTCTCTAGCTCCAGCTTGGTTTTTCCATTTAATTGTCTTGGTGAAGCCAGCCATGGTGGTGCATGCCTGTAATCCCACCTACTTGGGAGGCTCAGGGGTGAGGATTGCTAGAGGCCAGGAGTTCAAGACCAGCCTGGGCAACATAGTGAGACCTTATTTCTAAATGAATGAATGAATGAACGAATGTAACAAGTGTCAGCCCCTTTTCCTTTTCTTTTCTTTTTTGAGATGGAGTCTTGCTGTGTCACCCAGGCTAGAGTGCAGTGGCATGATCTCGGCTCACCGCAACCTCCGCCTCCCGGGTTCAAGCGATTCTTCTGCCTCAGCCTCCCGAGTAGCTGGGACTACAGGCGCACGCCACCACGCCCAGACAATTTTTGTATTTTTAGTAGAGACGGGGTTTCACCATATTGGCCAGGCTGGTCTCAAACTCCTGATCTCGTGTTCTGCCCGCCTCGGCCTCCCAAAGTGCTGGGATTACAGGCATAAGCCACCGTGCCCGGCCCCCCAGCCTCAAACTTTCTCTGATTTCTCACTATACCTACACACTCCTCACCACCACAGGCTGAGAGATTCTGCCAGGGAAGCTCTAAGCTCTTGAGTCCCATTGGAACTGGACGTATCTGTGAAGTTAACAGCTATTGATCAGGTTACTTCTATTTCCCACTGGAATTTGGCCACCATCTTTGGCTGTAGAGAGTTACTAGAATTTTGCCAGTTTCCCTAGTGGTGAGCTCACCAGAAGTCCTTCTCTGAAAGTCCCTTCAAGTCAAGACCTCTTTGAGTGCTTCCCTCTGCCCTTTCTGTCTCCTCAACTGAATTCTGTGCTGGCTGAGGGAATGAGGAGAAATGATGAACTGGAGACAGAGTGGGATAAACACTTTGCTTAGAACATCAATCTTTGTTTTTTTGAGACAGAGTCTTGCTCTGTCACCCAGGCTGGAGTGCAGTGGCACGATCTTGGTTCGCTGCAACCTCTGCCTCCTAGTTCAAGCGATTCTTCTGCCTTAGCCGCCCAAGTAGCTGGGATTACAGGTGTGCACCACCATGCCCAGCTAAATTTTTGTATTTTTAGTACAGACGGGGGTTTTGCCATGTTGGCCAGGCTGGTCTCGAACTCCTGACCTCAAGTGATCTGCCCACCTTGGCCTCCCAAAGTGCTGGGATTATAGGTGTGAGCCACCGCACCTGGCCTAGAACATCAATCTAAAGCAATTAGGGTCCCCAAATTAGCAATTCTGTATTACCTGGCACTTGTTAGGAGTTGCAAATTCTCAGGCCCCACCCCAGATAGACTGAATCAGAAATTCTAGAGGTGGGGCCTAGCAATCTGTGTTTTAACAAGCTCCCCAGGGGATTACATTGCCTGCTCAGGTTTGAGGACCACTCTTCTAGGTGTTGATTCTCAAACTTCAGGATGCATCCTAACACCTGGGGCAGCTGGTTATGTAGGATCTGGTTAAACAAACTGGACTGGTGTCTGGGCAACTGTATTTTTAGTAAGCTCCCTAGATGATTCTTATATTCATCAAAGATTGAGGATCATTGATCTAAGGAACTCATCTAATTAGCTGAGTCTCCTGGGAAGGGAGCAGACAGAAGGGCAATGGAAGTGTCTCTTAATATTCCAAATGCTACCTGCATCTGAACCTCTGGAGAGCTTGTTAGAAAAGCAGGATCTTGAGCCCCCATCAGAGGTATTGACCCAGACTTTCTGGGCGTGGGGCCCTGGCATCTACATTCAGAGTTCTCCAGGTGATTCTTGCGCATACTAAAGTGTGATTACTGAGGAGCAACAAGTTGGCAGGTGTTCTCAATGCTGGATGCACATTAGAATCACCTGAGGAGCTTTATAAAATTATGTGATAACCTGAGCTCCACCTCCACAGAGTCTGACTTCATTGGTCTGGGCTGGGACCTTGATGTTTTTTAAATGTCTCACACCGGATTATTTTAATAGATAGAGTTAAAGACTATCAGGTTTGGTTGGATATGGGGGTCATGCCTTAATCCCATGGCTTTGAGAAGCTGAGGTGGGAGGATCACTTGAGCCCAGGAGGTCGAGACCAGCCTGGGCAACAGAATGAGACCCCCATTTCTACAAAATTAAATTGTTTTAAAAATTAGCTGAGCACGGTGATGCACGCCAGTAGTCCCAGCTACTTGGGAGGCTAAGGTAGGAGGACTATTGAGGCCAGGAGGTCAAGGTTGCAGTGAGCTGTGACCACTCCAGCCTGAGCTCTTAAAAAACAAAATGAAACAAAAAAACCTATCAGGTTAGGCTGGGCGTGGTGGTGCACACCTGTAGTCCCAGCTACTCGGGAGGTAGAGGCACGAGAGTCACTTGAATGTGGGAAGTGGAGGTTGTAGTGTGCTGAAATTGCGCCACTGCACTCCAGCCTGGGCAACAGAGCAAGACTCTGTCTCAAAACAAAATAAAAAAAAACAAAAAAACCTATCAGGTTAAAGGGAGATGCAGATCTGGGAAGGGTCAGGAAACAGGAGAAGGTGAAGGAATGCCAAGGAAACAATTTGGTGGAAGCCTGAGGGCAAGGCTAGTTATGGTTTCCATGTGGGAAATCCAGGGGAGATTGATTGGGAAGGTGGAAGGGGCCTCAGGTTGGAAAGTGGGCAGGGTGGCTTGGGTGGCGTGAAGCTCACTGTAGAAAGAGGTTAATGTATTAATTTCCTGCTGCTACTGTAACAAACTTAACGGCTTAAAATAACATATGTATTATTTTACAATTCTCTGGGTCAGAAATGTAAAATGGGTCAGCAGGGCTGGGTTCCTTCCGAAGGCTCCAGGGAAGAATCCATTTCCCTGCTTTTCTAGTCTAGAGGCTGCCTGCATTTCTTGGCTCATGACCCCACATCACGGTGACCTCTGCTTCCGTCATGACATCCTCTTCACCCACTCTGGTCCTCTGTTTCCCTCTCAGAAGGACCCTGAGGATTGCATTGGGTCCATCAGGATAATCTTCCCATCTCAAGATCCTTAAATTAGGCCAGGTCTGGTGACTTAAGCCTGTAATCCCAGCACTTTGGGAGGCCAAGGTGGGCGTGAGGTCAGGAGTTTGAAACCAGCCTGGACAACAAGGTGAAACCTCGTCTCTACTAAAAATACAAAAAAAATTAGCCGGGTGTGGTGGCGCATACCTGTAGTCCCAACTACTTGGGAGGCTGAGGCAGAAGAATCACTTGAAACTGGGAAGTGGAGATTGCAGTCAGCCGAGATCATGCCACTGCACTCCAGCCTGGGTGACAGAGACTCTGTCTCAAAAAAAAAAAAAAAAAGTCCTTAATCACATCTGCAAAGTCATCTTTGCCATGTAAGGGAGCAGAATCGTTGGCCCCAGGGATTAGGATGTGTACATCTTTGGGAGGATATTATTTAGCCTTCCACAGTTAGCATGGTTTAACTAATGAGAATGGAAACAGTGGCTGGAGGGACCATGAAAGTCAAGCAGTAGGGGTGGAAGGATAAAGGGGAGGCAGTCAATAGGTCAAAGTTACAGTTAGATAGGAAGAAAAGCTCTTGTGTTCTACTGCACAGCACAGTGACTAGAGTTCATAAGAAGGTATTGTATATTTCAAAATAGCTAAAACAGGATTTTAAATGTTATTGCCATAAAGAAATAATAAATATTTGAGGTGAGGTGACAGTATGCTAATCAGGCTGATATAATCATTCCACAACATATGCATTATTGAAATATGACATTGTACCCCATAAATATATACATTTATTTTTTGTCAATTAAAAATAAAGCTACAAGGCCAGGTGGCTTATGCCTGTATGTAGGGTCCAGCCCTACGGGGCTTAGAGGGTGTTCTCCCCATGTGCGGAGACGAAAAATTGTAATAAAGACACAAGACAAAGAGATAAAGAGAAAGCAGCTGGGCCCTGGGGACAACTACCATCAAGACGTGGAGACCGGTAGTGGCCCCGAACGGCTGGGCTTGCTGATATTTATTGCATACAGGACAAGGGGGCAGGGTAAGGAGGGTGAACCTTCTAAGTGATTGACAAGGTGAAGCAAGTCACGTGATTACAAGATAGGGGGCCCTTCCCTTTTAGGTAGCCGAAGCAGAGAGAGAAGGCAGTATACGTCAGCATTTTCTTCTCTGCACTTATAAGAAAGATCAAAGACTTTAAGATTTTCACTATTTCTTCTACCACTATCTACTAGGAACTTCAAAGAGGAACCAGGAGTACGGGAGGAGCATGAAAGTGGACAAGGAGTGTGACCATTGAAGCACAGCACCACAGGGAGGGGTTTAGGCCTCCGGATGACTGAAGGCAGGCCTGGATAATATCCAGCCTTCCACAAGAAGCTGGTGGAGCAGAGTGTTCCCTGACTCCTCCAAGGAAAGGAGACTCCCTTTTGCAGTCTGCTAAGTAACGGGTGCCTTCCCAGACACTGGTGTTACCACTTGAACAACGAGCCCTCAAGCAGCCCTTATGCGGGCGTGACAGAAGGCTCACCTCTTGCCTTCTAGGCCACTTCTCACAATGTCCCTTCAGCACCTGACCCTATACCCACCGGTTATTCCTAGGTTATATTAGTAATGCAACAAAGAGTAATAGTAAAAGCTGATGATTAATAATGTTTATAATAATGATTGATAATTGTCCATGATCATCTCTATATCTAATTTGTATTATGACTATTCTTATTCTAACTATTTTCTTTATTATACTGAAACAGTTTGTGCCTTCAGTCTCTTGCCTCAGCACCTAGGTAATCTTTCGCCCACACCTGTAATCCCAGCACTTTGGGCAGCCAAGGTGGGTAGATCACTTGAGCTCAGGAGTTTGAGATCAGCCTGGCCAACATGATGAAACCCCGTCTCTACTAAAAATACAAAAATTTGCTTGGCGTGGTGGCAGGCACCTGTAGTCCCAGCTACCTGGGAGGCTGAGGCAAGAGAATCGCTTGAACCAGGAGGTGGAGGTTGCAGTTAGCAGAGATTGTGCCATTGCACCACTCCAGCCTGGGTGACAGAGCGAGACTCTGTCTCAAAAAAAAGAAAGAAAGTCGGGTGGGGATCCCCCATCTAGAGTCCAGCCTCCTGGGGTTGGGCTGTTCAGCTCCAGGAAGCCCCTGGTGTGGCTAAAAGGTTTGGGCAGCCCCTGAAGCTGCCTTGGGATCAGACTCTCATTGGTGCTCCTCAGGTCTAGGATTTTCTTCCCAACTCAGAGGGGAGAAGGGAAATGACGTTGTTTATTGTGTCTGGAGCTGTGGGGCCTTTACCTAAGCCCTGTCAGGAAGGTTGTGTTTTCGCCAGCTGAGATGCTGGGAGATGCACCCAGGATGGCTGGGTGCCTGCGGGTTGGAGGGGAGAAAGCAGAGCGAAGGGAAGAGGTGTTAGACAAGCAAAGGAGCCCTGGCTCTTAATTTTCACCCCTAAGTCCTTGGTTTTGGCCTGGGACTGTAAAACCCCTCACAGAGCAGTAGGGGTTCTTAGCCCCAGGGTCAGACATGGAGTGGTCCCTGGAACCCTCAGTGCCTTACCCCAAGTGGCTAACCTCCTTCCTGAACAGGCAGATGTGTCATGCTGGGCAGCACCTCTCCCTCCCGACACCTGCATGGTGACTCAAACTCCCAGGTAAAGCCCAACCCGATGGGAAATGACTCAGCATTGAAGTTCTCTTCCCCTCATTGGGGAGGGAGCAGGAAGCCCGAAGCTGGGCCTGACGCTCCCCTTTGATTTCTCAAGGTAGTGACGGGGGAAGGGGAGCTTTGCAGGGGAGTTTTGCCTGGCCAACATGGTGAAACCCTGTCTCTACTAAAAATATAAACACTTGCTGGGCGTGGTGGCGGGCGCCTGTAATCCCAGCTACTCAGGAGGCTGAGGCAGGAGAATCACTTGACCCAGGAGGTGGAGGTTGCAATGAGCCGAGATTGTGCCATTGCACCACTCCAGCCTGGGTGACAGAGTGAGACTCCCTCTCAAAAAGAAGAAAGTTGGGGTGGGGTGTCCCCCTAGAGCATCTTCTTCCTACAGCTTCTGCTTTTACACACACACTCTCTCTCTCTCTGTGTGTGTGTATGTGTAGACAGTCTAGGACACTTGAGGGTGGGCGTGCTGGGATCTACAAGACTTCCCCCTTGCCTTCATCTCTGTTGCCTGCCACTTCCTACCCTGCTGCCCTTTAGGGAGAGTTGAAAGTTTATTTCCTGCCCCAGTGAATTATTATTATTTTTGACTAGCGAAGGTGGGATTTGGGCAATAGGGAGGACTTTTGCTGATTGCCCAGACTGGAGACCTGACAGTGGGGTAGTGCTTAGGAGAGTCCAGTCGCTAGATCACGAAAGCTCCATTTAAAATGCATAGTTGGGGCTAGGCATGGTGGCTCACGCCTGTAATCCCAGGATTCTGGGAGGCCTAGGCGATGGATCCCTTGAGGCCAGGAGTTAGAGACCAGCCTGGCCAACATGGCAAAACCCCGTCTCTACTAAAAACACAAAAATTAGCTGGGCGTGGTGGCATGCACCTGTAATCCCAGCTACTCAGGAGGCTGAGGCACGAGAATCACTTGAACTTAAGAGGCAGAGTTTGCAGGGAGCTGAGATCGTACCACTGCACTCCGGCCTGGGTGACAGAGTGAGACTCCATCTCAAATAAATAAATAAAAATAAAAATAAAATGCACAGTTGGACTGTCTCTGGAAGGTTGCGGGCGAACCAGAAATGTAGTGACCTCCAGGAAGGAAAATTGCTACTACTCTTTTCCACATATCCTTTGATCACTTTTAAATTGTGTTCCATTTGCAAGTACTACCTACTCAAATGGAAAGAATAAAACATGGTTACCTGGGAAGGAAGATAAAAAGAGAGTCCTTTTCCATATTAGTGCTAAGCACTTCGTACAGTTCGTCCTTAACTGGACAAGAATTACGGAATCTCTATAGGATGATGTCAGGAGCTGTGCTGGATTCTGGAGACTCAGCGTCTACAAAACAGCATCCCTTGCCTCACAGCGATCCCAGTTGGGAGAGCAATTCAGACAGACAGCAAGGCAATGAACACGCAGTGTCAGAAGCGTGATGATGAGAAGTGCAGACACCAGGGAATTGCAAAGGAGGCTCCTCTGCCCAGACCTGGGGAGAAAAGACCTTTCTGGACCCAGTGATATCCAAGCTGAGACCAGGAGTTAGTCGGAGGGGAAGAGAGCTCCAGGCACAGGGAACAGCACAACATACGCAAAGACTGCAGGAGCCGTATAAAACTTGACTGCTTCCTTGGAACTGCAAGCAGTCAACATGTCTGGAGTATTGAGTTTGGAGAGGGTGTGTGGAAGAATGAAGCCACAGAGGTAAGGTCAGATCATAGAGTATTTTATAAGCTAATGTAAGGTCAGTTAGTGGTCACCTTGAACAGGTGTGAAGCCCTGGGGGACAGGGGTTAATAATCTACCTGTATTGGAATGCTGTTTTGCCAAGCACTGTAATCTTTTTATGCATTAGCTCATTTAACACTTCCAAAAAGCGCCTGAGATTTTTACCATCATTTTTTTCTTTTCTTTTTTCTTTTTGTTTTTTGTTTTTGTTGTTGTTGTTGTTGTTTAGACGAAGTCTGACTCTGTAGCCCAGGCTGGCGTGCAGTGGCGTTATCTCGGCTCACAACAACCTCTGCCTCCCGGGTTCAAGCGATTCTCCTGCCTCAGCCTCCAGAGCAGCTGGGATTATAGGTGCGTGCCACTGCACCCGGCTAATGTTTTGTTTATTTAGTAGAGACAGGGTTTCGCCATGTTGGCCAGGCTAGTCTTGAACTCCCGACCTCAGGTAATCCACCTGCCTCGGCCTCCCAAAGTGCTAGGATTACAGGCGTGAGCCACCGTGCTTGGCCTACTATCATTTTTTTCTATTTAATGTTTTGTAAGTAAGTGAGGAAACTGAGGCTCAAAGAGGTTAAATTTAGTAGAAAATCTTACAGGGTCACAAATGGAATAATATAAATGTCTAGGGGCACAGCTAGCCCAGGGAGAGTGGGGATCTCACCCAGACATGCACTGTCTGCCATGCGACCTCCCCATTCAGATAGAGCAGTGGTTGTTGTCAATAAGGGTGGTGATTTTGCCCTCAGGAGACATTTGAAAGTGTCTGGAAACATTTTTGGTTGTCACAACTGGGAAGATGCTACTGGCATCTCATAGGTAACTAACATCCTACAATGTAGGATGCTCAAAATATCAACGTCACAACTGAGAAATCCTAGAGAATAAGTTGTAGAGGGCAGGCACAGAGAGGTAGTCAAGGGGTGAGCGTGAGAATTTTGGAAGGGAGTTTTTTCTTTTTTCTTTCTTTTTTTTTTTGAGATGGGGTCTTGCCTGCTTGTTGCCCAGGCTGGAGTGCAGTGCTGCAATCATAGCTCACTGCAGCCTTGAACTCCTGGGCTGGAGCAATCATCCCATGTCAGCCTCTTGAGTAGCTGACAGGTGTGTGCCACCATGCCTGGCTAATTTTTATATTTTTAATAGAGACAACAGGGTCTCACTATGTTGCCCAGGCTGGTCTCAAACTCCTAGGCTCAAGTGATCTACCCACCTTGGCCTCCCAAAAAGAGTGCTGGGATTACAGGTGTGAGCTGCCATGCCCGGGCAGGAAGAGACATTTTTTAAAGGCCTTGTAAATACTGTACTTATAGCAGCAAGAGACAGGAGTCAGCTCCAGTAAAGCCTGGGATGGACACAGCACATCCTTTCCTGACGTTCCTGCTGCTTCCAAGCACCAGCCTTAAGAGCCCAGAGGAAACTGCTAATGAATTTCCCTAGAGTTACCCAGAACTAATTCTGAGGGGTTTCCTGCCACCTCTCAGGTCCGGGACTGTTAAGGGGTACCAGCCAAGATGTCCAACTCCTCACCAGCATATTCTGCCAGACCAGGGCACCCTGCTCTGATCATGCTGAGACATGGGACCCAAGTCCAACACGTTTGGTCAATGCATGATTTCAAAGAATTGTAACATCAGCAGCAGAGAAACTGGAGACCCAAAGAATGGATTCAAATGCTTGTTGCCTGAATCTGCTCTTCTCACAAGTCCCTCAATATTGTACCTGAATATAATACCTTCTCCTGCATCAAGAGAGGACATTAGGTGGGTCCCAGCTGCCTCTTCAGGGATTTAACAGGCTAACCAGGAGCTCTCACTTGTCTTTCTACCTGCAAACTACAGAATGGGTGCAGATCTTTCCAGGAAGCTTATAAAAGCTCACAGGGTGAGGCGAAAGTTGGCTTAGTCTCAGAGATTCATTGTTGTTGGGAACGTAGAGCCCTGAGCGCTTTAAGTCCTGAAAATCTTCTAGTTTCTGATCTTTAGCTCAACTTTTAACTGTTTTCCTCCTGATTTTTGTTTGGCTTTCTGATTTGATTCTCTGGTTTGACATATGTGTCTGTCTTAATTAGGTTTTCCAGCAGGTCATGGCCCTGTCCCGGGCCCATGTAAACCATCAAAGGCTTGCCTCAGTCATCCCTATACCAGCTTCTCACCTTGCCCAGTCTTAGGGCCTGGGATCTAAGAGCCCTCTGGAAGATCTACCCTTTTTCTACATCTGAAAACTCACTATTAGAGAGTTAAAGTCTTCGAAACATTCCATGTTTCCCAAGGGTCCACATGGCAATTTTGTGATATATTTATAGGTAGCAAGTGGAACAAAGGGGTTTGTAGCCAAATAAATTTGGAGAATGTTATGTGAGGTTAGTTTCTTGTCTACAACAAGGCTTAATATGCTTTGAACAGGTTAAACATCCATACAATGAACTTAGTCAGCTCACAATCCAGTACCCAAAACCCTTGGAACCAGATATATTTGGATTTCAGAATATTTCAGGTTTTAATAAGGTAAATGGTGAATATGCTATTTATTCCACTATTTATTCCATTGCACCCAGAAGAGCTGGCAGGCCCTGTAATCAAGCACATACTTCTGCAGCAAAACATATGCATCTTCATACTAAGTAGGCTAAGTAAAAAATCTGAAAAGCCACAACATCATTTTAGGTCAGGTTTTACCCCTAAGTCTTGTTTTGTTTTTTGAGACGGAGTCTTGCTCTGTTGCCCAGGCTGGAGTGCAGTGGTGTGATCTCGGCTCACTGCAACCTTCACCTCCTGGGTTCAAGCGATTCTCCTGTTTCAGCCCCCCTAGTGACTGGGATTATAGACACACACCACCACACTGGGCTAATTTTTGTATTTTTAGTAGACATGGCATTTCACTATGTTGGCCAGGCTGGTCTCAAACTTCTGACCTCAAGTGATCCATCCACATCGGCCTCCCAAAGTACTGGGATTACAGGCATGAGCCATAGCACCCAGCCTGTTATTTTTTAAAACTTAGTTTTTAGCACTTTTTGGACTTCAACCTGATGGATACAGGATGGGGCCGTGTAGATGGTGTTCCCAACATAGATGATCTCAGAACTCCCTCTTCCAGGAGCATCTAGCAGGACAGGTATTTCATGGACTCCAAGGATACCCTCAGCTGTTAGTCTATAACACAGGAGAGTGAACACAGTCGGTCATTCTCACTTTAGCCTTATCCTCTCCCACACCAACTAGATGAGGTGAGGATTCTGACAGCCAAACAAGGAGGAGAAGCTGGAGAGCCTGTGCATGTGTGCAGATGTGGTTGGGGAGTCATGGTTCAGCTGTCAGCTTCTGGTGGAAAAGGGATACCAAAAAGAGCGGCATAGTGGACATCCAGGTTATGGTGGTTTTCTTCTGTGTACACTTCTGTGTTTTTCACATTTCCTTTAGAAATGACGAGCTTTTTCTCCCTTATTGCTGTTTTCTACTGCAGGGAGTTGCTGCTCTTAGTGTTGCAGTGTGGGGAGGTAGGATGGGGCTGACGCAGAGCCTGAGGGCAAGGCAGGGTTCCTGGGAAGATGGATTCCTGTGATTCTGGCCTTGTGCCTCAGCCAGAGCTGAGGTGGGGTGGGGTGTATGCCTAAGGCCAGGGTCCCCTGGGGAAGGAGGAGGATGTTGGATTTCTGGTGGATTTCCAGGAAGACTTCCTGCTCTGACAAAAACAACACAAACACAGGAAGAGGCTCTGGGGCCTAAGGAGAGGGGATAATGGACCAAGGTGGAGACTTTTGGGGTGGAGGCTGATACAGAGAGCAGCCCAGGAACAGAGAAGCTGCCTCCTCGCTGTCCAACTGTGTTCCCCAAGCCAGCTGAGAGTCTTTCTCTACTGTGGTGGCAAGTTGGGAACTGGAGGAAGAGGCCCAGTAACTTTGGACTCCCTGGCTTCTTCTCCACTTTTCATTGAGTATAATATTTCTTGGTGGCCTGGACCATGAGGATGGGGGTGGAGAGTAGGCAGTGGACTGCGGGGGGGCATTTGGCTAAGGCCTCAGATTATGTAGGGCCTCAGATACAGACCTTAAATGTGTGGGGTCACACACCTGTCAGAGCTACATTCAGCCTCACTGTGCGGGATCAGGTGAAGACATGCATCCTAAACTTGCTACCATTACCAGCCCTATGGTGTGCTGTAAACTCATTATCTTCATATGGCTTGTGAATTGCTCTGTTATGTTGCATTATATATGTATATATACACATATGTGTGTATGGGACTCTGTGTGTGTGTTTGTTGTAAACCAAAAATAAAAATCTAAGGCTACCCCCACCATCTGAAGAGACTCCCTCCTCTTGGCCAGGCCACTCCAAAGTTAACCTGAACAACTGTTTTCAGGCCATGAGGGGAAGTGGGGGTTGGACCTGCCTCATAATGCCCTCCTGCCTTTTGGAATTCAGGAAAAGCTGACCAGCATTAACAACAACATAGACCTTAAGTCTGATAAATAACCTTTACAATCTATTCTCTCCTGAAGCCTGCTATCTGGAGGCTTCATTTGCATGATAAAACTTTGGTCTCCATAACCTCTTATCATAACCTAGATATTTCATTCTAGTGATAACTCTTTTAACCATTGCCAATGAGAATTTTGTTTGTTTGTTTGAGATGGAGTCTTGAGTGCAGGCTGGAATGCAGTGGTGCAATCTTGGCTCACTGCAACCTCCGCCTCCCAGCTTCAAATGATTCTCCTGCCTCAGCCTCCTGAGTAGCTAGGATTACAGGTGCCTGCCACTACGCCCGGCTAATTTTTGTATTTTTTAGTAGAGACAGGGTTTTGCCATGTTGGCCAGGCTGGTCTCAAACTCCTGACCTCAGATGATCTGCCCACCTCAGCCTACCGAAGTGCTGGGATTACAGGCATGAGCCACTGCACCCGGCCTAGAAAATTTTTTAATCTACCTATAATCTTGAAGGCTCTGTACCCCATTCCCCATTTTGAGTTGTCCCCCCTTTCTGGATCTAACCAATGTACATCTTAAATGTGTTGACTGATGTCTCATGCCTCCCTAAAATGTATAAAACCAAGCTGTGCCCCTACCACCTTGGGCACATGTTCTCAGGGTCTCCTGAGGGCTGTATCACAAGCTATGGTCACCCATATTTGGCTCAGAATAAATCTCTTCAAATATTTTACACAGTTTGACTCTTTTCGTCAACTCTCTCTCTCTCTCTGCGTGTGTGTGTGTGTGTGTGTGTGTGTGTGTGTGCCACCACACCCGGCCAACATTTTTAAAAATAATAATAAATAAAAAAAATAATAAAATAATAAAACGGGGCCAGGCGCGGTGGCTCACGCCTGTAATCCCAGCAATTTGGGAGGCGGACGCAGGAAGATCGCTTAAGCCCAGGAGTTCGAGACCAGCCTAGGCAACAAAGTGAGACTTTCTCTCTACAAAAAATACAAAATACAGCTTTGGGCATTTTTTCTTTTTTTGAGATAGGGCCTGGCTTTGTCACCCAGGCTGGAGTGCAGTGGGTCATCACCACTCACTGCAGCCTGGACCTACTGGGCTGAAGTGATCCTCCCACCTCAGCCTCCCAAGTAGCTGAGACTACAGGCATGCGCCACCATGCCCAGCTAATTTTTGTATTTTTTGTGGAGATGGTGTCTCATTTTGTTGCCCAGGTTGGTCTCGAACCCCCGAACTCAAGTGATCCTCCTGCCTCAGCCTCCCCAAGTGCTGAGATTATAGGCGTGAGCCACCATGCCTGGCTTTCTTTTACTCATTTATTTATTTATTTGGGTGTGGGGGTCACAGCTTTGACTTGCTAAGTATACACATTTGAGATATACCACACTTTCAGTAACTTTGTTTTGGCATTAAAAATCTGTATCTATCTATATCTAGAGCTTTGAAAGGGAAGTAATAAACATTTTTTTTTTTTTTGAGACAGAGTCTTGCTCTGTCGCCCAGGCTGGAGTGCAGTGGCTAGATCTGGGCTCACTGCAAGCTCCGCCTTCTGGGTTCACGCCATTCTCCTGCCTCAGCCTCCCGAGTAGCTGGAACTACAGGTGCTCGCCACCACGCCCGGCTAATTTTCTTTGTATTTTTTAGTAGATACGAGGTTTCACCATGTTAGCCAGGATGGTCTCGATCTTCTGACCTCGTGATCCGCCCGCCTCGGCCTCCCAAAGTGCTGGGATTACAGGCGTGAGCCACTGCGCCCGGCCAACATTTTTTAAAATAATAAAACGGGGCCAGGTGCGGTGGCTCACGCCTGTAATCCCAGCACTTTGGGAGGCCGACGCGGGAAGATTGCTTGAGCCCAGGAGTTTGAGACCAGCCTGGGCAACAAAGTGAGACTTTGTCTCTACAAAAAATACAAAATAAAAATAAAACGGAAGGAGTCTGGCTCAGTCTTCACCTCTGAGAAGGGTAAGGAGAGCTCCAAACCGGAGCCTGAGAGCGCCTGTCCCCACTGGGCACTTGGACTGAGCGTCAAGAACCGAGGGCGGCCCGTGGGAGTCTTCCTTCCGCGGCCCGGGCGCGGTTCTGGCTTCATCTGCATCGCTCTGGCGGCCCCTGCTGGGCTGGCGGTGAAAGGCGACCCGGGATGGGGCGGTGCCCCGAGCTCTGGCTGGAGTAGGAGACACTGCGTGGGGGTGGCCTGGTGGGCAGCACGAAGACGTTGGGCTCAAGGGGACTCAAAGAAGACAAGCTCTGTTTACCGCACGGTTGTTTATTGCCACGCTGTGGGCTAAGGGATTGTTCTGAAAGTGCTGCTGAGGAAGGGGGCAAGTCCAGGTCTGAGGGCAAGACTGCTGAGCCCAGGGAGGGAAATGTCCGATTGCTGGGTGGGAATTCATGACCCTATTTCTTCTCTTCTCCTTCCCGGCTCCACGTGGTGACCATAAAGGGCCTGGCCTCTCTGAGCAGGGCAGCCATCCTCCTCCGTGCAGCTGGTTGGGGTCATGAACTCTGATTCAGAAAGAGGGAGCAGGATTTCTTGCTAAGACCTCCTGGCCGAAGTCAAATTCTCTGACCTGCTTTTACTGAAAAGCCTTGTTCTGAGGGCATACAGGAGCCTCAATCAACCATTTAATAAAAATGCTTCCTCACCGTCCTCATGGTCTTTATCCCTCTGGGGTGGAAGGTAGGATTCAGGGCCCCAAACCTTTCCCTGAGCATACTGGTTACCCAGTGGGTCCTAGTGAGTATTTGAGATAAAAATAGCTTATGGGAGCCTGTGGCTTAGTGCAGCTGCCATGGCTAGTGCCTTGACCAAAGGTGGTATCAGGTGATTTGGAAAATAGAGCCTTTTGGGTCTGGCAAAGGCTCACTTCAAATAGACAGAGGTTTTAGTCACTGTGAGTCAAGCAGTTTATGCCACCACAGCTTGCTGGCGCCCCTTCACCCATTCTCATCCAATGTATTGCAAATGGAAACTTTAAACTGGAAAAAGCAGCTTTTTATATATGACCACTTTTTTTTAAATTCTTTTTTGAGACAGGGTCTTCCTCTGTCACCCAGTCTGGAGTGCCGTGGTACCATCTCGGCTCACTTCAACCTCCGCCTCCTGGGCACAGGTGATCCTCCCACCTCAGCCTCCCGAGTAGCTGGGATTACAGGTGTGTGCCACCACGCCTGGCTAATATTTGCTACTTTTAGCAGAGGTGGAGTTTCACCATGTTGCCCAGGCTGGTCCTGAACTCCTGGGCTCAAGTGATTTACCCACCTCAGCCTCCCAAAGTGCTGGGATTATAGGTGTGAGCCACCACTCCCAGCCATAGCCACTTCTTTATATATGGTTCTTCATATTTGTGTGTGAAGTTTTGAGTCCTTAGGTCGCTAGTGGTAGCAGCCTTCCCAGATTCTGTCATCTTTCTCTTGTTTTGTACATGACCCAGAGCCTATTAATAGGGAACCGTGGCCAAGCTAAGCCCTTAGGCTCACGAAGCAGGTTCAGAGGTCCCTGAGTCCTACCCTCCTCCACTCTCAGGCCCGGCATTGGCCTGACAGGTTGACTGCCCAGACCCTTGCCATGGCTGTGGATTCAGCCACCAGAGGGTGGTCAGTTTTACTGGTGGACAATAAAGGGGAATATCCGATTTGTAGTAATTGAAAAAGCCCATTTTCAGAGCAGTCTATGTCTGGGAATCAGGTTTGCTTTGACTCGGGGAGAAACTAGATTGTTTTGAAAAATGAATTTTAGGACCGGGCGCAGTGGCTCACGCCTGTAATCCTAGCACTTTGGGAGGCTGAGGTAGGTGGTTCACGAGGTCAGGTGTTCAAGACCAGCCTGACCAACATGGTGAAACCCCATCTCTACTAAAAATACAAAAATTAGGCGGGTGTGGTGGTGCGCGCCTGTAATCCCAGGTACTTGGGAGGCTGAGGCAGGAGAATCACTTGAACCCGGGAGTCAGAGGTTGCAGTGAGCCGAGATCGCACCACTGCACTCCAGCCTGGGCAACACAGCAAGACTCTGTCTCAAAAAGAAAAATGAATTTTAGTCTTGCAAACTGAAGAGCAGTGGAAAATGAAAGGTAACTGAGGGACATATATTTTAATCTTTTATTGTAAAACATGGCATAGAAAAGAAAACCACACAAATCAAATGTATAGCTTAATTTATTATTATAAGGTAAAACCACCCAGATTAAGAAATAAGGCCAGGCGTGGTGGCTCATGGCTCTAATCCCAGCACTTTGGGAAGCCGAGGCAGGTGGATCACTTGAGTCCAGGAGTTTGAGACCAGCCTGGGAAACATGGCGAAACCCCATCTCTACTAAAAATATAAAAAACTAGCCAAGCGTGGTGGTGTGCACCTGTAGTCCCAGCTACTCAGGAGGCTGAGGTAGGAGAATCATCTGAGCTCGGGAGGTTGAGGCCGTGGTGAGCCGAGATTGTGCCATTGCACTCCAGCTTGGGCAACTGGAGTGAGATCCTGTCTCAAAGAAGAAAAAAATAAAAAAATTTTCCAGCCTCCCCAGAAAACCTTCTGTGTGCACTGTTCAAATCACAACCCTCCCTCCTCCCACAAACCATCACTATCCTGAGTAATACAGCAATCAAAATGGATATTTTGGAGGACAGCTTAGACATATAAACCCAAACTAACTACTTTTATTTTATTTTATTTTTTAGACTGAGTCTCATTCTGTCACCCAGGCTGGAGTGTGGTGGTCCAATCTCAACTCACTGCAACCTCCATCTCCCGGGTTCAAGCAATTCTCCTGCCTCAGCCTGCCAAAGTAGCTGGGATTACAGGTGTGTGCCACCATGCCTGGCTAATTTTTGTACTTTTAGTAGAGATGGGGTTTCACCATGTTGGCCAGGCTGGTCTCGAATTCCTGACCTCAGGAGATCTCCCTGCCTCAGCCTCCCAAAGTGCTGGGATTACAGGTGTGAGCCACCACACTGGCCCCAAACACTACTTTCCATAAATGGGTTAGAAAAATGGGGAATAGCTTAATTGTTCTTAGATTAGGGAGGGTGATTGGGACTCAAGAGATTTAGCAGGAGAGGCTGGATCTCAGCAAATGAATTATATTAATTTCCTGATAGTGAGCTCAAACCCCCTCCAAGCAGATTTCTTCCATTCAGAAGAAGAGATTTGCAATGTCTAAAGCTACACAAGATTAATATCTGGAATGCTCAAGAAACTCCTGGGGATCAACAAGAAAAAGGCCAGAAATCCAATGGAAAAGTGAGCAAAGAATAAAGTCAGAAATCACAGAAGGGAAATTAGAATGGCTGGCAAGTGTGTGAAGAGATGCCCAACCTTGGCTGGGCACAGTGGCTCACACCTGTAATCCCAGCATTTTGGGAGGCTGAGGCAGGATTGCTTGAGCCCAGGACATCCAGACCAGCCTCAACTACATAACAAGACCCCGTGTCTACAAAATAAATAAATAAATAAATAAATAAAGCCAAGCGTGGTGATGTGCACATGCAGTCTCAGCTACTCAGAAGGCTGAGGTGGGAGGCTTGCTTGAGCCTGGGAGGTGAAGGCTGCACTCCAGCCTGGGTGACAGAGTGAGACCCTATCTCAAAAAAAGAAAGCTCAATCTTAGAAGTACCCTGAGCAATGCAAATTAAAACATGATATCACTTGGTGTCACCTCAATTGTCGAAAGTTAGGCAAGTCAGATAATGCCTTTCAAGTGTTGGAAAGGATGTGGGGAAAAGGGGACAACTGTTGGTGGGATTATAAACTTGTAGGGCTATTCTGGAAGCCATCTGACTCTATTTTGAGAGGTGACAGCGTGCTGGCAGCCCTCGCTTGCTCTCGGCGCCTCCTCGGCCTTGGCGCCCACTCTGGCCGTGCTTGAGGAGCCCTTCAGCCTGCCGCTGCACTATGGGAGCCCCTCTCTGGGCTGGCTGAGGTCAGAGCCGGCTCCCTCTGCTTGCAGTGAGGTGTGGAGGGAGAGTGGGAGGGAACCGGGGCCAGCACAAGTTCTGAGTGGGCGTGGGCTCGGTGGCCCCGCACTCTGAGTGGCCGGCTGGTGCCACCGGCCCTGGGCAGTGAGGGGCTTAGCACCCGGGCCAGCAGCTGCAGAGGGTGTACCGGGTCCCCTAGTGGTGCCGGCCCGCGGGTGCTGTGCTCGAATTCTCGCCAGGCCTTAGCTGTCTCCCCGCGGGGCAGGGCTCGGGACCTGCAGCCTGCCATGCCCGAGCCTTACCCCGCGGCCGTGGGCTCCTGGGCAGCCCAAGCCTCCCTGATGAGCACTGCCCCCTGCTCTGCGGCACCTGGTGCCATAGACCGCCCAAGGGCTGAGGGGTACAGGCCCATGGCGCGGGACTGGCAGGCAGCTCTGACAGCGGCACCCGTACAGGATCCACTAGGTGAAGCCAGGTGGGCTCCTGAGTCTAGTGAAGACTTGGAGAAACTTTATGTCTAGTTAAGGGATTGTAGATACACCAATCAGCACTCTGTGTCTAGCTCAAGGTTTGTAAATGCACCAATCAGCACTCTATCTAGCTAATCTGGTAGGGACTTCGAGAACCTTTATGTCTAGCTAAGGGATTGTAAATACACCAATCAGCACCCTGTGTCTAGCTCAAGGTTTGTAAACACACCAATCAGCACCCTGTGTCTAGCTCAAGGTTTGTAAATGCACCAATCACTGCTCTGTGTCTAGCTAATCTAGTGGGGACTGGGAGAACCTTTATGTCTAGCTAAGGGATTGTAAATACACCAATCAGCACCCTGCATCTAGCTCAAGGTTTGTAAATGCACCAATCAGTGCTCTGTGTCTAGTTAATCTAGTGGGGACTTGGTGAACTTTTGTGTCTAGCTCAGGGATTGTAAATGCACCAATCAGCACCCTGTCAAAACGGACCAATCAGCTCTCTGTAAAACAGACCTATCAGTTCTTTGTAAAATGGACCAATCAGCAGGATGTGGGTGGGGCCAGATAAGGGAATAAAAGCAGGCTGCTGGACCCAGCAGTGGCAACCCGCTTGGATTTCCTTGTTGGAAGGTTTGTTTTTTCGCTGTTTGCAATAAATCTTGTTGTGTTCGGTCTTTGGGTCCGCACTGTTTTTATGAGCTGTTAAGGCTCACAGGGAAGGTTTGCAGCTTCACTCCTGAGCCAGCGAAACCACGAGCCCACCAGAAGGAAGAAACTCTAGATGTCTCCAAACATCAGAAGGAAAAAACTCTGGACACGCTGCCTTTAAGAACTGTAACACTTACCGCGAGGGTCTATGGCTTCATTCTTGAAGTCAGTGAGACAGAGAACTCACCAATTCTGGACACAATTTCATGAATTTAAATATGCATACAGCCAATGAGCCAGCAATCTCATGTCCCCAGAGGAACATAAACAAGCAGATTCATCAGAGGATTATACGTGGAGACAACCTAGGGGGACATCACTACAGAAACGTGGAAGCAAAATGTAAACGCATACTTTGCTGTACTGTGCAGCAGTCAGCCACAGTGAACTAAAAGTGCTTAGACCCCCACAACAAGCTTAAAAACAGGTGTCACATAAAAAAGAAATACAATAAGATCTAGGGTATAACACCATTTATGTAGACTAAAGTCACACCTACCCATAAAAGAGCACTGTATATCTTTCAGTAATGTCTATATACCCAAGGACATGCATTAAACACATTATAGTGAGTCTCTTATGGGATAAGGAGAAGGATGAATAGACAGGGCATGAATGGGGTAAAAAAATAAAAGAGGATACTTCTTTACCAGAGATGAAAAATGGTATACCTGAGCTGAAGATATTTCTCCAGCTCTCTCTACTGGAGGGAAGGAAAATTGCCCTTGAAAAGTTTCACACAGATGGTCAATATAAGGACATCAGGAGAGTCCCCTTAATGACTGGAATAGTTGGTGGCTATATAAAACTTGGGTAGCCATTTCAAAGGAAGGACCACAAAGATGCTTCAGGCAACTTAGGGGAATTTCAAGGTGGCACAGGAAATTATGTGGATGAGATAACAGGTAAAGGCTTAGGCTCCCAGAGGACAGGTCCGGGCATTGTGGGGCTGGAATTACAGTGGCAAGTACAGGGCAGACCCACACTGAAAGGAAGCAGAATGCAGTGGATCCTATCCAGTCCTAGGGGAAGTGTCCCATGATGGTCAAACCTCCTGACTAGAATGACCCCACCCGGAGAGGGGACTGGGAGCAGGGTTCGTTTGATCAAAGGAGTCTTTAGCGAGACTTGACACTGATGGGTCCCAAAAGCAGTATATGGAGAAACATGCCAGGAGAGCAAACATTTGGCCTGAAGGCAAGGAGATGGAAAAATGTAGGAAGGCACTCTGATGCATGTGGTGGGGAAAGAAAAGAAACAAAGAAACAGTTGAAATTTGTAAAAATGTGTGTGTCTAGGCTGGGCGCGGTGGCTCATGCCTGTAATGCCAGCACTTTGGGAGGCCGAGTTGGGCGCATCGTCTGAGGTCAGGAGTTCAAGACCAGCCTGGCCAAGATGGTGAAACCCTGTCTCTACTAAAAATACAAAAAAATTAGCGGGGCATGGTGGCAGGCGCCTGTAATCAGCTACTCGGGAGGCTGAGGCAGAGAATTGCTTGAACTCGGGAGGCGGAGTTTGCAGTGAGCCAAGATCACGCCACTGCCCTCCAGCCTAGGTGACAGAGTGAGACTCTGTCTCAAAACACAAAACAAAACAAAAGTATGTGTCTAAACACAATGTGTGGTATCCTGGAACAGAAACAGGACATAGACCAGGTGCAGTGGCTTACACCCATAATCCCAGCACTTTGGGAGGCCAAGGCAGGTGGATTACCTGAGGTCAGAAGTTTGAGACCAGCCTGGACAACATGGCGAAAACCCATCTCTACTAAAAATACAAAAAGTTAGCCAGGCATATTGGTGGGTGCCTGTAATCTCAGCTACCTGGGAGGCTGAGGCAGGAGAATTGCTTGAACCTGGGAGGCGGAGGTTGCAGTGAGCCGAGATCATGCCACTGCACTCCAGCCTGGGAGACAGAATGAGACTCCGTCTCCAAAAAACAAAAAAAACAAAAAAAAACAAAAAAAAAAAAAAAAAAAGAAAAGAAAAAATAAACAGGAGATAAGTGGAAAACTGGTAGAATCTGAATAATGTCTGTAGTTTAGTTAATAGTACTGTAACACCGTTAATTTCTTAGTTTTGACAAATGTGCTATAGTATGTCATGTGTTAATATTAAGGCAAGCTGAGTGAAAGGTATACAATAACTCTCTCTACTATCTCTGCAACTTTTCTGTAAACTTAAACTTATTCCAAAAGAAAAAAAAAAAAAGGCCAAGCGTGGTGGCTCATGCCTGTAATCCTAGCACTTTGGGAGGGCGAGGAGGGCGGATCAGGAGGTTAGGAGATCAAGACCATACTGGCCAACATGGTGAAACCTCGTCTCTATTAAAATACAAAAAATTAGCCGGCCTGTAGTCCCGGCTACTCAGGAGGCTGAGGCAGGGGACTCGCTTGAACCCGGAAGATGGAGACTGCAGTGAACCGAGATCATGCCACTGCACTCCAGCCTGGTGACAGAGCAAGACTCCGTCTCAAAAGAAAAAAAAAGAAAGTAAAAGCTCCAGCTGAAAAGTGTATAAAATAAATGAAAATAGGCAAATATGTCAGTCAGGCATCTCATATATTAACATAGATGTGTGTGTACATATGTGTTTATATGTATGTGAATTTTAAAGTTTGAAAGAACTTATACCAAAGTACTATTATCTCTAGATCATATTATTACTAGGATATAGAACTATAGGTGATTGATTCTCTTCTTTGTGCTTTTCTGTGTTGTTTGAATATTCACTATAAAAATGTGTAAATTTTTTTGATTAGAAGAAAAAAAACTGTCCTGGCACAGTGGCTCACACCTGTAATCCCAGCACTTTGGAAGGCCGAGGCAGGAGGATCATTTGAGGTCAGGGGTTCAAGACCAGCCTGGCCAACATGGTGAAACCCAGTCTCTAGTAAAAATACAAAAATTAGCCAGGCGTGGTGGCGGGCGCCTATAATCCCAGCTACTCGGGAGGCTGAGGCAGGAGAATCGCCTGAACCCAGGAGGCGGAGGTTGCAGTGAGCCGAGATCCCACCACTGCACTCCAGCCTGGGCCATCGAGCGAGACTTAATCTAAAAAAAAAAAAAAGAAAGAAAAAAGAAAAAAAGAAAAAACTCATTTGGGCTTGCCTGAAAAAATAGAGTGTCATGCTCAGAAGAGACTTCTCTGGATGTCTTGCAAAGATTCTGACACCCACTTGGTCCTAGGCTCACCTTCTCCCAAGGTCAGGTTTGAGCAAATTTCTTGGAGACAAGCAACTTTCTTCTCCTTCGGCAAGATCCACAAGTCAAAGGAAAAGTAGGGGTGTTCAGGGGAGAGTGTGTGTGCTCTTATTGTTGGTCAGAGAGCTATGAACATGTTTACATGTCTGCCTGTTACTGTGCATGTATTCAGATGTACAGTATGAACTTTATGTGTGGTCCAACAGTATTTGTATTTATTCTTATTTATTCTTCCTTTCTTTTCGGTCTTTAGTATTTTTCTCTCTCTCTTTTTTTTTTTTTTTTGTTGTTGGTGTTGTTGAGACAGTCTTGCTCTGTCGCCCATGCTGGTGGAGTGCAGTGGCACGATCTCAGCTCACTGCAACCTCTGCCTCCCGGGTTCAAGCGATTCTCATGCCTCAGCCTCTCGAATAGCTGGGACTATAGACGTGAACCACTGCACCTTTTATTTATTTATTTATTTATTTATTTATTTATTTATTTATTTATTTATTTTAAGACAGGGTCTCACTCTGCCACCCAGGCTGAAGTACAATGGCATAATCATGGCTCACTGTAGCCTCGACCTCCCAGACTCAGGTGATCCTTGCATTTCAGCATTCTGGGCAGCTGAGACTACAGGTGCGCACCACCATGCCTGGCTAATATTTTGTATTTTTTGTAGAGACAAGGTTTCACCATGTTACCCAGGCTGATCTCGAATTCCTGGGCTCATGTGATCCACCTGCCTCAGCCTCCTAAAGTGCTGGGATTACCGGTAAAAGCCACTGCACCCAGCCTAGTATTTCCTTTTTTTTCTTTTTGAGATGGAGTCTCACTCTGTCTCCCAGGCTGGAGTGCAGTGGTCCCATCTAGGCTCACTGCAACCTCCGCTTCCAGAGTTCAAGCGATTCTCCTGCCTCAGTCTCCCGAGTAGCTGGGACTACAGGCGCATGCCACCAAGCCTGACTAATTTTTGTATTTTTAGTAGAGACAGGGTTTCGCCATGTTGGCCAGGCTGGTCTTGAACTCCTGACCTCAGGTAATCCACCTGCCTCGGCCTCCCAAAGTGCTGGGATTACAGGTGTGAGCCACTGCGCCCAGCCCCAGCCTAGTATTTCTTAATTACAAAAGTAATGGGCCCAGCGTGGTGGCTCACACCTGTAATCCCAACACTTTGGGAGGCAGATGGATCGTTTGAGGTCAGGAGTTTGAGACCAGCATGACCAACATGGTGAAACCCCGTCTCTACTAAATACAAAATAAAATTAGTCGTGCGTGGTCTAGACAAGGAAGACTGGGGGACTGGGGGGAAGACTGAGGGGGAGAGAGCCTTCCAGACAAAGGGTAGGTCTGTGTGGAGGCCCTGAGGTGGGACAGAGTGTGCTGAGGCGGAGGAGTATTGGGACCAGTGTGCGGGGAGAGAATCTGGGAAGCCAGACTGAAGAGGAAGGCTGGGTCAGGCCAAGCTCAGCCCTGTAAGCTGCGGATTTAGTTTCCCCAACAGCGAACGAAGGGACCTGCACCTTTGGGACCAGCAATATTTAGAGGTGTTTTCTTTGTTCCATTTTATCACTGTGTGAACACTCCTTGATTTTCGATGAAAGCCTTTTTTGAGAAGAGTGTAACAACTCACATTAAGATGATCAGATTCGAAATGCACATCAAATTTACTTTACGATGTTAACCAAATTCCCCAGATCCCTGTGCATCCCAGCATATTTCTTCTATTTTAGGACCTAAAGTATGAGAGAAATTTCCTGCTTCTGCAAAACTAGTTTGTTCTTGTAAAGCAAACTGTGCTTGCTCTGTTCAGCTTGCGTTCCTGGATGCTCCCTCTGGGGGTCCTGGATCCTGCCTTGTTCTGGCCAATGAAATGCAAGTCCTGGTGGGAGGCAGAGCGCTGGGCTGGGCAGCTGGTCTTTCCAGCCATGCTTCCCAGTTCTGTTTGCAGTGCTGCAGATGCTGCCAAACACAGGCCCCCCAGTCTGTGTCTCCTCTGGGCTCCCATAGCATCCTGGGGTAAACCTGTTATTGCAAGCCCCATAGTGTCATTTGATTTCTCCTATTGATGCTCAATAAGTACTTATTTAATGGATATATTGTATTAGCACAGGGTTAGATGACATCTAAATTATAGTACATTATTCAGTGAAATACTAGGCAACCATAAAAAGAACAATGTATATTGTTCTTTTGATATATATTTGATATATAATTATAATTGATAAATATTTGCAGATATAGAAAGATGCCCATGAGGGCCAGGCATGGTGGCTCATGCCTGTAATTCCAGCCCTTCGGGAGGCTGAAATAGGAGGATTGCTTGAGCCCAGGAATTTGAGACCAGTCTGAGCAATATAGTGAGACTCCGTCTCTACAAAAAGTAAAAAATAAAAAAATCAGCCAGGCCTGGTGGTGCATGCCTGTTGTCCTAGATACTCAGAAGGCTGAGGTGGGAGGGTTGTTTGAACCCAAGAGTTCGAGGATGCAGTGAGCTATGATGATGCCACTGCACTCCAGCCTGGGCGACAGAGTGAGACTCCAACTCTAAAAAAGAAAGAAAAATGTCCATGAGCTATTAAGTAAAAAAAGAAAGTTATAGAACATATATAGTACAGTATTATTTTTCTTTTTTAAAAGTATGTATATGGCCAGGCACGGTGGCTCACGCTTGTAATCCCAGCACTTTGGGAGGCTAAGGTGGGCGGATCACAAGGTCAGGTGTTCAAGACCAGCCTGGCCAACATGGTAAAACCCCATCTCTACTAAAGATACAAAAAAAAATTAACCGGGTGTGGTGGTGGGTGCCTGTAATCCCAGCTACTCGGGAGGCTGAGGCAGGAGAATCGCTTGAACCTGGGAGGCAGAGGTTGCAGTGAGCCGAGATCACACCATTGAACTCCAGCCTGGGCAACAGGGCAAGACTCCATCTCAAAAAACAAAAAAGTATGTATGTATATATATATATATATATAAAATATACACACACACACACGCATATGCATATATGAGAGACATCTACTTTTTTATTTACACATTTCTGTGGTATTTGAATTTGTCACAGTACACAGGCATAACCTCTGTAATTAAAAAGAATAAATGAGTGAATGAATTAATAAATAAATAAGGGGATTTTTTTTTAGGTTTCTCAGAATGGTGAATTGAAAAGAAAATTCAGTCCTTAAGTTTTTCACTCCAACCTATTTACCAAGTTTTGGACCTGTTCTTTCAACTTTTTATTTTATTTTTCTTTTTGAGACAGGGTCTCCCTCTGTTGCCCAGGCTGGAGTGCAGTGGCACCATCTCGGCTCACTGCAGCCTCTACCTCCCAGGTTCAAGCAATGTTCCTGCCTCAGTCCCCCAAGTAGCTGGGACTACAGGCACATGCCACCACATGCTGTTAATTTTTATATTTTTAGTAAAGATGGGGTTTTGTTGTGTTGCCCAGGCTGGTCATATTTTATTTTATTTTGAGACAGGGTCTTGCTCTGTCACCCAGGCTGGAGTGCAGTGGTGCAATCAGAGCTCACTGCAGCCTTGAATTCTTGGGCTCAAGCAATCCTCCTTTCTCAGCCTCCCAAGTAGTTAGAATTACAGGCATGCACCACCATGCCCAGCTAATTTTTTTATTTTTGTAGAGACGGGGTCTTGCTATGTTGCCCAGGCTAGTCTAGAATACCTGATCTCAAGCAATCTTCCTGCCTTGGCCTCCCAAAGTACTGGGATTATAGGAATAATCCACCATGCCAGACCTCAATTTATTTTTGAAAAGATGTTTATGATATAATAAAAAAATAGATTCAGAACAGTATAACCCCAGTTATGGGAAAAATGTATACATATTTTTATTTTGGGGAAAAATATGTGTGTGTGTATATATATATATACATATATATATATACACACACACACATACACACACACACACTTTTTTTTGAGATAGAGTTTCACTCTATTGCTCAGGCTGGAGTACAGTGGCAGGATCTTGGCTTGGCTCACTGCAACCTCCACCTCCCGTGTTCGAGCAATTCACCTGCCTCAGCCTCCCAAGTAGCTGATACTACAGGCACGCCACATCACGCCTGGCTAATTTTTGTGTTTTTAGCAGAAATAGTGTTTCACCATACTAGCCAGGCTGGTCTCGAACTCCTAGCCTCAAGTGATCCGCCCATCTTGGCCTCCCAAAATGCTGGGATTACAAGTGTGAGCTACCACGCCCGGCCCTACAATATGTATACATTTCTTTAATTATCAGAGACAATAATGATGGTTTAATTTTCCTTTTTGACTATTTCCATATTTCTTTTTATTTAATATTCACTCATGCTTCAATAAATGTTCATTGAGCATCTGCTATGTGCCTGAGATGGTGCTTCTTCTTAAGCTCATAGTCTGGTGGGAAGACTCACAAGAAAATAATGTAGTTTGTGAGGATGTATAATACCAAATACTATGGGGTCATCCATCTGCCAGGAGGGTCCAGGGATGACCAGGGAAGGCTTCACAGAGGAGGTGCTGCTTAAGCTGAGTTTTGAGGAATGAGGAGGAGTTTGCCAGTTGGACTGGGTGAGAAAGGGCATTGCAGAAAAAAGAGACCATCTTGCATAAAGTACCTTTTATAACAATACAGAGGAGTGAAAGAGGACATCCTTTTCATGAACATTCAGTTGGTCAATGAGGCAGAAGCACAGTGGACATGGGGGGAAGATGAGCTGAGAAACAGACACTCTAGAAACAGTAAGGAGCCTTTGAGAGACCTTGTATGGAATGGAGTGCAGGCATTGTTGCCCCATTTAAGAGTTGAGAAAACTGAGTCACAGGTTAAATGACTTGCCTAAGGTCATGTTAGGAGATGAGGCCAAGCTGGAATGTAACTTGAGGGTTTTTATGCTTCCAACCACAGTGCTGGGCCAGGCCCTGTCCTCAAGATCCCTCTGATGTTCTGGCTTGAACCACTTCAAAGCTGTTAGGAAAGAAGAAGAAGGCTTACGCCACTAGGCTCTGACCACACTGGCCACACACTTGGAGCACCCTTGTATCCAAAGCCACAAGAGAGCATTTTCTGAGAGTCTTTCCCAGAAAATGGCATGTACACATCCAACCTTGAAGTTGGTGGGTACCCTTCAGAAATGATGAAGGAGGTGGATTTCCACGGCATCCTGCCGTGCTGGGGAGCTGCTTCCCATCCTTGCTGCCAGGATTAAGTGGCATTTAGGCCTGTTATTCCTCAGGACAGGGAGTCATGGATGTGGCAGGAGCTCAGATTGAGTGATTTATTTATTATTTTATTTATTTATTTATTTATTGAGACAGAGTCTTGCTCTGTCACCCAGGCTGCAGTGCCGTGGCTCGATCTCGGCTCACTGCAACCTTCGCCTCCTGGGTTCAGGCATTTCTCCTATCTCAGCCTCCTGAGTAGCTGGGATTACAGGCGCCTGCCACCACGCCCGATTAATTTTTGTATTTTTAATAGAGACGAGGTTTCACCATGTTGGCCGGGCTGGTCACTCCTGACCTCAGGTGATCCACCCACCTCAGCCTCCCAAAGTGTTGGGATTACAAGCATGAGCCACTACGTCCAGCCTTATTTACTTGTTTGAGACAGAGTCTCGCTCTGTTGCCCAGGCTGGAGTGCAGTGGTGCAATCTTGGCTTACTGCAACCTCACCTCCCAGGTTCAAGCGATTCTTCTGCCTCAGTGGGGATTGCAGGTGTGCACCACCATGCATGGCTTTTTTTTTTTTTTTTTTGGTATTTTTAGTAGAGACAGGGCTTCACCATGTTGGCCAGGCTGGTCTTGAACTCCTGACCTCAGGTGATTCACCCCCACTTGGCCTCACAAAGTACTGGGATTACGGACATGAGCCACCATGCCCAGCCAGATTGAGTGTTTTATGATGCTGCATAGGCTTTGGAATAAGAAAGACCTGATTTCTCACCCTCACTCTAATGGCTAAAATGAAAAGACTGACAATTCCATGTGTTAACAAGGATGTAGAACAACTAGAACTCTCGTACAGGGCTGTTGGGAATATAAAATGGCCCAATCTCTTTGGAAAATTGTTTGGTGTACTTAATAAAGTTAAACATATTTCCCCCTAATAAGAATGTTCATGGCAGTGTTATTCAAAATAGCCTGAAACTGGAAAGAAAAATCTAAGTATTCAACAGGAGGATGGATAAATAAATTGGGTGGTAGATTCATAAAACGGAATACAATTCAGCATAAAAAAGGAACATACTGCTGGTACAGCAATGTGGGAAAATCCACAGACATACTATATGGAACAGAAGAAACCACATACAAGAATATGATTCTATTTTTTCTTTTTCTTTTTTTTGGGAGACAGAGTCTAGCTCTGTTGCCCAGGCTGGAGTGCAGTGGTGCAATCTCAGCTCACTGCAACCTCTGTCTCCTGGGTTCAAGTGATTCTCATGCCTTAGCCTCCTGAGTAGCTGGCACTACAGGTGTGTGCCACCATGCCCAGCTAACTTTTTGTATTTTTGGTAGAGATGGGGTTTCACCATGTTGGCCAGGCTGGTCTCGAACTCCTGACCTCAGGCAATCTGCCTGCCTCGGCTTCCCAAAGTGTTAGGATTACAGGTGTGAGCCATCACTCCTGGACAAGAATATGATTCTATTTACACGAAGTTCGAGAATAGGTAAAATTAATCTATGAGAATAGAGGTCAGAATATTGGTTACATTGGAGGCTAGGGGGAGTGAGTATTTGCTGGAAAGGGGCATGAAGGAACTCTGGAGTGTGATAGAAATAGTCTCATTTTGATCCGGGTGGTGGCTACATGGACATAATGGTATAAGTGTATACCACATATTATGTGGACAATTATGTGGACATGGCCTAATATATTACATAGTAGGTATATGTAAGTTATAGTTCAATAAAGTACTATGTGAGAGAGAAAGGAGGAGGAGGAAGAGGAGAAAGAAAGAAAAGAAAGAAAGGAAGAAAGAAAGAGAGGGAAAGAAAGAAAGTAAAAAAAAAATCCTGATTTTGATTTTGGTTTCCAGTTCTGCCCCTGTGACCCTTGGACAATTGACAACATTTCTGAGCCCCTTTCCTCACCCATAAAATGAGGATCACAGGCCAGGCTAGGTGGCTCACACCTATAATCTCAGCAATTTGGGAGGCCAAGGCGGGAGGATTGCTCAAAGCCAGGAGTTTGAGACCAGCCTGGGCAACAAAGTGAGGCCTGTCTCAACAAAATAAAAAAATTTTTAAATTAGCCAGGTGTGGTGGCATGAGCCTATAGTCCTAGCTACTCAGGAGGCTGGGGTGGGAGGATCCCTTAAGCCCAGGAGGTGGAGGCTGCAGTGAGCCCTGATTGCCTCGTTGGACCCCAGTCTGGGCAACAGAGCAAGTCCCTGTCTCTAAAATAAAATAAAATAAATAAATAAGGGATCCTAATAGTACCTCTCTCATAGGGTGGTTTGAGAGTCAAATGAGATAATGCACAAAAATCTCCTAGCCCAAGAGCCTGAAGCACCCTAAAAGTTCGGGAAACTGTATTCTTACTGTTGGCCCCTTACCTACCATCTCCTCCACCAGGAGCTGGCCCCTGAAGCCTCACCCCAAAAGAACGGTTTCTGCCCCCGGGTTATGTCAGGTCCTTAGGTGGAACTCTGAGTCCCACATCACTAAATGCTGACATGCCCGCAGAATCCAGGAGGCTCCAGTGACTAGAAAGAAGTTTCATCAAATTTGAACAGGAAGCAGCAGTGGCAGCTGATAATCTGTGACCTGAATATAGCTATCCATTATCTCACTGTGGTTTCTGGTTTCCCTGACAGAGAAAACGCCCACAACTTTCTTAAAGTTATTCTAAACACTCAGTTCCTTGTTTGGCTTTGGCAGGATAATGTTACCCCTGGGTGCCCCTGTGCTTTGGGCTGTGGCCTCCCTGCCAGCCTGAGGCTCCAGCTCTTCAGCCAATCTGTGGGGCAACCGTCCCTTCCACTCAGAGGGCAGTGACAGGAGCAGACCAGGAAAGAGGCCGCCAGTATCTGCAGCCATTGGAAGTGGGGGGGAAAAGCAAGAAACCTTAAATACAGCATTCTTGTTCCTCTTCAAGAAACCAGCCAGGCAGGACTGACATGCCGGGAGTGAGCCACCAGCTGCTTCTCACCATCACTGGTTTCTAAATTACGCTCCATTCCCAATTGCTTCTCTCTGGTTCTGTTCTCAGGAAAGCAAATCTGCCCTCCTAGTTCCTCCACCTCCAAATGAGGAGCTGAGCCCAGGCCCAGGACACAGGTTTGGCAGAAAAGCCGTTACCTCTTGTTATTGTAAAACCCAGAGTCCAAGAGGCTCCCAGACAATAGGCAAAGTAGGCAAAGTTTGTTTTTGCCTTCTCTTCCCCAGCCAAGCCCTGCTCACTGTTGTCTACCAAAGCTTTGATGACACCGTATCACTTATCACTACATCTTCTGAATTATTCATTCTGAAGAATTCAGGATTTCTTGTGTTCCCCCTCTCAGGAGTACTTATATGTTAAGAGAAACCTTGAGATAGTAATGCTTACTTAGAGGACCATGTCTCTGACACCTGTGTTTGGTAGGGAGGGGAGGGCTTTGGGCTCTCTCTGGCCCCCTGGTGGCCACCACTTCTCTGTTAGTGCTCCAGATGGAGATATGCGGATGACATGGCATGACTTTTAAAATATATATATATATTTTTCTTTTTTTTTTTTTTTTCTGAGACGGAGTCTCGCTCTGTTGCCCAGGCTGGAGTACAGTGGTGTGATCTTGGCTCACTGCAACCTCCACCTACCGGGTTCAAGTGATTCTCCCGCCTCAGCCTCCCCAGTAGCTGGGACTACAGGTACACCACCATGCCTGGCTGATTTTTGTATTTTTAGTAGAGACGAGGTTTCTCCATGTTGGCCAGGCTGGTCTCGAACTCCTGACCTCGTGATCTGCTCACCTCGGCCTCCCAAAGTGCTGGGATTACAGGCATGAGCCACCATGGCTGGCTAGAGTTTTTTTTTTTTAATTTCCTTTTTGTTTTTTTGAGACAAGATCTCACTCTTACTCTATTGGCCAGGCTCGAGTGCAGTAGCACCATCACGGCTCACTGCAGCCTCAACCTCTAGGGCTCAGGTGATCCTCCTGCCTCAGCCTCCCAAGTAGCTGGGACTACAGGCACACACACACACTGGCTGATTTTTTTTTTGTATGTTTTGTAGAGACAGGGTCTCCGTATGTTGCCTAGGCTGGTCTTGAACTCCTGGGCTCAAGCAATTTGCCTATCTCAGCCTCCCAAAATGCTGGGATTACAGATGTGAGCCACTGCGCCCACCTAAAAGATCTTGTAAAGATCTTTTTTTTTGTGTCTGGGAGCGGTGGCTCATACCTGTAATCCCAGCACTTTGGGAGGCCAAGGTGGGTGGATCACCTGAGGTCAGGAGTTCGAGACCAGCCTAGCCAATATGGTGAAACCCCATCTCTACTAAAAATACAAAATTTAGCTGAGCGTGGCGGTGGGCGCCTGTAATCCCAGCTACTCAGGAGGCTGAGGCAGGAGACTAGCTTGAACCCGGGGTGGGGCACGGAGGCTGCAGTGAGCCATTGTGCCACTGCACCTTCAGCCTGGGCAACAGAGTGAGACTCTGTCTCAAAAAAAAAAAAAAAAAGAGATAGTTTTTTGTTTGTTTTCTGAAGAGGAACAGGAAGGTGAAACTCCTGCAGTTTGGTTAGAACAAAATGGGGAAGCTGTCAAAGCAGGTGGCTGCAGAGCTCGGGAAGATACGGATAATGGCTGCTTTCACATGCCCCAGAGCTTGTGCTCAGAGCAAGAAGGCCTCCCAGGAAGGTCAGAGGAGTAAAGGGTCACTTAGGGATTCTGAGGCACAGTGGAAGTGATGCTAGTTGAGCAGAGATGAAACCAGACTTCTGAAGGCACAGCTCTGCCACCAGCTAGTTGAAAGCTGAGCAGTCATCTAACCTGTCTCAGGCTCATTCTCTTCACTTAAAATACCGCAGGCAGGAAGAATCACACTAAGATGTCGATAGTGGTCCTCTCTGGGTATAGAATTACAGGCGAGTTTGGTTTACTTTTTTTGGAGTGGGAGACAGGGTCTTGCTCTGTTGTCCAGGCTGGAGTGCAGCGGCGTGATCACAGCTCACTGCAGCCTTGATCTCCTGGGCTCAAGTGATCCTTCCACCTCAGCCTTCCAAGTGGCTGGGACTATAGGCATATGCCACTATGCCTGGCTAATTTTTTAACTTTTTGTAGAGATAGGGTCTTGCTATATTGCCCAGGCTGGTCTTGAACTCATAGGCTCAGGTTATCCTCCCTCCTCGGCCTCCCAGAGTGCTGGGATTACAGATGTGAGCCACTGTGCCTGGCCTGGTTTCCTTTTTTTTTGAGACGGATCCTGACTCTGTCACCCCAGACGGGAGTGCAGTGGTGTGATCTCAGCTCACTGCAGCCTCTGCCTCCTGGGTTCAAGCCATTCTCCTGCCTCAGCCTCTTGAGTAGCTGGGACTACAGGCGTGTACCATCACACCTGGCTAATTTTTGTATTTTTAGTAGAGATGGGGTTTCACCATGTTGGTCAGGCTGGTCTCAAACTCCTGACCTCAGGCGATCCACCCGCCTTGGTCTCCCAAAGTGCTGGGATTCCAGCCGTGAGTCACTGTGCTTGGCCATGGTTTACTTCTTAATGCCTATTATTGGTCAAGGCTTAATTAGAGAAGCAGAATTATCAGGCACGGCATAGAGTAAGATGTTTCTTGTGGGGTTTTGGTGTTATGCAATGTGGGAACTGGTTAAGCAGTTTGTATACAACAGTTGCTTCTGTTTCTGGTGCTGGGACTGAAGTCAGAAATAACAGGTAGACATGAAGTATGGGACAGTAAGGACCAGTGGGAGTCCAAAAGAACCAGAGGGCACCCACAGGATGAAATAGAGCCTGTATCAATGTCTCACTGCCTCTAAAACTTCCTACTTCAATTATGTGGGCGACCTGCAGGAATTGCTGAACCTTCATCATAAAGCTGAACACAGACCTGACTCAGGGACTGAAAATGCTGAAGGAAGATCTGTCATGGGAGCTGAAGGAGATGTAGGCTCAAGTCTATCCCATGGCCACAGGGTGAGCTAGCAGATCTGAGATACCATAAGTTAGAACGGCACCTGCCTCTACACTGACCTTCTGAGCATAAGCATGTTTGCTTCACCTCTGCCCTCCAATCTTGTGCAAATTTTCTGTGGCCAACCCTAGCCCAGAACCATACAGAGAAAGAAATTCTGAAAAACATAGTTTCAGTTTAGCTAAACTGACATAGTACAAAGCCACTATGTATTTGCCAAACCTTCTTCAATTAGCATGGTTTTGTTTGTTTGTTTGTTTGAGACAGAATCTCACTCTGTCACCCAGGCTGGAGTGCAGTGGCACTATCTGGGCTCCCTGCAACCTCCACCTCCCGGGTTCCAGTGATTCTCCTGCCTCAGTCTCCTGGGTATCTGGGATTACAGGTGCATGCCACCACACCTGGCTAATTTTTGTATTTTTTAGTAGAGATAGGGTTTCACCATGTGGGCCAGGCTCGTCTCAAACTCCTGACCTCAAGTGATTCACCCACCTCAGCATGTATTATTTTCATAACCAGGAGAAAGAACACCCTTTAAAACATCTCAAAATACCCAAATGGCTAATAAATATACAAAAAGACACCAATTCATTAATTGGCAAGAAAATGCAAGTTAAAATACAATAAGATATCCTTGTACATTCACCAGAATGGCTAAAATGAAAAAGACAGACAACACAGTATTGGTGAGGACATAGAGCAACTGGAACTTTCACATGTGGCTAGTGAGAATGTAAATTGCCAGTTTAGAAAACCATTTGACAACTATCAAAGTGGAACATATGCAAAAGGTGTGATAAGCAATTACGTTTCTAAAAAAATGCATGTTCATATACATAAAAACATCTATACGAATGTTTGGCTGGGTGTGGTGGCTCACGCCTGTAATCCAAGCACTTTGGGAGGCCGAGGCGGGTGGATCACGAGGTCAGGAGATCGAGACCATCCTGGCTAACATGGTGAAACCCTGTCTCTACTAAAAATACAAAAAATTAGCCAGGCGTGGTTGCAGACGCCTGTAGTCCCAGCTACTCAGGAGGCTGAGGCGAGAGAATGGCGTGAACCCAGGAGGCAGGGCTTGCAGTGAGCCGAGCCGAGATCGCGCCACTGCACTCCAGCCTGGGCGACAGAGCGGGATTCTGTCACCAAAAAAAACACGAAAAAACAATGTTCATAGTGGCACTATATGTAAAAGCTAAGAACAGAAACAATTCAAATGTCCACCAACAATAGAATGGATAAATAAATCATGGTGAATTCATACAATGGAGTGCTACACAGCAACGGGAATAAATAATGTATCACTAAGCACAACCACATGGATGACTATCACAACCATAATATTACATGGAAGATATCAGACACAGAAGAGCATATACTGATGGTTCCATTTATGTCAAGTTCAAAAATAGGTAAAATTAATCTATGCTGTTCACCCATGGATAAGAATTACCCTTGGGAGATTAGTGACTAGAAGGTGTCAAGAGGGGGCTTTTGGGGTGCTCGCGATGTTCTGTTCCTTCCTTTAGGTATTAGTCACTCGGGAGTGTTTTGCCTTTTGCAAATTTATAGATATTTATGTAATTTGTATATGGTTTGTGCACTTTTCTGTATATATGTTATACCAACAAAAAGTTAATTAAAAGAAAAAATTAGTAGTCCCTGGTTCTGGTAACTAACAATAACTACTCATTATACCACAAGTTGAGGGGATCAAATACAAAAATGTGTATTACAGTGTTTGGAGAAACAACTGGGGAATACATAGATGTAGGGACAAGGAAAGAGAATAGAATGTTGAACCTGGTTTGGTATTGAACCTGGTTTTTTGAGTTTTTTTTTTTTTTGAGACAGAGTCTTGCTCTGTCGCCTAGGCTGGAGTGCCGTGGCATGATCTCAGCTCACTGCAACTTCCGCCTCCTGGGTTCAAGTAATTCTCCTGCCTCAGCCTCCTGAGTAGCTGGGACTACAGGCGTGTGCCACCATGCCTGGCTAATTTTTTTGTATTTTTTAGTACAGACAGGGTTTCACCACATTGCCCAGGCTGGTCTCGAACTCCTGACCTCATGGTCTGCCCACCTCGGCCTCCCAAAGTGCTGTGATTACAGGCGTGAGCCACTGCAGCCTACCTTGAACCTGGTTTTTACAAATTGTAGTAAAATACACATAACAAAATTTAGCATTTTGTGATATCTTTTTTTTTTTCCAGAGAAAGTATGTGCTTGTGTGTGTGTGGCAGGGAAGTGCTGGTTAGTGGGAAGTGGGAAGGAAAGATGGGTTTCCCTGAGTCCCTAACTAGCTTCTGTCATGGCCTGCCTTGATGTGACAAGCATTCGCTCTGCTTGCTCAGCTAAGGTTTCATGACCAGGCAGGGAAATGCCACTGCCCTTTAAAGTGAGCCCCTCCATTAGCTAAGGGTGGTTCTCCATCCCCCTGAAGCTAGGCTGGCCCAGATGACAGGAGCTCCTGTGAGGTCCAGAAGTGCCATTGAATCCAGGTTTTGCTACAGTAACTTCGCTCCCCCAACTCCCAGAATACACATATACAACCTGGCCTGTGTCCATCTTTGTCCCCAAAGCTTCCCTCCTCATCAGCAGCCATGAGAAAGACAGGATTATAAATGCACCAAGGGCTTTAAATGGGACTACAGTAGTAGGATCAGTTTTGCTCTCTGAGTGATGGCATGCCTGTGTCTTCTAGGCTCACTGGGGCAAGTGGTTCTTTACTTGGCTCCAGCACCAGCACCATCTGGAGGGGCAAAAGAACCCACAACGCTTTTTTTTATTTTTTTTTTTTTGAGACGGAGTCTCGCTCTTTCGCCCAGGCCAGAGTGCAGTGGCGTGATCTCGGCTCACTGCAAGCTCCGCCTCCCGGGTTCACGCCATTCTCCTGCCTCAGCCTCCCAAGTAGCTGGGACTACAGGCGCCCACCACCTCGCCCGGCTAATTTTTTGTATTTTTAGTAGAGACGGGGTTTCACCGTGTTAACCAGGATGGTCTCGATCTCCTGACCTCGTGATCCGCCCGCCTCGGCCTCCCAAAGTGCTGGGATTACAGGCATGAGCCACCGCGCCCGGCTTTTTTTTTTTTTTTTTTTTTTTTTTTTTTTGAGACAGAGTCTCACTTTGTTGCCCAGGCTGGAGTGCAGTGACACCATTTGGGCTCATTGCAACCTCCACCTCCCGGGTTCAAGCGATTCTCATGCCTCAGCCTCCCAAGTAGCTGGGATTACAGGCATGTGCCACCACACCTGGCTAATTTTTGTTTTTTGTTTGTTTGTTTTGTTTTGTTTTGCTTTTTTGAGATGGTGTTTCACTCTTGTCGCCCAGGCTGGAGTGCAATGGTGCGATCTTGGCTCACTGCAACCTCCGCCTCCCAGGTTCAAGCGATTCTCCTGCCTCGATCTGCCAAGTAGCTGGGATTACAGGCATGTGCCACCACGCCCTGCTAATTTTGTATTTTTAGTAGAGACAGGGTTTCTCCATGTTGGTCAGGCTGGTCTGGAATTCCCGACCTCAGGCGATCCGCCCGCCTCGGCCTCCCAAAGTGATGGGATTACAGGTGTGAGCCACTGCGCCCAACCAATTTTTGTATTTTTAGTAGAGTTGGGGTTTCGCCATGTTGGCCAGGCTGGTTTCGAATTCCCGACCTCAGGTGATCCGCCCACCTTGGCCTCCCACAATACTCCCAGAGTACTGTGAGCCATCGTGTCCAGCCTTGCAACTCTTAAATATGCTCGTGGGAGCAGAAGCTATGCTCCCTGACAGAAGAACCTGTCCCTCACAATGCAATTGGAGAGAATTTATTGAGTGCTTACTGTGTGCTTGGGATGGTGCATCCAGCAAAACACCTGAGCCTCTTGGAGACCAGGAGAGTGGACTCAGTCCCAAGTGCAGATTCCTTGAGCTAGAGCTTTTAAAGGAGAGGAGAAATCGGATAAATTGCACTGGACAATTCATTCACTCTCTTTCTGGAGGTTTAACCAACCCTAGATTTTATTCTACTGAAATCAGGATAAAACCAGGCATATGTGTATAAAGAGAGGTCTGGAAGCATGATAACAATGATTATCTTTAAGTAGTGGGTTGCAGTTGATATTTTTCTATTTCTTGTACCTCTCAAGGCAGCACATGTAGCTGACGCACACAACCTTTGGAGAGCAACCACCTGGGTTTATTTTTTATTTTTATTTTTTATTGAGATGCAGTCTTGCTCTGTCACCCAGGCTGGAGTACAGTGGCATGATTTCAGCTCACTGCAACCTCCACCTCCTGGGTTCAAGCAACTCTCCCACCTCAGCCTCCTGAGTAGCGGAGATTACAGGCGCCCACGACCCGCCTGGCTAATTTTTTTGTATTTTTAGTAGAGACAGGGTTTCACCATGTTGGCCAGGTTGGTCTTAAACTCCTGACCTCGAGTGATCTGCCCGCCTTGGCCTCCCAAAGTGCTGGGATTACAGGCGTGAGCCACGGCGCCCAGCCTACCACCTGGGTTTAAATCTCAGCTTTGCATGTACTAGCTGTGTGGTCTTGGGCAACTTACTTCACTTGTATGAATTTTAATGTTCTTACCTGTAAATAAGGATGATAATATACTTACTTCATAGGGATATTGAGAAGTTTGAATTAAACTATGCATTTTTTTTTAAGAGTTAGGGTCTGGCTCTGTCACCCAGGCTTGAGTGGTGTGCCCCGTCATAGCTCACTGCAGTCTTGAATTCCTGGGTTCAAGCAATCCTCCTGCTTCATCCTCTTCAGTAGCTGGGACTATAGACATGTGCCACTATGCCTGGCAAATTTTTTCTGCTTTTTGTAGGGATGGGGTCTCACTATGTCGCCCAGACTTGTCTCAACCTTCTAGCCTAAAGCCATCCTCTTGCCTTGGCCTGCCAAAGCTTTGGGATTATAGACATATGCCATGGCCCCTGGCCAAAATGATGCACATTAAGTGCTTTAGTATGGTGTCTGATGCAAAGAAAATGCTTTAAATGGGAATGATTATTATTATATTTTTATATCATTGGGTTGTTTTTCTTTTCTTTTCTTTTTGAGATGGAGTTTTGTTCTTGTTGCTCAGGCTGGAGTGCAATGGAGCAATCTCGGCTCAACGCAACCTCCACCTCTGGGATTCAAGTGATTCTCCTGCCTTGCCTCCCAAGTAGCTGGGATTACGGACATGCGCCATCACGCCCTGCTAATTTTGTATTTTTAGTAGGGACGGGGTTTCTCCATGTTGGTCAGGCTGGTCTCGAACTCCCGAACTCAGGTGATCCGCCGCCTTGGCCTCCTAAAGTGCTGGGATTACAGGCATGAGCCACTGAGCCCAGCCTTTTTTTTTTATTTTTATTTGAGACAGAGTCTCACTCTGTGGCCCAGGCTGGAGTGCAGTGGGACAATCGTGACTCACTGCAACCTCTGCCTCCTGGGTTCAAGCAGTTCTTCCTGCCCCACCCTCCAGAGTAGCTGGGATTATAGGCAACTGCACCACCATGCCCAGCTAATTTTTTTATTTTTAGTAGACACGGGGTTTCACCATGTTGGCCAGGCTAGTCTCGAACTCCTGACCTCAGGTGATCCACCGGCCTCAGCCTCCCAAAGTGCTGGGATTACAGACATGAGCCACTGTGCCCAGCCCCAATAAAGGTTTTTTAAGGAGAAGAAGCACAAGGACGGCACAGAAGGGAAGAGAGTTTGCGGGGGTGGAGGGGCTCAGCCATAGCAGGAGGGGGAGGTGGAATACTGCCCCCTCCCTCCTGGTTCAGACACAAGAAAAATGACCCCAATCGCTGTGTTCTGGGACAGCTCTATTTCTTAGAGAATCCTGGGGCACCCTGGCTACCAGGAGGTTTCTCACCTGGTTCAGGGTGACCCAGCTAGCCCAGCACAAGGCTTGTATCATCTCGTCCAATTCAGAAGTGCTGTGCCTGTGAGTACTGCTCTAAACGCCTCTAAAGGTCAGTCCCTCTTTGGCCCCTGATGCTGGGGATACGTTTTACTTTCAATCAGACATTCACTACCATGACATAATCAAGCTAACTCTAGAAAAGTGCCTTGGGATGTTGGCCTCCCTTCCCTTCCCTGCAGTTGTTCCTTCTCCTTTAAGTGGCTGCTGGCTCTGGCCCTCCCCGCACACACCACAGGTTTTGCCTTTTGTCACACTGAGCATGCCTCCTGCACCCTTGCTGGGGCACAGATTCTCCCATATTTGGGAGTAAGCCGGAGACTCGGCGGCATGTGGGTTTCTGTTTAAAATTCCAAAGCCAGCAGGGCGTATATTATCCATTTCCTCAAATCCAACATGTTGTAAAGCATGAGTCAGAGTCGGATAAGCTTCTTCCCAGGGGAAGTTGTGTCAGTTGGTTAGCGAATGTAATTAAACACAGATAATGTTCACTGGCATTAGCTGCAGATTAATGCAGAAGAAAACAAAATATCCATCTTGATTTTGCAATATTCCTGCCAAGATAACACAACTTCTCCAAGTTTCCCTGATCAGAGAAAGCAGCCTAACTTTCAAGCAATTTGAGGGGCACAGGAAGCCCATTCAATCAACACTCTCCTTCCCACAGAAATGAAGAATGCAGGCCGGGCGCAGTAGCTCATGCCTGTAATCCCAGCACTTTGGGAAGCCGAGGCGGGTGGATCTCCTGAGGTCGGGAGTTCGAGATCAGCCTGACCAATATGGTGAAATCCCATCTCTACTAAAAATACAAAAATTCGCTGGGCTGTGGTGGTACTCAGGAGGCTGAGGTGGGAGAATCGTTTGAACCCAGGAGGCATACGTTTCAGTGAGCCGAGATCGCACCACTACACTCCAGCCTGGGTGACAGAGGGAGACCCCATCTCAAAAAAAAAGAAAAAAGAAATGAGGAATGCAGATTTTAGGACCTTTCACGGGGAAGCACATATATTCAAATTATTCTTAAGGTATTTTTGTGGGGAAGGGGGTTACATGTTAGCTAATATCAATAAGAGTTATTTTATCTGATTTAATTCATCATCATCACCCGGGGCCAGGTGGTGACAGCAGACTTCAGGTATGGAGGGTATTAGGCTTCTTATGCTTTGCATACCAATGGGGCTTTTAGGGGTTCGCTCCAGGACCCAGGAAGGGCTGAGCTCTGGAAGGGCTGAGGGAGCAAAAGGACCAAGAGGGAAGTCAGGGTGGGTCTAGAGGGCACTGGAAACCCATGTGTTCTTTTGCATACCCAAGCCTAGAGAAGCCCTTTCCACAATCATGGAAATCACAAAATAGAATGCCCATACTGGGAAGGGGCCAGGCGTGGTGACTCATACCTGTAATCCCAGCATTTTGGGAGGCCAAGGCAGGCGGGTTGCCTGAGCTCAGGGTTTGAGACCAGCCTGGGCAACATGGTGAAACCCCATCTCTACTAAAAAAAAAAAAAAAAATACAAAAATTAGGCAAGTATGGTGGTGCACGCTTGAATCCCAGCTCCTCGGAGGCTGAGGCAGGAGAATCGCATGAACCTAGGAGGCAGAGGTTGGAGTAAGCCGAGATTGCACCACTACACTCCAGCCTGGGTGAGACTCCGTTTCAAAAATAAAAAGAATGCCCCAATACAGGGAAGGCCGTTGGAGGTCATTTAGTCAACTCCTCTTCAGACACCAGCACACTGAGGCCCAGAGAGGTTAAGTCATTTGCCCAAGTTCACCCTGCAAGGGGAGAGTTGAGACTTAAGTTTTCTCTTTTCATCTTTCTAACAAGCTGCTGCTGGTCACAGTTTCCAAGAGTGACAGGAGCGGACACTCAGGTCGATCCCACTGGCCCACCCTGCAAATACCTACTTGGTCTTGTATTTTCAAATGTAACCTCTCCTCAGGGTATTAAAAGCAATGCTAAATCATACCCAAGGAAGTATACTGTCCTGCCACTCAGGCCTCTTCCAACTTCAATGATATGAACAATCTAAAAATGTGTATTTTCTTAACTCTAGTAAAAAGTGTGCTAAATTCCATATAACTGAGATTCAAAGCTTATTGCTAACTAGAACAGCTTCTGGGGTTAAAGAAAAAGGAATTCGTGAATGTTCTTTTAACTCTCTGAGCATTGCCCTGCCCCCACCACCTTCCACTTGAAGGGAAGTAGCTAGGAATATACCGGATCTTTTTGGTGTTTGGCTGGGTTTTAGTGTTTTCGAGTGCCCCTTCTGATGTAGGTCAAGGCATTTTGTTTATCTTAAATGTGAGATTGTATTCTTTCTGCCCAAATAGGATGGAAAAGACTTTTCCAAATAAGGAAGTTTTGCCAGAGTGTGTGTGGCCCAGTTAGCAACTGTTGCCGCCGTCCTCACTTAGGGGAGTACAGTAGCTCCACTAAGCTGGAAAGCATTTAGGGACTTATTAGCACTTCTGCACAGCCAAACCACTGAGGGGCGGGGGTGCTGCCAGCAAGTGGTTGTGACAACCAGGGACATGAAAAAAATGTGTAGAAAAGACAAAGTTTGGCTTTTGCATACACCCCTACCCTCTCTACCTCCTTCCCAGCCCGAGTTGGCTCTCAACTCAGGATAGAAGGAGGATGCTCTGATTCTCTAGAATTAAGTAAATTTAGGGTAAAATCCCAGCACTACACATACAATCTGCTAAATGGCCTTCAGTAAGTTACTTTTTGAGCCTTTTCCTTTCTTTCTGAGTAAAAATAATAGTGCTTAGCTCATGTAGTTGTTATGAGGAGTAAATAACCTAATCAAAGTAATGCATGTAGCACATTCTAGATTGACCCTAAAATTACTCCTTTCCTATCCTTTTTCAGTACCTTCTCCACTATCAGAACCCCTTAGTTTGTGCTGATTGTACTTAAACAGAGATTAAGAGGAACAGGAAAGCTTGTATTAATTTATGCTCAGAGGCCAGGTGCAGTGGCCCACGCCTGTAATTCCAGCACTTTGGGAGGCTGAGGCGGGCGGATCACCTGAGGTCAAGAGTTCAAGACCAGCCGGGCCAACATGGTGAAACCCCGTCTTTACTAAAAATACAAAAAATTAGCTGGTCGTGGTGGCGGGTGCCTGTAATCCCAGCTACTTGGGAGGCTGAAGCAGGAGAATCACTTGAACCTGGGAGGCGGAGGTTGCAGTGAACCAAGATCAAGCCGTTGCACTCTAGCCTGGGCAACAAGAGTGAAACTCCATCTCAAAAAAAGAAAAAAAAAAAAGAAAAGAAAACTAATTTATGCTTAGGTGTGAGTGACTAAAATAAGACATTTATTGGCCCATCTGCACTTGTAACTGCTGTGAACAGGGATGCTGTTTCAAGTGAAATGGAAAACTTTGTTGCAACATGGAGGGGTAATGGACTAAATGTTTATGTTTCCTCACAATTCATCTGTCAAAGCCCTAACCCCCATTGTGATGGTATTTGGTTGGAGATGAGGCTTTTTGGTGGTAATTAGGTTTAGATGAGGTCATGAAGATAGGGCTCCCATGATGAGATTAGTGTCCTTATAAGAAGAGGAACAGAGAACAGAGCTTGCTCCCTGGCAGTCGCTCCCTCCAGCCCACAACATGTGAGGATACATCGAGAAGGTGGATGTCTGTAAGAGGCAAGGAAGAGAGCCCTCACCGGGGAACTGAATTAGCCAACACCTTGATGGTGGAGTTCCCCACCTCTAGAAGTATGATAAATAAGTTCCTATTGCTTAAGCCACCCAGTCTTTGGTATTGTGTTATGGCAGGCAGCCAGGGACTGCATAGGTCTACGACGAGAGGACATATTGCAGTCTCCTTTCATTTATACCACTGTGCCTAAGTCCATCTACCCCTGAGGCCTACACAGTCACTTACGGTGAGAAGAGGCAAGTGTGCCATAAGAGGCTAAAGGAATCTGGAAACTTGATAAGCAGAATTACTCTTTTTCTTTCTAGACAGAATACTAATAGTCTTATTTTTTAAAACTGTGGAAAAACACATACTCTTTTAGATTGCTAAATTTGGATTGTGATATAGAGAGAAACTTTGACTTTGACAGAAGTTTCTTACCTGAACAGCAAAAGCCTGTTCCCAAGTCCATAGCCAAATGGAACATCAATTAACCCCAGACCAAGTAAATGTTATAAGTAGCCTTGATGTAAAATGGTGCAGCCATTTTTGAAAACAGTCTGACAGTTCTTCAAAAGGTTAAATGTAGAGTTACCATGTAACTCAACAATTCTACTCCTACATATATACCCAAAGGAAATGAAAACATGTCCACACGAAAATTTTCACACAAATGTTTATACCAGCCTTATTAACAATAGCCAAAAAATGGAAACATCCAACTAAATGCCCATCAACTGATGAACAGATAAACAAAATGTGATCCATCCCTACAATGGAATATTATTCAGTCTTTTTTTTTTTCTTTTTGAGATGGAGTCTCACTCTGTTGCCTAGGTGCAATGGTGCGATCTTGGCTCATTGCAACCTCCGCCTCCTGGGTTCAAGTGATTCTCCTGCCTGAGCCTCCTGAGTAGTTGGGATTACAGGCACGTGCCACCATGCCCGGCTAATTTTTGTATTTTTAGTAGAGATGGGGTTTCACCATGTTGGTTAGGCTGGTCTCGAACTCCTGACCTCATGATCTGCCCACTTTGGCCTCCCAAAGTGCTGGGATTACAGGCGTGAGCCACTACGCCTAGCCTTTATTCAGTCTTAAGATGGATGAGTACTGATTACATGCTACAACATGGACAATCCTTGAAAACTTCATGCTAAGTGAAAGAAGTCTGGCACAAAAAGCCACTTAGCATATAATGCCATGTATACGAAATGTCCAGAATAGGTAAATTCAAAGACACAGAAAATAGATTAGTGACTGTAGGGGCTGGGAAGAAAAGGGGAATTATTGCTAATGAGTATGAAATTTCCGTTGCTGGGTAGTGAAAATATTTTAAAATTGTGATGTTGGTTGCACAACTCTGTGAATATACTAAAAATCATTAAACTGTATACTTTAAATGAATGAATTGTAGGGCATATAAACTATATCTCAATAAAGCTGTTACACACACATATAACACACAAAGAAAATCTGGAACATAGTACTTATTACCTTGTAGGTACTTACAAGTTGATTGGTTAAAAGGCTGCAGGTCTCCCTAGGAATGGAAAATGGCCCTGGTACCCCGTTTGGAGCTCCTGGTGAGTGGCCACTGCTGGGGCTAAGCATGGGTGGGAGGAGCCAGGGCAAGGGCCTCACATGCTCATCATTTGTACTCCTGTTCTTTTGGCCAGAAATATAAATAAAGCATGAGAAAACAGGCCACAAAATAGATTTGAGTATATTTTAATAGTTATTTCTAGTATTTCTGTTGTTTCTTCTTAACAATCTAATTTCTCTTTAAGCCCTATAAATAGAACAAGCCTTATTAGAAGGATATCATTATTTAAGATTGGAGTCACTACAAAAATCATATAATTACTAATTCCACAGGCAGTGAATTAAAATGGAATACTCAAATCAGCTATAGAGAAATGAGACAGAATCTTTGGCAAGATGCTAGATTATTAACAGATTTCTTTTGCATGGAAACAAAAAGGCTTAAGGGTCAGAAAGGAGTTCGGTTAGAATTTCTTCACTTCAAAGGTCCAAACTATCAATGGAGAAATAAAATTAACTCTTTGTAGACTACACAATTAATATTCATCTCAGGATCAATTTTTGTGAAAAATGGCACCACTACTTCATGAATTATTTTTTGCCCAGGAAATTCTCCCTCCTGATTTGTAAAATGGAAAAGAATAACTAAAGCATGATACAGGCTTTAAGTAAGCAGTCTCCATTTCCTCAGTAAATCTAAAACACAGACAGCAAGGAAACAGGGTCAAAGCACTATTTTCCAGCTTAAAGCACAATTTGGTAACGTAAGAATGCATTTACATTAGTAAATACACAGAATTAAGGTTGATTTCATGCATCTTAAAATTATTTTTTAAATTACAAAAGCAATGCATGCTCATTATAAAAATGCAGCAGTGTGTAAATTATTAATAATAATTACTTTTTTTTTTTGAGACAAGGTCTTGCTCTGTTGCCCATGCTGAAGTGCAGTGGTGCAATCATGTCTCACGGCAGCCTTGAACTCTTGGACTCAAGCAGTTCTCCCACCTCAGCCTCTCAGTGTTGGGATTACAGGCATGAGCCACTGTGGCTGGCCAATAATTACTATTAGTGAACATTACAATGTGCTGGTCACTGGGTTTAGTGCTATCTGATTCAATCCTCACAACAATCTTATGAGGTAGTTATATTTTTCTCCATTTTATAGACAAAGAAACTGAAGCTCAGAGAGTTAAATAAATTGCCTAAGGCAAACATCTTGTAAGAGGTAGAATCAGGATTTGTTTTGTTTTGTTTTGTTTTGTTTGAGACAGAGTCTTACTCTGTCACCCAGGCTGTAGTGCAGTGGCACAATCTCAGCTCACTGCAACCTCTGCCTCCCGGGTTCAAGCGATTCTCCTGTCTCTGCCTCCCAAGTAGCTGGGACTACAGGTGCGTGCCACCACACCGGCAAATTTTTGTATTTTTAGTAGAGACGGGGTTTCACCATATTGGCCAGGCTGGTCTTGAACTCCTGACCTTGTGATCCACCCGCCTCGGCCTCCCAAAGTAGAATCAGGATTTTAAACTATGCAGTTTCACTTCACCATCTAAGCTCTTAAATTCCTTTATACCTTGAGTGAAAGTTCCTATTAACTTCTTCTCCACTTTCCTCGCCCCACATTAACTATCACTTACTGTTCTCCATATATCAGAAAGATAAAAGTTTAATGATTGGAAAATAATCATTGACTTTCTCATAAAAATATCAATTTGGCTGGTCGCAGTGGCTTACGCCTGTAATCCCAGCACTTTGGGAGGCCTAGGCAGGCAGATCACCTGAGGTCAGAAGTTGGAGACTAGCCTGTCCAATATGGAGGAACCCCATCTCTACTAAAAATACAAAATTAGCAGGGCGTGGTGGCACATGCCCGTAATCCCAGCTACCCAGGAAGCTGAGGCAGGATAATCTCTTGAACCCGGGAGGTGGAGGTTGCGGTGAGCCGAGATCGCGCCATTGCACTCCAGCCTGGGCAACAAGAATGAAATTCCGTCTCAAAAAAAAAAAAAAAAAATCAATTCATGGACCTATGTACATACCCAAGAGGAATGAAAACACATGTCCATACAAAAACGTGTACATGAATGGCCAGGTGTGGTGGCTCACGCCTGTAATCCCAGCACTTTGGGAGGGCGAGGTGGGTGGATCACAAAGTCAGGAGATTGAGACCATCCTGGCCAACACGGTGAAACCCCATCTCTACTAAAAATACAAAAATTAGCTGGGTGTGATGGCACATGCCTGTAATCCCAGTTACTCAGGAGGCTGAGGCACATGAATTGCTTGAACCTGGGAAGTGGAGGTTGCAGTGAGCCGAGATCGAGCCATGCACTCCAGCCTGGGCCACAGAGTGAGAGTCTGTCTCAAAAAACAAACAAAAAACATGAATTTTCATGATAACATTTTTCATAATAGCCAAAAAGTAGAAACCATCCAAATGCCCCATTAACTGGTGATGAATCAGCAAAATGCAATATAGTCAGATATGGAATATTATTTGGTCATAAAAAGGAATGAAGTACTGATACATGCTACAACATTAATAACCTTGAAAACATTTTGCTAAGTGAAAGAAGCTGGTCACAAAGGACCACATAGTGCATGATTCCATTTATATGAAATGTCCAGAGTATGCAAATCTATTGTCACAGAAAGTAGATTAGTGGTACCTAGGACAAGGGGTAGGGATGGTGCAAATGAGTAGGAGGACTGCAAATGAGTAGGAGGTTTCTTTTGGGGTGATAAAAATATTCCAAAATTGGCTGGGCATTACAGGTGACTCATGCCTGTAATCCCAGCACTTTGGGAGGCTGAGGTGGGCAGATTGCTTGAAGCCAGGCATTCAAGGCCAGCCTGGATAACATGGTGAAACCCCAACTCTAGAAAAAATACAAAAAATTACTGTGGTGTGGTGACGCAGTCCTGTAGTCCCAGCTACTCAGGAGGCTGAGGTAGGAGGATTGCTTGAGCCCAGGATGCAGAGGTTGCAGTGAGCCATGATTGCACCACTGCACTCCAGCCTGTCTAACAGAGTGAGACCCTGTCTCAAAAAAAAAAAAAAAAATTCCCAAATTGATTGTGGTGATGGTTGCAAAACTCTGTAAACATACTAAAAATCACTGAATCTTATACTTTAAATGTATACATTTTATAGTGTATAAATTATATCTCAATAAAGCTGTTAAAATTTCAATTCATGACAGTGAAAGAACATGATTAAAATACATTTGATTATTTCAACCAGTCTGTGAAATCTAAAGAAATAATACACATGTAAACAAAAAAACTTCATAAATCAAGGTAGGTAGTTTGCTGCTCAGAAATGACAAGGTTATAATAAGAAGAGAAAGCAGATTTTTGAAAACCACAAGAAACAACCACAAAGTTACATGCTGGTCAGATAGAGGGTAGAAGAGATAATCTGAGCGAGAATCTATAGCATGCCTCTAAAAAAATCTTTATTTTGCTATGATCCATATTTGGCTTTTAAAGACTACGTATTTAACATGATTTTGGAATATAACATATTTCTGGCAAGGAGACAAGCAAATTAGCTACGACGGTATGGTAGCTAATCTTTGAAAATGGCCTGGTACCTGATATACTTCCTGTTGTTTATGTCTTTAGGTAATCCTCTCCCATATAGACTTTGGATTGATCCTGTAACTCATTTTTAAAAATTACTAAGAATCGTAATGAGATTTAAGATATTACACAAAATTTGGAGCTATATACATACAAAAGGCTTATGCACTTTTTGTATGTTTGAACATTTTTGTATGCTTTTGCTTTGTTTTAACCAATAGAATACACTGAAAGTGACACAGTACCAGTTCTGGATCCAAGCTTTAAGACTACCTGACAATTTTGGCTTTTGTACTTTTGAAAACAGTCCTGAACTGCCATGTAAGAAGTCTGGCTGCCGGGCATGGTGGCTCACGCCTGTAATCCCAGAACTTTGGGAGGCTGAGGCAGGAGGATCAGGATGTCAGGAGTTCAAGACCAGACTGGCCAACATGGTGAAACCCCATCTCTACTAAGAATACAAAAAAAATTAGTCGATGTGGTGGTGAACGCCTGTAATTCCAGCTACTCAGTAGGCTGAGGCAGAAGAATCGCTTGAACCTGGGAGGCGGAGGTTGCAATGAGCCGAGATCGCGCCATTGCACTCCAGCCTGGGCGAAAAAAGTGAGACTCCATGTAAAAAAAAAAAAGTCTGCCTATCCTACTGGAGAGATCATGTGGAGAAGTGACTTGGAGAAGCAATGCAAAATGGAAGAGGTCCCGAGACTGCATGGAGAAAGGCCCAGCCATCCCAGCAGCCCAGCCTTCCAGTCATCCTCACCAAGACACCAGACGTGGGAGTGTGCCATCATGTATGTTCCCCCAAATGACTGCAGCCCCATCTAGCATCACCCGGAACAGAAGAACTGCCCAGCTGAGCCCAGTTAATCCAGAGAATCATGAGAGGCAATACAATGGTGCTGATTTAAGCCACTGAATTTTGGAGTGGTTTGTTATGCAGCTATAAATAACTGAAATGTATATTTTTGTTTTGTTTTCTCTAAATCTCCTAATCCACAGGTGTTTGTGGGCTTTGCTATTCTTAGGGCTCTTCAACGAAGAAATTGTCACAATTTTTTATCCTCAAAACTTTTTATTTGGAAATAATTTCAAACTTACAAAAAAAGTTGCAAAATAGAACATAGACCTTCTATATGCCCTTCACCTAGATCCTCCACTTATTATTTTTTCTGAATCATTGGAGAATAAATTGTGATGCCCCGTTACCTTTTAATATTTCAATTTGGATTTCTTGAGTGCAAGGATATAGTGCAACAATTCAGATTGATAAATTAACATTGATCTAATAATGCCACCTAATCTACGGACCCAGTTTAAATCTCACCCATTGTCTGAAAAGAGTCCCTTACAGGTCCAGGATCCAGTCTAGGATCACGTGTTGCATTTAGTTGTCACATCTCTTTAGTGTTCCTCAGTCTGGAACTGTTTCTCATTTTCTTTCTTTCTTTCTTTTTTTTTTTTTTGAGAGGAGTCCTGCTCTGTCACCCAGGCTGGAGTGCAGTGGCACGATCTCGGCTCACTCCAAGCTCTGCCTCCCGGGTTCACGCCATTGTCTTGCCTCAGCCTCCCGAGTAGCCCGGACTACCTGCGCCCGCCACCATGCCCAACTGATTTTTTGTATTTTCAGTAGAGACGGGGTTTCACCGTGTTAGCCAGGATGGTCTCGATCTCCTGACCTCGTGATCCGCCCACCTTGGCCTCCCAAAGTGCTGGGATTACAGACGTGAGCCACTGCACCCTGCCCTTTTTCTTTTGAGACAGAGTTTCGCTCTTGTTGCCCAGGCTGGAGTGCAGTGGGGCGATCTTGGCTCACCGCAACCTCCATCTCCCGAGTTCAAGCGATTCTCCTACCTCAGCCTCCCAAGTAGCTGGGATTACAGGCATGCACCACCACACCCGGCTAATTTTGTATGTTTAGTAGAGACGGGGTTTCACCATGTTGGTCAGGCTGGTCTCGAACCCCTGACCTCAGGTGATTCACCCACCTCAGCCTCCCAAAGTGCTGTGATTACAGGTGTGAGCCACCATGCCCAGCCGTTTCTCATTTTCTGAGTTCTCTTTCATGACCTTGATAGTTTCGAAGAGCCCAGGCCAGTTACTTTTGAGAATTTCCTTCAATTTGGCAGGTGGGGATTGTTTACTGTTTATAATTTATGCATTTGGCAGGAATATCACAGGAATAATGCTGTGCTAGTCTCAGTGCAGCATACCAGAAGGCACATGATGTAGACTTGTTCCATTAATGGTGATGTTAACGTTTATCATTTAGATAAGATGGTGTTTGCCAGGTTCTCCATTTTAAAGTAATTAGTAATTATTTTGTGGCAAGAATCTTTGAATGCAATCGTGTAAATCTTGTTTCTCATCAAACATTCACCAGTTTTAGCATTGATTAATGATTCTAACCTGAATATTATTACTCTGATGATTACCAAATGGGAATTTTCTGTCTTATTCCTTCTAGATTTATTAGGTGGGATAGAGTTTCCTTTCTCTCCTATTAATTATTGATATCAGTATGGACTCAAGAATCCTTTTTTATTCACAGAGTTACAATCTGTTATTATCATTATTTATCTTGATATTGAAATTGTCCCAGGCTTGGCCAGTGGGAGTCCCTTTAAGCTGGTTACTGTCTCACAGACGTGTGCCCGTCATTCCTTGAGCATTTCTTTACTTTCTGATGTCATAAAATGTTCCAAGCCCATCCTTGTATTCTCCCTTCTTCAGCCCTGGAGTCAGCCATTTCTTTAAGGAGCCCTGGTTCCTTTTAGCAGATAATGGTATTTAGAAACCAAGATCTTAATATGTTTGTTGTTATCAGAATGTCTCATTGCTTCTAGGCCATCTCAGTGGACAGAACTAGCATGTGCGCGCGCGCATGCACACACACACACACACACACACACACACACACACACACACACACCTATATTTGTTGTCTTATCTAATCAGACTCTGATACTGATACCTCTAATCCCTATGCAACACTAGAGGGTATTTTCTAGGCTTCCCAGTTTCCATATTTGTACCTCCTTTCTTTGACAGTGAGAAATGTGTATTCATTTATTTGCTTCATCCTGGACATGCTGACCTCCATCCCTCACTGGGCACCAAGGGAAAGCTCGGCACCAGTGAAGGGGAAGAGGGAAAAAAAGGCTTTTTCCCCCTTCAATGTGTCAGAAACTTAAGCAGTATATGTTGGCAAACATTTCTGTTTATTCAACTATTTTGACCAAGTTGTTTGCAGACCTTTTTTTTTTTTTTTTTGAGACGGAGTCTTGCTCTGTCACCCAGGCTGGAGTGCAGTGGCATGATCTTGGCTCACTGCAACCTCTGCCTCTGGTTTAAGCGATTTTCCTGCCTCAGCCTCCTGAGTGGGTGGGATTACAGGCACCCGCCACCACGCCCGGCTAATTTTTGTATTTTTATTAGAGACGGGGTTTCCCCATGTTGGCCAGGCTGGTCTTGAACTCCTGACCTTGTGATCCACCTGCCTCGGCCTCCGAAAGTGCTGGGATTATAGGCGTGAGCCACCTCACCCGGCCCATTCATTCTTAAGTAATAGTAGGCCGGGTGCGGTGGCTCACGCCTGTGATCCCAGCACTTTGGGAGGCCGAGGCGAGTGGATCATGAGGTCAGGAGATTGAGACCATCCTGGCTAACAGGGTGAAACCCAGTCTTTACTAAAAATACAAAAAAATTAGCCGGGCCTGGTGGCGGGCACCTGTAGTCCCAGCTATTCGGGAGGCTGAGGCAGGAGAATGGCTTGAACCCGGGAGGCAGAGCTTGCAGTGAGCCGAGATGGTGCCACTGCACTCCAGCCTGGGCAACAGAGCAAGACTTCGTCTTAAAAAAAAAAAAAAAAAAAAAAAAAAATAGGCCGGGCGCTGTGGCTCACGCCTGTAATCCCAGCACTTTGGGAGGCCGAGGCGGGCAGATCATGAGATCAGGAGTTCGAGACCATCCTGGCTAACATGGTGAAACCCCGTCTCTACTAAAAATACAAAAAATTAGCCGGGCGTGGTGGCGGGCGCCTGTAGTCCCAGCAACTCAGGAGGCTGAGGCAGGAGAATGGCGTGAACCCGGGAGGCGGAGCTTGCAGTGAGCGGAGATCGCGCCACTGCACGCCAGCCTGGGTGATAGAGCCAGACTGTCTCAAAAAAAAAAAAAAAAAAAAAAAAAAAAGGAAGTAGAAGCAAGTTTGTTTAAATGCTCCGTATATTATCATTTACTAAAAGCTTAGCAAACTAGATTTCTAGCAGCATCTCTGAAAGCAGCGGAAAGATGTGATTACGAGTTGGAAAGAGCTGGTTTTAATTTCTATGTCTAACACTTCGGGTATCAACCTTGGGCAAATTTCCTAATTTCTCTGAAATACAGTTTCCTTTTGGAAAATGGAGATTAATGAAAGACATAATTGTTTTTAGGATTAAATGAGACCATGTATGTGCAATGGATTGTTTTTGATAGACACTGGACCTTCAGATTTTAAAAGCAGAATAAAAACTGTTACTTAGAAGTTACAAGCTGTTCCTCCCTGCTAAGTGAAGATTTGGATACACTCAAAAGTCTACTGTTCTCTGTTCTGGGAGAGCCACCACTTTGTGTTTAAATTATGCAAATATACATGAAGTGTCCACCCATTGTTCTTGAGAGAAAATTGAATACAGTAAAATAACTGAAATACAGTTGTTTTAGGTCAAGAAATTACGTGTTTGATCATATAAATTGGGTAATCTTTTCACAACTTTGAAGGGGAATCTGTTCGTTCCTCTATGAATTTAGGCTGTGTTATGCCCCTACATTGTTGCTTCTTCTTGGAGAGTTTTTTTCCCCTATTGTTTATGAAGGAACCCTGAGGACTGTAGGAGGGGCCACAGGCATGAATTTTACTTCATGGTGGAGGGAGGCTGTACTCAGTGACTGCTCTGGGCTATTCCCTTCGCGTGGTATTTTTTTTTTTAAACTAAATAATCCAGAATGTATTGATGCTGGATGTGTTAGTCTGAGTCCTCTTAAAAGACAGAATCAAGATGGCATTAAATGTGCAAGGAATGTATTAGGGAATATGCCTGTGAGAGAAAATGGGGAGGGAACCAAGACAGACCGAGATAGTCATTTTTCATGCTGTGGATGAAAAAATAAAGACAGCTGGACTCTAGAGACAGGGAATGAAGCAAGTGCCCATGAGAGCAAGAGGCCCCAGCAGAAGATGCCGAAATAGAAGATATTTTCCTTAGCACTTGACCACTTCCTTATTCTTTTTGTTCTGACTCTTATGAGGCTGGGCTGCAACTCCTTGAATGGTGCAAGATACTCTTCTCTCTGTGCAGTACATGGCTTTTTGTTTAAAGTCATCTGATTTCTAAGACGGCCACATGTGGGATAGAGTAGCTATGGGGAGAGAAACACCCCATTTCCTGACACTAGAGTGTGGGTAACCATGGAGAGAACCAGTGGGAAACAGTGGGGTCTCCTGCAGTGGTCATCTCATCCTCATGAGAGAGTCCACAGGGAGAGGAGGCCAGAGTGGTAGAGTCTTACAGATCTATTCCTGACACCTCAATAGATAGCTTCTCCCAGCAGGTCACACTGAGAGGTGACTTCTGGCAATTAGAGGAATGAGTAGTGAGTCATTGTTTTAATATTAATGGAAATATGACTGAAATTTGCGGTACTAGGCTAAAGCCAGGCATTTTGGTTGCCCAGGTAAAATACTTGCTTCACAACAAGACTACAGTCAACACTAATTATTTCTCGCCCACTTTCCAAGATTCTCTGTCATTCCATAAAATACCATGCTCCAGGGTCACTTTATTTATAAATCCACTCTAATTTTTGGAGCAATCATTCCTGAGCACACATAGTGTAATGCAAAGGTCCCCCTTGCTTGGAAGAATAAATCACATTTTAGGAATATTGCTAGGTGGATTATGGTCTGTCATTAACTCCCATTAAAAATTATTAGATCATGGGGCTCTAAAGCACTCTAATTATAAATATATTTAGAAGATGTAATAAAATAAAAATAAAACCTTTTTTTAAAAAGCAAATTTTGTATAGATCACATACTGAAAGGAAAACAAAAACTCCTTTGAGCTGGTTTTAATTTCTGTGTCTAACACTTAGGGCAGCAACCTTGGGCAAATTTCCTAATTTCTCTGAAATACAGTTTCCTTTTGGAAAATGGAGATTAATGAAAGACATAATTGTTTTCAGGATTAAATGAGAACATGTATGTGCAATGGATTATTTTTGATAGACACTGGACCTTGAGATTTTAAAAGCAGAATAAAAACTGTTATTTAGAAGTTACAAGCAGTTCCTCTCTACTAAGAAGTGAAGATTTGGATACACATCAAAAGTCCACTGTTATTTAGAAAATTAGAACATTTTGTAACATATTTATCATAATATCCCAAATTACAGTGCTGTGTTATCCTCAAAATGAGTTCCCAAATACAAATACTAGATGTGTACCTGATGCCAGAGGGGGTGTGTTTTGGTGATGGGTAAAAGGAAGCAATAGCCCTCTTTCTTGGGTGATTTTAATGCCTTTCTCTTCTTCCTAAGCTGGTACAAACCGTCTAGTATACTCTGGGTTTTCTTTTTCTTCTTCTTTTTAAAAATTTAATTTAATTTAAAATTTTTTTCCTTTTCCTCCTCCTCCTAATTTTTATTCATTATTTATTTATTTTTAGAGATAGGGTCTCACTATATTGCCCAGGCCAGTTTCAAACTCCTAGGCTCAAGCAATCCTCCCACCTCAGCCTCCCAAGTAGCTGGGACTACAGCTACCTGCCACCATGTCCAGTTCTAGATACTCAGGCGAGGGACATAGCTAAGACTGGGAAATAGCAACATGCATTAACCAGAGCTCTTTAGACTGCAGATGGGGGAATCCTAACTTAACCTAATTAAAGCCAAAGGGAATTTATTGGTTTCTATATTTGAGTGGTTCAGGGTATTCTCTGACTTTGAGTATAACCGGACTCAGGAGCTCAAACAATTGTTCAAATCTAACCCTCTCTCCCAATCTTTGTGCCCTGCTTCTCACAGTGATTTGGTCTCATTTTTTTCTTACTCCAGACTTCTGGGGAAAATGGCTCCAACAGTTCCAATTTCACATCTTTCAATGTTAGTAACTCCAATAGAGAATTGTTCTTTCTTAATACCCGTATATTAATTTCTGGGAAGGATTCTGACTGGCTCTTCTAGGGTTACATGTCTATTCTTGAATGGTTAACTGTCACCAAGGAGGTAGGATACTATGATTGGCTAATCCTGGGTCATATTCATTTCACTGTGATAATGTTGCAGGGGAGGCGGTTAGAGAAAAGAGATTCCTGTATTTAGGAGCCCTACAAAGTCATATGAAGTACGAGAGGATGTCTGTCCTACTGCCTTAGCCTCCCTAGTAGCTAGGAACACAGGCATGCACCACCACACCTGTCTAATTTTTAAATTATTTTGTACCGATGGGGTATCACTATGTTATCCAGGCTGTTCTGGAACTGCTGGCCTCAAATGATCCTCCTGCTTTGGCTTTGCAAGGCATCAATCTAGAATTGTTTACCTTTGGCCTTTTCTATGCCTCAGTTTATTGGGCTAATAACTATAATTTGTTTAAGTTTGTGAGTATTTTTTCTTTAGCCCCAAATTTCATGATAATATCGTCTTGCTTTTTCTTTCCACAGCATTTGAACTTGCTTTCTAGACCCCTTTGCTCAGTAATATTTATGCAAATATTGTAGTTATACCTATACCTCACTGGCCTATGAATAGAACAATTTTAAGATAAGACCTCTTTGAAGCAACATGCATGCCAATGAAAAGCCCAATTTGGCAGAATGAAGATTAAAAAGAGCTAGAATCCTTGAAGACCAATCAGTTGAATTAAAGTCACCCATTGTCAGTTGTCACCTTTCGCCTATGTAAGGACAATAAATCTTTATTTGTTTATACTTTAATGCATATTTCCCATTTACAATACAGTTCATTCCTTTGCGTAGATATCATTTTCCTTCTGTCTGAAAGATTTCCTTCAACATTACTTATAATGCATGCACACCAGTTACAAAGTTTTTCAGCTTTCTGCATCTGAAAAAGTTTTCTTTGCCTCCATTTTTCTCCCCTTCTTTTTCACAGGTGTTGATACCTTCATTTTTGAAAGGTAAAATGTTCACGGAATTCTAGGTTAACAGCTTTGTTTTGTTTTGTTTTTGTTTTTTCTTTGAGTACAGTCATGCACTGCAAGACAACATTTCAGTCAATGACAAACCTCATATACAACGGTGGTCCCATAAGATTAGATTACAATACAATATTTTCACTGTACCTTTTCTATGTTTAGACATGCTTAGATACACAAATATTTATCATTTTCTTATACTTGCCTGCAGTATTCAGTACAGTAACATGCTATAAGATTTGTAGCCTAGGAGCAATGGCCATACTGTAAAGCCTAGATGTGTAGTAGACTATACCATCCAGATTTGTGTAAGTACACTTTATAATGTTTGCACAATGAAGAAATTGCCTTACGAAGTATTTCTCAAAACATGTCCCCATTGTCAAGTGATGCATGCCTGTACTTGTAAAGATATCACTCCACTGACTTCTTGGTTTTATCGTTTCCCATGAGAAGCCTGCTGTTACTCTTACCTTCTTGGCTTTTATAATTATGTAAGCCAATTCTCATAAGAAACCTCTCTCTATATATGTGTACAGATATATACCTATATAATAATCATCTATCTATCATCTATCTATCTATCTATCTATCTATCTATCTATCTATCTATCATCTCCTATTTGTTCTGCTTCTCTAGAGAACTATCACTGGTACAAATACGCTGCTTGATCCCCCATGTGTTAAAAGTTTTTTTCCATTCTGGCTCTAGAGAACATGAACTATTTCCACTGCCATCTGATCTCTGTGAGTTATTCCACCTGCTCCTTTCAGATGGTTCTTTTCCCAGCCTTGGGTAGTTTTCTCACATGCATATTCTAAAGAGTGGTCAGTTGAAAACCCAGTGTGATCATCTGAAAATCTTCAGAGCTCTATTCATGTGCAGCACTCGGAGCCTCCTTCTGGTACTCTTTACTGTGAATTATACTCTCGTTGAATGCTTAGTACTTTCAGCAACACCTCGTCAGCTCAGGAAGACTGTGGACTCTGGGTTCCTCTTCTCTGAGCTGACGGTAATTCAGGGCAAATTGAATGCTTGCTTCACTAGTTTCCCTCTCCTCGGGGATCAACATCATGCACTGCCTGTTGACCAATGTTTGTTGGTGTATTTGCCTTTTTTAAAGTTTTTAGACAAGAGGATAAATCTAGTTTCTATTAGTCTGTCTTGGTCAAGATTGGAAGTCAAATTCCTATTTGATTATGCCAGTTTTAGTTAGATTATCTGCTATTTGCAGCGAAAAACATTCTTTTTTTTTTTTTTTAAGACAGAGTCTTGCTCTGTCACCCAGGCTGGAGTGCAATGGTGTGATCTCAGCTCACTGTAACCTCCACCTCCTGGGTTCTAGCGATTTTCCTGCCTCAGCCTCTGAGTAGCTGGAACTACAGGTGTGCACCATCACATCCAGCTAATTTTTTTTCTTTCTTTCTTTTTTTTTTTTTTTGAGACAGAGTCTCGCTCTGTGGCCCAGGCTGGAGTGCAGTGGCGCAATCAGGGCTCACTGCAACCTCTGCCTCCTGGGTTCAAGCAATTCCCTGCCTCAGCCTCCGGAGTAGCTGGGATTACAGGCACCTGACACTATGCCTGGCTAATGTTTGTATTTTTAGTAGAGATGGGGTTTCACCATCTTGGCCAGGCTGGTCTTGAACTCTTGACCTCATGATCCACCTGCCTTAGCCCCCCAAAGTTCTGGGATTACAGGCATGAGCCACCACGCCTGGCCAAAATGATATTATCCAATGATTTCTTTTATTATTTTCTTTCTTTCTTTCTTTTTTGAGACAGAGTTTTGCTCTGTCGCCCAGGCTGGAGTGCAATGGTGCAGTTTTGGCTCACTTCAACTTCCGCCTCCCGGGTTCAAGCGATTCTCCTGTCTTAGCCTCCCGAGTAGCTGGGGTTACAGGTGCATGCCACCACACCCGGCTAATTTTTGTATTTTTAGTAGAGACAGGGTTTCATCATATTAGTCAGGCTGGTCTTGAACCCCTGACCTCAGATGATCTGCCTGCCTTGGCCTCTCGAAGTGCTGAAATTACAGGCATGAGCCACCGTGCACAGCTGATTAAGCCACCACGCCAGGCCGATAATTTTTATATTTTTAGTAGAGACGGGTTTTGCCATGTTGGCCAGGCTGGTCTTGAACTCCTAACCTCAAGCAATCCGCCCGCCTTGGCCTCTCAAAGTGCTGGGATTACAGGCATAAGCCACCACACCTGGCCTGCAGATAAAAACATTCTTAATGGATATATGCCGTCTTTGCAGTCATTTAGGTAGCTCATATGTATTTTGACTAAAATGTAATCTTTATGAAGAATAAAATTATTTTAAATGGTGATATACTAAAATCATCAGTAAAAAAGATGACTATAATCATCACTGTATTTGACATTAAAGGTTGTGGTTAATGCAATAAGAAAACAAAACATATGGAAAAAAATATTGGAAATCAAGTGGCAAAGTAAATGTGATTTTTCAGATTATATAATTGTATAACAAGAAAACTTAAGATACTCTACCAAAAATAAAACTTTATTTATAATTAATAAGATAATTTATCTTATGGCAAATTTTAAAATAGCTTTTCTTTAAATCAGAAATAACTTCCTGGAAAGGGCAATGGAAAAAAATCAATTTCAGTTATCAGTAAAGTATGAATACCAACAAATAAACTTATTTTATTGTTATTTTTTGAGACAGAGTCTCACTCTGTCACTCAGGCTGGAGTGCAGTGGCACAATAATGGCTCACTGCAGCCTCGCCTTCCTGGGCTCAGATGATCCTCCTGCCTCAGCCTCCCAAGTATCTGAGACCACAGGTGTGCACCACCACACCTGGCTAATTTTTTATGTTTATTTTTATAGAGACAGGGTCTTCCCACGCTACTGAGGTTCGTCTCAAACTCCTGGGCTCAAGCAATCCTCCCATCTCAGCCTCTCAAAGTGCTGGGATTATAGGCATGAGCCACCGTGACTGGTCCAAATAAATTTAATAAGATAGGTACATATCGGCTGGGCACAGTGGCTCACGCCTGTAATCCCAGCACTTTGGGAGGCTGAGGTGGGCGGATCACCTGAAATCAGGAGTTCGAGACCAGCCTGGCTAACAAAGTGAAACCTCGTATCTACTAAAAAAAAAAAATACAAAAATTAGCCGGGCATGGTGGCGCACTCCTGTAATCCCAGCTACTTGGGAGGCTGAGGCAAGAGAATTGCTTGAGACCGAAAGGCGGAGGTTGCAGTGAGCCAAGAATGCACCACTACACTCCAGCATGCGTGACAGAGCGAAGACTCAGCCTCCAAAAAAAAAAAAAAAAAAAAATGGCTGGGCATGGTGGCTAACGCCTGTAATCCCAGCACTTTGGGAAGCTGAGGCGTGAGGATTACCTGAGGTCAGGAGTTTGAGGCCAGCCTGGCCAACTTGGTGAAACCCTGTCTCCACTAAAAATACAAAAATTAAGCCGGGCGTGGTGGCATGTGCCTGTAATCCCAGCTACTCGGGAGGCTGAGGCAGGAGAATTGCTTGAGCCTGGGAGATGGAGGTTGCAGTGAGCCAAGGTCATGCCACTGCACTCCAGCCTGGCCAACAGCAAGACTCTGTCTAAAAAAAAAAAAAAAGTTACATATCTAGTGAAAAGAGCAATAACATTTTATATTGAAGGAATGCAAAACAAAATCTTTACAATCTTCATATATAATGTCCATATTTGGAAACACTATTTCCAAACATTTCCTAGAAAGAGGTCTTGATTTTCTTTCAAAAGCCACCCAATCACAAAACTAATCAACTAAAATCTGACAAAGATCAATTAATTAGAAAGTTCTGCTGGGTACAGTGGCTCATAATCCCAGCACTTTGGAAAGCAAAGGCGGGCAGATTGCTTGAGCCAAGGAGTTTAAGACCAGTCTGGGCAACATGGTGAAACCCTGTCTGTACCAAAAATACAAAAATTAGCCAGGTATGGTGGCATACACCTGTGGTTCCAGCTACTGGGGAGGAGGCTGAAGTGGGAGGATTGCTTGAGCCTGGGAGGTGGAGTCTACAGTGAATTATAATCACGTCACTGCACTCTGGCCTAGGCAACCGGAGTTGCCTAAAAAAAAAAAAGAAAAAAGAAAGTTCTGCTGGGCACAGTGATTCACACCTGTAATTCCAATGCTTTGGAAGCCTCAGGCAGGAGGATCTCTTGAGGCCAAGTGTTCAAGACCAGCCTGGGCAGCACAGCAAGACTCTGTCTCTACAAAAAATTTTTTTTTTTTTTTGAGACGGAGTCTCGCTCTGTCGCCCAGGCTGGAGTGCAGTGGCGCGATCTCGGCTCACTGCAAGCTCCGCCTCCCGGGTTCACGCTACAAAAATTTTTAAAAAAGTTAGCCAAGTGCCTGGCGCAGCGGCTCACGCCTGTAATCCCAGCACTTTGGGAGGCTGAGGAGGGCAGATCACCTGAGGTCGGGAGTTCTACACCAGCCTGACCAACATGGAGAAACCCCATCTCTACTAAAAACACAAAATTAGCCAGGCTTGGTGGTGCATGCCTGTAATCCCAGCTACTTGGGAGGCTGAGGCAGGAGAATCGCTTGAACCCTGGAGGCAGAGGTTGTGGTGAGCCAAGATCGTGCCATTGCACTCCGGGCTGGGCAACAAGAGCAAAACTCCGTCTCAAAAAAAAAAAAAAAAAAATTAGCCACGCATGGTGGCATATACCTGTAGTCCTAGCTGCTCAGGAAGCTGAGACAGGAGGACTGCTTGAGCCCAGGAGTTGGAGGTTGCACTGAACTGTGATCATACCACTGCATTCCAGCCTGGAAACGGAGTGAGACCCTGTCTCGAAAAAAAAAAAAAAGAAGAAAGAAAGAAAGAGAGAAAAGAAAAGAAAATTGTGCCTGGAATTCCTAGGTTTTTCTTTTCTTTTCTCTCTTTCTTTCTTCTTTTTATTTTGGGGGGGTCCCCTTTGTCCCCCAGGCTGGAGTATAGTAGTAGGATCTTGGCTTACTGCAACCTCCGCCTCCCAACCTCAGGTGATCCTCCCACCTCAGCCTCCCAAGAAGCTGGGACTATAGGCGTGAGCCACCACACTCAGCTAATTTTTGTATTGTTAGTATAAATGGGGTTTTGATATTGCCCAGACTGGTCTCAAACTCCTGAGCTCAAGTAGTCTGCCCACCTTGGCCTCCCAAACTGCTGGGATTACAGGTGTGAACCACCACACCTGGCCTAGGTTTTTCTTTGGTCATCAAGATAGTGATATTCAACTTGATGCTCTCATTAGTAGTTATGAGCACATTTTAATTATGTCTGTTATGGTTGGCAAAATGCTGAGTTGCTAGATGCTCTGTAGAGTCAAGAGTCAGACTATGAGATACATACAGTTAACGATTTGGTTGGCAAAGCTGTGGACAAGATAGAAAGTTGAAGATGATAGTGAGAAACTCCTAAATAATATAGGCTGAAAGCTGATGGGAGATAAATGGGTACTGTGCCTTGTGGGAACATTTTACTAAATTTACAAACTTCAGGATTTCTCTCAAGTAAATTTCGGAAAATCTTGGAATTGCTGTGCCAGCCAAAGATTTTTTTTTTTTTTTTTTTTTTGGTCTAGAAAGAGTCTTGCTCTGTTGCCCAGGCTGGAGTGCAGTGGTAAGATCTCGGCTCACTGAAACCTCCGTCTCCCAGGGTCAAGCAATTCTCATGCCTCAGCCTGCGGAGTACCTGGAATTACAAGGGAATTTTTTAAATAGAGGCATAGGAATCCACACAATATCAAGAATTGTTCTTGTAGATGGAGTTAGTAACTTCCTAAGTTAGTGTTTATCAAATGCCAGATCTTGGATTGATTTCTTCAGGTTCATAAAGGAACTTTATTGATAATACAGATTCTTTGTCCTCACCAAAGACAGTTTAAATAAGACTATTCTGGGCAAGGCCTACAATTTGTTGTTGTTTTTGTTTTTTTTGAGACACAGTCTCGCCCTGTCACCCAGGCTGGAGTGCAGTGGCGCGATCTCGGCTCACTGCAACCTCCGCCTACTGGGTTCAAGTGATTCTCCTGCCTCAGCCTCCCGAGTAGCTGGGATTACAGGCACCCGCCATCATGCTCGGCTAATTTTTGTAGAGACGGGGTTTCACCATGTTGGCCAGGTTGGTCTTGAACTCCTGACCTCAGGTGATCTGCCCGTCTTGGCCTCCCAAAGTGCTGGGATTATAGGTGTGAACCACTGTGCCTGGACTGTTGTGGTTTTTTAATTGTTACAGGGACTTGTTCTGTTGCCTAGGCTGGAGAGCAGTGGCGTGATCTCGGCTCACTGCAACCTCAGCCTCCGGGTTCAAGTGATTCTCCCTGCCTCAGCCTCCCGAGTAGCTGGGACTACAGGTGCTTGCCACCATGCCCGGCTAATTTTTATATTTTTTATTAGAGACAGGGTTTCGTCATGTTGGCCAGGCTGGTCTTGAACCCCTGACCTGAGGTGATCCACCTGCCTTGGCCTCCCAAAGCGGACAGATTACAGGCGTGAGCTACTGCTCCTGGCCACGTGTTACTCTTAAGGTTTTGAAGGTTACAAATGGTGTGCAAATGTTAGTGAAGTGTATTAATCAGAGCTCATTCAGTTGCCAGTGACAGAAACCCAACTTAAGCAAACTGGCTCACACAACTGAGGAGAGGAAGGAGAGATTTTTCAGTCATGGCATGTTCCAGTGACTCAAATTATATCTCTAAGGATTGGGTCTTCCCATTTCTTAGAAGGTTCTCTCTCTACTTAATGGGCAAGAATGTTGGCCCAAGATTCACAAACCTGCTGGGTGGTTGGAGGCAGAGAGCAAGAGCAAGAGCATGTGCTCCTGAGAGAGAATTTGCTAATAGCCCAGCATAAGAATTCCAGAAAAAACTGGCCAATCATGGGTCACATGCTTACTGCTGAGTTGGAAAAGGGTTGTAGTCAGCCTCATCTGAACCATCTCACATAGATTCTTTTTAAGAAAGAAGAATTTTATCACTACACAAAGATAGGTATGATTCTGCGAAGTCAAAATAAGAGATGACTGCTAAAAATGATAAGCATGATAAGGGCAAGGAACTCATCAGCATGTAACTGTGGCTTTCAAAGTGTGGTCCAGGCCACACTCAGGGTCTCTGAGACAGTTTTACAGGGTTCACATTATCTTCTTTTTTCTTTCTTTCTTTTTTTCTTTTGAGACGGAGTTTTGCTCTTGTTGCCCAGGCTGGAGTGCAATGGCTCAATCTCCGCTCACCACAACCTCTGCCTCCTGGGTTCAAGTGATTCTCCTGCCTCAGCCTCCCAAGTAGCTGGAATTACAGGCATGCGCCAGTACCCCCAGCTAATTTTGTATTTTCAGTAGAGACGGGGTTTCCTCCGTGTTGGTCAGGCTGGTCTCAAACTCCTGACCTTGTGATCCGCCCACCTCGGCCTCCCAAAGTGCTCGGATTACAGGCATGAGCCACCGCGCCCGGCCGGGTTCACATTATTTTTATAAAAATATGTTATGTTGGCTGGGAGCAGTGGCTCACGCCTGTAATCCCAGCACTTTGGGAGGCCGAGGCGGGCGGATCACCTGAGGTCGGGAGTTCTACACCAGCCTGATCAACATGGTGAAACCCCGTCTCCACCAAAAGTACAAAGTTAGCCGGGCGTGGTGGTGCATGCCTGTAATCCCAGCTACTTGGGAGGCTGAGGCAGAAGAATCACTTGAACCCGGGAGGCGGAGGTTTCGGTGAGCAGAGATTGCGCCACTGCACTCCAGCCTGGGCAACGAGCGAAACTCCATCTCAAAAAAAAATGTTATGTTAAAATGTGATGAGTTTATTATTTTCAATTAATTCAGTCGATATGTTTTTAAATTATCATTTTTTTCTGAAACAGGAAATATTGATTTCTATTTTGTCATACATAATATATAATTGTATTATCATAAAAATCATACATAATTTTATCAACATAATCAATTATGTCTCTTTGGCCAGCAAGTGAAGGAAAACCCAAGCCAAACTGGCCTTAACCATAGGAGGATTTATTTGCTCAGTGTGCTGGTTAGTTTTGTGTTAACTGGGCTATGGGGTGCCTACATATTTGGTCAAACATTATTCTAGGTGTTTCTGTGAGGGTGTTCTTGAATAAGACTAATGATTAGGTTGATAGACTGAGAAAATAAGATGGTCCTCATTCCTTAGTGTGGGTGGGCCTCACTGAATAATTTAAAAAGCCTGAATATAAGGAAAAGAGTGAACTTCCTCCAAGTAAGATAATTCTTTCCTGCCTGACTGTGTATGTTTGAATTGGGTTTTTTTCTCCACCTTCAGACTTGACCTGAAACACCAGCTTTTCTTTATTCTTGACACTGCTGGCCTTCAGACTGGAACTAAATCTCTGTTCTCCTGGGTCTCCACCTTGCCAATTCATCTTTCAGGTCTAGGGCTTGTCTGCCTCCGTAATTGTGTACGCCAATTCCTTATTTTACACACACACACACACATATACACACACACACACAATTCAATAGGATAGATGTAATCGCCAATTGGTTCTGTTTCTCTGGAGAACCCTGACTACCATGCAATCTTCCTGCCTCAACCTCCCAAGTAGCTGCAATTACAGGATATGCTCTTGATATATTTAGGTGAAAATAGCAAGAATAAAAATTGAACACTATACTTCTAAGGGGTGAATTTTATGGTATGTAAAAGATCTCAGTAAAAATCACATGGGAAAAAAGTTGAACACACACACAAAATACAGATGAACAGGAAAAAGGCTGAAAGAGAATACATTAAAATGTTAATAGTAGTCATCTCTAGGAGCTGGAATTTTACATAATGTTAATAGTCTTGTTTGTAGTTTTCTCACACAACACAGATTAAAATACAATAAAAAAGTGTACAATTAAAAAAATTGGAAAATGTATGAAGTTGAAAATTACTTAAATCCATGTTGAATTTTAAAAAATTGGTCAAGAAAAGAGAAGAACCACAATTCAAAGTGATGGGGGAAATGGTTGTGGTTTTGGGTGGAGGTGGAGGGTGGGGCGTGGTGTTTGGAGGGTGGGGCATGGTGTACATGTCAGCATTTGGAGAGAGGAAGGAAGAGCTACTAACGAAGCCGCTGTGTGGTTCACGTGGGGAAGAGGCTGCCATAGTGGTCTAGATAGAGAAGGTTCATCCGTGATGAGCTGGAGAATGCAGTGTGTGTGTGTGTGTGTGTGTGTGTGTCTGTGTCTGTGTGGGTGTGTGTTACAGGTTCACTCATGCGGGCACAAAGTGTATTGGAGTGTATGGAAAGATGTAAGTAAATCTAGCCATACAACTGATACTCAGCAGTCCAAAAATGAGGCAAAAGGAGAGCCCCAAAACCTAGAGAGACACTGAGCATCCCAACTAAATATAGAAGTCTCAGGTTTTATAACCAGCTCTATCCTGGATTAAACTTTTCACAAATTGGACTGGGCCCAGTGGCTCACACCTGTAATCCCAGCACTTTGGGAGGCTGAGGTGGGCGGATCACCTGAGGTCAGGAGTTCAAGACCAGCCTGGCCAACATGGTGAAACCCTGTCCCTACAAAAATACAAAAATTAGCCGGGCATGATGGCGGGTGCCTGTAATCCCAGCTACTCAAGAGGTGAGTCATGAGAATCGCTTGAACCTGGGAGGTGGAGGTTGCAGTGAGCCAAGATCATGTCATTGCACTCCAGCCTGGGCGACAGAGCAAGATTCCATTTCAAAGAAAAAAGAATTCACAAATTGTACTTACGACTGACAGTGGCTTCTATGTCTCAATTTCCCAGTCTGTATATGAAAGAGCTGTACTTCTTGTTTTCTACATACCTCAGAGAATTGCTACAGACTAAAACAATAGAAAGTTACCCATGTCATGAAGCCATGTGTAATAGAGTTGCTACCATCAAAAATTCTTCCCCAATGATTTCTAATTTAGAAATGCTAAGTTTGGTGGCTCGCACCTATAATCCCAACACTTTGGGAGGCTGGGATGGAAGGATTGCTTGAGCCCAGGAGTTTGAGACCAGCCTGGGCAACATAGGAGACCCTTGTCTCTATTGAAAAAAAAAAATTAGCTGGGTGTGATGGCGGCACACACCTGTAGTCCCAGCTACTCGGGAGGCTGAGGTTGGAGGATTGCTTAAGCCTAGGAGGTCAAGGCTGCAATGAGCTGTGGTCACACCACTGTTTACTCCAGCCTGGGTGACAGAGCTAGACCTTGTCTCAAAAAAAGAAAAAAAGAAATGCAATTTTTTTTTTTACATATCTTACAACATTCCCTAACATTAGTGGTCTCCAAACTAATTACATGGTAAAGAGTAATGTCGAGCTAGCCACAATCAAGAGTAAATGTCATACAGTCCTTTACCTCTGTAGCTTATAATCCTGTAGCAATTTCCCTTTTCTTCCTTATCTTTGAGTTGCATGAACATTCACTTCAGTCTGACTAATCACTGATCTGGAACATTCGCCCACCTCCTGCCTTGTTCATTCTGAAATGTCTGCCCTCTTGCCTGCCTAACCAAACATTATTCTTCCTTTGAGGGCAGATTTAGTTCCACTGTCCCATAGACTCTTTCTTACCCTTAGGCCCGTGGGGATCTCCTCCTGCTTGGAATTTGAGCATCACACCTTCTTTGCCACATATTTGCAACTTAGTTTCATGATGATTCCTTAGTCTAGCCCGTGCAATGAACTGACCTCTCTCTTTCCATGGTAACATTTCAGTCCTTAATAATCTGTGCTATGTTTAGTGAGACTGAAAACTTTATTATCCCCACTTTAGACATTAGAAACCAGATTTGTAATTTTTCAAGTGTCAAATGAGAACCATGTGGCTAAGTGCCCACATACATCTGGGGTTCTATTACTATGGAGGAAAAGCAGAACGGATATATTGGAGGACATCTAGCAGCCTGTATCATAGGAGAGAAATGTAAAATGATCATGTCAGAAAAGGACAATTAAAAGGATTAGTACAAGCAGCTCATGCCAGGGCCTTGCTGTGGGAAATCATAAAGAAAGAACTGAAAGTGGACCTTGAAGGTAGGTATATCAGTGATCTATTGTTATGAACAAATCACCACAAACCTAGAGGCTTAAAACAACACTCATTTATTTTTATTTATTTTATTATTATTATTATTATTTTTGAGATGGAGTCTCGCTCTACTGCCCAGGCTGGAGTGCAGTGGCGCAATCTCCGCTCACTGCAAGCTCCGCCTCCCAGGTTCACGCCATTCTCCTTCCTCAGCCGCCCGAGTAGCTGGGACTACAGGTGCCCGCAACCACATCCAGCTAATTTTTTGTATTTTTAGTAGAGACGGGGTTTCACCGTGTTAGCCAGGATGGTCTCGATCTCTCGACCTCGTGATCCACCCGCCTCGGCCTCCGAAAGTGCTGGGATTACAGGCGTGAGCCACCACGCCCGGCCTTATTATTACTATTTTTTGAGACGGAGTCTCGCTCTGTCACCAGGCTGGAGTACAGTGGCATGATCTCAGCTCACTGCAACCTCTGCCTCCCGGGTTCAAGTGATTCTCCTGCCTCAGCCTCCCAAGTAGCTGGGACTACAGGCACGCACCACCATGCCCAGCTAATTTTTGTATTTTTAGTAGAGACGGAGTTTCACCATGTTGGCCAGGATGGTCTCGATCTTTTGACCTCATGATCCACCCGCCTTAGCCTCCCAAAGTGCTGGGATTACAGGTGTGAGCCACCGCGCCTGGCCACAACACTCATTTATTATCTCACAACTGTGTAGGTCAGAAGTCCTGCATGGTGTGACTGGGTTCTCTGCTCAGTGTCGCAAAGCTGAAATAAAGGTGTCTACTGGACTGAAAACAAGGTGTCCCCTGGAGCTCTCAGCTGGAGGAAAAATCTGTTTCCAAGATCATTCTTCTTGTTGGTAGAGTTCAGCTCCTTGTAACTGTGCGACCAACTTCCCCGTTTCCTTGCTAGCTGTCAGGGGCCACTCTCAGCTCCTAGGGGCTGCCCACATACCTTGACCCATGGCCTCCCACGTCTTTAATCTAGCAACAGCTCATCAAATCCTCTTGTGCTTTTGAGTTCATTTGTTGTAACTGGCCAGAGAAAACTCTCTGCTTTAAAAGAGCTCATGTGATTAGGTCAAGCCCACTTGGATAATCTCCCTGTTTTAAGACCAACTGTGCTATATAATGTAATCTGATTATGAAAGTAAAATCCCTTATAGTCACAGCCTGGGGATTATGGAGAGTGTGTATATTCGGAGTGAGAAATCCCGGGGGACATCTTAGAATTCTGTCTACCACAATAGGTAAGAGTTAGACAAGCACTGATAGCTTTCTAGGTGGGAAAGAAATGTGGAGAAAAGCTCAAAAGTGAAACTCTACCAGGAATTTCTGGAGACTGTGAATATGTCAGTTTGTGACTGCTCTAATAATGATAATGGTTTCTTTTACTGAAGGTCTCCTAGGTGCTTTACAAATTCCCTTACATCAGCTCTGTGACGGTGCTATTATCCCACTTGCCGGAGTTATATCTCCATCAAGTTGTGAAGCTGGGGTTCTGGCTTGAGCTCTGGATGGCTCTGAATTTATGCTGTTTGCACTGTTTAACCTGCCTGTCTGTGGGTCTAAGGTGGGGAAGCTGAAGGCAGTAAGGTTGGTCTGGACCCAGATTGTGGAGGGCATTGGTGTTAACACATGCTAACAGGCACCAAGAAAGATTTTAGAGGGAGCCAGTGAATGTGGAAATCAGGGGGACGGAAATGGGTATGATTATGGATGTTGGGGAGCACATGGGCTGGATGTGCAATGTGATATTCTTTTTGGGAGGTTAATATGGCCAGTCAGGCATTAAAGATGATTACATGATCAAGCCTCTGAGTCTTCCTGCCAATCTGTAGGAAATATATAGTTCAGAAGAACAAGTTAAACTACACATAAATATACAATCAGCAAAGTGGGGACAGGGTGAGGATTTAACAAAATCATACACTTTTTGGGAGGCTATATATACTTTGGGAGGCCATTTATACTTTGGGAGGCCAAGGCAGGTGGATTTCTTGAGTCCAGGAGTTTGAGATCAGCCTGGACAACATGGCGAAACCTTGTCTCTATCAAAAATACAAAAATTAGCCGGGCGTGGTGGCATGCACCTGTGGTCCCAGCTACTTGGGATGCTGAGGTGGGAGAATCACCTGAGCCTGGGGAGGTCAAGGCTGCAGTGAGCCGAAATCACACCACTGCACTCCAGCCTGGACAATCGGAGTGAGACCCTATCTCAAAAAATAAAAACATAAATAAAAATAAATAAAATAAAATAATTTTTAAAATAAAAAAATCATATCGTTCCATCACTCAACTTTTTTTTTTTTGGACAGGGAGTCTCACTCTGTTGCTCAGGCTAGAGTGCAATGGCACGGTATCAGCTCACTGCAACCTCCACCTCCCAGGTTCAAGCAAGTCTCCTGTCTCAGCCTCCCGATTAGCTGGGATTACAGGCACCTGCCACCACACCTGGCTAATTTTTGTATTTTTAGTTGAGACGGGGTTTCACCAGGTTGGCCAGGCTGGTCTTGAACCCCTGACCTCAGGTGATCTGCCTGCCTCAGCCTCCCAAAATGCTGGGATTACAGGCGTGAGCCACCGTGCCTGGCCCCATCACCCAAATATTTATACTATTAACACAAAGTAATGGGCAGAGAAAACAGCTGTGGTGGTTGTGGTAGGACTAGACAAAAATTTTCATTTGATGTGAGAATCTTTTGCTTGGAGGCATTACTGAAAGTGTTTACCTCAGAATGGGAAAGCTTGGGCAAAAGCGAATTTGAAGTAAGTAAGACGTTTGGAAGATGTCTTTTTTTTTTTTTTTTTTTTTTTGAGACAGAGTCTTGCTCTGTCGCCCAGGATGGAGTGTAGTGGCGCGATCTCCGCTCACTGCAAGCTCCGCCTCCCGGGTTCACGCCATTGTCCTGCCTCAGCCTCATGAGTAACTGGGACTACAGGCGCCCGCCACCACGCCTGGCTATTTTTTTTGTATTTTTAGTAGATACGGGGTTTCACCGTGTTAGACAGGATGGCCTAGATCTCCTGACCTCGTGATCCGCCCGCCTCAGCCTCCCAAAGTGCTGGGATTACAGGCGTGAGCCATCGCGCCCGGCCTGGAAGATGTCTTATACAAAGCGTGAGGGAACTGGATAATTTGGTCTTACCTATCAAAATATAAAATGCATATACTTTTGCGTTTTTCTCTTTCCTGGTAGGCATTTGCGCTAGATAAATACACAGATGCACAGCACAGGGGTAAGTACAATTCATGCAGAATTGTTTTTTAATAGTGAAAACCAGGACCCAACCCAAGTCCATGAGTAGGAAATTGGTTCTGTAAATAGTTTTATTTCATGCAATGGAATATCATGCAGTCATTAAGAAGAATGAGGTAGACCTCTACCAGCAGTGAAAGATAAGGGCATTTTAATCAAGGGCAATCATACCTAGTTCCAGGAAAATGTTTATTAATCTCATTTAGTTAGAAAATATATATGTAGAAGTGAATCTATAGACAAGTCTAGAAGGCTACACACCCAGCTGTTAAACAGAATGTCTTTGAGGAGGGCAGGGGGCGGAGTCTGCGTTTACGTGAATGGGACGCTGCTGTTTCTCAGTGCACCTCTGCTGTTTGAATCTTTTACTAAAAACCTTCCCATGCATTGCTGGGAGGGAATGGAAGGAGTATTTTGAGGGTTTCGTGTGAAGGGAAAAGTTGAGGAGGGGACGTGGGAGACCCCTTGGTCTCATCAAACTCTAGCGCCGCTTGAGGTGAGGAGACCCCGCCCCGCTGAGGTGATTCTGCAGAGGGGCGGAGCCCCCCAGATCCGAGGCGGGAGGCGGCCCGGGGGCGGGACCAGCCGGCTCCAGCGGCCCGCTCCGCTCCCACCATGCCCTTATAAGGAGCGCCCGGCGTTAGGGCTCGGGAATCCGGTAGCAATCCCGGCGGCTCAGCCCCAATCCCAGGCCCCTCCCTTAGGAATGGGGGAGGGGCGGGGTTTGGCGGCGCGGTGGCTGGGGCGGAGCATCTCGAAAAGGGACCAGTAGGAGTGGCGGCCCAGGTCTGAGCTGCGCTGCCATTGGGCGCGGCGACGAGAGGGGGCGGGGAGCCCGTGAGGCTGGTTACGCCGAGGGAAGCCCCGACTCCGTAGTCGCTGCACAGTCTGTCTCTTCGCCGGTTCCCGGCCCCGTGGATCCTACTTCTCTGTCGCCCGCGGTTCGCCGCCCCGCTCGCCGCCGCGATGCCAGTGTTTCATACGCGCACGATCGAGAGCATCCTGGAGCCGGTGGCACAGCAGATCTCCCACCTGGTGATAATGCACGAGGAGGGCGAGGTGGACGGCAAAGCCATTCCTGACCTCACCGCGCCCGTGGCCGCCGTGCAGGCGGCCGTCAGCAACCTCGTCCGGGTGAGCGCGCAGGGCCTGGCGCGGGAGCGGGCGCGGGAGGTATCCCCGGGGCCCCGGCCCGCGTCGCGGCTGCCTGTGGCCGGCTCGCTGGCCGTGGCTTTCCGCGTGGGTTCCGGAGCCAGGCGCCGAGGGTTCGAATGGCCTCTTCTCCGCCCTGTGACCTTGAGCGAGTCCTGAGCCTCTCCGGGCCTCAGTGTCCTCATCTATAAAATGGGAGCAGTCATGAAAAAGGCTGCCTTGCGGGCTTGTCGTGAAGATATGGCGAGGTATTATTCGTGGAGTGCCTCGCGCGGCGTGTGGCCCACAGCAGACACCCAATAAATGAGAGTTGCTGGGATGTCCGAGGGTCCCTGCCCCGCGCAGGCTTCGCCCCCACGTTGACTTCCTCGCTCTCAGCGCCTTTTAGGCCTCCTCGATCTGGCTGTGCGGGGGAGGGAGAGCGGGCCTTCCCACGGATCCCTTGCCTTCTCTTCTAGGGATCCTTATTTGAGCCACGTTGTCCTCCTTTCTAATACTTCTGCCCCTCACCCTGAGACCCGCCTCGCCCACCCCCGCTCCCCAGAGCTCCCTGTATTCCGCCCTTTTATTCACTTGCCTCACTCTCTGTCGCCTCCTCCTCCCTCCTGGGCATTTTACTTATGCTCACTCCTCTGGCACTCTCACACCTTTATGCAGTCATTCGTGACCACAAGCCCGGTTTTTCCTTCCGCTCAGCCCTGCTGCCCTTCCTTTCATTCCCTCCTGTGGACATTTTCACCTGGCGTTACCTGCTGTCAAACGGCCTCCTCCCACTGGGGCCTTTCTAGACTCGGGGGCCCTCCTTGGCCCCTCCTCCTGGCAGGAAGCAAGATGGAGCTGTTGGGAGAGGCCTGTGGAATCTGGGATCTGCCGCCCCTGCCGGAGAGAAGGCTGGGGCATCCGCTCCCCATCCACAACTTTCCTGGTGGCTCTGCAGACCCCTGTAACCCACAGCTGTGACTCATAACCGAGGTGATTCCTGGAGGAGGTGGAGCCCACGTCTGAAATGGGAAAAAAGAGGTGCTGAGACCAGTCTCCCAAGACTCCCCTGGCTAATGTCACACTTTTCTTTCCCACCCTGGGTGGGTGACTCAGACTGGTCCTGCTTGTGAGGAACAATTTTGGAAAAAGTTCATACTGCTCCCCCACTGAGCTGTGTAAATAGTGTGTGTCAGGGCAGTTGGGCGGCAACTGTGGGTCTGTCTGGGTGGGGCTTGGGTTACTTTTCTGATTTGAGCACTTTAGTGCACTTAGAGGCTCTTTAGCAGCTGAAAGTCTTCCTCAGTCTTCAGGGGTCCCTGGACTGTCTCAAGCAATTTAGGAGACTGGTAGCTAGGAAGACAGGGTGACACCACCGACCAAATTCCTGATCTTTCTTCTCTATAGCTTTAGTAAGAATCTATTCATTCAGTAAGAATGCTGTATTCATTCACAATGTCTACTTGTACATTGTTCTTCTTTTTATAACTAATTTGAACAGAACACTCCAGAGTACATTCTTATGTAGTGTTGTCTAACATGGCTGCATTCCAGGCCTCCATTTTTCAACAAATAGGAAACAATGTAAAGAGACAAGGTAATAGTGTCTCTCCATGTAGTACTTCAGGAAATGAAATCTTAAAACCACATGTTGCACTTGGAACAGAGCTAGTGTAGTCTAGGGGTTGATATCTGGTTAGGCTATTTAGAGAAAAGTTATTTATGGGCTTCCATGCCATGAATTAATAAGCATTGAATGTCTGCTATATGGAAAACACTGCAATAAATCAGTGCTTCTCAGCTTAAGAGTGTTCATGAAAATCATCAGTGAGGCTTTTTAGAAATTAAGATGTCCAGCTCCCACGGGTCAAGGCCTTTGTATTTTGCTTTTTTTTTTTTTTTTTTTTGAGACAGGGTCTCGCTCTGTCACGCAGGCGCTGGAGTGCAATGGCGTGATCATAGCTCACTGCAGCCTCCATCTCCTGGACTGAGAAAAATCCTCCCACCTCAGCCTCCCAAGTAGCTGAAGGCCTTTGTTTGTTTGTTTGTTTGTTTGTTTTTGAGATGGAGTCTTCCTCTGTCACGAGGCTGGAGTGCAGTGACACGATCTGGGCCCACTGCAACGTCCTCCTCCCAGGTTCAAGTGATTCTCCTGCCTTAGCCTCCCGAGTAGCTGGGACTACAGGTTCGCACCACCGTGGCCAGCTAATTTTTGTATTTTTAGTAGAGGCGGGGTTTCACCATGTTGGCCAGGATGATCTCCATCTCTTGACCTTGTGATTTGCCCGCCTCGGCCTCCCAAAGTGCTGAGATTACAGGCATGTGCCACTGTGCCCGGCCAGGCCTTCGTATTTTTTAGGAAGCTCCATAGGTGATTGTGATATACGGCCTTAGTTAGGAAACACTGTAATACACACTGTGAGACAAATACAAAAGAAATAAGGTTATAAGATGAAAACAATGATATGTAGTTAAGTTATATACTTTCCAACACATACAAAAGAGGGGACTTGAGATTGGTGGTAGCTATGGGTTAGCAGAGACAAAGTAGGGAGGATTGTGCTGATAAATAGTTAATCATGAACAAAGGTACTTGTGAGTAAGTCACTTCCAGGTTACAGCAAGTAGATTATCTTGATTGCAGCTCAGGAGACAAGTTGGAGAGAAATTGGAGATGAAGTTAGTGCGTGACATATGGGCAGTGTAACATAGGCCTTATCCAAAAGGATGAACAAAGAGAGCAGGAGGGGAAGGAGGATGAGAATAGTGTGTGAGAAAGACTGCGTGAGAATGGCGTGTGAGAATAGTATAGTGTGTTTTGGGGAGGCCAGAGGACCTACCCATTGCTTCACATTCTTGGTGCCAACTGTGACCGTTAAATATGTGGATTCTGTACATGCTTCAAGATTGTTCCTGGAGGTCAAGCCTTGTCTGATATTCCTCTCTTTTTAAAAAATTTTATTTTGGTTTTAAATAGAGACAGGGTCTTGTTATGTTGCCCAGGCTGGTCTCGAATCCCTGGGCTCAAGCAATCCTCCCGCCTTGGCCTCTCAAAGTGCTGGATTACAGTTGTGAGCTACTGTGCCTGGTCTGATATTTCTTTATATGGTCCTCAGTTCCTGCCCTCAAAATTGGCACATAGGATCACTCAATAAATATTGTTGAAGGAACTATGGGAAGGGAGACAAATTGGGAAGCTTTTAAAATTGGTTGGTTATGAAGAAAATGAAGGCCTGGACTTGCGAGTGGCAGGGAAAATGGAGAAGGAATTAATCAGAAATATATTAGAAGAAGAAATAATAGAACTGGATAATTGAACTCTGAATTTGCTAGAAAAGAAACATAGTATTACGGTAAAATAATGAAACTGATTTTAGAACAAATCTTCTGGAATTTATGTAATCTGGGTGAGTATTTCTTGGGAGTTACTTTGGGAGGTTATATCCTTATTCTAGTGCTTTTCTTTGGGAATTTCTTTCAGATTATTTACATACGTATGCCAAATTAGTCTTATTTTGGTCAAGAAAGTGTACATTTTGACTGAAGTAGGCATTCTTGAGCTCAACTACTTCATTTACTGTTCTTGAGCCTAAATGACTTTTGGATATTTCCATAATTAAAATTTACTAGATGAAGATGAAATTTTCAATTGTTGTAATAGTCATTCACTTATCAAGCAGGTGTTTATTGAGACCCCTTCCAATGTCAAAGCAATAAGTGTGATGCCTGTCACAATCAGTATGATACTGAATTGGAAGTCTTTTTTTTCTGAGATGGAGTTACGCTCTTATTGCCCAGGTTGGAGTGCAGTGGCATGATCTTGGCTCACCGCAACCTCTGTCTCCCAGGTTCAAGTGATTCTCCTGCCTCAGCCTCCCTAGTAGCTGGGATTACAGGCATGTGCCACCACGCCCGGCTAATTTTGGATTTTTAGTAGAGACGGGGTTTCTCCATGTTGGTTAGGCTGGTCTTGAACTCCTGACCTCAGGTTATCCGCCCGCCTCGGCCTCCCAAAGTGCTGGGATTACAGGCGTGAGCCACCACGCCCGGCTGAATTGGAAATCTTAAGTGGCACTGAGGAAACAGAGTATGATGGAAAGTCAGAGGAAGACGAGATTACTTTTGATTGGAGAATCAGGGAAGGCTTCACAGAGGATATAACATTGAGTTGGGTCTTAAAGACAGATAGGATTTGAATATTTAGAGATGTGGTAAGAAAGGTATTACTTGGCCAAGTATGGTGGCTCATGCCTGTAATCCCAGCACTTTGGGAGGCCGAGGCGGGCTGATCACGAGGTCAAGAGATGGAGACCATCCTGGCCAACAGGGTGAAACCCCGTCTCTACTAAAAATACAAAAATTAACTGGGCATGGTGGCACGCGCCTGTAGTCCCAGCTACTCGGGAGGCTGAGGCGGGAGAATCGCTTGAATCCGGGAGGTGGAGGTTGCACTGAGCTGAGATCTTGCCACTGCATTCCAGCCTGGTGACAAAGGAAGACTCTGTCTCAAAAAAAAAAAAAAAAAGAAAGACATTACTTACTTTTATGGGGGCAGAACTCATTAGGATTTGTAATTTCATGTATATTTGCTAAGCAAAGTAGTCTGGTCACTGATATATATATATAAATATATATATAAAATTTGCAACTGGGTCATCACTTTTACTCCACAATTAGGGAGGGGGTAGGGTGGGAGTATTTATTTATTTATTTATCTTGAGATAGAGTCTCACTGTGTAGTCCAAGCTGGAGTGCAGTGGCGTGACCTCAGCTCACTGCAACTTCTGCCTCCCGGGTTCAAGTGATTCTCCTGCCTCAGCCTCCCAGGTAGCAGGGATTACAGGCATGTACCACTTAAAACTCTATTTAAGGCAGTTTTAAACACAGAGAGTGAGTCCAATTCAATAATGAAACAAGGAAGAGGAGGTAGTCAAGGGAAGGGTGGGAAAGGAAAAATAGGAGAAGGGCACAAGAAATTCTAAGAAGGCTTGGATTCAGCAGGCAGTGTGAAAAAGTCACAAGTCTTAGACTGAGTACTTTGTAGCATGGTATATAAATTTTTCTTTTTTTCATTAAAATGGCCCATAGAAATGTGTCAGTCTGTGATGTGACATTATAGTCATGCCAGTTTTGTTAATGGGGCTTCAGATACTTTGCTTTCTCCAGTGCATCTGAGAGCATGTGTTGTAAGTACTCCTTGGGCTCATGAAATATTTATTTTGGGAGTTTTTTGTGGCCTTGACTTTTATGGGCCTCACTTGTATATCATATGTTCTTGGGACCAGCTCTGGGACAAATAGCAGTATTATCTTCACTTTACACTGATAAATGGGAAAGACTGCTCTGCTCTTGTTTTGTTGTTGTTTAGAGATGGAGTCGCTCTGTCGCCCAGGCTGGAGTGCAGTGGTGTGATCATAGCTCACTGCAGCCTCGAACTCCTGGGCCCAACAGATCCTCCCACCTCAGCCTCCTTAGTAGCTGGGACTACAGGGGTGCACCTCCATGCCTGGCTAATTTAAAATTTTTTTTATAGAGATAGGGTTTCACTATATTTCCAAGGCTGGTCTTGAACTCCTGGCCTCAAACAATACTGCTGCCTCAGCCTCCCAAAGTGCTGGGATTATAGGCATGATCCACTGTGTCCAGCCTACTCTGATCTTAAAAGGAGATCAGCAGTTAATTTTGTCATTTGTAATTATCAGTATTAACATCTGAAAATATTTTTGCTTTAAAATTTGGTTGATATTAGACTTTATTTCAGTTAAGTAAATAACAGTGTTTGGGTGGGTGATTTTTTTCTTCTTAATATATTTCTGTATTTTCCAATTTTTGAAAATTAATATATAATTCCTATGCTAAGGAAAAAATAGAGTAAATAAAAAGAATATTTATGTGATCATTTATAGCTCATAAAATACTTTTATATTTATAATCTCATAGCAGTCTATGGGTAGGTATAGTGGTGGTCTCCGTTTTACAGATGAGGGAGGATACTGTAGTTCAGATAAATTAAGTAACCTGCCCACAGTGGCACAGCTGGTTAACCTGGACTTGAACTGTGGTCTGTTGTTCCAGATCCTCTGCTTTTTTTCACACCACCATTCCACATCTACTTAGAGCAAAGTTGTTAAATATCAGTGGAGGTTTCCCACCTAGAATCAGAAGCAACAGGAATGCTGTTAGTCATAGAGGTTCCATTTGTCCTGGGTCTGGCAACAGTATCTGTTTAGAGCCTGGCTTTAGCATAGCCTGCATGAATGGCCTATATGAGAAGAATGATGTGAAGGTAAGCTTGTTTCATAGCCACACCCAATTTCATAGCATTTCTTTTCTTTTCTTTTTTTTTTTTTGAGACGGAGTCTCACTCTCTTGCCCAGGCTGGAGTGCAGTGGTGCGATCTCAGCTCACCGCAACCTCCGCCTCCTGGGTTCAAGCGATTCTCCTGCCTCAGCCTCCCGAGTAGCTGGGATTACAGGCATGCACCACCATGCCTGGCTAATTTTTGTATTTTTAGTGGACACTAGGTTTCACCATGTTGGCCAGGGTGGTCTTGATTTCCTGACCTCAGGCCATCCACCCTCCTCGGCCTCCCAAAGTGCTGCGGTCACAGACATGAGCCACCACGCCTGATCCACAGCATTTCTTTTTTGAGAAATTAGAGTAGATACAGATCAGCACAAAAGTATGCCTGCAAAACAGATGAAGAGTTTTTGTGGTATATGTGCCTGCTTAGCTTGAAGCCTGTTAGAATGAAATCGTATGTAAAATAACTTTGTAGATTACTTGGGGAATCATGAAGTTTCATTTGTAAAGCTGTTGCTACATCAAAAGAGATGTAAGAACGAGACAGATATCTATATCTATAGATAGATATATGTATTTTTCTTTTTTTTCTTTTTTGAGATGCAGTCTCGCCCTGTTGCCCAGGCTGGAGTGCAGTGGTGCGATCTTGGCTCACTGCAACCTCTGCCTCCCAGGTTCAAGCGATTTTCCTGTCTCAGCCTCCTGAGTAGCTGGGATTACAGTCGTGTGCCACCACGCCTGGCTAATTTTTTGTATTTTTAGTAGAGATGGGGTTTCACCATGTTGGCCAGGCTGGTCTCAAACTCCTGACCTCATGTGATCCACCCGCCTTGGCCTCCCAAAGTGCTGGGATTACAGGTGTGAGCCATTGCACCCAGCCAGAGACAGAGATATATTTTGTTCCAATCATTTTTAACATTTACTCATGTGACTGAGAGAACAGAAGATTTTTGGAGATGGGCAGTTATCCGTCGGTATCCATGGGGGATTGGTTGCAGGAACCCCCCTCGGATACCAAAATCTGCAGATACTCAAGTTACTTACATAAAGTGGCATGGTATTTGCATATAACCTATGCACATCCTCCTGTATACTTTGTCATCTCTAGATTACTTATACTGTAATACCTAATATGATGTAAATGTTATAAATAGTTATACTGTTTTTTTAATTTTTATTTTTATTGTTGTATTGTTTTTTATTTTTATTTTTATTTATTTATTTTTTTGAGACAGAGTCTCGCTGTTTCACCCAGGCTGGAGTGCAATTGCACGATCTCAGCTCACTGCAACCTCTGCCTCCCAGATTCAAGAGATTCTCCCACCTCAGCCTCCTGAGTAGTTGGGATTACAGGCACCCACCATAATGCCTGGCTAATTTTTGTATTTTTAGTAGAGACAGCGTTTCACCTTGTTAGCCAGGCTGCTCTTGAACTCCTGACCTCAGGTGATCCGCTCGCCTCGGCCTCCCAAAGTGCTGGGATTACAGGTGTGAGCCACTGTGCCCGGCCTATTTTTATTTGTATTTGTATATTTTTGATCTCCAGTTGGTTGAATCCATAGATGTGGAACTCAAGGATATGCAGGGCTATAGCTATGTTTAAATTTTAATGGAACCACAACTTAAATGTTTGTTTACATCCACACAGTGGAAAATTGGGCTTTTCTAAAGCTGTTTTATAAATAGAGCTGGTATAACTCTAAATGGACAAAGTAAGAGGGCAAAAGTCCTCTGGTATCAGCAACAGTAGCTTAGATTGGGTCCTCCTGTTACAGTCCTGGAGTAAGGACAACAGTAGGACAAACTACTTTTATAGGACTCATTTGAATTTTACTATTTCTTAGATATTTGTTTAAAAACAAACTAGCCTGGTTATTTCATACACAGGTTGAGTATCTCTAATCTGAAAATCTGAAATCTGAAATGCTCCAAAATCTGACTTTTTGAGTATTGACGTGATGCCACTTGTGGAAAATTCCACATCTGACCTCATGATAGGTAGAAGTCAAAACTTTGTTTCATGCACAAATTATTACAACTATTATGTAAAATTACCTTCATGCTATGTGTATATGAAACATAAATGAATTTTGTGTTTAACCTTTGGTCCTATCTCCAATATAGCTCATGATATATATGCAAAAATTCCCAAATCCAAAAAAATCTGAAATATGAGATACTTCTGATCTGAAGCATTTCAGATAAGGGATATTTAACCTGTACTTATTTAATTACTCATCATTTATATAGTTATGAAGTGTTTATGTTTTATATATAGTCATTTTATTTTTATTTATTTATTTATTTTGAGACAGGATCTTGCTCTGCTGCTCAGGCTGGAGTGCAGTGGCACAATCTGGGCTCACTGTAGCGTCGACCTACTGGGCATTGATCCTCCCACCGCAGCCTCCCGAGTAGTTGGGACTACAGGCTTACACCATCATGCCCAACTATTTTTGTATTTTTAGTAGTATTTAAACAAATATCCAAATGGGGTTTTGCCATGTTGCCCAGGCTGTTCTTGAACTCCTGGGCTCAAGTGATCCACCTGCCTTGGCCTCCCAAAGTGCTGTGATTACAGATGTGAGCCAGTGTGCCTGGCCAGGATTGTAACTTTAAGAGCCTTCTGACAACTTCCCAGTCTTTCACTGCACCCTTTGAAATGGGTAGGATAGGAATATCCTCATTATCCACAGCCTGTAGTTCAGCATAGCATGGAGATGCTCTGTTATTACACTCATACTTGTTCAGTGTTTGTCATCTCACTAAGTTGTAGGTTCCTCAGTGGCAGGGACAATATGCCTCTCCGGGTTATAGGTATGCAATATACTTTTTTTTGAGACGGAGTTTCGCTCTGTTGCTCAGGCTGCAGTGCAGTGGGACAATCTTGGCTTACTGCAACCTCTGCCTCCCGGGTTCAAGTGATTCTCCTGCCTCAGCCTCCTGAGTACCTGGGATTACAGGCACGTGCCACCACACCCAGCTAATTTTTGTATTTTTAGTAGAGACAGGGTTTTACCATGTTGGTCAGGTTGGTCTCGAACTCCTGACCTCAAGTGATCCACCTGCCTTGGCCTCCCGAAGTACTGGGATTACAGGCATGAGCCGCTGCGCTCAGCCTAAATTTTTTTTTCCTTTTTTTTTGAGATGGAGTTTCATTCTTGTTGCCCAGGCTGGAGCGCAGTGGCACAATCTCCGCTCACTGCAACCTCTGCCTCCTGGGTTCAAGTGATTCTCCTGCCTCAGCCTCCCAAGTAGCTGGAATTACAGGCACCCACCACCATGGACGGCTAATTTTTGGTATTTTTAGTAGAGATGGGGATTCACCATGTTGGCCAGTCTGGTCTCGAAGTCCTGACCTGAGGTGATCTACCCACCTTAGCTTCCCAAAGTGCTGGGATTATAGGCATGAGCCACCGCGCCCGGCCTAAATTTTTAAATTAAGTGAACATATGCATAGCATTTATTTTTATTTATAACATATAATATTAGGAATTATCGTACAGTGAATATTTCCCATCCCCAGCTGTCAAATATCTGGTATAGTCAAATTTGAGCCATCTCATGGAATTTATAATGGGCTTTGACTGAAACAAGTGAAATATATACTAAGAGGAATGAATGGCTAACTGCCCATTGTTTGAGATAACAAAAGTGTTCAGGCTATTTTGGGTTGTGGTTTTTCTGTTTCAGAGTCATTTCAGCTATGCAGATCACTTACTAAATTCATAATGTGAGAGTATGTTACCTTCTATCTGAAAGTGGCGTTGGGATTTTGCATTCTCTTCTTGGGAGTGCCTTTTTAAAATTTAATGATTTAGACCAGATGTTGATATATTATTTGGAGCCCTGCTGGTTACAATGTAGTCTCATACTATGAGTCAGAATTCCTCATTAAAGGATCTTTATTTCCCTGAACCATATGGCAAGAGACAAAGATATCACAAAGTTGATCTGCTGCTTTTTTGCTTTCTGGCTGATTTGGGCCCAGCCTTTTCATTAAACCTTTAGGTCATGGTTCCGACAGCGGGGTGTATTTTTACATAATAAACCAGCATTAGGGCAGTATCAAAAGAAGTAGCAGTCTTTAATGAGCAAATATCAGAGATTAGCTGCTTTCTTTGTAGATGTTTCTTTCTAGAATATGCTGTTTGGTCAGAATTCTTGATGAGGAAGGTCCATTCAGTCAGTTCTTGTTGCTCTCAGGCAGGTCAACCCTTAAACCTTTCCATACAGATAGGACTAGAATAAAAAACAAACTTCTGCCTTGGCATTTTTAAGCTTCAACAACTTTCAGTGCTATATAATGTAAATCCTTAAGAGTTAGCTTTTGGGGGGGAAAATTCAAGTCTGTAATAAGACTGAAAGATAGAGAAGAAATTTGATATATTGGAGGAAGGACGTCCCATTGAAAGCTTTCATGTGTCTTTCTTTTCCCTGTACCTTGGATCTGTAGAAGTCTTGCAGTATATGTTTGAATATAGTGGGCCACATAAGTTCAGGTGAAATAATTTTCAAATTGTCTAGGTGGCTGCTGCTTTCCCCCCCCCCCCCCGAGCCATTTTAGTATTTAATTCTGTTTTTTATTTTTATTTTTTTTTGAGACGGAGTCTCGCTCTATTGCCCAGGCTGGAGTGCAGTGGCGCCATCTCGGCTCACTGCAAGCTCCACTTCCCGGGTTCACGCCATTCTCCCACCTCAGCCTCCCGAGTAGCTGGGACTACAGGCGCCTGCCACCACGCCCGGCTAATTTTTTTGTATTTTTAGTAGAGATGGAGTTTCACCATGTTAGCCAGGATGGTCTCGATCTGCTGACCTCGTGATCTGCCTGCCTCAGCCTCCCAAAGTGCTGGGATTACAGGCATGAGCCACCGCGCCCGGCTTTAATTCTGTTTCTATTGGGAATTGTTATGGAAAGGAAAGCTGTCTTACCTTATTTATTAATTATTATTATTATTTTGAGACAGAGTCTCACTCTGTTGCCCAGGCTATGGCATGATCTTGACTCACTGCAACCTCCACCTCACGGGTTCAAGCAGTTCTCCTGTTTCAGCCTCCCAAGTAGCTGGGACTACAGGCATGCGTCACCACACCTGGCTAATTTTTGTATTTTTAGTAGAGACGGGGTTTCACCTATTGGCCAGGCTGGTCTTGAACTCCTGACCTCAAATGAACCACCCCCTCGGCCTCCCAAAGTGTTGGGATTACAGGCATGAACCACTGCGGCCAGCCACCTTTTTCTTTTTTTTATTTTTCTTTACTTTTTTGAGATGGAGTCTTGCTCTGTTGCCCAGGCTGGAGTGCAGTGGTGAGATCTCAGCTCACTGCAACCTCTGCCTCCTGGGTTCAAGTGATCCTCCCTCTTCAGCCTCCCAAGTAGCCGAGATTACAAGCATGCGCCACACACCCAGCTAATTTTTTGTATTTTTAGTAGAGACAGAGTTTTACCATGTTGGCCAAGCTGGTCTCAAACTCCTGACTTCAAGTGATCCATCCGCCTCGGATTCCCAAAGTGTTGGGATTACAGGCTGTGAGCCACTGCACCAGCCTACCTTTTTCTTCTTAACAAGTTACAAAAAGATTTATTAGGGAAGGAAGTTGAGAATATGTAAGTAGGGAATTTTGTTCTTTTGTATTTTTATCAAAGTATTTTAGTTTTCATATTGCATTAAAAAATAATACTATTGAACAGTATACTATTAGTAATCACTTTTTATCATGCTGTGTCTTCATATAGTCTGAAAGAATAATTTTTCTTGTTACAAAATAATGCATTTTTATTGTTGAAAATTTAGAAAATCTATCTTTATTTGCAATCTTCTGTCAGTATTTCTCAGCCTTTTTCATTTCTGTCTACTTGAACTTGATTTGCATCATTTTTTCTTGTTACTCCAAACCAATTTATGTTTCTCTGGGTATAAATACAAATTTAACTATATATAGATGCACCAGCTCTTATCCTTTTCACCGTTTAAAAAAAAAAACAAACAAAAACAAAACCCATCTCTAGTTCACTTTCCTGCTTATGAATTTTCAAAGCAAGGTGAGGAAACCCACTGTCTTAAAATACCCCAAGACTTTCTCTGCCATCTGGGGAGCTGTGCTGTAGACAGGAAACTGCTGCTTCAGAAAATATGAAATGAAATAACTTCAAGATAATGAGCCTCATCCTGAAAGAACTTCTGGTCCCAACATACTTATTAAGACATGGGGGCTGGGCATGGTGGCTCATGCCTGTAAGCCCAGCACTCTGGGGTGCTGAGGCAGGTGGATCACCTGAGGTCAGGAGTTCGAGACCAGCCTGGCCAACATGGCGAAACCCCATCTCTACTAAAAATTCAAAAAATTGGCTGGGCATGGTGGCAGGTGCCTGTAATCCCAGGTACATGGGAGGCTGAGGCAGGAGAATCGTTTGAACCCAGGAGGCAGAGGTTGCAGTTAGCTGCGCCATTGCACTCCAGCGTGGGCAACAAGAGTGAAACTCTATCTCAAAAAAAAAAAAAAAAAAAAAAAAAAGACACGGGATCAAATAACCATTGATTAAATTAAGTATGTGCATTGCATGTATGCAAAGAGGTAGAGTGGGATAGAGTGTTAGGTAAAAAGGAACTTGTATAATTAGACGTAGGAAATGGGGAACTCACTGCCTTCTTTCAAGTCCCTTGGTAAATGTAGATTTTATGTCCTCATATACTGGATCATCAGTCCTTGGATGATGGATTTCATATCGAATTTTCTTCCCCCTCTCCTCCCTACTCTCCTAGGGTGTCTCCCTTTAGACTGTTGGTTTCTGAAGGGCAAGGAGTGGGTTTTATTCTTCATATTATTGGTTCTGTGTTTACCATAGTCCCCTGCTCATGGTAGTTCTTCAATTAAGTGTGTTATGTTCTGATATTTAATATACCAGCTAGTCATTTTAGGTTATTTTATGATAATAAGGATAGCTGATTATCTCTTGCCTCCACTGGAAGGCATGATGTTTCTCTTTTCCTGCCCTCAAATGTTGCTATGTACCAAATATTTATACAGTCTCAAAGAGAAACAAAGATTCATAAACGATATTATATTGTGTTGGGTACATATTTTGAACTTTTAGATTCCAAAAAATTCCATGTCACTTCTATCAGAAGTTAGCACACTGGATTGGCATAAGTGTGGGGTGTGTGTATAGAGGAGAGAGGTGGTGAATCTTAGAACTCGAAATGTTTTACAAATGTTGTTAAGCTGCAGAAAATAGAGTCTTTGGCCCTTAGAGAATTTCCCACTGATAAAATTTCCAGTTGAATGACTTTTAAGGGGAAAGTGGCTGAATTTCACTGCACTTCTTACCACAGCTGGCCACCATCCAAGTCAAAGTCATTCCTTCTTTTGAAATAAGCTTAAGTTATTCCCATGAGTAAGCTTTCTGTGAAGAAAGAAATGGCACAGTTGTTAGAGTTGAGAGTTGAGGGACCTTTGTTATATAGCTTTCTTGTGTTTCCAGCCTTCTCTTTGTCCTCTCTCCATCCCTGGAGAACTGGCTCATCTTTTATCTACCAGGTGGATAACATGTTTTTATTCTTGCAATTAAAATAGATAAGGGTATATGAATAGGCTAGTAAATCTCATAAGAAAAAATGTAGATCAGCAACACTTAAATTTCTCATTCTACAATTCTCCCCAAATAGTAAAGTTACTTGTCAAACTCCAGCTATGCACATTGCTAGGTGTTGGGATATATAAGATATGGTCTCTGGCCTCAAGTTGCCTAAAACACAGATGAAATCAATAATCTTATAAAAAAGATTTATTCACATCCTCTCCACCAATATAATTGTTGCAGAATTTATATTATTCTTCTTAAAGAGTTGTGTGTTAACTACTACAAATACAGTGGTTTTTCTTCTTTGGAGTCATGGAGAAGATGTGAAGTGGTAGGGACGTGGGGGAAGAGTGACACACACACAGTAGGCCAGCAGCAGATCGAGACTGGTATGGTATGAGAGGAGTGAGGAGATGGTGGGCCACCTAGTTAGGAAGAGACCTTTGAGCATTGGCCTCAGCTGCTTTCTGCTTGTGGCTGCCCAAACTCACTGGGTTTTTGTTTCCTCCAAAGTACAGTGCTTCCTGTTGGCCTTCCTTCTGCCTGATGTACTCTTCTGTAGTTCTTTACTTGGATAATTTCTACTAATTCTCAGTTTTCATAGTAAATGTCCATTTTTCAGGGACACTTTCCCTGACTACCTCTAAGCTAGGTTAGGCCCTTCTATCATGTACTTTCTATATTTTTTCCTTATTATGCTTATCACAATTGTAATTAATTATTTGTGTGATTATTCACTGTTTAACATATCTCCCCACCAGAGCCTCAGGGGCAAATATTGGCTCTGCTGTGTTTGTCTCTGAATTTTTAGTATCCATCATAGTGCTTGGCATATAGTAGGATCTTGCCTTGTGGAGTAAAGTATTTGTTCAATAAACAAATAGGAAGGCCATTTTCTGCTGCGATCAAAAACTGTTTTAAGCTTCTTTGGAGAAATATATATCAGGCTGTGGTTGAATCTTGGTGAAATTTAACTGCCAATTAGGAAAGTAGCTGTAAATAATTGCTTAACACAGGGCATTGCATGCAAAAGGACCATCTAATTTGTGTTCTCTGAGTGAAAAAAATTTAGGCACAGAGTCCTGGGGTGCAGATGGGGATAATCCTGCACAGCCCAGCACAGGATTATACAGAATATGTAAGTGTGAATAAAAAAATAAACATGGATGTAGAATTCTCTATTAGTTTTGATCTTTTGCAAATGAGCAGAATAGCCATCTTTGGCAAAATGTGGTAGTATGAGTTAGCAAATACCAAAGTCACACTTTAGATATAGATACTAGATAAATCAGCATATGATAATCAGCACATGATAAAAATTTTGGGAAGCAGTACAGTAGTATAATCGTTAAGCATTAAACTCCTTATTTTAAAATCCCATTGTTGACACCTTCGAGATAGGTAACATTGGGGAAGTTATTTAATCTCCATTTCTCTTGATCCTCCTATGTAAAACAAAGGTAAAGATAGTACCTGGCTGATAATGTTGTTGTTGTGTGGGTTAAATTAGTTCATTAAAATGTTTATAACTATTCCTGACACAGAGCTAAGAGCTTTATGAGTGTTAGATTTTATCATTACTATATTTTCCCATGATTTTAAGTCATATTTTAAACGTTAGTCTAATGAAAAGGCAGTGTTGATTTAAAAAAAAAATGTCTAAGCATAGCTTCTAACTTTTATTCAACAAGGCAAAATGCCAATGAAAGCTTTCAGTAGAATTCCATATGTTGTGGAATATACAGTTTTACCAACTGTGGGGAAAATATCACAGTTTTAGGTGCTTGAACCTTTGATTGCCAGTTTCCCATGATTAAAGATAGACATCTAAATTTTTAATTTATATTTATTTTGTTAGAAGCAATAGTGAGGGAAAAAGTATATATATATTTTCCAATTTGAAGCAAGAATTAGGGTTTAGGATTTAGGGTTTTAACTCAAGCATTAATTGTCTTTTCTCTTTTCTTTTCTTTCTTTTCTGTTCTTTTTTTGGAGACAGGGTCTCACTCTGTCACCCAGGCTGGAGTGCAATGGCTCAATCTCGGCTCACTGCAGCCTCAACCTCCTGAGTTCAGGTGATTCTCCCACATCAGCCTCCCCAGTAGCTAGGACTACAAGCATGTACAGCCATGCCTGGCTAATTTTTTTTGTATTTTTAGCAGAGACGGGGTTTTCCCATGTTGCCCAGGCTGGTCTTGAACTCCTGGACTTAAGCAGTCCACCCGCCTCAGCCTCCCAAATTGCTGGGATTACAGGCATGAGCCACTATGCCCGGCCAGTGTCCTATTTTCTTAAAAAAAAAAAAAAAGAAAAAAAGCAAAACGAAAATCCCAAAGAGGTACCCAGGCCATTCACTGAAGTAATAAGATAGAACCAGCTTTCCAGGTAGAGTTGAGAAATATTATGCATTTGTGAAATACAATTCATCATATTCTGGAACAGCCAATTTAGTTTTGAGACAGGGTCTCACTCTGTTGTTCAGGCTGAAGTGCAGTGGTGTGATCTCAGCCCACTGCAACCTCCACCTCCCAGGCTCAAGCTTGCATTAGTCTCCTGAGTAGTTGGGACTACATGCGTGCACTACCATACCTGGCTAATTTTTGTATTTTTTGTAGAGATGGGGTTTCTGCCATGTTGCCCAAGCTGGTCTTGAACTCCTGGGCTCAAGCGATTCTCCCACTTCAGCCTCCCAGAGTGCTGGGATTACAGGTGTGTCACCATGCCCAGCAGCTTATCAAATATTTAATGAGTACATTCTATTCCGGATACTAGACTAACTTAATTTCTCTTGTCTGAAAAAAGGGATAGAATCGCTTTCAGATTCCTACCAAATATAGGAGTAATAGAGTTGAAAAGTGAGATTAGGAGACCTTAACTACTAGTTTAGAGGTTATACTCAGTATTTCTAGTCTTTCAAGAAGTTTTTTGCTATGCATATTTAATTTCAAAGTCTTAAATTAATTAGCATTTCTACTATTCTCCTGAGTAATAAAAGGATATTAAAACAATTTTTGGCCAGGCCCTGTGGCTCACGCCTGTAATCCCAGCACTTTGGGGGGCCCAGGCGGGTGGATCGCTTGAGGTCAGGAGTTTGAGACCAACCTGGCCAACATGGTGAAACCCCATCTCTACTAAAAACACGAAAAATTAGCCGGGCGTGGTGGCTTGCGCCTGTAATCCCAGCTACTCGGGAGACTGAGGCAGGAGAATCGCTGGAATGCGGGAGGTGGAGGTTGCAGTGCCACTGCACTCCAGCCTGGGTGACAGAGGGAAACTCTGTCTCCAAAAAAAAAAAGTTTATATTTCCCACTTGGTAATTTCTTTAGTTCTTCCAGTTTGCTAATTCTTGTGTAGTAGTTTCTAATATGCCATTTAATCCATTCACTGCATTTTTAATTTAAATGACAGTCTTTTCCTTTTTTTCTTTCTTTTTCTTTTTTTTTTTGAGAGGAAGTCTCACTCTGTTGCCCAGGCTAGAGTGCAGTGGTGCGATCTTGGCTCACTGCAACCTCCGCCTCCCAGGTTCAAGCGATTCTCCTGCCTCAGCCTCCCAAGTATCTGGGATTACAGTCATCCACCACCACATCAGGCTAATTTTTGTAGTTTTAGTAGAGACAGGGTTTTACCATGTTGGTCAGGCTGATCTTGAACTCCTGACCTCAAGTGACCTGCCCACCTCAGCTTCCCAATGTGTTGGGATTATAGGCATGAGCCACTACGCTCAGCCTTTTTTCTTTTTATTTATTTGCTTTTGTAAATAATGGGGTCTCCCTGTGTTTCCCAGGCTGGTCTTGAACTCTTGAGCTCAAGGGATCCTCCTGCCTGGGCCTCCCAAAGTCTTGGGATTACAGGCATGAGCCACCACATCCAGCCTAAATGACAGTCTTTTTCCCTTCTATAATTCCCTTTGGATCTTTTTCAAAATCTGCTTCAGTTTTGATAGTCTCTTGTTCTTTTATTATACTTAAAATTGTCATTTCTTGTTGTTCGTGTTGTTTTCCTTGGAGTATAGAAACTATAAGAGCTTAATACCAGAGAGAGAATAGCAAGGCACTTTTAAAATCTGGTGAAGGCTGGGTAAGGTGGCTCATGCCTGTAATCCCAGCACTTTGGGAGGCTGAGGCAGGCAGATTGCTTGAGTGTAGAAGTCCGAGACCAGCCTGGGCAACATGACAAAACTCCTTCTCTACAAAAAGTATAAAAATTAACTAGGCATGGTGGTGTATGCCTGTAGTCCCAGCTACTTGGGAGGCTGAGGTGGGAGGATTGCTTGAGCTGGAGATCGTGCCACTGCCCTCTAGCCTGGGCAACAGAGCGAGACTCTGTCTCAAAAAGAAAAAAAAATCTGGTGAAATGTGAGGATAATCTTATTGTTTTGAGGCTGCAAGAGTCTCTCACTCTTTTTTAATTTTGGTAAAATGTACATAATATTAGCTTTACAATTTTAACCATTTTTAAGTGTATAGATCTGTGGCATTAAGTACATTCACATTGTTGTGCAACCATTACCATCACATACCTCCAGAACCTTTTTATTTTCCCCAACTAAACTCCCTATTTCTCATTCCTCCTAGCCCAGCAACCACCATTCTTTCTGTCTCTGTGAATTTGACTACTCTATGTAAGTGGAATCATACAGTGTTTGTATATACTGTATAACATATAGTATATGATATGCTCTATATAAGTGAAATCATATAGTATTTGTCCTTTTGTGATTGGCTTATTTCACTTAGAATAATGTCTTCAAGGTTCATCCAAGTTGTAGCATATGTCAGAATTTCCTTCCTTTTTTTTTTTTTTTTTTTGAGACGGAGTCTCGCTCTGTCGCCCAGGCTGGAGTGCAGTGGCGGGATCTCGGCTCACTGCAAGCTCCGCCTCCCGGGTTCACGCCATTCTCCTGCCTCAGCCTCCCAAGTAGCTGGGACTACAGGCGCCCGCCACTACGCCCGGCTAATTTTTTGTATTTTTAGTAGAGACGGGGTTTCACCGTTTTAGCCGGGATGGTCTCGATCTCCTGACCTCGTGATCCGCCCGCCTCGGCCTCCCAAAGTGCTGGGATTACAGGCGTGAGCCACCGCGCCCGGCCTCCTTCCTTTTTAAGGCTGAATTATATTCCATTGTATGTGCATACCACATTTGTTTACCCATTCATCCATTGATGGACATTTGGATTGCTTCCACCTTTTGGCTATTGTGAATAATGCTGCTATTTCATCATATGTTTAATATCTTAAGAGGCCTGAACTCTGTCTCTGAAGGGTGTAAGCTGCTGCTGCTGCTTTTTCTTTCTTTCTTTCTTTTTTTTTTTTTGAGACAGGGTCTGGTTTTGTTGCCCAGGCTGGAGTGCAGTGGTATGATCTCAGCTCACTACAACCTCAACCTCCCAGGCTCAAGCCATCCTCCCACCTCAGCCTCCCAAGTAGCTGGGACTACTACAGGTGCATGCCACCATGTCTGGCTAATTTTTGTGTGTATGTGTATATATTATACACATACAATTTTATTATACTTAAAATTGTCATTTCTTGTTGTTCTTGTTGTTTTTCTTGGAGTATAGAAACTATAAGAGCTTAATACCAGAGCGAGAATAGCAAGGCACCTTTAAAATCTGGTGAAGGCTGGGTAAGGTGGCTCATGCCTGTAATCCCAGCACTTTGGGAGGCTGAGGCAGGCAGATTGCTTGAGCGTAGAAGTCCGAGACCAGCCTGGGCAACATGACGAAACTCCTTCTCTACAAAAAGTATAAAAATTAACTAGGCGTGGTGGTGTATGCCTGTAGTCCCAGCTACTTGGGAGGCTGAGGTGGGAGGATTGCTTGAGCTGGAGATCGTGCCACTGCCCTCTAGCCTGGGCAACAGAGCGAGACTCTGTCTCAAAAAGAAAAAAAAATCTGGTAAAATGTGAGGATATATATAGGATATATATATATATATATATATATAAATACATATATATATGTGTATTATTTTATTTTATTTTATAGAATGGGGTTTTACCATGTTGCTCAGGCTGGTCTTGAACTCCTGGGCTCATGTGATCTACCTGCCTTGGCCTCCCAAAGTGCTAGGATTACAGGTGTAAGCCACCGTGCCCAGCTGGAATGTAAGCTTCTGACGGACTTGGGCTAGGACTGTGAACTTAGCCTCTGATGCCAAGGAGCAAACATGGAATGAAAGCAGGCCAAAGGCCCTTTTGCATAATATGGCAGTAAGGCAGGAAGGGAAGTTCATTCCACTTTAGAGAGGCAGTGTTTGAAGCATGAGGAAGTTTGCCAGCCAGAGAAAATGGGAATACCTTCTGTGCAGAGTGAATACAAAGATACAAGGGTGTGAATGTGCAGTTAGGGAATGGGGAAGCTTTAGTAATGAGACTGTTAAGGTGGATTGTGTCCCTTGTGAAGGGACTCAGACGACATAAATCAGTTAAAAAAAACAAAACTAACTTCAGTTTTTGAATAGGTATAGGATTCACCTGGTTCAAAATTTAAAAGGTAAAGGTATACAGTGAAAAGTCTCCCTTTCCCCCTTGAACTCCAGCCACCCAGTTTCCCTCCTCATAGGAAACCGATGCACTTAAGAAACCCAATGTCTTGGATATGCTTCTAGAGATAGTTTGTGCACAATCTGGCAGTAACTAGTCCCCTTTCATACAAATGAAGACCTGTTATACTGTCTTGTCCTGTTTCTTGATTTTTTTTTCATCCTTTGCATGTTTTGGGGAACATTTCTTGCTTGTATCTACAGAACTTTCTCTTCTTTTGACAGTTAAATAATAGTCCCTTGATGGTTGTAGATAATTTATTAAACTAGACCCTTATGGAAGGTTATTTGTGATCTGTTGCTGTTTCAGACAACATGGCAAAGAATGACACAAATATGTCAGTTTACGTATGTGCAAGTACATTTACAGGATAATTTCTAGAAGAGGAACATACTAAGCATTGGATGTTAGAAAACAGAGAAATCTTGTATTATTATTATTTTTACTTTATTTTACTTTAAGTTCTGGGATACACATGCAGAACATGCAGGTTTGTTACATAGGTATACATGTGCCATGGTGGTTTGCTACACCTATCAACTCATCATCTAGGTTTTAAGCCCCGCATGCATTAGGTATTTGTCCTAATGCTCTCCCTCCCCTTGTCCCCCATCCCCCTACAGGCCCCAGTGTGTGATGTTCCCCTCCCGAAACAGAGGTGTTTAAGCTGATGTATAAAATTTTGGTAAAATAATCCTGGTAGTATTGAGGAAGATAGATTGGAGCGCTGGTGAGACACTGGGGTTGGAGAGCCATCCATTCAAGCAAGAGGTAGTAAGAGCTGCCTTCAGGCAGTGGTAGGAGTGCAGATAGAGAAAAGACACATCTGCAGCATGTGTAGAGTACAAGAGGGAGAGGGAGGAAAAAGAAAAGATAAATTCTAGAGATAGACTCATTATTACTTAATTTATATTTGGATTCATAGTGTTCTCGATTTTGAAAATGAATCAGTAAAGTAAATGTTTTAAAAATAACTAATTGGCCCGGTGTGATGGCTCACGCCTCTAATCCCTGCACTTTAGGAGGTTGAGATGGTCAGATCACCTGAGGTCAGGAGTTTGAGACCAGCCTGGCCAAAATGGTGAAACCCTTTCTCTACTAAAAATACAAAAATTAGCCGGGCGTGGTGGCGGGCGCCTGTAATCCCAGCTACTCAGGAGGCTGAGGCTGGAGAATTGCTTGAACCCAGGACTTGGAGGTTGCAGTGCGCCGAGATCGCGACATTGCACTCCAACCTGGGCAACAAGAGTGAAACTCCGTCTCAAAAAAAAAAAAAGAAAAAAATTACTAATTTATTTTCAGGGGAGCACTATGTGGTTATTATCTCTATTTTACAGGTAAGGAAACTAAGGCTGAAAGCATTTGAGTAACTTGTCCCGAGCCAGTAATTGGTGGTGTCGGAGTGCAAATATTTTTATTATGCAAATGAGCTTACTTTGAGATGCAGGGCAGAAAACCTAGAATTCTTATTAAATCTAAAAGATCTCATCAATGATTTTATTGAAGCTGAATATGAAAGAAGTCATGCCTTAACCTTTTTGATCTCACTTGGAAAAAGAAAAACTAAATACAATAGCTGGTAGCATGGATCCACCTAGAGAGATGCTGCAAGAAAACACAATCTAGTTGAAGTGAGAGCTCAAAGGATGGCGCATAAGGAAAGGGCTTGAATTCAGGAATGCCAGTGTTTTTTAATGACTCTGATATGTATTCCAAGCTGGGAGGGACAGATATCTATGCTAGTAAGAAAAAACAGGGTCAATCACTTGGTGGCTCATGCCTGTAATCCCAACACCTTGGGAGACCGAGGTGGGTGGACCACTTGAGCTCAGGAGTTTGAGAGCAGCCTGGGCAACATGGCGAAACCCTGTCTCTACAAAAAATACAAAAATTAGGTGGGCATGGTGGTGCACACCTGTAGTCCCAGCTACTCAGGAGGCTGAGGCAGAAGGGTCACTTGAGCCCTGGAGGTTGAGGCTGCAGTGAACCATGATCGCCCCACTGCATTCTGGCCTGGGCAACAGAGCAAGACCTTGTCTCAAAAAAAAAAAAAAAAAAAAAGAGAGCGAGAGATAAAACAGTAGGGTAATCTGTTTATGATGTATGTGTGGAAGAGTGCATACTAAAATGGTGGCGGGATTGAATGGTAGGATTTCAGGTTAAATAATTGTTTTAATGAAAAACTTTTTCTGACCATAGTTTGTGCTTTTACCCTAACAATGAACATGTGCCACTTTGGAAATAAGAGAAATAAGTTCCGTATTTCCCCTCCATCTTTTCGTTATTGTTTGTACTCTTCCCACTGCCTGGAGTTGCCCTTCCTCTCTCATTAGAATGGGCCCAGTGCAGATGTCACTCTCTTCATGAAGCTCTTCCCAGGCTGCTCAGCAAAGGGAAGCTCTCTCCCTTTGCTGTGTTACTAAAATATTTGACTATGGTTGTTATCATGAATTAGAACTAATTGTGTTCGTGTCTGTTTCCACCCCTCCTTTCTCTGACCCCCCTACCCAGCTTCCAAATTTGAGTCCGTAGAATGAGAGTAGTTACAGACTTCAATGTTGAATTGGTTGCATTTTCAGCACTGCAGTTTTTTTTTTTCCCTGTCAGAACAAGAAAAGATAGATAAAAATTCTGAGTCATAGAAGAATGACTTAAAACTTCCGAAGGCAATGATATATCTATGTAAGCCATATGAATACTCTTGCCTAATTTGGGAACTCTCTGGAGTAAACAGGGCCATAAATAAATAAACCATCTCTGGAACTACCATACCTATTACATCTGTAAAACCAAAACATGATTGCCACATTTCAACTGACATATACCAGAAGACTCTGTCTCTGAACTGGAAGCTCCAACTTGGGCTGTTCTAAAGCTTCTGTAAAAAGGCAAATTCCTCAGTTAGTCTGCTGAAGTTATATACTATAATGATAGCACTAGAGAATGAGAATGCAAAAATCTCCTTTTTTCTCCTTCTTGTCTAGAGATTGAACCTTTTACTTATTCTTGCCAGATAAATAAACCATTCCTCTTCTTTTTTTTTCCAACAAATGTTCCGTTGATCTTTCCTTTTACATCTTTTTTCTTCTTTTTTTCCTCAAAGCAACCAGTCTGGATTAGGCTGATTGTTATCTTCTAATCTCTCCTTCCTTTCCATTACTGCCAAGTAAATCTTTCTTAAGTATAGCTCTGATCTCAAAAGGTTCTTGCTCAGAAACCTATGCCTTGTCCCCAGTCTTCCAGATTAATTTAAATTCCTTATTCTAGCTCTTCAGGGCTATCACATCCCTAACCCCTTTCTGATTGTATTATTTCTCTATGGAGAGCAGAAGTCAGCAAACTATAGCCTGTGTTTTTAACTGTCCAGGAGCTAAGAATAGTGTTTGCATTTAAAAATATTTTGGGAAAAAAACAGAAGATGAATATTTTGAGACACAAGAAGTTATTCAAAATTAAAACTTCAGGCCAGGCACGGTGGCTCATGCCTGTAATCCCAGCACTTTGGGAGGCTGAGGTGGGTGGATCACCTGAGGTCAGGAGTTCAAGACCAGCCTGGTCAACATGGTGAAACCCCATCTCTACTAAAAATACAAAAATTAGCCGGGCATGATGGCACGCACCTGTAGTTACAGCTACTCCGGAGGCTAAGGCAGGAGAATTGCTTGAACCCAGGAGGCAGCAGTTGCAGTGAGCCAAGATTGCGCCATTGAACTCCAGCTTGGGTGACAGAGCGAGACTCCGTCTCAAGAAAAAATAAAATACAATAAGAATAAAGATAAATAAATAAATAAATAAATAAATAAATAAATAAGTAAATAAAACTTCAGTGTCCGTAATGTCTTTTTTTTTTTTTGAGACGGAGTTTCGTTCTTGTTGCCCAGGCTGGAGTGCAATGACACGATCTCGGCTCACTGCAACCTCCGCCTTCCAGGTTCAAGCAATTCTCCTGCCTCAGCCTCCCTAGTAGCTGGGATTACAGGTGCGTGCCACCACACCCGGCTAAATTTTTTTTGTATTTTTAGTAGAGAAGGGGTTTCGCCATGTTGGCCAGGCTGGTCTTAAACTCCTGACCCCAGGTGATCCACCTGCCTCGGCCTCCCAAAGTGCTGGGATTACAGATGTGAGCCACTGTGCCTGGCCCACATTGTCTCTAGATCTCCAGGGACTCTCTGCTGTTATATATCTCCCACCTAAACTCTTAGTTTCAGATGGTTTTCATTTATGAACCAAATATAGACTTGTGTTGTTCTTTAATGAATCATTAGAAGTGAACTTGATATTTATTGAGGAATGAAGATAAAAGGATTGTAGCTTAGTGTGTACGTGCTTTGCCTGCACTGTCTTTAATGCAGTTGTGGGTAATGAGGTTTCAACAAAAGGCTGCATATGTGATGATGGTACCATAAGATAATAATATATTTTCACTGTACCTTTTCTATGTTTAGATACACCAATACTTACAATCGTGTTACAGTTGCCTACAGTATTCAGAACAGTAACATGCTATACAGGTTTGTAGCCTAGGAGCAGTGGCTATGCCATAAAGCCTCGGCATGTAGTAGGCTATACCGTCTAGGTTTGTGTAAGTATACTCTATGATGTTCACACAATGACAAAATTGTCTAAAAGCACATTTCTCAGAATATATCCCTGTCATTAAGCAATGTATGACTGTACTTAAAACAGTGACAAACTGGATAAACCAATGAACTCTCTAGTATACTGTAATTCTCTCAATTCTGACTAATTCTGATTATTCCTTTTGCCTAACTGGGAATAAGTTATCTGAGATGGTATAGCCTAATTTACTAATGAGTTTGGTTGTCCGTGGCAACTGTTCAATATCTAGGCTGCAGTATTGATGTTTTATATTGGTAAGCAAGTGAAACAAAAGGAAATGAAGTTAACATTTCTATAAAAGTCTTTTTCTTGTTTTAGACCAAAGGCTGTGTCTAATCTATTAATGTTCTATGAAGAGCAGTGATGAAATACAATCTGCAAAAGGCACAAACACAAATAGTATTGCTGGAGCTGGTTTACAGCTTATTTTCTATCAATACATCTCAGCCAGCATGCTCTGGAAGTGCTGTAGCTGTTCTCTTCTTTCACTTTTCAGCAACTTCAGAACTGAGTCCATGCCCAGCTCATATGTAGTCACACTAAATTGTGTTTGCAGTAGTTGAAAAGGAAAAAACATTAAGAAAAAAAAGCCTAAAGGTGTAACTTTGGAAGTACAGATATCATAAAGGTTACTCTTTTCTATGAGCATTTTAATTGGAGGTCTTGCCATTTGACACATGAATATTATAAAACTTATAATATTCTGCCTGTGGCTGCCTGTGAGAAATGTGTTTGTAGCTTGAGCAAAGGAATAGAGTGATTTTGCTTGTAGCCTTAATTTAATGGGTCAGAATGTTTATTATGGCCTGGAGCCAAATTCAATTACTATATTGTAAAAGTGACTGAATAATCTCCAATTAGCAAGCAGAATGGTCAACGTTAGTAAATGCATTTAAAGACTTTTTGCCGGCTGGGCGCAGTGGCTCATGCCTGTAATCCCAGCATTTTGGGAGGCCAAGGTGGGAGGATCACCTGAGGTCGGGGGTTCGAGACCAGCCTGGCCAACGTGGTGAAACCCTGTCTCTACTAAAAATACAAAAATTAGCCGGGCATGGTGGCAGGCGCCTGTAGTACCAGGTACTCGGGAGACTGAGGCAGGAGAATTGCTTGAACTCGGGAGGCAGAGGTTGCAGTGAGCTGAGATTGCACCATTGCACTCTAGGCAACAAGAGCAACGTGACACTCCATCTCAAAAAAAAAAAAAAGACTTTTGCCATTGTGTTACCATTTCAAGTTTTCATCACACCTGTAATTTAAAAAATGGGGGGTCTACAGTGTTGGTCAGTACTGGTTCAATTTTAAAAGTTACTTAAGGCCAGGCTGACTCAGCTGATCATGCCTAAGCAAATAACAGTTAAGGAGCTGAAGCCCTAGTTAAGCCTAACTGATCTTGGCTGTGGAAACCTTCCAGCTTCTGGGAAGAACCAGGACAATGGGACATCAGTTGGTTAGACTGCATCTTGATGGTTTATATGTGCCCATTGTGTACTTGAAGTTTTTCTTGTCCTTCTTGCCATCTGATAGTGCTGTAGAGTTACAGAATCACACAATATAACAGCCAAAAATATTAGACATAATTGAATCCCACTCTCATTTTATTTTATTTTATTTTATTACTTTTTTGAGACAAAGTCTTGCTCTGTCACCCAGGCATGGCACGATCTCAGCTCACTGCAACCTCTGCCTCCTGGGTTCAAGCGATTCTCCTGTCTCAGCCTCCCAACTAGCTGGGATTACAGGTGTGCACCACCATGCCTGGCTAATTTTTTGTATTTTCAGTAGAGACGGGGATTCACCATGTTGGCCTGGCTGGTTCAAACTCCTGACCTCAGGTGATCCACCCACCTCAGCATCCCAAAATGCTGGGAATACAGGCGTAGCCATGGTGCCTGGCCCCACTCTTCTTATTTTAAAAAGACACAGTATGGCTGGGTGTGGTGGCTCACACTTTGGGAGGCGGAGGTGGGAGGATTGCTTGAGGCCAGGAGTTTGAGACCAGCCTAGGCAACATGATGAAACCCCACCTCTACTGAAAATACAAAAATTAGCTGAGTGTGGTGGTGTGCGTCTATAGTTCCAGCTACTCGGGAGGCTGAAGTGGGAGGATTGATTGAGCTCGGAAGGTCAAGGTTGCAGTGAGCTGAGATTGCCCCACTGCAGTCCAGCCTGGGTGACAGAGCAAAACCCTGTCAAAAAAAAGAAAGGGAAGGGGAGGGGAGGGGGAAAGAAAGAAGGGAGGGAGAAAGGGAGGCAGGGAGGGAGAGAGGGAGGGAGGGAGGAAGGAAGGGAGGGAGGGAGGGAGGAGGGAGGTTTAGGATTAGAGTGTAGGTGTGCTGAGATCATCATTACTATTTGAGTGATAATTGAAGCAATGTCACTTATCTTGGGTAATACCCGAGGTTCATTGCTGGAAATCAAGGATGTGAACACACCAGAGTGAGGTTAAGAGTGGAAGTTTAATAGGCAAAAGAAAGAGAAGAGCTCTCAGCCCAGAGAGGGATCCTGGAGAAAAATGGGTTACCAGTTCCATGATGAAATGCACGGAGTTTTATAAATGAGCTTGAGGAGGCAGTGTCTGATTTACATAGGGCCCAAAAGATTGGTTGGACCAGGTGTGTCATTTACATAGCATGCAAAGAAGCTAATGTTTTATTATGCAGATGGTTCTCTACCTGGCCTGCATCATATTGCCTGTTTCTTTATTGTACACATGGTTGAAAAAGAAAAGGGAAGATGGAGCCTCCATGTTGAACATGCCTGGCCCCCAGGTAGCCTTTTCCTATTGGCATAGCTGCTGGCATTCACCCATGCAAGTTTTAGCATGCTTTTCTATGTCTGCAGCTCGATTTTTCAGGGTGGTCTTTGTTAGAAAAGAAATGATTTGGGGGCTGCTTTTTATTAAAAGGGAAACCTTGCTGAGAACTCTTTTACCCTCACCAACTGCCTAAATAATTTCTTTCTAGCTTCTGCATCAATATTAGGCAAATTGACAAACTTCTCTGTGACTCTGTTCCTCATCTGTGGCATGGGATAGTAAATGGAACCCACCGCATGGGGGAGTTGTAAAGATTTAATGAGATCATAAAGAGCTCCTGACTTACAGCATGTGCTAAATGAAAAATAATTTTTTTTTTGAAGGAGAAAACTGAAATCACAAACGAATATTGCAATGGCAGAGAAGGAAAAAGGGACTAATGTTTATTTAGCCCTTGTTATCTACCAGGCCCTATTCTAGGTGATTTACATATGTATTACATCATTTATCTCTGAGAGAGATGTTACTTTTTCCATTTTACTGATAAGGAGACTGAGGCTCAAAGAGATTAAGTAACTTGCCAGAGGACACAGATCTGGTAACAGCACAGTGAGGTGAGATTCAGATTGCTGCATTCCAAAGCCCCAGTTCTTTTTCCACTATTCCATTACCTTCCAAGATGAGGAGTAGGACCTCATTTTCCTAACATGAAAATGGGTTGCATTTCAAAAATTCGTTTACAAGTTGGTTGTTTGGAGTTACTTTTCCATGGAGACAATGTTACATGGTTACATGCCCAGGCTTATCTGCAAAAGCTATAATGTAACTGAAATTCTGCACATTTGTGAACTGAAACTATTAAGGAAAAAAATGCATTTGCAGTTCTAGCTATAAGCAGAAAAGAAAAAATAAGGATGCATTTTAAATTCTGTGGAATGAGAAAAGCACGTTCGGTTAGAGGGCAGTGAGGGAGAAGATGGGGACTGTTTTTATTCTGGTGGGGCTCTGGGATACTTTCATGGTATTCACACATATTTCCTTTTAAAAAATAATTACATATGCAAGAGATAGGACAGGTGGTAGCGTTGACCTAATTTCTGTTGGCAATATTTAGCTTTCCGTTTTAAATATATTTACCCATTTTTTTTTTTTTGTAATGACATGTGGGAGCCCAGCTAGTCACCCTCATATAGTCATAGAGTATTAAAGTTTATAGATGTCATGCCTGTAATCCCAGCACTTTGGGAGGCCGAGGTAGGTGAATCATTTGAGGTCAGGAGTTCAAGACTAGCCTGGCCAACATGGTGAAACCCCGCCTCTACTAAAAATACAAAAATTAGCCAGGTGTGGTGGCGGGCACCTGTAGTCCCAGCTACTCAGGAGGCTGAGGCAGGAGAATCGCTTGAACCCGGGGGGCGGATGTTGCAGCCATTGCGCTCCAGCCTGGGTGACAGAGCGAGACTGTCTCAAAAAAAAAAAAAAAAAAAAAAAAATGAAGTTTATGGATGTGTTGAAGAAAGAATGAAGATAAAAAGAATGTTTTCCTGAGTGAATTGTATAAGAATTTGAAGGAATTGAGGAGCTAAAGAGCATGTGCGCACAGATATGAAAATGATAAAATTAAATTTTCATTTCATCTTAAATCTTCATCATTTTACTTCAGTTGGCATTTAATTTCTGAGCATATGCTATGTGCCAGTCACCATGTGTCATGGCTATGAGGGAAAAAAACAGTCACAGACCCTTAGTCACAAATTTGCAAAAGAATTTGCTTTGTACTTGAAGCATCTACTAGAGATTATATTCAGATCATCCAGTGATGTTTTCCTCTTTATCGGTATTTATGAATATGTAAAGGTTACTTAATTATAACTAGTGGGAATAAGACTGAGGGTTTTTTTGTTTGTTTTTGTTTTTTAAGACAGGATCTCCCCCTGTTGCCCAGGCCAGAGTGCAGTGGTGCAATCATAGCTTACTACAGCCTCGATCTTCTCAGCTCAAGTGATTCTCCTGGATCACCCTCCCAAGTAGCTAGGACTACAGGCAAGAGCCACCACACCTAGTTAATTTTTTATTTTTTTTATTTTTTGTAGAGACAGGGTCTTGCTATGTTGCCCAGGCTGGTCTCAAACTCCTGGCTTCAAGTGATCTTCCAGCCTTGGCTTCCCAAAATGCTGGAATTATAGGTGTGAGCCACTGCTCCCAGCCTTAAGTAATCTTTTTTTTTTTTTTTTTTTTGAGACAGGGTTTCGCTCTTGTCACCCAGGTTGGAGTGCAATGGCGTGATCTTGGCTCACTGCAACCTCTGCCTCCCGGGTTCAAGCAATTCTCCTGCCTCAGCCTCCCAAGTAGCTGGGATTACAAGCATCCACCACCATGCCCAACTAATTTTTGTATTTTTAATAGAGACGGGGTTTTACCACGTTGGCCAGGCTGGTCTCGAACTCCTGACCTCAGGTGATCCACTCACCTTGGCCTCCCAAAGTGCTGGGATTACAGGCGTGAGCTATGGCGCCTGGCAAGTAATCTTTTTAATAACTAAGAACACTGGAAAAACTAGAGGAGATTATTAGTAAAAGGTGTTCATTTTATTTTCCCATAATTATTGCTTGATTTCCTGTCACTAGTCAGGACTAAAAGGTGGGAGATGTGGGACCTTTGAGTTCTGTTACATAGCATTTGCTTATGTATGTTTGCAACTAAAATGGAAACTTTAGGCTGGGCACAGTGGCTCATGCCTGTAATCCCAGCATTTTGGGAGGCCCCTGGAGTAGTTGGGACTACAGCTAGGTGCCACCATGCCCAGCCGATTTTTGTATTTTGAGTAGAGATGGGGTTTCACCATGTTGGCTAGGTTGGTCTCAAACTCTTGGCCTCAAGTGATCCACCCACTTCGGCCTCCCAAAGTGCTGGGATTACAGGCGTGCCTCCATACAGAAGAATTTTTTTTTTTTTTGAGATGGAGTCTCGCTCTATCACCCAGGCTGGAGTGCAGTGGCGTGATCTCGGCTCACTGCAAGCTCCGCCTCCTGGGTTCATGCCATTCTCCTGCCTCAGCCTCCCTAGTAGCTGGGACTACAGGCGCCCACCATCATGCCCGGCTAATTTTTTGTATTTTTAGTAGAGACGGGGTTTCACTGTGTTAGCCAGGATGGTCTCGATCTTCTGACCTCATGATCCCCCTGCCTCAGCCTCCCAAAGTGCTGGGATTACAGGCGTGAGCCACTGCGCCTGGCCAGAAGAATCTTGAGTTGAGGGGGAGGATGAAGTGTTTGCACATTAGAAGCTTAGTCATGGTATCTTCATAAATGGGGATCTGGTGAGCAAGGTTGCTCTGCTAACATTTATGTAGCCTTAACTGACAGACTGAGTCTCATATTGGGTTAGAATAAACAGCTGCTGCCAAGGAAGCTTAACATTGGTTCTAAGGAAACTATGTGGCATCAGATAAGCTTGCTTGACATCAGAACTTGCCACTGACATGGTTCATCTGCTGCCTAGCCTATGTGATTGTGTTCTCATTGATGCACATTTAAATTAATATTTTGGGCAATTGGTTAAAATTTTGACCTTTAGGCCCTAGAGGTTTCTCATGACTTTATTTATGAAGAATATTGTTGATGCATTTTAGAATTTAATTTGTGTTTTTTTCTGATTATGAAGGCAATACATAGTTGATTTAAAAAAAATACTCTGGAAAAAGTATAGAAAAGGATTAAGAAGAAAATAAAAATCACCTGAAATTCTACTTCCCATGGTATGTTTGCTTCCAGTTATTTTTTCAATGTGGATATATATTTGGGAGAGAGTGGGATGTTTCCTTATTAGTGAAATAGCTGAGGCTTCAGTAAAATTTCACTTAACACTCATGATATTGAGATGTTTGCCTAATGCACTGTGCTAATTAAGGTTGTTTGTTTAATCAGGTGGTACAAATTCTGATGCCTTAGGAGCCAAATAGGCAATGAGTGAATCAGGCCAGTTATAAGCACTGGGGAGTGATGGCAACTGTGGTTAACTGGAAAATGCCGGCCCTAACTGAAGAAGTTACTACCATCTTCAACTTACTGTTGTCACATGGAAACAGGGGCTAATGTTACCAAATCTTCCTAATTGTCAAGAAAGTCCCAGAAGTCTGTTTCTTTTTAATGTGAAATTTCTCATGTTAAAAAATACTGTGCAGGTCAAACAAAATAGTCTGTGTGTTGCACTTGGCCCATACACTGGCATTTTTTGTCACTCCTGACATAAATGCTTCTCAATCTTTCTCATAGCTCTTACAAGAAGAGCACATTTATTAAAGAAAATGTTGGGAGAGGAGTTTATGCATAAGGAGTTTCTGAGAATGGCTTCAGGAACTTTTCCGTCTGAGAGGGTTGCTTAGTATAGAAATGATAAACTCAGTTACAGGAATCAGGTGGTGACATAAATGAGTAAAATGAATTGGGATTAAGATTATGAGTGTGGACATGGTACAAATGCGCTGTTTGGGACATTTGGGTTCCAGTAATGTTTTTCCTTGATGGAATGCAGATCCAAATTGCTGCCAGACCTTCTAAGATTTAAGAGATGTCAGAAATTTGGATCTTTGTGAAATTTCTTGATTTTCAACTCATTTATGCATAGTGTTCCATTATTGGAACGCTAAGCTTGTGGGAGTTATTTATATCCTACTGCTCAAGGTCATCGCCAAGGTCTGATTTTTCACACAAAAAAATTGCAACCTCTGGCACAAATGGGTTAAAAATACTATGTGGACCAAACAAAAACCATCCTTGCCCCAAATTCTACACAAAATCCACTAATTTGCAGCTCTTGGCCTAGATCACTGTTTCCTACATATGTCCTAGAAATCCTAATTCTGTCATATATTAATAGGTGCTAAGAAATAAGGAATTCTTGGTCACATGAATTTGGAAAATGATGGATTAAACAAAACTGAACACATTTCCTGACTGAAGGTTATCATAGATCCTCAATTATGCTAATGTGCCTTGTAAATTCCTAAGAAGATATAGCCCATTACCCCACAGTTACAGTTAGGTCACCATCTCCACTTGCTTCCCCCACCACCCCCCTTGTCTAGGGTAAGAGTGGCTTTCCTCCTGGTAAAGGTTAGTCTCTGTATCTCTCTCCAGATTCTTACCCTGTCTCTTCAGGGATCTGACTTCAGAAGAAATCTATTTCCTGCCTCTTGTCCTGTAGCCTATCAGTATGCTTGGTTTTCTCCAGTTTAAAAAAAATGACGACCTTTTCTTATACCATACACAAAAATTGACTCCAAATGGATCACAGACCTAACTATAAGAGCTAAAACTATAAAATTCTTAGAATAAAACATGGGAGTAAATCTTCATGATCTCAGGTTAGATGAAGCCTTCTTAAGTGTTACACCAAAAGCACAAGTAGCAAAAGACAAAACAAAACAACAGGAAAAAAGCACAAGCAACCAAAATCACAAACAACAAAAGAAGACAAGCTGGGCTGCAATCCCAGCACTTTGGGAGGCCCCGCAGGCAGATTACTTGAGCCCAGAAGTTCGAGATCAGCCTGGTCACCATGGTGAAACCCTGTCTCTACAAAAAATACTAAAAATTAGCCGAGTGTGGCCCGGCACGGTGGCTCATGCCTGTAATCCCAGCACTTTGGGAGGCCGAGGCGGGCGGATCACCTGTGGTCAGGAGTTCCAGACCAGCCTGACCAACGTGGAGAAACCCAGTCTCTGCTAAAAATACAAAATTAGCCAGGCGTGGTGGTGCGTGCCTGTAATCCCAGCTACTTGGGAGGCTGAGGCAGGAGAATCACTTGAACCTGGGAGGCAGAGGTTGCAGTGAACCAAGATCACGCCATTGCACTCCAACCTGGGCAACAAGAGCAAAACTCCATCTCAAAAAAAAAAAAAAAAAAAAAAAAAAAAGCCGGGTGTGGTTGTATACACCTGTACTTCCAGCTACTCAGGGGGCTGAGGTGGGAGGATCACCTGAGCCTGAAGAGGTAGAGGCTGTGGTGAGCTGTGATCATGCCACTGCACTCTAGTCTGGGCAACAGAGACTCTGTTTCAGAATAAAAAAAAAAAAAAAAAAAAGAAAAAGGAAAAGACAAGCTATATTTTAGTCTTAAATTGGCCTTTATCAAAATTAAAAGCTTGTGCTGCAAAGGACACTATCAAGAAAGGGAAAGACAACCCACAGACTGGGAAAAATATTTGCAAAAGATAAATAACTCAAAATATTGGCAAGGGGCCAGGCACAGTGGCTCATGCCTATAATCCCAGCACTTTGGGAGGCCGAAGCAGGCAGATTACCTGAGGTCAGGAGTTTGAGACCAGCCTGGCCAACATGATGAAACCCTGTCTCTACCAAAAAAATACAAAAATTAGCCAGGCATGGTGGCTCATGCCTGTAGTCCCAGCTACTTGGGAGGCTGAAGCAGGAGAATCGCTTGAACCCGGGAGGCGGAGGTTGCAGTGAGCCCAGATTGCACCACTGTACTCCGGCCTGGGTAACAAAGTAAGTCTCGGTCTCAAAAAAAAAAATATATATATATATATATATATTGGCAAGGTATCTGAATAGACATTTCTCAAAAGTAGATATATAAATGGTCAATACACCCATAAAAAGATGCTCAGCATCATTAGCCATCAGGTCAAAACCACAATGAGATACCGCTTCAGTAGGAGGGCTGTAATTAAAAAGATAATAACAAGTGTTGCCAGGGATATTGAGAAGTTGGAACCCTCTCATGTAGCTGCTGCGAATGTTAAATGGTTTAGCCTCTTTGGAAAATAGTCTGGCATTTCCTCAAATGGTTAAACATAGAGATACCATATGACCCAGCAATTGAATACCTAGGTTTATAACCAAGAGAAATGAAAACATGTTCATACAAAACCTTGTACACTAATGTTTATAGCAGCATTATTCATAATAGCCCAAAAATGAAAACAACTCAGGTGCCCATCAACTGATGAATGGACAAAATGTGATGTAACCATACAATGAAATATGATTTGGCAATAAAAAGAAATGAAGTACTGATACATAGCACAGATGAAAGAAGCTAGTCACTAAAGAGCACATCTTATGTGATTCTATTTATATCAGATATTTAGAATAAGTAAATCTGTAGAGAGAAAGTAGATTAGTGTTTACCTAAGATTAGGTGGTGGTGAGGAAGGGTTAGGGCTAAATGGGGGTGGTGTTGACTGCTAATAGTTACTAGGTCTCTTTCTGGAGTGATGAAAATGTTCACAAATCAATTGTCATGGTTGCACAACTCTGTGACTGTCTTAACGACACCATTAACCTCTCTGTGGCAGTTGACACTATTGACTGTTCCTGAAATTCTTCTGGCTTTTATGACAGAGTTCTATTGATCCCCCTGCCCCTATCTCTGATATTTTCTTTCCAGCTTTTTTCACCAGCTTGTTCTTCCACCAGCTACTTATCTGTTGGTGGTGTTGGGTCGTGATTTCATTCATTATCCATGGCTTTTAGAACGTCTGAGTTGCCTGTTACTTGTGAATCAATTTTTCTAGTCCCGGTAAGTGAACTGAGGAACCATCTTTTCAGTTGCTTATTGGACAACTCCCTCTGAATATCCCAGTGCTAATTACTTTCCCTCTCAGAGCTGGTTTTCTTCCTATGTTACCAATTGACCCAGTCACTTGAGCCAGGGGCTGGGAGCCATCCTAGATTTCTGTCTCACCCTCCACATGGAGTGTCATGTGGCTGCCTTTTTTACACCTGCCCTCTCATCTCCATTCACACTGCTGCTGCTTCTGCTACAGTTAATCTGTAGTTTATCTTTCACTAAGACTGTAAGCTCCATGAGATCTGGGGCCATGTGTGTTTTCTTCATCACTGTCTGTAATGCTTGGTACATTGCATGTTATGTAAGTAATATTTGTTGATTGAATAAATGAATTCACAAATGAACTTGTCTTCCGAGTTTTCTTCGCTCTGATCCATTCTTGCTGCTGAATTTTTCTGTTTGAAATGCAGACCTAACAATGTCTTTTACTTAGAATAATTAAATAATTCCCCATTGCTTAGAGGATAAGTCTATTGCATTGCATACAAGGCCCTCCATGATGTGGCCCCTTTCTGCTTTTCCAATTTCCTGTCCTCTCCACATCTCCTCTCTACCCAGTACCCCATTTTCCAGCTATGTTTCCTGAGCTGGCCATGCTTTCCCATATCTTGCCCTATTAACTAGAAAGCCCTCCTTTTTACCTTGAATTCCATTACTTCTGGAGAACTCTTATTCTGCCTTCCTAGAGTTTCTCTTCCTCTGTGAAACTTCCTGTACCTCACCTACGCAGAGCAGAAACTTGGTTGTAACTCTACTAGAGCATGCATTACACTGCATTGCCTTATTTGTTTAAGCATTTGTCAACGAACAACAAGGACTGAGTCTCACTTTTGTATCCCCATCACACAGTGACAGACACAGTGCCTCCCACATGGGAAGTACTCATTAAGTGCTTGATTAAATGAATAAGTTGGAAATCAGAGTAGATTAGAGAGTTTTAGTTTTTCTGGATGTGGCCTCTTAAACACTGAACTCTGGCTGGCCATCTGTGAATGATGTACAAAGGATATCAGTGAGGGGTGGATGGATCACAAGTTCATCACCACCCCAGAAAAACAATCAAAAGCATTGCTGATGATGGGTCACTTACATTATTATTATCCTTGTATGACTGAGGCCTGGTACTGGGCACAGCTGCAATCAGAATGGTTGTTCAGTATAATGGATTGATCAGGCTAACTGTTATGCCATGACATTGATTTGAGCCACAGTAAGTACAGGCAAATGGGTACACATTCTTAAGTCTGGTCACAATCAGTTGGTCACAACCTATTGTCTAAATACATTAAGAACATCTTCCTACCACATTTTTAATGTAATGTTCTTTAGTTACGACTTACATTGTACAAATAAGTAACACAAGTCTTCTCAGCTTTGTTTTGTCTTTCTGTTTTCTTGTACTTAGTCTAGCTAAGGGAGACATCTACATTAACATATTTTTTAGTCTAGGTAGTGACTTGAACCAGCCAACCTTTTTTTTCTTTCTTTTTTTTTTTTTGCTGGAAAGAAACCAAATCTCTCTACATTACCAAACCAAATCGAGTAGATTGTGATGAAAGGAGTAATAATAACAACAGCAGAAGACAAAAGGCCTCTCACATAGAATTTTGAACTAAAGTCACATATTGAACAAAGGATATTTAAATTAACTACTGAACAAAGTAAGAGCTCTTCAAAAGAAACAGAGCTCCCTGCCAAGCCCCCTAAAAATGCCCCCAGGCCTCTTATTCATTCACTACCATTATTTCAGTTTATATCTAAAGATGTTTTATTTCTTATCTCATTCTCTTCCCACCACCTAGTGGACACATAGTTGGCACTTACTGCTTGTTTATTGAATTGAATGGAATCTAGCCCCAAGAGTTAAAAGCTATTCTCTGAAGAAGAAAATAAAAGAGAAATAATTTTGTCAGTGAATAGAAATAACAAGTCTGAGTTTCTCTCGGCAATGGAATAAAGTTAGGAAGGGATAACACGTACAGTTGGCTCTCTGTATCTGTGGGTTCCACACTTCTGCATTTAGCCAACTGCGGATTGAAAATATTCAGAAAACAAGGATAGTTGCATCTGTGTTGAACATGTACAGATTTTTTCCTTGTCTTTATTCCCTAAACAATACAGTATAACAACTATGTACATAGCATTTATATTATATTAGGTATTATAAATAATCCAGAGATAATTTAAAGTATGTGGGAGGATGTGTGTAAGTTATATTCAAATACTATGCTGTTTTATATAAGAGACAAGCATCTGTGGGTTTTGGTATTTGAAGGGGGTCATGGAACCAATTCTCCATAGATACCAAGAGACATGACTATATTTATTATAAAGTTAGATTACTCCAAAAGGGTTGTTTTTAAATACTGACCCAGAGAAAGCTAATTAGACTATAACTAAGATCTGTTTGTTCTTTTCTCTGTTTTTGTTTTTGTTTTTTGTTTTTTTTAGACGGAGTTTTGCTTTTGTCGCCCAGGCTGGAGTGCCATGGCACGATCTCGGCTCACTGCAACCTCTGCCTCCCAGGTTCAAGTGATTCTCCTGTCTCACCCTCCCGAGTAGCTGGGATTACAGGCGCCCACCATCACGCCCGGCCAATTTTTATATATTTAGTAGAGACAGGGTTTCACCATGTTGGCCAGTCTGGTCTCAAACTTCTGATCTCAGGTGATCCACCCGCCTTGGCCTCCCAAAGTGCTGGATTACAGGCGTGAGCCACCGTGCCCAGCCACTCTGTTTTTTTTTAACCCTTTAATCCATAGGACTTTTTTCAGAAGGAATAAGATCTATTTTAAGGCATAAAAAAAATGAGGCATCAGACAGATGTGGTGGCATGCACCCGTATTCCCAGCTACTTGGGAGGCTGAGGTGGGAGGATTCCTTGACCCCAGCAGTTTGAGTCCAGCCTGGGCAATATAGCAAGACCCCATCTTAAAAAAAAAAAAGTAAAAAAGAAGCATTTGTTGATTCTTACTGACCTGTTTGCAAAGTTGTAGTCTACATTGGGAATCATATTTCTCCATACTAAGTTGACCTCGAAGAATAACATTTTCCCACCAGCTATGAAGATTCCTGTTAGTTAACAAAAGACATTTTGTGAATTAATCCCTTTCTTGTTTGTTCTACTTTTTTTCTTTTTCTTTTTTTTTTTTCTTTTGAGATGGAGTCTCGCTCTGTCACCCAGGCTGGAGTGCAGTGGCCCGATCTTGGCTCACTGCAAGCTCTGCCTCCCGGGTTCGCGCCATTCTCCTGCCTCAGCCTCCCGAGTAGCTGGGACTACAGGCGCCCGCCACCACGCCCGGCTAATTTTTTGTATTTTTAGTCGAGACGGGGTTTCACCGTGTTAGCCACGATGGTCTCCATCTCCTGACCTTGTGATCTACCCACCTCCTGACCTTGTGATCTACCCACTTACGCCTGGGATTACAGGCGTAAGCCACCACGGCTGACTGTTCTACTCTATTTTTATTTGGAAAAGATGGGTGCTATGGAAATTTTCTGTTTTGATGGTGACAGGAGAGTACAGGAAAATGCATTTTCTGTCATCAATGGGTTAATGGCTTAAAAATTAAAGATTTGTCTTTGGTTCTCCTAGACAGGCTTTGCCAGTTGTTCTCAAATAGGACATACCTTTCTGCTTCTGTAGATCTTTACAAAGTGGTTCTTTGGAAGTTCTCGACTTGTTATTTTGGTGATAGAACACTAAATTGTAAAGATCTAGAACAGAGGATGACAATCTTTGAATAAATGGGCAGGTCAAGGTAACATAATCCTCTCTGCCTTCACTTAGCATACAAAGTCCTGAACTAACTGAACTTTCCTTTCTAGCCTCATTTCCTCTGCTGAAGCCACACCAGCGTGTCTTTCTAGTCCTGGCCTCCTTGTACTCGCATATCTGACTGAACCTTCTTTGCCTGTGCTCTTCTCTTTGTTTGGGCTGTCTGATTCTTCTCTACTGGGCAGCTTCTCCTTTCCAGGCCTGGCTCCTTTTTTCTAAAAGACCACATAGGAAAGGAATAAATGAAGGTTATAGTAGCTGTGTGAAGAATGAATTGGAAGAGTCTGGAGCAACAAGACCAGTTTTAGGATACAGTGAGGGTCTCATGGATCTGTGCTGCCTGATATGGTAGCCACTAGCCGTAGGTGGCAATTAAAATGAAATAAAGGTAAAAATTCAGTTCTTCAGTTATACTGGCCACATTTCTTTGTTTCTTTTTCTTTTCTTTTCTTTTTTTTTTTTTTTTGAGACGGAGTCTCGCTCTGTCGCCTAGGCTGGAGTGCAGTGGTGCGATCTCAGTTCACTGCAACCTCCTCCTCCCAGGTTCAAGCAATTTTCCTGCCTCAGCCTCCCAAGTAGCTGGGATTACAGGTGCCTGCCACACCCCTGGCTAATTTTTGTATTTTTAGTAGAGACGGGGTTTCGCCATGTTGGCCAGGGTGGTCTCGAATTCCTGATATCAGGTGTTCCACCCGCCTTGACCTTCCAAAGTGCTGGGATTACAGGCATGAGCTATTGCACCTGGCCTATGCTGGGAACATTCCAAGTGGTCAATACTCACAGGTGGCTAATGGGTACTGTATTGGGCGGCACAGATTAAATAGAATATTTCCATCATAAAAGAAAATTATTTGGACAGCACTGCCAAAAATCAATTCCCCAAGAAAAAATGGCATTCATTCTATATAGTCATGTTTTATGTGTTGTACCTTAAAAACAGTGCCGTTCGTTGTCCCTAATCTAATTCTAGCCAGAGTGTATTGAGCAATCATGGATACTATTGCTTCAAGTATGAATGCAGCTTAGAATAACAAAATCACATTTAGTGTTTATCACTTAAGTATTCAAAAATAGCATTTAAATAAATGCCCTTGAATATATTTTTAATTATCCATTTATCTTTCCTTACCTACTCCTACTCTTACAAAGAGGCATCAATTAATTACATGCCATTCAGTTTTTAGTAATTACCTCTACTGAGGTCAGAATATATGCTATTTACAAAACTGTTTTAATGTTTTTGCCTGGTGTAGCCATGATTGCTTTATCTTTGGATAATAACTGTTTGCCATATATCAGCCTTCTAGCATTGCTACCTTTGAAGGCTTTTTATTTCATTGATTTAGAAGTGATTTTTTTTTTTATTTTTTCCTTTTTTTGAGACGGTGTTTTGCTCTTGTCACCCAGGCTGGAGTACAGTGGCGCGATCTTGGCTCACTGCAACCTCCGCCTCCCAGGTTCAAGCGATTCTCTTGCCTCAGCCTCCGGAGTAGCTGGGATTATAGGCATCCGCCACCACGCCCAGCTAATTTTTGTATTTTTAGTAGAGACAGGGTTTCGCCATGTTGGCCAGGCTGGTCGCGAACTCCTGACCTCAGGTGATCTGCTCTCCTCGGCCTCCCAAAGTGCTGGGATTTATAGGCATGAGCCACCACGCCCGGCCACGTGGTTTTTATTTCTTTACCTCAGTCTAGTCTTCATCCCCCACCCCACCCCACCCAGTCCAAGAGCAAGTCCTAATAATATTTCTTCCGTAAAAAGGTAACACAATTCTATTCTTTTCTCCATTTCTGTTTTCACTACTTAAGTAGTGAAACCTTAAGTCACTACTATCACTCTCCCGGCTGACTGCAGTAGCCTCCCTGCAATCATCTAGGAGAGTGATACTGGTTACCCTGCTCTCCCCTCACCACCTAAAAATAGGCAAAATGACCTTTTAAAAAGAAAATCAGGCCAGGCGTGGTGGCTCATGACTGTAATCCCAGCAGTTAGGTAGGCAAAGGCAGGAGGATCGCTTGAGCATGGGAGTTTGAGACCAGCCTGGGAAACATAGTGAGACCCCATCTCTACAAAATAAAAAAAAAAAATTAGCTAGGCGTGGTGTCTCATGCCTGGAGTCCTAGCTGCTCCGGACGGAGGATCACTTGAGCCCTGAATCACTTGAGCTATGATTGCACCACTGCACTCAAGTCTGGGATATGGGGCCAGATCATGTCTCTTAAAAAAGAAAAGAAAAGAAAAGAAAAGAAAAAGTCAGATTAATCTCTTGTTTAGAACTCCTGCCTCCTATTGTACTGATAAACGATTCCAAATATTTCAAGCTGGCCTAAAAGGCTCTTTATGATCTGGCCCTTGCCTTCTTACCCAGCCTCATTACCACACCATACTTCCCTCCCTCCCTGAGGTTCAGCCACTCTGGCCTCTTTCCAGTTCCTAAAATACACCCAATCTTTTCCTGCATTAGGGCCTTTTTCTGGCTGCTCCCCCTAGATTGTTCTTGCCTAGCTCTTTCATGAGTGACTCCTTCTTAGTTTCAAAGTCTCAGCTCCAATTTTGCTTCTTTGTCTACTCTTTCCAAAGTAAGCTCCTTTGTTTCCAGCCCGTACTCTTTATTATAGCATCATTCTTACCATTATCTGGAATCATACTTGTTTATTTACTTGACTCTCTGTCTCTCCCTACTAGACTGTAAGTTCCGTGAAGGCAGGAAACTTTTTTTTATTCTCTACTCCATCTCTACTACCTAAACAGTACCTGGCTCATGTTGTTGTGCTAAAAGCAATGTTTAATAACACTGAATAACTTACTATTTTCTAAAGGAAATATAAGAGGAACTCACCTAGTTCTCCCTCCCACGCTTGCTCTCTGTGTCTGTGTCCCTCCTTCCCCCCACATATATAAAAGGAATCTCTCTGTGTCTTAAATGTGAATATCTTTCTAGGCCCTTTATACTGAATGTGAACTAGTGACTTTGTGGCTGAACTTCATCTTTTACTTCATGAAATCATGGCCATAGCTTTTTGAATGGTTAGTTTCAGTTGGAAAACATAGTGAACAATACATCTGGAAATATTCTGTCATGTTTTGAGCTGAGAAACTCTAGAGAACCAGCTGCTGATTTAAAAGCCTTTTATTATGATACAGACAGTCTATTGTCTATAAAAGCATTGGCTATTACACAGTGGTAGATATGTGTTGCTTTTTCTAGCTATTAACTTGAAAGAAAAAACTTGTATTCATAATTTATGCATGACTTATATTCCCTGAGAATAGTTTATTGTGTTATTTTCTTTAGCTGATTTACTGAGCATTTAGAGATTTTTTGAGACAGGGTCTTGCCCTGTTGTCCAGGCTGGAGTGCAGTGGTGTAAAACACTGCTCACCACAGCCTTGACCTCCTGGGCTTAAGTGATCCTTCCACCTCAGCCTCCCAAGCAGCTGGGACCATAGGTGTGAGCCACCACACCCGACTAATTTTGTGTAGAGACAAGGTCTCACTATGTTGCCCAGGCTGGTCCCAAACTCCTGGTTTCAAGTAATTCTCTCACCTTGGTCTCCCAAAGTGCTGGGAATGATAAGTGTGCACCACTGTGCCAGCCAGGATTTTTCTTACTCCATTTTTTTTTCCTTTAAACTCAATCAAAAGTTAAATGGTTAAATAGTAGGACTGACATATTTTCCATTCTGGGTTTTTTTAATTTCACAGATTTCTACATTAAAATATGGTTTATAAATATGATTTAGTACTCTTAGGTGGCTTTATATTGTTAAAATGGGTGAATTTCACCATTTACTATATTAAAGTTTACTCTTATATTTTATAATACATGAATATAGTGGAAGAAAAATTGACATTCAAGACCTGCATAGAGATAATTTTGAAGAAAGTGAATATGTGTATGATTAGTGGTATAATACACACATAATTTGGTAGTGTGACATTTAATATTTTGATAATTTAAAAAATTTCTGACCATTACTATTTGGAAGATCTATATAAAATGACAGATAATTGTGTACTGAGATTATTAGGTAGGAAATAATTACAACTAAATAACTTAGGCTGGGAGTGGTGGCTCATGCCTGTAATCCCAGCACTTTGGGAGGCAAGGTGGGTGGATCACTTGAGGTCAGGAGTTCGAGACCAGCCTGGCCAACATGGTGAAACCCCATCTCTACTAAAAATCCAAAAAAAAAAAAAAGATTAGCTGGGTGTGGTGGCACATGCCTGTAGTCCCAGCTACTTGGGAAGCTGAGGCATGAGAATCACTTGAACCTGGGAGGCCAAGGTTTCAGTGAGCTGAGACTGCGTCTCTGCACTTCAGCCTGGGCAACAGAGTGAGACTCTATTTCAAAAACACAAACAAAAAATAACAAAACAACTTACAGTAACATTTTTGTGTTTTTAAATTACAAAAATTACTTTAAAATTTACATTTCAGGAAATTAGAAAATAGGAAACGCAGATACAAATTCATTCAATTTCCTAAGCATTAGTACAACCAGTAGAATATTTTAAAAATGTTCTTTCGGTGTTGTTGCTTTATTTATACATGTGGATTTTTTTTGGTGTTGTACTCATAATGTATATTTCTTCTTTTAAGTGAAATATAATGTCATAAACATTTTCCTATAATGCCAAGTTTTTATAACCATTGTTTTAATGGCCCACATAGTACTCAACCTAACGATATATCTTAATTTACTTAACTATTCCTCTTTGTTGGAGGAGTTATTTATGAAGTGTTTTAGCTTTTATAACTGTCATCTTAGTGAATACTTTTGTGAATATTGTTTTTATTATCACATTTGGCATTACTGCTTATAAGGTATATTCTCATAAGTGGAATTCCCAGGTATGACTTTTTTTATGTCCGCTAACAAATTCTAGCAAGTGATTTTCCAAAGAGAATATGTCAGTTTATATCACCACCTGCAGGGTGTAAAACTACCTATTCCATTGTTGCATTCAGCATTATATATTCTTTCTTTTTAACTCGCACTATAATTAGGGAAAAATATCATATTGTTTTAATTTCAGTTTTTTTGATTACTAGTGAAGTTGCATATTTTCATGTTTGGTTTCTAGTGTCAGAATCATAATAGCTTCAAATATTTTTCCCAGTTCCAATAACTTCGTTTTTTTCTGTATAGATAGTTTTGTCTGTCTAACTTGATTCATGTACTTCATGTAACATTTTAGAGATGTGGCCTAGTTTTTTGGCTTAAATACACACACTTATATTCTCAATGATGAATTTCTCCTATTATGCTCAGTAATGCTTTCAAATTAGTTATTCTGAAGAAGGAGTAATACAACATTATGTTTGTATTCCATATTGTTATTCTAGTATATTGTGAAGGCATATTATGTGAGTAATCCTAAAAAATTTTTTAAATCCAGAAATCTCCCTTAAATCTAGAAACTTTAATGATAGATTATGTTTAAGTATATGTTTCAAATATGCTTAAGTAATAGTTTTTTAAAGTCTGAGAATTTATATTTGAATTATGATTTTTTTTCCTCTTGTAGGTTGGAAAAGAGACTGTTCAAACCACTGAGGATCAGATTTTGAAGAGAGATATGCCACCAGCATTTATTAAGTGAGTAATTGAAATATTCTTCTGTTGCTAAGCAGAATAATACTCTTGTTAGGAAGAAAAAGTAGCTGATTTCAGTAACAACTTTTTTTTGGTATAAAACTTTTGTTTACAATTGAAATTTCAACTTTTTTGTCTTCTAACTTTTTTAAAAAAACTGTTCATTTTAGTTTTTGATATTAGGCATTTTTGACATAATAATTTTTTTTTTTTGAGACGGAGTTTCACCCTCGTCACCCAGTTTGGAGTGCAATGGTGCGATGTCAGCTCACTGCAACCTCTGCCTCTTGGGTTCAAATGATTTGCCTGTCTCAGCCTCTGGAATAGCTTGGATTATAGGCGCGTGCCACCATCCCTGGCTAATCTTTGTATTTTTAGTAGAGATGGGGTTTCACCATGTTGGCCAAGCTGGTCTTGAACTTCCGACCTCAGGTGATCCACCCACCTTGGCCTCCCAAAGTGCTGGGATTATAGGCGTGAGCCACTGTACCTGGCCAATTTTTGACATAATAATTTTTAATAAGACCATGAGTTTTGAGTTTTTCTTTCCAAAATGAAAAGTATTCAGAGACCCACTGTGACTATAGCATGCATGAATCTACATTGTATACTAGGCACCTTTGCTTGGAGATAAGGGAATAATGGTAGATATAAACTTTAAAAAATTATTGTTTTGGCCGGGCGTGGTGGCTCATGCCTGTCATCCCAGCACTTTGGGAGGCCAAGGAGGGTGGATCACCTCAGGTCAGGAGATCGAGACCATCCTGGCTAACATGGTGAAACCCTGTCTCTACTAAAAATATAAAAAAAATTAGCCAGGCGTGGTGGCGGGTGCCTGTAGTCCCAGCTATTTGGGAGGCTGAGGCAGGAGAATGGCGTGAACTCAGGAGGTGGAGCTTGCAGTGAGTGGAGATCACGCCACTGCACTCCAGTCTGGGTGACAGAGCGGGACTCTGTCTCAAAAAAAAAAAATTATTGTTTCATATTTTCAGTTACATTTTAAATTTAAGTTATATTTATATATCTCCTAGTATTCCTAAAAATAATTTCCAGGCTTTTTGGGCTATTCTGCATAAAACAAGCAGACATACTAATTTTTGAATACTTAAAACTTCTTAGGTTCTTATATTGTCTTTGATTAGTGGTTTTGTTCTATATGGCAGTCAAGTTGTAAGCAAAAGTAAAAGCTGATGTGTAGGACAAAAAAAATAGAACTCATAGAAGTCAATAAGAATAACATAAGACTTTCCAAAAAGGTGTTTGAAGGACTTGAATAGGCACCTCAAAAGAGGAAATTTAAGTGGCCAATAAATATTTTATTTCAGTCATCAGAGAAGTGCAAATTATTTTATTATACACCCCAAATTAAGAACCCTGATAATATTAGTTGTTGATAAGATGTGGAGCAACTGGAATGTTCTTACACTGCTGTTGGGAATGTAAATTGCTGCAGCCACTTTGGAAAACAACATGACATCAGTAAAGTAGAAGATAAGCAGTTCCACTGTCGGGTATGTTCCCTAAAGATACTCGTCCACATGCACACCAGCATCCATATAAAAAACATTTCTATCAGCATTGTTCATGATGACCCCACTGGTCTATCTAGAGTAGAATGGATAAAATAATCATGGTGTAATCAGAAATTGTAATATTAATCAGTAATGAAAAGGAGTGAGGAATTTTCACTTAAAAATGGTTAATTTTATGCTATATGAGTTTCATTTCAATTGAAAAAAACAATGAGGCCAGGTGCAGTGGCTCACACCTGTAATCCCAGCACTTTGGGAGGCCGAGGAGGGAAGATCACTTGAGCCTAGGAGTTTGAGACCAGCCTGGGCAACATGGTGAAAACTCATCTCTACAAAACATTAGCTCCGTGTGGTGGTGTGAGCCGATAGTCCCAGCCACCCAGGAGGCTGAAGTGGGAGGATCACCTGAGCTGGGGAAGTTAAGGCTGCAGTGAGCTGTGACTGCACCACTGCACTCCAGCCTGGGTGACAGGGTGAAACCCTGTATCTAAAAATAAATAAATAAATAAAAAGACAAAAAAAGAGAAATGAATGAATCTCAAAAATAATTGAGGGAAATGAAAAACAGAGAGACAGAGAGACGGATAGATAGATAGATAGATAGATAGATAGATAGATAGATAGATATGTAGGTTCCACTTATTTAAAGTTCAAAAATGGCCAGGTGTGGTGACTCACACCTGTAATCCCAGTACTTTGGGAGACCAAGGCAGGTGGATCACTTGAGGTCAGGAGTTCGAGATCAGCCTGGCCAACATGGTGAAACCCTATCTGTACTAACAATATAAAAATTAGCCAGGCGTGGTGGCTCACACTTGTAATCCCAGCTACTTGGGAGGCTGAGGCGGGAGAATCACTTGAATCCGGGTGGCGGAGGTTGCAGTGAGCCAAGATCAAGCCACTGTACTCCAGTCTGGGTGACAGAGTGAGACTCTGTCTCAAAAAAAAAAAAAAAAAAGTTCAAAAACATGCAGAAATAAACTATGTTGTTTAGACATGCCTATTTATATGGTAAAAAGATGAAGATGAGTAAGTAATAATGGTCACCACAGCCAGGGTAGTCCTACCTCTGGGAGGGAGGAAGAGGTCTATACTCAGGAAGAGGTACACAGGGGCATCTAAAAGTGGTAATAATGTTCTATTTTTGATTTAAGTGATGAGTTACATGGGCGGTTGTTTTATATTTATGCATTATATTATACATATGTTTATTTTCTCTATGTATGTTAAATATCACAACTTTAAATAAAGCTAAAAGTGTTCCTTTATTTTTATCCTCCTTATGTTCTATTATTTTCATTGAACAGATGTAAAATTCTCACCCATATTGAAATCTTCTTATTTCTACCTGAGTGGGTGCTTTATGCAACTGTGTTTCTGTTAATTCCATAAAATGTCTTCATGTGTCAGGAAGTAAGGTGCTAGAAGCATCTGTTTTTTTGTACAGCCTGTTTTGTGGGAGTATCTTTTTTGTCCTACCTTCATTGGACTTGGTGATCTCAAGGTTTCTTCGAGCTCTGATCAACATGAGCCTATTTTGTTTACATGCCATCCGATCAGCCTGGTAATATATATATATTTTTGAGACAGGCTCTCACTCTGTCACCCAGGTTGAAGTGCAGTGGTGCGATCATGGCTCACTGCAGCCTCAATTGCCCAGACTTAAGTGATCCTCTTGCCTCACCCCGAGTCGCTGGGACTACAGGTGTGTGCCACTATGCCCGGACAATTTTTAAATCATTTGTAGAGGTAAGGTCTCCCTGTTGCCCAGGCTGGTCTTGAATTCCTGGGCTCAAGCAATCCTCCTGCATTGGCCTCCCAAAGTGTTGGGAGTACCGGCATGAGCCACTGTGCCCCGGCCTTAGCCTGGTAATATTAAGAGGAATCTTATGCTGTCAACTAAACATATTATAATTAAACTTGCATTTACCTTACATTAAAAACATAGCTCTAGCTTGTAGCAGGTTGCCCCTCACCCCTTGGAAGATACAGAGCACGGGGAATGAGTGAGTACAGGTTTCACTATCGGGTAGGTAGTTGGACTAGAAGACCTTACAAACAATTGCTTCCAACCCTGACATTCTAGTCTATGAATATGATTTGATTGGTAAGTGGATTTTGTCAGGAAACTTATTTTTGCTTATCCCCAGAGACATATTCTGAAATATGCTATGTGCTTTCACAGACTTCTTTGGGGACTTAGAAAAATTAAAAATGAGCACACCCTAGTTGTGATAAAAATTTCAAAAAATTTGGTCACTTTAAAACAAAATAAAACTTTACTGATCACCCTGTGTGGTAACTAGGGCATCAACCCCTTACTCTAATAATTGGTAATTTAAAGGAAATTAAGCATTTATCTTGCCTTTCCTGTACAAAATTTTTAGAGTAGCCCAATAGCCCTAGTTGTAAGGTGAATTCTAACCAATAAATGTGGAAGACATGACAGAATTAAAAAATCATTGATCGCTGGGCATGGTGGCTCACGCCTGTAATCCCAGCACTTTGGGAGGCCGAGGTGGGAGGATTGCTTAAGCCCAGGAGGTCGAGGCTGCAGTGAGCTGTCATTATGCCACTGCACTCCAGCCTGGGTGACAGAGTGAGACCCTGTGTAAAACAAAACAAAATAAAACAAACCGTGATGGATTTTTATGTTTGCTTTTCTTGTTTTTCTATAGAATGCAAAATGAAGCAGAAAATAGTAGATGCCTTGACTTGGAAAAGACAGGGACAGAGAAGGGGGAAACAGATGGAAGCAATTAATGACATCCTTGGAACTATTGAGTAGGACATTCTTTTGAGCTGCTTGGTTGATGTTTAGAAATTTCTAGGGCATGACCGACTGAAACTTCCTCTGTAGTCTACTTTTGCAAGGACTTCTCAAGTGACTGCTTAAGCAACACTAAAGGCTAAAATATTTAAACATTTATTGTTAGATCAGTCTGTACTCCTAGAATGTTAAGATGTCAAGGCTAGAGAAAACAGAAGATACTTGGCCTGTAGATAGATTTATACCTAAGCTATCTGATATATATTTAAAGATTTTTCAGGGAAAGATATGATACTTTTAGGATTTGGGGATCTCAAGATCCTATCATAGGCTATTTGTGTGATTGGCAATTAGGGCATATGGAAAAATGGGTTTAATACATTTAAAATGATACAATTGTCGATGAGGAACTTCCAGTGCTCAGGCAATTCCTTACTGTAAAAGTGAGAGCCATTTTAATATAGAACAAGATTTGCATGGTCACAGCCTTTCTCTTGGGTGGAGCTAAAGTTATTTGATCCCTGGCTGCACTGGCAGATAGAGCTCACAATTTACTAATTTTACCCAAGACTGCAATAATAGCCACAGTGTTGCATAAGAGGTGTAGGGTTGCATGGTGATTGCCATCGAAACTGCCCAGATTGTCATAAACTTCAGGAGTGCAGCAGCTATGCTGTATTGTTAAAATGTTGGTTAGACTAACCTTATAACCCTATAAGAAATCATTTGTTCCTGGCTGGGTGCGCTAGCTCACGCCTATAATCCCAGCACTTTGGGAGGCTGAGGCAGGTGGATCACTTGAGGTCAAGAGTTCAAAACCAGCCTGGCCAACATGGTGAAACCCCATCTCTACTAAAAATTCAAAACTAGCCGGGCGTGGTGGCACATACCTGTAATCCCAGCTACTTGGGAGGCTGAGGTAGGAGAATCACTTGAACCCAGGTGGTGGAGGTTGCAGTGAGCCGAGATCATGCCATGCATTCCAGCCTGGGCAAGAGCGAAACTCTGTCTCAAAAAAAAAAAAAAAAGAAAAGAAATCATTTGTTCCTTTTGAGACTGTCAGCAGGGGAGTCAGCTACTGTACTCCATGTTTACATTTTGTATCACTGTCAGTTGTCATTTTCTTCTTCGTCATCATCATCATCAGACTGCTGTGGCAGTAATGTTTTATATATAATTGATTAATGGGCTAGACATGCTCCTTGGTTAATTATTTACTGATTGCCTTCTATGTGCCTAGCATGCTGAGTGCTGTTTATAGAATAGTAGTTCCTACCAGTGTGTAATGAATAGTCACTTGTGAGATATATTGCAAATAATATATTAACAGTAATAAAGTGCCAGAGGATACTAATGCTTTGCTTTAAAAGAAAAAATTAATTGAGAGGTCAGGCGTGGTGGCTCATGCCTGTAATCCCAGCACTTTGGGAGGCCGAGGCGGGGGGATTGTGAGGTCAGGAGATCGAGACCACGGTGAAACCCCGTCTCTACTAAAAATACAAAAAATTAGCCGGACGTGGTGGCAGGCACCAGTAGTCCCAGCTACTCAGGAGGCTGAGGCAGGAGAATGCGTGAACCCAGGAGGCGGAGTTTGCAGTGAGCTGAGATTGCGCCACTGCACTCCAGCCTGGGCGACAGAGCGAGACTCCATCTCAAAAAAACAAACAAACAAACAAACAAACAAAAACTTAATTGAGCATATTTAAGTTCACGTGTATAATAATATCCCTCTCATTCCTTCTCATTATGTTTTTTTTTAAACTTTCATTGAAGTATAATATGCTTGTTATTATGTTTTCTTTAATGGGAGATAAAATAGTGGAACTACAGCTATTGTGGCTGGGAATTATGCATAATCCCAAGTAGACCCATGGGGATATGCCATAAACTTGAGTTTTATTTTTCTATATATGATGGCAGAGCAAAAGTGGAAACACTACTGCAGAGAAATTTTGTAAAAAAGAAATATTTTAAGACGTTTCCAATTAAAGAGCTATAATACAGACTGACTTTATGATAGGAATTCAGAGAGAGAGCTCTCTCATTATAAGTAGGAATAGTAGAAAGAGCGTTTATGTAGGAAGTGGGGCTTGGGAGGATGGTTAGATGTAGGGAGGAAGGAAAATACTCTAGGTGCAATGAATGGCATGACCAAGTCATGAGGGCCTGTGGGGAGAGGGGCACATGGTGGGGGTGGTAGGAACTAAGCTTAGGTAGGTAGGTTGGGCAATAGTGAAGGTCCTTGAAAGCCAGGCAAAGGAATTTAGAATTGGGCAGGAGGGAAGCTTTGTAGTTGCTGAGCAGTAGGATGACAATATGAAAGCATCTTCCAGAAGATTCATAACCAAATACAGAAGGAATAGTAGGTGCTAATGTTGTAACAGAGAATAAGCTAGATGTCAAACTGACCAGATTTATTTTCTGTCAGTGTAGATTTGCTTCAGATTGATTCCTTATTATAGGTGAGAAATGTTTATAGCAAACTATTTTATTTGCCTTGGAAAAATTGTCATTGCTGTATACAGTGGAATTTCATTCTTATTTCTGCAATGGAGCAGAAATGAATAAGGAAGGCAATTCTTGGACCTGATCCAAGGATGTTCAGAACTGAATGGATCAAAAAGCATCACTTCTGAGGTGGTCTTGTGATATGAACTTGAAAAGGGCATGGTGTACATTATCTGTTGGCAGGCAAATGACAGCTTTCATTTCGAACTGGACAGTGTTGTCACTTTCTGCCTTAGTGCTGCTCTGACAGTCTGCTTGAAGTCAAAACTTGGATTGGTTCACCAGCTTGGACTATTTTTGAAGCATACTGTAATGTCTAGGCTTATTGAATAAAAGAATGTTCCCAAAATACCATGTGAAAGGATGTACTACTGCTACATGATTGCCATTATTCACATTTCTTGGGAATTCTTTGTTTTAACCCTTAAACTTTATTAGTTAAGAACAGTTATGGTATTTACTTATACAAATTTACCATAATTTATATTCATGCACAAAGAAGAAATTTGAGAAGGATTAAAATATGCTTTATACTTAATTTAGATCTCTTTTGACCTAAAGTAATGATGTCACATTTTTAGGTCATCAGGCCTTGTAGCTTTTTCTTTGCTTGTGATCTTGAACACTCAAAATAATTTGTGATGAAATTTGTATTTTTAAACACACTTGTGGGTGAAAGTGCCCAGAATATCTTTTTTTAACAATTAATTACTTAATCATATCACTTAATACCTTTTGTTTGCCTGGGGCTAATGTGTGATTTGTGTGTGTGTGTGTCCTGAGTTTTGTGGTCCTTTCCACTGCTACAGTATTAGAAGATTTTTGTCTCTTAATGTGGATGCCCAAGTTCTGTGATGTAATCATTGACCTCTGCCCACTGCCTTGCTGCATTTTTGACCTAGAGCAAGCACTCAAACTTTAAATAGTTCACCTTTGGACTTGCCACATTAAGCATAATTTAGTACTACTGTATTTTTTTTTTTTTTTTTTTTTTTTTGAGATGGAATCTCGCTCTGCTACCCAGGCTGGAGTGCAATGGCACCATCTCAGCTCATTGCAACCTCCACCTCCCAGGTTCAAGAGATTCTCCTGACTCAGCCTCCCGAGTAGCTGGGATTACAGGCATATGCCACCATGCCTGGTCAATTTTTGCATTTTTAGTAGAGATGGGTTACACCATGTTGGCCAGGCTGGTCTCGAACTCCTGGCCTCAAGTGATCCATTTGCCTCAGCCTCCCAAAATGCTGGCCTATCACTACTGTTTTTTGTTTGTTTGTTTGTTTGTTTTTTGTTTTAGACGGAGTCTTGCTCTGTCATCCAGGCTGGAGTGCAGTGGTGTGATCTCGGCTCACTGCAACCGCTGCCTCCTGGGTTCAAGCAATTCTCCCGCCTCAGCTTCCCGAGTAGCTGGGACTACAGGCACGCACCACCACGCCCAGCTAATTTTTGTATTTTTAGTAGAGATGGGATTTCAGCATGTTGGCCAGCCTGGTCTTGAGCTCTGCTCAATTTCTTAAATACCTTGTATGAGCTGGGTATTTTAAGTTGTGTTATTTAGTCCACTTCATTTTTCAGATGAAGAGAAGCTCAGTAAGGTGTTGAAAGTTACTCAGTTCATACATGGCAGAGGTAGGATTCTAACCCTGAACTGTTTGATTCCAAGTATGCTCATTCCAGTATGCTAAGGTACTTTCTCATTCTTCTTTACAATAGTCTCTTCTTCTAACATAATAGTTATTGTGAGGTTTAAATGAGTGAAATGATATATGTGAAAATACCTAAAACAAACAAAAAGAAACATTTGGTGATTATGTTGCAGGACAGGCAAACCCCAAAACTGAGGTTTATCCCAAGAGGGTTCTTGGCTTTTCCTAGGAAAGAATTCAAGAGCTAGCCAGTGGTGTTAGCAACTTTTATTGAAGCAGCAGTGTACAGCAGCAGCAGCAGCAGCAGCAGAGGCATTTCTGCTGGCGGAGCAGGGCTACCCTAGAGGCAGCGTGCCCAGAGTAGCAGCTCAGAGGCAGTTCTGCATTCATATTTATACCCACTTTTAATTATATTCTAATTAAGGGGTGATTTGTGCAGAAATTTCTAGAATGCAAGTGGTGGCTACTAGGTTGTTCAGTTGTTGCCATGGAAAGGGGCAGTAACGTCTGGGTGTTGCCGTGGCAATGGTAAGGTGACCTATCACCCTGGTGGGTGTGTCTTATGGGGAGGTGCTTTTACCCTGGACCTGCTTTAGCTAGTCCTCTATGTGGTCCAGTGTCCACGCCCTGCCTCTGGAATTGAGTACTGACTCCTACTTCAATTACATATTAGCTCCCTTCTATAGCTTCTTTTTTTTTCTTCTATAGCTTCTTAATTTTTGTTTCTTAATAATTTTCTCCAAATAAATGATTCAATTCTTCAGTTAGTTTTTTTTTTTTTTTTTTTTGAGACGGAGTCTCACTCTGTAGCACAAGTTGGAGTGCAGTAGCGTGATCTCAGCTCACTGCAACCTCCCCCTCTAGGGCTCAAGCGATTCTCATGCCTCAGCCCCGCAAGTAGCTGGGACTACAGGTGTGCACCACTACTCCCAGCTGATTTTTTGTATTTTGGTAGAGAGGGGGTTTCACCATTTTGCCCAGGGTGGTCTCAAACTCCTGAGCGCAGGTGATCTGCTCACCTTGGCCTACCAAAGTGCTGAAATTACAGGCGTGAGCCACCGTGCTTGGCCCTTCAGTTACTTTTTAAGCTTTTCTCAGAGATATTTTTTATCTAATTTGTAGTCTTCTGTAGTAAGACTTTTTTTTTTTTGAATTGGACCATGATTACTTGTTTTTATTTAATGCCCTTTCTTTCTGTATCTGTTGAGTGGATTACACAATTTTTATCCTTTACTCTGTTGAGATAGTCTATGGTTTACTACATGAATATAGATTTGCTGATAATGAACCATTCTTGCATTTCTAGGATAAACCCTACCTGGCTGTGATGAAAAAAAAAAATATATATATATATATATATAGTGCTGAATTTAATTTGCTAATATTTTAAAAGGATTTTGCATTTTTGCTCATGAGGGACCTTTATCTGTAATTTTCTTTTCTTTTTATGTTCTTTTCTAGTTTGGGTATCAAAGTTATTTTAGCTTCATAAAATAAGGTCTTTTTCTAGTTTTTGAAACAGGTTATGTAAGATAAAGATTATCTGCTCTTGAAAGTTTGGCAAAACTTGCATCTAAAACTCCCTGTATCTGGTGGTGTCTTTGGGAGGAAGAGATATGACTAAAAAGAAACTCGCTCAGTTTTGTTTTATTATCTAAATCAGGTTCTAAATTCATTGTGAGTCAACTTTGGTAGTCTGATACTTTTCTAAGAAATTACCAATTTTATCCAACCTTCCAATTTATTAGCATAAAATTCATAATAATTATTCTTTTAAAAATCTCTGTTGTATCTAGTTATATCACATTTCCTATTCAGTATTGCTTATTTCTGCCTTTTGTCTTTTTTTCTTATCGCTCTTATTAGAGATTTATCTGTCTTACCAGCTTTTCCCACAAAGATCTATTTCATTAAATTCTTTTCTCATATTTATTATTTACTTTTCTCAAGTTTATTATTTGAATACCTTATTTTTAATATTTCAGTCTTTATGTTCAATCTTTCTTTTCTTTTTTCTTTTTTGAGATAGCGTCTTGCTTTGTCACCTGGGCTGTAGTGCAATGACATGATCTCGGCTCACTGCAACCTCTCCCTCCCGGGTTCAAGCGATTCTCCTGCCTCAGCCTCCCAAGTGGCTGGGATTACAGGTGCCCGCCACCATGCCTGGCTAATTTTTATATTTTTAGTAGAGACAGGGTTTCACTATGTTGGTAAGACTGGTCTCGAACTCCTGACCTCAGGTGATCCACTCACCTCCACCTCCCAAAGTGCTGGGACTACAGGCATGTACCACTTTAATTTTTAAATTAGAGAATTTAAAAATTCTTTAAAATTATTTTTTAAAGTTTTCAAAATTCTTTTTAATATCTTTTGTTATATTTCTAATATAATTGTATTGTACCCAAAGACATGGTTGGTATGATATCAATTCTTGGAAATTCTTTTGTTACATACAGCTCAGTTCTAGTGAGTTTTTATGTGTGCTTGAAAAGAAAGTATATTCTCTTTTGCTTGGGTATAGAGTTCTATTTATACTAATTAGGTCAGTATATAAATATTACTAGTCCAATTTTTTATAGCCTAATTTGTCTGTTTCAACTATCAGCTTATGATTGATATATGTTAAAAATCTCCTATACTAATTGTAGACCTGTCTGTTTTTCTTATAATTGTCAGTGTTAGCTCTACATATTTCAAAGCAATATTGTTAGGTGGTTACAAGTTTGTGATTCTTCTGGGTTCTGAATTCTGTTAATTATTTGTTGCTAATTATCTTTTTTTAGAATGACTGTTGATAGACGTTAGCCTGCTGTTGGCTTGTTTCTCCAGACTGTGTTCTTCTTCTTTTAATCTACATCCTAGTTTTTGCCAGTTTTCTTCATAAGTGAAAAATATCCTCTTATTGTATCTATCACTTCATTTTGTGTTTAGGTTGCCACGCCTGTAACTCTTTTATTACATTCTACTGTAGAACAGTGATTGCCTACTTTTTTTCAGCATAAGGACCTTTAAGTAATAATAGTGAAATTTTAGGCTGGGCGTGGTGGCTCACGCCTTTAATCCTAGCACTTCGGGAGGCCAGGGCAGGAGGATTACTTGAGGCCAGGAGTTCAAGACCAGTGTAGCCAACATGGTGAAATCCCGTCTCTACCAAAAATACAAAAATTAGCTGGGCGTGATGCTGCACACCTGTAGGCCCAGCTACTCGGGTGACTGAGGCAGGAGAACTGCTTGAGCCTGGGAGGTGGAGGTTGCAGTGAGCTGAGATCACGCCATTGCACTTCAGCCTGGGTGACAGAGCAAGACTATGTCTCAAAAAAAAACAAAAACAGAAAAACCAACAACAAAATAATAATAGTGAGATTTTAAATTATTTCTTGATTAAGAAATGCATAAAAACAAAAAGATACAGGCCGGGTGCGATGGCTCACACCTGTAATCCCAGCCTTTTGGGAGGCTAAGGTGGGCAGATCACTTGAGGTCAGGAGTTCAAGACCAGTCTGGCTAACATGGTGGAAACCCGTCTCTACTAAAAATACAGAAATTAGCTGGGCATGGTGAGGAGTGCCTGTAGTCCCAGCTACTTGGGAGGCTGAGGTGGGAGAATGGCTTGAACCTGGGAGGCAGAGATTGCAGTGAGTGGAGATCATGTCACTGCACCCTAGTCTGAGTGACAAAGTGAGACTCTATTTCAAACAAACAAACAAATGATACAGTGAATTTCATAATATTTTATTTTATTTTATATAATTTTTTGAGACAGGATCTTGCTATGTCACCTAGGCTGGAATGTAGTTGTGTGATCACAACTCATTGCAGCCTCAGCCTCCTGGGCTCAGGTGATCCTCTCATCTCAGCCTCCCAGGTACCTGGGACTATAGGCATGCATGCTACCATACCTGGCTAACTAAAAGAAAAAAAAAATTTTTTTTTTTTTAGAGATGGGATCTCACTATGTTGTCCAGGTGGGTCTAGAACTCCTGGGTTCAGTCAATCCTCCCAGAATACTGGGATTATAGGCGTTAGCCACCACGCCTGGCCAATTTAGTAATATTTTAAGATAATTTAAAAATTTTATTCATCACAACAGAATCAACATACATTTGAAAACTGCTAGTATCTGTAAGACACTCTTGCTTGTATACTCAGTCTATTTCTGCTGCAACCCTAGTATGAGATGGAGGAAGGACTGTGGAGCTGATGGACCAGGAGGTAGCAGAGTTCTTGATTGAACTCTGCACACTCAGAATCTGCACTGACGCTAGATTTGACAAGAGAATAAGGGAAGAAGGGAGAAAGAACAGGACTGGTTATTCAGGTTTTAAAGGATTTAAAGATTGTGACTTATACACATCTTTAAAATAAACTACTTACCAAGACTTGAGGAACATATAGCTTGGGCAGCTGTAACGTTTGTTCCTCTCCCATTCTTTCCCAACATGCTGCTTCCCCTTCAGTTATCAATTGACTTGGACAGAGTCCTGTTTTATTTGAAGTCAAAACTGGCTGCATACCCTCCTAATCTCAATAATCTGAAATAAGAGAATTTAGTGAGCCTGTGGGTTTTGTGTGTGTGTGTGCTCATGATGGGTGTGTGTGTGTGTTTAGGCTTTGTTATCTAGTATACATCCTCTAGCAAAGGGTTTGGTGTTTCCCTTGAAATGTTTTGAATGTTTTCAATATGACTCATTGTGGGTTATTTTTTAAAATTCAGTTTTCCCCTTAGCTTTATTGAGATATAATTGACAAATGGAAATTGTATATATTTAAGCTGCATCCTTGTGGTTTTATTTTTAGTTTTGGGTGTACTCATGCAGTGTCCTGTACTATCACTGTTTGGCCTTGATAAGAACAAGAAGTCCACTTTGCATTATGTTGTACTTTAAGAGAGTTGGGACAGGGAAAGGAATACTTTGTGGATGAGGTCTGTAGGATCTTTAAATGTAGGAGTACAGGGTTGGAACAGCATGTATTAATATTATCACACAGTGTACACCCGTGTGAGTTGGTGCTGCATACTTGCTACTTGAATTAGATTAAAGCTTGTCATTGTACTCTGTGTTCCTGACTCCCTCCTAAAAACTGTAACTATGCTTGTGGCCTTCAGTCAGGTGTCTAGGTGACTAATGGCTGAGGATCCTTGACCTTTCTCAAAATGGCAACTCCAGGAGCAAAGCATATCAGCTATTACTGATATGCCACAGAATGCGTCCATCTCTACTGTTTTAAAGTACAATCTGTGCCAAATGCTTCATATTAACATAGAAAAGAAATTTCTTCACCTATCTCCTGAGTCTTTTGAAATCTTCACATATATTATTTTCTAAATTATTATTATTTAAAATTTTCTTAAAGATGGAGTCTTGCTCTGTCTCCCAGGCTGGATAGAGTACAGTGGCATGATCTTAGCTCACTGTAACCTCAGACTTCTGGGATCAAACAATTCTCCCCTCAGCCTCCTGAATAGCTGGGGCTACAGGTACATGCCATCATGCATGGCTAATTTTTTAAAATTTTTCGTAGAGATAGGGTCTCGCTACGTAGTCTAGGCTGTTCTCAAACTCCTGGGCTCAAGCAATCCTCCCACCTCAGCCTCCCAAAGCGCTGGGATTATAGGTGTGAGTCACCATCCCTGGCTCTATTTTTATTATTTAAAAAAAAATTATATGTATATATAAATTCCAGTGAATTGATAGAGGCAGTACTTCCTATTTGAAGCATACTAGAATGGCTGAACTCTCAGTTGCTGATGCCTGAAATTTTATATTGGAGTTCATTCCTTAGGTTAACAATTTAAATCTTAAATATCTAATGAAGGGATAATTTGGGGGGCCTTAGCAGTCATTTTCACTTAGATCTTTGTCTGAAGGTAGGTTCTTAATATGCGGGAAGGCAGAGAGAGCTTGAGGGCCTGCCTGTACCCCAAACCCCTGTCTTCTCACTCAGGCCTTATATTATGAAGGGTCTGGACTTTAATATTATCTTCAAATAAGGCCATGTATGTAGTCACAGGAAAAAAAGAAGTTTTAAAAGATGTTGTTCATGGCCAGGTGTGGTGGCTCACGTTGTAATCCCAGCACTTTGGGAGGCTGAGGTGGCCAGATTGCTTGAGCCCAGGAGTTCAAGACCAGCCTGGGCAACATGGCAAAACCCCATCTCTATTAAAAATACAAAAAATTACCTGGGCATGGTGGCATGCACCTGTAGTCCCAGTTACTCGGGAGGCTAAGGTAGGAGGATCACTTGAGCCCAGGAGGTCAAGGCTGTGGTGAGCCGTGATCGTGCCACTGCACTCCAGCCCAGACAAAAGTTGATCATGCAATTAAAATATTAAATGTAAGCACTTAAATAGACCACCATTTTTATGAACCTGTTTTGGCATTTCTTCATTTTTAAATATGATGGACTTCTCAGACTGGGAAGTGATCTATGCCTTTCTTGATGTCTGAAAGACCCTGACAGGATGGGAAGGGAAGGGAAGATCTCAACAAGGGCTAAGAAAAGAGGAAGAATAGCCCTGACAATTGATTTTGCCTGCCACATAATTATACTGGGGCCAGACTGGTTGGAGATGACAGTGAGGGAGGTGCTGGGTGCAGTGGCCAGGTGGAGAAAACCTCACTGACCAGATTCTCATGTTCTCACTTCCTTCCCTCCACCTGTTTCCTTCCCATCTCCCAAGTGTCGTCGTAGCCTTGTTTGATCAGATATGTTTGTGGGCTCTGCAACAAGCTCTCTCTCTCTAATACAGGGATCGTGGTATGTAAACACCTGTTTCCTTGGGTGTGCTCCAGGAACTGCGACCTCCATGAAATAAAATTTTCAAGTGTTCTGTTCCATAGTACTTCACTCTTAGGCAAACAATGCATCTTTTTGACAGTATTTATAACCTAAAAGGCTATACTGTCTAAGATCAGTTTTAATTTTTTTGTTTTTATTAAAACAGTGAATGTGATATGAGTTACTTCCACTCCTCCCCAACTTTTTTTTTTTTTTGGTGGGAGTGAAAGTTGAACGTGAATGTTTTCAAGTGCTTTCCAGTTTTAATTTATGGACCATATGTCTAAATAGACTTAATCACACCATTTCCTTTATATTATTTTGTCTAAAGCTCTCCTTTCCACGGCCACTAAACCAGTGAGCTGACATAGGATGACTGCTTTTTACAGAAGTAGATTGAGATTGTTTGGCTTTAGAGTGAGCTACCTGCACTTTGTGATGGTAGACTGCCCTCCCTAGTCCAACTAGACCGATTGCAAGTGCATGTTATTTCTCACAGAAAGGGTGTGTGTGTGTGTGTGCGTGTGCACGTGCGTATGCGTGAGAGAGAGAGAGAAAGAGATCTACTGGAAAAAGAGCTCAAAGAGATGCTGCAAAGAGAATCATCTTTATAAGTAGTGCTGAACTTCTCAAGGCAGGAGCAGTGTAGTTACCTTCTCCATCGCAACATTCCTAACCTCTTAGGTAAAAATGACTCCTCCAGGCCAGGCACGGTGGCTCACACCTGTAATCCCAGCACTTAGGGATCACCTGAGGTTGGGAGTTCGAGACCAGTCTGGCCAACATGGTGAAACCCCATCTCTATTAAAAATACAAAAACTAGTTCGGCATGGTGGCGCATGCCTATAATCCCAACTACTGGGAGGCTAAGGCTTGAGAATCACTTGAGTGTGGGAGAGGCAGAGTTTGCAGTGGGCTGAGATCGCACCACTGCACTCCAGCCTGGGTGACAGAGCAAGACTCCACTTCGAAAGAAAAAAAAAAAAGAAAAGAAAAAATCTCCTCCTGCTTTTGCACCCATACTTTTTTTTTTTTTGAGACGGAGTCTCGCCCTGTCACGAAGGCTGTAGTGCAGTGGTGCCATCTTGGCTCATTGCAACCTCCACCTCCTGGGTTCAAGCAATTTTCCTGTCTCAGCTTCCTGAGTAGCTGGGATTACAGGCATGTGCCACCACGCTTGGCTAATTTTTGTATTTTTTAAGTAGAGATGGGGTTTCACCATGTTGGTCAGATTGGTCTCGAATTCCTGACCTTGTGATCTGCCTGCCTTGGCCTCCCAAAGTGTTGGGATTACAGGTGTGAGCCACCGCGTCCAGCCTGCTGGACATACTTCTAAAGACTGATTTGTACTTGTCTCCTCCTACCAAGGTTCCTCTTAGGTAAGGACTTTTAAAAAATATTCCCATTTCTAGGAATCATAGCATGTAATAGTTCCTCAATATATTAGATGAATAAATATATGAAAGAATTTAAAGGAATTTAAGATTAGTGACTCTGCTGGGCACAGTGGCTCACGCCTGTAATTCTGGCACTTTGTGAGGCAAGGCAGGAGGATCACTTGAGCCCAGGAGTTCAAGACCAGTCTGGACAACATAGGGAGACCTTGTCTGTACAAAACATAAAAAATTAGCTGGGCATGGTGATGTGCACCTATAGTCTCAGCTACTTAAGAGGCTGAGGTGGGAGGATCACTTGAGCCCAGGAGTTCAAGACCAGTGTGGGCAACATAGTGAGACCCTGTCTCTACAAAAAATATAAAAAATAAAAAATTATCTGGGCATGGTGGCATGTGCCTTTGGTCTCAGTTACTTGATAGGCTGAGGTGGGAGGATGACTTGAGTCTGGGAGGTTGAGGCTACAGTGAGCTGTGATGGTACCACTGCACTCCACCCTGGGTAACAGAGCGAGACACTGTCTAGAAAAAAAATTTAGTAACTCACTTTTTCTGGATATAGTCTAAAAGAACCCTTAAAAAGGACTTGCAGGCAGAGTGTGGTGGCTCACACCTGTAATCCCAGCATTTTGGAAGACCGAAGTGGGTGGATCACTTGAGGTCAGGAGTTGGAGACCAGCCTGGGCAATATGATGAAACCTCATCTCTACGCAAAATACAAAAAAAATTAGCTGGGCATAGTGGCGCATTCCTGTAGTTCCAGCTACTTGGGAGGCTGAGGCAGGAGGATTGCTTGAGCCCAGGGAACGGAGGTTGCTGTGAGCTGAGATCGCGCCACTGCACTCCAGCCTGGGCAACAGAATGAGACTCTGTCTCAAAAAAAAAAAAAAAAAGAAAAAGAAAAAGAAGAAAAAAGACTTGTGGTAGTCTTTTTATAATCTCTAAATGGATTTTCCTCTTCTTTGGCATACATTTAATCTTCTTGGTTAGTGATAATTGAAATCACATGGAACTGAGGAATTTGTGCTCTTTTTTTCTTACAAAATAATTACTCATACTCAAGGTCTTCTCCTAAATTGTCTCAAATTAGAGTAGGTGGTAATTCTGGGAAGAATGTATTAGAGGGTCATGAGTGAGCATATTTCGAGATCCCATAAGGCTGTCATTGGTCCATTTGATATATAGCATAAGATTTTTTTTCTAGCAATTTAGGTTGAAGATTCAAAGGGAGAGAGAAGTACTAGTTGATTGATTTAAATTATCTAATTAAATATTATTAGTATATAGTTAAGATATACAATTATTTAGGAAACTGACCTTATGCCTACTTTCATTCTTTAAATACTTTTTAAAAATTCAGATTTCTATTAAAATGTGCAAGATCACTTTAAGAAGCTAGGGAGCTTGAATGTTTAAATAAAATCCAATTTTCCATACACAAGACAGACTTCTTCCTGTTTCTGACTGCTGGTTAGTCTTAGTGGGATTTGTTTGGCTTTTATGAATGCCATTAAATTTTAATGTGCAGATCAGATGTCTTATTGTATAAAAAAATGGTTCAGTCTCTGTTTTGGACCTATCATTTTACCACACAAGGGAACCATTAGTGATAATCAATTTTATTCCTGTAAACCTTTTCAATTTCATCTTTTTCAGTTTCCTTTCTCCATAATGGTCATTCTTGTCATTTTTTTTCCAAATTTGAAAAACTTATACAGTAACTGGATTTCATAAATAGATATATCACAAGACTTGTAGTTGGTGATGCTTTTGTTTGTTGGCTATAATTTCATAAATGTTCAAGTTTCCTGGAAACAATTTCTTTAAATATTACCCTACCACTACCTTCTCTCCTTTGGAAACTTTAATTACACATATATTAGGTTGCTTGGAGTTGTCCCACAGTTCACTGATGCCATTTGTTTTTCAAAATCTTTTTTCACCCTGTTTTATTTTGGATAGTCTTTATTGCTATGACTTCAATTTCACTATTTTTTCCCCTGCAATATCTAATCTGCTAGTAATTCACAGTGTATTTTTATATCTCAGACATATCTTTCGTATCTAGTTGTTCTATTTGGGTCTTTTTCTCTATCTTCCATTTATCTAACTAGGGTAACCAATCTACTTTTTTTTTTTTTTTTGAGACAGGATCTTGCTGGGTCACTCAGGATGGAGTGCAATCACGGCCCACTGCAGCCTCAACCTCCTGGGCCCAAGTGATCCTCCCACCTCAGCCTCAAGAGTAGCTGGGGCTACAGGCGCACAACACCATGCCATTACATTTTTTATTTTTATTTTTTGAGATGGGGTCTTACTCTGTTGCCCAGGCTGGAGTGCAGTGGCACAATCACGGCTCACTGCATCCTCAACTTCCCTGGGTTTAGGTGATCCAGCCACCTCAGCCTCCTGAGTAGCTGGGACTATAGGAGTGCACCACCACACATGGCTAATTTTTTATTTTTTGTAAAAATGGGGTTTTGCCATGCTGCCCAGGCTGGTCTTGAACTCCTGAGCTCAAGAGATCCTCCTGCCTCAGCCTCCCAAAGTGCTAGGATTACAGGTGTGAGCCACCATGCCTGGCCTGATTTTTTTTTTTTTTTTTTTGTAGAGATGGAGTCTTGCTATATTGCCCAGGCTGGCCTTGAACTCCTGGCCTCAAGCAATCCTTCTGCCTCAGCCTCCCAGACCATGGTATTAGGCACTGTGCCCAGCTCAATCTTTACTTTTGTTTTTTGAACATGTGGAGTACAGTTATGACCATTTTAATGTTCTTATATACTGATTCTGTCATCTTTGTCATTTCTAGGTCGGTTTTGTTTTGAAATAGGGTCTTATTCTGTCACCCAGTATGGGATGTGGTAGTGCGATAATGGCTCACTGCAGCCTTGGCCTCTTGGGCTCAAGTGATTCTCCCACTTTAGCCTCCTGAGTAGCTGGGACCACAGGTACTTACCACTGTTCCTGGCTAATTTTTAAATTTTTTGTAGAGACAAGGTCTTCCTTGGCCGGGTGCAGTGGCTTACACCTATAATCCCAACACTTTGGGAGGCTGAGGCGGGTGGATCACTTGAGGCCAGGAGTTCGAGACCAGCCTGGCCATCATGATACCCCGTCGCTACTAAAAATATAAAAATTAGCCAGCTGTGGTGTGGTAGCACACACTTGTAATCCCGGCTACCTGGGAGGCTGAGGCACAAGAATCCTTTGAACCCAAGAGGTGGAGGTTGCTTTGAGCCGAGATCGCACCACTGCACTCCAGCCTGGGCGACACAGCCAGACTTTGTCTAAAAAAAAGAAGACAGGGTCTCCCTGAGTTGCCCAGGCTGGTCTTGAACTCCTGGCCTCAAGCAGTCCTCCTCTCATCCTCAGCCTCCTAAAGTGTTGGGATTACAGGCATGAGCCATGACACCAGGCCCGAGGTTGGTTTTGAATGATTGACTTTTCTCTTCATTATTGGCGGTATTTTCATGCCTTCTTGTATACCTGATAATTTTTGACTGGATGAGAGTTTCCTCTTATTGCTGTGACAAGTCACCAGAAACTTTGTGGTTTAAAACAACACAAATTTATTATCTTACAGTTCTGGAAGCCAGAAGTCCAAAGTGAGTCAGCAGGGCCACATTCTTTCTGGAAACTCTAGAAAAGACTCTGTTTCTTCACCTTTTCCAGCTTCTAGAGGCTGCCTGCTTTCCTTGGCTTGTAGCCCCACATTACTCCAGTCTCTGCTTTCATTATCATACCTCCTTCTCTCCTGCTTCCATTGCCATGTCAGTGAAATAATGCCCTCAGTTTGCTAATAAAATAACTGTCAACTTAGAATTCTGTACTGCTATAATAGTCTTTGAAGAATGAGGACAAAACAGACATTATCAAACAAAAACTGATACATTTTGTCACCAGCAGACTTTTACTAGAGGAAATCCTAAAGAATGTACTTCAGACAAGTCCGCTGATCCCAGATGTAAGCCTGAAATACAAGAGGGAATGATGAGCCAAGATACTGGACAGTTTGTTGGTAAATGTAGATAAGTGTTGATGTATATAATAATGGGATGTTTTTACTCAACGCTTCTGATACCAGATGTATGGCTTTTTTTTTCCACACCAACAACCAGTCTTCCAACTCTTCAGACACCAACTTGGTATTCAGCAGCGCAATTCAATTCTGACACTAACTATCCAGAGTTAGTGTCAGACTCCACAGGTTTAAGTGCTTAGTCCCATAAAACTATCCTCACTTCAGATACCAGTCACAAGTATTGGGTGCCTGGTATACCCACACTTCTGTCTGACTTTACTACAAAGTTGGGAGTTCCTACAACTCCCCGCTTTCGGGTTTGTTAATTCGCTAGAATGGCTCACATAACTCACAGAAATACTTTACTCAAATAGTTACCAGTTTATTATAAAGGATACAACCCAGGAACAGCCAAATGGAAGAGATGCATAGGGCAAGATATGATGAGGAAGATTTCATGCTGCCTGGGTGCACCACCTCCCAGCACCCAGATGTGTTCACCAACTCAGAAACTCTCTGACCATGCCTTGATGTTTCTGGAACCAGCTCCCGTTTTGAAGCTATCTAGGGTCCCCCAGCCACTAGTCATCTTATTAGCATACAAAAGACACTTTTTTTTTTTTGAGACAGGATCCAGCTCTGTCACCCACACTGGAGTGCAGTGGCATGATCATAGCTCACTACAGCCTTGATATCCTGGACTCAAGCACTCCTCCTGCCTCAGCCTCCTGAGTAGCTAGGACTACAGGTGTGAGCCACCGTGCCTGCCTATCTTTTTAAAATTTTTAGTAGAGATGAGATCTTGCTCTGTTACCCAGGCTCGTCTGGAACTCCTAAGCTCAAGTGATCCTCCTGCCTTGGGCTTCCAAAGTACTGGGATTACAGGCATGAGCCACTGTGCCTGTCCACAAAGACACTTTTAAGTGTCAAAAGACACTTTTAGGAAAAATATTTTTCCTAAAATTTGGATCACTCATTCTTTTTAATAACACATAGAAAATTTATAAAAATAAATCATATGTTAAGCCATGAAGCTAGCCTAAATATATTTTAGTGCCTTAAGACCACATTTTCTACACAACTCATTTGAATGATAAATCAATGATCAGAAGATAAGAGGAAGAGTCCTTTATACGTAGAAGTATATTTTAAAATTCCCAAACAATTCATTGTTAAATAAATCACAGTGACAATTAAAAATGAATGACAAAAACACTACCTATCAAAACCCATGGGGCCAGTAAACAGTGAAACAAACAAACAAACAATCCTCAGTTTTATTAATAAAAGAAAAATGCAGGGCTGGGCACAGTGGCTCAAATGTATAATCCCAGCACTTTTTTTTTTTTTTTTTCAGACTGAGTCTCACTCTGTCGCTTAGGCTGAAGTGCAGTGGCGTGATCTTGGCTCAATGCAACCTCCGCCTCCCAGGTTCAAGCAATTCTCCTGCCTCAGCCTCCCAAGTAGCTGGGATTACAGGCGCTTGTCACCATGCCTGGCTAATTTTTGTATTCTTAGTAGAGACAGTGTTTCACCATGATGGCCAGGCTGGTCTCCAACTCCTGACCTCTAGTGATCCACTTACCTCGGCCTCCCAGAGTGCTGGGTTTACAGGTGTGAGCCACTGTGCCTGGCCCCCAGCACTTTAGGAGTCTGACATGGATGAATTGCTTGAGCCCAGAAGTTCACGACCAGCCTGTGCAACATGGCAACACTCCATCGCTACAAAAAATAAACATAATTAGCTGGGTATGATGGTCTGTGCCTGTAGTCCCAGCTACTTGAGAGGCTGAGGTGGGAGGTGACCAGGAGGTCGAGGCTGCAGTGAGCCATGATTATACCACTGCACCTGCCGCCTGGGCAACAGACCGAGACCCTGTCTCAAAAAAAAAAAAGAAAAAAAAAGCAAGTTAAATTCACAATAGTTTATCGTTTCACATTGACCAGATTGGCATATTAAAAGTTCAGACGATGAGGATCAAGTCTGTATACTGCTGGTAGAAGTATTCAATTGATAAAACCATTTTGGAAAGCAGTTTGTCATTCCCTGGTAAAGTTGAATATATTTATTTTCTGTAATTTAGTATTTCCATTACTAGATATATAATCTAAACTCTGTTCATGTGTACCAGGAGCCAGAATAAAAATTTTCACAGCACTATTATTCATATTAACACTAATAACAGAAACAAGAACCTAGAACACCTCTAACATCCAGCAGAGGTAGAATGGGTAAATCAATTTTGGTATATATATATATATTTTTTTTTTTTTTTGAGATGGAGTTTCGCTTTTGTTGCCCAGGCTGGAGTGCAATGGCACGATCTCAGCTCACCGCAACCTCCGCCTCCCGGGTTCAAGTAATTCTCCTGCCTCAGCCTCCCGAGTAGCTGGGATTACAGGCATGTGCCACCACGCCCAGCAAATTTTGTATTTTTAATACAGACAGGGTTTCTCCATGTTGGTCAGGCAGGTCTTGAACTCCCGACCTCAGGTGATCTGCCCGCCTCAGCCTCCCAAAGTGCTGAGATTACAGGCGTGAGCCACCACGCCTGGCCAATTTTGGTATATTCTCACAGGGGAATACAACATAGTAGCTACAGTTGTTAACATGATGGACTGAACATTATAATGTTGAACAAAAAGAACAGTCACAGAAGCATGCATAACGGTATGATTCCGCTTAAGTTCCAATATAGGCAGAACTCAACAAAAAATTGCTTAGGTATGTATACATATATAGGTGGTAAAAGTATAAAGAAAATCAAGAAAATAATTAACAACATTCAGAGTAATAATTATCTCTGGAGAATAGGAAGGAGGATTTGGTTAAGGTGGGGTTCTAAAGTACCTGGTACTATTTTATAAAATGATTTTTTTTTTTTTTTTGAGACTAAATCTCACTCTATTGCCTAGGCTGGAGTGCAGTGGCATGATCTTGGCTCACTGTAACCTCTGCCTCCTGGGTTCTACTGATTCTCCTCCCTCAGCCTCCTGTGTAGCTGGGATTACAGGTGCCCGCCACCATGCCCAGCTAATTTTTGTATTTTTAGTAGAGACGGGGTTTCACCATGTTGGCCAGGCTGGTTTCGAACTCCTGACCTCAGTCCGCCCACCTTGGCCTCCCAAAGTGCTGGGATTACAGGCATGAGCCACTGCACCTGGCATAAAATGATTATTGACTTTTAGGTAGATGGTGTTTGTTTGAATTAAAATTTATACAATCTTTTACATGTGTTATTTTATTTTGTAACTTAAAAACTATGAAAATCCTCAACCTCAATGGAAATTAACACTATATTGAATAAAGATAACCTACAGACTGGGAAAAAAACATTTGCAAATTGTATTTCTGATGAGAGTTTAATAACTAGCTTATCTAAGAAACTCTTACAACTCAGCCCCAAAAGACAACCTAATTGAAAAATGGGCCTAATTGAATAGACATTTCTCCATAAAAGATGTAGAAATGGACAACAAGCACATGAAAAGATGTTCACCATCATTGATCATTAAGGAATTGCAAATCAAAGCCATAATGAGATACCACTTCACACCTGCTAGGGTGGCTTTTATTTAAAAAAAAAAAAAGATAAGCATTGGTGAGGATATGGAGAATTAGGAGCCCTTATGTGAAATGGCACAGTGCTGGAAAATAGTTTTGTGGTTTCTCAAAAAATCAAACATGGAATTACTATATAAACTAGCAATTCCTCCCCTAGGTATATAACTAAGAGAAATGAGAACATTATAGCAGCATTATTCATAATTGCTAAAAGGTGTAGACAGCTCAAATGTTCATAAGTAGATTAATGGGTAAACAAACTGTGGCATATCCATACAATGGAATATTATTATTCAGCCATAAAAAAAGAATGAAGTATTGATACAGGCTACAACTTGGATGAACCTCAAAAACATGCTAAATGAAAGGAGCCAGACGTAGTGTATGAATTCTTTTGTATGATGTTTCCACAATAGGCAAATCCAGTGAGACAGAAAGCAGATTAGCGGTTATCAGGGGACGGGGGAAGGAGAAAATAGGGAGTTATTACTTAATGAGTATTGCGTGTTTTACTGAGATAATGAAGAGTTTTGGCACTAGAGAGAGGCAGTGGTTGCACAACACTGTGAATACACTAAATGCTACTGAATTGTACACTTTGAAATGGTTATTTGTATGTTACATGAATTTCACCTCAATTGAAAAGAAACTATGTTTGGATCCAATTTTGGTTTATTATTGGTGAAGATCCAAAATTTGAATTGGTGAGAAGGTAAGAACTGTTTAGTATAACTTCTGCAGATTGCAATATGGCAACATTTGTTAAAAATTATACATATGCATACCTTTGACTCAGCAATTTTATATCTAGAATGTATCCTACAGACATACAGGGTAAAATTACATGTATTCAAGGTGATTCATCACAGCAGGCTAATAACTATTAGCCTGGGCTATTATGTAGCTTTATAAAAGTAGGAGGAGGCTCTTTATGTACTTTTCTTTCTTTTTTTCTTCTTCTTCTTTTCTTTTTTCTTTTTTTGGAGTCTTGCTCTGTTGCCCAGGCTGGAGTGCAGTGGCATGATCTCGGCTCACTGCAACCTCCGCTTCCTGGGTTCAAGTGATTCTCCTGCCTCAGCCTCCCCAGTAGCTGGGATTACAGGCCCCTGCCACCATGCCTGGCTAATTTTTGTACTTTTGGTAGAGATAGAGTTTCACCATGTTGGCCAGGCTGATCTCGAAATCCTGACCTAAAGTAATCCACCTGCCTTGGCCTCCCAAAGTGCTGGGATTACACGTGTGAGCCACCATGCGCGGCCCTCTTTATGTACTTTTAATAGAACAACACATAAATGTAAAAAGCAGAATGCAGCGAGTGACCATATATGATCCTATTTGTGTAAAAAAGTGGGGAAATGTACATTTTTGCTTCTTTGAGGCCTGAAATGTTTTATGAAGACATTTACATACAGAGGAAATACAACATTGGAGGAAACTCAGTATTGGTTGCAAGTGGGATGGAATGAGTGCATGGAAGATAGTGAAGGGAAAGAGATTTCTCATTGTATGCCCTTTTGGTTTTAAATATGTGTATATGCTTGTGTAATATGTATGAATATATATTATATATTTAAAATAAAATTAAAAAGAACAAAATATCCAGTCCTTTAAGCCTGATCAAAAGCCACATCAAACAGGTCTTGCCCTTCACTGATATTTATTATATACTGCCTTATGTTTTTTTTTTTGTTTGTTTGTTCGTTTGTTTTGGAGACAGAGTCTAACTCTGTCACCCAGGCTGGAGTGCAGTGGCATGATCTCGGCTCACTGCAACCTCCACCTCTGATTCTCCTGCCTCTGAGTAGCTGGGATTACAGATGTCCACCACTATGCCTGGCTAATTTTTGTATTTTTAGTAGAGACGGGCTTTCACTATGTTGGCCAGGCTGGTCTCGAACTCCCAACCTCAAGTGATCTGCCCACCTTGGCCTCTCAAAGTGCTGGGATTACAGGCATGAGCCAACTGCGCCCGGCCATGTATTGGCTTATTCTGCCAATGTTTGTGTCTTGCCTTAGTAAAGTATGCTCCTCGAGAGTTAGAATAGTGCTTTTTACATCTTTATATACATACCTACAGTGTCCACAGCCCAGTGCTTTTTATGTAGTTGAAATTCATAAGTTGGTTTAATTCTACTTGTTAACAATGTAATACTGCTTTAAACTTGTGGAGTTTCTGTATTACTTCATTTATCCTCAAAAGAACCTGGTGAGATAGGCTTTTATTTGCAGGTGACATTTTCTATGTTTTCAAATGAGACTGTATAATTCTGGCTAAGCATTTTAACTTTAAGCAGTTTGTTCCTTATCTTTGTAAGTTAGTCAGTCACAACATAATGGCTATATTGAATATGAGACTAGAGGAGATGATCTATTAGGTTATTTTCAACTCTGTGGGGATGAGTAATTGAATGAATGAATGAATACATTTTATTAGTACAAGGAAGGCAAACTGAATACTTGGTGTATGCATTTTGGGTTCCTCTTTTAAATGAATCCCCCGCCCAGCTCCCCTTCCACCACTCAACCTTTGGCTGATCTGGTTACTTATATTAATATTAAACTATTAATAACTGGCTTAGTTACTAATAATAGTGACCTTTAATTAACAATATATTTTCATTTTAATTTTTAAATTTTTGTTTTTATTTTCTTTTAACAATATATTTTCAAATGGTCCAATGGATTTATCAAACAAATTTATTTAGCTAGATGAATGAGTGAGAAATTTATGCATTGCCTCATACTTTTTCTTTGTGTTTCTTCCTATTCCTTTGCTTTGTTTAGTTATTAAATTTCACTTAACACCATGCTTTGGCATTTTATTTCCAGATGTTAGATCTGAAAATGATCTAACATTTCAGCAAAGAACTGAAGGATTTCAGTTCTTTGTGCAGTGTCTTTTAATAGCAGTGTGTATAGGGTGGGGAGGAATAAGGAAACAAAGGCATTGCAGAGATAGAGCAACCTGAAGTCAAAGAGCCCAGATGTTTTCTCGTCATTTTTTGTTGTCAGGAAATAAAGAATAAGGGCAGTGCACTGAATGAATGTGCTGCTTTTACCTGTAATTTTGTAATTTTCTTTTTGAAACAGGGTCTCTCAAAATGCTGGGATTACAGGCATGAGCCACTGTGTCCTGCCTAAATTGTAAAATCTAAAAACGTAGGTTCTATTATCAATTGGTCTTGGCTATTTTTCATGTAGGGAAAAAAACTGTGAATTTACATGCATATTCTCTCTTTGTATTTGCATATGGTATTCTTCTGTGTGGTTCTGCCGGTGTGTTAACCTGTGTTCTTCCCTATAGGGTTGAGAATGCTTGCACCAAGCTTGTCCAGGCAGCTCAGATGCTTCAGTCAGACCCTTACTCAGTGCCTGCTCGAGATTATCTAATTGATGGGTCAAGGGGCATCCTCTCTGGAACATCAGACCTGCTCCTTACCTTCGATGAGGCTGAGGTAGGCAATCTGAGACAAAAAGCCTACTCTTGAAGATAATAATGGAAGATTGATGATTGTTTAGAATGAAAATATGTTGAATGCTGCACATCTGTGTTACCGTGTTTGCTAGTTGTCCACCCATGTGATTGAATACTCTGAAATATTTTTTCAGGTCCGTAAAATTATTAGAGTTTGCAAAGGAATTTTGGAATATCTTACAGTGGCAGAGGTGGTGGAGACTATGGAAGATTTGGTCACTTACACAAAGAATCTTGGGCCAGGTTAGTTTTATCCAATTTCTATAACATTTTTTAAGGATTGTCCATGTTGGAGCCAAAGGAAAGGGTACCCTCTTCCTACTTTTTGCAGAAGATAGGTGAAGATGCATTGGGCTTTCAGGTGTCTGCTCTGTTGATGGAGATGATGCTGTGCTTTGAGGTGATGTCATTATCTCTGGTATCTGAATCTGCTTTCTATATATTGCCTTGTCAAATGAATTAAACCAAACATTGCAAATACTGCTATTGGAGAATGTAGGAAATACTTTTCTGTTACTGTAATGCTGAAGGCCATCCTGCATCCTGACCTCTCCATTCCACATTACACAGCATTCCTTCACTGTCTGCCAGCTGGCCTGTAGTTCTTTATGACCTCTTAGCTTGCTAATTAGCCTGCCTACTATTATGGATTCATGCCCTCACCCAAGGCTGCATAATATAATCAGACCTAGGAGAGAAGAGCTATTGTGGTTAAATCTTATTTTGAAATGATTATTCAGGCATCTGAGCATTAAATATTCAAAATATATAAACGGATACCAGCTTTTGATGTTACAGACATATAACATGAACTTGAGGGTCTTTAAAGTATGAATGAGACCAATGACAAGATATGTTAGATGTTTAACCTGCTTAACTTGATTGTTATCACTTTATAAAATTCATTTGTTTTATGTGAAATGTTGATTTTTAATTAACAGCATTTTTATGAGGTTCCAGTGTAGGTGTTCTGTAAAACTTAATGGCAGTTAAGAATTTGAGCCATCACTGAAGATCACCTGGAAATAGGTTTCTCTGGTGGCTTTAGAGTAGTCCTCTTAAAATTTCTCATAATACTGGCGAAAATTATATTTCCCCAAATGGAATCTTATGCAGAATCCCCAAACAAAAAAAGACAAAATGGAGCTACTTTAGGTGAAGCAGGAGCAGCCCCACCTCTGCTTCTCTTTGGTCTTGATGGTCTGTGAGACAACTTGAGAAATCCTAGGAGTAATTTGAAAATCAAAGCTTTAGAGAATCACATAGCGCCTTTGAATAACAACCAACATAAACAAAAAGTGCTAGCAGAGTGATTCCAAAACACCAGATGCTTTCAAACACTGTCATCCCTATAATTATTTTTATAATATTTCTATTTGTTTCTAATTATAAAACTAGTACATGCTTATTTTGGACAAATTGGAAAGTACAGACAAATAGAAATATGAAAACAAAACATATCATTGTTATTCTTAGAACTTTTTTCAGCCACTAGATTCAGTACTAGGCTCATGTGAGATTTTTAGCACAGAGTTCAGAGACATGGCATGAAACCTGTATGCATAGAAGCCTGGCAAAATGTTTTTCCCTTACCTGTGAATTTCTTTTTAATAAATATATATTTATTCATTTAGATGTTTAATATTTGTGAATATATTTATATCAAAATATGAAAATGTTTATCACATTTAGTGTTTACATTTAATACATTACTTTCATTGAAAAGAGTAATGTTGCATAAATTAGAGTTCAGTGATGGTGTCTGTTGTTTAAATAAGTGAGCAATCGGTTTGAACTTTCATAGTATTTCATAATGGATTTAGACTGAGAAAGCCAGACCCGGGATTGTTTCACTACTCACCCTGCACAATTTCTTCTTTGTGCCCCAGGAATGACTAAGATGGCCAAGATGATTGACGAGAGACAGCAGGAGCTCACTCACCAGGAGCACCGAGTGATGTTGGTGAACTCGATGAACACCGTGAAAGAGTTGCTGCCAGTTCTCATTTCAGGTACTTCCTGCCTGTACTTTATTTTATAGGGGGGAAAAATGTTAGCATGTTCTAAACTCTGAGGTTCATTTTGTTTTCTTTTGTTTTCTTTTCTTTTTTTTTTTTTTGAGATGAAGTCTCACTCTGTTGCCAGGCTGGAGTGCAGTGGTGCGATCTCGGCTCACTGCAACCTCTGCCTCCTGGGTTCAAGCGATTCTCCTGCCTCAGCCTTCTGAGTAGCAGGCACTACAGGTGCGCACTGCCATGCCCAGCTAATTTTTGTATTTTCAGTAGAGACGGGGTTTCACCATGTGGGCCAGGATGGTCTTGATCTCTTGACCTCGTGATCTGCCTGCCTCAGCCTCCCAGAGTGCTGGGATTACATGCGTGAGCCATGGCTCCTGGCCTGAGGTTCATTTTCTTTTGTGGCTTCACTGCATGTCCTTCAGCCTAGGTAAAAATGAGACCCGATTGATTGGTTATCACATGATGGCTGTAGCTGATTGGCTGAGAACCAGTCTTCTTCTCTAATGCTGTCCTTCTCCTGTTCTTTGTTTGAAATTGCCTTTCTGTGGCCTAATTCTGTTCTCCTAAAGCTCTAACAAGCCCCTTTGCTGGGAGGTGGACTCTCCTCTATAAACTCTAGCCTAGGATATTAAATTTTCACACCTTTGTGTTATAGAAAAATAATTAGGAGCTGGAATGGATATTATAGAGCATCATATGATAAAGACATGAACTCAGAGCCCTTTTTAGTGTGTATTAATCCAATTTTTCCTAAAAGATATTTAACTGTTGTTTACATCATGAGTAGATCAGTTCTTTAGTCACCAGCTGGGACTACCTTCCCATTGAGTAGTGCTCTGAAATGCAAACATGGTAGCTGCTCTCTCGACTAGCAAAAGGGAGTAGCACTTATTGAGTGTCTAGTATATGCCAGACAGCTCATGGTTTATATGAATTATCTTAGTCAAGTTGTGGGTTAATTAGTTATTTCTCAGAAGGCAACTTTATTATAAAAATCTGGTGACTCATGTCATTGTGACTTCCAGCTACCTGCTTTGGTGTTTCAAGTAGTAGCTAAAAAAGGACATATGAGTATAAGAGTTCAGGAGGCTGGGCACAGTGGCTCACTCCTGTAATCCCAGCACTTTGGGAGGCCGAGGTGGGTGGATCACCTGAGGTCAGGAGTTCGAGACCAGCCTGGCCAACATGGCAAAACCCCGTCTCTACTAAAAACAAAACAAAACAAAAATTAGCCAGGATTGGTGGCAGACGGCTATAATCCCAGCTACTCAGGAGGTTGAGGCAGGAGAATTGCTCAAACCCAGGAGGCGGAGGTTGCAGTGAGCCGAGATCACGCCGAAAGTGTTGGGATTACAGGCGTGAGCCACCATGCCCAGACATTATTTTTTTCTTCTTTATGTTTGGGGGTTGGCAAATCCAAGCTACATGTTGAGAGAAATCTCGGATGATAAACTTGACATCTTGGGATCTTCTGCTGGGATCAGGGGCAGCAGGATACGCCATTCAGAGTATTACTGACAGTTTTCATATTGTCCCATTAGGTTTGTAGTAGATGGAGCCAGGGTGAGGGCCAGGATGATAACTGATTTAGAAGGATATTAGATATTTTGTGATTGCAGGTCATCAGCATATGCAGGTTAAATTAGTTACTTAATCATGTTGTGATGGTGTCTTTGTACCTTGAGTTTTCTTTTTCTTTTTTTATTTTTACAATAAAGGTTGTTAATGTTGGAACTTTATTGTCAAACTTGTAGTGTTTGTTTTGTATACTCATTTTAGGATCTTAAAAGCCCAAAACATCTAAAGTGTAGAACATCTTTTGTGAATATTGTTATACAACAAGATTAAATTCCAAGCTTACTTTCTGATCTTTTATTTTTACAGCTATGAAGATTTTTGTAACAACTAAAAACTCAAAAAACCAAGGCATAGAGGAAGCTTTAAAAAATCGCAATTTTACTGTAGAAAAAATGAGTGCTGAAATTAATGAGATAATTCGTGTGTTACAACTCACCTCTTGGGATGAAGATGCCTGGGCCAGCAAGGTACGTGTTCTTAGTGGAGAAATAAGCAAAATCCCCAACTCTCCCTGGCTGGGGGTTTTGATTGGCACCTGTCTCATACTTTATCTTGTAATTTTTGTAGCATAAGAGTACTCAGATATTGTGAAAGTAATTTCTTCTTCATTTCTGTTTCATAGGTTACTTGCTATCTTTGCTAATTTCCTTTGTTCTAAGGTAGAACAAGTAAATAGGCATGTGGGGTAGATACTGGTTTAAGGCTGAGATTTATAGCTTTTCCATCAGGCTGGAGTCTTATTGGTTGGACTGGTGGAAGAGTATATTCCCGTGGATGGGAGCTCTGCCTTGTATATGGGTGGTTCTTCCCAGCTGACTAAGTAAGATACAGATATGCCTGTAATTCTGAACTTTATGGAAAACTTTTCTTTAACCAATCTTTGATCCAGAGAAATCTACAGAGGAAACTCTTGGCATTTCTAGATGTGTCCCTTGATCATTCCATTTTCCCCAAGGAAGGTTTAATTAAAATATTAGTCTTCACATTGGTCAGTTAGTTTGAGGGATCCCTTCACCCTTTTTCTGGAATCTCTTTTAGGACCCCAGAGGGGCTGGCAGATTCCTTCTAGAGCCTGTTAGCAGTGGTTTTGTGTTGCTGCTGCTCTGGTCTGCTGCTCCCTGTTTAATGACTGTGAACCAAGCTTTCAGGTCTGGGGGAACAGAGATACTTGGGTTCATACTTTCCTTGTAGGAGCCCAAGATGTAGGCAGTGGGGGGAACACACTGTCCCCAAGATCTAGCTTTCCCATGTGTGACCCCAATGTCTCCAGGGCCAGCCAGAAGGCTGGTAGTCAACTAAAGAAGGGATTTTGTTGTATGACTTCCATTGGGTGCTCAGTAGAACGGTATGTTCTCCGGGATCTGTAAGGTAATGTAAAAGCTGGGGCCTGAAATCACCAGCCCTCTCTCTTGTTGCCCTGAAAGCTAATTTAATTATATAGAGTAAGTTAGCTTATTTTAACTATGGATTTATTTACAGAGACATTTTCTCATTGATGTGAAGTTCTTGAATAGATTCTAAGACTGTATTTTAAATCTATATGGTAAAATCTTTTTAACTCTGATATTTTATTTAATTTTGCTTTTGCATAGTTGACAACTTTCACTTCCCTGTTATGACTTCTTTATGCATCTTTTTTTGTTCTTTTGTTTTATTCTTTTTCTCACGTTTAGAAGGTAAGCTTTCTCTTGCCCTCTAGTTTCTTTTTCGCTTAAAAAGAGAAAAGCATGTCTGTGAGGTTTTTTTGTGCTGTGTGCCGTGCCTTATTCTGTGTATAACACTGTGCTTGAATGTGCGTCAGAATGTGATTTAATACGGGACTCTAGGCAGTGCTGGGGAGACTGACTGTGGCTCATATTGAGTGATTTCTTTGGGAAAAGCTAAAGGAAAGACATTACTGTGGGCTATCAGGCTGCCTATATTTGGTGGGTGCCTTCAGTTCTTTGGGTAGGCTCCTGGGATCTTTTTTGGCCTGGTCTTTCCCATTGACTTCATTTGAGGAGCAGGATTCCCCAGGTAGCTGGGAGACCCCTGAGTTACCTGTGGACCCTGCTGTTGGGAAAGGAGACTTCCAGCTGATGCTATCTCTGTACCTGCCTCTCCCACCAGTCTTCTTTGCGGGCTCTGAAATTTTGCTTTTGGAGATGCATCATTGAGGTTTTAAGCCATAATGAAAGAGGGTAGGCTAGAGAGCTTAGATGAGGCACCTGTCCTTCATAATAATCCTAGCCTTCAAAATCCAAAGGAAAACAGAAGTGAAGTGTGTCTAAAGGTCTTCCTAACTTCATTCTGTGGCTCACTGCATGTTTTGCTGTCCAAACTGAATTAGCTGTAGTTCTCCATGACCTCATGTTCCCCTAACCCAAGCTCTTCGCTTATTCTCTTTCTTTTGCTTCTAGCAGATGACAAAAAGTAATAAGGAGGAACAGGCATTTTAACCTTAATGTTTCTCTATTTTCAGAAGGGAAAAGCTATCCATCATTTAGTGAATAAATGTTATTGAACTTTATTTTGTGCAAGTGCCATCAAGAGCTGCTTCTCTCATTAAAAAAATGTAGTCAGTTGAGTTTTCAGGGCTAGGATTAGGCACTTGGGGATACAAGTGAAATAGACCTGGTACTCACCGTGTACAGTCTTGTAGCTGCTCCCAGTTTTATGCTGAGGAAAACCAATTTGTTAGGATGCTACAAAACTAACTTCATCTGAAATGAAAGAAGGTAAATTAAATTAGCTCAACTCAAGTACACGATGACATCAGAATGAACAAGAGATGTTTATGTTTTAATCTACTGACCATAAGAATGAAAAAGAGATGCTTATTTTTTAACCTAATGACATCAGAATAAAAAAAGAGGTTTATTTTTAACCTAATTTTGCTTTTGTTTTACATTTATGTGGTTCAAATATCAAAGTGCTGCAAAAAGATATACCTGATAAGTCTTCCTCCTAACCTGGTTCCCATCCACTCTACCGCTCCTCACCCTCTAAGAGTAATCATTTCTATTGGTTATCAAAATAGAAAAAAATTTTACCCTGAAAATAGAAATTGGTAGCTAGGATTTTGGCTCTTTTTCAGTTTTGTAGCATTACGCATCTTTCATTGCTCCACTGTAAGCAGTGAATTAATCAGACCTTTTGTCTGACTGTGACTGCTGGGTTCCCATTCTGTTTAATGCATACAGTGTCTTTCACCTCTTCTCGCCCCTACCAATAAATAATTAACTTTGTCTTACCATACTTGTTTCATGCCTCCCCATTGGTGCAGTATTCTTCTGGAAAGTGATGATTCCTCTAGAAAAGTGGGGGAAGAAAGTAAGTGGAAAAAATTCTTGGTAAAAGTGCGTCTTGCCGAATAAGTTAAGATTTTAAAGAGGCAATGCAATAACTGATTATTTTACCTTTTATACCTATATTCAAATTGCACATTTACAAATTTAAAAGTAACTTTGACTTTAAACACTTCACTTATTTTAAAAGTAAAAAGTTTCCTTTTCTTAAATCAACAATCATTTTATAGTGATCATTAAAAATTAGGTTAGCATTTTTTTCTGAAAATACATTATTTATTAAAAGAATTTGAGTTAAACACAATTCTAATTCTACCCTTTGTAAATTTAGTGCTCTACATTTAATTTTTTTGGTATTTATATTACTTGTATCTTGATGCATGCTGAGAATTAAGAGGAAGTGAGATAAAAAATTAAAAAAAAATTTCACTGCTAAGACTTTGAACCCTACATAGGCACTCCTGCAGCTTTGCACCGTGAATCATTAAATTCTATTATTCAGAATTAGTTCCTGTGGTGGGTCTCTCCCCACTGTGGTCCTGGGCTGGTGGTGGGTAAAAGTAGTAAGTGACTCAGATGCCTTATACAGAAGATTAGCAAACTTAACTAAGGCAGGAAATGTTGGTTAGAACTTGTGAGTGTGTAATACTACCCCCTTACTTGCAGACCACTGGGATTTAAGAGTTGATTTGTTAAATTAAAAAAAGGTCATTTGTGGGCTTTCTATGAGCAAGTGTTCTAGTGTTTTGTTTTTAGCAGCTAATAGAATGAAAGATCTCTAAGAGCTTGAGAGAAATAGTTAATTCAGGCATTTATGATATTTTATCTCCCTGCTCCCCATGAGGAGAAAATCCCAAAATAAATTGATGTTTCCCTTCTGATCTAAGTTATCTTTGGCTAGTACATCTGATCATGCACTCATAGGTAGCATAGATTTTTAGAGCCAGGAAGGTATTCTTAGAGATGAGGAATTGAGACCCAGAGAAGGTAACTTGCATGAAGTCTCAGGACTAGACAACTTTCTCTTGTTTAAATGTAGTTTGTAAGATTTTGTTCTACTGCCCAATCTATACTTTCCAGAAACATCTTAAACCAGAAACATCTGGTTTAAAACATTGACTTGCAGGTGGAAATGAGGTTAGAAAGGGGATGGAGTGGGAAGACAGGTGTTGGTGGAGGGAGAAGGGAGAGTATGGTGGGCAGTCATGGAGAGAGGTTCTTATTCCCCATATTTAAAATTTTCAAGAGCCTAGGATTGCAGGACTTTACTTTTTTAACCGAAGTTCCTCTTGATTGTCCATAGAAGGAGGTCATTATTATTCACAGGTGTTCTGAGGCCTAAATCTATGTTTAATTTAAGGAGTGTTTCAGTTCCTAGGAAAGCACGTACAAATGGTTTAGCTTGTCGTTCCATCTTTTGGTATGCAGGGAAGAGTGCCAAGGCACTGTATTTTTTTCATTTAAAACATGAATTCATAAGAATTTTATGTTAAGAAGGAGCATAACATGGTGGGGGAGGACCCAGATAGATTCAGGCCAGCTGTCCCCAAAGCCACATGACTAGACCTGGTCTTTTTATACTTCACTCTTTCAACACCCACAAACCCCCTGAAAAACAAACCAAAAACAGATAAGAAATTGGTAGAGACTTTTCTTTTTCCCAAAGTTGAGCTTTTACAGAGAAGAATACTCAAATGAAGGTGCAGTTTTTCTCTCTTCTATTTCATATCTGAATTATACTGACCTGAAATATACAGACCTACATGACAAGGTTTAGCAAAATGGTTTGTGGTACAAAGCATGGCTGACCACAAGGGTTACGATTATTTTCACCCTTTATAAATATATCCCCAAATTGACTTCTGTCCTAGTTGTCCAGTGAATTTGTTTATGTCATATTCATTGTTTGTATACTTACATGCTTATGACAGAATTCTGTCAATTCTATAATAAATATTGCCTTTCAAAAGAAATATATATGAAAGTCTTAGGAGAAAAAAATTCCCTTAGACATGTTTGTTTTTACTAGATATGACTAACATAAAATGGTTACTTATAACCTACTGTTTTCCAGAAAGAATTTAAGATGGCTCTTTCAGTTATTGTTTTAAATCTCTGAAATTGTCTAAAATTAATGCTGTTAAAAATTTTGGTAACTTATTGAAAGTCGCAGTTATTAAATGCAGCTTCATTCAAAATTGGCTATTGGTTCCTTTTAGGGGAAAATGAACATCTCTTAATTTTAACTTCTTGACGGTGTCACACCTCCCACTGAGCAGTAAATTACTCACTTCCTGAGAATTACATTCTTTCCTTGCAGTACTGGCCATTAGAGCTTTATTAAGGAGAAAAAAAGAAATGATTTTTGAGGATGCTGAATAGACAAAAACTATTTTTTCCATTGTGTTTCAAATCATTTTTGGGCATTGGAGAATAAAAGCAGTCATTTTTGTTAGTGTAGATTATGAATTTGATTTCTGGAGCTTATTTTCTCTGCAGTATTAACCAAAGTCAAAACTGACAAGGCAGAGATTTGCTGACTATTGTTGGAGATTAGTAGAATCTTTAGCAACTCTCCTTGGTAAAAGAAAAAAAAATCTTGTTTCATTTGATAAGCAATGAGGTTTGGAGTCAACAAACCTGAGATCAAATTAGGTTTGTAGGAGTCAGTTCCTGTTTCTTAATTTGTAGTATTATTTAAATGACATTTAAATTTGAGATTCAATGAGGTAAGGAGGGGGAAAGTAGCTAAAACAGAACCTAACATGCAGGGAATGCATATTAAATTCAATGCATGTCAGTTGAATTTAGTTTCCTAACTAGTAGCCTTTAATGTTAGAGTAGACATAAAAATTTCTGACCTTCGTTTCCCTTTGAATTTAGATTTTTGAAATGTAATAAATACCTATTGCTTTTCTCACTGAAAATAAAAGTGTGTTAGGAAAATGGTTTAACAGGTTTTAAGTGAAATATTTTTACATTGACATAATTATTCTCCAGGATGTCCACACACTTCCTAAGTAAGAGTTTGTGATTAAAAGAAAACCTATGCCTAGATAACTTGTGTTAGATCCTGAAGGCTACCCAGTTCTCTGAGGTTAGGAGTTGCCTGGCCTCAAGTCTTTTAAAAAGTTATTGATTCAGGCCTTGCTAATTTGGAATTAAGCTAAAGTTGACCTTTGCATTAATTTTGAAGGCAACGTTTTCTGCACAAATTAATTTAAGACATGATAGGAGAGATTTGCTGATATTCAAACCATTTGAGAATCAAAGCACTTAAAAATACCACATATCTTCTTCTAATTACAAGTGGATTTTGAAATAGATCCTCTTATGATTCTGCCTTTTATTGACAGCTACCATGGTTACATATAACTTGATAATAAAAATATTTTGTTTTCAATTTTTTTGGTAATTTAGTTCACTTCTTTTTCATTGCTATAGCTGAGAATTTGCTATTTAGAGCCTTAGATAGCCAAGGATTCAACAGGAGAATCATCTGTGTCTGTTTAGAAGGGGAAGGAGGGATTCCGACAGTTGAGAGATCTGTCTTTTGAATAGGGGGCTTTGGAACAGTTGTGGACCTTGAGCCTAACTATGGGTGCTGCCAATGCTTATTTGTGATAGTGCTGTATCTTTTTTTGAATTGGAAGTGGGGATGCTCCTGGTGCCCCCGTGTGGAAAACTAGTGGTGCAACACCTTTAAGAACCCCAGTTGTGCAGGATTGGAAACTGAAGGAAGCTAGGACATTGCCTAGAATTTTAGAGGTTAACTTTGTGCTTTGATGGCTTAACTCTGTAAGAGTCAGTTTCCTACAGCAAAAAGGAGGATAGATGGTCTTTGAAGATGCTAAATAGAGACTTAAGAGATGGCTGGTGTTATATTGTTCTCTGTGTTTTTATGTGTTTAAAAAAATTTACGGAAATACTTAAATACATTTAAAGTGATTAGTCTGTTGTTTCAGCTTCTCCTGGTGTATCCTGGGAGATTTTATGCTAGTTTCCTGATAGTCCTCGTGAATCCTGGTTGTAAAAAATAAGCTGAGACCCATTTATTCTATCCTGCATCTTCTTCCAGGTGAGGGATAGTAAGGGAACTAAGAAGGAGGAATAGCAGGGAAGGTCAGAAAACACTTCTAAATTATATTACTTTGAGGGGTTTATTTGTAGAATTAAAATTAAACTGCTAGATTAACATTTTCAATTGTTTCTTCCAACCAGTAATTCCAAGTTTTTCAGGTTAATTGAATATAGTGAAATATCATCCAGTGTGTGCATTTCAAAACAAGATGTAAAAGAACTGTGATTTGTGGCACCACATACTAACGAGGCTTCCCTGAGGTGGGAAGGGCTTTGGCAAGGCTGCAGTAGATGAATGTTGACTAGTGGAAAGGCTGACAATGAGGCATGTGACAACAGGGCTTTTTCCTGCTGAAGACATTAAACATATTCTGGCTTGAGCAATTTTACCAGTTTTCACAGTTTTAGCAATAGGGAACCCAATTCCACTCTGTTTAGCAACAGAGTAGAATTAACTGAATATTTGCATGCAAGATGCTGCATTTTGACAGAAATGAGAATTGTGGTGTGGTGACAATATTTTTAAGGCCTTCGTAGGACTGACTACCTTAGCTATGTATGTTAATGCTGTAACTTCTTCTCTGTCTTACGTTCTATCATGGTATCTCAACTTTTGCAAAGAAAATAATGGTGGGATTTCTTCCCAAAAGGACACTGAAGCCATGAAGAGAGCATTGGCCTCCATAGACTCCAAACTGAACCAGGCCAAAGGTTGGCTCCGTGACCCTAGTGCCTCCCCAGGTAACCCTCTAGTTCTGCTTTTCTGATCAATACAACGAGAAGCTAAAAACCAAGCAAATGAAAGAAAGAAATTTTCCCATAATCTCATCATCTGAGAGAACTACTGTAACATTATGGGGCATACCCCATTATCTGATAGTTCTGAGTAACTGAAGCAAGTAGTAGGCCTTACAAGGATGAAGGGAATAGATTCGATCACCTCTAATCACGGAGGAGTAAGTCATACTGAGCTGGGCATTCTTTGCAAAATTTTTGGTTCTCCCCTTCCCTGAATCCAAAAGGTAATTATTTTGAATGAAAGTTCTTCTCTTCCAGTTCCCATTGAGCAGACTTCCATTTATGTCAACAGAGTTCTTAATTAAGCAGATTAAATCATGATGCCAATGAGAATTGGAAAGTTGACTGTATAAAGATAAGACCCAAATAGGTTATTGAACTAGGCTTTATTGATTTTCTAATCTAATATTTATTCTGTTTTAGATTAATATTTGAATGAATGTGAAAAACCTAAAGTAGGTTGGAGGTGCTAAATACTATTAAATTGTTAGAGTCTGTTTTCATCATCCATATTCTTACCACAAGCTACTTAGTATCTCCAAATAGATACAGTTCCAAGTATCTTTTTTTGCGTGTCTGTTGTTGAAACCTCACCCTATGGTTTAAGGGCACTGCTTGGCTGTTAGCTATCAGATATGTTGCCTTCTATTCACTCGTCTTGTTTAAAATCATCCATTCCTTGGTGAATGAAATGACTTGTAAAGTATCCTCTCTAAATAATGAATGTGTCAACAATGTAGTTATTGAATATCTCTTTATTTTAGGGGATGCTGGTGAGCAGGCCATCAGACAGATCTTAGATGAAGCTGGAAAAGTTGGTGAACTCTGTGCAGGCAAAGAACGCAGGGAGATTCTGGGAACTTGCAAAATGCTAGGGCAGATGACTGATCAAGTGGCTGACCTCCGTGCCAGGTAAAAGTTCCTCTGTCCTTACAGAGCAGTAGTGGGTAACTCACTCCTAACAGGGTGATTCAGAAAACAAGCCTCTGCCAGTTTTGAGTTATCTCTTTGGCTAGTAGATAACAGAGATATTATAGTCTATTAAATTCTTTTGAGATGGAGGTGAACTTTCCCTTTGCTGACTTTATTTATTTATTTATTATTTTTTGAGACAGAGTCTCACTCTGTTACCCAGACTGGAGTGCGGTGGTGCGATCTTGGCTCACTGCAACCTCCACCTCCCAGGTTCAAGAGATTCTCCTGCCTCAGCCTCCCGGGTAGCTGGGATTATAGGCGCCCGCCATCACACCTGGCTAATTTTGTTTGTTTGTTTGTTTGTTTGTTTGAGATGGAGTCTTACTCTGTTGCCAGGCTGGAGTGCAGTGGCGCGATCTTGGGTCACTGCAACCTCCAGCTCCGTGGTTCAAGCAGTTCTCTGCCTCAACCTCCCGAGTAGCTGGGATTATAGGCGCCCGCCACCACGACCAGCTAATTTTTGTATTTTTAGTACAGACGGGGTTTCACCATCTTGGCCAGGCTGGTCTTGAACTCCTGACCTCGTGATCCACCCTCCTTGGCCTCCCAAAGTGCTGGGATTACAGGAGTGAGCCACTGTGCCCGGCCACACCTGGCTAATTTTTGTATTTTTAGTAGAGATGGGGTTTTGCCAGGTTGGCCAGGTTGGGCTGGGATTACAGGTGTGAGCCACCATGCCTGGCCTGACTTTATTTAAAACATGTTTTTATTTATTTATTTATTTATTTATTTAGAGACGGAGTCTCGCTCTGTCACCCGGGCTGGCATGCAGTGGTGCAATCTCGGCTCACTGCAACCCCTGCCTCCCAGGCTCAAGCAATTCTCCTGCCTTAACCTCCCAAGTAGCTGGGATTACAGGCATGGGCTGCCACACCTGGCTAATTTTTTATAATTTTAGTAGAGACAGGGTTTTACCTTGTTGGCCAGGCTGGTCTCAAACTCTCAGGTGATCCACCTGCCTTGGCTTCCAAAAGTGCTGGGATTACAGGCGTGAGCCACCATGACCTGCCAAATTTTTTCTTTTTCTTTTTCTTTTTCTTTTTTATTTTTTTGAGATGGGAGATTCGCTCTTGTTGCCCAGGCTGGAGTGCAATGGCGCGATCTCGGCTCACTGCAACCTTCGCCTCCTGGGTTCAAGTGATTCTCCTGCCTCAGCCTCCTGAGTAGCTAGGATTACAGGAATGCGCCACCATGCCCGGCTAAGTTTGTATTTTTAGTAGAGACGGGGTTTCTCCATGTTGGTCAGGCTGGTCTCAAACTTCCGGCCTCAGGTGATCCACCTGCCTTGGCCTCCCAAAGTGCTGGGATTATAGGTGTGAGCCACCATGCCCGGCCAAATTTTTTATTTTTAATGACATGGCCTTGCTCTGTCACCCAGGCTCAAGTGCAGTGGTATGATCATAGTTCACTGTAACTTTGAACTCCTGGGCTCAAGCAATGTTCCTTCTTCAGCCTCCTGAGTAGATAGAACTATAGGCATGTGCCACTATGCTTGGCTAGTTTTTCAATATTTTGTAGAGATAAGGTCTTGCTATGTTTTGTGGTCTCAAACTCCTGGCCTCAAGTGATCCTCTCAAAAGTGTTGAGATTAAAGGCGTGAGCCACCACTCCTGGCTTGAACTTTTAAAATACACAAATGCCTAATAGTAAAGTTGAAACTTGTTCCGTAATTGAAACTGAAACACAAATCTAGTTTCTAATTTACTAGCCATAGGCTTATGAAAAATAAAGGGGCAGTGGTGAAGTCTGGCATGGGTAAATACATTTTACGGAGGATGGGGAGAAAGAAACATAGCGTGAAAACATTGGAATTATTTCACCTCATAAAAAAATCATTTAACTAGGTTATCCTCTAAGTTGGTAATTTCTGGGCTTTTTTGAGTTTCCTTTTCATGATTATTTATTCGGATTCATAATTATTTACCTTCCTTTTACCCTCCTAAAGCCTTGGCCTTTAGAGCTTTTCTCCCCATAAACTAAATAAACATAGTTTGCTATTGAGAAAACTCAATATAATATAAATTTGTTTGGAATTCATACAGATGAACTCATCCATAGTGATAATGAAGTTCTAAAAGATTTTTATAGAATTTTATGGTATGGACATTACGAAAACTTGGAATAGGATGAGACACTCATGAAACATCATGAGATAATTAGGATACACAGGGTCTACATACAAACAGGGCTCAGAAACACTCCTCTACATGCAGTGCACCATTATACCTGGTCTCCAATATTAGTGCAATAGACATAAGAATGCAGATCTTATTTATTTATTTTTATTTTATTTTATTTTATTTTTTTGAGACAAGAGTTTTGCTCTTATTGCCCAGGCTGGAGTGCAATAGCATGATCTTGGCTCACTGTAACTTCCGCCTCCTGGGTTCAAGGCATTCTCCTGCCTCAGCCTCTTGAGTACCTGGGATTACAGGCATGCGCCACCATGCCTGGCTAATTTTTGTATTTTAATAGAGACGGGGTTTCACCATGTTGATCAGGCTGGTCTTGAACTCCTGACCTCAGGTGATCCGCCTGCTGCGGCCTCCCAAAGTGCTGGGATTACGGGTGTGAGCCACTGTGCCTGGCCAAGAATGCGGATCTTAAAGGCGTGGTTCTTAACCTTTTGTGGACCAAGATCACTTCTATCATCTGATGAAAACATTCATCCTTACCTAAAAAGATGCATATAAACATGCCCATACAATATTATGTATAATTTCTAGAGGTTCCTGGATTCCCTGCAGCCCTGGAAGCTCCAGGACTTTCAGGTTGCGTCTCTATGTTGAAGGGGAAAGAAACAGCTTAAATAAATGTGATCCCATTGAGTTCAGTGAATCTTTTCTCCTGCTGAGAAGCAGTCTCCTCTGTCATGAGCATGGTAAGAACTTTGCAAAAAGGACAAAAAGAAGTTTTGTTCTCATTCGGAGAAATGCCAGTGCAGTTTGATAGGATTCTTGGCTCTTCTGATTTCTCACTTTTGTGTCTTTTGTCTGCAACCTTTTCCCAGTGTGGTAGCCAGTTTTCACTTGGAATTCTCAAATACACAGTTGTATGTGTTTAGAGAAAGATGAGTATGAGCAAGAGAATGAGGTAGTTATTGTAGGGGTTCCACCATTAATCTGTAAAGAGAAAAGGCTAGAACAGTGAAGGGTAACTATGGTCCTGCTTCACAGTGGAGCCTGCAATATCCTTTCCTGATGAAAGATTAGAAAGTTATCTCCCTGTAGTCCTTTCTTAAGTGTACCCAGCTGTTTAATATTTTAGTGGCTGAAATGCGGTAACAATTTCTTCTTGATATTCTGTTCAGTCACACAGGGTTTCTAGGTTGCTAGTATATATTTTTACCCCCATGAGACTCAATAAAATCTTTCTGTTTTGAATGAAAAAACTGTGTAGCCCATAAATAGTTTTACTTTTTCACAGTTGGACTCTTTTTTAAAAAAAAAATTTCTAAATTTCCAGCCTCAGAGAAGTTATTATTTTGTAATATACAGTTGGACTCTTTTAACAAAAAGATCTCTCATCATGAAGTAGTAGATTTGAAGAAAAAAAGCACATTAAATCCTAAAGACTATGTTTCCTAAAAGTCTTCCCCTCTTCTGCCACATAAAAGGAAGGCCTCAACTTCAAGGAAAAAGTGTATATATACCTTTTATATACCCGGCAATAAATGAATGATTCATTACCTCAAGTTTTGGTATAGATGAAAAACAGAATAATTTTATTTATTTATTTATTTATTTTTTTTTTTAGGTTTTTCTTTTTTTTTTTTTTTTCTTTTTTTGAGACGGAGTCTCGCTCTGTCGCCCAGGCTGGAGTGCAGTGGCGTGATCTCGGCTCACTGCAAGCTCTGCCTCCCGGGTTCACACCATTCTCCTGCCTCAGCCTACCGAGTAGCTGGGACTACTAGGCGCCTGCCACCACGCCTGGCTAATTTTTTTTTTTTTTTTTTTTGGATTTTTAGTAGAGACGGGGTTTCAGCGTGTTAGCCAGGATGGTCTCGATCTCGTGACCTCGTGATCCGCCCACCTTGGCCTCCCAAAGTGCTGGGATTACAGGCGTGAGCCACCGCGCCTGGCCGAAAACCAGAAGAATTTTAAAAAGAGGCTAGATAGGCTGGGTGTGGTGGCTCACACCTGTAATCCCAGCACTTTGGGAGGCTGAGGCTGGTGGATCTCTTGAGGTCGGAAGTTCAAGACCAGCCTGGCCAACAGTGTGAAACCCCGTCTCTACTAAAAATACAAAAATTAGCCAGGCATGGTGGCACATGCCTGTAATCTCAGCTACTCGGGAGGCCGAGGCAGGAGAATTGCTTGAACTACTTGAGAGGCTGAGGTAGGAGAATTTTGGCTCATTGCAACCACTGCCTCCCAAGATCGCGCCACTTCATTCCAGCCTGGAAAACAGTGAGACTCCGTCTCAAAAAAAATAAAAAAACCCACAGAGGCTAGATAGATGAATGACAGATCAATACTATTATGAAGGGAAGCAAAGGTGTTTTGGAGTTTATCCTAAAAATAGAAGTTCTGATTAGGATAATCAGCCATGCCATTCTACCAAATGGTAAAGTTACTGCCCCTATCATTGAGTTTACCAGCCTGCTTGGATTAAAACAATCTGGATTGTAAAATGAGGGCAAATCATACTTTGTGACTTGGAAAGTAAATAAGGAAAACAAGTAAATAGGGAAAGTAAATAGAGAAACAAGTTTCCATGAACTCATATCATTTTTAGTAGTAATAGCATATCATTTCTGAGAGAGGAAAATAGTGAAATCAGTTCTTTAGGAACTTGATGGGAAACAGTGGTTTCCTATCACCATGTGCTCAGTATTAGCTAGTTTCGATTATTTATATATTTATAGGTTGCCTAGGAGGAAGGTAGGCATTTAAGATTATCATTAGGTTCATTATAAAAATGATGATAATTCAGTAATAATGATAGATTTTTATTGCCAGTGTTTTCAAGTATATTATTTTGATGCTTGAAGCCACTCCATAAGATAAGTGGGGAAAATGTATTACCTACCTTCATTATATGTTACCTTCACTATATAAGTTAGAAAATGGAAACCCAGGGAGGTTAAACATCATAAACAAGGTTCCACAGGTACCAAGAGTCAAGATTTGAACACAGATCTGCTTGTTCCCAGTCTGGTACACTTTCATTAACACTATGCGTGCTTCCTCCTGAAACATTTTCAATGTATACTTGCCCATAAGAAGACAATTTAATGGACTATTTATTTCAGAAGCACACATTACTATGGTAACAAAGCCCTCCCTAGCAATAAGATCACCAGCACATTTTCCCACTGAAGTTTAGATTGGATTATGTAATCACTACCAAGAGGAGAATAATTATCAAAATTTGCTGGCCTGGTCTTCAAAGTGGTTATGCAGTTCCGTGAAGCTAATGTGCATTTTTAAAAGAAAAAGTACTTGATTTGGGCGTCTTGCTTTGTTTATGTCTGTTTTCTTGTGCTGTCCCAGATTTACTGGGAAAAAGGAAAAAGCCAAGCATGTTCATGAAAACCACATGTACTGTGCTATTGGGAATATTTTGTCATTAAGTATTTGAGGGTGTACAATGACAGCATGTGTCTGTTTTGAGCAGAGGACAAGGATCCTCACCGGTGGCCATGCAGAAAGCTCAGCAGGTATCTCAGGGTCTGGATGTGCTCACAGCAAAAGTGGAAAATGCAGCTCGCAAGCTGGAAGCCATGACCAACTCAAAGCAGAGCATTGCAAAGAAGATCGATGCTGCTCAGGTAGTCACAGTGATTTTCAGGAGGGGTGGGAAATATTTCATAAATATCCTAAGTCATAAATATCCTATCTTTCTTCTCTGTCTCTTATCATTTACTGTGGTTGGATAATGGTTTCTAAGTGATGAGTGACTTCCAGCACTTACCAATGTTAACACCTCCTTTACCACCACAGGTTTAGACAAATGTTTATCTATATTTTGAAATAAAGATCTTAATTTACAGCACTTCAGTTAGGTAAAAGTAAGCTCTCAGAGTACCAAGGGAAGATTGCAGTACATTGGAACTATTCCTTGTCCCAGAATTCACAACTCTTGGGTCATTGTAATGTTTAGGGGTTAAAGTTTTCCGATACTGCTCTACTGTAAAATGATTTTCAAGCATTTCACAAACACACATGTTTGAGGAACTGAGGAACTAATAAGGTGTGGTTAATTCAGAGATGAGATAAAGCTTGGGAAAATATTTTATGCTAATGGGTGTAAAAAAATTGATTTTAAAAAGATGAGAGATTGAGTTTCTTATCTAAGAACCTCCATACAATAATAAAGATCAGAATTATAAAAATGATTACTGGTATATTACTTTTGAAATCCTTCTTCTGGCCTTGTTAAGTTTAGTAGAAAGGAGTGTGTGAGTAGATCACAGCGTGCTGCTTCTCCGTTTCTATGTGTAGAACTGGCTTGCAGATCCAAATGGTGGACCGGAAGGAGAAGAGCAGATTCGAGGTGCTTTGGCTGAAGCTCGGAAAATAGCAGAATTATGTGATGATCCTAAAGAAAGAGATGACATTCTACGTTCCCTTGGGGAAATATCTGCTCTGACTTCTAAATTAGCAGATCTACGAAGACAGTATGTATTTAACCCTTACATTGCCTTTTCATATCTTTTCTTCTCTTTCTCTCTCCCTTCCCTCTCCCTTTCTTTCTTTCTTCCCCCAAGAACATACATATTTCAATTCCCCTAGGTTAAATGCACTTATGATGCTCTTCCACTATATTCTCATTAATTCTAGGTCAGATGTTAATTTGCTGTATCAGTGATGTAACTGAGGTTTAATGATTTATTGCTGGTCACATAGTTATAAATTGATAAATTTAGGATGCTAAGAACTCCTTTTTTGAGATGCTTTTTAAATTTCTAAGCTAGGGCTTTCTTTGATACATCATGTTTATGACCTATCTGTTTCCCATACATAAGAGGAAAATAATTTTTGTGGCTAGCTATGAAAAGACTCCTATGTGTATATGGAGGGGAAGAAGCGTAAGAATGTACTTTCCTCCTTCCCCAGCAATGATATTTTGTAAGTAGCAAGTATAGGAGATACTTAAATTACATTTCCTGGATGATTTTTCTTGTAACAACAGCCTCCCCACAGCCTCCTCTCCTAAAGTCTCTCATGGCACCTACTTTGATGATATGGAAAAGGGGTATTTCCTCTTTTTTTTTTTATTTTTTATTTTTATTTTTTTGAGATAGGGTCTCACTCTACCACCCACGCTGGAGTGCAGCGGCATGACTATGCCTCACTGCAGCTTTGAACTCCCAGGCTCAAGCCATCCTTCCACCTCAGCCTCCGGAGTAGCTGGGACTACAGGCACGTGCCACCATGCCTGGCTAATTTTTTTATTTTTTGTAGAGACGGGGTGTTGCTATGTTGTCAGGGCTGGTCTCAAACTCAAGGGCTCAAGCTATCCTCCCACTTCAGCTTTCCAAAGTTTTGGGATTACAGGCATGAGCCACTGCACCTAACTGCTTTCTTCTTTCAATAGATATTTTTCACTTTTAAGAAAAAAACCCCTGCAGCACATGCTAAAATAACACTAAGGAAGGGTTTAATGTCAAATGTAAAAGTTGCTCTCTATACTCTTAGGACCTAATGGAAGTCCATATACATACTAGGTACTCTTTAATGTTTCTTAATGATGAAGAGGTAATGAATGGTAATGGTGCTAACAGCAGACCTTCATGTGTGGTCATTCATGCCATCATTACTTAATACTATAGCACACACATAAACATACATCTATGTAACCTCTTGCCAGGAGTAGCCACGATCAGAATCATGTTAAAGACCCTCTTTGTTCACCTTTATAAAGGAGAATGTTATAAAAATTTAGAATCATAAAGGAACTCTTAAGAGAGTATCTAAGCTGGGCATGGTAGCTCAGGCCTGTAATCCCAACACTTGGTGAGGCTGAGGGCGTGTGGATCACTTGAGGTCAGGAATTCAAGACCAGCCTGCCAGCCTGGCCAACATGGTGAAACCCTGTCTCTACTAAAAAAAATACAAAAATTAGCCAGGCCTGGTGGTGGGTGTGTAATCCTAGCTACTCAGAGGCTGAGGCAAGAGAATAGCTTGAACCCAGGAAGTGGAGGTTGCATTGAGCTGAGATTGTGCCGCTGCACTCCAGCCTGGGTGACAGAGTGAGACTCTGTCTCAGCAAAAAAAAAAAAAAAAAAAAAAAGAAAAGAAAAGAAAAAAAAGAGAGAGACAGAGTATCTAAATTAGCTGTTCTGGCGCGGATGGGCTATTATTTTTATTTATGTATGTATTTTATTTATTTATTTATTTATTTTTGAGACGGAGTCTTGCTCTGCTGCCAGGCTGGAGTGCAGTGGCGTGATCTTGGCTCACTGCATCCTCCGCTTGCCAAGTTCAAGTGATTCTCCTGCCTCAGCCTCCCGAGTAGCTGGGACTACAGGCGCACACCACCACGCCCAGCTAAATTTTTGTATTTTTAGTAGAGATGGGGTTTCACCATGTTGTCCAGGATGGTCTTGATCTCTTGACCTCGTGATCCACCCACCTCAGCCTCCCAAGTCCTGGGATTACAGGTGTGAGCCACCACACCTGGCCTATTATTTTTATTTTTACAGATGAGACAGATAAAGTTAGCCTGAAAGTTACCTTTCTATGGCTGAGAGGACCTGAGATGGAAAATGAGTCAGATTCTTTGTATTTTTATAATGGTTAGAATTTGAAGTCTTTGGAATAAGGTGTTGGGGGCAGTTTTTTTCTTTGTGATATAATTGTGGTTGTCTTTTTATTTCTGTGTTGATACTTGGTTGAGGTTCTTTGGTTGGAAGGACCTGGTCAAGTAAAAAGTAGAGGATTATTGAAAATAGAGGCACCTCATCAAACCCAATAGCTTGAATGTGGCCAGATCTTGGGCAACTGGAAGCCCCTCCCTCCACCTCTTAGTCGCTGTGTGGGATCCTCTATGTCTGTTTCACCCTGTGTGTTGACTTAGTTTATTTATCTGGGGGTTTTGTCTCTGGCTGTGAGCTACCACGGCCCAGGCTTAATCACTTTCCAGCTCCAGATACCATCACTGGTTGACTATGCAGTGTTTTTGAAATATGGACCCAGGATTATCTGCCTAAGAATCATCTGAGAAGGTCGTTAAAAATGCAGACCCCTTGACCCCACCGCAGACATACTTAATTGGAATCGCTTTTGATGGTGGGTTTAACAATCTGTATTTAAAAATAAGATCTCCAGTGACTTTTATCCACACTGGACTTTGAGAACCCCCAGAATCTAATTGAGTGCCTTGCCTGACTGTGGGTATGTTGTCCTTGAGGTAGATAACCACCCAGTTTAATCAGTTATGGCAAGGACTGGGGATTATGTGATACCAAATGTATAGTAGTTTATGAATGAAGGCTGGGCACGGTGGCTCACGCCTGTAATCCTAGCACTTTGGGAGGCTGACGTGGGCACATCACCCGAGGTCAGGAGTTCGAGACCAGCCCGGTCAACATGGTGAAAACCCGTTTCTACTAAAAATAGAGAAATTAGCTGGGTGTGGTGGTGGGCATCTATAATCCTAGCTACTCAGGAGGCTGAGACAAGAGAATGGCTTGAACCCGAGAGGCAGAGGTTGCAGTGAGCCGAGATCGTGCCACTGCACTCCAGCCTGGGCAACACAGCGAGACTCCATCTCAAAACAAAACAAACAAAAAAAAGTGTGGCGACTCTGAAGTCACGGTGCTGGGTTTGAATCCTGACTCTATCAAAGTAAATAATGGGACATTGGGCAAGTTATCCAACCTCATACCTCCATTTTGTTTCTTTAATAATGAGGATAATACTGTTATTTACATCATAGGGTTGTTGTAAGGATTAAATAATATAAGGCAACTGCTTATGGCTGGGTGTGGTAGGTCATGCCTATAATCCCAGCACAGGACTCTGGGAGGCCCAGGTGGTAGGATCACTTAAACCCAGGAGTTAAGGACCAGCTTGGGAAACATCGGGAGAATGTTTCCTATCTCCACGAAATATTTTTTTTTTTAATTAGCCAGGTGTGGTGGTGCATACCTATAGTCCCAGCTACCTGAAAGGCTGAGGCAGGAGGATTGCTGCAGTGAGCCCTGGGAGGTCAAGCCTGCTGTGAGCCATGATCTCACCACTGCATTCCAGCCAGGGTGATGGAGCAAAACCCCTCTCAAAACAAAAAACAAACAACAACAAAAAATTGCTTGTAACAGTACCTGGCAGAATTAGGACTCAAAAGATAGTATTACTACTAGTTTGACTATAACTGTTTCAGCTGCTCCTACAACAAACATGGCTGCCTGGGCCCACCCAGTTCCAGAGGAAACTGGTGTTTTCAGAGGTGGCAGGCAGAGGGTGCCGCTAACCTAGTGATGATTGATTGAGCTCCGCTAACCAAATGATTGATCTGAGCTTTACTGATGCAAACTCATATTTAATGTCTTAACTAGGACAAAATAATCTGAATGTAAATTATTAATTTCTTATGTAAGGGCCAAATAAATAAACCACTCCTTTCAAACCAAATTAATAGTAATCAGGAGCAATTTGTCATCCTATTAGCATTTGTCATTAGCAGCTAAGTGATCTCAATGTAAATAGTGTTTATGTGTGACAGGATGGCTGTCTTTTTCTCTGTAGGGGGAAAGGAGATTCTCCAGAGGCTCGAGCCTTGGCCAAACAGGTGGCCACGGCCCTGCAGAACCTGCAGACCAAAACCAACCGGGCTGTGGCCAACAGCAGACCGGCCAAAGCAGCTGTACACCTTGAGGGCAAGATTGAGCAAGCACAGCGGTGGATTGATAATCCCACAGTGGATGACCGTGGAGTCGGTAAGGGCAGCAGTGCACTATAACCTCATTAAATTGGTCTCAGTGCAAATAAGCAAGTTGTTGATAGGGGTCCTGTAACATCTGTAATTAGGTAAGGGTTCTTTAGCTGCTGATAAGTAACTGTGATTCCATTTCCAAATGCAGCCAGTAAAATTCCTGTGATGTAATCAAGAAGCAGACCAGGCATGGTGGCTCATGTTTGTAATCCAAGTGCTTTGGGAGGCTAAGGTGGGAGGATCACTTGCGCCCAGGAGTTTGAGACCAGCCAAGCAACATAGCAAGACCCTCTCTGTACAAAAATAAAAGAGTAAAGAATTGGCTGGGCATAGTGATGCTCACCTGTAGTCACACCTTTCCAGCTACTTGGGAGGCTGAGGTGGGAGGATCGCTTGAGACCAGGAGTTCCAGTCTGTAGTGAGCTATGATCACACCACTGCATTCTAACCTCAGTGACAGAGAGAGACCATGTCTCTTTAAAAACAAAACAAAAAAGAACAAAATTCTAAGTTAGTTATGCCCAGTGTTGTGAGGAGTTGGAGAATTGGGCACATATATAATTTACTGGAGAAATAAATTAGTACAAACTTTCTAAATTTGGTATTAGATGTCAAGAGCTTTAAACAAAGTTCATACCCATTGACTCAGGAAATTAAGGGTTTCTTCCCTAAGAAATAATTAGAGATCTTTCTAAGAAGTTGCATACAGGAATATATGCATACAGCATAAATGTTTAATAATAACTGACTTGTGAAATAATTATTGTTAATATGATAAAATATTACATAGATTTTAGATCATGATTTTAAAAGATAGTGAAATAAAAATAAAGTGTTAAATAAAAAGAACTGGCTGGGTGCGGTGGCTCATCCCTGTAATCCCAGCACTTTGGGAGGCCGAGGTGGGTGGATCGCCTGAACTCAGGGGTTTGAGACCAGCCTGGGCAACATAGTGAGACCCTGTCTCTCTAAAAAAAACCAATTAGCCAGGTATGGTGGTGCACACTTGTAGTTCCAGCTACTTGAGAGGCTGTGGTGGGAGGGATTGCTTGAGCCGGCAGGTCAAGGCTGCAATGAGCTGTTGTTCCACTGCACTCCAGCTTGGGTGATAGAGCAAGACGCCACATCGCACCACAGAATGGCATTGCAATTGTCTCCTCTGGGTCTTGTAAGTTTCATTGTTTTTCTCTTGGTCCAGGTCAGGCTGCCATCCGGGGGCTTGTGGCCGAAGGGCATCGTCTGGCTAATGTTATGATGGGGCCTTATCGGCAAGATCTTCTCGCCAAGTGTGACCGAGTGGACCAGCTGACAGCCCAGCTGGCTGACCTGGCTGCCAGAGGGGAAGGGGAGAGTCCTCAGGCACGAGCACTTGCATCTCAGCTCCAAGACTCCTTAAAGGTAGAAGTCAGGAGCACATATCATTTTACTTTTTATGCTTCCTATTATTGAAAGACGAGGGAAGGAAGAGAGAGTTTTGAAAAATACATAATTTCTGGGGTCTAGGGAAAATGAAAAGAGTGTGACCAAAGATATAAGGAAATCTAGAGCTTATTAGGAAAAAGCTTGCTGGTATATAGTAGCAACTAAATTTGTGTTTTCCAAATTCCACTCAGTCAAGAGCCCTTTCGTGATTTTTGCTCTATCCACATATCATCTGTACTTTTATTTAGCCAATATTTTTCTTAAAATGGACTTTTTTTTTTTTTTTAAATGGACTTCTTTTTAAAACTTAAATTTATTTAAGAGAAAACTCTGTGGGCCGGGCATGGTGGTACATGCCTGTAATCTCAGCTACTTGGGAGGCTGAGGTGGGAGAATCACCTGAACCTGGGAGGCAGAGGTTGAAGATCACGTCACTGCACTCCAGCCTGGGTGACAGAGCGAGACTCCATTTCAAATAAATAAATAAATAAATAAATGAAAGAAAACTTTGTAATCCTGAAATCTTGGGTTTGATAAGCTAGTTGTATTTTTTCTATTATCCTTTAAAAGAAACACATAATTATTAAAATAAAAACATTTGCCCATGTAACACCTAAAATTATCTCAGGTATCACCAGCTAGTTTATGCTGCCCACCTTGCAAAACAATGAGGGTGATGGAGACTTCTTTGTATATATCCAGAAAACTTAAATTGGATTAAATGTGATGACTATGAAAAAGAGCTTGTTCATGGCTTCTAAGAATACTCTTATTTAGACCCATGTTGAGAAATTGATACAGATATTTGTTATTGAGTTTTTCTAGAAAACTTAATTGAAAGAACCTGGATTAAAAAATTCCCATTCTTGATTTCTTTCCTCTTAAGACAATAAATTGCTTAGAATTTGGCACTACATCCACCAAACAATCCTTACAGTTACTGTGATCGTTATCAGGCCCCGCCAGCACTGGCAATGGTGTGGAACTCTAGCCCATCTCTGGGCCTTCTTTGGGCTCAACCTCATGATTCTCAGTATCATTTCATGGAGGCCACCAAAAAAGGAAGTAGGGTTCCTTGATTGAGTGGAACAGTCTCTAGGGACATGTGGGTCATGTCTTATTTCTACTACACCACTAATGTCTTACAGGGCAGGATTCATAAATTACACCTGTTCTGTGCTAGCTCAGTGCTTTGTACACAGTTAACAAATATTTATTGAATGAAAGACTGAATAGATGAATGAATGTCAGTGAAGTAAGGGCATTAGTAGATATGCTTTGAGGATGTATCTGGACATTTTCATATGTAAACAATGTTTTTAAGGATCTAAAAGCTCGGATGCAGGAGGCCATGACTCAGGAAGTGTCAGATGTTTTCAGCGATACCACAACTCCCATCAAGCTGTTGGCAGTGGCAGCCACGGCGCCTCCTGATGCGCCTAACAGGGAAGAGGTGGGTATCTGAGGTCTTCCATTTTTCTGTCAGCCTGTGCTATAGGTATATGTAAAGGTGAAATGTGATTACAGTGGACATCAGGATCAGTGGTTGGGAAACTGTAGATGAAGGGTGGAAGAGCAGAACAGGGAAAGCCCTACCACCTCTACTTTTAGTCTCCACGTATATCAGTGAGGAATATCTTTAGTTGCAAGCAATAGAAGACCTGACCATCAGAGATGAAAACAACCGGGTTTGTTTTCATCACAAACCAAGAAACATGGAAGTAGGTGGCTTTGGCATTGGTTCAGCAGCTAAATATCATGAAAGCTGGCATTTCTATGATTTTCTAGGTCATTTTCTCAGGGTGTGGGATGGCATCATGTTAAATGCAGGAAGAAATGAAGAATGGGGGTACTCCAGTCACAACTGTGCCTTTCGAGTCAGGATGATCTTTTTAAATCAATCGATGTCATTCTTATACTCAGACCCTTCCAATGACTCCCCGCTATCCCAGAGTAAAACCAGAGTGCTAACAATGAAGAAAATTGCCAGCGATGTGCTGGTAAGCCAACTCTCCAGGAAAACGAAAAACCTTGATTTGTAATGTTTGTTGATTTCCATTATGTAAATACTCCCACGGTGGCTGTTTCAACATGAAGTCACTGAAACCTGAGTTGGGAAGAGATGGACATGTTTCGCTCCTGTGAGCTGGCACGAGTCGGTACAGGTGGCTTTAGCACACCACTGGATCTGGTCCCCATCCATTTCTTTGCTCTCGTGTGGTACCACTCTTCCCCCTCATGCTACATCTGTATGTACCTCCTTGAATTGTATTCCTAGTGTGTATTTATATGTTCTAATCTTGGGGCCTTTGCACTCGTTTGTTCCAGTCTTCTCCAGATAACCATATCTATTAGTTACTGTCTTTCTTCAGCTTTCTACTGAAATGTCACTTTCGGGTGACCACTAAGATAACACCACCACCCCAACTACTATCCCCATGGATTTCTTCATCTCCATATCCTACTTTTTCACTTAGCATTTATCAACATTTAATGTATTTACCCATTTTTCATTTTTGGTTTGTCTGTCTCCCTCCCACTACCATGAAAGCTCCATGCAGGGAGGGACTTTATTCTGTCATTGCCTTATTCCCCCTTCTTGGAACAGTGCCTGCCACATTGTTGGTGCTGAATGAGTGAAAATAGAGGCTTTCTTAGAAATTGTCCAGGAGAGCTTTGCTATGCCTCATTGGCTTGAACTCTGTCTCATGGCCACCCTAGCTGCAAAGGAGTTTAGGAAAGCAAGTATTTGGTTTTCCAGCCTTTATAGTATTGGCAGCGAATGAGAAGGGGTTTGGGTCAGGTACCCAAGACAGTGTAGAACTGGTAGGTGGAGGTTTTTGTTATTATGTGCTGATTACCCCAGTTTTCTTTCTGTAACCTGAGTTACTAGGCAGTTCAGCTGATTGTTCCCTTAGGCTGAGATGATTTGCTATTTTTTTAATTCCAGACTTCTCTTTCAGGCTAGTAGATACATCTAGGTGGGCCTCTCCACCTACAGTCTTCCTAGTTACCTCAGCATATGTTGTCCTTCTGTTCTCTCTCAGAAATTTGTGAGTTGTCATTGACTTTTCCCTTCCCCACACCCGTTCATACAAATAAACAACTAAGGCACACTCATTTAATCTCACATCCATTTTCTGTTCATATTGCCAGAGCTCTAATTATTTTCCTAGTCCCCTAGTCCCCCTAGAGCTATGACTGCATAGCTCTAACTGGTCTTCTTTGACTCTTTCACTAGGCCATCAATCAAATAAAAATACAACCTGACTCTGACATTCTCCTGCTTAAACCCTTCAGTGGGGCCTGTACTTTCACAGAGGATAAGGCCAGGGCTCTGTGATCTAGCTCTGACACTTCCCATACCTGTTTCCTACAAACCCCTCCCTCTCATTTCTGGCCCTAGCTATACCTAGTTGCTTGTGGTTTCCTGCACAGTCTGTCTTTTCCATGTCTTTGTTTTTTCTGTGTAATTATCTTCCCCTTCTTTTTTGGTGAATTACTATTTATCCTTCATCCTATTATCCTTTGTTTCCTAGAGAGGTTAAGTGCTTTTTCTTTTGCTCCTACCTATAGTATCAGTGCTTAGCTCTATTATTGTACATAGCACACTGTATTGTAAATCTGTTTTCGAGTGCTTTTTTCTCACTGGGCTGTGAGTTCCTTGAGATGAGGATATTGTGTTTTACTCATTTTTGTGTCCTCAGCACCTGTCTCAGGGTCTGGCACATAGTAGGTGCTCAGTAAATTTTGGTTGAGTGACGAGAAAAGCAAGTTAAGCAGTTAGTTAAATCAGAAGGAGCAGCAGTCATGGTCTGGCATTGAGATGGTCAACCAAGGATATTAGGTAGGTAAAAGCCCAGGAGATCCAGAGTGTGGGAGACCAGCTAGGGTAAAAGAACTGAGGCCACGGGAAGGAGGCTAGGAGATCAGGGATTTTAGGCAGAGATTCTCAGCATTAAATGGCAGGAACCCATGTAGTTAAATCCAAACAAGAGGCTGGCGTGGGGAAGAGACTTGAGAAGATAGACACAGAACACTGGCAATGATTTGGAACCTGCTATTGAACCAAGAGACCTTTAGAGATTGTCTAGAGCCAGAACTGATCTCCAAGTTAGGCAGAAGTTGACAAAAAAGAGGACGCATTCCACTAGGCAGCTCCAGACATGTTCGTGTAGTGTATAAACCTGACCCAGTGCTGTTGGGAAGCATCAGTTCTAATAATGCAGTAAGTAAGTAACTGAATGTGAAGACTAAATAAACCCCATTCTCCAAAGCTTATCTTCTAGTTTGAAGAAGATAAGCTTTTGCAAGAATCTATTCTAACAAATGACCAAAGATCTCTTGCTACTTTAAGTTTAATAGTCCCCTCCACAGTATGCAACCTTGCACAGTATCCCTGTTAAAGGAAACATTAACTTTTTTAGAATTTGAGAGCTGAATGAACAATTAAGTAGATGATTTTGCATTTGGGGTTAATAAAAGTCAGTCATCCTTGCCCTGAGGCCTGAGTGTGAGCACCAGCTATCATTTTTCCCTTGGAGGTCAATGGCAGAGTTTTTACAACATTAATGGTAATGGGATATATGAAGGATGCTGCTCTGGGGAGCCTGGAGCTCAATTTAGGACTGTGTGGATGTTCTGGGCTTTTAATGTACCCAGCTGCCTACAATAGAGCCTGGAGTGGGCTTGACTGTCTTCTTCAAACTAGAAGATAAGCTTTTGAGAATGGGGGTTGTTTAGTCTTCACATTCAGCAAATTACTGCAGAGTATATAATGCTCCTGCTTGTACCTGGTAAGCACTGGTTGAACTGGAAATGAAGGTTATGTGCGTGTGTGTGTGAGTGTGTTTGTGTGCATTTGCACATGATGGTGATGGCTAAACGTCTGAGGAGATCCATCAAGGCCAGGATTTGGAGTTTGACTGTTGTTTTATTAACTAGGGTTTGATGTCATCTCTAAAGTCTTTGAGCAGTTGCTGCCCTTCTTAAAGGATGAAACTTTTTCTTAGGCTGCCTGACCCATTTTATTGAAATAAATGTTCTTAATATCTGTTTTTTCCTCAAGGTATTTGATGAGAGGGCAGCTAACTTTGAAAACCATTCAGGAAAGCTTGGTGCTACGGCCGAGAAGGCGGCTGCGGTTGGTACTGCTAATAAATCAACAGTGGAAGGCATTCAGGCCTCAGTGAAGACGGCCCGAGAACTCACACCCCAGGTTGGGTTTTGCTCATTCCTCATACAGTGTTCAGTAAAGAAAGTTAATTACAGAACAGTTTCTATACATTTTTGAATACTTACCGTAAGATGGCATAAAAAAACATATACAGGCCAGCACGGTAGCACCTATAATTCCGGCACTTTGGGAGGGTGAGGCGGGAGGACTGCTTGAGCCTGGGAGTTTGAGACCAGCCTGGGCAATACAGCAAGACCCCGACTCTACCAAAAAAAAAAAAATTAGCTGGGTGTGGTGGCGCATGCCTGTGAACACAGCTATTTGTGAGGCTGAGGTGGGAGGATTATTTGAGCCCAGAAGGTTGAGGCTGCAGTAAGCTTTGATTGCCCCACTGCCCTCCAGCCTGGGGTGACAGAGCAAGACCCTGTCACCGTCTTTATACATTTTCATAACATTTGAATTTTTTTTTACAAGGACTATTTATTAGTTTTTTTTTTTTTTTTTTTTTTTTGAGACGGAGTCTCGCTCTGTCGCCCAGGCCGGACTGTGGACTGCAGTGGCGCAATCTCGGCTCACTGCAAGCTCCGCTTCCCGGGTTCACGCCATTCTCCTGCCTCAGCCTCCCGAGTAGCTGGGACTACAGGCGCCCGCCACCGCGCCCGGCTAATTTTTTTTGTATTTTTAGTAGAGACGGGGTTTCACCTTGTTAGCCAGGATGGTCTCGATCTTAGTTTTGAAAGTAGAAAAAATTAGTAAAGCAATCCCCTTGCCACATACACACATAACTAGGAAAATATTTGGATAATCTTTTTTTTTTTTTTTTTTGAGGGACAGAGTTTCGCTCTTGTCACCCAGGCTGGAGTCCAATGGTGTAATCTCAGCTCACTGCAGCCTCCACTTCCTGGGTTCAAGTGGTTCTCCTGACTCTGCCTCCTGAGTAGCTGGGATTACAGGCACCCGCCACCATGCCCGGCTAATTTTTCTATTTTTTAGTAGAGACAGGGTTTCTCCATGTTGGCCAGGCTGGTCTTGAACTCCTGACCTCATGATCCGCCCACCTCGGCCTCCCAAAGTGCTGAGATTACAGGCATGAGCTACTGCGGCCGGCTTGGATAATCTTAAGAGGCTACTTTGTTTTGATTTTGGAGTTTATATCTTTTCTCCACATCTTTGTGAGAGTTTTTTTTTTTTTTTTAAATTGATCTGTTTCTATAACTTTCTTTTTTCTACTTATTGTGTAACAAGGCATGGCTAGTAAGTTTGGGAGCAAAGGAAGATTGGGAAAAAAAACCAAACTGTACAGTTATTAAAAGTTTACTATGTGATAGGTTTTCTTAAAAATATTAGCTCAACATTATTTAGTGTGATGTTTGTGCAATTTTTCTTCTATTCAAATTATAGAAAATTCATTATTTTTTCATTTATTTATTCAGACATTTACTGAGTGCCTATGATACATTCGAAACTATGCTAGGCTTTATAAATTTGTGATACTGGCTTATGTGTGAACTTGTGAGGAGATATGGGGGAAATAAACATGTCTCTGAATCATTAAACTTTTGCCTGTGTGGCGTGTTAATAAATTAGATCCTCTTGTCCAACTTTTTAACTTGTCCAACTTTTACACAATTTTTCATAAGCTACAAACATGTCTAACACTCTTTAAAAGCTCCCATAAAACATGGAACATAAAATACAATTTCAATATGAAACTGAGATTCCTAAAAAGGAGGAACAGGAATCTAGGCTTATAACACCAATTATAGATAAAATGAGGACTCTGGAGACAGATTTGGACTTGAGACCTCTGTGAGTTTTTTTTTTTTTCCGAGACGGAGTCTTGCTCTGTTGCCCAGGCTGGAGTGCAGTGGCATGATCTTGGCTCACTGCAACCTCCGCCTCCGGGGTTCAAGCGATTCTCTTGCCTCAGCCTCCCCAGTAGCTAAGATTACAGGCGTCCACCACCATACCCGGCTAGTTTTTTGTATTTTTATTAGAGATGGGGTTTCACCATATTGGCCAGGCTGGTCTCAAACTCCTGACCTCAAGTGATCCACCCGCCTCGGTCTCCCAAAGTGCTGGGATTATGGGTATGAGCCACTGCACCCGGCCGACTCCTCTGTGCTCTTGATGCTTAGTCTCTCATCTGTAAAATGGAGCTAACTCCTTCCTAATGGACTCTATTTGGATTAAGAATATGCATGTACAGCCTGTATCTTACCAGATACGTGGCAAATGTTAATCCTTTTTTCCCCAAATGCTGTAACTGACTGGCCAGGACCTCTTGAGCAGTCACTTAAATTTTCTGAGACTTGGTTTTTGCATCTCTAAAGTAGAGATATTAACTGTCCTGTCTCATGGGGTTGTTGTGAGGATTTTTTCTTCATATTATTCATAAATCAGTTTTGAGTACTTTTCGGTATCCTTCTTAATGGTGATTTTTAAGATGGAAGAGTTGACATCAAGTGTTTAAACATATGCCAGTTTTGTGTATGTTCTTCTGAAGTATCAAGTGGACACTCATTTACTTTGTCACTTTATTACCTTCTTAAAATCAGGCTGTGATGGTAAAACCTTCCTGTGAAGGGCCCATTCTGGGGAGCTGTTTATTGAGACCAAACCTCATGTATTCAGCCTGAAAAGAGACTTGCCACTTTCTGGCTTTACAGTGCCATCTGTAGGTAAAGAGGAGAAAGCTTGGCTGAAGGTTTGTATCTGGAGAGCAAGGGTGCTCTGGTGTTTAAAGGTGTTTTGTCATTGTCAGGTGGTCTCGGCTGCTCGTATCTTACTTAGGAACCCTGGAAATCAAGCTGCTTATGAACATTTTGAGACCATGAAGAACCAGTGGATCGATAATGTTGAAAAAATGACAGGTAGAGTTTTCTATACAAATCTTGTTGTCTAATCCATGAAGAATGAGTTCTGAGAAATTGGAGCGGGACTGGTTCTGTTACTCAGCTGTAATTGGATAAAGGGCCGGTCACGTGCTGAGCAGTGTACTTGGCTCTGCTTAAGGCTGCTGAGCAGTGGCGGCTTCTCATTCAAGCCTTGCAACTTTGTCAGAAGAGAGACTCTTTGAGTCTCTTTTATTTTAATGCTGCCCTCCTGGCGTGATGTTTATTGTCACCACTCCTATCTTCTCTTTGAATAGTGTCTTTGCCCAGTCCGAGCCCGAGTTTGGTTTCAGAGGCTGGGAGGCGGTGTTTGTGGATACAGTAAGTGTCCCTGTCATTTTCAGTGGGTTCACATTTCAAGGAACCACAATAGCTACCATTTAATACAACTTGTCTCAAAGTTTCCTCCAACTTATCAACTACGTAGTTTTTTTAAAAAGGAGAAACCAACCACCAGCAAACCTGTGTCTGTGCAATTGAAGTGGCACCTCTGAATCGTCTTCATTCTCTGTAAAGGGAGAGATAGGAAAGAAGGAATGAGGAATGTAGGCTTTTTGCTGTCCCTGCAGAACCTGCTGTGACTGGGGTCCATGGCAGCCCGAGATGAAAGTGGAACTCCTGAGGTGTCTGAAGAGAGGTAACAGGAATAAGAAATAGGCTGTTAGGGTTATTGGAATCCTCCGCATGGCTCATCTTGAGCACTACAAGCTGCCAACAAGCAACAGATGGCTGGGGAGTGAGAGGGACAGGGAGAAAATATTATTCACAGATAACGTGGTGGTGATGCAGTGATGGTTTCAGACATATTCCTTGTTTCCTCCCGATGTTGCATTTCTGGTTGTCTGGGGTGGATACAAGAAGGCTGGCAACCACGGTTGGTATAAATGCTGCAAATCCAGATGGGCTTTTGGGCTATGTCCTCACTGTTTTTTTTAACTGTGGTGTTTACCTGGAAGCTTTTGATTATGTAGGAAGAGTTTGAGCTGAAGAAGAGAATTCTGGATGTTATACTTTCTCATGAGAAGTTTGAGTGGATAACAGTGTTTTGGAGTTTCTGTTCTTCTAAATTGAAACTAAATTCCATTTCTGTTTTCCTAACAGGGCTGGTGGACGAAGCCATTGATACCAAATCTCTGTTGGATGCTTCAGAAGAAGCAATTAAAAAAGACCTGGACAAGTGCAAGGTAGCTATGGCCAACATTCAGCCTCAGATGCTGGTTGCTGGGGCAACCAGTATTGCTCGTCGGGCCAACCGGATCCTGCTGGTGGCTAAGAGGGAGGTGGAGAATTCCGAGGATCCCAAGTTCCGTGAGGCTGTGAAAGCTGCCTCTGATGAATTGAGCAAAACCATCTCCCCGATGGTGATGGATGCAAAAGCTGTGGCTGGAAACATTTCCGACCCTGGTAAGCAATGCATGGCACTATGTCTCACCTCCACTGAGAGGTTAACTCAGGAAAGGTCGTGAGGGAATATGTACCCCACAACCACCACATACAAAGTCTGGGGGCAAAAACTATAGACACTTAGTTTGAGAATGCTAGATTAATCTTTTTCCATCCAAGTCTCTGCAGTTATCAGCAGGCTTGTTGTATGTTAGTTTTTCTGGACCAACTTCTCTGTGCTTTCTTTTTTTTTTGAGACTCTCACCCAGGCCAGAGGGCAGTGGCATGATCTCAGCTCACTGAAACCTCCACCTTCTGGGTTCTAGCGATTCTCCTACCTCAGCCTCCCGAGTAGCTGGGATTACAGGTGTGTGCCACCATGCCTGGCTAATTTTTATGTTTTTAGTAGACAGGGTTTTGCCATGTTGGCCAGGCTGGTCTTGAATTCCTGACCTCAGGTGATCCACCCGCCTTGGCCTGTCAAAGTGCTGGGATTACAGGTGTGAGCCACCGTGCCCAACCTCTGCGCTTTTTTAGTGCTGGGATTACAGGTGTGAGCCACCGTGCCCAACCTCTGCGCTTTTTTTTTTTTTTTTTTTTTTGAGACGGAGTTTTGCTCTTGTTGCCCAGGCTGGAGTACAATGGCACAATCTTGGCTCACTGCAACCTCCGCCCCCGCCTGGATTCAAGTGATTCTCCTGCCCCAGCCTCCTGAGTAGCTGGGATTACAGGCTCCCACCACCACACCCAGCTAATTTTTTGTAGTTTTAGTAGAGGCAGAGTTTCACCATGTTGGCCAGGCTGGTCTCAAACTCCAGACCTCAGTTGATCCACCCGCCTTGGCCTCCCAAAGTGCTGGGATTACAGGCATCCAGCCTGTGCTTTCTTAATATGGTCTGGCTAAATAGCTCCTCGCCTTGTTCAGTCATTATTTTGGAAAATTTTCAAAAGATGCATGATAACCAATTTACCATCCATTTAGTTTATGTAACTGGTGTTAACTTCTCTTGGGCTTTTCTTAAAATGCTTTTTTTTCTTTGTAAAGCATTCTCAGTTTCTATCAAATCTGGAGGGCTTAAGTTGATCTGTGGGTCTCCTAGGCCCTACACCTAAAGAAAATCTGGGTTTTCTTTAGGTGAATTTTGATCATATTTTTGGTACTACCATGGCAGATCATAATTGGAGCCGCTCCTTTGGTTGAAATCATCTGAATTCCTTCCTGTTTTGAACATCTGATGTTTTCAGTCTTGTCTATGAGTAGAATGCAGTCAATGCAAGAGAGTAGGAAGGAGGGGCTCCCCTATTCATCTCTGGTTCAGGCAGAATCTTTCTAATATCCAAAACCCATTATCACTAAGGACATGCTTGGTTTCCTAATTGGAGTTTCTAATAGTAGAGTAGATTCCTGAATTCCAGGCAACTGAACAGAGTAGCGCAGCTCAGCATAAGGGTTAACATACTGAATGCCAAGGACAGCAAAGGAGTAGAGAGAAAGGTGAGAAGTACTTCAGGGAATGTATGTCCAATCTGAAACTGACATCTCCCATGTTCTGAGTTGGGCAGGCTTATCTCTTGACTGCCTCATCATAAGAGAGGTGATGGATGCCACCTGAGCCCAAAGTGTTCATGCCCAGGGATCTCCTGGGTACTTTTTAGTTGTACAGCCAAGAAGGCACCCTGAACACTAAAAGAACAGCTGGTTTGTGATGCTTCCAATGCTCTGCAGGCCTCAGGGCATCTGCCTTGTCCTGCCTCCCCCCTTCTTCAATCACTGCCCGTGATATTTACTGGCAGCTTCACATCCAGCTTTTGTTCATGGAACCAGTTCTGCTGCTGCACAGACAGTGCTTTGGGGCACTGACCCACCCAGCTGAAAGTGAGGATGTCTTGTGTTTAGGACTGCAAAAGAGCTTCCTGGACTCAGGATATCGGATCCTGGGAGCTGTGGCCAAGGTCAGAGAAGCCTTCCAACCTCAGGAGCCTGACTTCCCGCCGCCTCCACCAGACCTTGAACAACTCCGAGTAAGTAAATTCAGATATGCAGAGAATTGAGCAGGAAGGTGTTGAGACTTCAGCAAGAGAGAGGTAGATTGTGTTTTAGAGCCTCCATCACTAGGTGGCTTCGTTTAGCTTTCATTTGAAGCTTAGTGGGAGGCAGATCTCGATTTTCATTCCTAAATCCAGTGGAGTTATAACCTAGTGCTTATATGCATGGGTTGTGTGTGTGTGTGTAGTACTGGTGTGTGTGGTAGTGGCTTGCTGTGATGGGGAGCGGCTGGAGCAGAGGAGCTGGCTTTGGTAAGTGTGGATGTGATGAGTGATGAGGTAGTGCATTGTGGTAAAATAATCTGCACAGCTTGGAGTAAGGAGATTTGGTGTGTTCTTAGTTGATAATGGTAGAACCGAGGTGGTTGAAATCTTGTGTTGGTTCTTTCCTTTATTTGACTTTTTTTTAAGTAACAAGATACATGCTTTTAAAAAATTTTTCCCTAACTATAATTTAAGATCTTTAGATACCTTCCCCACTACCCCCCGCAAGTACTGTGAATATATTTTTACATGGTGTAGGAAGAAGCTAGCTAGGCAGTATGTTGCAGACACAAATTCCAGAAACAGAAATAGTGATTATTTCTAGACACTTATTCCAACTAACAGTATTAGAAATACCTTGACTTTGTAAATAACTTATCAAGGCAATAATCTGATTTACTTTCCCATATTTAATGTCAGTAAAAGATGTTAAGTTTTTAAGTTGGTTGAGTACAAAATTGTGTCATCGCACACACAGCTAAGGAACAGTGTTTCCCAGCCTTCAACGCATCTTAGATTCTTCCCAGCTGGGTGCTTGGTGGGTGTTTAGAGCTGGGAGAGAGGGCTATTCCTGGGAATGGCTTCTTATGTGAGCAACAGAGTTATGTCATTTAGAATCTGGATCTTAGAGGTCATTTGGTCTAGCTACCCCTCAGTGACAGATGAGGAACCTCAGGCCAAGGGGAGAAGTTACTTGCCTATGTAGCTGCTTTCTGGTAGAACCAGGACCACAACTTACATCTTCTGTAGGGACTTTTTGAGAATCCTTCATCTGGTAGCACTGTGTATACTTCCCTGGGATGCAACCAAAACAGTAGCTGCAAGCCTTTTTTTTTTTTCTTTTTTTCTTGTTTTGAGATGGAGTCTTGCTCTGTCGCCCAGGCTGGAGCGCAGTGGCATGATCTCAGCTCACGGCAACCTCTGCCTCCCGGGTTCAAGCAATTCTCCTGCCTCAGCTTCTTGAGTAGTTGGGATTATAGGCACATGCCACCATGCCCGGCTAATTTTTGTGTTTTTAGTAGAGATGGGGTTTCACCATTTTGGGCAGGCTGGTCTCGAACTCCTGACCTCAGGTGACCCACCTGCCTTGGCCTCCCAAAGTGCTGGGATTATAGGCGTGAGCCACTGCGCCCGGCCACTGCTAGCTTTTTGTAGAGAAACCTGCTTCTGTTGAGATTGAAGCAGGTGGTCCTTGTGGCTCAGTGTGGGTGGTCTTATGTGGAGTCAATATGGGTGGGTTTTCTAGGGATGCTTTTTAGAAGAAAGGAAAGAATTCCAGGGGGGAGTAGTTTTAGGACTTTACTTACAACTTGTTTTCTCTTTTTTAGCTAACAGATGAGCTTGCTCCTCCCAAACCACCTCTGCCTGAAGGTGAGGTCCCTCCACCTAGGCCTCCACCACCAGAGGAAAAGGATGAAGAGTTCCCTGAGCAGAAGGCCGGGGAGGTGATTAACCAGCCAATGATGATGGCTGCCAGACAGCTCCATGATGAAGCTCGCAAATGGTCCAGCAAGGTAAGTAGTGAAGCTTTTCTTGTTGAGAAAGGATGTCTTCTCGGAAAGGATGAAGGACCATGAAAGACCCAGAAAGAAGAGTCTATTTGGAGTCACCCTCTCTCTCTCCTTTGGTTCCTGTGTTGCCAATAGCATATTCCTCTTCTTACCTGTGCTTTAGTGAGATGTTTCTGACACCTGATGGTTTCTCCTTCAAGCTTGCAAAAGCCAGAGTCAGGGTGCCTGTGATTTGAGAAGAGGATTCCTGTCCTTTGTCCATTAGAGTGCCAGGTGCCTTGACCTTAGCATTTGGGGTCTTTTAGAAATTGCTTATCTTTCTTGGAACTGCAAATGTTTTTAGATGCTACATTGCTAATGATCAGAGCTCCAAATATGAATTGTGTGGGCTGTGCTAAAGCTAGATGAAATGTTTGCATTTTCTTTTTTTTTCCACAGAAGCAAGTAGATTGGTATCTTAGAAGCCATGTGCTTTTGTCCTTTCTCAGAATCATTTCACCTGTCAACTCAAGACAGCTCCAGGCTGTCTCTTACTCAGCAAATCTGAAGGTGTAAATATTAATGTGGTTGGTAAAAATATGGATGCTACAGCAGTCTTGCCCTATGAATAACTTTTGCCTATTTTCCCCTAAATGATGAAAAGTGAGCAGTAGCTTTTCTAGATAAGAGGAATATTATTGCTAACCCTGCAGTGAAAGGTAGCTCTTAGTTCTAAACTGTTTCTAATATGACCCTAGATCTTTTTTTTAATGTTTTTATGACCCTAGATCTTTATTCCCACCACCTATTTGCCTTTATTCTTTACACATCCTCAAAGCTTTCAAGCTCTTGTGTCGATTGTATTTCCTCAGGGACCTCCTGCACCTGCAGCTGATCTTGGATTTTTTTCAGGCTGGGAAATTCACATTGGTTTTTAACTCTGTATTTTGCTGAACTGTTAGCTGTGAGCCCAGGTTCTAAGAAGGAAGGGAGACTTTGCTGGTGTTGGACCTGACCTGTAGAATTATTTATAATGGTATCTCTCCAACTGCATGTGGCAGAGCCCCACTGTGCATGGGGAGTGGGGGAGGGTGACAGTGAAGATTTTAAAGGAAATTTAAATTTCATTACAATGAACCAAAATACACTATGCAGAACAAAAAATATACATGAATTATTTAAAAAAACAAACAAACTTAAAAGCAGACAGCATTGGCCCACATTACTTGCCCCACTCTGCCATTTGTGGCCAGAAGTCCTGAGGTCTATCTCCTGAAGTGTGCAAGATCAGGAGTTTGCTGACTTTGAGTTGTGTGAAGTCAGAAGCTACTTGAACCATGTGTGTACTGGGCTGGGGAGGAATATCTGTTCGTGTGTCTGTCAACCTATCTGTCTTTGTACACTGTGGGACTCTGAGCCTTAGCAGCAGTGAGCTGGCTTTTCTTCTGAGCAGCAGAGATGGGTCTTGGTTGAGTTTAGGCAAAAGAGTTTAGATGGTATCTGAACCCCTTGTTGGCCCTGAATCCTCCAACATCGTCACCCTTTGGAGTCAGGTTTCATGTGCAGGTTAAGACTTTTAGGAGTGGTAACAACCTCAAAGAAAATTCCATATAAACTACTTCCTCTTGAGTACAGATGTTTGATGTAAAGAACCTGTATTCATCATTCTTTGTATAAATGGTTTGGCTTCATTGTGGCAGTTTTTAATTTTCTTTCCATGTTAGTCTATTTTCAGCATCTGGCTTTTATAATCTCCATCCCTGGTTCTAAATTCATGTTCTCTCCATCATGATTCTCATTCTTAAATGAGCACCATTCTTCTGAGCTTCTGTGAGCTCAGCTGCAGTCACTTGCCAAGTTCACATATTATTCTATCTGTGAACTAGATAAGCAGAGTTTGGGGTGAGTGAGAACCTATTTTGCAAGCAATTTAGGTTGTACCCAAGGAGAAGCTTTCTGAGGTGGTACTAGCAATGGATGCAAAAAGAGATGGTAGAAGCTTTGCCTCAGAAGACCTTGAGGGGATAGAGAGCTGGTCTGATGTGTGGGTGTTCCCTGAGATGGGCGGCTGACGAGGTGGCTTCTTGAGGCTCCTTACAGCTGGGTGACAGTGGGGTACTTAAGTTCTCTTCAGTCACCATTGTGTTTGTTTTTCCTGCCTCTTTCCTAGTTTGGTATTCGTTACCTCTGATGTATCATTTTTAATTCTGGGACTTTTAACTCATGAAGGAAATAATCTATGTCTGGCAGCTGCAGAGCTGACCCAAATTGCCTCCTGTGTCCCAGGAAAATGTAGAACAGTGACCATATGATCCAGCAGTGTTCACTTTGTTCTGTACAAAGTAACTTGTGTGGCTGCATTTACTTTTTCTCTCCGGATTCCTTTTAAAGGTAATTTGCTACTATCGTTTGGTTGTTTGGCTCCTCAGAAATATTCTCATGTGAGAATCACTCTTGTCAAGTTTGACTTTAGTATCAAGTATATTAAAGAAATGGATGCCACTTGCTTTCTTGGTGTAAAGATTTCTCTAGAAGCCCTTTGCCATTGGAGTGAGTCCCTTTTCTTCTCTCACCACACAGTGGCTTGGGCTGAGTGGCGCTGGAGGCTGAGAATTCCCCCTTCTGTGAAGCTTGGTACACAAGGCTCCTAGAGAACATGTTTCTTTCTCATCCTAGGCAGGCTTTGGTTACTAAACCAGCTGAAGCCCAGTTTCCCAAGTCGTATTGCTCTTACTAACACTATCCCTATTTCTCATCCTTCCCGCCATCGACAAAGCCGGGCATCCCAGCCGCTGAGGTGGGTATAGGTGTTGTAGCTGAGGCAGATGCGGCCGATGCTGCTGGCTTCCCTGTCCCCCCTGACATGGAAGACGATTACGAACCTGAGCTGCTGTTAATGCCATCCAATCAGCCGGTCAACCAGCCCATTCTGGCCGCGGCTCAGTCCTTGCATCGGGAAGCTACCAAGTGGTCTAGTAAGGTACTGATAAGCACCCCCAGTTGGGGGCTGCTCCATATGCATCCGGCCATGTGCAGCCTTGACACATTGCATCACTCATGATCTGTGCTGGTCCTGTGAGTCTGAGCAGGGCGGGCATCTGTCTGTCTGCACCATGTTGTTAGGACTGGCTTCACAAGTTTGATAGGTCTGCTAACGCCAGATTAATTGGACTGCATTTATGTTTAGGGGATGAAGAGAGATGGGGGGGGTCACTTTTGGAAAGGATTCCTTTTCTTACTGATTTTGTGGCCATCGCTGGAAACCCCTTGGGAAGCCGTGAATGCATCTCTCAATGACTTCCAGGTCAGGAACCATGGTAGACCATTACGAGGTCACCTGGCCTGACCATTGAGCTTTGCCTGCTCCCAACTGACCCCTCACTGATGGCTCAGGGAGAGTTGATGAGGGGGAGAGGCAGCTTTATAGGGCAGGGTCTCTGGGGGAGGACTGCTTGCTGCCCTGCACTTGGCTATGTGGCAGATGCTGGCCTTGATGGGAGTCCACAGAAAATGGGGCCTCACTGACTGCTTGTCCAGGTATCTCAGTGGGAGGGAATGGGAGTGGGAAATGGAGTACTCAAGGCCACAAGACAGGCCGCCATAGAACTTTGGCCTTGGGGAATGAACCAAAGCTAGTTTGGAGAGTAGGGTGATTGGGGTGATCACTTTTCCCTTTAAAGGTGGCATGCTGCAAGAAGAAAGGCTTTGAAGAGTGATGGGTAGTCACTAACCATGGCACTATGCTATCTTCTAACCAACGTGATGGGGTCCTGGAATGATCCTAGGTCTGCACTAGAAGAGGTAGACCCAGAGGACCTTGTCTAACATACCCCTTGCTTCTTGACTTCTTCCCATACCTGCGTTCTCTCCGGCCTCAATTACTGCCTGAGATGTTACACCCTTCCAGCATAAATGATGAACCGCTTCATGGTGCCTGTAGAGGCCTCTTGCAGAGCACCCTGCAGTGGTATGGTTTGTGTATGCCTCACTGCACTGTAGAGAAATGAAGAGCATGAGGGGAAAAATGAGTAGGGCCTGGACTTTTAGCTAGTTTTGAACACTGCAGTTGCTATGACTTGGGGTTGTTAGCAGCCAAAAGAGGAGCTTTCATGAGAGGGCACAGAATACATAACTTGTCTGTTTCTTTACTATGACCCATGAGGGTTTTAGTAAACCAAAATGCCAAGTCTAAGATAAACTGCCATTCCTTGGAGTGAGGGTTCCATTTACAGCCTGAATCACGACTTTTATTTTCCTAATGCCTTCTCTTGCATCCTCTTAGCTGAAGGTTCCTTTAACTGGAGTCTTCACTTAGCTGAGGGGACTGAAGAATTGATTCTTTACCCTTTTACGTGGGAAAAATTAAAGCAACATGTTCGTTCAGGCTGACAGGACAAATAAGAGGCAGTAGAGGGATAGCCAGAGCAGGCTAGATCAGAAAATATCTTTTTTTTTTTTTTCCCTCACCCAGCTGAGAATAGTTACTTGGGTTTGAAATTCTAGTTAAGTAGCAAGAACGCTTGGCTGCTATTTGCAACAAGGGTAAGCATGAAGAGGGTGATTTCAGCATCTGGAAAGGCTCCTCTGTATTTTTCCCCTCAGGCCAGCTCTACTGCTTTCTCCCTATAGAAATGAAAGTGCCTGTTTAACCAGCTCCTTGGCCCTGTCCCCAGTTTATTGATATGATTAACCTGGAGATGCCAAAGTGCTTGTTCAGTGCTGTGCCTGGGGTGCACATCTTGCCCTTTCAGACTAATATCTGGGTCTTCCTTTTTTTTAGTCAGGAAATGTCTCTCTCCCTCTCCTTTCCCCCTCCTCTCTCCTCTCTCTTTGTTTCTCACACTGAGTGCTTGGGCGAGTGCCCTGTCTCATTCTTTTTTTTTCTTCCAGTGCTATCCGTATCACTCAAGAACGGCCCTTTTCTCCTCTTCTCACCCTTCCGGAGGGATGCTAAGGTGGCAAGCTCCCTCCTCTTCTCTGTGCTTCTCCTTCCTTCCTTAACATGGCCAGAGCGTGGGCAGAGCTCACACTGTATCTTTGCTTCCCTCTAGGGCAATGACATCATTGCAGCAGCCAAGCGCATGGCTCTGCTGATGGCTGAGATGTCTCGGCTGGTAAGAGGGGGCAGTGGTACCAAGCGGGCACTCATTCAGTGTGCCAAGGACATCGCCAAGGCCTCAGATGAGGTGACTCGGTTGGCCAAGGAGGTTGCCAAGCAGTGCACAGATAAACGGATTAGAACCAACCTCTTACAGGTACTCGGGGAAAGAGGCTGCGTGTGTGTGTGTGTGTGTGTGTGTGTGTGCGTGTGTGTGTGTGTTGGAGGGGAGGGTATGAGAGGGAGAAAAGCAGGAGAGAAAAACTAGGTAAGGGAGAAAGAGGCACTTCACCGGGGACAGAAATAGCAGAAAGGGAAAAAAACAAATGTACTGGGAAAGACAGATTCAGGAAAGGTTACTTCCTAATCAAATGAATGCTTCCATTTCTGGAGAAATGGATTGTACTGACCCTAGGGGAAAAAACAAGTGGAATTCTGCTGCTTATTTATCGAGTGCCTTTTCTGTGCCAGCCACTGGGAATACAGAGGTAGGTAAGTCTTGCCTTCAAGGAGCTTGTGGGCAAGGCAAACAGAGAAACATACCAAATTAAACTTTCTCTTTAGGTATGTGAGCGAATCCCAACCATAAGCACCCAGCTCAAAATCCTGTCCACAGTGAAGGCCACCATGCTGGGCCGGACCAACATCAGTGATGAGGAGTCTGAGCAGGTATGTGGCAGCTGTTTTTGGTTTCTGGCTGGCAGCTTCTGTGCCGTTTTGCAGTAATTTAACTCTGCTTTGGGGAAATTTTACCCCTTAATTGAGTATCGAGTATTCAGTATGTGGGATGCACTCAGACTGTCTCAGGAGGGGAAAGTCTGTGTTGGATAGATACATCAGAAATTTGGAATTGGGGCCAGGTGCAGTGGCACATGCAGGTAATCCCAGCACTTTGGGAGGCTGAGGCGGGAGAATTGCTTAAGCCCAGAAGGTCAAGGCAGTAAGCTGTGATTGCACCACTGCACTGCAGCCTGGGTGACAGAGTGAGACTCTTGTCTTGAAAAAACAAAACAAAACACCAGGAATTGGGAGCCAGGTGTGGTGGTGTGCACCTGTAGTCCCAGCTACTCAGGAGGCTGAGGCAGTAGGATCATTTGAAACCAGGAGTTGAAGACTAGCTTGGGCAAAATAGCAAGACCCCATCTCAAAATAAATAGATAAATAAATAAATAAATAAATAAATAAATAAGTAAATAAAAGGAATCTGGAATTGCTCTTGGGCAACTTTTGTCATTTTACAGATAGGAAACTGAGGTCTAGAGAGGTTAAGTGTCTGAAATAACACTATGGATCAGTGGCAGTTAGGACTCTACTCAGTTCCTTACCCTTGGAATAAGTTTGGCTCTTTTGAGGCCTCCAGTGCCTGTTCATTTCAACTCACTGTATGTTTCTGGCTGGAGAGAAGGTCCGCTTTCCAGCTCTCTGTGTGTTAGTGCCTCAGGGAGGATGAATAGTGCAGGCTTTTCCGGGGCATGAGGTAGTTAGGCCTGTGCTGAAACTGAAATGACAGCTCAAAGGAGGTGCTTCTCTTATATTCTCTTTAGGTTTCTCTGATAGAGATAGAAATAAGGATGCTGAGAAGGTTCTCTTAACCACTGCTTCCTGCATATACCTTGGCAGTCACCCAAGTTTGTCCTCCTTCCCAAAATCTTGGCCCAGGTCTTTCAGGAAACCCTCATTTGAGCACCCCTTACTCTCCTTATTTCCCCTCCGGGAGGCCCTGCTCTAAGCAAGATTCCCACATGGACTGCCCACACAGGGCTCCTCACACATGGGGTACATAGTTTTGTTGGACTAGCCACACGAGGCTCATCACACATGGGCTAAGGTGAAGCACTGTATTAGGTGTTAAGGGAGTTTAAAAAATTAAGAGACACAATTCCCCCCACCCAACGTGGGGAACTCAAAAATAGTCTGAAAGAACAACTGTTTCTGATCTCTAGGCCAGGAGATAGGGCACTGGGGCACTTTAGAGGAAATAAGGCGGCCATTCTTCTTGGTGCCATTATTGTTGCTTCTGCTACCATATTCTAATCCAACAACTCTCACCCTAATCCTCTCTTCTCCCAAACCATGGGAACTGTATCTTCACACCTAACTTCCACATATTCTATGAAGGGTTTGCACACTTCGCTGTTTCTATGTCATGTGATCTCTTCTGTCCAAAGAAAGGTGGAAAAAAATGGGGAAGGAAGGGTAAGACTGAGATTCAGGCCTAATCAGAGACTTAATCAATTAACCACTAAAAATATGCCTTGAGAATATCTATTATGTTCCATTAAATATTCCAGTTTTAAAAAGGGTAGAAATTGACAGTATGGTAGAATGGAAAAAACACAGGACTGTTTGGGAGGCTGAGGCAGGAGAATCGCTTGAACCTGGGAGGCGGAAATTGCAGTGAGCCGAGATCGTGCCATTGCACTCCAGCCTAGTTAACAAGAGTGAAACTCCGTCTCAAAAAAAAAAAATAATAATAAAATAAAATAAAATAAACAACAACAAAAAACAAAACCCATAGGACTATAAGTCAGAAATCCTGAGTCCTAATTCTCACTCTATGAATGTCTCTGGGCCTGAGTCCCTTTGCTGACCAAGTGAAAAGAACAACTGATGAGGAATTCCAGCCCACAGTTACACTTATCAGAGCCTGTGAAACTGAGTGTACAAATTTTATGCAGGTGTGCATTTTTTCTGGGGGAGAATTCACCGCCTTCATTAAATCCTCAAATGATGTATGACTTAAAAATAGCCAAGAATTACTGAGCTGATGAATTGCCAAGATCCTTCCTTGACTTTCTATGGTAGAGTACCAATGTGATTTCAGTCTTATAAGTTTGTGCGTTTGTTTGAAAGATTAACGTATTTAGATTTTCATGGGTTTAAAGTGGTTGGTTGCTTGGTTTGTTCATTTGGTTGTTTTTAAAATTCATTAATTAAATATTTATGAAATACCTCCTGTGTGCCAGGCACCATCCTAAATACTGGGGGTATGACAGTGCACAAAATTGACAAAAATCTACTCTGTATAACTTAAATGTTAGTATGAAGACAGAAAAAACCCTCAAAACTCCCAAACAACCTAGGTAAAATACGTAGTGTATCAGTTCGTGATGATAGGTTCAATGGAAAAAATAAGGCCAAGCGCGGTGGCTCACGCCTACTGTATGTAGTCTTAGCACTTTGGGAGGCTGAGGTGGGCAGATCACTTGAGCCCAGGAGTACGAGTCCAACCTGGGCAACATGGCGGAACCCCATCTGTACAAAAAATTAAAAAATTACCCAGATGTGGCAGCATGTACCTATTGTCCCAGCTGCTCAAAGGCTGAGGCAGGAGGATCCTTGAGCCCAGGGGGCAGAGGCTGCAGTGGCCGAGATCACACCACTGCACTCCAGCCTGGATGAAAGAGAAAGACCCCATCTCAAAAAAAGAATGAGCAGGGAAATCCTCACCAAGGTGACAAGTGAGCAAAGATCTGAAGGTGAGGGGATCCCTGGGATCCCTGGGGAAAGAGCAGTCCAGGTACAGGAAACAGCAAGTCCTGAGGGAGAAGCATGTTTGAAGACCAAGAAAGAGGACATGCTGTAAGCTATCTGAAGCCACAGTATACAATCAGCGATGGCCAGTTTTGGGTTCTTTTTGGTGATCTGGGAAAACCCCTAGTGATGCAAGCAAATATGGGGGATGCCAGGTACCAGTGGGGTTAGCTGCATCCCACTCCTGGCTGAAACCTATTTTAGAGACAGGCCTGCATCAGGGACCCTGGGTAACGGAAAGTACCTTTTTCCTTGCAGGCCACAGAGATGCTGGTTCACAATGCCCAGAACCTCATGCAGTCTGTGAAGGAGACTGTGCGGGAAGCTGAAGCTGCTTCAATCAAAATTCGAACAGATGCTGGATTTACACTGCGCTGGGTTAGAAAGACTCCCTGGTACCAGTAGGCACCTGGCTGAGCCTGGCTGGCACAGAAACCTCTACTAAAAAGAAGGAAAATGATCTGAGTCCCAGGAGCTGCCCAGAGTTGCTGGGAGCTGAAAAATCACATCCTGGCCTGGCACATCAGAAAGGAATGGGGGCCTCTTCAAATTAGAAGACATTTATACTCTTTTTTCATGGACACTTTGAAATGTGTTTCTGTATAAAGCCTGTATTCTCAAACACAGTTACACTTGTGCACCCTCTATCCCAATAGGCAGACTGGGTTTCTAGCCCATGGACTTCACATAAGCTCAGAATCCAAGTGAACACTAGCCAGACACTCTGCTCTGCCCTTGTTCCCTAGGGGACACTTCCCTCTGTTTCTCTTTCCTTGGCTCCCATTCACTCTTCCAGAATCCCAAGACCCAGGGCCCAGGCAAATCAGTTACTAAGAAGAAAATTGCTGTGCCTCCCAAAATTGTTTTGAGCTTTCCATGTTGCTGCCAACCATACCTTCCTTCCCTGGGCTGTGCTACCTGGGTCCTTTTCAGAAGTGAGCTTTGCTGCTACAGGGGAAGGTGGCCTCTGTGGAGCCCCAGCATATGGGGGCCTGGATTCATTTCCTGCCCTTCCTCAGTTTAATCCTTCTAGTTTCCCACAATATAAAACTGTACTTCACTGTCAGGAAGAAATCACAGAATCATATGATTCTGCTTTTACCATGCCCCTGAGCAATGTCTGTGCTAGGGAAACTTCCCGTCCCATATCCTGCCTCAGCCCGCCAAGGTAGCCATCCCATGAACACACTGTGTCCTGGTGCTCTCTGCCACTGGAAGGGCAGAGTAGCCAGGGTGTGGCCCTGCCATCTTCCCAGCAGGGCCACTCCCGGCACTCCATGCTTAGTCACTGCCTGCAGAGGTCTGTGCTGAGGCCTTATCATTCATTCTTAGCTCTTAATTGTTCATTTTGAGCTGAAATGCTGCATTTTAATTTTAACCAAAACATGTCTCCTATCCTGGTTTTTGTAGCCTTCCTCCACATCCTTTCTAAACAAGATTTTAAAGACATGTAGGTGTTTGTTCATCTGTAACTCTAAAAGATCCTTTTTAAATTCAGTCCTAAGAAAGAGGAGTGCTTGTCCCCTAAGAGTGTTTAATGGCAAGGCAGCCCTGTCTGAAGGACACTTCCTGCCTAAGGGAGAGTGGTATTTGCAGACTAGAATTCTAGTGCTGCTGAAGATGAATCAATGGGAAATACTACTCCTGTAATTCCTACCTCCCTGCAACCAACTACAACCAAGCTCTCTGCATCTACTCCCAAGTATGGGGTTCAAGAGAGTAATGGGTTTCATATTTCTTATCACCACAGTAAGTTCCTACTAGGCAAAATGAGAGGGCAGTGTTTCCTTTTTGGTACTTATTACTGCTAAGTATTTCCCAGCACATGAAACCTTATTTTTTCCCAAAGCCAGAACCAGATGAGTAAAGGAGTAAGAACCTTGCCTGAACATCCTTCCTTCCCACCCATCGCTGTGTGTTAGTTCCCAACATCGAATGTGTACAACTTAAGTTGGTCCTTTACACTCAGGCTTTCACTATTTCCTTTATAATGAGGATGATTATTTTCAAGGCCCTCAGCATATTTGTATAGTTGCTTGCCTGATATAAATGCAATATTAATGCCTTTAAAGTATGAATCTATGCCAAAGATCACTTGTTGTTTTACTAAAGAAAGATTACTTAGAGGAAATAAGAAAAATCATGTTTGCTCTCCCGGTTCTTCCAGTGGTTTGAGACACTGGTTTACACTTTATGCCGGATGTGCTTTTCTCCAATATCAGTGCTCGAGACACAGTGAAGCAAATTAAAAAAAAAAAAAAAAAAAATCCCTGAATGATGATTAGAGACATCACCGCTAAAAAACTACATTTATAAGCTAGGATTTGTTATATGCAAATATTTTCTGCCTCTTCTTTTGTTCTGTTTAAAACAATAAAATGCATTTGTATAAAAAATGCTTTAAATGATGGATATGTTACTTTAGCAAGAACTTTTAGGTCAGGTTTCTCCTTTGTTTTGATGAATAGTCAATGAAACTAATCCTCAAGATCTGGAAACTAAAGATTTTTATTTAATCCAAATGTTGCACTGGAAGAAGAAATCAACAGTGGTATATTTACTTAACAAGGATGTGTGTAATACAAGACAACCCTGGGGATTACA